>NC_000001.11:98303835-99553835 GCF_000001405.40 Homo sapiens | reverse complement strand
TTTTATTTCTTTGTCTTGCCTGATTGCTCCATCTAGGACTTCTATTGTTTCTATTTCAGAAGAAGAGGAAAATGATGCACAAAAACTGCCAAAGATTTGATTAAGTTTGCTTAATAATTTGGGCTCTAGAAGCAAAACACCTCCCAGAAAAAGGTTTGTTATCCCTAATTTCATAGCACTGGAAGACTTGTGAAATCTATGTAATTTGTACATAATTCATAATTTTAAAATGGCAGGGCTGCTGCATAATGAGGCCTCCCCCATGTGGGGACATCAGGTGGGCTGATGAAAGATGATGACCTCCACAAAGATGTCAAGACATGTATGGGATATGAAAGGGAAGCTTACATGGGTGGTCCTTAAGCTCCTTAAAGACAATAAAGTAATGGATGACGTGGGCTTCTTTTGGCTATGAATGAAAGTCTGTTTTAGGGACTGAGTGGAGGGACTGAGTGGTCTACTTGGAATTATGCTTGGCTGTCTCTAATCTTCTCATAGTGTAACATTTTTTCTGTGTACAAGCATTGTCTAAATAAAAGATTATATCATCAAAATGAATAAAATGCTACTCTGTGACACTGGAGGACACATAAAATGTGCAAAAGCATTTTCACAAAATGACACAAAGCCCAATTATCATTGTTTGGGATTACATTAACTCCAAAAAGAAAATCCATAGCTTTGAATTTAAAATGATTTTGTCTAAATTAAAATCTTTTGTTTTAACTTTAGAAAGAGAAAAATCATCTTCCAAAACATAGAGCAAAGCTTAATTACCTAGATCTCTACTATTCTACTTAGTCAGTTATTTTGAAATGTCCATAGGGAGCAAATCCTCAGATATAAAAACTTCCTTTAGGTTCATGGCTGGGCAAAATATGACTCTTACTTTTTATGTATAAAGCATATATATATATGTATATATAAAATAAGTAATCTGGTACAAGGTATATCTGTGGTATTAAATTTGCATGGAAGGGCATTAGGAAAAAAATCAAAAAAAGATCTTTAAGGGAATGATGATGAAAAAAAAAAGTTGAGAAACACTGCTATAGATGGGTTTGGCCAAACTGTGACTTTTATGGAGCCCCTGAAGAAAGTAACTTGTCCCACCTTAGATCTGATTCTGGTTCATTTCACCGAGATAGAGTACTGAATTGAGGTGAATCTAGGTAATTTGGGTAAAAATATGTTACAAACTCAAATTGGTGGATATGATTTGGAAACTATGTGTGAGGTAAATTATGTAGAAGTTAGTTTTTCTCTGACTCATGGAAATAATGACTTCCAGGGTAATTTTATTTTTCCTTTTGATTTTGATTTTGATGGCTTGGCATTGTAAGTCACATGAATTGCAGAAGGCTTTCAGAGCCCATTACAGTCATTAAATAATGAACACTCTTCAATCTCTCACCAATTCCATTAAGAATGACATCATCAATTTCTAAACCCAAAGGCATGAACCAGCCCTTTTTAATATTACAGAACAGTTTGTCGGTAGAGTTGGGATTCAAGGCTATTATTTTTATTTTAGGAGATTTACTCAGTTTCTTTTAATCATTTTATTAGCAAATATTTGTGAAACAAAAAAATGTAATGAATATAAATGTCAGGCCTATGAGTCAAAAGATTTCTTTCCCTTGAATGTGACTGCTATCACTATACTAGCACCTCTTTAATGCTCTTGATTTATGGAGGAGGCAGAACCAACCCGAGTAAAATGATGAAGATTAATAGCTAACATTTTTAAAGCACTCACAATGATCAGACACTCTTGTAAGAGTTTCCCATGGATTATCTCATTTAAATCATTATAACAAGCCTGTTAGGTAGGTACTATTATTAGCCCCATTTATCACTATAGGAAACAGACACAGAGAGGTTAAGCAATTTTTTTAAAATCATTACAGTCAGTGAGTGTAAGAGCCTAGATTTATGAACCTAGAAAATTAGAATTAAGAGCCATAAAGCATTTTTTTTTTTACCAGCTGTGAGTCTGCCACTAATAAGTGGTGCAAATTTGAGAAATTGTTTAAGTCTCTGGGCCTCAGTTTTTCATGGTTCCAATAAAAGGGATTGACTAGGGAAGTCTTCCAGCTGTAAAACTCTATAAATTTATGGACCAGTAAATGAATACATTTAAATCATTTTTATGATTTTGGTATGACCAAAAGTGTGTGACCTCTGGCAAGTGTCTTAACCTTTCTGAATCTGTTTCCTTAAATGTAAATTGACAGTAATACCTATCTCAGAGATTTGTTGTCACGTTTAAGTGAGATTATATAAACTGGTGTTTTTGCTAATTTTAAAGAATACAAATGTAAGCAATTATCACTGTGTAAATGATACTATTTATCCATTCTTTCTTTGAGCCATCCATTCATCTACCTTCCAATAAATACATATTTATTAAATGCCATTTGCAAAGGTGGAAATTATAGTCCCCTCTTTAAGGAGATCACAATCTAAGTGGGAGACAGATACACAAGCAACTAGCACACAAGGTGATACATGCACATGGGAGGCAGGTTTGGAACACAATTAGTTTTTCTGAATGACATAAAGTAGGCTGATGCAGTGAGAGAGGCTTCACATAGGAGGCAGAAGTTAAAATGAGATCCAAAGATGTAAATCATATAAAGTGTATGTTCACGTGGGTGTTGGACGGTGGGGGATACTCCAGGAGAGAAACAGACTAGGCAAAGACACAGAACTGTGGGATAGCAAAGCATATTTGAGGACTTACAAGAAGGTTGTGAAGCTTAGAATGCAAACCTCAAGGGTGGGGGAGGTGAAGCTAGAGCCTCAAGGGTCTTGTATCCTGTGTCGGGGAGGTTAGATTCTATCCCACAGGAGATGAGAATCTACAGGAGAATTTTATTTTATTTTATTTTATTATTTATTATTTGAGACAGAGTCTCACTCTGTTGCCCAGGCTGGAGTGCTGTGGCACTATCTTGGCTCACTGCAACCTCTGCCTCGTGGGTTCAAGCGATTCTCCTGCTTCAGCCTCCCAAGTAGCTGGGATTGCAGGTGCCCGCCATGAGGCCCAGCTAATTTTTGTATTTTTGGTAGAGACAGGGTTTTGCCATGTTGGCTAGGCTGGTCTTGAACCCCTGACCTCAAGTGATCTGCCCTCCTCGGCCTCCCAAAATGCTGAGATTACAGGCATGAGTCACTGCGCCCAGCCTACAGGATAATTTTAATGGAAGGAATGTGATTAAATTCACAAACGGAAAATACCAGCAGTGCTGTGGAGGATAGAGTGGCGGGAATGAGACGACGAGAGGCAAATTGATGGCAGGAGTCACCTCTCCTGCTCACTGTGTGAGGCTTCGAGCAGCGAATTGGCCATGAATATTTCTGAAACAGCAGCCACGAGAAAGCTCGAGTCTGTGCGGGGTACTGGGTGGGAAGAGAAAGGGATTATAGGGATAAGTGTCCATCACCGGTGCTTCCCTTGGTAACAGCTTAGAGCTGAACAGTGGAGGGTGCAGACTGTGTATGGGTGAATTCCCAAGAACAATACAATGACACCACAACCCAATAACAACTTTGCCATCTGGCAAAGTTCACTCAGAGATGGCTAAAATTGTGTTCTTCTTGGGAATTTACCCATACACACTCTGCACCCTCCACTGTTCAGCTCTAAGCTGGTACCAACGGAAGCACCTGTGATGACTGGGTGGTTACATAAAACTGATGTTACTTTGACCAGTATATCCGTTCTCTTGTCCCTTTAAAGCCAACTCCAAGCAGAACTAACTTCAAACTGTAGCAAAATTGCCATGTGTGTTTTTTTCCTTTGTTCCCTTCTGTTTTCTGATGCAAGCATCAGAAGGTGGGAACGTCAGAGGCCTGGACAATCCAAGAATTATTTAATTAATTTCTAACCCTCCCCCTCCATTGACCAGAATAAGTAAAGATAGATATCCAAGGGCATAATATTTATATATCTTTTCATATATATAAATATATGTATATGTCTTTCCACATACATAAATTAAAATAAACACTTATTCTCAAAATTTGCATTACATTAATACAGAATAACATAGAATATCATAAGGGTGCCAACTCTGGAACCAGGCTGTCTGGTTTCAAGTCTTGGCTCAACCTTGGACAAGCTACTTAACTTCTCCATGCTTCAGTTTCTTTAACTATAAAATAGAGAAAATTATAGTTCTTATAAGTGCAAAGAGTTTGAAGGGGTTGATGAATATTAAAGGCTTAGAACAGGGTCTGGACTATAAAAATAGCTTAATTGATGTTAAGTATTATTGTTACTAGCCATGATTAATCTTCCTGCTGCTGAGGAAGCAAGTTTGCCTGTCCAGGGGTATTTCTAAAGACAGGAGTGTAGAATTTAAATATAAGGCAAACAAGAGGCTTGTCCTTACTCAGCATAGAGTTGAATACAGCCAGAGAACAGTGAGAGAGAGGACCTTAGAATTGGAAGGTCATGAATTGCTTTTAGACTCATCTTTCTAATTACAATTTCTGCATGCTAGACATTTGCAAACTACTCTCCTCCAGTAGAGCTGATTCTGGTAGTGGTGTCCTATTCTCTGTTCTCATCGTTCCCCAGGTATCAACTAGCCCTGAGCCTGACCCCCTCTGACTTATACGATCACTGGTACAGACGTGCTTTACAAGTGTTAGAACTTCTGGGTCCTCAGCATTGGCTAAAAGCCACAGCACAGGAGGTATCTGTGCTGCCTATAAATAGAGCTATGTCTGGGTTGGTGCCAACTCCTCCTGTACCAGAAATACTTAATAATCTCTTGGCTGATGGTTTCAAACTGGCTTCCTAGCAGAATGGCAACAGTCAGCATCTTCAGCTTTAACTTTATTCTAGATTGCTAAATCTTTGAACATAGGGACTGGTTTTTAGTAAAAGAATGAATAGATATATGGATGCAGTAGGAATTCCCTTTACTTAATTCACAAAGCATAAAAAGAAAGCAATGGAAGAAAATGGCTAGTGAATTTGATTTCAAAAAACATAAATTTAAAACACAATATAAAAAAATCATAAGC
This sequence comes from Homo sapiens, assembly GCF_000001405.40. Taxonomy (NCBI): domain Eukaryota; kingdom Metazoa; phylum Chordata; class Mammalia; order Primates; family Hominidae; genus Homo; species Homo sapiens. Next base: position 99,548,795 of record NC_000001.11, on the reverse strand, counting down.
AATGTTACAACACAGATGACAAATTTGAAAAATTTTATAAGAAAAATAAAGAAATTAATCTCACTGAAGTGTAAATGACACATAATAAGGAAAATATTGAAATTGGAGCAAGAATGAGAAGAGATAATTCTAGGCAGAGATAATTAAAATCAATAAACATGACAAGTTTTCAACTTCACTAATAATCACATAAACATAAATAATAAAGATACATTATTTTTGGCCTGTGACATTAGTAATGATTGAAATAGGTAACAATTCTGACAAGGTTACTGTAACATTGATTGCATTTTACGTTGTATAGTACAATGCTTCAGAAACAGAATTTGACAGTATGTTAGAAAGGGACTCAGAAAACTCCATATCTTTGATCCAGTGATTTCAGTTCTAGAAATCTCCCCCATGGAATCAGAGATTTTTGCACAGATACATTTACTACAGTATTGTTATATAGCAAATAAACCCAGTACCATCATCATCATCATCAACAACAACAACAACAAATAAACCCAAAACAAAAAACTGGGAAAACCTGGGAAAACCTGGGAAAAAGTATTCCTAATGAGTTAAAAATAGGGAATGATCAAATAAATTATAGTTTACTTGTATGGTAGAATAAAAAAAAAACTCACCATATTTTTAAGGCAGCCATCATTAACCAGGTTTAGAAATAATGTTTAACAACATGAAAATGCATGTATGTATATATCACACTTTATTATATATTATATATGATGGACTTATACAAAGCTGTTATTTGGAAGAACTTTTATTAATCTAGGGACATATATATACACATATGTCATTATATATGCACGTATAATACATAATTTTACCATAATACATTATAAAATATATAAAATTGCATGTGTATTATAAAATACATTTTGTAAAAGTAGGATAAAACTATTATAATACATAATTGTATTACAATAAAATACTATATTTTACAAAGTACATCTATACATACATAAACACATATATACGTACTGTAGAAACTAAAGACCAGAAGAAAACCAATGAAAATTTTGATAGTAGCTATTGCTCGCTAATAGGGAAAAAAGGGTTGCAAGCAACTAAAAATAGCAAGAAAATTCCTGCTACAGAGATGTGATTTATGCAGCATTTTTGCATAGTTTTCATCTTGAGTCTCATTACAATCCTATGGGTAAGTGCAGGCAGGTATTGTTTCTCCTCTTTATAGAAAAGATGCTGAGACTCGGGGAGATGCTTGGTTTAGTCCAGGTCACAAGGCTAACAATGAAAAGCATAGCTGAAATTTGAACATGGGTCATTTGACGCCATGTCTGGAGCTACCTTCACTAAACTAAGGTGACTGTAAGATCACATGACTAGAAAATCTATAGATACAGAAAGGCCAGGAAATGGTAGAACCTATAGTTCTAACTCCTGAAAGTCTCATGGGCATTAGCAAGAAATAGAAAATGTGTACTGAGAGTCCAAATTGTAGTTATATGCAGATGAAATGTTCTACAGGCATAAAGGAAATTATTTGTTATTGAAAACATTTTAGTGTACTGGCTAAATTGAAGAACCTTTTTCATGAGTCATTCCTGAGAACTTTGAAGGAAAGTAAGTAGATATTACCTCATTCTACACAAAGGGAAACAAATTCATAAATAAGGGAAGAATACTCTTTACACTCTCACACACTAAAACAGTAGACAAGGCAGCCATCATTAATCATGTTTAGAAATAATGTTTAACAGCATGAAAATGCATATATGTATACATCACACTTATATATTATATATGATGGACTTATACTACATTCTACACAAAGGGAAACAAACTCATAAATAAGGGAAGAATACCCTTTACACTCTTACACATTAAACAGTAGACAAGAGTAAGATAAATATCATATTCCAGTCTTCCTGTGTCATGTACTGGCTTCATATTTCTAGCACGCTGAAGAGGGTGTGTTACTGAGGAGGTACTCGGGACTGGTTTAGGGGTGAGTGCATATGGGCTACTCGCTGAGATGCCTGCCTCTCTATTTCAAGTTATTTATTTTCATATTCTATTTTATGGTCTCAAATAAGAGCTTGAACATTCTTAGTCAAGAGTCTTGGAATCAGAAAAATGAGCATCAGAGTAATTTCATGCACACTATTAAGCCACAGTGCATAACATTCACTCCTCTCCTATTTGAAAAAATGATACTCTGGTTGGTACAGGAAGCTTTGTGAGTCAGTATCTCCTGCATGCCAGTTATTCTTATCTCTTAGAATCAGATTTATTTTTATTCACCAATAAGTTCTCTTTTATATAATTTACTCTTTCATCTTAAGTAATTATCTACTTAATCAAGCTCTAAAAGTTTTCCCTTAGTTTTCTAAGTTTGCCTGGCTAGAGTGTTTTTCTTTCTGACTTTTCTAAATATTTTTCTTAATTTACCAAATCGCTTTGCATAGAAAGATCTTGTGTTCATTATTCTTTTTTTTTTAAAAAATTGTATTTTTTGAGATGGAGTCTTGCTTTATTGCCCAGGCTGGAGTGCATTGGCACAATCTCGGCTCACTGCAACCTCTGCCTCCTGGGTTCAAGTGATTCTCCTGCCTCAGCCTCCTGAGTAGCTGGGATTACAGGTGTGTGCCACCATGTCCAGCTAATTTTCGTATTTTTAATAGAGACAGAGGTTTCTCATGTTGGCCAGGCTGATCTTGAACTCCTGACCTCAAGTGATTTGCCTGCCTCGGCCTCCCAAAATGTTAGGATTATAGGCATGAGCCACCGCACCTGGCTGATTATTCTTAAAATGTAAAATACTGTGTTAATTTATTTTGTGCTTGTTTCTACTTTTGTGCTATGACATATTGATAAACATTCTGCACAGACACTAGTAAATATTAATAACTGATTAGAAATTATAATTTATGCAAATATGGAATACTGTCTAATATCAGTATTTTGGTATTCTGTGCATTATAAAAAAGAAATGCTTCTTAAGTTCTGATAGCTATCAACATTAAAATCATAACCCAAGATGACCCAAAAGTAGATAGATAGGTTCATCTTCAATTACACCTTTACTAGTCTTCTTCACCTCATGTCTTGTTATTTAATTCCTCCATCTGTGCTCTACACAAATGGGAAGGATTTATTGTCTTGGTTAGACTACTGTACATAGCAATGTGCTAGGTGATAAAAGGGTAACAAAAGCATATACCACAACTGAAAATAAGACCAGTTTTTGTATGTGCCTACAGAATGTAAGTGCATTGTGTTAGGCACTTTGAATAGTTCTGTGGCTTTAATAGGCTTGTAATATACTTAGGGAAAGAAACAAAACATTCATTTTAAATTAAATAGCAATATAAAATAGTGACCAAGACTACGCAACATGTAAAAACATATACTGGAGGGGAGCTTGATTTCAACTGGGGAGAAATTGCTGCATGGTAGAGTCATCAAGAAAGTTTTCACCCTTCTATGGAAAGAGTGACAGTGCAATGTAGTGGGTAATAGAATCAGCTTTGGAGCAAGATACGCCTGGGTTTGAATCTTGGTTTTGTGATCTTGAGCAAGTTATTTTCCCTCTTTGAGTTTTGATTGTCTTTGAGTCAACTGGCTTAATAAAACTTATTTTGTAGATATGTTGGAAGAATTAGGTAAACAAATGCATGAAAAGCATTCAGCTAAGTTCCTGGAACGTGCTCAATAAAGTAGCTGCTATTAATTAAACGGGAACTTGAATGATGTATTGTATTTCCATAGTGAGGAGTGGGGGTAGAGGGAAAAGTGGAGACAGGGCAGAAAAAAAGGCAGAGGATCTTGCTGGTGGAACAAAGATATGCTCAAGGTTGAGAAGGTCTGAATATGCAGCTATGTTTAAGGAGAATATAAGTGAACCATATTGAAGGTTTCCTGGGGAGGGGGCTGTGGATATTATGCCATTTGTCTTTAATAGAGGCAGTTTGCTTCAGATGACAAATGACTTGACCTTAGCAGGTGGCTTGGCAAATTCTGAGATGTTGCTTTTTGGCAAGGTAAAGATCCTATATTTATTTCATTTCTTGCTTCACAGTACCTTGGAGTGTCTTACACATTATATAGCTCTTTAATATCACATCTGTGAGGTAGGAAGAGCTGTGGGAAAAAAATGCCTGACATGGACTGAATGACTCACAGCAGGTGAGTGTGCTGTGCAGATGGGCCTGACTTCCAGGCTTTCTCCTTCCCAGAGCCTCTCTGTGAAAGCTCATGTGGCCAATCTTGGCGTTTCTCATTAGGCATCTCTTCTAGGGGAGAGAGAAAGGAAGAGAAGAGAGCACTGTTAGGTCTTAAGCAAGAGACTTCAAAGTCTTTTCCAAATGAGTCATGCAAACAGTTTTGCTTAACATATATGGAATATGAATCTGTAATTATGAAAACACTTACACAAAACTTCCACAATAGCAAAGCATCAATAAGCAGGTGTTTCCTGTGTTTACAAAAAGGGCTCATCCCACTTGTAAAGTGTTTGTTTTTATAATATGTTTCGTGTTAGACTTATGCTTTTCTTTGGACAGCTAATAGCTGTTTCCCCCTTCCCTCTGATGAATGTCTAGGTGAGCAGGGATGGAAAACATCTTATGAAACAATATAAACTTTGGAGAACATTTGTATTTACCTAAGTCACAAAGCCAAAGCAGAAAATAACTCAGTGGATTTGCTTCAGTTTTGCGAGCAGTGAAAGAAAAGGGAAATTTTTCATGCATTATCACAGAATTGAAGAACTTGGACTGGAAAGAATGCTCAGGGATTGTCTAGCTGATGCTTTATTGTTATGAAAGAGAGCAGAAGCCAAGAGAACATGTCAGTGATTCGCAAGCTTGGCTACATATTTGAATCACCTGTGGAGATTTAACAACCACTACTGCCTGGGCCCCATCTCTAGGGTCTCTAATGTAATTGGTTTGGGGTGTACCTAGGACATCTGGAGCTATAAAACCTCTGTAGGTGATTCTGTGTAGCTGAAGATTGAAGACCACTGTTTTAAGTGAGATGTATAATACCACTTATACTAATGTACCAATATGCTGTTAGTAACATATCAATACGGACATGAAGATTTATAAGCAGGAGCCCAAATTGCTAAATCTGAAGCTGTTTCCTCAAGCCTCCAAACTTCTTTCTTCTTTCTTTTTGCTCCTTTTCCTATTTACCTTTCACAACCCACAGCTTTTGATTCTACTCTCTCTTAACTATCAAAATAAGTTATCAGAAAAGGAGTCTTTAAAAACATCATTCTGAAATGTAACTGACTAATCTGTGATACCTCTCCTAGATGTACTGTATTTGTATTTTAACCATAAACAAAGGCCCTGCTAGAAAAAACCCTTTATGAGCCAGGCGTGGGGGCTCACACCTGTAATCCTAGCACTTTGGGAGGCCGAGGCGGGCAGATCATGAGGTCAGGAGATAGAGAGCAGCCTGGCCAACACGGTGAAATGCCCTCTTTACTAAAAATACAGAAATTAGCTGGGTATGATGGCATGTGCATGTAATCCCAGCTACTTGGGAGGCTGAGGCAGGAGAATCACTTGAACCCAGGAGGCAGAGATTGCAGTGAGCCAAGATCACACCACTGCACTCCAGCCTGGCAACAGAGCGAGACTCCATCTCAGAAAAAAAAACAAAAAACAAAAAAACAAACAAAAAAAACCCTTCATGATAAGCTTGAAATAATAACCTATAGGTAGTTACTTACTGTCTGCAAAGAGACAACATGGTTTTCTTCATCATATAGACTCATTGGCTCATCCAGGAGAGCATCATGGTCTTTAGTTGAAAACAGCTGGCTATTCAAACTTATTGAGCAATTGGTATCTGAGAGTAGATGTCAATGACACTCCAATTGCAAAGATCAAGACTCTTTCTACTCATTGTGGATGTTTCCTCCTTATTCCCAACCCCTCTGTAAATATTAGGAGACAAATCAGAGTTTCTTTCCTCAAACAAAACTGAAGTATGTCTGGCTGTACTTGGACAAAGTGTCCCTTCACGGGATAGGGAATCTGGGAAACAGTGTGAATTCTGCTAGCCCCTACCTGTATCTTAATCTAAGAACTCTGTTTATGTCTCCACTGTGCGTTGTTCTTAGTGTTTGTCTTTACCCTGATTCTGTCTTTCCATAAGGTTGCGTTTAAGAAATTGGACAATTATGAATACATATTTCTTTCATGAGCCTTACAGAAGGTAAGAAGTCTAAACACCAATTTGTTATTAGTTGGCATTCCTACTGTCACTATGTTATAGATTTTCTTCTCTAGGATGATAGTATGTTGAGTTTTTAAATAGCAGGATTATAGTTATTTGTGGAAATTATCTGTTAGAAACATGCTTTTATTATGTTACAGTTAGTAAGGTATGGAAAGAGAGGAGCGAGGATATAAAAGAGCAAATAAATGGATCATGAGGATTAATTCTGTGCTTAAGAACTTTATGGGCTAGTGTGGTAGCTCATGCCTATAATCCCAGCACTTTGGGAGGCTTAGGCAGGAGGATCACTTGAGGCCAGGAGTTCGAGACAAGCCTGGGCAACATATGGAGACCTCGTCTCCACAAAAAGTTAAAAAATTTGCTAGGCATGGTGGTGCCTGCCTGTAGTCCCAGTTATTCAGGAGGCCGAAGCAGGAGAATCACTTGAACCCAGGAGTTTAAGGCTGCAGTGTGCTATGATATGCCACTGCATTCCAGCCTGGGTGACAGAGTGAGACCCTGTCTCTAAAAAATAAATAAATAAATACAATAAAAACACTTTATGCCTCACTTTAAGATTTGGCCATGATTAAGTAGCTTATGTTAGACTTGTCCACCCACCAAAACATATATAAAATATGGAAAAAATTTAAACGAGTGTTTGCAGAAAGTGAGCAGCAACTAATGCAAGGCTGATATCCCTGAGATAAGGAAAACACATGACCTACACCCTGCCTTCACTCTGGATTTCCCCCAAAAAGCAATTTTCAAACCACTGTATGGGAGCATACAGCCCTAGCAGAAAGCAAAATTCTTGCTCTCAGGGAAAACAGAGACTGGTTTTAGGAGTTACAATGGTGACTGGGATTTGAGGGGTAGGGTATTAGGAGAGAGTTACAGAGAAGTGGCTCCAAAATCTACATAAAAATTCACATTGGGTCTTTGATGCATAAAGGTGTGTATTCACATAATGAGATTTCAGGAGATATAGCAGAGAAAGGATGTGGGGTGCTGAGAGATAAGCAGAGATTTCAGAAATCGCACAACTCTGGGGAGACACTGACATTTGGGTCCAGCTAATGAATACCTTGGGCCTGTTGTTGATGTTACTATGATAGTATCACATCTTAGAAGTAAGGAGCATGCTAGGGGTAAGGGTTAGACTCTAGGAATAAGGGAAAAAGTGAAATAGACCCACTCTAACAAAGACTAAAATCAAACTGTGGCAGGATGAGGGTGATTTTTCATAATTTAATTGCCTGCTAGATAAAAACTTAATCTCTAGAGGAAGATAACACATTCCACAGCATCTATGGTGTATCATTTATAATGTCAAGCACATAGTAAGCAAGTATTAGATATGCAAACAAGCAGGAAAAGCAACTAATAAGAGAGAAGACAGTAAATAAAGGCAAACTCAGAGATGATATAAATATGTGATTTGGTAAATAGAGTTCAAAAATAACTGTGATTAATATATTAAAAAGATAGTCAAAATCAATAAAAAGATGGAGTACTTCAACAGAAAATTGAAATTTATTAAAATAACATAATAGAAATTCTGAGCTTGCAAAATACAATATTTGAAATTAAGCTCTTCATGCTTGATAACTGACTCACAAGTCTGGACTCTCAGTGCAATAATATTTATCTGCCACATAGAATAAAATCTGGGATGTGAATAGAGAAAAGAGTAAGTACAGGCTAATGAAAGACAATGAAAAAGAAGAGACTGAAGTTGCATATGCGAAAGAGAAAGTTCTTTTTCTGAACTGTACTGATTTGACCAATAAGATGAGAAAATGACAAAAATGACATTCAAAATGACCTAGTGGTACATATTTAGTCTGTGAATTCATTTGCTAGGGCTTCTGTAAAAAAGTAACACAAACTGGGTAGCTTAAACCAGGAGTCCCCAACTCCTGGGCTATAGACTGGTACCTGTTCATGGCCTGTTAGGAACTGGGCTGCACAGTAGGAGGTGAGAGGCGGGTGAGTGAGTAGAGCTTCATTTGTATGTACAGCTGCTCCCCATCACTTGCATTACCACCTGAGCTCCACCTCCTGTTCCATCAGCAGTGGCATTAGATAGTCATAGGAGTATGAACTCTATTGTGAACTGTGCATACAAGGGATCTAGGTTGTATCCTCCTTATGAAAATCCAATGCCTGATGATCTGTCACTGTCTCCCATCACCCACAGATGGGACTGACTAGCTGCATGAAAACAAACTCAGGGCTCCCACTGATTCTACATTACGGTGAGTTGTATAATTATTTCATTATATATTACAATGTAATAGTAATAGGAATAAAGTGCAAAATAAATGTAATGTACTTGAATCATCCTGAAGCCAACTCCCATGCCTGGCTGTGGAAAAATTATCTTCCACAAAACTGGTCCCTGATGCCAAAAAGTTGGGAATAAACTGGCTTAAACAACAGAAATTTATTGTATAACAGTTCTGGAGGTATCAGGTATCAGTAGGGTTGGTTACTTCCTAGGGGGTGAGGCAGAAATTAGTTCCATGCATCCCTTTAGTTTCTGGTGGGTTTTGGCAATCTTTTGGCATTCTTTGGCTCTGTTGCATTACCCTAATCTCCCTTCATCTTTACATGGAGTTCTCTCTTTGAGCACATCAGTGTCTTTTTATTTTTATTTTTTGCCCAGATTTACTGGAATTAGGTTACTGTTGCTTTCAATGGAAAGACCTAGGCCTTTGAGACTTCAGTAGGTTTGCTAATACAGTTGATTGTTGAACAACATGGGTTTAAACTGTGTAGGTCCACTTATATGTGGATTTCCTTTCGCCTCTGCTATCTCTGAGGCAGCAAGAACAACCCCTTCTCTTCCTCCATTCCTCAGGCTACTCAACATGAGGATGATGAGGATGAAGACTTTATGAAGATCCACTTCCACTTAATGAACAGTAAATGTATTTTCTCTTCCTTATGATTTCCTTAATAACATTTTCTTTTCTCTAGCTTACTTTATTGTAAGAATACAACATATAATACATGGAAAATATAAAATATATGTTAACTGTTCATGTTATCAGTAAGACTTTCTGTCAACAGTAAGCTATTAGTAGTTAAGTTTTTGGGGAGTCAAAAGTTGTATGTGAATTTTTGACTGTGTGGGAGGTCAGCACTCCTAACCTCACATTGTTTAAAGATCAACTCTAGACAGAATGGAGTGAAACTTGGAGATCCAGATGGATAAATAATCTATTTGTTTATTTATTTGAGACAGTTTCTCATTCTATTGCTCAGCCTGGAGTATAGTGGCATTATCATGACTCACTCTCACTGTAGCCTTGACCTTCTGAGATCAAGCAATCCTCCTGTCTCAGCCTCCCAAGTAGCTGGGACTACAGGTGGGCACCAACATGCCCAGCTAATTCTGGAGACAGAGTCTCCCTATGTTTCCCAGGCTGGTCTCAAATCTCTGGGCTCAGGTGATCGCCTCATCTTGGCCTCTCAAAGTGCTGGGATTACAGGTGTGAGCCACTGAACCTGGTCCATTTATTTATCTTTTGGTAGTCAAAAAAAATGAATAGCAAGGAGTCTGAAATGCACTATAGGAAAAGATGGTAGAATTAAGAAGAGGACTGATTTTTGGGATAACAGTGCAGGATAGGCCTGGCTTCAGAGTCTAGTTATTGGGCTGGATCCTAAATTAAGGACACTAAAATCTTTCTCCTTATTTAGATTCCCTAATTTGGTCACATGAATTAGCTATAATTGCAGGTTGGTCTCTACTGTAGTTTGATGCTAATCTATGCTTACACTTGTAGAGACACTGAAATAACTGCATGCCAAGAAGATGACGTTCACATTCACATCCTGACCCCGTAGCTATAATTGGACCTCTAGATCTCCTACTTCAGAAAGTATATCAAAATACAAGTGAAAAGAGTGTTTTTGGAAAAAAACAAAAACAAAAACAAACCTTGGACTTATTTAAATTCTTTGTGGAATAAAGAATTTAACCTTTTCCAAAGAGAGATCTGGCCTTTGCCCTCAGCTTCTGGGAGGTAATCTCTATGTTCTTGCAATGTCATACCTGATAGGAGTGTCTTATTTGGGAATTTAGGCTGTGCCAGACAGCCTAACAGTGCAATTTATAATGGAAGTTTTGAGTCATGTCAACCAAAATTAAGGCTGCTGAGGCAGAAATAATTTGACAAAAGTTTGTTGGAAGCCAACTGTGAGGACTGACCTGGGAAAACACACCAAAAAAGTTGGGCATATTCCACAGTCCACTACCAGTTGGAAGGCTTTTACAGGAAAGTTTAGAAGAAGGGAGGAGGACTCCTCACACCAAAATTGTCCTTTTCATTGTGGGGTGCAATACGGAGGTTATAATCATTGGCTACAGATTACAACATAAAAGCTAAAATGTTCTACATGCAAGACAACCAGTAAAAGTTCATGACTCAGAAACAAATCAGTGTTCTTTTCGATGTTAGTAGGTTACGTATTAATTAGTATGTCAACAATTTGAGGAACTCCCGACAAGATTTGAGGAACTCACGACAGGATTCTTTAGTCAGAGTCAGGATGTAAGCCTTTCAGCCTAACCTAACCTGCATCCTAAACTGTCATCATAAGTATAACAGCATCCAGAGAGCTCTGTGAGTCTTTCTAGTGCATTATTAAACCTAAGTATGGTCTTAGAGATCCTAAACTTGAAATGGTGTCAGAAGTGGGGGTAGTCTTGTGGACTACCCTTTAACATCACACTCAAAAAGTAAATAATTTGCAAACTATGTTCCTGTAATTACTAATCATGCTAAATTAATCTGTGAAGAACTGTTAACATGAACATCTGATATAAGAATAATGCTGATGGCTGGTTATTGAAAAGAAGAGAATTTGGGATTTAAGCACCCAGCAAGTCCTCTGAGTACTGAAGTATTCATTTATTCATTCAACAAATATTTGCTGAGTTCCTGACTACATGCCTTAAAAATACAGTCCCTTCAACCGGGATGATCCCTAGTAAAGAAAAATGATAATAATGTCTAATGGAGATATTTGATTCAATTCAAACAAGAATCAAACAATTCTAATAGAGGTAGAGACATAAAAACTGTCAGGTCTGTTTTGTTGTAATACTTAGAAATGTGTTATTTGGAGGCAGGTAAAACCGGACTGGCTACCTGACTGGTGATTTTCAGTACCACATGTACTGTGACATTCATTGTAACCTTAAGCTCTTTCCCACTTTTCTCATTTGTAAAATGGGGATAATAATACATACTTCATAGAATTGTTGTGAGGATTAAATGAGATGATGTATTAAAGGTACTTAAGGTCAGTTACATAATCAATACATGTTATATATATAATTAATATGCTCAGATTTATCTTCTAACCAATTTTTTTTAGCTGAATGTGAGAAGGTATTGCTTTCCAGCATACCTATGTTAATTTTAGTGGCTACTTATTTCCTTAGTCCCAGGAACTATAATGGCATCAAGAGTGTAGGCCCAGTTTTGAACTCTGTAGTTTAGCAGAAAATTGCTAATGAACAGGTTTTGGATTTATCTAGTAGTGGTGACTTCAATCACAGCTTCTTTTGCTGCCTTTTATTTTGTCAGTAAAATACCAGAGGGATTTGGGTGTTGTATATACAAGGTATAAAAGCCGCAGAGAAGGTGAAATTAGACTTTGTAATCTCATGGCTTTTAGGCAGGAGAAGGATTATGAAGCACCTGGTGAGAGTAAAATATTCATTAATTTAGTCTATAGCAATATGCAAATGTTTAGATGGTTTCTCATCTGGGGTAACTCAAGCTCTGCCCCTAAGACATTTTAATTGTGCAGAATATATTGAGCAGGCAGGACTAGCATGAAACCCTGGTGAATTGGTTATTTCTGAGATTTTATTCATTCTCATGAAAATATGTATTAGACTTTAGTCTACCCTATCAAATTTACAGGATAAAGGGAAGAGACTACACAACATGAATAGCTAAACTAACATTTTATAAAATCAAAATATTTTGTCTTGAATACATTATTTTTTAAGGCAATGTTGTCAAGCATGGTACCTTCTGCACAATCCTGCCTTCAAGCAATTTAGCCATTGTCGTTCGGTGTACTAATATCTTCCAGGTAATTATATCTCACACTACTATCACTCCTTGGGCTCTGCTCTCTTAATTCTCAAAATTTATTAATCTTGGCCGGGCGCGGTGGCTCACGCCTGTAATCCCAGCACTTTGGGAGGCCGAGGCAGGTGGATCACGAGGTCAGGAAATCAAGACCATCCTGGCTAACATGGTGAAACCCCGTCTCTACTAAAAATACAAAAAATTAGCCAGGTGTGGCCCCTGTGGTCCCAGCTACTCAGGAGGCTGAGGCAGGAGAATGGCGTGAATCCGGGAGACAGAGCTTACAGTGAGCCAAGACCGAGCCACTGTACTCCAGCCACAGAGCGAGACGCCGTCTCAAAAAAAAAAAAAGAAGTATTAATCTTGTTGGCTAACTCTCAGATTGTACTCATTTTTAAGTAAATTGCTCAAAGTCACAGGGCTAGACAGTGGCAGAGCTAAAAAATTTAGTGCTAGTTCTGCCAGAGGCATTTGAACTAGAGCAACTCCATCTTGAATAGGAGCTGTGTAAAATAAGGCAGACATAATGGGCTGCATGCCAGGAAGTTAGGCATTCTTAGTCACAGGATGAGATAGGAAGTCAGCACAAAATACAGGTAACAAAGACCTTGCTGATAAAATAAGATGCTGTAAAGACGCTAACCAAGACCCACTAAAATCCCGGTGGTGACAAAAGTGATCTCTGGTCATCTTTACTGCTCATCCTATGCTAATTATAATGTATTTGCATGCTAATAGACACTCCCCCCAGTACCATGACAGTTTACAAATGCCATAGCAAAGTTAGGAAGTTACCCTACATGGTCTAAAAAGGGGAGGAGCCGTCAGTTCTGGGAATTGCCCACCCCTTTCCCAGAAAACTCCTGAATAACCCACCCTTTGTTTAGCATATAATCAAGAGATAACTATGAGTATATGCAGCCCATGCCACTGCTTTGCCTATGGTGTCGCCATTCTTTATTCCCTTACTTTCTTAATAAACTTACTTTCACTGTACTCCGTGGACTCGCCTTGAAATCTTTCTTGTGTGAGATCCAAGAACCCTCTCTTGGGATCTGAATCGGGACTCCTTTCCCATAACAGTTCCCTCTTCAGTAGACCTATGGTTCCGAAACTCTCATATGCATTAGAATCACATGGGAAACTTGTTGAAAATATATATGCCTGGTTGTGATACACATAAGTCCTGAATCACGATGCCTGGTACAGAGACCAGAAATCTCCATTTTAAACAAACACACCTAGTGATTCTGAATTAGGTGATTGTAGGACAACACCATAGGGATCACATATGAAGGCTCTGAGAGCAAAAACTATTAGTTATTTCTGCATCTTTTAAACATCTTGTGCAATTTAGGGTTAATGCCACTCCTTTTAGGAGAGAAGAAAACAGAACTGGTTTCCGCAAAAGGGAAATGCTATTTTCTTTTTCTCTGCCTGTCTGATGCCTCTGCTAGAAAAGGCATGTATCTAACTCTTTTTGAAGTTTTAAGTTGAAGCTAAGCTTTACTAATGGGAATCCTAGAAGTGGCTTCTATTTGTGATATTCATACTGCATTAGGGAAGAATGTGGAAATAATAGAAGCAAATAAAAGCTTCAACCATGAAATGTTCCTCTTTCTGGAAAATCCACTGAAATCCTCTATAGCCGCTGATTAAATGCCACAGACCCACCCTATTCCTGCTTTTTGTTTGGTCTCATTGACTCCTATCAACCTCTGCAAGTAGTTACCAGGAAACAACAACATTCTAACCTTTCCTAAGACCTACTGCTCCTTCCCAGAAATATCTAAGCAAGCCATCTCATGAGAATAAAAAATTGCCTCTGGGTTCATTCGGGTCGTCAGTCTCTGGAGGATGGCAGTTTCTGTAGCAATTTGACACTCCTACTTTCTACTGAAATTGGAAACTGCCACCTTTCTTTATATTAAGTAAAATTCAGCTTTTGGCATGAGCTTTTACTGTCTTTTTTTAGCCTCAGGTTTTGCTGGTCCTAATGGGAATTACTTCCATTTTTACAGTGCAAGTGCTAGATATATAGTGTCAGAATAAAACACCATGTTCTGCGGGGCTCCCAGGAACTATAACTGTGCCATAGAAACAACAAAACAAACGAATGAAGCAGGTTTTATTTATATCAGTTAATAGTCTGCATATACATACGTCTTCCTGTAAACTAACAAAGATGATATATTGGAAAATTTTCTTAGCAATATTCTGAATTAAATGATTGTATTTAATTTTCTCATCAGTAAAATGAAGTGGTTAGACTAGATTAGGGGCCAGATTTGATTAGGCTCTCTTTTCATGGTCGGTCTCTTTCACAGTTACCCAATGCTGCTGTTAAGGAACAAAGGCAGCCATGGAGAATACATAAATGAATGGGCGTGGCTCCGTTCCAATGACTATTTATAAAAACAGGAGGCGGGCTGCATTTATTCTGCAGATATAACTTGATGACCCTGGATGCAAAGGTATTTTCTAGCTCCTTGATTTTTAATTTTATTCAAACAAATTGAAAGCCAGCTGTCATTTGATTACTCTTTGGCTAGATCTTTAGTTTTGTCTACCAAAGGCTACTGAAATTAGAAATAATAATAATAGTATTTTGTACTGAAACGTGAATGTGTTGTGAACGTGATAAATATTTTAAAAATATTTAGTTGAATCCTCTCAAACAAACCTAAAAAATGGTAACATTATTATGATCAGTATTCACAGATGAGGGAAACTGAGGCTCAGAGAAATAAAGTAATGTGCCTGTCGTAAGTGACTGTCGTAGTTCGTTCAGGCTGCTGTAACAAAATACCGTAGACTGAGTAATTTATAAACAACATAAATTTATTTCTCACAGTTCTAGAGACTGGGAAGTCCAAGATCAAAGTGCCAGCAGATTCGATGTGTGGCGAGAACTCTCTGCTTCATAAATGATGCCTTGTTGCTGTGTCCTTACGTGATGGAAGAGGCAAGGGGCCTCTCAGTCTCTTTTATCAGAACGTTAGTCCCATGTCTGAGGGTGGAGCCCTCATGACCATATCACCTCCCAAAGGCCCCACCTCTTAATACCATCACTCTGGGGGTTAGGTTTCAAGATATGTACTTTAGTGGGACACACACATTCAGTCCATAGCAGTGGTACAGTTGGGAGTCAGGTTCAGATATGTCAACTTTGAGAACTTCATTCTTTGAGAGCCTATTTGATTTTTTTTTTTTAATGAGATGGAGTCTCTCACTGTCGCCCGGGCTGGAGTGCAATGGCACCATCTCGGCTCACTGCAACCTCTGCCTCCTGGGTTCAAACGATTCTCCTGCCTCAGCCTCCCAAGTAGCTGGGATTACAGGCACCCACTACCACACCAGGCTAATTTTTTGTATTTTTAGTAGAGATGGGATTTCATTATGTTGGCCAGGCTGGTCTCAAACTCTTGACCTCATGATCCACCCACTTGAACCTCCCAAAGTGCTGGGATTACAGATGTGAGCCCCCGCGCCCAGCCTATTTGATTCTTAAATACCATCCTCTCTACTGATTTACATGAAGGTAGAATATTTTTGCATCCCAAAGAATTAGCCTGTGTGCTAATCCCTTATTGGGGAATGAATGTAGAGCAGGAATGAGAGGAAAGGGAAAAGAACAAGGAGAGGGCAGCCACAGAAAAGAGGGGTTTTTAAAGATATATTGTCAAACATGTCAGAGCCTGAGGCAGATAAGAACTAAGAAGAAACCACTGGATCTGAAAAGTAGAAAGTGTCTGATGACTCTTGGGGTAATGGTTGGGGCCAGAAGAAAGACTGCAAAAGGAATAATAAGTAAAAGTAAATGTAGCCCTGCCATGTCAGAAAACTGGCAAGATAGATGGGAGAAATGGATGGTTATTTCCAGCTCTCCTAATCTTTTCATTCTCTCTACATGGAGCATTTAGAAAAACAAAAACAAAAACCAAACAAACACATATCCTTTCATCAGCTGATTGCTATGCTGCTTGGCAGGGTTGTCACAATTTAAAGATCAGGACTTAGTCTTACATGGGAGCAAACACTTCTTTGTGGCAGAAATTCATTAGTCTTGCTCCCAGTCGGCTGGTGACAGAATGGGCACTAAGGTTTTCTTCTTGGAGGCTGGGAGTGTTGCTTCAGCATCACTGAGCTCATTATTCCTTTACTTTCAGAGCAAGATGAAATTAAGAGGCCAGCTTGTTAGGAAGTCAGTTCACTGTGTCATACAGATCTAAGAGGAATGTTGGAGCAAGTGCTGCTCCTGAAAAACATACATGGTTATTGGAGTAACAAGCAGAATTCTGTTGATGTTTGCTTTCCTTAGAAAGTAGAAGAAATGGATCAATTATGGCAGGGTTCAAAGCTCTCTATAGCTGAAGAGAAATATCTCCAAGGGCCATAAAAATAAAAAGACAGTTTGTTCATATCAATCCCTAACATAGAAAAATATCACTGGCTACATTTCCAACTATCTATTTCTACTACAGCCTTCAAAGTGGGGACTGGGAATCTCGTGCTTACTTTGAAGAGGCTTGAAATGATTGCCTCCTTTTGCAAAAATCTTTAAATTGAACAATTATTTTCAAGGCAGATTGTCTATATTGAGTCATTCTGCAGAACTAAAAAAAACTTAGTATTTTAAATGCATTGTCGTTTGGAGCACTTTAAGATTAAATAAATCGTTATCTTGGGTGATGCAATATGAAACCTTGAGTAGAGGTCAAAGAAGTTCTATGACATTTACAGATGTTTAAAAATAGTACTTTAAAATAGAGAAAACTATGAATTACCTTTATTAACCATAGTGATATAATGAATAATGGCATCTACCAATAATCAATCTCAAACCGCAATTAGTCACGACACAAGGTTCAATCTCTCACTAAGAGCAAATATTTTACTAGAGTAGCTAATAAATAACAAATTGATATGATTCCACTTAAAAAAATCATGTTTCAATTTTGATAAGGATGATTGATAAACAATGATAAACATTTATAAACCTTGATAAACATTGATAAAAATGTTTCATGTTTCAATTTTGATAAGGATGATTTGTAACCTTCTCAAAGAATTGTTATTAGAAGGTAAGAGGTAGGGCAAAAGATTTGAATAATTTGTCCATGTAACTGAGGCTTGGCTAAAATAGCATGTAATGTAATTAAATTATTTAGTGAACACATTGGTGGTGGTGTACAGCTTTTAGGACTTTAAGGGATATGAAACTTTTCATTTTCCCTTAATTATAATTATTCTTGTACTTATATTTCTATTAATTTATCTGTAAAAAGGAATTTAAAAATCTTCATATAATACTGTAGAACGTCATTAATCCGTTATTGAAGAACAGGAATATAATTATTAATTTATCTTTCTTATCCTTTTATTTATCTTTACAATGTTTGTTTAGCTGTGAATTTAAAAACCTTTAACTGATTCTGCTGTTAGCTCTAAGGGCCAATAATTACCTTCTCTTAGAGATGCAGCTTAAGTTATTTATCATAGTGGAATTAAATGTTGCCTAATTAGATTCTCTTGATTTTCTCCATGGGTCATTCTTAGACAGATGACTGAAGACCTCTTGTTTGAGGACACATTGGCTTAGCATGCAGTGTCTGACACAGGGCCCCGACACGCAGAGAGTAGGCGTGATTGTGATTTTGAGTTTATATTCTTCTGAATGGACTTTTTTTTTTTGGCTTATCATTTTTTTCCAAGTTAAATCTAATTTGACATAATTTTATAGACAAACAAGATTCCTATGTTGCTTATCATTTGTCTTTAAGTATTAACCAACTTTGCTTGGTGATGTTGAAATAGACTCTAGAAGTGAGCAAATCACCCCAGAGTTTCCTCAGGTGCTATTATTTTTGGGGTGCTATGTGAAGAAATAAAAACAAACTCTAAAACACAAGCCAGGTGTGCATACAGCTCTAGAATGAAAAGGTATTTCTGTTATTTCTTAGGGCAAATTTTACTTTTTGAGGATCTGTTTATTAGTATTTTGAGTATTAGTCATGAACTTAAAATATAAGTATAGTAGGCTTATAATTACTACCCACTAGTAATTTCTTTTATATTGAGACAGCTTCATTTGTACTGAATGTATAAAATTAATAATGATATACATGGATACTTAATTAAAAACCAATTACTGAGTTATTTTTATTTATTTTGACAATAGGAATTTATTCCAAAGCTTTGCATATGTGAAAACACGGATCTCCTCAGGGTGTTGTTGGTAGTCTAGACATAATAATAATGTAACTTGTTTGAGAAATCTTGTTCTTCTATGGGCAATCAAATACATGATTACTGAAGAAATCAAGTATTCAGAATCAGTTTGTATTGAAACAAACCCTCTATAGTCCCAGCTTACAGATACATTAAAATTGTAAGTCACAGAGTCCAAGTCTATTTTTTATTGGAAAGCTTAAACCCCAGACTTATGATAAGAATTTTCATAAAGGAAGCTGAACTTTATTTCTGGAAATATCAGATATTGTAGTTTGTGTATTTATTTTGGTGAGGCATTTCTTAAAAGGGAGCCATTTCTCAAAATTAACTTTTAAAAATTTCTGAATCTTATTTTGCCTCTGTATTAAAGGTGTTTATCTCTCATTTTGTTACAGAGATAAAAGATAAAAAGGACAGTTTTAAACATTATTGATTTCAATATTTAATTGACCTAGACAATTTACATTGATGTCACTAAGAATTATGCATCCACCTCTGAACATAATTAATTTATGAACTGTTAGAGTGTCATTTTTTATTGAGTAGTTGTTAAGAGTTGAACTGTATACCTCTAAATTCACATGTTGATTTCTTAACACCCAGTACTTCAGAACAGAATGTGACTGTGTTTGGAGACAGGGTCTTTAAGGAGATAATTAAGTTAAAATGAGGTCATTAGGGTGGGTCCTAATCCAATATGACTGTTGTCTTCATAAGAAGAGGAGATTAGGAAACAGACATAAACAGAGGAAAAACCATGTGGAAACAACGGGAGAAGACAGCCATCTTCAAGACAGAGAGAGGGCCTCAAAAGACAACAACTTTGCCAATACCTTGATCTCAGACTTCTGTCTTCCAGGGCTGTGAGAAAACAATTTCTTATTTAAGCCAACCAGTCTGTGGTACTTTGTTATGGTAACCTGAGCAAGCTATTATAATACAGTTACAGCTATAGCTATGGAAATTCTAAGGCCAATCTCTGTCCTCTAAGAGGTTGTATGAATTCCAAGCCCTGGCAGTTGTAAATGTTATCGTAGTCAGCTTCTCTGTCACCTGGTTTATTTCCTCTGACTCCTTGTCAGGTAGATAGAGAGAGAGTGTTGCAATGGATACTGAGAATGTGATGCATCCTGGTTCATCCGAACTCTGAATCTACTTTCCCTATGGCTCCATGTACTTGTGTGTAAGAAGTCAGGTTGCATGGACACGTGTGCATACCTGTATGTGAGGGTGTATGTGTGTATTGAAGAGAAGTTAGAGTATAGTACTGCTTAAGAGCATGGACTCTGCAACCAAATGGAGCTGAACAGCTCCACATTTACTGTGTACTATTGGGTAAGTTATTTAACCTCTCGGGGCCACAGATCTCTCATCTAGAAAATGGGGTCAGTGACAGTTCCTACTCTCATAGGGTTGTGGTGAATATTAATTGATTAAAGTATTTAGAATAGGGCTTGACACACAGTAAGAGCCAGGTCAGGCATAATGATCTTTATTTCATAGGGCTACTGTGAAGACCAATTAAATGATACAGTGGGTTTGAAGTACCTTACATGGTGCCTGGAAAGTAGTAGGCACTAAACACCTGTTGTCTTATTTTTCATCCTCAATATTCCCATAATCTCAATATGGTATTAAGGTTATACTCTTAACAAGGGCACCAAGGTGTGGGAACTGCAAAGGCACTTTAAGATCAACTGATTTAACTATTCACAAACAGGTGGAGGATGGTGAGGCACATCAGAACACAGAACTACAGTCTCCCTGTTTTCTCCTTCCTTCCATGTTGATGTAGTTTGGATATCTGTCCCCACCAAATTTCATGTTGAAATGTGATCCCTAATGTCGGATGTAGGGTCTGGTGGGAGGTGTTTGGATCATGGGGACAGATCCCTTATGAATGGCTTGGTGCCCTCCCCATGGTAACAAATGAGTTCTTGCTCTGTTAGTTCATGTGGGAGCTGGTTGTTGGAAGGAGCCAGTTTCTTGATTACTTTCAGTGAAAAAATAAAAAATAAAAATAAAATAAAGGAGCCCAGCACCTCCTCTCTCTCTTGCTCTCTCACCTGTGACACATCTGCTTCCCTTTTGCCTTCCACCTGATTTAAAGCTTCCTGAGGCCTCACCAGAAGCTGAGCAGATGCTGGTGCCATGCATGTACAGCCTGCAGAAACATGAGCCAAATAAATTTCTTTTCTAAGTTACCCAGTCTCAGGTATTCCTTAACAGCAATGCAAGATAGACAAATACATACATCAACATGTTGTCTTCCTATCATGCATCCTTTTTTTTCTCTCCCCTGCCTCTCACATGAGGGAGAATCTCATTTAATACAATCAGTGGTTGGTGGTAGATAGAAACTGGGCAGAAGAAACCAGATGTTAGTAAGGACTTGGCAACGGTTTCATTGTTCTTACAAATGTGAACATGTTTTATTTTTCATAGGATTATGGCCATCAGCCTTTTAGAAACTGATGACTTAAGCACTAAATCTCTCCTGGTTCCTTCCCTGCCCTTTCAGTCTCTTCTATACGACCTAATTGATTTGCTCCTCTTTGCCTACCTTTCCTTACTCATTAATGCGAGGCTTTCACAGTTAACCAAGGGAAAAGTGCATCAAACTCTCTTTGTACTCTGAATCTGGAATTGACATATCCCCTCAGCAGCATTTTTGCATAGTGGCTCATTTGCTATGAATTTCTGTTTTGCCAGTACAATTTCATTAGCCAATTAATTTCCATTTTAATCTTTTATGACCCTTACACATTGCAGATGAGTAAAGGGGAGTATATTGATAAGATGAAGAATTTTCAAGCTATATAAATCCAGTCCACACCAATTTCAGCCCTCTTTCAAGGGAATGCAAAACTCTGATAAGACTGAGAATGACTCCAGAAGAAAAGCTTGAAAGTTTTATAAGAGACCAGATGGTGGCAGCATAGAATGTGTGAGAAAAACTCCATGAGCAATGTTAAAAACATGATACAAATATGTTGTAAATAGTAGCAAAACTACTAATTATTGATGAGAACTAAGATAGAGAAACTGGTTATAGACATGCAATGTAGTACCAGAAATACCTGAATTTGACTCTGTGTTCCTACGTGTCGGCTGCGTGAACTTGGGCAAGCCAAGTAGCTTCTTTCTCTAAGCTCTGTTTCCTCATTTATGAAGTGGGAACATTAATAGTTACGGGATTGTTTTAGGATTAAGGGAGATAATGTATGTTAAAGACTTAGCCCTTCCTAGCAAGGATATTGTAGGTACTTACAGAGAGAGAGAGAGAGAGAGAGAGAGAGAGAGAAATTTAACCATGTCAAATACGAACATCATATATCAAAGGAAAGTTTTTGTAACTTTTTCTAAATCAGTAGGATAACGAGAGGAACATGGGAGCAGTAGTCAGTCCCTATGTGCAGGTAAAAAGGAGATGCATTGTCCCTAGAGAGTTTAAAAATACTAACAATGTCAACTAAACTCAGTCTACTTTTTATAATCACCATGAACCAGCAGCTCCAAACAATGTCATGGTAAAAAAACTCTTCTTTATGGGAACTTTACTGTTCCTAGCAAACTGAAATTTTCGTTATCGTTTTAAGCATTTTAAGACCCTTTACCCTCTGCTTCTGACTTATCTGCCTTTTATGCTTTTCGCTTCCTGAATCCTTTCCAGTCCAACGGTACAAATTGTTCAATGGAGATGCTTTGCATATCCTGCTTCTCCATTTTTTAATCACACCATTCCTACCACCTGAAATGCCCTGTAATCTCCTTTTCATTTATTTATATCTTACTTTTCCTTCGTGGGTACAGCTTAAGGGCTACATTCTCTGGGAAGCTTTCCTCATCTGCTGGATCCTCCAAGGACATATCTCTCTTTTTGTGTACGTAGCTATTTTGGCCCTTAGCATCTGCTATCTTCTATTGAAACATATTGCCCCTTCCTTCCAATGTAAAGGAGGAGCTCATTCACAGAGTTGATATTATTTCCGTAATCTAGCCCAGCTTTAGGTTTTGATATCATCTGTACACTTGGTGCTTACAATTGTGTTTGGAGTTCAAGACATTCTGTCACAGAGTGAACATAACTAGTGGGTATCTTCAATTTTGAACTTCCTTTGAGATGCGTATGCTACCTTAAATAGTGTACACAATGTAATATTAATTAACATTTAGACATTTTAAAAGGAAGAAATAATGATTACCTTGTGGGTTTGAGGGCAAATGATTGGAGCCTGTATTTCCCAGAACCAAGATTAATATGCAAGGCCCCATCTGTGAGCTCTAAATTCCAGATTCCATTGATGCTGTTTTTCAGTCATTTTTTCCATGAGACCTGGAATCTTTTCATCTCTTCTTAGCTGGTGTAAAACTGAATGTATATTTTAGCATGTGGTGGCCACTCCCTTGGTGAAAAAATACTGGGTCTATGAAAAATGCTGGGTCTTCGAACTTGAGCTTTAACCTTTTGTCTGTATCCTAACCAGCTACTATAAACAGAATGCTGTCAGCATTTACCTGTCATTGGAGAAAGTAAGTATAAAATATCTTCCTTCACATCTCATATTCAACAAGATAGCCATATACTGCCAAGTCCTTTGTGAAAAAATTGGCCAGATCCTGGGATCAGAGGCTCATTCTCCAGAAGTGCAGAGATCTCACAGGTTCTGGTATTCTAAGGGAGTGCTCTGGGAAGAAGGAAGTACTTCTGAGCTGAGTTGGCTCCTGGTCAGAAGAAATTCTGGACAGATGGTTTAGTTTTACTTCTCTCAGACTCTTGTGAAGTTGGACCTGGGTGTTTAGCCTCTTTAATAATCTTTTGTAATTACGTGGAGGTGGGTGAGGAAATCTTTGTCTCATATCATTATTGATTAGAATTACTATCTTTGTTTCAGGAATCTTGTTTACAGAGTGGGCTAAAGTTCTTCATTACCAAAAATGCAGAGTGTAGCAAGGGGAACATGGCAGAGGTCTAGATATTTGAAACACTTGGCACAGCACATTCCCCATGAACCCAAGGAACAAAACTAGGAACAATGCTAATAGAGCAACATAATAGTTCAACATAAATGGGAGAACTTTCTAACAATAAGTTGTCCATATATAGGATGAACTATCATGTTGATACTGAGTTTCCCATAATGTGAGATATTTACAGAGGTGAGAGTGCTGTGGGGTATTCAAGTATTGGTGAATGATGTGAATAAATGGATTCAAATTCTTTTTCTTACCTGGAGTCTATAGTTCAGGGATTTTGCCGTTTCTTTTTCCAAATCTGTTGATTACAAATGAATAAACACATGAAAAGCAAATTATTGTATCCTTTTTTCTATTCTTTTAATTATTGTAGATGGTATTCTCATCTCCTAACATATACTAATTAGAGACATGGAAGGAATAAGCCTCTAAGTAGAAAAGTATATGATATTAAAATATTAAGAGTATGAAAAATTACATGGGATTTTGGAAATGCACAGAGTTTTACTTATTTGTTTTTTTTTTAATTTGGAAAGAAATGCAGTCTTGTAATGAAGTCTTAGGTGGCATGTGAAATGAGAAATCAAGATTTTGGCTCTCCTATTGGGCTTTTCTATCAATGGAAACTTTATTCCTGTATTGAACAATTCTTTTCTCCTAACTGGCTCATCTCATGGGAGAGATTTAATGAATAATTGATGGAAGGCAC
Organism: Homo sapiens; assembly: GCF_000001405.40. Classification (NCBI taxonomy): domain Eukaryota; kingdom Metazoa; phylum Chordata; class Mammalia; order Primates; family Hominidae; genus Homo; species Homo sapiens. Next base: position 99,524,546 of record NC_000001.11, on the reverse strand, counting down.
AAGTGCTCTATTACACCTTCTATTCAAGGAGAAAAAGATACGAGCCTCTTTAGGTGTATTATATGCAGATGCTATGTTGGCAATTTCCTGTATGACAAGAAAATTAAAATAGACTCCCCACTTCTTCTTTAGAGTGGGGTTGAACATAGGAACTGCAGTGAGGTGGCTTGAAGATCTTTAGAAGGAGGGTAGTTAAAAGCTTTCCATATGATGTTCAAATCACTGAGTCTGAAAAAGAATAATGTGTAATTGTATCAGTCTATGTCCAATCAGGAGACAGAAACTGCACAGTGATAAGTAATTTGAACAAAGTTAAATATATAGAATTGTTAAGTATAATAATTTGGAGTAATGGGGTTTGGAGTAATAAAGGGTTAATTAATATAAAGGAAACAGAAGTTTAAAGAATACAGAATAGCACATATAAGAAGCAGCTACTACTTCCAGGGCTGAGATAGAACATCCAAAAAAGAGCCTGCCCCTTGCCCCAACCCCTGGGGGTGAGACACAAACCTTGTTGGAGGACACAGTTATGAGTAACTAGATGGTGGAGAACTCACTGGGGGGTGCTGCACAGGTGGAACTTGCTGGAAATCTGAAGCTAGGGTTCCAAGAAAAGATGCGAATGAGGAGGTATCTTACTAGGAGTATGTTGCTACAAATCATGCAATGGAGGTGCCAGGAAACTATGCTGGCTGTTTCCTGCTGATCACTTTTGGTTTTATCTATTTTGTCTTTTTGCTGTTGTTGTCCTCAATTCCATTGATTTCTGCTCTTTTACTTGTTATTTTCTTATGTTTGGTTTGAGATTATTTTGGTCTACTTTTTCTAGTTTCTAAAATTGAAAGTGTGGATCATTGATTTGAGGTTTTCTTCTTTTTTAATTATTTAGTGCTTATTCACAATAACAAAGACATGGAATCAACCTAAATGCCCATCAATGGTAGACTGGATAAAGAAAATGTAATAGATATACACCATAGAATACTGTGCAGACATAAAAAAGAATGAGATAATGTCCTTTGCAGGAATATGGAGATAGAGGCCATTATCCTTAGCAAACTAGCCCAGAAACAGAAAACCAAGTGCTGTATGTTCTCACATATAAGTGGGAACTAAATGATGAGAACATGTGGTCACAAAGAGGGGAACAACAGACTGTGGGGCCTGCCACAGGGTGGAGGGTGGGAGGAAGGAGAGGAGCAGAAAAATCACTATTGAGTATTAGCCTTAGTACCTAGACAAAATAATTTGTACAACAAACCCATAACACGAGTTTACCTATATGACAAACCTGCACATGTACCCCTGAACCTAAAATAAAAGTTAAAAAAAAAGCATGAGCCTTTTAAGTGAGGGAAAGGAAAGTTGAGGTGGCTATAATAACATTATGTAAAACTCTATTTCTGATAGAGTGTCTTCTTCTGAAGTCTAATTTGTGTAATATTATTATAGCCAGCTCAACTTTCCTTTGATTAGTGTTTCAAGGTATATCTTTAACATCCTTTTACTTTAACCTATCTATATCTTCTATGTAAATGGGCCTTGCTTCTGTTATCCAATCCAACATGTTCATTTAATTCATATGTTTAGACTGTTTGCAATTAGTATAATTGTTGACAGGCTTGTACTAAAATCTGTTATCTTGCTAGTTGTTTTCTATCTTTTTTTCCCCCAACCTTTTGATTTCCTTTGGAGTGAGGATTTCTTATGACTTCATAAAATTCTTATATGCTTTTTATATTTAGCTTATTACCTATACTCTTTACTGTGGTTTGAATGTGTCGCTTAAACTTTGTGTGTTAAAAGCTTAATCCCCAATGCAATAATGTGAGAGGTGGAACCTAATAAAAGGTGATTAGGTTATAAGGGCTCTACCCTCATGAATAGATTAATGTTGTTATCACAGGATTGAGTTAGTTATTTAGAAAGTGAGCTTGTTAAAAATATGAATTTGGCCCCCTCTTGGCCTTTTTCTCTCTCTCACCTTCTCTTATCCTCTCATCTGCCATGAAATGATGCAGCAAGAAGGCCCTCACCAGATACTGGCGCCTTGATATTGGACTTCCCAGTCTCTAGAACTGTGAAAATACATTTCTTTTCTTTATAAATTACCCAGTCTGTGGTGTTCTGTTATAGCAACACAAAATGAACTAAGACACTCTAGTATTTACTACATATATTTAATCAATTATACACTACCTTTAAATTATATTATACAGGTTAAAATAATGTAAAGACCTTACAACAGTATATTCTCATTTTTTCTAATTCTTTGTGCTATTGTTAACATATATTTTACTTTACGTGCACCATAAATGTACAATTCACTGTTACTATTTTTTTTTGCTTTAGAGAGCCAACTGTCTTCCAGAACTTTTAAAAATAAGAAAAATAAATTTAATATTCATCTTTATTTGTCTCAATTTCAGCATTTTTTATTTCTTTGTATAGCTCCTGGTTTTTGTCTGGCATTGTATTCATGCTTCCTGAAGAACTATCTTTAACATTTTATTATAGTACTTGTCTGATGGTAACAATTTGTCTCTTTCTACATGTCTGAAAAAGTATTTTTGCTTTAGTTTTGAAAGATATTTTAATTAGGTCTAGAATACCTGGTTGACAGCGTTTTTTTCCTTTTCTTTTTCTTTCTTTTTTTAAATTTCTTTTTTATTTTTATTATACTTTAAGTTCTAGGGTACATGTGGACAACGTGCAGGTTTGTTACATATGTATACATGTGCCATGTTGGTGTGCTGCACCCATCAACTCGTCATTTAACATTAGGTATATCTCCTAATGCTATCCCTCCCCCCTCACCCCACCCCACAACAGGCCCCGGTGTGTAATGTTCCCCTTCCTGTGTCCATATGTTTTCATTGTTCAATTCCCACCTATGAGTGAGAACACGCAGTGTTTGGTTTTTTGTCCTTGCGATAGTTTGCTGAGAATGATGGTTTCCAGCTTCATCCATGTCCCTACGAAGGACATGAACTGATCATTTTTTATGGTTGCATAGTATTCCATGGTGTATATGTGCCACATTTTCTTAATCCAGTCTATCATTGTTGCACATTTAGGTTGGTTCCAAGTCTTTGCTGTTGTGAATAGTGCCGCTATAAACATACGTGTGCATGTGTCTTTATAGCAGCATGATTTATAATCCTTTGGGTATATACCCAGTAATGGGATGGCTGGGTCAAATGGTATTTCTAGTTCTAGATCCCTGAGGAATCGCCACACCGACTTCCACAATGGTTGAACTAGTTTACAGTCCCACCAACAGTGTAAAAGTGTTCCTATTTCTCCACATCCTCTCCAGCACCTGTTGTTTTCTAACTTTTTAATGATTGCCATTCTAACTGGTGTGAGATGGTATCTCATTGTGGTTTTGATTTGCATTTCTCTGATGGCCAGTGATGATGAGCATTTTTTCATGTGTCTTTTGGCTGCATAAATGTCTTCTTTTGAGAAGTTTCTGTTCATATCCTTCACCCACTTGTTGATGGGGTTGTTTTTTTCTTGTAAATTTGTTGGAGTTCATTGTAGATTCTGGATATTAGCCCTTTGTCAGATGAGTAGGTTGCAAAAATTTTCTCCCATTCTATAGGTTGTCTGTTCACTCTGATGGTGGTTTCTTTTGCTGTGCAGAAGAAGCTCTTTAGTTTAATTAGATCCCATTTGTCAATTTTGGCTTTTGTTGCCATTGCTTTTGGTGTTTTAGACATGAAGTCCTTGCCCATGCCTATGTCCTGAATGGTATTGCCTAGGTTTTCTTCAAGGGTTTTTATGGTTTTAGGTCTAACATGTAAGTCTTTAATCTGTCTTGAATTAATTTTTGTATAAGGTGTAAGGAAGGGGTCCAGTTTTAGCTTTCTACATATGGCTAGCCAGTTTTCCCAGCACCATTTATTAAATAGGGAATCCTTTCCCTATTGCTTGTTTTTGTCAGGTTTGTCAAAGATCAGATAGTTGTAGATATGTGGCATTATTTCTGAGGGCTCTGTTCTGTTCCATTGGTCTATATCTCTGTTTTGGTACCAGTACCATGCTGTTTTGGTTACTGTAGCCTTGTAGCATAGTATAGTATATTTTTGCTTTAGTTTTGAAAGATATTTTAATTAGGTCTAGAATACCTGGTTGACAGGGTTTTTTTCCTTTTCTTTTTCTTTCAATACTTGAAAGGTGTCATTCCAGTGCCTTCTGGCTTGCATGATTTCTGACACAAAGTCTGCTATAATTCTTATTTTTACTGATCCATATGTAATTTTTTTTCTCTACATTCCTTCAAAATTTCCTCTTTCTCTTTGGTTTTTGACAGTTTTAATCTATCTTCATGGATGTGTTAAGTGTGTCTATGGTTTTGTATATTTCATTAGGTTTGGAAAATTCACAGCAAATGCCCCTGTTATATCTTTATTTTCCTACTAGGATTTAAATTATATGTATATTTGATTTTGTTCCACTGCTCTTGAATGTTCTGTTCCTTTTTTACCTCACCTTTTCTCTTTGTGTTTCAATTCGGGTGATTTCTACTGACCTCTTTTAAAGTTCACCAATTTTTTTTTTCCATCAGCTGTGTTGAGTCTACCAATAAATTTGTTAAAAGCATTCTTCTTCTGTTACTTTATTTTTTACTTCTAGCATTTCCTTTTATTTTTTCTTATAGTTTCCATCTCTCTGCTGAAATTCTCATAAGTTCAGGTGGTGTTCCCACCTCTTCCATTAGCATCTTCGACAGTTTAAGCATAGTTATTTTAAATTCCCTGCCTAATATTTACACACTTGGGTCATGTCTGAACCTGGTTTTGCTGATTATTTTGTCTTTTGACACAGTGTTTTTGTTTATTCCTTCCTCATGTATTTTGTAGGTTTTGCGTGCATGTCATTTATCTTGTGTAGGAATCTAGAGACTGAAGTAAATGGAATAGGAGCATGAGATTTGTAATACCACTTGCTAAACCTTTTGCATGGGAATTGAGTCAATCTAGTCAGAAACTGAGCTGGGTTTGGGTTTTGTTGTTATCATCTAGGCATATTTTAGGGCATTTGATTATTCCTGTCATTGAGTCTTCCAAGTAGCAATCATCTTCCAGTAACAAAGCTACTCAATCTATTGTGTTCAATAGTATTTAATAATAGACCATGTTTAATTGTATTAGGTCTGTACCTGTGGTAGTTGATTGCACTTGTACATCTCTTCTCTAACTCTAACTGTTAGAAGCAAAACCAAGTTCTTGTGAGCTGTGCCTGAAATGCAGAGGTAGAAATTTGGTTACATACCTTCACCTTTCCTGCCTTTTTTTTTTTTTTTTTTTACCACTCATGCACAACACACAGGCACTTTTATCACAGGTGCATTCTCTTTGATACACAGGCATATTGGTTTTATTTTGGAGTCTTTATTTTCACCCAGGTATCAAGATGTTTTGTAATTTGATTGCTCCTCTCTGTGAAGGCATTTTAAAAATGTCATTCCACTTTCCAGAAATCTGTATACCACTTCCATGTACAAAAGACCAAATATACTTACCTCTTTTCTAGACTTTAATCTATTTTTCTTGTAAGGACAGCTGATAGTGTAATGTTTCAAAGTCTTATGCATTTCTGAGAATAGAAGTTAGTGAGATAGGTGGAGACATAGGTGTCCTGTAATATTGAGACCTAAGCATCTTGGGGAAAGGAATTTTGAAACATGTTCTTTGCCATTTTCAGTGTGAATACCTAAAGAGTTAAATATGAACAATTGTCCATTCTCTGTTACGTTCTTGTGTTCACACAGATATGTAACAGTGCTCATTATTGAAAGAGAAACACCCTTATTTTTGAATCAAAAAAATTACAAAATCTTAATTCAGAGAAGAAAAGGTAAATGTATTGGTTTTGGAATGTATTAGTTTGTTTTTACGCTGCTGATAAAGACATAATGAAGATTGGCAATTTGCAAAAGAAAGAGGTTTAATGGACTCACAGTTCTGTGTGGCTGAGGAGGCCTTACAATTATGGTAGAAGGTGAAAGCCATGTCTCATATGGCAGCAGACAAGAGAAGAAGAGAAAAAAGTGGAAGCAGAACCCCCTTGTAAAACCATTAGATCTTGTGAGACTTTTTCACTACCATGAGAACAGTATAGGGGAAACTGCCTCCATGATTCAATAATCTCCCACCAGGTCCCTCCTACAACATGTGGGAATTATGGGAGTACAATTCAAGATGAGATTTGGGTGGGGACACAGAGCCAAATCATATCAGAAGTTGTAGAAAAAATTTTAATTTGGTACCCTTTTTATTCAGGGGTTCAAAATGTGTTATGTGACAAGTGGGTTTTCTTATGTGAACCTCACGATCAATTTCCTTGTTTGACCATATTTACTACCTTCTGTCTTTCTCATGAAAGGCGTTTTTACCGAACAGAGTTATCATTGGTTTTTTTTCCCCTTTAGGATAGCTTGATACTATTGTCTAATATCCCCTGAATTTATTTCTTCCAAGACCATTATCAGCATAGACAACCATCCTCTTGCTTAACCCAAATCCATGGTTTCACTTTTGCTTGGGCATGTGAAATTCATTAGTTAGAAATGGTGTCATGTTTTGTACCTAGGGTACACTGTTATTGATAAGATATTTGTTATTATTTGGGGATGGGTGATCCAGAACAAGGTGTAAGATAGCACTTTTTAATTTTTGTGTTAAGAAATAAACATCTTAGATAAAACCAGAAATGAAGAGATTATTTCAGGCAATTAATTACCCTATATATGGTTATATTTCTCATTTCCCCTCTATAAAAAATCTCTCAAATATTATTCTTGGTATTTCTGTTCCTTATTTTTACCTCACATCATCCAAAGAAGGATCATGGAAGAATCCAGGCTTCTATTTCCTTGCTACCTTCTTATGTATGTGTGGGCTTCATCTCCAAGTTTACCAGGTGGTCCAATAGGGCTACATTCCAGCCAGAGAGTAGAAAGGGATAAAGCAGGGGAAGCACCCTGTCCTTGAGAAAACTTCCTGGAAGGTGCCTTATGCCACTTCCACATTGACACAGGCCAGCTTTCAGTCACATGGCCACACATAGGTGCAAAAAGAGTTGGGAAATGTCAACATTCTGAGTATGCCCAGCTAAAATCTGGGACATACTCATACTAGGTTGGTGCAAAAGTAATTGCAGTTTTTGCCATTGAAATTAATGGTAAAAGGCCGGGCGCGGTGGCTCACATCTGTAATCCCAGCACTTTGGGAGGCCGAGGTGGACGGATCACCTGAGGTCAGGAGTAAAAGACTAGCCTGGCCAACATGGCGAAACCCCGTCTCTACTAAAAATACAAAAAAATTAGCCGGGTGTAGTGGTGCACACCTGTAGTCCCAGCTACTCAGGAGGCTGAGGCAGGAAAATTGCTTGAACCCAGGAGGCGTAGGTTGCAGTGAGCCAAGATTGTGGCATTGCGCTTCAGCCTGGGTGACAAAAGCGAAACTCCGTCTCAAAAAAAGAAAAAAGAAAAAAAAAACAGAGAGAGAGAAAGTAATGGCGAAGACTGCAATTACTTTTGCACCAACCTAACAATATATTCAGTTGCATTGGAAACTTGCTGAGGCAGCCTGCAGACTGCAGCAGTTTCAAATGTAATTCTATTCTCACTTTTTAGCACACATCTCAATATAATTAAAATTAATTCATAGTAACTTTTGGTACAAGCCCAGGATCTTTTCCTTATAAAAGTTAACATGAGAAATATAGGAGTTACTAAATAGCAATACATTAATAGGTCTCAGTAAATTCTGTAATAGTTTTAATGCATGTGATCATACTGTTAGCTGTATCAACCTTTCATTTAATACTTGTCTTTCCAGTTTCACATTGTGTGCTGTTTACACCCATTTCAATACTAAGAGTGTTAAAAGATCCAATAATTTATAATAATCAAAAGCATTGATAAGATTTTTTTCCTACTGAAATTAAAGGAAATATTTAATAGAGGACTCTATCCAATTAGAATTATATTAACACTACTCTGCTTCCCCAAATCGAACTTTATAGTTCAACAACTTTATCTTCTTTTTAATAAAATATATGCTGTGTTTTGGTGGTTGTTGAGAAATCTAGGTACAGATTTATGTTAAATTTTTATTCCTGCATTTTGTTCTTATGATCCAGCAAACTAAAATGGAATGTGACCAAGGGAGTATGTTGCTAAGGAAAAAAAGAAACAAATTAGAATGACTTAATATCTGCTTTGGGTATTGGGAATTATGAAAACTGATCCACACTTGATATCACTTTGGGACACTTGTGAATGCCTGTCAGTGACTTCTCTATCAGCCAAGAACATACTAGGATCATTGGCACACACTCTAATGAACTCTGTTTTTTTTTTTGGGGGGGGGCAGGGTGGTACATATCTATATTTCCTTATTAAACAATTACTTATTTTAAATATTATTATATTTTAATCCCTTATATTTATGGTCCCATGATGGACCAGGGACTTGTAAGTTGAGAGTGCATGTGGCCAGAATATCCTAAATATGTCCTTATAATTAATTTTTTAAAAAACTGCCATGAAATTCTCAGAAAAGATAAGAGAGAAAAACACTATTTTTGCTAATTTTGTTTCAGACCCTGAGGAGTTACTATATCTAATCTCACTACATGATGCCACAAAATGGTGAATGAATGGAGTTAAGAGTCTCAGTAAAAGATTTTCAGCATTCTCTCATGAGAGCAGTTTGATTGATTGTTGCTAAACGTTCTACGCTCCTGCAATTATAAATGGCAACTGAGGATAGATTTCAGGTGTTTATGGAAACAAATGGCAGTCATTGGGGTCATTTGAGCATGAGATGATTTTTTTCCCCATTTCAATTTTTTAAATTGACACATGATAATTTTAAATATTTTTAGGGTACATAGTTATGTTTAGATACATGCAATGTAAAGTGATCAACTCAGGGTAATTATTATACACATTATCTCAAAGTTTTATGATTTATTTGTGTTGGGAACATTCAAAATCCTCTTTTCTAGCATTTGAAAGTATATAATAAATTATTATTAACTATAGTCATCTTACAGTGCTACAGAACAGTAGAACTTATTCCTCCTATCTAGCTGTAATTTTTGTATCCTTTAACAAGTCTATCCCTATCCTGCCAACCCTTCCCAGCCTCTGATAGCTTTCATGTGCGTCCGTGTGAAGAGACCACCAAACAGGCTTTGTGTGAGCAACATGGCTGTTTATTTCACCTGGGTGCAGGTGGGCTGAGTCTGAAGAGAGTCAGGAAGGGAGATAAGAGTGGGGCCGTTTTATAGGATTTGGGTAGGTAAAGGAAAATTACAGTCAAAGGGGGTTTGTTCTCTGGTGGGCAGGAGTGGGGGCCGCAAGGTGCTCAGTGGGGGTGCTTTTTGAGCCAGGATGAGCCAGGAAAAGGACTTTCACAAGGTAATGTCATCACTTAAGGCAAGGACCGGCCATTTACATTTCTTTTGTGGTGGAATGTCATCAGTTAATGTGGGGCAGGGCATATTCACTTTTGTGATTCTTCAGTTACTTCAGGCCATCTGGGTGTATAGGTGCAAGTCACAGGTGATAGGATGGCTTGGCTTGGGCTCAGAGGCCTGACATTCCTGCCTTCTTATATTAAGAAGAAAAATAAAACAAAATAGTGTTGAAGTGTTGGGGCGGCGAAAATTTTTGGGGGGTGATATGGAGAGAGAATGGGCGATGTTTCTCAGGGCTGCTTCAAGCGGGATTAGGGGAGGCGTGGGAACCTAGAGTGGGAGAGATTAAGCTGAAGGGAGGTCTTGTGGTAAGGGGTGATATTGTGGGGATGTAAGAAGAAACATTTGTCATATAGAATGATTGGTGATGGCCTGGATACAGTTTTGGATGAATTGAGAAACTAAATGGAATAACAGAAGGAGAAAAACAGGTATAAAAGGTCTAAGAATTGGGATGATTCAGGATATCTGATTAGAGAGTGCCTAAGGAGATTCAGCATAGTCCTACCAGCAAAGATTATTTATTTACTTCAAGAGTTAAGAGTGGCAGTTTGGGGATAGCACCAGGAGATATCAGCTGTGATGGCTTGGAAAAACAGTGTAAACTGGCAGTGTAAACAAGAGCAGGGCATGTATGAGTAGTTGAGAATGGTGAATAGGCGTATGACTAGACAGAAGATAGTGGGGATGACAAGTATTTTTTGGGGCACAGTCTAAGTTAGTCTGGTGTCTGGAATGAGACTGGGGCCTAATAAAAAGAAGCATCTATACGGAGCTTAAATGGGCTGTACCCTGTAGCATTCCGAGGACAGGCCTGAATTCTGAGAAGGGAAAGTGGTAAAAGTATTGTCCAGTCCTTTTTAAGTTGGTGGCTGAGCTTGGTGAGGTGTGTTTTTAAAAGACCTTTAGTCCATTCTACTTTTCTTGAAGACGGAGGACCGTAAGGGATATAAAGGTTTCACTGAATACTAAGAGCCTGAAAAACTGCTTGGCTGATTTGACTAATAAAGGCTCGTCTGTTATCAGACTGTATTGAGGTGGGAAGGCTAAACTGAGGAATTATGTCTGACAGAAGGGAAGAAATGACTGCAGTGGCCTTCTCAGACCCTGTAGGAAAGGCCTCTACCTATCCAGTGAAAGTGTCTACCTAGACTAAGAGGTATTTTAGTTATCTGACTCAGGGCATGTTGAATAAAGCTAATTTGCCAGTCCTTGGTGGGGCAAATCCTTGAGCTTGATGTGTAGGGAAGGGAGGGGGCCTGAATAATCCCTGAGGAGTAGTAGAATAGCAGACGGAACACTGAGAAGTTATTTCCTTGAGGATAGAGTTCCACGATGGAAAGGAAATGAGAGGTTCTAAGAGGCGGGCTAGTGGCTTGTACTATAGCATAACCTGCCTTTGCTGGTGTGTGGCGATTAGGCCTGGTGGAACCGCCATCAATAAATCAAGCATGATCAGGGTGAGGAACAGGAAAGAAGGAAATTTGGGGAAATGGGGTGAATGTCAGTTGGATCAGAGAGATAGTCATGGGGGTCAGGTGTGGTATCAGGAATAATGTGGGAGGCCGGATTGAAGTCTGGGCCAGGAACAACGGTAATTGTGGGAGACTCAACAAAGAGTGAGTATAGCTGAAGGAGCCGGGAAGCAGAAAGTATATGCATCAGGTATGAGGAAGAAAATAGATTTTGGAAGTTATGAGAACTGTAGAGAGTGAGTTGAGCATAGTTTGTGATTTTGAGGGCCTCTAAAAGTATTAATGCAGCAGCAGCCACTGCACACAGACATGAGGGCTAGGATAAAACAGTAAGGTCAATTTGTTTGTACAGAAAGGCTACAGGGTGTGGTCCTGGCTCTGGTGTAAGAATTCTGACCACGCTAACCATGCCTAGGAAGGAAAGGAGTTGTCGTTTTGTAGAAGGTGCTGGGGTTTGAGAGATCAGCAGGACACGATTGGCAGGGAGAGCACGTGTGTTTTTATGAGAATTATGCCAAGATAGGTAACAGATGATGAAGAAATTTGGGCTTGATTGAAGTAATGGGGGCTGTCTGTGAAGCTTTGCAGCAGTACAGCCTAGGTAATTTGCTGAGCATGATGGGTGTCAGGGTCAGTCCAAGTGAAAGCAAAGAGAGTCTGGGATTAAGGGTGCAAAGGAATAGTAAAGAAAGCATGTTTGAGATCTAGAACAGAATAATGGGTTGTAGAGGCAGGTATTGAGGATAGGAGAGTATATGGGTTTGGCACCACGGGGTGGATAGGCAAAACAATTTGGTTGATAAGGCGCAGATCCTGAACTAACTTGTAAGGCTTGTCTGGTTTTAGGACAGGTAAAATGGGGGAATTGTAAGGAGAGTTTATAGGCTTTAAAAGGCCATGCTGTAGCAGGTGAGTGATAACAGGCTTTAATCTTTTTAAAGCGTGCTGCAGAATGGGATATTGGCGTTGAGTGGGGTAAGGGTGATTAGGTTTTAATGAGATGATAAGGGGTGCACGATCGGTCACCAAGGAGGGAGTAGAGGTATCTTATACTTGTGGGTTAAGGTGGGGGGATACAAGAAGAGGACGCAAAGGAGGCTTTGGATTGGGAAGAAGGGTGGCAATGAGATATAGCTGTAGTCCAGAAATCGTCAGGGAAGCAGATAATTTAGTTAAAGTGTCTCAGCCTAATAAGGGAACTGGGCAGGTGGGGATAACTAAAAAGGAGTGCTTAAAAGAGTATTGTCTAAGTTGGCACCAGAGTTGGGGAGTTTTAAGAGGTTTAGAAGCCTGGCCATCAATACCCACAACAGTTATGGAGGCAAGGGAAACAGGCCCTTGAAAAGAAGGTAATGTGGAGTGGATAGCCTCTGTATTGATTAAGAAGGGGATGGGCTTACCTTCCACTGTGAGAGTTACCAGAAGCTCGGCATCCGTGATGGTCTAGGGGGCTTCTGAGGTGATTGGGCAGTGTCAGTCTTCAGCTGCTAAGCCGAGAAGATCTGGGAAGGAGTCAGTCAGAGAGCCTTGGGCCAGAGTTCCAGGGGCTCTGGGAGTGGCTGTCAGGTGAATTGAACAGTCCGATTTTCAGTGGGGTCCCACACAGATGGGACGTGGCTTAGGAGGAATCCTAGGCTGTGGGCCAGATTTCTGGCACTTGTAGCAAGCTCCTGTGGGAGGAGCTTCTGGAGAAACACCTGGCCGCTGTGGTTCAGGTGTTTGGAAGTTCTTGTGTGCTGGAGATGTGGCTGGGGTTTGTCTCACAGTGGAGACAAGGAATTGCAACTTTTTTCTATTATTGTACACCTTGAAGGTGAGGTTAATTAAATCCTGTTGTGGGGTTTGAGGGCTGGAATTTAATCTTTGGAGTTTTATTTAATGTCGGGAGCAGATTGGGTAATAAAATGTATTTTGAGAATAAGACGGCCTTTTGGCTTTTTAGGGTCTAGGGCTGTAAAGTGTCTCAGGGTTGCTGCCAAACAAGTCATGAACTGGGCTGGATTTTTATATTTGATGAAAAAGAGCCTAAAGGCTATCTGATTTGGGATAAAGAAAAAGGAGCATTAACCTTGACTATGCCTTTAGCTCCAGCCACCTTTTTAAGAGTAAATTGCTGGGCAGGAGGGGGAGGGCTAGTCACGGAACGAAACTGTAAGCCAGACCAGCTGTGAGGAGGGGAGGTGATAAAAATATTATAGGGTGGAGGAGCAGAGGCTAAGGAAGAATTGGGACTTAGCTCGGCCTGGCGAGGAGCAGCCTGGGGAGGAAGGGAGAGGTCAGATGGGTCTGTAGAAAAGGAAGATTAGAAAGACTCAGCGATGCTTGGGGTTGGTACTGAGGGGACAGGCGGGAGGGAAAGAAGGAAGATTTGGGATGAGTTGCACTGGGCACAGAGACTAGGAAGGGACTGATGTGTAAAAGAATGCCTGGATGTCAGGCACCTCAGACCGTTTGCCTATTTTACGACAAGAATTATTTAGATCTTGCAGGATGGAAAAATTCAAAGTGCCATTTTCTGGCTATTTGGAACTACTGTCAAGTTTGTATTGGGGTCAAGCGGCATTGCAGAAGAAAATAAGGCATTTAGGTTTTAGGTCAGGTGTCAGTTGAAGAGGTTTTAAGTTTTTGAGAACACAGGCCAAGGGAGTAGAAGGAGGAATGGAGGGTGGAAGGTTGCCCATAGTGAAGGAAGCAAGCCTAGAGAAAAGAGAGAGTAGAGAAACAGAGGGAAGGGGTTCGGGGGTTCTTACCTTCCAGAAAAGTGGGAAAAGGGGTTGGGGTGCAGAGATAAGAGGTTGGGGTGCGGAAATAAGGGATGGGGCACAGAAATAAGGGGTTGGAGCATGGAAATAAGGGGTCAGGGTATGGAAATAAGGGATTAGGGCACAGAGATAAGAGGTCGGGGTGCAGAAATAAGGGATTGGGGCACAGAGATATGAGGTTGGGGTACTTGCCCCTCCTCTAGAAAAGTGGGACTTGCCACTAAGAGTGAAGGAGAAGGGGTTGAGGGGTACTTGCCCCTCTCCCAGAAAAGCGGGTCTTGCCACGAAGGGTGAAGGAGAAGGGGTTGAGGGGTACTTGCCCCTCTCCCAGAAAAGCAGAGAAGGGGTAGAGACAAGGAGAGAAGGGGTTGAGGTACTTGCCCCTTCCCCAGAAAAGCGGGACTTGCCGCTAAGGGTGAAGGACAAAGGCAGGCGTCCCTGCGTGGTCTGACACCCTTGAAACGTGGGTGTATAATCAGAGAGGCATCCCTGCAATGATTAAACACCAAGGGAAGGCTGCCTTCCCCGTCCGTGACTGGCGCCGGAGTTTTGGGTCCACGGATAAAACGTGTCTCCTTTGTCTCTCCCAGAAAATGAATTGAAATTAAGAGAAGGGAGAGATTGAAGAGTGGAAAGGAGAAAGTGGTTGAGGGACAGTGAGAGAGGTTGGAGAAGAGAGTAAGAAGAGGCTGCGTACCTGATTTAAAATTGGTGAGATGTTCCTTGGGCTGGTCGGTCTGAGGACCTGAGGTCGTAGGTGGATCTTTCTCATGGAGCAAAGAACAGGAGGACAGGGGATTGATCTCCCAAGGGAGGTCCCCCGATCCGAGTCACGGCACCAAATTTCATGCACGTCCGTGTGAAGAGACCACCAAACAGGCTTTGTGTGAGCAACATGGCTGTTTATTTCACCTGGGTGCAGGTGGGCTGAGTCTGAAAAGAGAGTCAGCAAAGGCAGATAAGGGTGGGGCCGTTTTATAGGATTTGGGTAGGTAAAGGAAAATTACAGTCAAAGGGGGTTTGTTCTCTGGTGGGCAGGAGTGGGGGCCACAAGGTGCTCAGTGGGGGTGCTTTTTGAGCCAGGATGAGCCAGGAAAAGGACTTTCACAAGGTAATGTCATCACTTAAGGCAAGGACAGGCCATTTACACTTCTTTTGTGGTAGAATGTCATCAGGTTAAGGTGGGGCAGGGCATATTCACTTCTTTTGTTGATTCTTCAGTTACTTCAGGCCATCTGGGCATATACGTGCAAGTCACAGGGGATATGATGGCTTGGCTTGGGCTCAGAGGCCTGACAATAGCCACTGTTCTGCTCTCTTATGAGATCAACTTTCTTAGTTTTTTTTTTTTTTTTTAGTATTTATTGATCATTCTTGGGTGTTTCTCGGAGAGGGGGATGTGATAGGGTCATAGGATAATAGTGGAGAGAAGGTCAGCAGATAAACACGTGAACAAAAGTCTCTGGTTTCCCTAGGCAGAGGACCCTGGGGCCTTCTGCAGTGTTTGTGTCCCTGGGTACTTGAGATTAGGGAGTGGTGATGACTCTTAACAAGCATGCCGCCTTCAACCATCTGTTTAACAAAGCACATCTTGCACTGCCCTTAATCCATTTAACCCTGAGTTGACACAGCACATGTTTCAGAAAGCACGGGGTTGGGGGTAAGGTTATAGATTAACAGCATCCCAAGGCTGAAGAATTTTTCTTAGTACAGAACAAAATGGAGTCTCCTATGTCTACTTCTTTCTACACAGACACAGTAACAATCTGATCTCTCTTTCTTTTCCCCACATTTCCCCCTTCTCTTTTCGACAAAACTGCCATCGTTATCATGGCCCGTTCTCGATGGTTGCTGTCTCTTCGGAGCTGTTGGGTACACCTCCCAGACGGGGCGGCCAGGTAGAGGCGCTCGCTTCCTAGATGGGGCAGCCGGGCAGAGGCGCTCCTCACATCCCAGACGATGGGCGGCCAGGCAGAGGCGCTCCTCACCTCCCAGATGGGGCGGCCGGGCAGAGGCACTCCTCACCTCCCAGACGGGGTGGCCAGGCAGACGCGCTCCTCACCTCCCAGACGGGGCGACCAGGCAGAGGTGCTCCTCACCTCCCAGATGGGGCGGCCAGGCAGAGGCACTCCTCACTTCCTAGATGGGGTGGCAGCCGGGCAGAGGCACTCCTCACATCCCAGATGAAGGGTGGCCGGGCAGAGGTGCTCCTCACATCCCAGATGATGGGTGGCTAGGCAGAGGCGCTCCTCATTTCTCAGATGGGGCAGCCGGGCAGAGGCGCTCCTCAGTTCCCAGATGGGGCGGCTGTGCAGAGGTGCTCTTCATTTCTCAGACGGGGCGGCCGGGCAGAGGCGCTCCTCAGTTCCCAGACGGGGTGGGTGGGCAGAGGCACTCCTCACTTCCCAGACAGGGCGGTTGCCGGGCAGATGCGCTCCTCAGTTCCCAGACGGGGCGGCCGGGCAGAGGCGTTCCTCACATCCCAGATGGGGCAGCCAGGCAGAGGTGCTCCCCACTCCCAGACGGGGTGGCGGCTGGGCAGAGGCGCTCCTCACTTCCCAGACCATGGGCAGCCAGGCAGAGGCGCTCCTCACTTCCCAGACGGGGCGGCCAGGTAGAGGCACTCCTCACTTCCTAGATGGGGCGGCCAGGCAGAGATGTTCCTCACATCCCAGACGGGATAGTGGCCGGGCAGAGGCGCTCCTCACTTCCCAGACAGGGTGGTGGCTGGGCAGAGGCGCTCCTCGCTTCCCAGACGGGGTGGCCGGGCAGAGGGGCTCCTTACATCCCAGACGATGGGCGGCCCGGCAGAGACGCTCCTTACTTCCTAGATGGGGTGGCAGCCCAGCAGAGGCTGTAATCTTAGCACTTTTGGAGGCCAAGGCAGGCGGCTGGGAGGTGGAAGTTGTAGCGAACCGAGATCACGCCACTGCACTCCAGCCTGGGCAACATTGAGCATTGAGTGAGTGAGACTCCGTCTGCAATCCCCAGCACCTTGGGAGGCTGAGGCAGGCAGATCACTTGAGGTCAAGAGCTGGAGACCAGCCTGGTCAACACGGCGAAACCCCGTCTCCACCAAAAATACAAAAACCAGTCAGGCGTGGCGGCGTGTGCCTGCAATCCCAGGCACTTGGCAGGCCGAGGCAGGGAGGTTGAAGCGAGCTGAGATCACCGC
Organism: Homo sapiens; assembly: GCF_000001405.40. Taxonomy (NCBI): domain Eukaryota; kingdom Metazoa; phylum Chordata; class Mammalia; order Primates; family Hominidae; genus Homo; species Homo sapiens. The sequence goes on along the minus strand of NC_000001.11, from coordinate 99,507,633 downwards.
AGTACAGTCCAGCTTCAGCAACAGAGGGAGAGGGGGAGGGGAAGGGGGAGGGGGAGAGGGAGAGGGAGAGTTTTTTTCATGAAGCGATGATAAATTTTATCAAATACCTCTTCGGCATCTGTTGAGATGAGTTTCTGTCCTTCATTCTATTGATGTGATGTATCATGTGTATTGATTTGCATATGTTAAACCCCCCTTGCCTCCCAAGGATAAATCCCACTTGATCATGGTGTGTTATCTTTTTGATGTGATCTCATTCGGTTTGCTGGTATTTTGTTGACAATTTTTGTATGTATGTTCATCAGGGATATTGGCCTGTAGTTTTCTTTTTTGTGTGTCCTTATCTGATTTTGGTATCAAGGTTATGCTGGCCATGTAGAATGAGTTTGGAAGAAATCCCTCCCCTTTCATTTTTGGGTGAATAATTTGAGAATAATTGGTATCAGTTTTTCTTTATAAGCTTGGTAGAATTCAGCAGTAAAGCTGTCTGGTCCTAAACTTTTCTTTGCTGGGAGACTATTTATTATTGATTCAATCTCAGTACTCATTATTGGTCTGTTCAGGTTCTTATATGTGTTCTCGTTTCAGTATTGATATGTATTTAGAAATTTGCTCATTTCCTCTGGATTCTCTGAAGTTTTGGTATATAGTTCTTCCTAGTAGTCTCTAATACTCCTTTGCATTTCTTAGTATCAGTTGTAACATCTTTTTTTTTGTTTCTAATTTTACTTATTTAGATCTTTTCTGTTTTTTTCTTAGCTTAGTTATCGGTTTGTTGATTTTATCTTTCAAAAAAGCAACGTTTCATTTTGTTGATATTTTATATTCTTTTTAGTCTCAATTTTGTTTCTTTGTGCTCTGCTCTTTGTTATTTTTTCCTTCTACAAATTTTGGGTTTTCTTTGTTCTTCCTTTTCTAGTTTCTTAAGCTGCATCATTAGGTTGTTTATTTGAGATATTTTCACTATTTTTTTTTTTTGGAGGTTGGGGGGATCTCACTATGTTGCCTAGGTTGGCCTTGAACTCTTGGGCTCAAGGGATCTTCCTGCCTCAGCCTCCCAAGTAGTTGGGGCTACAGGCGTGTGCCACCATACCAGGTTTTCTTACTTTTTTGATGTAGGCATTTATTGCTGTAAACTTGCCTCTTAATACCCCTTTTGCTGTGTTGCAGACATGATATGCTGTGTTTCTATTTTTATTCGTTTCATGGAATTTTAAAATTTCCTTCTTAATTTTTTTCTTTACCCATTGGCTGTTCAGAAGCACGTTGTTAGATTTTCCTGTATTTGTATAGTTTCGAATGTTCCTATTGTTAATTGATTTCTAGCTTTATTTCATTGTGGTTAGAAAAGATACTTGAAATGACTTCAATTTTTAAACATTTTTTGAGACTTGTTTTGTGTCCTAACATATGGTCAGTCCTGGAGAATATTCCACGTGCTGATGAAAAGAATGTATATCCTGCAGCTGTGGGGTGAAATGTTCTGTAAATGTCTGTTAGGCATATTTGATCTATGGTATAGTTTACATTTTATGCTTCTTTGTTGATTTTCTGTCTAGATGATCTGTCCAATGCTGATATTGGGGTGTTGAAGTCCCCAACTATTATTGTATTGGGGTTTGTATCTCTCTTTAGATTTAATAATATTTGCTTCATATATCTGGCTCCTCCAGTTTTGAGTGCCTATACATTTACAATTGTTACATCCTCTTGCTGAATTGATTCCTTTATTATCATAATATAATGTCCTTCTTTGTCACTAAGTTGTGCAAAAGTAATTGTGTTTTTTGTCATTACATTCAAGTTTAATATTTATATTAAATATATTAAATACTGTAACCAAGCTGTAATATTTTTACAGCTTTTAATTTAAAGTCCACTTTACCTGATATAAGTGTAGCTATTACTGGTTATCTTTGGTTTCCATTTACATGAAATGTCTTTTTCCACCTCTTCACTTTCTTTTTTTTTCTTTTTTGAATGGATAAATAAATTGTGGTATATTTACACAGTGCAATATTACATGGCAATGAAAAAAATGAACCATCGCTACACACAATAACAAATTTCACAAACATAACACTGAGTGAATGAAGCCTGATATCAATGGGTAATACTGTATGATTCCATTTGTAAAAAGTTCAACACAGGAAAAACTGATCCAGAGTGATGGAAAGTGAAATAGTGGTTATCCTTGGATGGGCAGATAGTAATGACAGAGGAAACATGAAGGAGGCTTCAGGGTTGTTCTATAGTACCCTGTTCTATAGCTTGGTTTGGACGGTGGTCTAAATGTGTGGGTTGGTGAAAATTTGCCAGTTGGTGGAAATTCAGACCCGGCACGGTGGCTTACGCCTGTGTCCCAGCACTTTGGGAAGCCAAGACGGGTTGATTGCTTGCGCCCAGGAGTTTGAGACCCACCTGGGCAACATGGTGAAACCCTGTCTCTAGAAAAAATACAAAAATTAGCCAGGTGTGGTGGCACGTGACTGTGGTCCCTGCTACTTAGGGGGCTGACGCAGGAGGATTGCTTGAGCTCAGGAGGCAAAGGTTGCAAGGTTGCAGTGAGCCGAATTGTGCCACTGTAATTTTGCCTGGGCAACAAGAGTGAAACCCTGTCTAAAAAAAAAAAAAGAAAAAAATTCACTGAGTTGTACACTTATGATTTGTGTACCTTTCTCTACTTGTGCTATACTCCATGACAAGCTTACACAAAGTCCTTGTCTAAAAGGCCCTACATGATAATGCCACTTCCTCTTCCTAACCCATATTTTGGTTGTACCCCAACTTTGTTCACCCCATTCTTGTGACTCTTTTCTCATTGCTGTTCTCCAGCGTACCAGTGTTGGTTGTTCCTTTCTCTAGGATCTTGCATTTACAGCTGTATCTTCTCCCAGATATCCACACAGACTGCTGCCTTGCCTAATTAAAGTTTCTGCTTAAACTTCGCCTTATCAGAGAAGGCTAAGAATGTCTTCTTTCTATTCTTAAAACCAGCCAATAGCTTTCATTTCACTCTAAAGAAAAGCTGAAGTTCTCACATGGTACACAAATCCCTTTGTAACCTTGCTTTCTGGTCTTGTGGCCTCTATTCCTCTCAGTCAGTCGCCTCACTGTTATCACTGTTGTTCTTCACATGTGTCTCTGTTTTAGGACTTTGCACTTGCTGTCTGGAACACTGTCTTCCTGTATAACCATATGATTGTTCCTTCATTTCTCTCAGGTCCTTACTCAGATGTCACCCTCTCTGTGAGGCCTTTCTTAATCTCTTGTTTAAAGTCTTTCTTCACCTCTTCCGCTATGAGCTACCTTCACTCTCTATCCCCCATCCTTTTTATTATTTTCTTCATAACACACAAAAATTTAGCATACTATGTGTTTAACTTATCTATTTTGTTTGTTTTCTTTCTTTTCAACTTGAATGTAAGCTTTACAAAGGACAAGGACTTTTGCTTATTTTTTTCCTCACTGCTGTTTCCTTGGTATCTAGAATAGCATCTGACACATAATAGGCCTAACTCTAAATATTAATTGAATGGATAAATGAATATCACTTTTCCACAGCCTTCATTAGCTGATTTAACTCAAATGTGGGAATAAGAATTTCCTCTCATTTTAATTAAGAAAGTGATCATTTAAAACAAATCTGATCAAAAAGTATTAAAAAATGAGTCCTCAGTTTTCTTATCTAACTGTAATCTTGTATTTTAGCACCTCTATTTCTGGGGCTCTTTTTTTCAGCAGTTTTCTTCAAAGTCAAATTGAGAGAAAATATTTCTTATACCTCTGAGTAGGAAAAGGATAGAACAGTAACATCATAATAAGGAAGGGTACGATTAATCCCTCTAACTTCAGTTAAAAATAAATAAAATAAAACACTGACTAGAAATTATTGGTAAGCAATTGTTTTTTGAAATGTATGCTTTAATGACTCAGAGGCAAAAAAAAAAAAAAAAGCAACTGAATGAATTATCTATTACAAAAAGTTGTTTCACTTAACCCAGTTTAGAGTGAATGACGCTAATTGTCTCTTGAAATGTGGGAAGGGCCCACCGGCCAGATAGTGACTCCCAGTTGAAAATGGGCAGACTTCCAATGAAGGAACTAATGTTAGTTAAGGAAGACTCCGTGGTGAGAAAAGTTTGAGCTGTTCTCTAAGCAGGAATGTTCCAACAAAGAAGTCACATGGCAGAGTATTCTGGGTGGAAGCAAATGACATGAGGGCTAGTCGAAGATGAGACCACAAAGGGCATGTGTAAGAAGTAGAAATTACTTTCATATGATTGCAACAGCATTGGAGAGTGGAAAATCTGTAGTGCAAAAGGAGAGTAATTGTCTAAAACTTTGTGACCCTTAATTAGCTATTTTATTTTGATCCTATAAGAATTTTCTAAGAAGAAAACTATGTAGTAATATTGTTAAAGTGAAAAGGGATTGTTTGGTCTCTAGTCCTAGCTCTCCTGCTAACTGACTGTGTTCTTGGTGGTCATCCAGTTTTCCTGTCTATAAAATGTAGGGGTCTATAAAATGATTGTACAGGTCCTTTTCAGTTTAAAAATAATCTACAAGTCAGTGGTGAATAAACAGTAAGAACTGCTCCTAAACCTGAGATGTAAGAAATAGCACACATTTTCTTCTAGATGAAATTAAATCTGGTTAATTTATTTATTCCACAAATAGTTATTGTATGGCTTCTGTATGTCAGACATGTGCTCAATTCTGCAGATGTTCTTGGAAAAGAAGGCAGACGAGTTCCTGCCCTCCTGAAGCTTATTCTAGCTCTCATTTACACAGAATGAAGTTCAGTATCACTCATTTTTCATAAAGTCTGCTCTATCTCTTAGGTTATTTCAGAACGTTGGGATTTTACACAGTCCGGGAAAAACAAGAGCAATCCCTGCCTCTCTCTGTATCTGGCCATCATCAGAGTTACCATTGCTCTGTGTCTGGTCCTGTAAGATGCTTCTGAAGTGTCTGGATCTGCCAGACATGTGAAAATAATTAATAATAATAATTTAAATAATAAATAATAATTTTTATTGCTTTTTATTATTGTTATTTTATTATTACTGACTTGGCTGTCATAGGCATCTCAATGAGATCAATTGACTAGATATTTCAACGTAGAGATATTAGTGGGGACTTTCTTCAAAGTATTTCTACTTCCACTCATATCCTAGCAACATTTTTGGCCCTCAACAACAACAGAATGTTCAAATGTCTCCTTAGGAGTGGGAAAAAAAAGGTCTAATTTTGTGTGTGTGTGTGTGTGTGTGTGTGTGTGTGTGTGTAGCACCTCTCCTCTGGTACCAAGTTTTATTCTAGGAACTTTTGCCAAGATACTATTGGCCTCCATTTCCACAAGAACTCACATAGCTGTCAATGTCCTGTGCATTAAATGGTGCTGTGAACAAGGAGGCTGGTGTCTGGTACTTCACAAAAACCTACCTTTACCCACCTCTCCAGTCTCTGGGGATCAATCTGGGCTCTTTGAACTATGACCCTACTCAGTACTCAAGGCCACACTGTCATCCATCATGTTCCACTTTGGGCAACATAGTCACTATCTGTTTCAGGCATAAGGCTGCAAACCTATAGTCCAAAGATTAAATTTGTTGTCAGACAGCTTTGTTATCCAACTTACTACAGTCTCCACCCCTCCTTTTCGATTCCCAATATTGAAACAGCATCTGTGCTATCATCCTTTCACTGTTGCTTTTCTTATATTTATGGTTAAGAGCACAACCCCTAGAGCCAGACTATCCAAGGTTGACTCTGAGCTCCACCCCATACTAGCTGTGTGGCTTGGTCAAGTTATGTAAACTTTCTGTATCTCAGTTTTCCCATGTATAAATTGCAAATACTATAAGACACCTATCTCATAACAATGTTGTAAAGAGTAGTCAGATTTGTGTGTGTGTGCCACTTATCACTCTACCTGACACATAGTAAGTGCTTTGTAGGTGTTATTGTTATTATTATTGCTTTTTAAATAGTTATTTTATTATTACTGACTTGGCCACCATAGGCATTTCAATAAGATCAATTGTCTAGATATTTCAACATAGAGATATTAGTGGGGATTCTTTTTCAAAGTAATTCTACCTCCACCCGTACTGTAGCAACATTTTTGGCCCTCAATAACAACAAAATGCTTAACTGTCTCCTTAGCAGTGGCCAAAAGAAAAAAAAAAAGGTCTAATTTTGTAAGTGTGTGTAGGGAGTGAAGAAGCATCCTTCATTCCTGTGATATAATACTGGTAATTTTTTGGTCACCATATCAAATTTTAACAGGTGAAAGAAATTTTTTCCAGTTTCTAACTCTGAAGTCTGCACAGATTTCCTCACTCTTCTCTTCACTTAAAGCATCACCAAGTAGCTATCTCTCCTATACTGAGAAATTGGCTGAATTTTTTTCCCATCTGCTTCCTAGAACTAAATTGTGACTTTTCATTTTATATCACTTATAACTGAAGGTAATTTGAGTTACTTCTTAAAGTCTTGGGCTTAATATGTTAGCTAGAATTGTCTATTAATCTGTTAGGCTTGTCACTCTTCCATTTTCTGTAGTGACTCAAAAATACTTTTCGCTTGGTGAATAAAATATAGATATTTGCATTTTATTGAACTATTTCACATTTCTAGCCCTTGGATTGTTGATGTTTTCAGATTCCTTGCACCTGCTTTCTTTTGATTTGTGACCTTTATATTGCATCAAAAGTCAAACTTCCAATGGAGAAAATTTTATTTTAATATACACATTGGTATCTTTCATAGGTTCATAAGCTCTTTCTCTTTTTGTGCAGAGAATGAAAATAAATGATCCTTTGACAGACTGTCAGCCAGAGTTTTATTACCTATGTCTGACCATGTCCCATGGGTGGAAGTGTCAGCTCAGAGCAGTTGGGTTTTTATTTATTGTCAGGGCATTTTGTACACATTTAAAAGGAACTGTGGTTGTGGGAAATAGATTTTATGTAGAGACCAGGAGAACTAACTTCAGAAGCTGCTTGAATGATCCTGTGATAAAATGGGCAGATCCTAATCTTGTTTCTTGTTGTATTACCTCTTAGGTAAATGAATTCCTGCCATTCTCTGGGGAGTTAGGAAGGGCCCTTCGCTACAACTGTACCTTTAGCATTTGCAATCCTTCCTGTGCGCTGGTCCTGCATGTTGATTTAGAAATGTGGGAGTTCAAGACCAGTCTGGCCAACATAATGAAACCCTGTCTCTACTAAAAATACAAAACACACACACACACACACACACACACACACACACACACACACACACACACACACACACATATATATATATATATATACACACAATTAGCTGGGAGTGGTGGCAGGCGCCTGTAATCCCAGCTACTCAGAAGGCTGAGGCAGGAGAATCGCTTGAACCCGGAAGGTGGAGGTTGCAGTGAGCCGAGATCGCGCCACTGCACTCCAGCCTGAGCAACAAGAGCGAAACTCTGTCTAAAAAAAAAAAAAAAAAAGAAATGTGGAGATCAGAATGAGAAAATTGAAGAGTTCAGGTAAAAGAACACTTTCTTTTTCTTTTCAGGATGATACCTTCAGATATGTCAGAGGACACATTTTTCATGGTGGTGGTTGTAGTTGTTAAGTAGCCATGCCCAGAGACTAAGAAGGGGAAAGGAAAAAATAATTATGTTCTAATAATTATTTTCAGTGCTTTACACAGTAGGTACTTGGATACCTCCTTAATAAAGCTCAAATTTGTATTGTTGTAACAGCTATAAAATAAAGAAATGACAAAAACAAGGTTGTACTAAAATCATTAAAATTTAGATTAGGAAGAAATAGTACAGTTTCAGCTTCTAGTTAAAAATAGAGATTGAAGGTGTTCAAAAATTTAGTAATTTTTTTTCCACTTAGGTAATTTATAAGTGTACCCACTCCTTTATAAGAATAAAGAGAACTTCAATTCTGACATTAGCATTAAGTATTTTATTAAATCTATAGATTTTTGACCTAGAATTTGTCTACAACATGATATAGTTATGTTAAATATAAATATATTTGATATATTTATATATTAAATATATTATAGTAATAAGGGTAGTAGGCCCAGAATCATTTTGTTTTGTTGGCTACTTGATCTCATGTAAGTTTACTTACATTTTCAGAGCATCACATTTCCTATGGTATTTAAAACTTTCAAAACGTACTGTATTTCAATCATCCATCAAGTAGTGTCTTGAACAGAAAAGGGATTAATTGAATTAATGAGTTTAATTTAATTTAATTAACTGTGATTGGAGGATGATTTTTTTTCTTTAATCCTTAGCTTTGGAGATCCTTAGCCATCAGAGACTTCTGAAAACTTGAATTCAATTAGATTTAGTTAGGCATAAGGGAGAAAGGAATTATCGAAAGCAGTGACAAGCAATTCCCTTTTTCTTACCTGGCCTCTAAAAGTTCTCCTGAGATTGAGACTGTGGCCTTCAATAGATTCCTTGAGGTGCCGTGTATCAATTGATACCAGCACTTGTGCTCAATGACACTTGCCAGCAGTGACAATCACATTAGCATTTGTGGAGTCAAAGCAAGCCACTGGTACATGAAGGCACATTCTCTTGCTTTGAGCAGTGTCTTCTAATTGAGAAAAATATGCAAGTATATTGGTTTCTTTTAGAAAGAACCTTCTCCCCCTTTTTTTAAAGACCACAGATTTTTGTACACATTGTAGACTAGGGTGGAAATTGGAGAGGTATACAATGGTCTGCGGGTGAGCACCACTTCACACCTGTGATGATTACTCTGGCTGAAGTATGTTAAGGACACAGGATGTTCTTTAGCATGGGTGTATGGGGGCTGCACTATTCAAACAGGAATACATCAACAATCTGCTGGTAATAAATTATTTGAAAATAAATATTTTACAATGCACCAGCAGAAATGCTAAAACCCAACCTCGTCAAAGGAGCATAGAGATAAAGCTTTTTTCATTAATTCAGAGAAGGATTATCTTTTCTTTCTTTCCGACAGTGGTGATCTGGCCCCTGTGCAGCTCCATAGAAAAGGGGGCTCAGATGTAGAGAGATTGCTGGGAGGGAGGGACTGTGAGCTGGCACATGGTGTTACTGAACAGATTTAAAGGTATTTTAAACATAGGCCTTTAATGCTATCTTAGAATGTGTGTGAATAGCCTTCCTTCTGCTCCAGCTGCTGAGAATAGGCAAATTGCTCCCAGAAAGACAGATACAGTGTATTTATGGACCCTGCATTCTTGATCCCAAGTGCTATGCGCAAGATAATTCCTAAAAACATATGCCTATGAAAGTACTCCTGTGATTAGGTAGCTTCATCTTTGGAGAATTGTGGGGTGGGGTGAGGGGAGCCCTCCCTCTTTATATGAATTTAGCTTTAGAAGTCCATGGCAGGTAGCAACCTGTGGAGGTTCAGCTCATAGATGTACCATTTCCTTTATTCTCCTGAAATACGTATCTCTATTCATGTCATTCTTGTATCTATTCTACTCTGTAATTTGTGCAAAAGAAAAGTATCAGATGTGCCTGCATAGTCGTCTCTATTGATATTTTGTAGAACAGAACATATTGGACCTGTTTTCTTTCTGCAATCAGTTTCAAGTGTTTGAACCTTCCTAGCAGCTGGGAGACAATATTTATTTTTAATCAGCAACTGATTTCATGAGTCTGATGGCATGTAATATATGTGACTGTGTATTAAAACATGCAGAGCTGCCTAAATGATGAGGCAGAATTTCAACAGGAAGAGATCAAGTGTGCTGTGACAGGAATGCTTTGGGATCTTGGAATGGGTCAAACTCCATTCTGGAAATATAATGGAATAATTATCAGGGCAGTTCAGGAGGAGGCCAGGGATTTCCATTTCCAGGAAGGCCAGCCAAATTCACAGGCAGGAGGAAGATTAGCTGAGTTTTACCTGGATAGGTTGGGGATGGAGTTAATACAGCAGAAGAGCTGGGGAAAGGTGGTTCGTATGCGACCATTTGTGGGGGAGTTTCACAGCATATCAAGTAAATTTCAATAACTTCTGCTTGTTTTTATATTATTATTAGGGAGCTGCAGGGAAGGGGTTGGGTTATGTACTTTTAGAATGTGTGTGTAACAAGCACCTTGGGAGCTTATTAAAAATGCAGATTCCAGAATTTCTGGTTCAGAAGGTCTAAAGTGGAGCAAAGGGATTTGCATTTTAAATAATTACCACGGGCAATTCTGATGCACGCAATTTAAGAAAAATTGTTTAATATTTCAAAAGGAGAATGAAGAATCTAGCATTCTTATTGCTCATCATAAAATACATCACTAATCCACAAGTATCAAGAATAGAAAGCAGGAAATAAAGACAACTCTAAAATATTTTTGTGCAACTTGACTGTAAGTGATGGGGAAGATAATTAGCATTTTTAGTCTCTACTATTCATCAAAAGACTGAAACAAAATATATGTATTTTAATCTTTATTACAGCCTCAGTAAGTCAATTAACTTTACACCATTTTATAGGTGTAAAACAGGCTCAGAAATGTTGAGTAACTTGTCCACAATTACATATATAGTAATAATCAGGAACTTTTGGGCTTTTCAGTCTCCCCACTTTGCTTTGGGAAGTTTATCTATGGCTTCAATTACACAATGTCTATACCAACAAATCTCACATCTGTGTCCACGGCCTGGGTCTTTCTTGTGTGTCTTCCAGCCATTGATCTGATGACCTGTTTGACATCTTTGCTTAGCTATTTCTCAGATACTTCAAGTTCTACATGTTCTCAGTTGTACTTATTGTCTTCCTCCCACGTATTTCTCTCCTCCTCTATCCCTGAACTCAGCAAGTAGATCCTACCATGAATCTATTGGTTCAATTCAAAAATAATGGTTTTTTTTGTGGATTGAAGCACCTAGTTCTGTGTCCTTCTGTCAAACCTCATTGCTAACCTGCTAGTTCAGGCCAGCGTCATCTCTTACCAGGCACATCAGTTAGCGTTTGCTGCACAACACAAATCTCCCCATAAACTAATGGCTTAAAATGGAAATCATTTTACTTAACTCACAATTCTGTGCATCAGCCAGGCAGTTCTTTGGGTCTGGACCAGCTTGGCTAATCTCTGCAGGACTTTCTCTTATGTCTGTGATTTGCCAGTGAGTTGGCTGGTGGCTTAATAATCTACCATGACCTCCCTCGTGTCTATCTAGGGTGGGTAGGCTGTCAGCTGAGGGCTGGATGGCTTTTGGCTAGGATGCCTAAGTTCTTTTCCATGTGGTTTCTCATCCTTCAGCAGGTTAGCTTGGGCTAATTCACATGGTCGTCTCAGGATTTCAAGTGTGGTAAGAGTGAACAGTGTACGAGTACATTTCAAACCTTTGTGCTATATTTCTCAATGCCAGCCAGGGGCACTGAGTCACTGTGGCAAGGCACTGCCAAAGGGTGTCAGTAGAGAAATAGGAATGTTTTATGGCCATTTTTGTAGTCTATTATGCTAGGCCTTTGTAATAACCTAGCATTGTTGGTTTCCTTACCACCAGTCTTGCCCTGTCCAATCCATTTTTTCACACAGCAGTCAATGGATGGTCTATCATGTAACCACCCTATTTAAAACTTCACTGGCATATCACTGCTCTGAGAATAAAGTCCTAATCCTTTAATGTGATTAATATAAAACCCCAGGATTTGTATTCTGTCTACCTCTCTGGGCTTTGGCTCTCTCCCTGTTATGTTCTTAATTTCTCTTGGTTACTCAAATAGCTAGTTTAATTCTCACCAAGGCAGAAGGGAGCATACTGCAGTCAATTCTCATTGGTCTCCTTTTCTCTTTCTATCTGAAAAACTCTTCATTTTCCTATCTTTCTTCTTTCCTTTTTCCTAACTCACCTATTTATCCCTCAGTATCAGCTAAAACATCCTTTCCTCAGGCCTCCCTTAACTGAAGTATAAGTGAACCTTAGCATTTGTACTTCACTGTAATTACATGTTCAGAATCTGACTTTCCCATGAGACTAAAAGCTTTGTGAGATCAGGGACATTATCTGTTTCACCTAGTACTGAATCTCTGACATGTAACACAGTGGCTATTCTATAATAGGTACTTAATCAATGCTGGTTAAAAGAACAGGTACTCCTGGCTTGTCTGAGTTTTGAGCTTTTTTTACTATGGCACATTGCAATTTAGATTCAATTTGCTGATCTTGTTTCTTTTGCCCATATATTTAATTAATTTTATGTTCATGAGCTAAAAATGATTTTAGTAGTGCACATATATACATATAAATTCAAATCACTTTTCTTGTTCAGGGGTTAAATGTAAATGATATTTTATGTTAATGAACTTTTCCGGCAGTCTGAACTCCTTAGAAAAAAAAAAAGCAGATAATTTAGGATGAAAGGGTCTGGACTACACAAAAGGACACTCAGGCAATGTTTCAGCAGTTTGAGAGCAGTCCTACCCATGTTACTTTAGCTGTGGCCTGTTGCCACATGGAAATTTCCTGGTGGGCCACCATGATAAAGATTGGCTAAAGTCTACTCTGTGGAGGCAGGTTTACCCTGGAGGCCATTCTAAAAGTAATGGAAAACCTACTCAGGAAATGTAATTTCAAGGCCTATCTTCTTTGACTTGTGCAATTTTGAAAGTTCAGGCTGTGTCATGCACATTTTGTGTCAGATGAAGTTTTCACAGCAAAGCTCATAGTAGTTCTGATAACTGATACTATAAAGAAAAACCAGAAACACAATTTCCAGAAGCTTCTCTGGACACTAGAAAAGATTGTCAAATCAAATAGTTCTTCTCAAATCAAAATGATCGTTATTGCCCTTGAAGACTAAATGATGTATTATTTGAATAAATCTAATGAGTTAGGAACCTATACAGTGGCTTATACCCCTCTTCCCATACCCTTTACCTTCTGGGATTTCTCAGTTTTCCCATCTATGAAATGGAGATGTTCATAATGTTATATTTTATAAGTCTAAACAACATAATCTTATACTTCATAAAATTGCTATAGAGCTAGGATGAGCTAATAGGTTTGAAATAACTTTGTATACTATAAAATGCTATTAATTCATCAAATATTTATTAAGTACCATATATACCAGACCTTGTGCTAGACCCAAGGGAGGGATATAAAAAAAATTCTTGCTCTGTGATTGAGCTCACAACCGAGGGAAGTGACAGATGAAGGTAAAATCATAATATAGGATAAACAAAACTGCAGCATCACAGATGGTGTATCAGTTAATTCTGTCTAGCGGGTTCACAGAAGAGAAGATATTTAATGTGGGCTTGGAATGATAGGTAATATTTCACCAGAGGGAGAAGGCACAAGGGGCATTCCAGTCAGATATCTACTTATAGTCCATGTCAAGAGAGTCACTCCATTTTTGAAGAAATGATAAGTGGAAGGAAGATACCCAGAAAGCATATAAAGGTGATGTAATTGTTTCTTTTCTTTCTTCTACTTCTTTTTTTTTTCTTGGATTGAGAGAAGGCAAACTAAATTCATAAAACAAAGCAGCATCAAAGACAACTGAATCAGGACAAGAAATGGTGAAAGTGTAGCAGGGAAAACAATCTGTTACTTTATACATACCCTAACAAATGCATGAAAGTTTGAAACCTCAATGAAACCTCAAGGAAACCCCATGAATGAAAATAGGATGCTCCTCTTTCAACGATCAAGCAAGTGAACATATCAATTTGGAGATTACAAAACAATGAAAAGTGACTAACAGTATGTTTGTCAAAGATACATTCAAATGCATTTTACAAAACAACTTCAACAATAGTTCATGAACTAAGCAGGACAACGGGAGAATAAGCTGAGTTCTAGTCAGAATTATTACCAATACTTTGTGTCATAGGTGTCAGGGCCTGTTACTCCTTTATACCCCCTCCACTCTTTTGCTGAGTGAATATTCTGATTTTATTTTTGAGATAGAAATCTGTGCAAGAAAAAGTAGCAAAGCATTTTAAGGGTAAATGATTCAAAATCTCAGGCGGCAACATATGTGTGTATATGTGTATATACACACATACAAACTCATTTCTCACATTTGGAACTATTAAGTTAAAGATCAGACATATAATTTACATTACTGTTGAAGGTGAAAGGGGGTGCTATTTATAATTTTCACTGGGGAAACAGGTACAAACCTGGACTGTCCCAGGCAGAATTAGATGTATGGTGACCCTAGTTATAGGAACCACACAGACTTTGTTAAACAGGACAAAGCCAATGTTCTTTGTGCTCCTCTAAGGAGCTCCTGGAGCTTTTGGTCTTGACATATCAGAAATTTTGGTATAGGCATAATTTATAATGTAAGTGCTGAGTAGGGACCAGTATAATATTGTAGTTAAGAGCATTACTAGTTTCAAATCCTGGCTAATTAATTGTGTGACGTTGGGCAAGATACATCTATATGAGCAGCTACTCTGTGCCTTAGCTTCTTCATTTGTAAATTGAGAACAATAATTGGTTATAGTGAGAATTAAATGAGTTAATATATGGAAATTTCTTGTAGCAAGGTCTGGCTCACAGCATTATATATTATTATATATTGTCATTTTGTGTAATTATCCCCATTTTATAGATTTCAGAAGACACACACACAACCAAATGAAACAAATAAATTATATTTCAGGGTTTATCTGATGTCTTTTAGGTTCACTTTAGAATATTCAAGAAGATATCCAGGCATTAGCCTGAGCTGGAAACTTGGGTCTCCCACAGAAAGAACTATCTTCCCGGTTTTCTCTGGAAATGAGTGGAGGGAATGAAAAGGTACTATTAGCCCTTATTTTATTGGTTTGGTTTCAAGTCTCTGAGATGTCCAATGTTGATCAGACTTATGGTGGAGGTGCTACTCATATAGATGCATTTTCAAGGCAAGTGAGGTTTAAAAAATACTAAAAACATCTGGAACAACCACAGTGGGGTCCATATTTTTATGTTTACATTTAAATCTCCCATGCCCGGCTAAAACTTCTTCATCATTGTAAATAATAAAAATTACAGCTAACATTCTTGAACACTTACTAGGTGCCAGGCCCACCCCTAAGTGTTCATATGTGTTAACTCCTTTAATCCTTACAACACGTACTTGAGGTAAGTACTATTGTTATTACCATTTTGCAAATGAAGATACTGAGGGACAGAGAGTTTGAGGATTTATTTATCTCTGCATTTTGCCAGTGCCATACATACCAGGCACCTAATATTTACTGGATCAAATTTTGCATGCAGATTTATTAATATTTCCTAGCAGAGCTCATTTGCGTGGTTGATTTTTTTTTTCAGTAAAAAGAACTTTTGAGAATCTGTTTAGAGGAAAAACATTTACAGCTGCCTTGTTACCCTTGCCTATATTTGTCTGTGGTATTTTGATTTCTGCAAGACCATAAGAGTTAGTAATCACAAATAACATTTCAAATAACCTTTTAAGTACCATTTTAGGTAAGGATAGAAATATTAAATGAGATTTTCAGTTCTGGAAATCAGTCTGACAAACGAATATAGATTGCTTTTAATAAATCATTTATATTTGGCTTAAAAAGCATTATGGTGGATTTTTTTCTCTAATGATTTGATTCCTAATTATGTTTACCTCAGGACAATATCATAATTGCTTGTATTTTCCAAGCATACACCAGCTGATGAGAAGGGAGGAGGGACATTATTGGACAGTTCTGTAAATGCCAGTAGGCCAGTTTGGGGTTAATGGTGAATCTCTGACTCCTCCACGGAGTGGAAAATCTCTGCGGGAACATCCTTCAGTGGATTGCATGCCAGTGGTAAAATGCGTGAAGCACAGAGAGGAAGCCGAGCAGCGAAAGAGGCAGCAGGAAAGACATAAACAGCAGAGAACATGGGGAAGATAACACAGAGTAGCCATTAGAGGCGATTGGTCAGGGAGGCCAAATGAAGTTGGTAGTAAATTTTTATCCTCCTCAATAGGCTATTTTGCAATGGTACTTTGTATATTAAATGATTTGCTGAAAAAGCAGATACCACATTTTAATGTTCTGTGTCAGTTATAGAAAACTATAACAGGGGAAAAATAGTGTTCCCAAGGATAAGGTAATATCATTGTTTGTTTATTTGCTATATTTTAAATTTTAAAGGGCCAGACTCATGAAATGAATTACGGTTAGATTAAATGCTTTTCTAAATGCCAAAGTGATAATGGTCTATTTCTATTTCTTCCTCAGTTTGATAACAGAAATCTGAACATGACTATAATCTCATCAGACTTGTTTCTTTAATAAAAGATGTTACCCACAAGGATTCATTCATGCAACAAACACTTATTGAGCAGTAATCGTGGACATGTAAACAGTCTAGGAGAGAGAAACACTAAAAAACAATTATACAGATCACCCTAAAATTACAGTCATTTCAAATGCCACAAAGAAAAAGAAGAATTAGGATGTTTCTCAGAACGTGGTATAGAAGGACCTGATCTAGACAGGTGTGTGTTGGGAGAGGAAGGAGGGTAGAGAGAAAGTCTCCCTGAGTAAGTTATACTTAAGGAGACGAAGAATAGTGAGGAATTGGCAGAGTGAAGGCAGTGACGGGAAGAGTCAGGTGCACATGATTGATCTTACTCTATTCTTTATAGTAACTGGGTTTGTGTCTATGAAGTTAGTACAAAAGAAGCTTAGTTAACTATGTGTGGTGTGGCCAGGTGGAAGAATGCAATGGCAATATGAAAACATTACAAAATGACAATAGAGTACTGGATTGACACAATGTTTGTCTTCTAAAATACCCTCTTGTATCCTGGCAAGCAAAGACATGTGGTAGAATTATAGAAATAGAGGTGGATAGTTTGCCTACTTTTTGTCTTTGAAGTTGCCAGAAGAGGGATGAAGAGTCTGTGAATTCTGAAGAGGCAGAAGATAGCAATGAGGTAATGCTGATTGCTCTCCTTATGGTAGTGCAGTTACCACAAGCTAATGTGGACTTCTTGCTGGACAGACAGGGTAATCTATAAAACGCCTTCTAAGGATGCGGGTATAAAAAACTCAGATGGCAGACATATAAAAACCCACCTCTAAAGACATTCTGAGGGGAATTCAGTGCTGCTTTCAGAGCAAGGGTTTTACATCTACGTAATTTAAAACTACGTGTTATGGATAATTTTAGATATTTATTTTTATTTCAATATGAGGAAGAGGAAACTCAAATGACTTTTTCTGTGCTGATGCTGGATTCTGTATATAGCCTCAGAATGAGTCTGACATTAAAAGTAAAAATGAGTTAAATTCTCATGTCTTTTTTTTTTGGGAAAAAAAAACAACAACAAAAAAACAAACCCAAACCCCAAACTGTGTGGGAGGAAGAGGCAGTGCTCTGTCTGGGAGATTTGAGCGGAGAGCGTTCAGAATGCTCACAGCCCACATGATCACATGGTGCAAATTCTTGGGGAGGGAATTCTTTGGCAGCCTGACATATATAATTTTCCTCAGAGCAGAAGACTTTATGTTAAAGTTTTGAAATCACAATAAGATTTAAAGAATTGCTCTTTAATTAAGAAAATGGCTAGATATTTTCCTATAGTTTCCTTTCAGAAAATAGGTTTCTTAACAATTTAATGCAATGGTTGGAGTAATGACAGAAAAGCACAGACTCACCGCACACTCATTTAGGAACATGTGGGTTTGTTTAGGTGTGAATCCCAATTAGGAATATGCATTAAATTATTCTATTTTCATGCAATTAGGTGGATTAAATGATCAAATACCACAAGGATAGTTCTGTGAAAATCATGGCTAGATTGACAGTTCTCAAGTTCAGATATCTCCACTTGAAACTGAAGTAACCAAATATAATAGTTCCTCTGTCAACTCTTGATTATTAGTGTGTAAATTATGCATGGATGGTACATTGACTGCCAAGGGTCAATAGCAACACTTCATCAGGGAGCCCAGATGATTTGCGTTCTGCTGTGTGCCAGCTTGATGCTGAAGGAGATATGAAAAGTTTAATAATGGTCATAGTTCATATTTATTGAGCATTCCCTATATGTCAGGCAATATTCTAAGTGCTTTCATGTTTTCTCTCACTGACTCTTCAAAACAACTCTTTGAAATCTGTGTTATTCTTATCTCCATTTTACAAATTAGAGAAAAGGAAAGTTGCAAAAATCGGCCGAAGCTTGTAATTGCGCTCAGGCTAGCAAACCACAAATGTGCTTTGTGAGAAGGGAAAACATACTTTATGGATTCTTTTATTTTCAAGACATACCTAATTAAAAAATTTAGCCTAATTTGTCCACATTCAAGGGCTTTTGTTTTTCTTAGTGAAACAAAATTTAGTGCTACTAGAAACTAAACTTTATTGGTCAACACTTGTGGAGAAGTCCCAGGAGGTTACTTTGTTTTCTTGACTTGACATTGTGAGTTTGTAAGCAAATAATACTTTTTGTTTTTCCTTTCCTTATCTCCCAAGGTGAGAAATCACAAATAGATTTTTAAAATCCCTCATAGGTATATAGTATGCAGCAGCATGTCTCAAATGTATTCGGCAGTCAACTCCCTCCATCTTTTTGGGGAGAATTTTGTGCAGTAAATGTTTTCCAAAACACACTTTGGTAAATGCTATTGTGTGTTTACTATAAGCATATTTTGCCACCTTTTTGTCTCCCATTCACTAGAGTCTGCATATCATCTTTAAAGTTTTCATAATTTTGAATCCAATGGTCTCTTTTCAGATCATGACTTCCCAACAATTGACATTACAGACAATTTCTGACTCCTCTTGGAATGTTTTCCTTTCTGGGTTTCCAGAATACCATTTCTTTCTGCTCCTTTGTCTTCTCTTTTCAGTTTTCTTTATTAACTTGCCTTTATCTAAATCTTAGATGTTAGTGTACCCCAAGGTTCCATCCTTGACTGTCTTTCTTGTGTCTCAATGTTATATTCCAGTTGCTTCGTTAAACTGCCACACTCATTCTAAATTTATGATACCTTCCCCGACATCTTTAGAAATAATAGATTACTTTTCATTTTCTCTGCTAAATGCACTTTATTTTTCCCTTAGTGAAATGCATACCACCTTGCATATGTCTGCCTCCTAACTAGCCTCTTTTGTCAAGATGTGATAGGCTCTATTGCAGTTAATGCTAGTTATCAGAAAAAAAGTTTACATCTCACTGATGCAAGAATCTGTCGCAGATCTGGGCAACTCTCAAGGACAGCTGTGTGTTCGTCTGTTCAGTGACTCAGGGATCTAGGCAACCTCAAACTTGAGGCTCTACCTTCTCAATACAAGGACTGTTCTTATATTTCCATGGCAGAAGGAGTAGAAAGTGAGTAGGGGCTTCTACTGGCTCAGTGTGGACTACACAGACATATGCTATTCACATTTCATTGAGCAGAACTAATAATAGGGTTTTATCTTTTGACAGTAAGAGTGAAAGTTTAGTTATCCATATGCCCAGGAAAGAAATAACTTTTGTTGAAAAGCTTAACACAGGGATTGTATCATAAATATCTCTATACCCCCAGTACTTGGCACAGGGTTTAACAATAGATGTTCAATAAATGTTTGGTAAATTCAATCTAATCTAGTTTCAACTTGAGTCATTTTACTGATAGAAGAACGGAAGCCCTTCAAAGAAAAGTGACTTTACTCAAATTATTCAGATGTTTACATGGCTAGAGCAAGAATCTAGATCTTTTGCTCTTTTTACTATATCTGATATTCATGGAGGAGTTTGTTCTACAAGAATTGTTATGATTTTGTTGGGTTGTGCATTATTCCCATTAAGGCTACGGGTTTGGTTGTTGGAATGTTTGTTAACTTGCTTTACATTTTTGCTTACAGAGTTAACAGAGATATGGCATGAACATGTATTAGAAAAATGATTCACACACAATAGAAAAAGTAAGTATAGATTATCAACTTGTTGCCAGCAGCATCAATAATTTTTTTTTGGTTACTAAATAGCCCACATAAGTTTGAGCAATATTGTCTCATTTACTACATGTCATTTAGTTGCATAGCAAATGCTTTTACTGACAGAAAATAAAATAAGATTGAAGAAAACCACACAGTATTATCAATTATTACCCATTCTTACTTCTTCTTTCTTTACTGTAGTTTTTGGAAGGGTAATTTAGTGTATTTGCTTAACAATTTTGGGGCCTATTTTCCCATTTTATCCTTACTAAATTTTAAGTAGTAGGTAGGGATTCTCTTAGTGCTGTCTGTGGAAATGTTGCAATTCTATGGCTACTATAATATCTTTTTTGACAACCTTACTTATTTCAGTGCTGGATGGTCTTATTTGCTTTACACCTCAGGGTTCTCCTCAAAACGCCATTGAGGTTCTCTCTTAAGCTGTACCTCTATAGGTAATATTTCACTTGAACATATAAACTTTAATGCAATGTTTCTAAAATAAACTCCTAATCTTCTTCCCTGCTCTCAAGCTTCCTCAAACAAATAAACACACTGGCAGAGACCGTTACCTGTAGCATGTGGCTAATTTCTAGTCAGAGAATATGAACAGAACTTATGGGTATTTCTTCCATGTCTGGCCCATATCATTTTTCTGGCCAATGAACAAACAAATAAGCCAAATACAACAACGAAGATTAAAAAAAAAAAAAAACCCTTCCTAGTTTCCACTTGGCTGGAGAAGACTGTGCCAAGCTTGGAAGCCATATTGTTGAAAGTGGCAGAGCATTTTATCGACTTGAGTTCTTCAGTGACTATGTAGAAAGAGCCCTGTTACTCTCCTAGACTGTTTGGAGAGCAAGAAATAAACTTATTCCATGTTGAGTCATTGTTTGAGTCCATTGTTACCACAGAATACTTTGATACAGAAACCTCAGCTTGTGTACCTGTGAAATGGAAATAATAACTACTTTACTTTGAGAACTAAATGAGATAATATAAACAAAGCACTTATTTTAATGCATGACTCATAAAATATATGATAAATTTTAGTCTATTCCCTTCCTTCCTTCTTCATATAGATATGACAAATACAATCCTTTTAATTCCCTTCAGAAACTTCTGCATCCACTACCCCTCTTTCTTGACACAGAGATAGTGGTTATGAGATTGAAACTCTGTACATCTCCCAATGCTGAATCTATACACAGACATGGATCCAAATTCACATTCTCTTCCCTTACTCCTGTTCCAATACTATTCTTTCTGCTATTTAATATTAGCCAGTATTTATTAAGTGATTAGCATATACCAGGTAATATGCAAAGCCCTGCATGGATTATACAATTAGATCTCATGATGTAGGCATTGTTTTATATCCCCATATTTCAGATTAAAGAATTGGGAGGAGAAAAATTAAGCAGTTTGCTCAAAACGCAAGAATATCTTCAAACTCTCTCATTCTCTTTTCACTTTTTATCTGCATTTAAATGTGCACATATCCCTACAATCTTGAGAAAAACCATTCCATGAAACTTGGCTTCCTTCTTCATTATCTTCATTTTCTGTCTCAACTTCCTCACCTTCACTCTTTAAGCCCTCTGCTCTCACCACTCCAATGAAATGCCTCTATTTTCTAGTAACACATCCAGTGGAGGCTTCCTGGTTTGGATTATCATTCAACCTTTCTGAAATATTTAGTTCTGTACCACTCTCTCTTCCCCAAAACACTAGAGGAGAGTTTGTTACATACCACACTACTTTTCTAGCCACTCTTTCTCCGTCTAACTTTGGGGACTCTTTCTTCTGACAGGTCCTTGAATGCTAGTGTCCTTCAGGGTTCTGTCCCTAAAATTTTCTTTTTTTTTTTACATTAAATATTCTGCTTATAATATCATTTACTCCTACAGTTTCAATTGCTATATATGCTACTAATTCCTAGTTTTTAAAAAAATCTCATCTACACATGTCTTTTGAATTCCATATTCATTTCATCAATTTCAAGTTGAGATCCTAAATTTAGATCCCACATAAGCACCTCAAATGTAACATATCTAAAATTGTACTTATAATCTCTCCCTCTAAAATCTTTCCTTCTAACATTTGTCCCTCTGAGCTCCTCTGTCTCAGGAATTTGTCTATTTGTCCAAATTAGAAATTACACATCATCTTGGGATCTGCTTTTTCATTCATCCCCTAAATGCAATCAAGTTCTAAGTCTTGTTAATTAATGTAAAATTTTATTTCCTAAATATACTTCCTAAATGCATGTGATAGGCTTTTTTTTTCAATCATCATTTACTACCAATTGCCATTATTCATGCCTTCTGTGCATCAGAAGCTGATGCAACATTATTTGCCATTCTCAGAAAATAGCATGCCCTTTCATGCTTTGAGAAATGATGTCTTTTTCTTCCTTTATGGGTTGGAAAACTCTTTCAATAATAACTATATTATCATTACCAGTGTGAATCTTGGGAAGTGTTTCCTGAGGTCAAGCTGGCTGCTCACCTACCCTCCCTCCTATGCTACTATAGAGCTCTGCACTTGGCTCCTTTCTAAATATTTATAAAAAGTTTCTAAGCCTTTGCCTATTCATCTCCCCTTCTAGACTGTGAGAGCCTTGAGAAAGGAAAGCTGGTTTTTATGACAGTGAATTGGATCCTTCCTAATTTAAAAATATATCTGCTAAAGGACCAGTTCACTGAATGGTCATTTGCCAAATGAACAGATTCACCAAATTTACCAGATTTATCAATTCATCCCAAATAGTTGTAATAAAGTGATTAGGATGTTTAAATTTGGTACCCAATGATGAAATATGATTTTCTGGATATTAACTTTTTAAGGTTAAACCCAACCTGAGAACCTGGCCAAAAAAATCTGTAAATGCTAAAGAATCAGTATTTATTTTTAAAATTTCTCAAAGGAAAAGCTGTTTTTCAGTTTTTTTTTTTTTGAGGGGGTTATTTTACATGTAATGAGACTTCTTGTCTACCTCAGATATGGTTTCAGTTATCTCTGAATGTCGTTTCCTATTTTGGTAAACTTTATGCATTTTCCTTATTCTTCTGCAACTTCCTCAAATGGCATACCAGCTTTCCTTTTATATCTCTAGCATTTATAGTTTAAGATGAAATTAAACTTTAATTAGGAGATTGAACTTTAAATTTAAATTCACAGGCACTAAAATAAATCAGAATTTTAAATTGAAGTTTAATGAAAGAAAAATTTTAATTAAATAAAATTTAGAATTAAAATTTAAATTCATTCAAAAGAATCAGAATTAGTTTAAACCATCACATCTCACATGAAACTAAAAATGTGATTTTTATCAAGGAACAATTAAGGTCTCTTGACTTGGTTGGCAGTAATTTGCAAATGATTCTCTATGAAAGCACATAAAAAAAGAAAAAAAAGACCACAATGGACCAAATGAAAAAGATACAAAAAAAATGGATAAAACATAAATAGATTAAAAATACTGTAAATGAAAACAGATGAATGCTAAAAGGTTGGCTCAATAAAAAATGAAATTTTAAAAGGAATAAAAATCAGTATAAATGAGTAATTTCTACATGAAACTTAAAATTTTACTTATGACATATGTACTGTTTTATATTCAGTCATCAAATCAAAATATTTCTCTTAAAATTTATAAGATTATTTTTATTAAGTCACTATGTTTGATGGGTTGGTTTTCAGGAAATAAGCCATGTGGTGAACTGATTTTTAGTGATTTTTCGCTGCTTATTTGCCACCAGCAAATTTCCCAAACTTCCAACTTCTCCAGTTTCCATAATTTCTTCTGTGAAATTGAAGTTTCTCTTCCCCCTGAGATGATCAGCTGTCTTCTTAAGTGATAGCCATTTATTCTTTTTTAACCAAGGTTTCTTAAGCTGCTCTGACTTGACGTTTTCTTCTTTCCTCGACCTGGCCCATACCTGCTTTTAGGTGTCTCAGAAATTCTTCAAATTCAGTGTTTCCAAGACTGAATGTAGGTATATTCTTCTCTTCTGGTCCCTGCTATCTGAACTCTCCAAACTTTAGTTCCTTTTAGCATTCTTTTTTTTTTTTTTTTTTTTTTTTTTTTTTTTTGAGACAGAGTCACGCTCTATTGCCCAGGCTGGAGTGCATTGGTATGATCTCAGTTCATTGCAACCTCTACCTCTGGGTTCAAGAGATTCTCCTGCCTCAGCCTCCAAGTAGCTGGGAGTACAGGCACCTGCCACCACGCCCAGCTAATTTTTCTATTTTTAGTAGATATGGGGTTTCACCATATTGGCCAGGCTGGTCTCAAACTCCTGACCTCAAATGATCCACCCATCTTGGCATCCCAAAGTTCTGGGATTACAGGCGTGAGCCATAGAATTCTCTATTTAGGATATGGCCACCATCCATCCAGTAGCATAAGCCAGAAACAAGGAATCAACCCGTCACTGGTTATTCTAGACGTTTTTCAAATGTCCATTCATTTCCATTACCCTGGTTCTAGTCCAAGTTTTGTTGAAACTCCTATAATAGTCTATTGTCTACATTATGGAATTGGGAACATTACATTTTTAAACTGCAAAGCTTAGAACAAAGGTTGTCACCTAGTAAGCATTCACTACATGTATGAACCAACATTGTATTAGTCTGTTTTCATGCTGCTGATAAAGACATACTGAAGACTGGGCAATTTACAAAGGAAAGAGGTTTAATAGAGAACTCACAGTTCCACGTGTTGGGGAAGCCTCACAATCATGGCAGAAGGGAATGAGGAGCAAGTCACATCTTACATGGATGGCAACAGGCAAAGAGAGAGAGCTTGTGTGGAAAGACTCCCATTTTTAAAACCATCAGATCTCGTGAGACCTAGTCACTATCACGAGAACAGCACAGGAAACACACACTCCTGTGATTCAATTATCTCCCACTGGGTACCTCCCACAACACGTGGGAATCATGGGAACTACAAGATGAAATTTGAGTGGGGACACAGAGCCAAACCATATCAGACATTTAATTAAAGTCGTATATTATTTGGTGTTCTCTTATCCTCATTTAAGATTTTATTTAAAAATATTTAAAATATATTTCTAAAATACAGACTATATTGCCCGACTCTTTGAAAGCTTTCAGTAGTTCCCTATTACTCCTAAAGACCTAAATTCATTATATGACCTAGATGGTTGTGCAAGCTTTGGCTTCTGAACACCTTTCCATGCTCCTGGGACACCTTTCTCCCTCTCTGGGCTCCAGGCACTGACTGTAAGGCCCTGGAATGTGCTCTGCCACTGTTTTGCCCAGAGCTTTGTTTGTATACCTTCTAGTGCACCCCTCCTCCTGCCTATCCCAGCACGCTGTGCCTCTTTTTCCCTCTTGCTTTTCTTCCTTGATTAAAAATAGACTTTATTTTTTAGAGCAGCTTTAGGTTCACAGCATAATTGAGCAGAAACTACAGACAATTCCCATATATTCACAGCCTCTCTCACTCTTTCCTTCATTTTAGCCTCCCACACTAGATCTATTTCTTTTATTAGCTCTAATAAATAAATATATTAATATTTAATATTATTAATAGAATAATAAATATATATAAGAGAACCATATTCTCTTCCTTCACACATTACCTTGAGATTGTAATTTTTTATTGTGATTATCTGTAGCTTGTCTTCTTTTCCTCATAAAGCATAGAATCCATGAGGTCAAGGACTGTACTGACTTTTTTTTCCCTGAGATCTAATCAAGTGCCCATCATATAGAAGGTCTTCAATACACATTCATCATTGTGGTTGAATAACATATGTCATATAATCCTACACAGTTTCTGGGTAAAACATATCTCTATATAATTACCACTACAACACTTTGAAGATCTAAAATAAAAATTAACCATAATTTTGCTGTTTGTTTCTGTCTCAGGCTAATTTAGCATTTCACATTTATAACTATTCTGGTCCAGTAGCTCCTAAAATTTAACCACAGATATTTTATTAAGTATACACATACTGATGGAAGTAAAATTATTCTGTTCTGTGTTAAATGTAATAATTTACTTCTATTTTTACTCTTTCTTATGTCTGTTTTCAAACCTGAAGTGTTTGATTTCCTTCTGCAAAAATTTGCTTATCTTACCTGAGAGGCACATACCACCACAAGGGGGCAGAGATAGACAAATATTCAGTTCTTTGGACTGCATTCTCTATCCTGAGACTATTCTTTGACAGAATACATTTGAGCCATTATTTTTTCCATGAGTCTCTTTTTTCATTTGCCTTTCAATTTGAAATCTATAAGTACTATTATCCTCTTCATACAGTGTATACCTTTTAAAAGATGAAGAGACCTCCACTATATAAATTGTAGGCATTATATAACTTAACTCTTTAGTACATTAAGTAATTTTAGTTATAAGAATGCTATGTTAGATGTTGCAGTAAATTGTTCACTGGTAATTTCATAGCTAGTTTCTACTGTCTTATCTTTAGCCTACACACACATACACACATGTACACACACATATACATAGATACGTTGGTGGGGGAAAAAAGAGATTTTATTTTATTTTTGCATAATCATTCAGGGAATATTTAGGCATTTATGTCATAGAAACTAGAAATTAAACATTTGGAAAGAACAGGATTTTTTAGTATAGTTTTATTATTCTATCCTTTGTGCACTAAATATATATTCATCTTTACTTTGAGTAAGAAAAACACATGCTGAGCTATATGTATCTATCTTAACATAGTTCTCATAAACAGCTTGGGTAGGACTTTATGTCAGCAATCTAATTACATAACTCACCTTGTTTTATTGGTTATTCTGAAATTTAGTTCTCTGTAAATATAGAGCCCATCCAATTTAGAGTTGAATTTTAAGAATGTTAACTTTAACGATAATGAGATAATTTATGTGTGAACAGATGCCTTGGTTAGAAGGAAGTTTAGAGGAGAAAGAGAGCTTTTTATTATAGAAAAACCAATAGCAGAAAGAATGTGACTTTGATTCAGATTGGGAATCACCAAAGATTGGTAACCACATGAGAATTTCACAGACAAATCATCTAAACTTGATGCCGGGCATTCAAGGTCATCCATAGTCTGGGCCCACACATCCTCGCTGGCCCTTTTCTCATATCTCTACCCATCCTGCATTCCATTCACCTGGACCACTTGCCTTTTGGGGAACAAGTCATACTTTTCCATGTTTCTATGTCTTGGCCCTTGCCTGCTTTCCTAATCTGGAATTACACCTCTCCACGTCACCTCCGAGTTTTCCCCCAGGTAATGCAAATAACTGAGCATATTTGTCATACTCTAATTTATTGAGCTCATGGAAAGATATTGCTAATAGACCACAATATTTTCTCCAGTCTCACTAAATGTAGCCTCAGTGTCCTTCTCAGTACAGCTTCTCAGAATAATTCAGATACCTATACCAATTAATTACTGATAGTTTATGAGATATTTGCCATCTTGCTGACTTAGCCCAAATTTGTGTCTAGATAAGTAAGACCAGGATTGGGTGGCTTTGGAGAATGTAATTTCAGCTTGAATATGAAGATGCTTGTAGAACAGTGTTCCTTCCTCTGAACATGGCTACAGAAGAACAAATCAGTTAGTCTGAAGGTAAGAAAATAAAACAACTTAAAATGTCATATAATTTTATTCATCTAAGTCCAACTGAGCTATTATATTAATCCCTAAGCACCATAGAAGAAGGGTCATGTTTATTTTGTTTATCGCCATATCCCCAGTATTTAGCCAAGGGTCTGGTATATATCAGGTACTCAATAATATTTGCTGATTGAATGAACTAATAGTGAATAATGGCAAATATTATATTTCATGCCACACCATCTTCTCCATTAAATGGGGTAGATTTGCACTCTAAGCTGGCGACTGCTCTGGAGAAAGGGTTCCCAGATAAGTAAAAGGGAAAGATTTTTTGAAGGTCAGTACATGACCTTTTGGAGGTACAACAGAAAGATACCAGCAGTAAAAGTTGGGAAACCTGTGAGTGCTTTGTCTACTCTGCTGCACTTCAAAGTATCAAAGAATCATATAATTTAAATAGTTTGGAACAAAGAGAGATTTATTCTGAGTCAATATGGATTCTATTAAATTGGACCTAAAGTATCAGACATTGGCACTATTCTGAGACCCAATCTTTGGGAAGATTTAGTTCACTCTTAAATTTTTGACGGGAAATATTTGAAAATCTTCCAAGGATATTGAATGTGATTTACATTTCTAAAGGTCGGTTAAGTCCCAGGTTAATTCCTCTTATACACTGGTTTCCTAAACTGAGAATAGAAGACTGAAAACTGAAAATTTTATTATTCATATGACCACAGGAAGTATGAACAATTTTTAGTTTAAAAACGTGAGTTGTAGAAGCAGATGGCCTCTGGACCATCTGTCTCATTTTAAAAAATTCAACTTTTATTTTAGATACAGGGGGTACATGTGCAGGTTTGTTATGTTGGTTTATTGCACTCAAGTAGTGAGCATAGTACCCAATAGGTAGTTTTTCAACCCATGCCTCCCTCTGTCTCTCCCCTCTTTAGTAGTCTATAGTGTTTGTTATTCCCATGTTTATGTTCATGTGTGCTCAATGTTTAGCTCCCACTTGTACGTGAGAACATGTAGTATTTGGTTTTCCGTTCCTGCATTAGTTCGCTTAGGATTATGGCCTTTAGCTCCATCCATGGTGCTGCAGAGGAAATGATTTCATTCCTTTTTATGGCTGCATAATATTCCATGGTGTACATGTACCACATTTTCTTTATCCAATCCACCATTGTTGGACACCTAGGTTGATTCTATGTCTTTGCTATTATAAATAGTGCATTGATGAACATAAGAGTGCATGTGTCTTTTTGGCATAATGATCTATTTTCCTTTGGGTATATCTCAGTAATGAGATTGCTGGGTCGAATGGTAGCTCTGTTTTAAGTTCTTTGAGAAATCTCTAAACTGCTTTCCACAATGGCTGAACTAATTTACAATCCCACCAATGGTATAAACATTCCCTTTTCTCTACAAGCTCACTAGCATCTGTTGTTTTTTGACTTCTTGATAATAGACATTTCGACTGGTATGAGATGGTAGCTCATTGTGGTTTTGATTTACACTTCTCTGGCGATTAGTGAGAATGAGCATTTTTTCATACGTTTGTTGGCCACTTGTATATCTTCTTTTGAGTAGTGTCTGTTCATGTCCTTCACTCATTTTTGAAAAATGGGGTTATTTGTTTTTTGTTTAAGTTCCTATAGATTCTGGATCTTAGACTGTTGTTAGATGCATAGTTTGCAAATATTTTCTCCCATTCTGTAGGTTGTCTGTTTACTCTATTGATAGTTTATTTTGCTGTTCAGAATCTCTTAAGTTTAATTGGATTCCACTTGTCAATTTTTGTTTTTATTGCTATTGCTTTTGGTAACTTAGCCAAAAATTATTTGCCAAGACTGATGTTCAGAAGGGTATTTCCTAGGTTTTCTTCTAGGATTTTTATAGTTTGGTGTCTTACACTTAAAACTTTAACCATCTGTAGTTAATTTTTGTATATAGTAAAAGTTAAATGTCCAGTTTCATTCTTCTACATATGACTAGCCAGTTATTTCATCACTATTGAATAATGAGGACTTTTCCCATTGCTTGTTTTTGTTTGCCTTATTAAAGATCAGATGGTTGTAAGTGTATGGCTTTATTTCTAAGTTTTCTATTGTGTTCCACTGGTTTATGTGTCTGTTTTTGTACCAATACCATGCTATTCTGGTTATTATATCATTATAGTGTAGTTTGAAGTCAAGTAGTGTGATGTCTCTGGCTTTGTACATTTTGCTTAGGATTGCTTTGGCTATTGGGGCTTTTTTTTTTGGTTCCATATAGATTTTAGAATAGTTTTTTCTAATTCTATCAGGAATGACATTGGTAATTTGATAAGAATAGTGTTAAATCACTAAATCTCTCTCCAGTGTTGTTTTGTGCAGTATTACCATTTTAATGACATTGATGAGCATGGAATGCTTTTCCATTTATTTGTATCATCTCTGATTTCTTTCAGCAGTGTTTTGTAGTTCTCCTTATAGAGATCTTTCACTTCCTTGGTTAGCTGTATTCCTAGGTATTTCATTTTCTTTGTGGTTATTGTAAATGTGATCATGTTTTTGATTTGACTTTGAACCTGGACATTATTGGTGTATAGATATGTTACATAGATTTTGTACTCTGAAATTGTACTAAAATAATTTACCAGTTCATGTAGCCTTTTGGCAGAATCTTTGGGGTTTTCTAGATATAGAATAATACCATCAATGAAGAGAGATAGTTGACTTTTTCTTTTCCTATTGAATGCCTTTTATTTCTTTCTCTTGCCGATTGCTCTGGCTAGAACTTCCTGTCTCATTTGTTGATACATTAAGGAAAATGTAACTAAATGTTCAGAGAAAAGTAATAGCGTATATTAGCAAATTCCTTAGATTTTGTCTCTTCCAGAGCTGTCAAACAGAACTTTTGCCATGATGACAATATTCTGTATTTGTTTTATCCAATATAATAGCCACTGGCCACACATGGCCACAGGGCACTTGAAATGTGGCTAGTACAATGGAGGAACTGAATTTTTAAATATTACTTAAAATAAATAATTAAAATTTATATTTAAATAGCCACATGTGTCTAGTGGCTACTGTATTAGAGTGCACATCTAGAAGAATATATACTTAATTAAAACTAAAATAATTTTAGAAGTAAAATTAAAAAAAATTAGAATTATAATTTTTGAGATGAGCCATTGATAATGTCAACAAGTAAGACATCAGACTGAAAACAGAAAAAGAAACTGAAGAATTGTAGTATGGGAATTTTAAAAAGCAGCAAGCTTAGCACTTACCATGTGTTAGACCCTATGCTAGACCCATTCACATTTATCATCTCAGTGAATGCTCATAACAACTCTGCAAGTAAATATTTTATCTCCACTTTATAGGCAAGAAGTCAGATATTACAATTTCCTCAGTGAAAAAACTTAAACCCATCTGGTTTCAAAATCCAGACTGTAAAATTTGAGTGAGCAGAAGAAAAATATCCAGATACAATTATGAATGTGCATCTTATGAAGTGAGGTCAGGCCTGGAATGAGTGTCACATCCAAATATTGCTCACGAATTTCTTAAAGTCCTCATTGCTGAGTCTAGGCTTGGTTTCTGATGATGTAACAGTCCTGAAGCTAAAGGTGGGGTCAGGTGGTCCAAATTGGGTAGAAGAAGGTGAGGCTGGGGACCAGCCAACTGAAAGAGAGCACTGATGTTCTGGGTGACCATCGCTCTTGTAGAACATTGCCTCTCAGGTACCTGAGCAACAATTGCTAGCCTTGCTGTTTCCATTAGAGGTGCTGACTTATGACAGCATTCTCAGCTATAATTTTATGGTTGAGTACTTTGACGTTATTTTTCTCTCCAATAATGCTCTGTGACCTGATTTTCTCCTCATTTGTCAGATAGCTTATGTGATGTGGCTTTCACTTGGTAACTGCAATTCAGGGGCATTTCCCTGCAATAATGTGTCAAGAAACAGCTTCTATAACACCAGAAATCATGCTTCCTTATGTTGAGGAGAGTGGAGATGTGCCTCCGTGTGTTGACTGTGTCATTCAATCTAATGCTTCTGGATGCATATGTCTCGCTGAGCACCTAAATAACTTGTATTCTATATCCTTAGAATAAAAGGATATCAGCATTTTTTCCTGCTGGTCTTTGGAGTTTGTGCCGCAAAAGAATGATACTTCGCTACCTCAACTATTAAATGAAGGAGTCTGCTTAAAGAAGGCTGAATATCTTGGTTTAAGAACTTAGCTTTCCCAATGATTGAAATGAATTAGATAGGAATGATGGCCTGGGTATCTATCTTGGGCAAGTCTTGTGTCTTGCTATCCTGGGATTCTTTTACAACTAGAAATACAACACCAGAATTCTTTGATAAAGATTCAAATTCTGAGATGAAGCAACCTGATCCAGGCAGTTTAGGAATGGGGCTAAGGCTCATTTAAAATGGGGCCATGAGCGGTCAGAAGTATCTGTGAAAGCCAAATATGAGTCTGTTGCAAGATGGAGAATACTTTAACAGATTAACGGTCCATGGAATTAGTGGTCTAGGAGGCAGCATCCTAGCCAGGAATAGGATATGAAAAGGATTTCTGAAGTGCAGATAAAATGGTCCCTCAATCTTCAGGGCCAAAGCAGGAGGGGAGCTGGAGAAGGAACACAGAATCAGAAACAAGATTGTTACAAGGTGGTTAGGGAGCAAATTGCTTCAATTGCAGCCCGCTTACATTTGAGCAAATGTGCTTCCTGGAGCCAGGGGCTTGTTCTTAAAAGAGCCAGTTCCATAGGACAGGTAACTTGCTGAAGTCCAGATCGACTTCAGCGCCGGGAGGTATAAATACATTTTGCAAAATCCAAATATTCAAGTTGAAAGAGAGCCCAGTTCCTAGGAAGCGGTGTTTTTTATTTGATATTCTTAAGTATCAACCATATATTAGACAATATGTAGCCTTAGAGAGTCGCATGAAATTTCTGTAAGCACAGCACAATTGCTGGATGTCTCCTGCAAAAATAAGAAGAAATCCAGCCGAAAACCTTTTTCTCTTCCTCTTTCCCCTTTATAAAGAAGGCTAATAGATCTCTCATTTTTCAAAATGTACCTCAGCTTTGGAATGGAGAAGTGGAAATGTTTTTTCTATTCGAAAGGAAGGTTATCTAAACACTGTAGTGTGTGATTCTATTAGAGCTTGCTTGATTTAAACTCTGAGTGTACCTAAAACTCTCAATTCTACTTCACATGTGGTAAAAGGTCAAATACAGTCTTGTTCTACCTTGCAATCAATCATTTACACTCCCTGTCCACCTTATAGGGGAAGACAGACTATTATTAGCCTGTGGAAAAGGCATACTGGGATTCATGTCATATGGAGAGAATATTTATTTTTCTCTTATTTTGCCAAGCCGATGGTGGTGGTGTCTGCAGTACACAGCTGACATGGAGCTAAAGCTAGATGTGGTCATATGATAGGCAGGACAAAAAGCAGAAAGGCTGCTCTTCTGCTGGCCATAAATATCAGGTCAGATTTCTCTTTCTCCTTCTCTATAAAATTCTCTATTCATTTATGCAGGCCTGTCAACACATGCAAAGACATGTAAAACACATTAATAGGATTGTGAGTTAATTCAAATCCAGTCATTCTTTCAATATACATATATGTTGGGCACATTATATGAGCTAGTTCTGCCCACATGAATTGTCTCTAGACATTCATTTGTTTTTTTTTTCCTGCTGTATTTTTCTGTTCCTTCTTAGTTTAAGCAGATAACTTTTGTTTTTTGCTTCAAAGACGTTTGCAGAATGGAAAGTAGAAACTTTTTGAAAGCAACCTTTCTGCTTTTCCAAAAGACTGTACTCACTGCAAATGGAGAAGCAAGAATAGGAGTGTCATCTTCAGGGTCACCAAGGAAGGTTGGAGAGGCTTCAGACTGGGGTGGGGGCAGAGGCTGCTGGGCCCACAAGTAGAATAGCCCTGCCCTGTTTCCTTGGCAGCATCTTTGGGCAATGGCAAACTAGAAGTACATCCAGAGAGGCTGCTCTCAAGCCATGGAATTCCCACTCCCAGTGAACATTCCCAGACCCCAAGCATAGTACAGAGCTGATAGGTGCTAGAAAAGACCATATGAGAATGGAAAATGGGCTTCTCTGAAGTAACCAGTGAGAACCACGAACAGGATGGACCTCTGTAGTGCAGTGCTTTAGGACAGAATAAGACATACCACTCAGATTTTTCATGGCACTAAGCAAATGGGAGAGGTAGAGCCCAGTAATCACTGGGATTAAAACTCTCTCCAGATTGGTGGGATTTAGATTTAAACTGATTAAGCAGGGATTAGATTTAAGTTAATTTAGAAAAAAACCCAACAACATGACAGTGCCTTATTTCTTACACATCTGGATTGGTGGATTAAGTTTACCTGCTGTCATTATAGCAAGGAACACAAATATTAAACAAGTTATTACCATTGTGAATTGACCTATGAAGGAATAATTGTGGATACTTTGGAAGCAGAGCTGTGGGGCCTAATTAAAAGTATATTTATGGTTAGGATGGATGGGGAGGAAATTATTCCCTGAATGAATAACATTTTAGCTGTTATCTATAGGATAAATTAAAGTTAGTTAGCTTAGTTAAAATTAAAGGGTGATCCAGGCAATGAACAATGTGTGGAAATGTCCTGAGGTGGATAAGAGCTTAGGCCAATCAGTGTGGCCAAAGACATGAAAGTGAGGGGATAAATGGCTGGTGCAGAGGCAAAGAGGAGACAGGGTTCAGGTCACGCCGGGCCTACCAGCTCACATTAAACAATGATCATAAGTGATGGAGAAAACCATAAAAGAATTTTAAGTAGGGAGTGAAATAAAAGATTTGAGATTTCCTAAGATTAACTTTGCTTGCAGGTTAGAGAATAAATTAGACAAGTGACAAAGAGGATTGGGAGGACCAGCTAGTAGGTCTTATGATTTTAACTGAACAAGCTTGTGGCAGGAAGGATGGTGAGAAGTTTATAATGAAGAGATTTTGGACAATTGCATCAGTGGACCCTGATGACTAATGTTGTGGTGAGGAATGTGAGATAGAGAGGGAAAAGTGAGGACGATTTATAAACCTCTAGCGTAAGAAATAAGATAGACGAAACGAAATTATGGATCAAGAAAAACTAGTTGAAAAACATATTTTGGGTTTGGTTTGGACCACAATGAGCTTGATCTGCTTGGGAGATATTTAAGCTTTTACATGCATGTTGTAAGATCTATACTATTGGACATAATAATAATTCATTTTTATACTAAAGGTACTTGTAATGAATACTGTGATACTAATAATTTAAAGGTGGATGATTTTATTTCATTAGATATATTAAAAAGACATTTTAAAAAGGAATTAAAATGGACATGAACTGGTATTTTTGACAAAGTTAACAACTTTGACCTAGAAACTGGCCAAAGGTAAATGTTGACATAAATAAAATTTCTTCTGATTTCCAGATGAAAACAAGAAGCTGATGGTAGACACATTCTGAACTGGCTAACACAACACTCTGAAACTGGAGGATATCAACTGATAAGATATGAAGTTCTCCCTTAGTTTCAAATACACTGGGTTCATAAATTATTGACATAAACAATAGATGTCCCATCAAGCTACCATGAAGATAGCTAGGTCTGCACAACTCCTCAAGTGTCGACCCCTCCAAGCACATCCTCCACCTGGAACTGTGAACTGAATGGATAAATGTGTTGGTCAGAAAGGTCTTTACATCTTTGAATTGTAACGATCATGACTAGTTGCTGAGTTTGCCACCTCCCTGCCTCCCTGCCCTCTACCTTCCAAGAATTATCATTACAAAAATAGCCATTTGGCTTATGGCATAAGCTTTATCACAAAGCTTGACCCAGATTGAAGAATCCAGGCAATTTCTAGCCAGCCTTTTATTTCCTTCATGCACAGGATCATGGTAGAGGCTTAGCATTTATCAAACTACAGCTTTTCCCCAAAGGAAAGGGAAATGGGAATAGACTAGCTGCTTCAGTGAGCAAAACAGGTGGATAACAAATAAGAGATTATTGGCAGTTTATCAGGGTCTCTTTGCTAAAACTCCTTGTCAAATGGCTAAGGAAAGACATTGAGAGAAGGCATGTGTGGGTGCCTTGAGAGCCTGTGAGATCTGTGCTCTTGAAGCATTTTGTACTTTTCTTAATGATGCTTATCTTACTCTACCTTATAGTATAATTAAAAGGCAAGTTTTCTTCTTCTGAGGTGGTAAGTATAAACTTCAAATAGCAGACAGAAAGGAGTTAAGGGGTTCTATGTGCCTATCCCAGCCAGCCGCATTTTGTCATGGTCTGATTGCAAGGCTGGTTGCAACAGTTGGGAAGCATTTGGCCAGTGGGACAGTTTGAAATGGAAACAAGAAAAGAGTGTAGAGAAGGAAGTGTATTGTTCCCAGCAGTATGGTCTTCTTTGTGGCCTTGTGCCTGGCAACTCTTCTTTCCAATATAACACCAATGGAGCAAAAGGCCTTAAGTTGGGGGTAATGGGTAGTAAAGTTCAGTCATGCGGCAGTTCAGATCTGTCAGGATGCAAATGTGTAACAAGCTTTGTGATCCAGAAAGTGATGGAGAGACTAGACTGCTTCATAATTATTGTCAGGAATGTTCTGGATGAACAATGTGGTGGTCACAATGGGAGCCATAAGGTTAGATAACTTGGCTGGGTATATCTACTCAGTGGGTGGTTGTGAGGATGGACTGAGACAATACGTCCAGAATGGTTGGTTCACTGTAAATACTCAATAAGTGTTAGCTGTTACCATGATAAGTCAGGCTCATTACCAGGGCCAGAGATGAGATATGACCAGCAAGATAATTTAAACTAGCTGTATGTAGGACAGTAATCACATTTATTATGCTCAGGCACTTTGCTAGGCATTTTACGTATCTCCCTTCACTCCTATTTCAAGTGTATGCAGCATTATCAACATTTCCACGTGCTGGAGGGAGAAATTACACACTCAGAGAACTTAAAAATGATTTGCTCAAGGACACACAGCTTGTCAATGCTGGAGCCAGATTTAGAAGTCTGTCTGATTATGTGCTTCTTCCAAGGGCTAGTTTTTTACAGTACTAAGAGATCTGTGTTAGAGAGAAATGGGTCAGAAGGAGGTCTGAACTTTGGAACATAAGGAGAGAGAGATATAAAAATATAAGTGCAGGGCCCCCCCCTCCCCGCAGTGGCCCCAGGACACCGTGTGCAAGCTTCCATGGCCCATTCCATACTGTGTTATACTTATGGATTTATTTGGATGGCCTTGTCTACACTGTATACATCTCAAGAGTAAGGAGATAACTTTCTATCCCCAGTGCCTTGTACAGTGCCTGGCACTTAGTAGGTGCTCATATATGTTGAATGAGCTAATTTATTAAACCAAGCCCATAATCGTATGGTATAGCATGCAAACAAAACACAAGTTGAATTAATGGCATTGCAGCAGAGATCTTTGTACAACAAAGTAGCCTGTACTATAAAAAAAATTCGGTTTGGGCCAACCAGTTAAACAGAGTGATATACACAGTAACTTGAATGCAGATCCATTTATGCTCATCTTTGTATTCCCCAAATTCTCAGAACAATTTCACATTGTAGACATTCACAATTTTTAAAATTGATTTATAAAACTAAGTTAACCGTTTAAAATAATGTATGATATTCATATCTTGGTAGGAATTAATATTTCCATAGCGGTTGAAATTTAACATCTTCAAATCTTAATATATGAAATGTATATGCCATTTGTCATTTCAAGGTTCAAGTTCACCTCAAAACCAAATCTAGCCTCTGGATAAAAAGTGAAAAATGAAAAAAAATTCTAGGCCAAATGTTTAGATATTGGAGGAATATTTTGCATGATGCAGAAACAGCCTAAAGTATAATATTTTATTTTTAAACCTCAAGCTCAGTCCTACCATGAACATTACATCTACCTTTGCAAATGGGCAAAACCAGCTACCCAGCATTCCTCTGATAACCTCAATTAGTTTAGATTTGAAAATACAAATTGAAACAAGAAAGAAAGCACTTGAGATGCTGGGAAATGGTATTGATAATACTAAGACTCTGGTGCTTTTATTGTGCTGGTAAAAAATAAAAATAGGGTCAAGCAATTGAAAGCTCAATGAGATGAAAACAACCAGGAGCAGGAAGGAGCAGACAGGGGTGAGGGAAGCTCGGAGATTAGTATCAACTTCCATCTAATTTAGGATTTGGATTAAAAAGCAAAGAAGCTCAAACCTGCTTAAATCATGCTGCCATCTGTGGTTCTGATGTGGCATTTGGAAGAGTAAAAACATGCTGGAAAATTACCAAGACAAAGAAAAATTCTGGAATCTCAGTACAGGATTTTCCTTTGTGGCTAAAAGGCTGAGTTGCTTTGGAAACATTTGGATTCCTTTTCTGCCTCATCTGTGCTGCAAGGGATCTCTTTTTAAGCATACATTTTGCATTCTATATCAGAAGGAACCTCTGTGGATTAATCAGACATCATTTTCCAGGCTTGTCGAGAAGTTACATCATTAAGGAATATAAATACTGGTAGTCATTGATTATCTAACAAGGGAAATTTAAAAAGTCTTGTTTAAGTGGCATATTATTTAATGAGCTGTCAAGTGTTCTCTTTAGCCCCAGTTTCCATGGAAATTATTTAATTCCAAGAAAGAGTTCAAAGCATTGAGATAGACTGCATGTTTTCAAAGCATCTAAGCAGAGAAGCAAAGCAAGAAGGATCTGCATCTTTGAATGGAACAACATTTTTTGTGTTACATGCACATCTGCATTTACACCTTAAAAAAGGTTTCCAGAAAGCTGGATAAAAATGAAAGGCAATTTTAATTGAAAGACTAATTTTGTATTTTCTATATACATGATTCTATTATGAATCAAAGTGGACATATTTTTTAGACATCAAAGGGAGATTATGTGGGCCGGGTGCAGTGGCTCACGCCTGTAATCCCAGTACCTTAGGAAACCAAGGCCGGCGGATCACGAGGTCGGGAAATGGAGACCATCCTGGCTAACATGGTGAAAGCCCGCCTCTACTAAAAAAAAAAAAAAAAAAAAAATTATATATATATATATATATGTACAAAAAAAATTAGCTGGGCATGGTGGCGGGCACCTGTAGTCCCAGCTACTAGGGAGGCTGAGGCAGGAGAATGGCGCGAACCCAGGAGGCGGAGCTTGCAGTGAGCGGAGATCGCACCACTGCACTCCAGCCTGGGTGACAGAGTGACACTCCGTCTCAAAAAAAAAAAAAAAGAAAAAAGAAAAAGGAAATTATATGATGCAAAAATATAATGTAATACTATTTTCTGTGAACTCCCTGGATTATAAGAAGAGTTTCTTTCAATTCAAAGGAGTTAAAAAAAATTCTTTTTGGACCAGGGTAGTGGCTGCAGGTATGGTTTAGAATGTGACGGATATCAAGGAAAGTATAATGCCCTCAACTCACAAACAGCTTAATACCTTTCGTGTGTCACCTGCAATCAATGTTTACTATATTCAATATCACCCCATTTAATTACCATCTCTCAGTGGCAGCAGTGCTGAGCCTCATGGTGAGGGAAACTAACTTGGACTTTAGAGCCAGAAGTGCTGGGTTCCACAACTGACATTGTTTCTCATTAGTTAGGAGGTTGTTGGTAAGTTACTGAATATCTCCAAACGTCAGTTTTCTCATTTGTAGAACGAGAACAGCATTAGCTACCACAAAGTTGTAAAAATTAAATAAGATACTTAGCAATGCTAGTTCCATTCACTGTTTTTCCATCAGTTCCAGAGTTTTCATTATATGTTCTAGACTTTTCATTATATGAGCCAAGAAATTACCTTTTTTGCTTTAGCTAGTTTGAATTGGTTCCTAACACTTCCAACTGGAAGGTTTTTGATTAACACTTCCAAAGATGTAGATCAACTTGGGGTTGGGGTAAAATTTAAATTTGGGGTAAGATCATTTTTTATTTGCAACCTATTAATGTAGATGTTCCATGCATTGTGTTATTTCTTTAATGCATTTAGGGCAAAATAATCTAGGCTATTATCTTATTTTTGTATTGGAGTTACAATCTAAGAAGCACAATAGGGTCTTGCATCATGAGGATAGAAACAGTACAGAAAATTTTATTTGAAGCATGTACAAAATAATTCTGCATCTACACCAGAAGAAAGCACCATAGCTGTGTGGGCGTGGCATGAATTAGAATATGACGACTGTGTAATTGCATCATGAACTTGTTAAACAATGCTGGCAGTCCATATTGGAGGCTTCGCTCCCAGACTGGAAGGGGTAGACAGAGGTAAAGAGGGTAGATCACAGTAGAATGGGGACAACGAATTAACAGAATTTGTTATCCTATGGGTCCTATAATGCAAATTAATAATGTGGAAAGACTTAAATTTATTCTTGTGAGATAGTGACCTCTTGAAGGATAGAAGACAACTGGAGAAACATCCTGTAATCTTAAATGTCCACAGAGTGCATGAGGGGAGAGAAAAGACCGCCATGACTCACAGAGTCCTGAGTCTGGTTTAGCCTCTTCAAAACTTGTGTGATCTTGAGCCCACTGATAATGTAGGGTCATGGCACTGCTACCTGACATCAGTGTGGGAAATGCAGAATGGATCATTATTTTATTGTCTTTAAAAGACAATGAACAAAGTTGGAAGTAAAGTTCTAATATACGTAAAAGTCTGCTCCTATCATGGTCACCAGGAATCTTCCTGGGCTAAACCCCCATGGTCATCTCATTCCTCAGTCTTTATTTGACATGTTATCGCTCTCTTTGAAACACTCCACTTAATGGCCCGGATGCTGCACTCGCTAGATGTTTGCTTTCCTTTACTGGATACTCCTTTTCAGTCTCTTTGCTGGTTCTTCCTCATCTTTTCAAAACCTAAAAACTAGAGATGCCTGAAGGCTGAGTCCTCTTTTCTTTTTAATCTAATGTGTCTACTCAAGGGCAATTCTGCTCAGATCAATGGCTTTCTATAGTGTCTGTATACCAATGACACCCCAATTGATATCTCTTTGTGGAATTTCCCCCTGAAACTGGGGGTCCTTGTTTCCAGCTGCCTACCTGACATCTCCCCTAAGATGTCTAATAGGCCCCTCAAGCTTACCATGTTCAAAGCTGAGCTCCTGATATTTTCCCGCAAGCCTGTTCTTCCTGAAAATTTCTTGCTAGTTAATGTCCTCTTAAATTTTTAGCTGCTCAGTCCAAAATGTTGGTGTCATCATTGACTCCTGCCTTTCTCTCCTGTATTGAATTAAATCAATCCTACCAATTCTTTGAAATGTATCCAGAATTTGACCACTTGTCACGACATTCATTGCTCCCATCCTACCCCAAACCACCATCATCACTCACCTTGGATTACTAAAATGGCTTTCTGGCTGCCATTGAGATCCTGCTTTTGTCCTTCCTAACACCCACACCACATAGCCAGAATGGTCTGATGTAAGTCAGGTCTTGTCTCTTCTTGGCTCAAAACTCACCAATGGCTCCCAACTCAGAGTAGAAGCTGGTGTCCTTGACTTTAATGATCTGACCCAGTTACCTCTCAAAAATCATCTCCTTTCTAGTTGCCATGTTGTTCATCCTACTCCAGCTGCACTGGCCTCCTCACTATTCCTCTGATAGGGCAGGCATATTTCTGCCTCGGGACCTTTGTATGTTCTGTTTCTGCTGCCTGGAATGTTCTTTTCTCAGATATTCACAGGGGAGATCCTTCAACAACCTCAGATTTTTACTAAAAGTGGCCCCATTGAGGTCTTCCCTGGCCACTCTAAAATTTCATTACCTTACACAGTCCTTCATAGCCCCTTTCTCTTATGCAGGTACTTTTTTTCCTTAAAGATAACTAATTTTTAATTCCAAAAGAATTCTAGGCGCCAGCAGGATATTGGAGAAATAAGGTCCTTTGTAATAGATATTCCAATTGGTGGATTTGCTGGTGTAAAGGCACGATCACCTTCTGATGACTTGGCCATGTACTAATAGCCCTGTCCACCATCTGCTGGGGGGCGGGAGGAGGGGTCTTTAGACCGAGAAACCTGGCCCGTGGCACGTAGAGGGCTTGGCTGTCGTGTTAGTGTGCTGAGGCTGCTGCACAAATGTACCACAAACTGGGTGGCTTAAACAACAGAAATTTATTGTCTCATGCTTTAGGGGGCTAGAAATGTAAGGTCAGGGTGTTGGCAAGTTGATTCCTTCTGAGGGCTGAGGAAGAATCTAGCTTCTGGTGGTTTGCTGGTAACCTTTGGCATTCTTCAGCTTGTAGAAGCGTCACCCATCTCTGCCTTCATCTTCACATGGCATTCTCCCTGTGTATGTGTTTCCAAATATCTCCTTTTCATAAGGCCATGAGTCATATTGGATTAGGGACTCACTCCACTGTAGTATGACCTCATTTTAACTAGTTACATCTGCAACCACCAAGTTTTCAAATAAGGTCACATTCTGAGGTACTGGGGGTTAGGACTGCAACATATGAATTTTGGGAGGGACACAATTTAACCCATGACAGCTGCTGCCTTCACATCTCCACAGGGATGTCCAAGTGTTCCTGCAGGGGAACAAACGAAGAACAGCAGGAGGAGCTGTATGGAGCATAGAGATTGACTTAGCATTAGGAAGAATTTACATACTGGCTCCTTTGAGGGGAGGGGAGCACCCATTACAGCAAAAGAGCAGACACCAGATGACCATCTGGCAAGAATTTTGTGGAGCAGATTCATATCAGGAGGAGAGCTGTAAAATCCCTTTTAGCTCTGGAATCTGAAGTGACACCAGCTAGCAGGAATGCCTGGGTTTACCTGCAAGCCAAGCTAGTCTTCAAAGTATCTTGGCTCAAGATTATTGGGCTCATGGCCTCATTTTGTGGCTCAGTTGTCCTTGTGCCATCGGGCTTGACAACTTTGGTCCTTCGGGCTGACCTGCCGGATTCCCCAAAAAGGGCTCTGGAGAGCCCTAAGAAGCTGTGTGCTCCTGCATATTTTGCAAATATCAGGCACAGGATTTTAAACTGTGGGAAGATGCCAGGAAGCAGTCAAAAAATCTCCATGTGAATTCTTATTTGTGGGAGGAGTGGCTGCCACCTGACCTACCTTCATATACTGGTGGTGC
This sequence comes from Homo sapiens, assembly GCF_000001405.40. Lineage (NCBI taxonomy): Eukaryota > Metazoa > Chordata > Mammalia > Primates > Hominidae > Homo > Homo sapiens. The sequence goes on along the minus strand of NC_000001.11, from coordinate 99,464,957 downwards.
ATTAATAGGGGCTTTATTGATGGGGCTTGGGAGGCTGCGACTGAGCCCAGCATGCAGATTGTGAGGGCCTGGTGCAGCTGCCAGGAGACAGGGATGAGAGTACCAGCCTCAGTGGGCTCTGCTGCTTGGGGCATTTTGTCCCTTCTTTGTTCTTAGAGGCAAGTGTACAGGGAGAGGGCTCAGCACTTCAAAAACTGCTGCATGACCTCAGAGATTCCCACAGACTCCCTGGACTTTTTGTCATAGTCAGTCCAGTCTTTCTCCTGCAGAATGTCACCAAAGACTGTCTTTGACTTCGTGCCCTCAGCAAAAAACCCAGCCTAGGGCTGGAAATCAAATGGTTTGAAGCCCTGGCACTCAAACTCTATTATAGTTTTGAACTTCTCTCTGTCTTTGGCATTGTAAGATTTGATGCTGCCACTCAAAATCTCAGTGGAATTTCCTGTGTGCACAGCTTGCACTTCTGGACCATGAAGGAGCTGCCATGGCCCCACTTTAGTGCCACACTGTCCATCAGTTGGATGTAGTGCCACTTCTCTGAAATCTCGCTACCATTGCCACATTTCATTTTCAGGTACCACTGCAGTTACTTATTTATGCTTTATCCTTTGCGTGTAACACTAATATCTACATATTTTATTTTTATCTTGTTCATTATCTGCTATATTCTAAACTCCACAGGGAAAACAGTTTTTTCTCCTCTGTTTTGTCTGTTCCCTTTACTGCTATATCCCTAGCACTTAGAAAAGTACTGGGCACATGCTTGGTGCTCAGTACATTTTTATAAATGAATACTGGCCATGATTTGGAGGCTTCTGTCTGCTACACGTGAGCCCTGTAGTTGCTGGGTGTCACGGTGACTGGGAGGTGGAAACTTGTTGGGCAGTGGTATGAGCAGCCAGGTTGGTGGTGGGGACCCTTGAGAAGTTTGGGGCATCATCTATTCATCAACCGGCATAGAAGTACTGGTGTAAATTGGCCAAAAATCAGCTCTGGGGGCTTCAACAATTCCTGAGTTTTCCTACCTCTGCACCTTTGCTTAGGCCGTGCCTTTTATATGCCTCTTCTCCATAGGTTCCTAATAAAATTTCACTTACGTTCAAGATGTAGTTTACAATCCATTTACCTTCTTATATCACCCAAATCAGAATACACTTAAAGTTTTCTCCCAGCTTTATTAAGGCATATTTGACAAAGATTGTTTACATTTATGGTGTACAACATGATGTTTTGATAAATGTATACATTGTGAAAAGATTAAATGAAGCTAATTAACATATCCATCACTTCACATACTTAACATTTTTTTGTGGTGAGAACATTTGAGATCTAATCTCTTAGCAACTTTCACGTGTGCAATATGTTATTAACTGTAGTCAATATGTTGTACAATAGGTTTCCAGGACTTATTTATCCTGTGTAACCAAAACTTTGTACCCTTTGTACCTACCAGAACATGCTATATTTATCAAGGGAGACAATATTCATTCAGCTGTTAATTTGATAATTAATTAGTGTATTCACCAAACAAATATTTTCCTAGTGTTTGGAATATGCCAAGCACTAGACTATATGCATTCTACTTCTGAAGGTTTTTTTCTTAACTGTTCAAAGGAAAAAAAAAATCAAAGCAAAATGGAAGCCTCTAACTCGTCCTGCCTTGTTATCTTCCAGGAGCAGGACTAGGTCCACTTTATGATATACACTCCCTGGAACAGGGGAAATTTTAGGGAGAAAAAAACACAAATAACTAGAACCATTTTTTTCCATGTCATTTGGACAGAATAAAAACACCTTTTGGGGAGGTAAATTTAAATCATTTAGCTTCCAAAGTACAAACTGTGAGAAACTGAATAAGAATTATTTCATATTCTCTTAGTATTTTATTTGTTATTAATTTGTGTACATCCCAGTCCACAATAATTTAAAAGAACTTGAGAAAACATTTGAAATACAGATGATACAGAAGTGAAAGGCAAAAATAGAACAAGAAAACAGATTGAATAGGAGGTTAAAATTTGAAAAAAAAAATTAAAAATACAGGACATACAGGTGAACAAAATTGTTATAACTGAACACTAACTTTGGGATTGAATTGCCTAGTAGCCACAGTGAAAAAGTTTCTTTTCACAATTTTATACCTACAGGGAACTAATGATATCTGAGGAAAGGTCAGTGCAAATAAGTTCCCCACAGAATAATTCATCTTTCTTTTTCTTTTTTCTCAGGAGGAAATATATACTTTCTTTTTGGGAGAAGTTTCCCCGGCTATTAAATATATAAAAAAAGTTGAATACTTTGAAAATAAAACTGCAACAATTACTGTTAACTCTTAAGCTATTTATATTAAACTATTTAAGTCTTTGGTTGATTTCTATTAGCCTATAAGCATTTAGGCAACACATTTTTACTGGGTTTTGGTTATAAAATATGAATAGATATTTTAGCAATCCAATATGCAGTTCCTCATTATTTGATGTTATACAGTCACATTTATACAGTTTTCATGGTTGTGATGGCTAATTTTAGGTGTTGACTTTACCGAGTTATGGGATAATTAGAGGGCTGGTAAAGCATTCCTTCTGGGCATGTCTATAAGTTTCCAGAGGAATTTGACGCGTGAGTTGGTGAACTGAGTGGGGAAGACCCATCCTCATGTGGACAAGCACCATCCAGTTAGCTGGGGGCCCAGATAGAACAAAAAGTCAGAAAACCTCTCCCTTTTCCTCCTGTCCTTGGACATTAGAACTAGCTTCTTTGACCTTCAGCTGCTGAGACTTGCACCAGTGGTCCCCCTGGTTCCCAGGCTCTTCAGCCTCAGGCATGAGAGTTACACCATCAGCTTCTTGGTCTGGAGGCCTTTGGACTTGTACTGAGCTCTTCTACCAGTCTCTGTGGGTCTCCAGCTTGCAGGTGGTCTATCCTCAGCCTCCATAATCTCATGAGTTAATTATGCTAATAAATTCCCTCTCATATATTTACCTATCTCTGTGTCCTATTAGTTCTGTTTCTGTGGAGAACCCTGACCAATACAGATTTTAAGATCAAGAGTGAGGACTCTTGGCAGCATCCACATGCTGGCGCATGAGTGCATGAGCTATGGAGGCATGCCTGCCTCCCTCTAGATTTCAAAGGATGCTGCAGAGACCTGCCATGGGGCAGAACCACTGCAGAGAGTTCCACCAGAGGGCAATGCCTAGTGGAACCATTGGGGTAGGTGCCCAGAATTGTAGAGCAACCAGCGTGCAACACCAGCCTGGGAGGGCTGCAGGCTTGAGACTCCAACCCATGATAACTGCTGCATGAGCTGAGCCCAGCAAAACCTGGGGGAGGGGCTGGCCAAGGCCTTGGGGAACCAACCCTCCACCCCAGTGTTCTTAGAAGTCAGGACAGGGAATCAAAGGAGATTATTCTCAAGCCTTAGAATTTAGTGTTGTTTTTCCCATTGGGTTTTGTACTTACTTGGAACCTGTTTCCCCTTTCTTCTTTGCTGTTGCTCTCTTTTGGAATGGGAATCCTGTGCCTGTCCTGCCATTTTGGGATGTATCATTGCTGAAGTGAACTTAAGTCACCTGACTGAGGTAGTGTTTGTCAGTTTTCTCTGTTGTAAAGTTATTCTCGTGTTCTCCATTTCCATTTCCTTTTTTCCATATAGACTTCTCTTTGAAAGGAAGTCAATATGTGAAGCCCACACTGAAGGAGTGGGGAGTTATGATGCACCTCCCTGACAGCACAGTATTTACACAAACTATTTGGAATACTTTTATGTGGGATGTTTGTCCCTTCCCTCCCATTTATTTATGTATTCAATCAATTGTTTATTGATATCAATTTGAACTCATGGATATTTACTTTATACTTCAGGTTATAATCCAATACTACTCTACTTGTTTTGTTGCTCAAATTTTTTCACCTTTGGCCACTGGGAGCACTTTCAGTTGACTCTTGTGTCCCTTTGACATACTCCCATCATTGTGTGTGTGTGTGTGTGTTCTTCACACTTTCTTACTTTTTGACACAATAATGTACTCCAGGCTCATGTTGTATATTTCCTGCCCCAGTTCTAGAGTCAACCATTTCTCTAAGGAACACTGTTCCTTTTGTTAGAATAGTATTAAAAACCCAAATCACAATGATAGGTGTGTTTTTTGCTACTGGATATCATTGCTTCTAAGCCTTCTCAGCAGACAGAACAAGGATATATGTGTATATACGAACTCATATATATATATATCTATAAATGCTTATGTAACCATCTGATCTCTGTAAAGCTACCGTGAGTACTGATATCTTCAACTGTAATCCACTATCACATAAACCATTCTAGCCTCTTCTTTTTATTATTTTTTGTTTGTTTTTAAAATTTATTTTTAGTTCATTTTTTGTTTATTACATTTATCAGTTTCTGTTCTTCCACTTCGAAAAGTATTCTTGCTTACTTCCAAACTCCCACCCCAACAGTGAGAAAACTGGGTTGCCCCCGACCTTATATCCACTTATTTAATTGTTCAGTGCCATTATGCATATATAGCAGTATTAGAATTGTTAACCAATACTCCTCTGTGAAACAAATGTATTAGAGTACTGTACTTCAGAATAGTTTCTTTTCCCATTAGTCTTAGACTCCACTAATTTTCAAAGTTTCTTTGATCAATAACTCACCCCCACCTTTTCCTTCAGTGAGGTTGTTTCATCCATTTGCAATACAGTTAGATTGTCTTGTCATGTTCTGTATTTCATCCTGTAATCCCCCAACCTCCTAAACAATTTTTAAAAATTTACATACATTCATGTTCACTCTTTGTGTTGTAAAGTTCTATGAGTTTCCACAAATGCATGGTGTCATGTGTCCATCATTATAGTATGAAACAAAATAGTTTTATGGTGTAAAAATTCCACTCTACCTCACTTATTTAATTCTTCCTACCTCATGCTCCTCCCCTGTTCCTCCCCCTTATAGTCTGGCAATCACTTTTTAAAAATATTTTCTATAGATTTTTAAAATGACTTAAGCTGCTATAAATATTTACATACATCCTAAATATCTAGGAGTGTGATTGCCAGATATTATAGTAAGATTACATTTAGCTTTGTAGGAAACTGACACACTGTCTTCCAAAACGGATGCACTATTTTTTATTACCACCAGCAAAGAGTGAGAGTTCCTGTCGCTCTGCATCCTTGACAGTAATCTGTATTGTCATTTCTTTTAGGATTTTAGCCATTGTAATAGGTGTGCAGGGGTATGCGTGGTTTCTGACTAGAATTCCAATGTAATTCTTATTCTTCTATGGGTAAGGTATTTGTCCTCTCTTCTAGGTTCTTTCAAGATTTTCTCTTTGTCTTTGGTTTTCTGAAGTTTGAATATGATATATCTAGTTATACTGAAGTTTTGTTTGTTGCTTTAGTATTTATACTGGTTGGTGTTTTTTGAGCTTCCCAGATCTGTGGTTTGGTGTCTATCACTAATTTTGGAAAGTTCTCAGACATTACTTTACACATTTCATTTGCTCTCTTCTTTCTTCTTCTGGTATTCCAATCCATTTGCTACACCTTTTGAGATCTTCCACAGTTTTTGGATATTCTGTTATGGATTCTTCATTCTTTTTAATTTTGTTCTGTTTTACCTTTGCCTTTCGGTTTGGGAAGTTTCTATTATCATGTCTTCAAGCTTATTGATGCTCTTCTTGGCTGTGGTTAGTCTCCTGATAAGCCCATCAAAAACATTCTTCATTTCTGTCGTAATTTTTAAAGATTCTAGCATTTTCTTTTGGTTCCTTTCTAGAATTTTCATCTTTTTACTTACATTGTCCATTTTTACTTAAAAACATTAATCAAAATTTTTAATGTACAATACAGTATTGTTAACTGCTAATTTTAATGTACAATACAGTATTGTTAACAGCAGGCATGATGTGCCCACCTGTTCTTGCACGTTGTTTAATTTTGCCATTGGAGCCCTTAACATTAAATCATAGTTATTTTAAATTCCCTATCTGGTAATTCCAAAATCTATGTTATATCTGAGTCTGGTTCTGATGCTTGCTTTGTCTATTCAGACTGTGTTTTTTCCTAGAATGCTTTGTATTATTTTGTTGAGGATAGATATAATATATTGAGTGGTAGGAGCTGAGGTAAATACTACACTTTAACTTTGAGGTTATGTAAATCTGGCCAGAACTTGTGCCAAGTTTAATGTCTGTTACAGTTGTAGGTGCCAGAGGCTTTAAATTCCTTTATTATCCTTATTTTTGTTTGTTTTGTTGACTTTGGGCTTCCCTAAGTACCTCTTCTGAGGGAAAATCTGAATCTTGCAGTTGTTTCAGTTTTAATCTACTGTTATTATACTGGAGGCCTATTGCAGTGGTAGTAAGGTATGAGAGAGGGAACATATTCTATAATCTGATGATTAAATTTCAGTTTTTGGTGGGCCTGAGTTCCTGGGTGGTGACTGTGTTTCTTAGCCTTTTTACTTCCCTTAGGTGAGACAGTAATGCCAGAGGGGGCTGGAGTAGGAGAAATGCCTTGCTGCAAATGGGCAAATATATTTGTAAATAAATAAATAGCTATTATTTGAAACATGTTAAATTCTTACTAAAGATGAATAAATTCCCTAGCCAATACTGAACTATTTGAAGCTCCTCAACTGTTGTTGGCCCCTGTTTTTCAACCTTTTCCCTGTTCTTAATAAAGGACAGAAGGGAGAGGGCAAATTTTGGCACTACTCAGGGTTTGTTTGGTTTGGTGTTGACTCCTCTTCCTTGGTTGAGAAGTTCTGGTACAATAAAAAGATCAAGAGAATGCTTTGTGTAGGTCCTAATATTATCCTAGATTAAATCTGAAGATAGGATATGTCAACTGATATGCCCCAAACCACATGGTTAATCTATGATGTCGTGAACTCCAATCCAAGTTTTACAATTCCAGATGGGACGATCAGCCATCTTGGCTTGCAGGGGACTGAGGGTTTTCCTGGGACATAGCTAATCAAACCAGGAAGGCCCCAGGCAAAACAGGAAATGCCAGTCACCCTCATGGGGAATTAAAAACCCTTACTTAAAACCAATTTAAAAAGATAATATAAGATGATTAATTTTCCCCTTTGCACTTATTATTTGTGTGCTGATAATAAAACTTGCTTAGAGCATTCCTATAGATGTAACATGGCAGATTACAGGAGGAACAGTTTGCTGGCAAACAGTTTATACATTACTTCATTACTCATATCAGCGTCATCTGAGATTTCTATCTGTCTGACTAAACTAAATAATAAAACAGACAGAAGCTTCTCTTTTCATGGGAACTGCATAAGTGCTAAGCCTATCTGCCTACTGGCAACCTACGCTTGGGTGGGAGTTTGATGGCAGCTCTGAGTAAATCTTTCTCTACTTGAGATTTTAGCACCAGAATCAGGAGTGGGAGGAAACAGGATGGGGCTGAAGGGAAAGATCTTTGCATAGCCAGACTTGGGAACAGCTCATCCTGTCTCTACTGTAACCTCCACTGCAACTGGATTGTGTTTTCCTGAATGTAGTAATGGATTGAGGTCACTGACATGTTCTAGCACCAAAGACTACTTAATCATCAAAAAGCTTATATTCCCAGGCACCTCAAGAGGGGTCTGGGAGTGGTATTAAGGGTAGAGCTTCTGGCTATCCTAAGCTGGTTATGTGAGCCAGGTGCTCTGATATGGGACACCATCATCACCACAATTGTGGACCTGTGTGCCCCAGTTCTTACAACTGGGATTAAAGCCTCAATCCCACTACCCCAGTTACAGTTATTGTAATCACCTTGTCTCTTATTTTCCTCCAACCTGGGACTGAGGCATAGTGTTTTTCCAGGCAGTTCCCTCTTCAAAGGACAAAAATCTTGCCAGCGACCCCCACAAAATTGCTTAGGACCCTGTGTACAAGGACTGATACTACCTATCACTTGTAGACTGCCGCTTGAAATTCACCATCTCTTTGAGACCTCGTGGTCACAGACAATCTGCTTTAAATCTAGTTGGAGATGAGTCTATCTCGTAGGCACTATTTTGTATCCAGCCTGCTGAAATTGCAATGTTTTTTTGAAACTTCCCTCCCACTCTCCTGGTCAGAAGGTCCGGTTTGTGTCAGGCTAAATCCGGATGGGTGCTATATGGGTGAATGCACTGTCTGGGAAACTAGAGCACGGAAGAATGAAGTGGTGTCCTGGAATGTTGTCAAAGGTTGGTTACTTGGGCATCAATCCAAGGGCTTTAATGGAGAATCAGACCCAACAGATGGAAGCAAAATGGGAGCCAGGGAATCAGGGAATGGTGGTAATAGGACTAGTGGAACTGCCAAATGAGAGACAACTAGGAGGAATTGTGGAAGGGTTGGTGAGCAGACGGGCACTGCAGATTTATCCTGGGATGGCTCAGACTCATGAGGCATGTGGAATTTAGTTAAAGGGGATGTAATGAAATGACCACTGACCTGACCTAATAGGCATATCTATTGCCATATCCTGCACTTTTGTGGCAAATAGTCCTACTGTGAGGGAAGAGCAACATCTCCCCAGTAATTATAAAATTGTGATTCAAATATTCTCTTTGTAACCTGCCAATACTCTGATATTTGTTTCATCTAAATAGAGTTCTGTTATTGACCTTTACCTATGCTTATTTCAAATCTTTAGGGAATACCTATTTAGATGAATTTTTCCTCTAAGGCTAGATTCTGAGTAATTACTTAATGATCATGCAACTAACATGAGAAATACTCTAAAATAATAATTCTCATGTTAGAAAAAAAGAAATCGAGACTGCCTTAGGCAAGAACCCCTAATATTTCATGGTTTTACTTTCTGATGTTATGAATAACCATGGAAATTTTTGCTTGAATATTTTCCATGTTTGGAAAAGGAGTTTCCAACTTCTTAGGAGGTAAAGTAGCACCTCTGCTTCATAGCCATTAGACTTTGGGGGAGGTATTTGTTGATAAGAAAATTTTTTACTGAAAGATCATATATCTTGTGGCAACCTCTGTTCAGCTGGAAATATTACAAGGGTGTGTCCCTGGGGTGTGTGTTTGTGGGGGAGAAAGTTTGGCTGAAGGCTTTTCCCCAGCGAGCCATCATTTCAGGGACTAATCTCTACCACTTCGGAGAGAATATTCTGCTTATGTGGTCCCTGTTATTTTGAAAAAATGCCTCCGGGAGTCTCTGCTGCACCAGAGGAAGGAAGCTCTGATACGACACCTTCATTTATTGTTTCGAACTTTGCTAAAAAGTACCAAAGCACGGCTGGGCGCGTTGGCTCACGCCTGTAACCCCAGCACTTTGGTAGGCTGAGGCGGGCAGATCACGAGGTCAGGAGTTTGAGATCAGCCTGGCTAACATGGTGAAACCTGGTCTCTGCTAAAGATAACAAAAAATTAGCTGAGTGTGGTGGTGCGTGCCTGTAATCCCAGCTACTCAGGAGGCTGAGGCAGGAGAATTGCTTGAACCCAGGAGGCAGAGGTTGCAGTGAGTCGAGATTACGCCACTGCACTCCAGCCTGGGTGACAGGGCGAGACTCTGTCCCAAACAAACAACAAAAACAACAACAACAACAACAACAACAAAAATTACCAAAGCACAGCTTTTCAAAGCTCTCTCATTCAGGAACCCATTTCATTGAAATTAAAAAATGTTCTGAGATGCAGTTAATGTGTGTTTGCCCTTGTAGGACCAACATAAATCTAAGTCTTTTATGTGAAGAGATTCAGGTCCTTATAACTCACTTGGGGAATATGACAAATGGGATGGTGTGTGTGAATGTTGTTTTGATGGCTTAAGGGTGATGATCATATCTGGACACTTCTGAGAACTGTTGTTATGGCTCAATACCTTGCCTCCCTTCCTGTCATTTTTATCTATTTTTATAAACAAATAAAATAATTATTAAGAAAAAGGAACTTAATGAAACCTTTCGTCTTAAAATACATTATCCCATAACTAAGAGTTAATAGAATGAATCTAATCAGTCAGTTTGAAAGAGAGCTAACATCCCCTATAAAGATTATGCTATTGGACACTTACATGGTGTTTACTTTGAGACTGGTGCTGGTTTGAGCACTTTACATATGTTTACTCATCTAATTTTTATAACAGTCATTGAAGTAGTTGCTCTTATTATTCTAATTTCACAGATGAGGGAACTGAGGCTTGGAGGAGTTAAGCAAGGTTGGTGGTTGCACACACACAGCTGACACCAACTCACGGAGTCTTACTCTATAACCCTTTTAGGCAGTGTTAGAGGAACAAAATTGTTATTTGATCACAATGAGCTCAGGCCTTGATACAGTTTTCTGGTTTGTGTAAATCAACTCTGCATTTTCTCTGCACATTTAAAGTCAGACGATCAACCTTGGACAGGTTGTCTGTTAAAAGCCACACCAATGGGAATCATTAAAACAAATGACATTTAGGAGGATTACATTTACTGACTAAATATGCTTGGGCCTTAATAGCGCCAGTTTTGTTTAGTTCCCATCAACTTCTTGATCACGTGGATGTGCTTTTGTCAACCATTTTTGCACTTATTTTCCTCAGTGACTCTGATGACCTCTTCTCTTCGTTAATCAGCTTCTCATATTCTCATGACCTTACCAGAGTGCTGATGCTTGCAGCTGCAATAACAGAATGTGCTTCTAAATTATAATTCTCCCAACCCTGGACTCTGAATCTTCTCTTTTTCCTGTCAACAGTTGGTCCCCTCTACAAAGGCCCTGCTGTTTATTCTTCACTGGCACATGCCCTCTGCCACCTGAAATCTGTTGCTGGCCTTCTCACACTCTCTTTTCTTCTTTTAACTTCAAGGTCTTTCTAATTTGTCCTTTCTGCCTGTCCTTTGTTATTACTTATCACATCTCTCCTGGTCACCTTCACCCCTTCTTTGTTTGGGCCTCCTTCTTTATTTCTGGGTATCTCTTTCTTTCTATCAGACTCTGACCTTCTTCATGTATTATATTTAAGAACTAATCTTCCACCTTTTCTTTTGTTAAAGTAATTCTTAACCTTTTTTTAAAATCCCATTCACTAAAATAAGCTCATGAGTATTAATGTTTACATTAGGCCTTCCCTTCTCTGTCCCTTCTCTTCAAAATACCCAGCCTACTTAGAAGGGAGACATTTCCAATATAATAAAAACAATAGCTAACATTATCTGTGCCAGATGTAGAAGTCCACAATAGTCTTTACGACTTTGTCACAAGCATCATTATTATCTTCACATTACAGATGAGAAAGCTGAGGACCAGAGAGGGAAAGTAACTTCCTCAAGTCACACAAGATAGTTAAGTGGTGGAGCTAGGTTCTGAATGTGGATATGGTGATTCCAAAGTCTGTGATCTTAACCCCTGCACTTTACTGCTCTTTAAAGAGAGTAATCTGACTACATAGCCTCTGTCATTTCATTGCAATAAATATTTGAGTCTCTGCATCACTTAAGTAGATTGATCAGTATTGCCAAGTATGGAATTCTCTGCTTCTAAAAAATGAAGAGGCCTCTCAGCCAGTTTAGTTTATGATAGTTTATGTGCAATATAGTAACTTGTCCTTTATTTTGAAGGAAATGTCCCAATGTGCCTGAGACCAGTGAACTCCAAAGAACTTCATGGGTATAGCAGGCTCTAATATCCTTATAATGTTTATTTCCCTCACTCTGGGGAGTATGTTTCTTATTAAGACATCTAGAGTACTTGCCACTTTTTACTCATTGGGTCCAATTTACATGATGTCATCAATAGAGTATATTCATGTGATTTTCTGCAGAGTGTACAGATTGTTCATGCCCCTTCATATTGTGATAGAGGACATAGTTCTGCCTCAATAACGTTAATATTTACTTTATTTACTTGTCCACATCAAGTGAATGCAAAGTGCTTCTGATCTCCTTTCCTAATGGATATTGACTAGAACACATTTACTAAATCAATAGGCACGTGTGACATCCCTGGGACTTCATTCACATGCTTTAGTAAAAACACCAGATCTGGTACAGAAGCTGTAACTGGGACTAGTGCTGGTTATGTTTGTGTTAGTCCACTGTCATCTATCAGGATCCACCTGGTTTTTCCAAAAGCCAAACTAATGAATTAAATGTGTATAAACAGGGACCACCATTTCTCAGTCCTTTAAGCCTTTAACTATGGCAGTAGCCCATTCTCCTCAGATTTTTTTTGTATTCACTACCTCAACTAAATGGCTTCTGATATCAAACACTCAGAGAGTCTCTCTGTATTTTAATGGAAAATTGCTTAAGTATTAAATTAATATTTAAAGACTGAGCAAAAGATGTGATATTAATCCATTCTTTAAACAAATTGTTTTTCTATACCTATTAAAGCCTAGTGAAGAATTTTAAGAATTAACCATACTTAGAGGTGAGAGATCAATGAAAAACATAAGAAGATATAAAGAGAGATCAGGCAAATGAAAATATGGTGAAGAGCTTTAAAAGTCAAGAGGAAGTCTGCAAGCAGCATCCAGGAGTTGCTGGAGGGCCTTGATAAGGAAATATATTACCATTACTACTACGATTATAGTAATGTTTAACATTAATGAGCGCTTATTATGGGCTAGGCACTTTATTTACATTTTCTCAATCTTTACTTAATCCGATAAATTGAATTCCATTGCAGATCTCATTTTACAGCCAAGAATACTGAAGTTAAGAAATGTTAAGTAACTTACTCTAATTTAAATCTGGTTACTGGTGCTAATGTGGTTCAAATGCTCTAAATTGAGAGCTATTACCCCATGCTCACCACATCTCTATTGGTAGTAGTGATGTGTTCTGCTGGAGACTGTAGCAGTCTAAGTCTGTGGTGACTGGAGTGGGAGGGTAGGTCATTAAACGGGGGAGGAAGAAAGATGCAGGAATACATGTTAATACAGCCCCTTGAATGCCGGGGGTATTAGGCAATCAGCCTCCACCTGAAGATTATAAATGAGGAGTGAATAATTTTAGCGTTGAACCTGCTGAAGAAGATAAGGGCATAAGAGGAATTTGGTTACTAGAATTCCCATGTCCTACAAAGGGTTGTCAACATAACAATACTTTGTACACTTTGTAGATATGATGCAAAGAAATAAAAGGCATTTATGAGGATAGCCTCTTGAGAAGGCAGAGAAGGCTTATTACCATCTCTTTTTTCTGTTAGATATATTATAATCCCTCTGTTCCTTGCCCAAGCTACAAATTAATCATCTAATAGGGTTTTAACTTAACGTTTACTTGTTCAACAACAATGTACCATTTTTCTTTTGAAATAGGGATGGTTGAGGTGGTGTTTAAATGCAAACACACTGGTTAAAAATGTGGTTTTCACATAATATCAACATATACTACTGTTTGCTTTTTTAAAAGTAATTTTAAGAAGGCTACATTAAATAACAATGGAAATTAAATATATTACCCACAAACACCATACAATACATTGCTTAATATTTTACTTCCTCCCAGTTCTTGTTAATATGTACATTATTTCTACGTAATTATAATCAAAGCAGAAATATAATTTTGTTTTCTTTTTTCCATCATCCTATGAGCAATTTTCCATATAGCTATTTAGTTTTTTAAATTAACATTTTAATGGCTGTATTAACTCCATAGAGTTACTGTAGCAAAATGCATTTAACCATTTTCATATTGAACATTTAGTTTTTTCTAATTTAAAAAAATTTTTTAATTTTGGTGGGTATGTAGTAGGTGTATATATTTATAGGGTACATGAGATATTTTGATACAGGCATGCAATGCGTAATAGTCACATCAGGGTAAATGGGGTATCCATTACCTCAAGCATTTAGCCTTTGTGTTAGAAATAATCCAATTATACTCTTTTAGTTATTTAAAAATGTATAGTTAAATAAATTATTATTGACTGTAGTCACCCTGTTGTGCTACCAAATACTAGTTCTTATTCATTCTAACTATTTTTTGTACCCAATAACCACCCCACTTCCTCCCCACCCACTAATACCCTTCCTAGCCTCTGGGAACGATCCTTCCACTCTTTATCTTCATGAGTTCAATTGTTTTAATTTTTAGCTCCCACAAATAAGTGAGAACATGTGAGGTTTGTCTTTCTGTGCCTGGTTTATTTAACTTAACATAATGGTCTCCAGTTCCATCTATGTTGTGACAAATGACTGGCTCTCATTCTTTTTATGGCTGAATAGCACTCCATTGTGTATAGGTACCATATTTTCTTTCTCCATTCTTCTGTTGATGGACACTTAAGTTGCTTCCAAATCTTGGCAATTGTGAACAGTGCTGCAGTGAACCTGGGAGTGCAGTTATCTCTTCATTATACTGATTTCTTTTCTTTGGGGGTATATATCTAGCAGTGGGATTGCTGGATCATATAGTAGCTTTATTTTTAATTTTTTGAGGAACCTTCCAACTGTTCTCCATAGTGGTTGTACTAATGTACATTCCCATTAATAGTGTCCAAGGGTTCCCTTTTCTCCACATTCTCATCAGCATTTGTTATTGCCAGTCTTTTGGATATAAGCCATTTTAACTGAGGTGAGATGATATCTCATTTTAGTTTTGATTTCCATTTCTCTGATGATCGATGATGTTGAGCATCTTTTCCTATGCCTGTTTGTCATTTGTAGGTCTTCTTTTGAGATATGTCTATTCAGATTTTTTGCCCATTTTTTAAGTTGGATTATTAGATTTTTTTCCATAGAGTTTGAGCTCCTTATATATTCTGGTTATTAATCCCTTGTCATATGGGTAGATTGCAAATATTTTCTCCCAGTCTTTACTTTGTTGATTGTATCCTTTGCTGTGAAGATTTTTTTTTCTTTCTTTTCTTTTTTTTTTTGAGACGGAGTCTCACTCTGCTGCCCAGGCTGGAGTGCAGTGGCGTGATCTCGGCTCGCTGCAAGCTCCACCCCCCGGGTTCACGCCATTCTCCTGCCTCAGCCTCCCGAGCAGCTGGGACTTACAGGCACCCGCCACCACGCCCAGCTATTTTTTTTTTTTTTTGTATTTTTAGTAGAGACGGGGTTTCACCGTGTTAGCCAGGATGGTCTCGATCTCCTGACCTCGTGATCCGCCCGCCTCGGCCTCCCAAAAGTGCTGGGATTACAGGCGTGAGCCACTGCACCCCGCCCTGCTGTGAAGATGTTTTTTAACTTGATGTGATCCAGTTTGTCTATTTTTGCTTTGGTGGCTTCTGCTTGTGGGGTATTACTCAAGAAATCATTGCTCACTCCAGTGTCCCAAAGAGTTTCCCCAATGTTTTCTTATAGTAGTTTCATAGTTTGAAGTCTTAGATTTAAGTCTTTAATCCATTTTAATTTGATTTTCATATATGGTGAGAGATAGAGGTCTAGTTTTATTCTATTGCATATAGTTATACAGTTTTCTCAGCACCATTGATTGAAGAGACTATTTCCCCAAATGCATGTTCTTGGTATCTTTGTCAAAAATGAGCTCACTGTAGATGTATGGATTTGTTTTTGTGTTCTCTATTCTGTTACATTGGTCTATGGGGCTGTTTTTATGCCAGTACCATGTTGTTTTGGTTACTATAGTGCTATGGTATAATTTGAAGTCAGGTAACGTGATTCCTCCAATTTTATTCTTTTTGCTCAGCATAGAATTGGCTATCTGAGTCTTTCATGGTTTCATATAAATTTTAGGATTGCTTTTTCTATTTATGTGGAGAATGTCATTGGTGTTTTGATAGGGATTGCATTAAATCTGTAGATTGCTTTGGATATTATGGACATTTTAACAATATTGATTCTTCCAATCCATGAACATGGAACATCTTTCCATTTTTTGTGTCCTCTTCAATTTCTTTTATCAATGTTTTTATACTTTTCATTGTAGATATCTTTCATCTCTGGCTAAGTTAATTCCTAGGCATTTTTTAAATTTGTAGCTATTGTAAATGGGATTACTTTCTTGATTTATTTTTCACACTGTCTACTGATGGCATATAGAAATGCTACTGATTTTTGTATGTCGATTTAGTATACTGCAACTTTACTGAATTTGTTTATTAGTTCCAACAGTTTTTTGGTGACGTCTTCGGGTTTTCACAAATATAAGATCATTGTGTCTAGTTTTTTACTGGCATAAATAATGAACTACAAACAAATGGAACTTGAAGTCTCAATGCCCCGAGTTTGAGTCCTGACTTTGCTATTTACAAGGCATGGAATACTGAGTCAGGTACTTAGGTTCAGTAGCCAACAGTATAATGTACTCACAGATATCTGTTATGTTAGAAACCATGCTTGGTGCTGGGTACATAGTGGAGCACAAGAAAGATGTGGTTCTCTCTCTGCACAAGTACATAGGTAATAGGTTAGTATGGTCTATAGTGATCATAACAATAACATCTATCTCACATCATTATTGTGAGAAGTAAAAGAAATAACAATTAAACTGCTTAGCATAGTGCCTCATATAGTGTTTATATTACTTTTATTACTATAAACATTATTATCACTATAGTGCTCTTATTACTATATTATTTATGCTTAATACTTTCTTCAAAACTACTGGTTTTCAAATATTATGAATCTACTGGTTGCTTTTATTATGCATAATTTAGCATTTCTTGAAGCTGCCTTAAGGTAGATTGGTTTAAAAGCCCAGTATGGTGCACTTTAAATGACAGCTCTGAAGGAGACCACTGTTTTCATTTATTGAGTCCCATCTATGCACTGTCAGGCACTGTGCCAGGCACTAGGGGTCCAGGAGTACAGGCTGACCTCCATCCTTACCCAGCCACAAGCTAGGTGTTTCTTCAAGAAAACAAACACAATTACAATGGTCTCTGTTGTGTTTTACATAAAGCTACATCATCAATTTTCAGTGTTTCTATTCACAGGATATGCAAACCCTGACCTTGTACAGAAAAACCTAAAATCTGTTGTACTGGGACATCAGACTTTTAATAAAACAAATATACTCATTTTCTGAAGTTTACTTAAGTCTGCCTCACTTAATTATTATGATCATCTTGATGATGATGACTCCCTTGGGTCACTCTGTATAGTTATCATGTTGGTTTTAACTCCTACATTATGAGTCAGCATTGCCACTATTTAAAACCCCTGGAAAATTCAGCCTTTTAATGTAGCCAAGGTGACATTTAAATAGAACAATTTTATTACAGTATAAATTTTGTTCATTGGCTTTATTTCCTAATATGAAACTATATTCCAAAAATTAGTTACTAGGAGCCTGTGCAATTAATTTTTGCTTATGAATTTAATAACTTTTAAAAATTAAATCTGAACACAGATATCTGTGTAGTTTAGTGGAGATGCTTAAGCAGTGGGCTTGTACCATAAGCCATAGTCTGCATGGGAAAGTGGTCAAATGTAGTCTGATCCATGTGCCATTTGAGGAAAATAATGTATCTGTACCATTTGTCTTTTACCTCTCAGCCCATAGTTGTTTTGTGCATATTTATAGTGTTACAGTGTAATGTTTTGATATAATATGAACCCGGGAAACCATCATCACAGTCAAGATAATGAACATTTCCATCACTCTCAAATGTTTCCTTATATCCTTTTATAATCCTTCCTCCCCAATCTCCTTGCCTTTATCTTCATCTTCAAGCAACAACTGATGTGCTTTTTTTCATTCTAGATAAGTGTTTTGCTTTTAGAATTTTATATAAATTGAATCATATAATATGTACTCTCATTGCTTGGCATCTTTCACTCTGCAGTTATTTTGAGATGCATCCATATTGCACGTGTATCAATAGTCTATTCTTTAGATTCTTTTGATTCTTGAGTTTTAGTCCATTATATGAATATACTGAAATTTGTTTATCCATTACCTATTGATGGAGGTTTGATTTGTTTCCAGTTTCTGGTTATTGTACGTAAAGTTGCTCTGAACATCATGCATAAGCCTGTGTACTTTCATTTCTCTTGGGTAAACATCTCGGAGAGGAAGGACTAGGTCATGTGGTAGGTGAGCTTTTAAAATATATTCGAGCTTTTAAAATAACGAGGAACTGTTTCCTAAAGTGGGTGTACCACTTTACATTCCCACCAGCAGTATATTTTCATATTGAGGTTCAAATATTTGGCCCCTGCTTTAGAAAATTCTAGATATCTGAAATGAGAAATTTAGACTCTGTTAGGAAATCTCTATCCGTTAAATGCACATTTATCTTACCAGACTAAAGCTTGCTGAAAAAAAAGTGAGGATATTCCTGTACCCCCAACACAACATGAGAAAGATTTTCTTGATGTCTTAATTTTTGGGCTTATGTGAATTGATCTGTATAAGGACATTTATGGAATATCTAACTATGCTTTCTTTTTTAACTTATTGAGAGATGAAAGAAGTGGATTTCCTCACATTTCTTTTCTTTGATGCTTCCTCAGGCATTCCTAAAGGGTATTCAACAGAGGAGGAGCATCAAAGTTGGCAATTAGTGTTTTGATCAAGCCAGCATGCCACATTTCATTATTCAGCTTGCATCAGATACGTTAACCTTTGAAAGGATTTTTTTTTCTACTTGAAGACCAAAGGATTTTCTTTCATATATAGTAATCTTACTCAACCAATAAGGTATTTTGTTGATGACTTTTTGTAAAGACCAATGAATAAGACACTTGACAAAGGTCAACAATAGTTGAGTGTCCAGGAAAACTCTTGGAACACTTCGATTCTGTGCTTCTCATCAAGCTTTCTCCAGCGCCTAGAACAGTGCTTGACATACAGTAGGACTTCAGAAGCTAGTTACTGAAGGAATACTATAAATATATGAGAGTCCTTGTATCATATTCTTGTCTTCTGTCCCTAAAACAAAGATATATCTTTGTTTTTAAAAAATAGAGCACCTTTCATTTCCATGTTTGCCGAAAACATTTGTTTTAAAATACTAAGAATAGAGAGAACTTAATTTATTGACATGGAGCTATATGACAATACTGTTTGAGCTTGTTGCATGAACACTGGATCTCATTTTTGATATGGTCAGAAATAATGTATTCCCTTTTCCTCCATTAAAAAAAAATAACAGACAAGCGAAAAATGATCACCCAAGTTTCTTTCTGAATGTTCAGTGAGCACACTGGGAATGACCGCAAGAAACACTTCAGAGAAAAACAATTGTGAGGGTTGTCATTTCTGGTAATACTGTGAGATAAAGACTGTAATGGAAATCTAAGCCCAAAGGACAACAAATTTAATTTTCTCTGTTGTTTTTATAAGCCTTGAATGTAATAATAGTTTTAGTTAGGTTCCCCCACCCCCTTCCTCTAAGTTTTAAATAGACTACAAAGAGAGGAAAGCCTATTATTTGGTCATCTTAATGTGTCCAGTACTTTTGTTTATGCTAAATATTACAGTAGATGCCAAGAAGAACATCTGCTCTTAAAAATTGCCAACATTCCTAAGATTGTAGAGCAGTAAAGTACAGTAGAATTTTCACTCAACAGTGAACCACCCACACAGTTTTTTTCAAGCATATGTCTTATAATAAAAATTCTCAGAATATAATTGTTCATGAGAGCTTCTAAAATAAAACAAATTGACATTATATATTTGTGAATTACTGTGTTTTGAGATTCTACACCATAATTTCATAAATTAAACTCTTGTCCAAAATATTATCAGATTATATAGGAACAATATTTCAAACTCTTTCTCTAGCAAAAATTCCCATGGTAATTACATAAGTTTTAACAGTTCAGCCAAGTTTCTTTACTTTCTCATATCTCTTGAAAAATGGTGTAACTCTACTTGTATAGGTAGCTATATATGTAAAATGATAAGATGATTTTCCTCTTCTATCTCTGTCTTTTATATTTTCTAGAATGCTAGTGCATACAACTGAAAAGGAAGTAAAACTGAAAAGGAGTATGATTTCTGTATAAATGCTTTTTTTGAAGAGATAGTATTCGAAATAATTTTTAGAAAGATTTTTTTTAGCTTGATAAGTTTATTTAAATAGTCATGGGCAAAGACTTCATGACTAAAACACGAAAAGCAATGGCAACAAAAGCCAAAATTGACAAATCAGATCGAATTAAACTAAAGAGCTTCTGCGTAGCCAAAGAAACTATCATCAGAGTGAACAGGCAACCTACAGAATGGGAGAATATTTTTGCAATCTACCCATCTGACAAAGGGCTAATATCCGGAATCTACAAAGAATTTAAATTTACAAGAAAAAAAAACCTCCAAAAAGTGGGAGAAGGATATGAACAGACACCTCTCAAAAGAAGACATTTATGTGGCCAAAAAATATGGAAAAAAGCTCATCATCATTGGTCATTAGAGAAATGCAAATCAAAACCACAATGAGATACCATCTCATACCAGTTAGAATGGCAATCATTAAAAAGTTAGGAAACAACAGATGCTGGAGAGGATGTGGAGAAATAGGAATGCTTTTACACTGTTGGTGGGAGTGTAAATTTGTTCAACCATTGTGAAAGACAGTGTGGCGATTTCTCAAGGATCTAGAACCAGAAATACCATTTGACCCAGCAATCCCATTAGCGAGTATACACTCAAAGGATTATAAATCATTCTACTGTAAAGACACATGCACACATGTTTATAGCAGCGCTGTTCACAATAGCAAAGACTTGGAACCAACCCAAATGCCCCTCAATGATAAAGAAAATATTGCACATACACCATGGAATACTATGTGGCCATAAAAAAGGATGAGTTCATGTCCTTTGCAAGGACATGGATGAAGCTGGAAACCATAATTCTCAGCAAACTAACACAGGAACAGAATCCCAGCACTTCGGCAGGCCGAGTAAGGCGGGTTGCTTGAGCTCAGAAGTTTGAGACCAGCCTGGGAAACTTGATAAAACCCCATCTCTACAAAAGATACAAAAATTAGCAGGGCATGGTAGCATGCACCTGTAGTCCCAGCTAATTGGGAGGCTGAAGTGGAAGGATGGCTTGAGCCTGGGAGGTTGAGGCTGCAGTGAGCCGTGATTGTGCCACTGAGAGTCTTGCTCTGTCACCCAGGCCGAAGTTGTACTTCGGCCTGGGTGACAGAGCAAGACCCAGTTTCAAAAATAAATAAATAAAGAAGAAAGAAAAAAGAAAAGAAAACAGAAAAACAAATCAAAAGAACAACAAAAAATGTATAAAAGTCTATAGATCCCTAGGGGCACATGGTTCTGTCTTTTGTTCCGCTTACTATGACTCAAAGATAGTTCTTGGATTTCTAATCCAGCTATGTTTCTGTTTTTTTCCTAACAACAAGGTTGAATGCATAAAATATTCTTGAAAATATATTTTAAGATTTCAAACACAATTAGAATATTTGACTAAATGAAATCTCTCTTTCTCTTCTTAAGTTGATTGATGTCAATATTTATATTTATTTGTTTTCCTGGTCTTTAAACTACCCACACTAGTATTTCTTATAAATCAGTTATGAATAACTTTATTAGTCACTTTAGCATCAACTATTTATGAATAAGTAAGAGAGTATCTAGCATGAAAAGTCATAAAGTTATAATTTAAATGGTAAAATGTGTGCTTTGGTTTGCCATCTTGAATTAAAATGGCTGTTCGTAAAAGTTTTCAAATGGGCAATAACAGTTTTCTGTTATTGTTCACAAATTTTGGTAAAAATGAAAGTGGTGTGGTGGCTCATGCCTATAATCCCAGCACTATGGGAGGCCGAGGCAGGTGGATCATCCGAGGTCAGGAATTCGAGACCAGCCTGGCCAACATGATGAAACCTCATCTCTACTAAAAATACAAAATAAATTAGCCGGACATGGTGGCATGCTTCTGTAATCCCAGCTACTTGGGAGGCTGAGGCAGGAGAATTGCTTGAACCCAGGATGGGGAGGTTGCGCTGAGCCGAGATCACACCACTGCACTCCAGCCTGGGGTGACAGACAGAGACTCTGTCTAAAAAAAAAAAAAAAAAAAAAATGGAAAAGAAAAGAAAAGACAAGAGGATCAACCTTTCAAAAACACTACTTAAACTTCTCATAACTGTCAGCCAAGCATGCTATTGTGGGGTACTGGAATTCTCTGGTTATTGAACTAATCATGTTCTTAACGCATCTCGTTAGGAATAGCATCCAGCTGTGGCAAGAGAGAACATTAACTGTAACTTGAAGACTGAGTCCAAGGTGAGCATAAGAAGAAAGCTATAGGCATCTGTAGCAACATGGCTATAAAGTCCAGCCTCATTGAAGTCCAGATTGCCTCAGTTTCCAGGACTATGCTTCTTTAATACTGTCTGCCTGCAGTCTCCTCTCCCTTCAATCCCCTTCTCACACCTACCTTGTCTTGACATCAATCCTTACCTGTTTTCTGGCTCCTGACAACCTGCTTCAGAGTCCAGTTCTGTCTTTGACAGTGCTGCCTGGAATCTCTGCCCAACGCAGAAACCAAAACAACAATAATTGAGAAATTCCTACACTAATAAAAAAAACTTAGCCTGTTTTTGTGGAAAATTAGATTAACATTAAAGAGTACAAGCTTCAGAGAAAAACATATTTAAGCTAAATTCCTCTCTCAGTTATTGATTAGCACTGTAGTTGTCATCTGGAAAGTGGGGGCAATCATAGTAATCTTATAGGGTTATCATAATAAGTAAAGAAGGTAATTCATATAAAGTGTCCAGTGCTATACCTGCATAAGGAAGATAATAAAATATGTCTTATTTTATAACCATGTGCATGCCACAGGTCCTTTAACTAAGAGTCCATTTCACAACCAAAGGCAATAGGCAGTGCACAATTTCTTTTAAGACTATGTGCTTGGGGCCCTTCTTTAAGTTTTAACATCCCTTTATCATGAGATGTCTTCAACACATTCATACCTTTAACCAGGCAGTCAAAGGTCAAAGTCATTCTAGTACATATAATAAAAATGGACTCAGGACCCCTAGCACGCACTGCACACAGTGTGAAAGACTGTGGCTGACACAGTTCCAAGACTCTCTTAGAAGTAACTTCTCTGAACCATCTTTTCTTTCCTGGAGGGAGAGCCCCAGTTAGCTCCTCTGAACTGGCCTGCCCACTTCCCACATAAAAGATGCAATACATCAGAGTAAAAATTGTTGTAAAAACCCACATGAGTCATTCTCAGGAAGCCAGAACTATTTTAAAAGGAAGACTGATGTAGCATTTTAGAATATGGAGGTTTGGATCCTGGCTTTGGCGTTTCTAGCTATGTGACACCAGGCACATGACTTACTCTGTCTGTGCCTCAGCTTTCTACATTGCATAATGGGAAATAATATTGTTAGTGAGGATTAAACAAATTACCATTTGTGAACACTTAGAACGGTGTCTGGCATCTAGTGATCACTAGATGAATATTAACTATTATTATACTTCTGAGGCCAGCAGAAACAGTTTATTACGATTTTTTTTAGAAGACCTGACTCTCCACTTTCATTTCTTGTTTCCTGTAAGCTTTGAAAACATTAGGAAGTACATTGACTATCTGCAGAGGTAATGAGCCACTTGAAAAGTTCTCGGTGCTTTCCAAGGAGATTAATATTATGTGGTATTTCACTTGGAGCAATTACGTTGGAGGGAAGTTTTCTCATTTCAGGGCTTAAGAGCAGTATGTTCCCATATTTAACAAGGAAAGTGTTCAAAGCTGCTTTTGTGAACTGTTGGAAATCTGAAGTTTAGAGGGGAGAGTAGCTGTCGTTAAACTAAGTACGTCTGATCAGGGACCATTTTGGTGTGATCTTTTTGAGATCTTGTTAAATGAGCATCCAAAAAATATTTAATTTAGTTTAATTATTATCACCAAATCTAACAATTTTTTGCGAGTTTGTCAGCCATAAGTGACAGAGTTTGTTCTGTGGAGATGTTCTGACCTATAATAACAACAATGTCCCATTGTTGGAATCTACTGGACCTGCAATGTTGCATTTGGGGCTTAGGATCCCTTTAAAAATAGAAGAAAGCAGAATATAGTGAAACTCCATTTTTAGGTATTTATGGTAAGTAAATCTTAGGAGGGACTTGTTTCAAAATGGTCACCCTAAGTTTAATTAGTTTGCCACCAGCCACTCTTCTGGAGATCCTTGCTGAAGAACTCTCATCCATGTTGAAGCAAAATGATCCAACACAGGCCGGGTGCAGTGGTTCACGCCTGTAATCCCAGCACTTTGGGAGGCCGAGGTGGGCAGATCATGAGGTCAGGAGTTTGAGACCAGCCTGGCCAACATGGTGAAAGCCCATCTCCACTAAAAATACAAAAATTAGCCGGGCGTGGTGGCGGGCACCTGTAGTCCCAGCTACTTGGGAGGCTGAGACAGGAGAATGGCATGAACCTGGGAGGTGGAGCTTGCAGTGAGCCGAGATCACACCACTGCACTCCACCCTGAGCAACAGAGCGAGACTCCGTCTCAACAAAACAAAAACAAAAACAAAAAACGATCCAACACAAGCCTGGGCCACGACTGCCTTGTCCTTTGGCCAAGACTAATGGCATAGTAAGTTTTCTCCTATGTCACCTACATCAAAGGTCAGAATGTGTGAAGAAATTAAAAACTGCAGATATAATTTAAATATTCATTCCCCAAATTTTAAAGCTTGAACTTGGTGAAAAAAAACCATCTTATGTTCTATACATTATATAATGATGACCATACAATAAACAAGCATAATCTACAAACTATAGGGCAGATATTAATCACTGAATATCTAAACTTTCCAAATAAAATATATTAAAAAATATTAATGAGAAAACAGAGCTTTCCTACAGGAATGTTCTTTGTGAACTTTTTGTTGCAGTAAAACATACATGTAAAAAAGTATGCAAATTATAAGTGTATAGCTCTAAATTTTACAAAGTCAATTTTCCTATGTAACCACCACCCAGATCAAGATGTAGCAAGTTGTTTCCTGCTCTTCCTAGTCAGAACCCCCTCCCCAAATGCGGTGGACAGAGTTCTAAAGATGGTCCTCCAAGATTCTCATTCCCTGATTATCTTACCCAGCACTAATCTAGGCATTGTAGTGAAGAGAGCTTGCAGATGTCAGTTGACCTTAAGATAAGGAGATTATTTAGGAGAGTCTGTAGAGCATCGTCTCTGCTTGATGACAGAGAGAAGCCAGAGATTTGAAGTGAGAGGGGAATTCAAAGTATCTTTGCTGCTTTTGAAGATGGAGGTGGCCTTTAAGAACTGAGAGCTTATACGCAGCAAGCAACTGAATTTAGCCATTTACTTGAATGAGCTTGGGAAGTCTATTCTTCCCCAGAGCCTCCAGATAAGAGCTCAGCCTAGCCAACCCCTTGATTTAGGCCCTGTGAGACCCTCATTGGTGACCTCAGCTAAGACTGTGAAGACTTCTGACCTATAGTACTGTGAGCTCACAATGATTTAATCTCAGAAAGAAGTGAGGGACATATTATTAGAAACTGGAGGAAAGAGGATCCTTGTTAAGCAGAGGCAGGGAGTTTAGCAGAATTGATTCTTGCAGCTATGTGGAAAGCAGAACTTGTAAACAACAAGCTTGGATATTTAACAAAGATTTCCAAATATTGAAGATGTGGCCTAGTTTTTTCTTATAGCTTATAGTAAAATAAGAGAAGTGAGATATAATTTGAGAAAAGAATTACACAAAAGAGAACCAGAACTTGATGATTTGGAATATTCTTAATCTATCCAGGTGGTGAAAGAGGCTAAAATTCACAAATGACTGCCAAAAGCATGACATAGAGAAAAGGCTGAGAGTGTGGCTATACAACTTCTTGTGGAAATCTTTGAAAGATCAAAGATTATTCAGTTGCACGAGATTAAGGGTGCAGCTCACAGATTTCAAGTTTAAGAGTCTTGAATGGTGTGATCCCTTGGCCATCTCAGCAGAAGCCAAATATAGAGAAGGGATTAGCTCAGAAAGATCTGTTGGTGAGACTTTAGTCTAATGGAGTGAACCCTCATGAAATTCATGCAAAATCCACAAGATTCTAGAGAAAATGATGTTGGCAGACACACTGCAAGCTAGACTGAAAGGAACAGAAAGTGTATAAAATAAAAGATGACTGTCAAGCCCCATAAACCTACTTATCTGCAAACACAAGCTACATTTCATGCATAAAGGAAAGATGAATCAGAGGGTGGAACCAAGAGCTAGGAGAGCAGAGCCTGGAGCCCACAGGCTGGGGATGGGGACTCAGTGTGAAGCCCGCAGCCCGGAGGACAGAGCTAAGAGACATAGGGGATTATTCAAGGCCTTCAATCTGGTAGCCACTGCCTGGATGCTGGTTTTTAAACCTGTTTCGCACTCATGACTTCTTTTTATTTTCCATTTCTTCCTATATATTCATCTGTCAAACATTACCAGTCTCAATTACTGTAGCTTATGGTCAATCTTGATATCTGGTAGATTGTCAGTCCTCCAACTTTGTTCTTCCTTCTATAGAATTGTCTAAGCTGTTCTCAGTCTTTTGCATTTCTGTTTAAATTTTAGAATTAGTTTGTCAATTTCCATGAAAAAAATTGCAAGATTTTGATTGGGATTTCATTGAATTTATGTGTATAGTTGAGGAGAAGTGACACCTTAACAATACTGAATCTTCCAATCCATAAACTTGGTATATTTCCTGATATATTCAGATTTTCTTTAACTTTCCTCAGTGAGGTTTGTAGCTTTCAGTTTAGAGTTCTTGTATAGATTTTGCTCAATTGATCTCTAAATATTTAAAGGTTTTGATGCTACTGAAAATAATGTTGTTTTTAAAAATTTTAGTTTCTAATTGTTCATTGCTAGTATATAGAAATTAATTTTTAAATGTTGATTTTGTGACTTGTGAAAGTTATTTAGTAATTATAATAATTTGTTGGAGACCCTTTGGATTTTTAGTGTACAAAATATCTGTAAATAATAATAGATTTTCTTCTTCCTTTTCAATTATTATTTGTTTATTTCTTTTTATTGCCTTAGTAGTTTGGCTAGGATTTCTGGTAGAATGTTATATAGTAATGGTGAGAATGGACATCTTTATAGATGGAAAGCATTTATATTTCAACATAGTACAATGTTAAATGTACATATATATTATATACACATATGTTATAGATTATTTATCATTGACATTCTTACCAAATTTAGAAAGTTTCTTTCTATTTGTAGTTTGTTCAGAGAATTTTATTATGAGTGGGGTTTATTTATCAAGTATATTCTCTGTATCTATTAAGTTGATTATATGCTTTTTCCTCCTTATTCTATTAAATTTAATATAAATAATGTCAACAAAAATCCTTTGCTTTTAAAATGTTAATCCAGTCTTGAATCCTTGGAATAAACTCCATCTATTGTTATGGATTGTGTTATTCAAAGAACTTGTCCATTTTCATAAAATTATTGAATTTATTGACAAATTTCTTCATAATATCCCCTTATCAGCTTTTTAATGTCTGTGGGATCTATAGCCAAGTCCCTATTTTCATTTCTGCTATTAGAAATTATATTTTCTCTCTTTTTTCTTTGACCAATCTTGCCAGGGTTTATTAGGTTTTTCAAGAAACTCATCTTTGGCGTTGCTTTTTTTTCCTTTTATATGTTAATTCTCTATTTTATTTATTTTGGCTCTTATGATATTATTTCTTTTCATTTAATATTCTGTTCTTTTATTAGCTTATTGTGAAGAATACTTAGTTCATTAATTTTAATACTTTTTTTGTTTTGAGATGGAGTCACGCTCTGTGGCTCAAACTGGAGTGCAATGGTGTGATCTTGGCTCACTGCAACCTCCGCCTTCTGGGTTCAAGTGATTCTCTTCCCTCAGCCTCCCGAGTAGCTGGTATTTCAGGTACATGCCACCACACCCGGCTAATTTTTAATACTTTTATTTTTTTCTATTCATTTAGCCTATAAACATCTTTTCAAGTATAACTTTAGCTGCATTTTACAATAGTATTTTAATTTGCATTTAGTTCAAAATAGTTTCTACTTTCTATTTTAATATTTCTTTGATTGTGAGTTATGTAGAAATATATTGCTTGATATCCAAAAACACGGTTTAGTTGTCACTTTGAAACTCTCTAATTTTATTTATGCTCTGTTATATTTTTGACAACTGTTTCAATATTTGTTACATAAATATCTTAAATATTATACTATTGACAAAAAGAATCAGCACTCAAAGTCATTAGTCTATATTTTGTTCATGATGCGTTCATTCCACATTTATTGAGCATGTGCTAGATACAAGTACTGTGCATGCTAGTGACTACGTGAGGGATTCAAAGGAAATGTATGGACCCTGCCCTTGCCCTAGAGGAACTCACAACCTACTGAAGTGACAATCCCAGGAAAGGCAGTGTTCATTGGTTCTCGTTAGCTTTGTTCTTTTCCACTATAGCCACCAAATTAAAACGTTAATGATAAAACCTCACAAGCTTTGAGTGAAGTGAAAATTCTCATGTACAACTAAATGTTGAGTGCCTTATGGTTGGTCTATAATTCTCACAGATAATACCGTAGAAGGGATAAGCTTAAACGTGCAAGAATTTTTTTTTCTGTAACTGAAACTTATTTGTATTTGAAGCCCCCATTTAGCTGCAGTGACAAAAATCTTATCAATGGGAGGCCTCTCCATCAGAAAGTCAGAAACACTGACTGAAGCAGAGTCATCAGTGGGCTGCAGATTCTCCAAGGCTCCTCTGCACAGCCTCTGCCCTGGAAGTAGTGGGAGGGCATTCCCAAACAGTCTCTCCTTCCCCTGGAGTGGGGAAGGAGGGTACATGAGTCTCATTCTAATTCCTCCTCTCTTAGTCTTGATTTTGTTTTTCTTTTTTGCCTTAGATGACGACACTCCTTCTAGCCCAGGATTTTTGCTTCAGAGGCACCTGCCACAACTCATTTTTGCAGATGAAGAGTTTGAGGCTTCAGGTTAGGTGACTGGTTTTTGAAAACCACAGGGAGAAGGAGCACAGCAAGAACGTGGCCCATAGTAAATGTCTAACAAACATTTAGCTGTCAGTCCCAGTGCTCCCCAGCTGGTGTTATTTTTCTTATGTGAGCAGGTTAATTCAGAGTATTATTTCAGGGAACAAATACTTGAATACCTGTATGTCCAAGGTGCCAGGGTTACAGGGAATTAGCTAGATAAAGTCTCTGGCCTTACTGGGCTTCCATTACATAGAAGGGCAAGTAAGAGACAATAGATTAAAAAAAAAAAAAAAGAAAGAAAAGAGAAAAACAAGGTAATTTCAACCACAACTGGTGCCATATTTAAGGTAACCTATGTCATCCTCCATGCCAGAACACTTTCCCTCTAGGGTGCCCCAGGACTCTCTTTGGCCTCTGCCATT
The DNA here is from genome assembly GCF_000001405.40 of Homo sapiens. Taxonomy (NCBI): domain Eukaryota; kingdom Metazoa; phylum Chordata; class Mammalia; order Primates; family Hominidae; genus Homo; species Homo sapiens. The sequence goes on along the minus strand of NC_000001.11, from coordinate 99,435,669 downwards.
GGACATCACAGGAAGCAACTATGGTAGCTGGCTCTTCCCTCTCTTCTTGCAAAACCTGACATGCCATTTATTTCTTTGTCTGACATACCTTTCTTTTCTCTTGTCCTGGAACCATTTACCAGGCACAGGCTCCAGCACCCCACCCAGCAGCCTCTAATTACTTTCTGTTATCAATTTCCTACTTGATTTCTGATGTTGAAAGAACATACTATATAATTTTCATTTTTAGAAATGTGGTTTGTTTTATGGCCAGCATATGGCTTATTTTGGTAAATATTCCTTGTAAACTTGAGAAGAATGTGTATTTTGAAGTAGTTAGGTATTTTTTATGTATAATGTATAACAGTGAGGGTGCTTTTGTACTTAGTGGTGTTCAAATATTTGCAAATACCTCCACTGATTATTTTTCTTCTATCATTTTCTTTTTTTTTTTTTTTTTTGAGATGGAGTCTCACTCTGTCGCCCAGGCTGGAGTGCAGTAGCGCAATCTTGGCTCACTGCAACCTCTGTCTCCTAGGTTCAAGTGATTCTCCTGCCTCAGTCTCCTGGGTAGCTGTTATTACAGGCGCGTGCCGCCAAGCTCAGCTAATTTTTGAATTTTTAATAGAGATGAGATTTCACCATGTTGGCCAGGCTGGTCTTGAACTCCTGACCTCAAGTGATCCACCCACCTCGGCCTCCCAAAGTGCTGCAATTACAGGCATGAGCCACCACCCTTGGCCTCCTCTATCATTTTCTAAGTTGAGTTAAATCCAAATATTTTCTTGGATTTTCATATTTCTCCTCTTAGTTTTTCCAATTTTGGCTCTATTTTTAGTGCATGTTATTAAGAGCATACACACATAGAACTGCCATACCTTTCTGTTGAATTATTAGTCTACTGTATCTGGTATCAGTTTGCTATATCACATTTCTTTTACTGAGTTTTATGTGAAGTGTGTGTGTGTATAATATTCTTTTAATGTTTCCTGTGTCCTCATTTTAAAAGCGTGTCTCTTGTAAGATAACCAAACTATAGATATACACACACACACACACACACACACACACACACACGATTTTCTTGGTATTTTTTCCACTTAATAAATAAAAGGAAAAGTTTCTTGAGGAAGGCACTCTACTGAATTTTTTTTTTTTTGAGATGGAATGTTGCTCTGTCGCCCAGGCTGGAGTGCAGTGGCACAATCTTGGCTCACTACAAGCTCCATCTCCCGGGTTCATGCCATTCTCCTGCCTCAGCCTCCCAAGTAGCTGGGACTACAGGTGCCAGCCACCATGCCCAGCTAATTTTTTGTATTTTTAGTAGAGACGAGGTTTCACTGTGTTAGCCAGGATGGTCTCGATCTCCTGACCTCGTGATCCGCCTGCCTCGGCCTCCCAAAGTGCTGGGATTACGCGTGTGAGCCACCACTCCCGGCCCACTCTACTGATTTTTAAAATAATCCATGTGGCTTCCTATCACCTACTTAACTGCCCTGTACTCTTAGCCACCATGCTGACCCTGCCAGTTTGGGAAGTGTAGGTGGGACAGGAAGGGCTGGGGAAGAATCTGAAGATGGAAATGGAAAAAAAGATAACAGGTGAAGAGAGGATGGAAGGAAAGGGTGCCATTAGGTTTTTAAAAGAATTTTTACCTCTACACTCTCTCCTGTCCTTTTGCAACTTCAGTTACATGTATTTGGCCTTTTTGTGAATTCTTTACATTTCTTACCCTCTCCATTATTTTTCCATCTTTTTTGTTTCACACTCCCTCTCGGTTTGTTCTTCTGAACTGTTTTGTAGTTCACTAATTTTCTCTTCTGTTATGTGTAATTTATTATTAAGCCCATTCATTGGATTCTTAATTTTATTACTGTATTTCCAGTTTTCTCCAAAGCCATATCATCTTCCAAAGTACAGATCTTCTCCTTCTTTACTTTAGGCTTTTCTTGATGTTGATTTTCATGTAGCTCACCCAAGGGACATTCATAGCAATAGCATAGACCTTAAAAGACAATACATAACCAATACTTAACAGAAAAATATTTTATATCTCAATTCTGTAGGGGTTTCTTTTCTTAATTAAGAAGATGACTATGCCTAAATGGTGTCAGAATATCAGAGCAGGTTGTCCAATTTGGTCAAATTTACTTAGGAACAAAAAAAGAAAAACGTCAAAGGATTTAAGCTTTTCTGTTTAGTGAATATTAATACTTTCTAAGTCTTCTGTAGCTATCACATTATTTTCTCCTTGGGCATAGATAGATACTAATTGCTTTATTTGTACAAAGTTTCATTTTCTAACTTTTACAAGAAATGCTTCTACTCTGAGTCCTCCCACCGTCCAAAGGCCTGAAAGTTCAAGCAGATGTTGATTCTCTGGTATTAATGACCTCTTTAAAGGTGTGTGTCTGACTGAAGCTGGGCCAAGCAGAGCTCTTTCCTGGGATTTTATAATTTTGGATTGGAGAGATAGGCTACAGGCTCCCTTTGATAATAGATATTGGAAACTCTGGCACTGATGGATGGAAATGCGCCCTATCCTGAAGAAGAAGCTAGTTCTTAGCAGATGCTAATGAAACCAAGAAACAGAAACAGAAGAGTCACTTGAGGGCTCTCCATCAGCCCTTTGGTTATCAGAGTTAAAAAATTCCTCTTTGCCTAATTCGGATTTTTGTCAGACGCAGCCAAAAGAGTTCTGACTAAGGTGTCCTCTTTGTATTGCTGAGGTCTGAAAATTACGGGGTGGATTTTATAGTTTGATCACTATGGCTTAATCCAAAGGTATTTACAAATTTCAAAGGCATTTTTAAATTTCATATCTATTCCTACAATAGAAGCAGCTTGGTATATTGAGGGAATACCATTGACGAGGTTTGAAGACCCAGAAAACTACTTTTTCTCTCAGAACCTCCAATTTCTCACCTATGAAATGGGGATGAATACTTTCCTATGACACAATGTGTGGCAAGGATTAATTGAATTAATACAACTGAAGAAATCCTGAAAGAAAAGCAAGGCGAATATTATCTCAATTTGTGTGAAGAGAAAACTCAGCTTCAGAGAATTCAGTCAATCAAATGTCCACAGTACTGTGCACATTGTCGGCACCGGCCTTAGTTGTACATTATGAGCATCTCTATGAGTTCCCTAAGCCATGGTAGACACTTGGCTCCTGTGAAGAGGCACAGGAGGGAAGTGAGAGAGAAGTTAACATCCTCTGAGGCAAACGTCAAGCCTCCTAGTCCTTCAGGAAGATAAATCTAAGGCATGTACCACACGGTTTCTCAGAGGGTCCCCACCAAGATTTGAACCCCAGTGGTCCTAAGTGGTAACTGACTAAATAAGGCACACTTTATTGCCTTTCCATATGTCACTCTCCCTACTCTCTTCTGCTTCCCACATTTTTCTCTCAAATAAACTACTTTCACTCAAAATGACATTGTCTCAGCCTCTGCTTTCAGGGGATGCCAGAATAAGATATAATTATGCAAATCAACAAAAATGAGAAAAAGCATTGACAACACTCATATTTATCAATCTTGAGTACTCATTGGTCTCAAAAATAAGACTGAACCCCCAGGAAACTTAGGATTTTATTTGCATAAGCCACAGTAATTAAGAAATTCAATTTGGTTTTGAAGTGGAGATTGACATACAGAAACACAACCCCATACACACATTCTCACACAGTCTGTGGGAAGTGTTTCCAGAGCAGTCTTGTTTGTGGTATTTGTTGTGTGGTCCTAGTGGGGAAGAAGTAAAGAGTGTTTGTTCACCTCAGACAAATTTATAAACTAACTGAATAGATGGCTGACCAAGAGATGGACTTTGTTTACAAGTCTGTTTATAAGTAGAATGATGTTCTAACTTTTATTAAATAACAGACAGTTAAGCAGCAGTAAAAATAAGTATACCAGAATTAAACAAAGAAAGAGGTTCACATCTCACCTTAAAATGGTCAGCTCTTTTCCCCCTAAACCTCAAAAAATCCTCTGTCTCCTCTCACCATCTTGTTTTAGAGTTGACTACCAACTATTGCAGGAAATTGAACTGTTTTTGACCTACGTTTGTGATGAGTCTGGCATAATGTAATTCTGATTGTGCTGTCAAAGAAAACCACATATTTCCCCCCCCACAAAAAAAAATTATGTGTAATGCAAACGTGATTATCATTGTTGGTGTGGAAGGGTACAATTAAAATTATGAATGAATATTTTTCCCTTTACATTTGCTTTTCCTCTTTGACCTTTCCTCCTTTCAAGCAGCTGGGCAGTTTCATGGAGAAAACACAGAGCAGAAAGTAGAAAAAAAATAAACAAGTCTTTTTCTGAATGTTGCTCCTTTGAGAACTACGTTTAAGTCTATTTACAAATAAAATGATTTTCTAATTTTTATTAAGTAATAGCAAACAGTGAAATACTATGAAGGATAGTTATAATAGAATTAAACATGGGAGGAAGTCCAGAGCTGGTTGTAAAGAAGCCAACTGTATTTTTTTCCCACTAAGTCCCAAATTAAATGTAACATATCCACTTGCCTTCCTTAGAGAAACAAAAATTACTCATAATTTTGATGAAAGATGTAGAAGAAAATACTGTATGAGAAAGAACAACCCTCCTACCCCACATACCCTGGAGAGAAGGTTTGTTGGGCCTGTGAGATGAAAAAGAGTCAGGAGAAGTGTTAAGAATGTGGATATCAGTAGTTCAGGGTGGAAAGTCCTTTATCTTACTTCCATGATAGATACCTCCCCAGCCCAGAGGCAGGAAAACCAAAGCAAACCCAACCCAGATAGCCTGGGGTTGGGGGTACATCCCAAAAAAGAAAAGACACTCTCTCCTTTCCTAGTTAAGAATCTGAGCAATGGCAAGACCCCCCAAAACTGAATTGGCTGAGTGGTATATCTAAGCACACGAGACCTTAAAACAGACCAGCTAGGATTTCCATACTCTGTGGCAAGAAAAATGAACAATTCCTTTGCTCCGAACAGGAACACGGAAGTCATGGAGGTTGTTGCTGGACCTGAGGGGTCTTGTGACAGAAACCAAGCAAAGCTAGTGCAATACAAGAACCAATGACTGAGGCCCAAGGGCCTACTGGATATCTCTGTGGATTCCAGGGTTCATAGCTGCTGACAACAAGGCCACATCCCCTTCTGTGCCCCCAATACCTTGGCACTACGTAAGGTCCCTGGAGCTTATATACAACTCAGAGGAAAAATGGAGGGGCCACTAAGTTGGCTAACATGAAGTTTTTACCTCCCTGGAAAAGTTAGGACACAAAGTAGAAATTATGTTTAATTATAGAAAATAAGGGTTTTTTTTTATACTTGAATATGCATGAACACATGAGGCACACACTAATCATAATTTTGTTTTTAATAGAAATTTTGCTTTGTTAAATTCCGTATTTATTCTTCCTACTAAACTTAAAAGCAAAAAAACAAGCTCCTTACAAAGAACATTAATGTGACTTTTTAATTCTATTTAACAATTGTCAAATAAAAATAAACTTATGTTGAAGGTTTAAAAGAAAATGATGTCTGCTTGCCTTTCTTTGACTTTTGCCTCTGCTATGCTGTAATCATGAAAGTTCTGTTCTGTACACTTAGGCCTAAAACTCACTTATTATCTCCATGTTACTAAAAGCTTTTGGTTTGATTGTTTAGTGTCACGATGTAGAAAGATGGTTGCATTTTGCCTGACTCTCATGTACCATTTGACAGCCTCCTACTCAGAGAGGATTGGCAGACTGGGCTCAGTAGTTATTGTGCTGTACAAAGGGAATTATTACAAAGAAATATTCATACAACAGGAAAGGAAAAATGAAACTCACAGATTTTAGCACAACATGAATTGATTTACTTCAGACAATGAATATCTTCATGTTAAGGTTATGTAATTAAAATCTTTCTCTTTAAATTCTTTCAAATGTTCTTTAAAGAAGTGAATTTTCTTTCATTAGGAAAATTAGAAGAATCTCTGTACTCCCACATCTCTGTATGTATAACTACTACTTAAATTATGATAATTATGCCTAAGAAATGTCAGCCCTAATTTATCCCCATATGGGCCACCCCTCCTACCTCCATTTCCATGCATACATTCATTTTGTAAATTGCTTTTTTAGGTTTTCTAATGTAAATCAATGGCATTGAAGTCCAAAATTAATGGCTTCCCTGTATTCATCCCCTTTGCAAAGTGACCTTGCATATTCTTCCATCAAGAGGTAAGTCTATTGCCTGACTCCCCTAATCTGGGCTAAGCCTTGTGCCTTGTTTTGGTCAGTAGAATGTGATAGAAGTGCTAAGATGCCACTTTTGAGCTTAGGCTTTAGGCAGTCATGAATGCTTCTGCTTTTTCTCTTGAAACCATGCCACTGCCATGTGAATAAGCCTAGGCCAACTTGTGAAGGATAAGAGACTATGTGGAAGAAAGCCCTATTATTCCATGTAGAAGCCAGCCTAGAGTTAGATGATCCTTAAATGTGTGAGACAGTCCACCCAAGACCAGAAGAGCTGTCTTCTAGAGCCACGGCTCATTCGGATGCATGAATGGATCTAACAAGAATCCAAGAATTACCCTGATGACTCCTAATATGTGCTTTTGTTTGAAGCCATTTAGTATTGGGGCTTGTTTGTTATGCAGCAGAGCTAACTAATGCATTTAATAATTAGTATTTTCTTCAAACATTTCATTATACCCTAGGATTTCTTAAAAGCCCTTGGATATTTGGACACAGATGTATAATTTGTGTAATATTTTATAACATTGCATTGAGATTTTTCATGTGGACTGGGTGTGTGGGGTATTTCTTTCAGTATTTATTTAGGTTGTATTTATGTGGCATTTGTATTAGTCATCTTGGGATGCCATAATAAAATATTATAGGCTATTTGGGTAGTCATAGGTTGGCTTAAATAAAAAATACTTACTTCTCAGAATTCTGAAGTTTGGGAAGTACATGATCAAGGTACAGGCCGGTTTGGTTCCTGGGGAGGGCTCTCCTCCTGGCTTGCTGACAGCTGCCTTCTCACTATGTCCTCTTCATGTGGTGGAGAGAGAGAGGGAGAGAGGGAGAGGGAGAGAGAGAGAGGGAGGGAGAGAGGGAGAGAAGGAGAGAGGGAAGGAGAGAGAGAGCTCTCTGATATCTCTTCTTATAAGGACACTAACTCTACCAGATTAGGATCCCAACTTTATGACTGCATTTAACCTTAATTACCTTCTTAATCTGAATGCATTCACGTTAAAGATGAGAAATTCAACATATACATTTATACTTTTAGGGGGACACAATTCTGTCCATAACAGCATCTGAAGAGGTCATATGGTTCATTCTCAGAGTATGAGGTATCTATATCTAGATTTTCCTAACAAAGGGAATCAAAAACCTTATTTAAAATATTTCTGGGACTGGCGATTCAACCACCATCCTGGTAATAATATAGTTCCCTTATAATCAGTAAGTGCTTGCTTATATCTACTTATAAAAGTTCAATTTCTTGAAATTGAACACTTTCAATACAATTTCATACTTATATTCTCTTCTGTACAGTTAGGGAATAAGTGATTGGTATATTATTAAACTTTTATTGCTTAAAGGCAGAATGGTCATAGCATTATTTTCTCTCCTCATTGTGTTTATTGATATAGTTTATGATTATGATTTTTCAGGACTATATCTAAAACTGCCAGTAATACCAATTAAGGTATCCTAAGATTGTTTCTTTTAGACAGCATTTGAAAGTTTCTTAAATTTGTTAACTGATTACATAAAGCACACTGTTCCATTGCACCCACAAGGATAATATTCAGGACTACCTAAACATGTTTCTCCACAGGAGGAAAAGGCACACACAAGGCACTCATTTTAAGATAACCAAAATATATTAATTTTTTAGTTGATGTAACTAATGTTTATATTAGTATGGATGCTGATCTGTCTCATTCATCTTTGTATATGGCTTTAGTCACTTTCTACTGAGTACATTGTACTGATTTCTGCCAGCTTATTTTTCTGTTATCCTTGAATCAATGAAGTTGATTCACTTATTCAATGTATTATATACTATTTTAAGTTCTGGGAAACCAAATCTGGGTAACCAAATGAAGAACAGCCACTATTCCTAGGAATCTTACTGTCTACTGGGGAAGAAGGCAGCACACAAATGAATATAAAATATACTGTCTGGTAGTATCACAACGTGTTATGAGGAAAAATAAATCAAGATAAGTGAATGGAAAGCGGAGGGGGACCATTTTAGACAAAGGGGTCAGGGATAGTATCTCTAAGGATATGAGATTTGAGTGGACATCTAACCAAAGTTAGGGAACAAGTCATACATGTATCTGGTGGAAGAAAATTCCAGGTGGAAGAAACAGCAAATGTCAAGGCCTGAAACAGTGACAACTTTGTTTTAAAATGTGTAGCTCAAATAGTATTTTCTGTTCCTTCAATCATTCTACTTAAGGTTTTTGTTTTGTTTTATTTGGAAGTAAGATTTCAAAATATAGCAAGAGAAAGCTTTATTTAAAGAGACTCAAGAATGTTCTCCCTGGAGATTTCTAAGATTAGGTTGCTTAAATATTTGAAATAATTTTTATGGCTTTGCCAAACCCATCATATTGTCCCAGCTGATGTTAAATTGGGATTTGTAAGCCTCTTGGTCATTCTCTGCCTCTATGCCTATCATTAATTTATTAAGAGTATTTATTGGCACATAAAACACGTCAGGGACTGTATTAAAGGCTGAAGATATCTGATTGACAGGTAAACCATGGTCCTTGCTGCTATAAAATTGCTTATTCCTACTAGAGATCAGCTGTAATAATTATAAAGATATAAGTTCTGGACTTAGACTTCAAGTGTCTGGTGCTGCCATTTACTAAATTTAGATGTTATACAATTTATGCTTCTTTATGCTTCAAATTTCCAGTTTGCAAAATGGGGATTCATTTACTCCACAAAGATTTAGTGGTACATTACTAGGTGCCAGACACTGTTATAGGTGCTAGACACTGTTATAGGTGCTTTGGGATACAATAGTCAACAAAACAGACAAAATTAACATAATACCTAATGAGAATGTTTTAAGACTTACCTAAGATGATATCTATAGTTCCCAGAATACAGTAACTACTAGATAAATGCTAGATACACACTTCTTATATTTGCAAAACTAGTGCTGGTAAATATAAAGCCCTGATAAAGGAGGGTTGAATTGAATTTTGTTATTTTATGGAGCAGGATACAACCTGTGTTACAGATTGAAAATACAAAGATGGTGATAAATTTATAGATATTAAAGTGAAAATAGATTAATGAAGGGAAAAACGTCTGAATGTGTGAGGTCTGTTCCTAACTTTTGGAGTTGACATTGAGCAGCGGCCACGGCATTTCTCTTCAGTTCTGTGGCAAAACTGCAAGTTGCCTTCCCAGTATTCATAGCCTCCCTTCCCTTTTTTTTTTGTTGTTTATTTTGCACAGGTTGTCATACTTTGTCTAAAACAAAAGGATTATACTGCCCAGCATTCTTCACTGTCAGGATGGCCAATGGGATGAAATGAGAATTTACTTGGTGAGATTCCTAAAAATGGAATTTAAAAGAGGAAGGAACTCAGCTTGCATATGCCTTTCACCCTTCAGTGTTCACCTCTTCCCTGCTCTAGGACACGAACACAATGCAGGTTGTAAAGCAGCCATGTTATGAGAATGAGCTAACAAGCAAAAGCAAACATGAGGACAATGAAATAGAAGACTGGAATGAGCCTCGTTCCCCAATGGCATCGTAGAGTTGCTAAATTAGCCCTAGATTTCCTGATCAGAACCTCTTGTTATGTATGCAAAAGATACCCAAATTTGTTTAAGCCACTGTTACATTTTTTGGGAGGTGAGGGGTAGTTTCTGTTATTCATAGCTGAATGCATCCTTCAACCAATATAAAGTTTTTGGATATCACTGTCTACCAAATGTTTTCATGGACCATCAGTGGTGACTCTTGCATTTTTAGGTGTCTAGGTGATTGCCCACATTACAAGCCCTGGTTTACCAACCAATAAAATGTGTGGCGGTTCAACCTCATAATTCAGTCCTGTCACGCCTTATAGACCTTTTCCCCATCAATTTTATGTATCTCATCCTAAATTAACTTGAAGACACAGGTGTAAGATAAATATGAGGGGCTGGCGAAATCTCTTCTTGTAGAGTGTGGAAAAACTTCTCCTAAGGAATGCTCAGTATATTGACGGATGCTCAGTGGTGCCCCAGGGATACACAGAGTTGAAGTTTCTGATGTCATTCACCTCAAAACCAGCTTTCTGCCACTGCTTTAGTGGCATCTGTGTGTCATTTAAATGTAGAATTGCGGCTTTTTCACACCTGCTTTTCCCATTTTCAAGAAGTCTTGGTTATAAAACTAGAGAATCAGCTGGCCCTTCCATATGTAAGTGAAAGTTTTCATCTTTTACTAATTAGAAGATAACCTAGATTCATTACTTTTTTATTCATCTTTCTTTTTAGTTATTAAAAATTGATCTTTTTATTTATAGCTGCATGAAAAATTCTTTTGCAGTTTCTTCAAAGGTTTTCTCTCCCCCATTTCTTTATCTTTCTTTCATTCCTAAAATGTAACTTGAGATGTGCACGTGGAAAAATCTGTTTGGTTGGAAATAAAATGTGGAAGGGAAAAACCAGCTATCAATGGCACAGCCATATTTTATATTTGGACTCTACCAAGCCATCATAGATCAGGAATATACCACTTCATTTAAATTGGCTTTTTGTCTACAGGTACCATACTTAAGTATCCATCACCTCTGGAGAGGTTGTCAGAAATGAGGCTGCATCATAAATTGTCCTAATGGCTCTTAGGTCCTGTGCCTCAGTGTGCTAGCCAGCCTTGGCCCCTTTGATTTCTGTGTCAGAGTAGCATCCCTTAGGCATTTCTTATTACTTGCAGGGCTGAAGTCAGCACTTTCCTAGAGTGGGGAGCTCAGGCTTCTTTCCTGGGAGTTGCATGAAAAACTTAAATAGTTATGGCTGAGAATTTGTGCATGCTACATTTCTCCAGGTCAGCTGAAAATTAGCAATGAGCCCTGAAATTTCTCTTCAGACTAATCAGTAAGGTATTTTTTTTCCAGAGCTGAATGCATATGTACACTATGAATGTCTGACTTATCCTATCCTATTTATTCATGGGTGTCTATTTAAGAAGTATGTTTTAGTAGAAATGTCATGGTTTTGGAGACAAAAGACTCTGAGCCCTGCCAGTACTTGACAAATGTAACTTCAAACAAGTAGCCTAAGTTCCAGGAGCCTGTTCTTCGTCTGTGGATGGAGTTAACAAGGCCTGTCCTATCTTACCTCATATGATTGTTGTGAGGCTTCACAGTGAGGCAATGTGTGGGGGTGATTTGTACACTATAAAGCACTGTAAACACGTATTTATAAGATCTCTCCACTGTACCAGATCTTATCACTTCTCTTCATAGGCATGGCTCATGGATTGGAAGTAACTTTACTTCCATGCCAAGTCCCTGTAAATACTATCCATCCCTACCAAGGTAAATCTCAACCCAAACTTGACCGCTTTGCTAGGTTCAAACCCAGACTTCTTTGTTCACTAATTATGGAATCTTGTATTATTTACTCAACCTTACCATGACTGTCACATAATCTAGAGCTGGGATATTGATTGTACCCACACTTAAGGCTGATTTAAGGATTACATGAGATGAGCTCTATAAAGTAGTTATTATGGTGCCTGATATACAGTAAATAATGAATGGTAGGTATTATTAATGTATTAGTGTAGGTACAAGTAGATTATGGGATTCTAAGAAGATGGTTGCTAACATCTTTTTTCTTCTTTTTTATTTTTTAAAATTAATTTTTTATTTCAATAGGTTTTTGGGGAACAAGTGGTGTTTGATTACATTAATAAGTTCTTCAGTCATGATTTCTGAGATTTTGGTGCACCATCACCCAAGCAGTGTGCACTGTACCCAATGTGTAGTCTTTTGTCCCTCATCTGCCTCCCACCCTTTCCCCTGAGTTGCCAAAGTCCATTGTATCATTCTTATGTCTTTGCATCCTCATAACTTAGCTCCCACTTATGAGTGTGAACATATGATGTTTGTTTTTTCATTCCTGAGTTACTTCACTTAGAATAATAGTCTCCAATTCCATCCAGGTTGCTGGATGTCAAAAGCCATTATTTTTTTCCTTTTTGGGGCTGAGTCATATTTTATGTTCCATGGTGTGTGTGTGTGTGTGTGTGTGTGTGTATATATATATATATATATGTATATATGTGTGTGTGTGTGTATACACACCACATTTTCTTCAGACACTTGTTGATTGATGGGGATTTGGGCTGGTTCCATATTTTTGCAATTGCAAATTATGCTGCTATAAACATGCTTGTGCGAGTATCTTTTTCATGTAATAATGACTTCTTTTCCTCTGGGTAGTTACCTAGTAGTGGGATTGCTGGAGCAAATGGTAGATCTACTTTTAGTTCTTTAAGGAATGTCTGCATTGTTTTCCATAGTGGTTGTACTAGTTTACATTTACACCAACAGTGTAAAAGTATTCCCTTTTTGCCACATCCATGCTAACATTTATGATTTTTTGATTGTGGCCATTCTTGCAGGAGTGAGGTGGCATTGCATTGTGGTTTTGATTTGCATTTCCCCACTATCGGTTAGTGATGTTGAGCATTTTTCCATATGCTTGTTGACCATTTGTATATCTTTTTTGACAATTGTCTATTCATGTCCTTAGCCCACTTTTTGATGGGATTGTTTGTTTTTTCTTGCTGATTTGAGTTCTTTGTAGATTCTGGATATTAGTCCTTTGTCAGATATATAGATTGTGATGATTTTCTCCCACTCTGTGGGTTGTCTGTTAATTCTGCTGATTATTTCTTTTGCTGTGCAGATGGTTTTTAGTTTAATTAAGTCCCATGTGTTTATCTTGGTTTTTGTTGCATTTGCTTTTGGGTGTGTGGTCATGAAGTCTTTGCCTAAGCCAATTCTAGAAGGGTTTTCTGATGTTGTCTTCTAGAATTTTTATGGTTTCAGGTCTTAGATTTAAGTATTTGATCCATCTTGAATTGATTTTTGTATAAGGTGAGAGATGATGATCCAGTTTCCTACGTGTGTGGCTTGCCAATTATCTCTGCACCATTTGTTGTTTTCCCCACTGTATGTTCTTGTTTGCTTTGTTGAAGATCAGTTGGCTCTATTTGGCTTTATTTCAGGGTCTTCTATTCTGTTCCATTGGTCTATGTGCCTGTTTTTATACCAGTACCATGCTGTTTTGGTGACTATGGCCTTATAGTATAGTTTGAAGTTGGGTAATGTGATGCCTCCAGATTTGTTCTTCTTGCTTAGTCTTGCTTTGGCTATGTGGATTCTTTTTTGGTTCCATATGAATTTTAGGATTTTTTTTCTGGTTCTGTGAAGAATGATGGCAGTATTTTAATGGGAATTGCATTGAATTTGTAGATTACTTTTGGCAGTATGTTCATTTTCACAATATTGATTCTACCCATCTATGAATATGAGGTGTGTTTCCATTTGTTTATGTCGTCTATGATTCTTCCAGCAGTGTTTCATAGTTTTCTTTGTAGAGCTCTTTCACCTCCTTAGTTAGGTACATTCCTAAGTATTTTGTTTTATTTTTTGCAGCTATTGTCAAAGCAGTTGAGTTTTTATTTGATCATCAGCTTGGTCACTGTTAGTATATAGCAGAACTACAGATTTGTGTACATTAATTTTGTATCCTAAAACTTTGCTGAATTCTTTTATCAGTTCTAGGAGCTTTTTGGAGGAGCCTTTAGGGTTTTCTAGATATACAATCATATCATCAACAAACAGTAACAGTTTGACTTCTTCCTTACTGATTTGGATGCCCTTAATTTCTTTCTCTTTTCTGATTAGTCTGGGTAGGACTTCCAGTACTATGTTGAATAGAAGTGGTGAGAGTGGGCATCCTTGTTTTGTTCCAGTTCTCAGGGAATGCTTTCAACTTTTCCCTGTCAGTATAATGTTGGCTGTGGGTTTGTCACAGATGGCTTTTATTACCTTAAGGTATGTCCCTAGTACATACCATGCTGATTTTCCTGAGGGTTTTCATCATAAAGGGATGCTAGATTTTGTCAAATGCTTTTTCTGCATCTATTGAGGTGATCATATGATTTTTGTTTTTAATTCTGTTTACGTGATGTATCACATTTATTGACTTGTGTATGTTAAACCATCCCTGCATCCCTGTTATGAAATCCACTTGATCATGGTGGATTATCTTTTTGATATACTGTTGGATTTGGTTAGCTAGTATTTTGTTTAGAATTTTTATATTTATGTTTATTAGGGATATTGATCTATAGTTTTCTTTTTTGGTTATGTCCTTCACTGGTTTTGGTATTAAAGTGATACTGGCTTCATAGAATGATTTAAGGAGGATTTCCTCTTTCTCTATCCTGTGGAATAGTGTCAATAGTGTTGGTAGCAATTCTTCTTTGAATGTCTGATAGAATTCAGCTGTAAATCTGTCTGGTCCTGGACTTTTTTTTGGTGACAATTTTTAAATTACTGTTTCAATCTCACTGCTTGTTATTGGTCTATTCAGAGTTTCTCTATCTTCATGGCTTAATCTAGGAGGTTTGTATATTTCCAGGAATTTATTGACCTTCCCTAGGTTTTCTAATTTATGTGCATAAAGTTGTTCATATTGGCCTTGAATAATCTCCTGTATTTCTGTGGTATGAGTAATAATATCTCCCATTTTGTTTCTAATTGAGCTTATTTGGATCTTCTCTCATCTTGGTTTATCTTGCTAATGGTCTACCAGTTTTATTTATCTTTTCAAAGAACCAGCATTTTGTTCATCTTTTGTATTTTTTTTGTTTCAATTTCATTTAGTTCTGCTCTGATCTTTGTTATTTCTTTTCTTCTGCTGAGTTTGGGTTTGGATTGTTCTAGTTCCTCCAGTTCCATGAGGTGTGACCTTAGATTGTTTATTTGTGCTCTTTCAGAATTTTTGATGTAGTGATTTAACGCTATGAACTTTCGTCTTAGCACCATTTTCACTGTATCCCAGAGGTTTTTATAGGTTGTGTCACTATTATTGTTCAGTTTAAATAATTTTTAATTTCCATCTTGACTTCATTATTGACCCAACAATCATTCAAGAGCAGATTATTTAATTTTCATGTATTTGCATGGTTTTGAGGGATCCTTTTGGAGTTGATTTGCAATTTTATGGCACTGTGATCTGAGAGAGTACTTGATATAATTTTGATTTTCTTAAATTTACTGAGACTTGTTTTGTGGCCTATCATATGGTCTATCTTCGAGAATATTCCATATGCTGATGAATAGAATGTATGTTCTGCAGTTGTTGGGTAGAATGTTCTGTAAATATCTGTTAAGTTCATTTGTTGTAGGGTATAGCTTAAGTCCACTGTTTCTTTGTTGACTTTCTGTCTTGATGACCTGTCTAGTACTGTCAGTGGAGTATTAAAGTCCCCCACTATTATTGTGTTGCCATCTATCTCATTTCTTAGGTCTAGTAGTAATTGTTTTATAAGTTTGGGAGCTCCAGTGTTAGGTGCATATATATTTAGGATTGTGATATTAATATTTTCTTGTTGGCCTAGTCCTTTTATCATTATATCATTTCCTTCTTTGCCTTTTTTAACTGCTGATGCCTTGAAGGTTTTTTTAATATGATGTAAGAATAGCTACTCCTGCTCACTTTTGGTGCTATTTGCATGGAATATCGTTTTCCAACTCTTTTTCTTAAGTTTATGTGAGTCCTTGTGGGTTAGATAAGTCTCCTGAAGACAGCAGGAACCCGGTTGGTAGATTCTTATCCATTCTACCATTCTGTATCTTTTAAGTGCAGCATTTAGGTCATTTACATTCAATGTTAGTATTGGGATGTGAGGTACTATTCTATTCATTGTCTATTTGTTGCTTGAATACCTTTTTTTAAAATTTATTTATTGTGTTTTTGTTTTATAGGTCCTGTGAGATTTATGCTTTAAGGAGTTTCTATTTTGGTGTATTTTGAGGATTTATTTCAAGATTTAGAGCTCCTTTTAGCAGTTCTTGTAGTGCTAGCTTGGTAGTGGCGAATTCTCTCAACATTTGTTTGTCTGGAATAGACAGTGTCTTTCCTTCGTTTATGAAGCCTAGTTTCACTGGATACAAAATTCTTCGCTGATAATAGTTTTGTTTAAGGCGGCTAAAAATAGGATCCCAATCCCTTCTAGCTCGTAGGGTTTCTGCTGAGAAATCTGCTGTTGCTCTGATAGGTTTTCCTTCATAGGTTACCTGATGGTTTTGCCTCACAGTTCTTAAGATTCTTTCCTTCATCTTGACTTTAGATAACCTGATGACTAAGTGCCTAGGTGATGATCTTTTTGTGATGAGTCTCCCAGGTGTTCTTTGAGCTTCATGTGTTTGGATGTCTAGATCTCTAGAAAGGCTGGGGAAGTTTTCCTCGATTACTCTCTCAAATATGTTTTCCAGACTTTTAGATTTCTCTTCTTCCCCAGGAACACTAATTATTAGATCTGGTCACTTAACATAGTCCTAAACTTTTTGGAGGCTTTGTTCATTTTTAAAAAATTCTTTTTACTTTATCTTTGACGGATTGGGTACATTTGAAAGCCTTGGCTTCAAGCTCTGAAGTTCTTTCTTCTGCTTATTCGATTCTATTGTTGAGACTTTCCAGTGCATTTTGCATTTCTTTAAGTGTGTCCTTGATTTCCAGAAGTCGTGATTGTTTTTTATTTATGCTATTTCACTGATGATTTTTCCTTTCATATCCTGAATCATGTTTTTGATTTCTTTAAGTCGGACTTCACCTTTCTTTGGTGCCTCCTTGATTAGCTTAATAATTAACCTTCTGAATTATTTTTCTAGCGTCAGACATTTTGTCTTGGTTTGGATCTGTTACTGGTGAGCTGGTGTGATCTTTCGGGGTTGTTAAAGAACCTTGTTTTGTCATATTACCAGAATTGTTTTCCTGGCCCCTTCTCATTTGGGTAGACTGTGTCAGAGAGAAGATCTGGGACTCAAGGGCAGTTGTTCAGATTCTTGTGTCTCACAAGGTGCTCCCTTGATGTGGTATTCTCCCACTTCCCCTAGGGATGAGCCTTCCTGAGAGCAAAACTGCAGTGATTGTTTTTGTTCTTCTGGGTCTAACCACCTAGCAGAGCTACCAGACTCTGGGCTGGCACTGGGGAGTGTCTGCAAAGAGTCCCGTGATGTGATCCATCTTCAGGTCTTTCAGCCGTGGATACCAGCACCAGCTCTGGTGGAGGTAGCAGGGGTGGGAAGTGGACTCTGTGAGGGTTCTTGGTTGTATTTTTATTTAGTGTGCCAGTTTTGTGTTGGTAGGCCTCTAGCCAGGAGGTGGTGCTTTCTGGAGTGCATCAGCTGTGGTACTATAGGGAGGATGCAAACTTGCCCTAGGGTTTCCTGGTTAAGTATTCAGGCTTCTCAGGTGGTGGGCAGGGCCTTAGAGCTCCCAAGACATTATGACCTTTGTCTTCAGCTACCAGGGTGGGTAGAGAGAGACCACTAGGTAGGGGCAGGGATAAGCATGTCTGCCTCAGACTCTCCTTGGGCAGGGCTTGCTATGACTGCTGTGGGGGATGGGGGTGTGGTTCCAAGGCCAATGGGGTTGTGTTCCCAGGGGGATTATGGCTGCCTCTGCTTCATCATACAGGTCATCAAGGAAGTGGGGGAAAGCTGGCAGTCACAGGCCTCACACTGCTCCCATGCAGCCCACTGTCCTAAAGCCCGGTCTCACTCCCGCTGTGCCCCCCAATAGCACTGAGTCTGTTTCCAGGCAGCTGGTGAACAGGGATGAGAACTTGCCCTGGACCACCAGCCTCCCTGCTGAGAAAGCAAGCAGAGTCTCAGTTATTTGGTCTTAGGGAGACTGCAGCATTGATCCAGTTCCTTTAAAGGCTCTGTGGATTCTCTTAGCTTTCCTGGTATCTTCCTGTGGTAATTCTTGGAGCAAAAGCTCATGATGTGAGTTTCCACATGCTTCTCTGTCTGTCCGAGCGGGAGCTGCCAGCTAGTTTTTCCTCCTATCCTCCATCTTCCCTATTACCTGTTGCTAACATCTTATTTTTGTTCCCTATAAATGACTAGCAGTTTGCCATAGGGCCTAGGGTACCTCTTTAAATTTTCTTTTTCTTTTTCTTTTTATCCCTGTCAGCCAGAGTAGGGTACCTTCTAAGTGCTCATACCAGTGATGGCAGCTAGGTAGGGTTGTGTGTGTGTGTGTGTGTGCATGTGTGTGTGTTTTACCTTTTTTGAGGATATTACAATTTGAATTTGGCCTCTTGACCTGTACCTTCTCTTTATTTCACATTCTGACAGAAATGAAGGTGATCAATTTTTATAGATACTGTAACTTTATTTTCTGCCAAATATCTGACAGTTTACATTTTTGATTTGAAAATTTATCTATATAGTCTTATAAAGGAGAAATAACATATTTAATTATATATTTATTTAACTTTAATTTTGGGGAAAAAAGATGAAATATATTATCTTCTGGTAAATCTTTTATATATGATGATAGTATTCGTGGATTTATGATTTGGATTAATTAAATTAATATCTTTAAACTTTCAGAAATATAGTTAAAAATACTCTTTCCTGTAAGGCAAATAAAAATCGTTCTCAGATTATGAAGCTCAACACCTAAAAAGCTTAGGGTGGAATATCAAGTAAGAGGTCTAAAAGAGAAAGACTCATTTCATAGGAGTCTATTTCTATGTCTGTGGAGATATCTGAATGCACTTGTTGAAGGCCTTTTTTTCTGCTAATCTGTTAATGGGGAAGGTATTGATGACCTGATGTGGATGGGCACAATGGAAATTTTAGGACAAAGAGGAAGAAGATTAATGAGGAAATAAATATATTTCATTGATAGACTTGCTCCTGCATGAGCTTGGAATGGGCTGACTTACAGGACAAAGCTCATATCTGTATAACTTGATTTTTGTTATATGTATAATCACTTACCTTGCCAGGATGTCTAGGGCATCAACAGGTGCCACACACAGGACCCTCCCTCTGCCAATGTATGTCATTCAACTGTCTCCTATTGATCACTGGAGAGCTAGGATAATTTATAAGAATACAGCCATGTGTTGGTGGCCTTCCTGACTCTCCTGTATCTTCAGCCTTTCCTTATTAATTTTAGCTTTATTTCCTTAAACTTGAAATATGTCCAAGGCTCTCTCACATATGTAAGTAAGCAATGACAAAAAACCAAAAAAGCCAAAAAGGCTTTCTTCATGCTTCAGGGAATTATCTTAATTATTTTTGTTTGTCCCTATTTCTTTTTTCCCTACTCACTCATTAATCTGGTTTCTCCCTCTGCTATGGTCCAGCACACACATTCTAGTAAGGCTACCCACTCCTAAGTCTTTAGGGACCTTTAGTATGGTGAATCCAATGGACAATGCTCAGATATCTTCATACTTCACTTTCCTGTGGCATTTAATACTCCTAAAAATTTGTTACCTTTCTATTTCTTTTGTAGAATTCTTTTCTTCCATCTACCTCTTAAATGTTGATATTCTGTGGTTTAATCCTTGGTTCTTTTTCCTTACTTTCTAAAGCTTTCTTGAGAGATCTAATAGATACCCTTCTATAATGCCAGTGACTCCTACAATGTCTCTATCCCAAGGTCCAAGCCTATGCTTCTTACTACCTATTAAGTTGCCCTCTATGGATATCTAATAGCTAAATTAAATATACTAGATCTAAAATGAAAAATATTTTTCTCCCTAAATTTGTTTCTTCTCAAAACTTTTAAAAAATATTGCTTAATAATAATACTATTCATTCAGTAACCCATGAAAATTCAGAATCTTACTGTTAAACTTCTGCCTGATCATCAACTGACTATCAGCTACTCCCTCTATTGCTGCACATATTCATTCCTGATCTCCTCCTATCTGTTTGTGTTGGGGATCCCCAAGACCACCCTCCATGTTCTTTGATTTGCTAGAATGACTTGCAGGACTCAGCATATAGTTGCACTCACAAATGAAATTTATTATAGCTAAAAGATACAAAGCAAAATCTACAAAGGGAAAAGGTACATGAAGTAAAGTCTGAGAGGAAGCCAGGTACAAGCTTCCAAGAGTCCTCTCTCTGTGGAGACACACAGGACATGATTAATGTTTTCAGCATTAATTTCAGACAACATATATGAAACGTTGTTTACCAGGCAAGCTCATTAGAGACCCAGTGCCCAATGTTTCTGCAGTTGATTGGTCATGCAGACACCCTCTGTCTTTTACTTACCAAAATTCCAAGTTCTCAGAAGGAAAGCAGGTGTTCCCTGAGCAACCACACTATTTGTATAAACAATTTAGGCAGAGCCATTTTAATAAGTTAGGGAATGTTGAGGATCTTGAAATCCAACTTCCCAGACACAAGCCAAAAGCTAATCTTATAAGTGGCTCTTTCTGAGGATAGCATTCTCAGGCTTGCTATGTAAACTCTCTTCTGTACACTACCATTTGTATTGAATGTCTTTGTAAGAAACATATCAGTTCTCTGGCTAAATGTTTTTAATCTTCATTGGCTATACTACAAATTCCAACTTCCCATTCAATGATGTGTCTCAAAGGTCTATAATGGAACCTAGGGCATGACAGACACTTGATATACTTCATAATTGATTTGAAAACATACAAATTCCTCATCATTTTGTCGTGTTCCGCATTTCCAATGTCATCTCTTATCTCTCCCCAAAGCATACATGGTGTTGCAGACTTTCCAAAGTCTGTTCTTCCCAAGTTTTCTCACACTTGTCAGCTGTTTGCAAGGGAAATTTCTTCTTTCTAGAGTACTCTTCCCTCCCTTAGCTACTAGGCCAAGTCAAGCCTCAGCTGAAGGGTTAGCTCCTACTCTTTCATCCCTTATGATGTGCTCCAGGTAGAGTTAGGTATGCTGTCTGCACATCTATGATATGGCCTTCTTCAGTTTAGAAGATTTAAGAACACATGTAATGAGGATGAATAGGTGTTTTCATGTGGTAGGTCAGCAGGTCACCTATACACATTGCCACAGGGTGGTATTCATTTATTTGCCTGGTGACCTCGCCACAGTGCAGAGTCAGACCCTGAGCTATATGTGCTCAGAATCCAGCCTCAACCACGACTCTGTTAATAAGAATGATTGGATGTAAAGATGCTAACTCACACTAAGAGACCTCACAGTGGCCATTCTGTCAACTTAAAATGAGAAATATCTGTGAAACTGACTTGACATTCACATTTGTCTGTTAAGTACCTTTGTTCTCTGTATTTAAGCTATAATGAAAACCAAATTATCAGGGAGATGCTTGATGAGCATGGAATCAGAACAAGTAGATTTATATCCATTGTGTAATTTCAATATTTTATGACATTAAGCTCCAATGACTGGACACAACTACCTCAGCAATAGGGATGTGCCTTCAGGCAGAGCTGATAATCCTGTAAACCTGATAAAACTCTTCTTCTGAGTAGTTCCTTTGTTAATTGGAGTAAAACTACTGACCTTTCCCCCTTTTTCCCTGTATATGACTCTCTTTTTCTCTGTATATTTAAGTGACTGAGGTACCCCCTGTCTAAGTGGCATATTCTTCCTGATTTTAGTGTATTTAAAACAGATAATAGTCTGAATTTTACTGGCCTGAAGTTCAGTCTATTTCTTTAAGCAGAGTTTCCAAATCTCTGTTCTGATAGATTGTGTTGATTTTTGGGGGCAAAAATATTTTTTCGTATTTTCTATTTTTTTTCTGTGCATTGTGAATACTTATTTATTTTACATTTTTGATTTATTAAAAAACCTGTTACATTCTACAGGTCAGGGACTATAAATTCCTAATTCTGGTGTCCCAATCCCTAAATCAGAATTGTATTACAGACAGATATGTTGCATAAATGAATGTGAGTTGACAATTTTCTTTGGTGGTAAAGCAATGTTAATTTTCATTGGTATTTTAAACTATCTTTAAGTAAAAGTGTTATTTTGCAGTCTGCAATGATTTTAACATTTTAGAAATTGTGATATTTTGTATGTTTTCTGCAATTCAGCTTCCTTTTCAGGAAGTGTTATTCTATCAGTCAATAATGTACTGATACAGAGAAAAAAAAAGTGGTTAAAAGCAAGGCTATTACCTTATAATTTATGTCATTACAATATTCACATGTTAAAATTATACAATAAACTTTGATAAATGATATTTAGCTTAGCAATAGTACAGCATTATTTGTTAAATTTCTTAAATTGGAAATAGCCAGACATGTATGATATCAATGGGACCCTAACTTTGAATTATTATGATTACCAAGGTTTCTGAAAGCCACGAATATTTTTCTGACAAAGGAAGCAGATCAATTATTCTAAATAAAAGCCATAATGTTTATCAATTTTAAATAGTTTATATGTGACAAGTTTATACCAGGATGGTCAGGTATTTACGCCTGTGTTTTATAGTCAGTTTATCTTGCAGTTTATACTGGAATGTTAGAGCTTGTCAGGTATTTATGAGGTTTTTCTTTGTGAGTTTTTTTTTGGAATCTTTTACAGTCATTGTAGGCATTTTACTGCAGGTGAAATACAATAGAAAGCTAACAAGCATCATATGCAATAGACTGTTGTCTACTTTATCTACAAAGTAATAGACTAAGTAAAAATGAAAATAGACAATTAAGAGATCTATTAGCTAAATTGGGGCATGATAAGAGAATGAATGAATGGCTTGCAAGATTAAATAAATGCATGTTAATACTGAATATACATGAAAGTAATCAGCATTGGATAAATTGTTGAGATGACCGAAAAGAGGGAGTGGGGATTAATATAAGACTTTACTTGATAAAATTCAACATCCCTTCATGTTAAAAAGTCTCAATAAACTAGGTATTAATGGAACATATCTCAAAATAATAAGAGCTATTTATGACAAACCAACAGCCAATATCATATTAAATGGGCAAAACCTGGAAGCATTCCCTTTGAAAACCGGTACAAGACAAAGATGCCCTCTCTCACTACTCCTATTCAACATAGTATTGGAAGTTCTGGCCCCGGCAATCAGGCAAGAGAAATAAATAAAAAGTATTCAGATAGGAAGAGGGGAAGTCAAGTTGTCTCTGTTTGCAGATGACATGATTTTATATTTAGAAAACCCCATCATCTCAGCCCCAAAACTTCTTGAACTGATAAGCAATTTTAGCAAAGTCTCGGGATACAAAAATCAATGTGCAAAAATGACAAGCATTCCTTTACACCAACAATAGGCAAGCAGAGAGCCAAATCATGAACTCCCATTCACAATCACTGCAAAGAGAATAAAATACCTAGGAATACAGCTAACAAGGGATGTGAAGGACCTCTTCAAAGAGAATGACAAACCACTATTCAAGGAAATAAGAGAGGACACAAACAAATGGAAAAACATTCCATGCTCATGGATAGGAAGAATTAATATCGTGAAAATGACCATACGGCCCAAAGTAATTTATAGATTCAATACTATTCCCATCAAACTACCATTGACATTCTTCACAGAATTAGAAAAAACTATTTTAAAGTTCATGTGGAATCAAAGAAGACCCCATATAGCCAAGACAATCCTAAGCAAAAAGAATAAAGCTGGAGGCATCATGCTACCTGACTTCAAACTATACTACAAAGCTACAGTAACAAAAACACCATGGTACTAATACCAAAACAGACATGTAGACCAATGGAGCAGAACAGAGACCTTAGAAATATCACCACACATCTATAACCATCTGATCTTCAACAAACCTGACAAAAACAAGCAATGGGGAAAGGATCTCCTATTCAGTAAATGGTTGTGGGAAAACTGGCTAGCCATAAAAAGAAAACTGAAACTGGACCCCTTCCTTACACCATATACAAAAATTAACTCAAGATGGATTGAAGACTTAAAATGTAAAACCCCGAACCATAAAAAACCTAGAAGAAAACCTAGGCAATACCATTCAGGACATAGGCATGGACAAAGACTTCATGACAAAATGCCAAAAGCAGTTTCAACAAAAGCCGAAATTGGCAAATGAGATCTAATTAAACTAAAGAGCTTCTTCACAGCAAAATAAACTATCATCAGAGTGAACAGGCAACCTATAGAATGGGAGAAAATTTTTGCAATCTACCCATCTGACAAAGGTGTAATATCCATAATTTACAAGGAACTTAAACAAATATACAAGAAGAAAATACACAACTCCATCAAAAAGTGGGCAAAGGATATGAACAGACACATCTCAAAAGAAGACATTTATGTGGCCAACGAACATATGAAAAAAAGCTCAACATCCCTGATCATCAGAGAAATGTAAATCAAAACCGCAATGAGATACCATGTCATGCCAGTCAGAATGGCAATTATTAAAAAGTCAGGAAATGATAGATGCTGGTGAGGCTGTGGAAAAATAGGAATGCTTTTACACTGTTGGTGGGAATGTAAATTAGTTCAACCATTGTGGGAGATAGTATGGTGATTTCTCAAGGATCTAACACCAGAAATACCATTTGACCCAGCAATCCCATTACTGGGTATATACCCAAGGGATTATAAATCATTCTACTATAAAGACACATGCACATGTATGTTTACTGCAGCACTATTTACAATAGCAAAGACATGGAACCAATCCAAATACTCATCAGTGATAGACTGGATAAATGAAATGTGGTACAAACACACCATGGAATACCATAGAGCCATAAAAAGGAATGAGATCATGTCCTTTGCAGGGGCATGGATGAAGCAGGAAGCCATCATTCTCCACAAACTAACACAGGAACAGAAAGCCAAACACTGCATGTTCTCACTCATAAGTTGGAGTTGAACAATGAGAATACGTGGACACAGGGTGGGGAACAACACACACCAGGACCTGTTGGGGATGGAGGGTGAGGTGAGGGAACTTAGAGGATGAGTCGATAGGTGTAGCATACCACCACCACTGCACATGTATACTTATGTAACAAACCTGTACATTCTGCACATGTATCCAGTTTTTTTTTTGGAAGAAATACAGGAAAAACATATATAAGACCTTATGTACCCATTAACTTGTCATTTACACACCAACATGGCACACGTATACATATCTAACAAACCTGCATGTTGTACACATGTACCCTAGAACTTAAAGTATAATAAAAAAAACTTTATGTAAACTTCCTTTTTACTTTATTTTCTTTTTCTCTGCCTGATTATATAGTGCTGGGATCTGTATTTCATCTATGAGTTCCAGAGAAAGGATCAATTGCCAAGCATGACAGTATGATAATATATCTAAATATAACTGTCAAATCTATAGAGAAATGGTGGGAGGGGTGTTTATTTCTCACCTGTCTAAGTTGAAATTAATGGTGTCTGCCTTTTTCCTACACAGTGAATAAAAAAATGTACTTTTCCAATCCTATTCCAGAGAAAGGATGAAGCACTTGCTACCTGTGTTGCAGGTCATTCCTCTTGCTGAATCTGGTGTTTATTTTCCATGGCAAAGGGTCTGAATTAAAGTTAATGACAAATGGAAAGAAGGTGAAATAACTGCTGATGCAAAGAGAGTAAATAAATAGATAATGCTAAAAGGGAAAGCTAACATTACCTCGCTTCGTTGTGAGATGCTGAGAGCAAGGGAATGATACTATCTGTAGGCTGTATTTACACATGAACATGGGACTGGCTACAAAATTTGCAGAGCCCAGTGCAAATAAAAATGCAAGGCATTTTGTTCAGAAATGATAAAGCATTTGTAGTCAGTCAAGCATTAAACCAAGTATGTCTCTTGTAAGCATGAGGCGCTGTACAACTGCACAGGTCTCAAACTCTTGAAACCAGCCCTGAATCCTAGAGGAAGGAATCTATTTGCCTGTAAAAATATACTCCTTTATTTGGAGCTAAAGGTCAAGGATGGATCCTAGCATTCAATATAGAGTTGGCTACGTGATGTACCTTGATGACCTTAAGGCCTTGTGGATGAGCACTTGGAATAATTCTATTTTGCTTTGTCTTTTGTTTTCATTTGATGTTATGTGCACTACAGAGGACTCCTATTAGAAGGTAACATGTGGGGATTGTTGCTCCTGTATGCACACAAAGACCTTGTTCTATAACAGAGCCACTGTGTAACTATTAACCTAAGTGATGATCTGTTGAAAAGTGCCTGGAATAAGTGGACATAAAACATTCTCTCATGTTTCCTTGTGTTTATAGGCATGTTGCTATAAGTGGAGACCAATGGCTAAAGTAAAGAAAAGATGAAAAACTGGAACCACTGTTTAGGGATGACAGGGTGAAGTCATCTACATACTGCTGATAGCTCTGATACTCACCAAGGGCACCTATGATAAACTCTATGGGATGTTCAAAGTGGAGTATATTTGAGGGTGACTATTAACTATGTCACACTGTCCTGGGACATTGATATCAGTGTTCAGATTTATTGGGAAAATGGAAATGGAAATTTATGTAATTAAATTATACTCTAATACTAAGTCCTCAGTGACAATGAAACATTTGGTGGAAAAATAAACATCAGTAAAAAAATATTCTAAAAGGGAATTAGAAGAAATTGGTACAGATCCATGTCCTAGAACAAATCACATTTACCTTTAATAAGAGAGCTGTATTGAGAAAAAAGATTTATTTGCCATATTGAATGCTGAAATGATGCTATTTTGGAAAAAAAGGAAAAGGATGGCAATTGGCCTGGACAGACAACACAGCTTTAGGAAAACAGGTAAAACAAACTCAACAGATAGGCAGCCAGTTTGCTAGGGGGGCATAAATGGGGAACAGTATGCAGGCTGACCTCAGAGGGACTATTATTTAGCTCAAGGAAAATAGCCAAAATTTTGGCAGTAGAAGCCAGGGAATAAATTTGTGGGAGACTTATGATATCTCTAGTAAATTGCAATTTATAAATGAAAAACGTAATTTATATGGGTGGCTTTCTAACTTGCAAGACCCCATGTACCAACAAAAACCACATATATTGGTCAAGTTTCTTCAAAGAAGCTAAACCAATAGAACGCACACACACACACACACACACACACACACACAAACACACACACACACACACGGAGAGAGAGAGAGAAAGTCAGCCCTCAGTATTTATGAGTTCCACATACATGGATTTAATCAACCACGCATAGAAAATATTTGAAAATAATGCAACTGTACTGAACATGTAAAGACTTCTTTTCCTCATCATTATTCTCTAAAAAGGGAGGAATAACGTATAACAGGAATACATTATACCAGAATAATGGAATACAGGAATAATGTATAACAATACAACAATTATTTACATAGACTTTACATTGTATTAGGTATTATAAATAATCTAGAGATGATTTAAAACATACAGAGCATGTGCATAGGTTATATGAAATACTACATCATTTTATTTCAAGGACTGGAGCATCCACAAATTTGGTACCTATGGAAGGGACAACTGTATACACATTATCTAACTATATACAGTGTATACACACTATATATATGGTGTGTATACAGTTGTATATATAGTTGTATATATAAACATACACCATATATAGTGTATATACAGTTGTATACACACTATATATAAATATACATATATAAATTTATCTATATATTTATGTATATATAAATATATATGTACATACAAATTTATCTTTTATCTTTCTTTCATATATATACAATATATTGTGTCTCCCCATCCACATCTCTATCATCTATATCTATCTCTATCTGTTTTTATATCTAGACAGTTCAGTCCATGACAATATCTGTGCAAATATCATTTTTTTTAGAAGGGTAAGAAAATTCTATTGATATTCTGATTAATCTTGTTAGGATCTTAGGATAACTCATAATGTAACTGGATTTTGGTGTAACACTAGTATAACTGGTAACGTTAATTTGATTTTAACGAACCTATGATAAGCTGACGTCAGTGCTGCGATTTACTGGGGGAATGAAAAAGCTCCCACGAGCTGTTCTTCTCATGAAAGCTGATTGGTTAGAGAAAGAACAGATTTTGACAGATTTTGTTAATCATCAATCAACTGTTACATTAAATTTGTTTATATTGATAACTTTCAGAAAGCTCATATTTAGCAAGGAGCTGTCAAGTTTGTACATGATTTTGAATGCCTATGGTGGAATATTTCGTAAACTCAAATGAATGTAAAGCAATGCCTACTCCTCAATGGAAGATACAAATGATTAGTGTTTGGGTGCGTATCTTTCTACTTCTTTTATTCTGTAAATGTTGAAAGATGCAAAAAGAATAATGCTATGTGGTTTGGAATTTAGAAAGCTGACCAAGGGTCAGGGGCTTGGACTATATAAGTATAGGTCTAATTTCAGTTGTGCTGTTGTATCCCTGTACTTATCTTCAAGTTCCCTAGAGCCATAGTGCCGACCACTGGCCAAACCTGAATGAAATATGCTAACTAGTGATTGATACAGATCTGTACTAGGGTCTGAAAAACATCAGGAACAACCTTAGCAGTTTATCAGCATTTATTTCAGAAAACGTACAGATTGATTGTTTTCATGTAGTTTTTGCTATTGAGCCTGGTCATGCAACTTGCTTTTGGCTGTGTGATCAGTGTGATATTAAAAACTCTTGCTCAGGTGCGACTGTGATGCCACTGAAAAGATGTCTCACACAGTCTTTGTGATTCATGATCTGAAGATGAAATGTGTTCTGCGAGACTGAGAAAAAACCCTGGGAACCAGAACTGGAAGTCTCAGGTTGCTCTGATGTTGGCCTGTGATTTTCCTGCTGTACTACATTCTTTACTCTTTTAAATGTCTTATGTGAGTATGCTGTGGAGTATGATGAGTCTTTTCAATTATTAAACACGCTATAATTACTGCTATATATATATTTGTTTTCCAGAACCTTTTAACAGTAAGTTGCAAAGGTGATGACTCTTTACCTCTAAATATTTTAATATGTATTACCAAAAGAAAAAAAAAGAAATTGTCTTACAACAGTGCAATTATAATATTAAGAGATTAACATTAGTATCATATGATTATTTATGCAGTATATTACATATTATCTGTTATATAATCTGTGAGATTTATTCAAATTTGTCTTTATATAGACTTCATTCAGACTTTATACAGTAATGTTCTGCTAGACAAAGTAAACCCAAGGTCATGTATTATATTTGGTTACCATATATCTTAAATATCTTTTAATTTGAATCTTCTTAAGTCTTTGTCTTTCATGACATTGACACTCTTGAAGAGCAAGGCCATTTATTCAGTAGACTGTTTCTCAGTTTGGGTTTGTCTGGTGTTTTCTCGGGATTAAATTTAGTTTATGCACGTTTGGCAGGAATATTATAGATGTGATGCTGAATTCTTACTGCATTATATCAGGAAGCACAAACTATCAATTAGTCTCATTATCAAATATATTAAACTTGATTAAGATGGTGTCTGCCAGGTTTTTCCCCTATGAAGTTACTATTTTATCCTTTGCAGTTAGTATGTATCCTGGGGGTAGATACTTTGACACTATGTAAATATTCTGTTATTCCCTTAAATTTTGTCCTCTAGTTTTAGCATCCTTTGCTAATTCTTGCCTAAACTAACTGTCATAATAGTTGCCAACTGGGGGAGAGCAAAGATGGCCAAATAGGAACAGCTCCGGTCTACAGGTCCCAGCGTGAGCAACGCAGAAGATGGGTGATTTCTGCATTTCCATCTGAGGTACCGGGTTCATCTCACTAGTGAGTGCCAGACAGTGGGCGCAGGACACTGGGTGCAGCGCACCATGCACCAGCCGAAGCAGGGCGAGGTGTTGCCTCACTCGGGAAGTGCAAGGTGTCAGGGAGTTCCCTTTCCTAGTCAAAGAAAGGGGTGACAGATGGCACCTGGAAAATCGGGTCACTCCCACCCTAATACTGTGCTTTTCCGATGAGCTTAAAAAAACGGCATACCAGGAGATTATATCCCGCACCTGGCTCAGAGGGTCCTACACCCGCGGAGTCTCACTGATTGCTAGCATAGCAGTCTGAGATCAAACTGCAAGGCGGCAGGAAGGCTGGGGAGGGACACCCGCCATTGCCCAGGCTTGCTTAGGTAAACAAAGCAGCCGGGAAGCTGGAAGGGGGTGGAGCCCACCACAGCTCAAGGAGGCCTGCCTGCCTCTGTAGGCTCCACCTCTGGGGGCAGGGCATAGACAAACAAAAAGACAGCAGTAACCTCTGCAGACTTAAATGTCCCTGTCTGACAGCTTTGAAGAGAGCAGTGGTTCTCCCAGCACACAGCTGGAGATCTGAGAACGGGCAGACTGCCTCCTCAAGTGGGTCCCTGACCCCTGACCCCCGAGCAGCCTAACTGGGAGGCACCCCCCAGTAGTGGCACACTGACACCTCAGATGGCCGGGTACTCCTCTGAGACAAAACTTCCAGAGGAATGATCAGACAGCAGCATTCGCGGTTCATGAAAATCCGCTGTTCTGCAGCCACCACTTCTAGTACCCAGGCAAACAGGTTCTGGAGTGGACCTCTAGCAAACTCCAACAGACCTGCAGCTGAGGGTCCTGTCTGTTAGAAGGAAAACTGACAAACAGAAAGGACATCCACACCAAAAACCCATCTGTACATCACCATCATCAAAGACCAAAAGTAGATAAAACCACAAAGATGGGGAAAAAACAGAGCAGAAAAACTGGAAACTCTAAAAAGCAGAGTGCCTCTCCTCCTCCAAAGGAACGCAGTTCCTCACCACCAATGGAACAAAGCTGGACAGAGAATGACTTTGACGAGTTGAGAGAAGAAAGCTTCAGACGATCAAACTACTCCGAGCTACAGGAGGAAATTCAAACCAAAGGCAAAGAAGTTAAAAACTTTGAAAAAAATTTAGATGAATGTATAACTAGAATAACCAATACAGAGAAGTGCTTAAAGGAGCTGATGGAGCTGAAAGCTAAGGCTCGAGAACTACGTGAAGAATGCAGAAGCCTCAGGAGCTGATGCAATCAACTGAAAGAAAGGGTGTCAGTGATGGAAGATGAAATGAATGAAATGAAGCGAGAAGGGAAGTTTAGAGAAAAAAGAATAAAAAGAAACGAACAAAGCCTCCAAGAAATATGGGACTATGTGAAAAGACCAAATCTACGTCTGATTGGTGTACCTGAAAGTGACAGGGAGAATGGAACCAAGTTGGAAAACACTCTGCAGGATATTATCCAGGAGAACTTCCCCAATCTAGCAAGGCAGGCCAACATTCAGATTCAGGAAATACAGAGAACGCCAGAAAGATACTCCTCGAGAAGAGCAACTCCAAGACACATAATTGTCAGATTCACCAAAGTTGAAATGAAGGAAAAAATGCTAAGGGCAGCCAGAGAGAAAGGTCGGGTTACCCACAAAGGGAAGCCCATCAGACTAACAGCTGATCTCCTGGCAGAAACTCTACAAGCCAGAAGAGAGTGGGGGCCAATGTTCAACATTCTTAAAGAAAAGAATTTTCAACCCAGAATTTCATATCCAGCCAAACTAAGCTTCATAAGTGAAGGAGAAATAAAATACTTTACAGAGAAGCAAATGCTGAGAGATTTTGTCACCACCAGGCCTGCCCTAAAAGAGCTCCTGAAGGAAGCACTAAACATGGAAAGGAACAACCAGTACCAGCCACTGCAAAATCATGCCAAATTGTAAAGACCATCGAAGCTAGGAAGAAACTGCATCAACTAACGAGCAAACTAACCAACTATCGTCATAATGACAGGATCAAATTCACACATAACAATATTAAATTTAAATGTAAATGGACTAAATGCTCCAATTAAAAGACACAGAATGGCAAATTAGATAAAGAGTCAAGACCCATCACTGTGCTGTATTCAGGAAACCCATCTCATGTGCAGAGAAACACATAGGCTCAAAATAAAAAGATGGAGGAAGATCTACCAAGCAAATGGAAAACAAAAAAAGGCAGGGGTTGCAATCCTAGTCTCTGATAAAACAGACTTTAAAGAAACAAAGATCAAAAGAGACAAAGAAGGCCATTACATAATGGTAAAGGGATCAATTCAACAAGAAGAGCTAACTATCCTAAATATATATGCACCCAATACAGGAGCACCCAGATTCATAAAGCAAGTCCTGAGTGACCTACAAAGAGACTTAGACTCCCACACAATAGTAATGGGGACTTTAACACCCCACTGTCAACATTAGACAGATCAACGGGACAGAAAGTTAACAAGGATACCCAGGAATTGAACTCAGCTCTGCACCAAGTGGACCTAATATACATCTACAGAACTCTCCACCCCAAATCAATGGAATATACATTTTTTTCAGCACCACACCTATTCCAAAATTGACCACATAGTTGGAAGTAAAGCTCTCCTCAGCAAATGTAAAAGAATAGAAATTATAACAAACTGTCTGTCAGACCACAGTGCAATCAAACTAGAACTCAGGATTAAGAAACTCACTCAAAACCGCTCAACGACATGGAAACTGAACGACCTGCTCCTGAATGACTACTGGGTACATAACAAAATGAAGGCAGAATTAAAGATGTTCTTTGAAACCAACGAGAACAAAGACAGAACATACCAGAATCTCTGGGTCACATTCAAAGTAGTGTGTAGAGGGAAATTTATAGCACTAAATGCCCACAAGAGAAAGCAGGAAAGATCCAAAATTGACACCCTAACATCACAATTAAAAGAACTAGAAAAGCAAGAGCAAACACATTCAAAAGCTAGCAGAAGGCAAGAAATAACTAAAATCAGACCAGAACTGAAGGAAATAGAGACACAAAAAACTCTTCAAAAAATTAATGAATCCAGGAGCTGGTTTTTTGAAAGGATCAACAAAATTGATAGACTGCTAGCAAGACTAATAAAGAAGAAAAGAAAGAAGAATCAAATAGACGCAATAAAAAATGATAAAGGGGTTATCACCACCGATCTCACAGAAATACAAACTACCATCAGAGAATACTACAAACACCTCTACACAAATAAACTAGAAAATCTAGAAGAAATAAATAAATTCCTCGACACATACACCCTCCCAAGACTAAACCAGGAAGAAGTTGAATCTCTGAATAGACCAATAACAGGCTCTGAAACTGTGGCAGTAATCAATAGCTTACCAACCAAAAAAGTCCAGGACCAGATGGATTCACAGCTGAATTCTACCAGAGGTACAAGGAGGAACTGGTACCATTCCTTCTGAGACTATTCCAATCAATAGAAAAAGAGGGGATCCTCCCTAACTCATTTTATGAGGCCAGCATCATCCTGATACCAAAGCCGGGCAGAGACACAACCAAAAAAGAGAATTTTAGACCAATATCCTTGATGAATATTGATGCAAAAATCCTCAATAAAATACTGGCAAAACGAATCCAGCAACACGTCAAAAAGCTTATCCACAATGATCAAGTGGGCTTCATCCCTGGGATGCAAGGCTGGTTCAATATACGCAAATCAATAAATATAATCCAGCATATAAACAGAACCAAAGACAAAAACCACACGATTATATCAATAGATGCAGAAAAGGCCTTTGACAAAATTCAACAACCCTTCATGCTAAAAACTCTCAATAAATTAGGTATTGATGGGATGTATCTCAAAATAATAGGAGCTATCTATGACAAACCCACAGCCAATATCATACTGAATGGACAAAAACTGGAAGCATTCCCTTTGAAAACTGGCATAAGACAGGGATGCCCTCTCTCAGCACTCCTATTCAACATAGTGTTGGAAGTTCTGGCCAGGGCAATTAGGCAGGAGAAGGAAATAAATTGTATTCAATTAGGAAAAGAGGAAGTCAAATTGTCTGTTTGCAGATGACATGATTGTATATCTAGAAAACCACATGGTCTCAGCCCAAAATCTCCTTAAGCTGATAAGCAACTTCAGCAAAGTCTCAGGATACAAAATCAATGTACAAAAATCACAAGCATTCTTATACACCAATAACAGACAAACAGAGAGCCAAATCATGAGTGAACTCCCATTCACAATTGCTTCAAAGAGAATAAAATACCTAGGAATCCAACTTACAAGGGACGTGAAGGACCTCTTCAAGGAGAACTACAAAACACTGCTCAATGAAATAAAGAAGGATGCAAACAAATGGAAGAACATTCCATGCTCATGGGTAGGAAGAATCAATATCGTGAAAACGGCCATACTGCCCAAGGTAATTTACAGATTCAATGCCATCCCCATGAAGCTACCAATGACTTTCTTCACAGAATTGGAAAAAACTACTTTGAAGTTCATATGGAACCAAAAAAGAGCCCACATCGCCAAGTCAATCCTAAGCCAAAAGAACAAAGCTGGAGGCATCACACTACCTGACTTCAAACTATACTACAAGGCTACAGCAACCAAAACAGCATGGTACTGGTACCAAAACAGAGAAATAGATCAATGGAACAGAACAGAGCCCTCAGAAATAATGCCGCATATCTACAACTATCTGATCTTTGACAAACCTGAGGAAAACAAGCAATGGGGAAATGATTCCCTATTTAATAAATGGTGCTGGGAAAACTGGCTCGCCATATATAGAAAGCTGAAACTGGATCCCTTCCTTACACCTTATACAAAAATTAATTCAAGATTGATTAAAGACTTAAACGTTAGACCTAAAACCATAAAAACCCTAGAAGAAAACCTAGGCATTACCATTCAGGACATAGGCATGGGCAAGGACTTCATGTCTAAGACACCAAAAGCAATGGCAACAAAAGCCTAAATTGACAAATAGGATCTAATTAAACTAAAGAGCTTCTGCACAGCAAAAGAAACTACCATCAGAGTGAACAGGCAACCTACAAAATGGGAGAAAATTTTTGCAACCTACTCATCTGACAAAGGGCTAATATCCAGAATCTACAATGAACTCCAACAAATTTACAAGAAAAAAACAAACTACCCCATCAAAAAGTGGGCGAAGGACGTGAACAGACACTTCTCAAAAGAAGATATTTATGCAGCCAAAAAACACATGAAAAAATGCTCATCATCACTGGCCATCAGAGAAATGCAAATCAAAACCACAATGAGATACCATCTCACATCAGTTAGAATGGCAATCATTAAAAAGTCAGGAAACAACAGGTGCTGGAGAGGATGTGGAGAAATAGGAACACTTTTACACTGTTGGTGGGAGTGTAAACTAGTTCAACCATTGTGGAAGTCAGTGTGGCGATTCCTCAGGGATCTAGAACTAGAAATACCATTTGACCCAGCCATCCCATTACTTGGTATATACCCAAAGGACTATAAATCATGCTGCTACAAAGATACATGCACACGTATGTTTATTGTGGCACTATTCACAATAGCAAAGACTTGGAACCAACCGAAATGTCCAACAATGATAGACTGGATTAAGAAAATGTGGCACATATACACCATGGAATACTATGCAGCCATAAAAAATGATGAGTTCATGTCCTTTGTAGGGACATGGATGAAATCGGAAATCATCATTCTCAGTAAACTATCGCAAGAACAAAAAACCAAACACCGCAGATTCTCACTAATACGTGGGAATTGAACAATGAGAACACATGGACACAGGAAGGGGAACATCACACTTTGGGGACTGTTGTGGGGTGGGGGGAGGGGGGAGGGATAGCTTTAGGAGATATACCTAAAGCTAAATGACGAGTTAATGGCTGCAACACACCAGCATGTCACATGTATACATATGTAACTAACCTGCATGTTGTGCACATGTACCCTAAAACTTAAAATATAATAATAATAAAATAAAAAAATTAAAAAAAGTAGTTGCCAACTGATGATTTTCTAATGATATCATTCTGTTGCTATTTATTAGTCGGCTTTCTATTGGAAGAAAGGGCCCCTACTCCTACCTTTCTTTTTGTCAGTGTGGATGCATGGATTCTGGCTCTATAGATTATGTTGATGCTCATCTTGTCCCTGATTTGTTCAGTGGGGACCACTTTAAGCTGGCTTTTGTGTCCTTTTGACATATCCCCTCCATTTTTGGATGCTTCCAAAATTTTTGGCATAACAAGATGTTCCTGGCTTCATTGTGTACTTTCCTTGCCTCAGCCCTGCAATCAGCTGTTTCTCCAAGAAGCCCTAATTCCTTTCAATGAAGAATGGTATTTAATGAAATGACACTAGAGAATGAGAACCATGAACAATATCCTATTCCTTTGTCTCAAAAGAAGGATAACTACAGCAACAAGAGAAAGAAGAATATAATAAAAATAAGTACTGCTTTCTGTTCACTTGCAACCTATCATGTACCAGAGTAGGGGCTTTCAAATAACTGTATGTAAGTTTCATAACATGTTTAAGAAAGCAATACCCTGGTACTAAGTATGCTGATTGCAATTCGGTTGTCTTGGCTTATAGACCTCCTCAACAGACAGAGCTAGGAAATGGAATCTTTATATGAATGTGCATGTTCATATACTTAAAACTTTACATTCCACTATCACTCCCAATTTCCTTTTCTTCATGGTACTTATCACCTAATATAGTACATAGTTTATTTATAATGCTTATTAATATTAGATTCGTTATCATCTTTGTCTTTTTCTACCAGAATGTAAGCTCCATAATAGTGTGAATTTTAATCTGCTTTGTTTACTGATGCATTCCAAGCAGGAAGAACAGTGCTGGGGTTCAACAGCGATTTATGAATGGAAAATAAATGAACTCCAGGGAACACAAAAATTGGTATAAGAAAGAAAATCTAATTGTATTATATAGTTCCACCGTGAAGAGTGTTTCTGTAGTTATAAACTATATTAAATTAACACTACATGTTAACGTAAATTAGTTATGATATTATATTGTAAAGATGGAGTGGGGAAAAAAGGATACATATGTGAGATGAAAGAATTCTAAATCTTTACTTTTTTGGCAAAGTCAATAGATAATGCCTAAAATGGAAAAATCAATAAATAACTATTTCAACTTTTTGTGTTTGTTTTTTGCTATATAATTGCCCACCAAAAAACAAAACAACAACAACAAAAAAACAAACAAAAACAAGTAGAGAAGTTGAAGACAGTTGTTTCTGAGGAATTGAAGAGAGCATGATGGAGAGGCTACAGAAAAATACATTTTAAAAATAAATAGGGCAGAATACTTGATGGATTAAATTAGGTGTCTCTGGTATAACTACTTTTAACATATTGTCTGATCATCTCCCTACAGATCCAAACATACCTTTGATAATAATGAAATAAAAATTTTCTTAAGAGAAATCACATATATGAATGACTATATGAAAATATGCAAGTTATTAATTTTTCTGGAATCTGCTCTAAAATATACCCTTTTAAAAGACAGGTCAGCAGATACCTGTGTCAACTGACATTTTTAATGCTCAGTTGCACATTGCAATGAACCTATCTGCCTACATTGCTGAAACTTTTCATCTTGTTCACTCTAAGTGGAGAATGTCACACACTTGTAATGTTATGTAGGATAATTTTTTTCTCTTCTTCATACCACATATTGTGTTTTTCTCCCAAGTGAGTGGTTTGCTTTACTGTATGACATGGCAAACCAAAAAGCTGACAGCCTTTGTCTGTGTAGGGTGTTAGAAAATTCACAGAAGCATTTTTCTCTCACCATGCAGGATCTCTCAGCAGCTATCCTGTTTACTAATTTTTCTCCTGGGCTTTATTATAGCCTTTTCCACCCAGCTGTTCTTTTTTTCCCCTTGATTTCATTACATATTTCACCATAAATTGCATGAAATTCTATAAATTTCTTAAATGTCTTTTGAAACAAAGAAAGGTATAAATGAATAAATAATAAACTAATTACATATCTTTTTATTCACTGAAACAGAAAATCATTCCTGAGGTATTTATAATTCCTGGAGATGAAAGATGTATAGTTATAATTCTTCTAATTGTTTACTTGGATCTGCTTTTCTTAATTTAGTTAATGTTTTCTATAATCTTGCCTTAAATTTTGAGGGAAACATTTAAGATAATTTAAAATCAATGTACTAAATGTTTATTTTTAAATGATAGGACAATAGATTTTTGAGTGAGAAATGGCTGTAGATTTTTTCTCTTTCACAGTCCTGTGATTGGCTACTTATTTTATTCCCATTTTCTTTCTCTTGTTTTGTTGGAAAATCCTTTCCTTAAACTAAAACACACACTCTCTCACACACAATAATTTTAGTTTTTTCTCTGTGTTTTATAAAGTGCTCAGCACTGGGAAAATTCAAATGCATAAAACAAGCTCCTTGAGCAAGTTACTCTAAAAACCTGCTTGCTGACCTGTAAAGCAGGGATAATAGTAGCACCTATCTCACAGAAATTTGGTCTGAGTCTTGAACAAGATAAAGCACCAGCCCACATAGTGAGGAACTCAAGGAATGTTTGCCGCTGCCACATTTCACTGGCTTGTTGCTAACGCTAAATAAAGACCTCTGAAAAATGCACA
Source organism: Homo sapiens (assembly GCF_000001405.40). Lineage (NCBI taxonomy): Eukaryota > Metazoa > Chordata > Mammalia > Primates > Hominidae > Homo > Homo sapiens. The sequence continues at coordinate 99,397,145 of NC_000001.11, read as the reverse complement.
GCATTATTAAAATGTAAGGAAGTATGTTAAATGAAATCTTACTAGTGGTAGGTTATAATTTCAGCCAAGTGAATGCTTTTTGAATGTGATCCTATCTTGAAGCATATTAAGTATTTATATAATTTTTTTTGAAACTGTATATAGGTCTTAACACAGCTCCATTAACATTTCATACTTAACCCTTAGTTCAAGTTTAATACCTTATTGAATCTTCATCCTAATGTTCAATTCATTACCTCTAATTTTCCAGTTTTGTGTGTTTGTAAATGTTATAAATAAATATATCAAAGCCATTGATAATTCTATTGATTTGTGTGAACATTATCCTGCTGCATATTACCACTAAACAGTTATTTAATAAATGTCTTAGACAATTTACTTTTGATTTTTTTTCAAGTAGAGCAATCTCTCAATTTTTGTCTGGAAAGAAATTTTATTTATTTATGTTCCTCAGACTCACAGAAGCAAAGGGCTTGGCTAAAAACCTATTTAAATCCCTTTGTTGTAATAGGTAGGCTATCTCCCACTGGGGTTGTTCTGGCCAGCAGTCTTACTGAAGCTGACCTTTTTAATAGCTAAATCAATAGTAGAATTTAGAACCAGGATGACTTCTGTAGTGGATGCGTGCAGTCTTATTGCCTATATTTACTGAGGCGTTTGATAGTAATTTTGGGGAAAAAAGCCTCACAAAACCATAATTATTTAATTTGAATTTATTATGACATTAGGTATTTTGTATCAGGAAAGGCACTCTTCCCTAAAGCTATGTTATATCTGTAGGAAAGGTAATTCAGGGAGTGAGAAATAGTTCATGTTCAATTTGAGGTTATTGGGTTTCCTATTATGAAGAAATGCGTAAATCTATATCTTAAAGCACCAAGATTAGGACATTTATTTCTTCCACCTCTATACTTACAAATGGTCTGGCCCAAATCTATCTATCCAAACTTATTGCTGTAATGTGGACCCTTTGCTCTATTTAATGCAGGTTTCCATCTTTTCCACTTAAGCATATTACTACCCATTTCTGAATTTTCTGTTTCTCTTCTTTCTAGAACCCACTCCTTAGGATCTCTCTACCGATATAAATTCTATTCGAAAATTTTCCCTAAGTAAACCTCTTTCAAAACGATATTTTTTTCCTTCTTTGTTTCCACTGAACCATAATGTTTGTAACATATTTTATCATATGGATTTTTTTGTGTATAGAAGTGTTATCTTTCCAAATCATATCTCATTAATCCAGGATGAATAGTTAGCTTTATAAAATAACTGAAATCACCACTTTGGTAAGAAACTTTTAAAAAATGTTAATTTTGTTAATTTTTACAAAAGATGTTACTTCCCTACTTAAGTAAATATCTATATTAAAACAACTTAGGCTTTTCTTGATGATGTATGATCATAAACATGTGTTGTTTTCTCCTGATACAATTGGCCCCCAAACTACTGTCAGTTGTTGCTCCTCAAGGCATAAACATTAACAAGGATCCCCTATTTCTCAATCAAGCCTCTGCTTCTAAGAAGATTCAATTATTTGTTCATTTAGTATTTATTGATCACTGTATTTCAGTATTAGACTAGTTACTAGACAATAGTAAAGCAGACATTGCTAGGTCTTATAGTACTTATAGAGTATAGATACTAAACAAAAAGCACAAAAATAGAAGTATAAATTAGAGAAGGCACAAAGAAGGAAAATTACAGGGATATTATGATGAAGTAAAACAAAGGTAACGGATTTAGACTGGTATGTCAAGGAAAGCCTCCACAGAGAAGGGACATTTAAGCTGAAACCCGAAGAGCAGGTAAACCTTAGCCAGATGAGGAGCAAGGGAAGAACATCCCAGGCCAAGGGAATATCATATGTTAAAGCCCCAGGTTGCAAAGGAGCTTGGTGCTTGTAGGAATTAAAGAGAAGCCAATGTCGCAGGAGTATAGTGACACAAAGCAATGTGCAGCTGGTGGAGTCAGACACTGCATGACCTTTTTGGCTATTTTATGGATTTAAATTTTTCCTAAGTGCAGTTGGAAATAGGTTTAAGCAGGAAAGTGGGAAGATCTCAAATATATCTTAAGAAGATTTCCAGCTGCATGGATTGAACAGGTAAGGGAGAAATTCCCTGAATAGTCGCAAGTCTGATTACAAGGTCCAGGCAGTGGCTCCACGTATTATTGGTGACAGTGGAGGTTGTGAGAAGTGGACAGAATCAGGTTTGACTTTGGAGGTCTGAGCAACAGAATTTGCTGATGGATTTGTTATGTGGGTGAGAAGGTAGAGATCAATGATACTTTTTTTCAGGGCATGAGTGAGTGAAGGAGGTCGTTTGGAGACAAAGACATAATTGTAAGTGTGTATAACCAGGAGGCACAGAATCTCTTAACCTATGTAACTGTTGTCTGTCACCTGAAGTCTGAATTTAGTTATTTTCAGATCCTTGGTGTTATTACTGAGGGCTGAGGCTCCTAGAGATTGGCATTCTGGACATATGAAGGTCAAATTTTAGAGCTTAAGCCTTTTGGTACCAGGGACCAAATATCACACTTCTGAATTCTCTTAAAGTGTTGTTCTCAGCACAGAGTAGGTGGTCACTAAGCTAATTTCATGTTAACTAATTAGTGTTTCATTAATGATAATTGTTGGATAATTTCCTTGCCGGTAAGGATTATGTTTTACATTTGTTTTTCACTCTTTTTAGTTGTGGGCACATGGTGCTTCTTTAGAAGACCTGAATTAGAGGTTGCACTTTTACTATTTGTCCTGATTAACATTAAGGACAGGACAGGAGAAAGAATATTTAAGAAACTCATTGTGCATAGTGAATGTGACTATATTTAGTTAAATTAAAATCTTTCTGCTTCCTTATACTTTTTCCTGCTCAACAAGTTTGGAAGCCAGAATTAGATGTGCGTACACATTTTGGCTGCTCCTGGTTCTCTTATTGGGTTCTGCCTGATTGCAGAGAAAGTTTATTCTCATCTCTTTCTCTGCCATGATGTAAATTGAATGGAGCAGTGTTAAATAATTATTCTGACACTTGTTAAAATGGTGAGGAAGACTATTCAGAACTATGGTGATAGTTGTCCAGACTATTGTAATAGGGAAGGAAGATCCAGCTCAATTTCAAATACAAAAATAAATGGAATTTTACAGCTAAGGAGCAGGTTAGGGAGAAGGGGGGGCAGTGGATGGAAAATTCCTAAGAGAAGACATCAAGGGTAGGGGTAATTCTTGCTAAACTAACATGATCCTTGCTGAAGGCAGACCAAGATGACGAGGTATCACCTAGAAGATGGTAAGAGATGAGGAATTTAATCAGATATCAAGGATGATCAAATATCAAGGGTGGGGGATTCTTTCTAAACTAATTTAGCAAAATTCATGATAAAATTGGGATAGGCAGGCTCAGCAAGGACAGGGGCAAAGGTCAAGCTTTAGTAGAAAGAAGGCTCAGAGACAAATTGGTCAAGGAGAGAGTCTGTCAGCAGGCTCTGCCTCTGTGGGCCTACAGTGGTCCTCTAGCTGTTCACAGCTGCTAGACTGGCTGAGACATCTTGCATGCAGATCTAAGCTATTCTCCAAATGACTTTACTCATAATAAAGCTGAAATATTTACCTTCTACTGTTTGACAGCTAGGTCTATATTTTGAATGGCTCAGAACTCAGGTGGAGAATATGGATGTTGTTGATATTCATTGAGTCAGGGTTCTCTAGAGGGACAGAACTAATGGAATAGATATAAATATAAAGGCAAGTTCATTAAATATTAACTCACACAATCACAAGGTTCTACAATAGGCTGTCTGCAGGCTGAGGACAAAGGAGAGCCAGTCCGAGTTCCAAAAATGAAGAACCTGGAGTCCGATGTTCTAGGGCAGAAAGTATCCAGCACAGGAGAAAGATGTAGGCTGGGAGGCTAGGCCAGTCTCCCTTTACACATTTTTCTGCCTGCTTATATTCCAGCCTCGATGACAGCTGATTAGATTGTGCCCACCCAGATTAAGGGTGGGTCTGCCTTTCCCAGCCCACTGACTCAAATGTGAATCTCTTTTAGCAACATCCTTATAAACACACCCAGGATCAATACTTTGTATCCTTCAATCCAATCAAGTTGACACTCAGTATTAACCATCACAGCCTTTAAGAAACCCAACACATATGTCCAGATATACCAATGCATTTACCTGTTTTTTGCAACATAGGAAAAGAGGTAACTCCAGAACTACAGTTATAACTACATTGTATTAGTCTAGGTTTTTTAGGTATGTTATTTCATTTATTCTCACAATGTCACTGAAGAAGTCAATAATACCATAGAAAACTACAGCAGTGCCAGATGTTTGATTATAATTATTTTGTTTTGTTGGTTTTCTAAAATATACCAGCTGATTCTAGGTATAAAAAGGCGGGACCAGACATTTTCATACATTCTATTATTGCATTCATCTGTGTCATATTGTGCAATTGAGTGTCAGTTGGAAATTTTATATACTGTTCAAGCTTGACACATCCTGAAAGAGTTTTGCTAAAAAGTTATGCTAAGCAAATACAAATTATCAACTTTGTGCAACCAACAGTTCATTTTACTTATTCTGTAAAAACCTGGTAACCTGCTATATCTGCTTCTCCCAGCTCTAATTATCTTCATTTATGTTCTTGAAATTGACTTCTCTGAAAATTATGTAACCAAAAAAAATTTCTCAGAATGTGATACTGAGATGATTTGTTTGACCAAACTAAATTATAGCAAAGGATTAGACAACTATTATCTTAGTGAAAACAGCAGTAATTTGGAAGTTTAAAATCTTTCAGTTTGCAATTTTTCCTGTAATTTTATCTTTTCTCTGAGAACTATTTCTTCCTTTCTACAAATAATAGTGACTAATTTCCCACTTTTGTATTTTCTTTTTATCTTATTTTGTTTTTTTTCCTCATTTAAGAGACTACACTCTCTTTAGCTCTATGACATGTACAGGTATGCACTGGAGGTATTGCAGGTTCAGTTCCAGACCACCACAATAAAGTGAATATAGCACTAAAGTGAGTCACATGGATTTTTTTGGTTTCCTAGTACATGTGAAAGTTATGTTTACACTATTTGTAGTCTATTAAATGTGCAATAGCATTATGTCTAAAAAATATACATACCTTACTTAAAAATACTTTATTGCTAGAAAATGCTAATGATCATCTAAGCTTTCACTGAGTCCTAATCTTCTAGTTGGTGGAGAGTCACAACCTCAGTGTTGATGTTTGCTGAATGATCAGGGTGGTGGCTGCTGCTGAATGTTGGGGTGGCAATGGCAATTTTTTAAAAAGATAACCAAGAAGTTTGTTTCATGGATTGACTTTTGTTTTCATGAAAGATTTCTCTGTAGCATGCAATGCTGTTAACATTTTACCAGTATAACTATTTTTCACAGTAGAACTTCCTTCAAAATTGGAGTAAATCCTATTAAATTCTGATGCTTCTTTATCAAATAAGTGTATAAAATATTCTAAATCCTTTGTTGTCATTTCAACAATGTTCACAGCATGTTCACCAGGAGTAGATTCCAGCTGAAAAAATCACTTTTGCTGCTTATCCATAATAAGGAACTCCTTATCTGTGCAAATATTATGAGATTGCAGAAATTCAATCACATCTTCAGGCTTCACTTCTAATTCTATTTCTTTTGCTATTTCTACCACATTTGCAGTGACTTCTTCCACTGATGTCTTGAGCCCCTCAAAGTCATTTATGAGGGTTGGAATAAATTTCTTCCAAACTCCTGTTAATGTTAATATTTGGCCTCTTCCCATAAATCACCAATGTTTTAATGGCATCTAGAGTAATGACTTTTTTTCAAAAAGTTTTGAATTTACTTTGATTCCTCTCATTCCATCAGAGGAATCATTATGTATTATAGCTGCAGCCTTTCAAAATATATTTTTTAAATAATAAGAATTGAAAGTCTAAATTACTTCTTGATCCATGAGCTGCAGAATGGAAGTTGTATTCACAGGCGTGAAAACATTAATCACATTGTACTTCTCCATCAGAGCTCTTGGGTGACCAGATGCATTGTCAATGAGCAGTAATATTTGGAAAGAAATCTTTTTTTTTTTTTTGGTCAGCAGATCTTAAGAATGGGCTTAAGATATTCAATAAACCATGTTGTCAACAGACGTGCTGTTATCTAGGCTTTTTTGTTCCATTTATAGAGCACAGGCAAAGTAGATTTAGCATAATTCTTAAGAGCTCTAGGATTTGCTGTGCAGAAGCTCTTTAGTTTAATTAGATCCCATTTGTCAATTTTGGCTTTTGTTGCCATTGCTTTTGGTGTTTTGGACATGAAGTCCTTGCCCATGCCTATGTCCTGAATGGTAATGCCTAGGTTTTCTTCTAGGGTTTTTATGGTTTTAGGTCTAACGTTTAAATCTTTAATCCATCTTGAATTGATTTTTATATAAGGTGTAAGGAAGGGATCCAGTTTCAGCTTTCTACATATGGCTAGCCAGTTTTCCCAGCACCATTTATTAAATAGGGAATCCTTTCCCCATTGCTTGTTTTTCTCAGGTTTGTCAAAGATCAGATAGTTGTAGATATGCGGCATTATTTCTGAGGGCTCTGTTCTGTTCCATTGATCTATATCTCTGTTTTGGTACCAGTACCATGCTGTTTTGGTTACTGTAGCCTTGTAGTATAGTTTGAAGTCAGGTAGTGTGATGCCTCCAGCTTTGTTCTTTTGGCTTAGGATTGACTTGGCAATGCGGGCTCTTTTTTGGTTCCATATGAACTTTAAAGTAGTTTTTTCCAATTCTGTGAAGAAAGTCATTGGTAGCTTGATGGGGATGGCATTGAATCTGTAAATTACCTTGGGCAGTATGGCCATTTTCACGATATTGATTCTTCCTACCCATGAGCATGGAATGTTCTTCCATTTGTTTGTGTCCTCTTTTATTTCCTTGAGCAGTGGTTTGTAGTTCTCCTTGAAGAGGTCCTTCACATCCCTTGTAAGTTGGATTCCTAGGTATTTTATTCTCTTTGAAGCAATTGTGAATGGGAGTTCACCCATGATTTGGCTCTCTGTTTGTCTGTTGTTGGTGTATAAGAATGCTTGTGATTTTTGTACATTGATTTTGTATCCTGAGACTTTGCTGAAGTTGCTTATCAGCTTAAGGAGATTTTGGGCTGAGACGATGGGGTTTTCTAGATAAACAATCATGTCGTCTGCAAACAGGGACAATTTGACTTCCTCTTTTCCTAATTGAATACCCTTTATTTCCTTCTCCTGCCTGATTGCCCTGGCCAGAACTTCCAACACTATGTTGAATAGGAGCGGTGAGAGAGGGTGCCAGTTTTCAAAGGGAATGCTTCCAGTTTTTGCCCATTCAGTATGATATTGGCTGTGGGTTTGTCATAGATAGCTCTTATTATTTTGAAATACGTCCCATCAATACCTAATTTATTGAGAGTTTTTAGCATGAAGGGTTGTTGAATTTTGTCAAAGGCTTTTTCTGCATCTATTGAGATAATCATGTGGTTTTTGTCTTTGGCTCTGTTTATATGCTGGATTACATTTATTGATTTGCGTATATTGAACCAGCCTTGCATCCCAGGGATGAAGCCCACTTGATCATGCAAAAGAAACTACCATCAGAGTGAACAGGCAACCTACAACATGGGAGAAAATTTTTGCAACCTACTCATCTGACAAAGGGCTAATATCCAGAATCTACAATGAACTCAAACAAATTTACAAGAAAAAAACAAACAACCCCATCAAAAAGTGGGCAAAGGACATGAACAGACACTTCTCAAAAGAAGACATTTATGCAGCCAAAAAACACATGAAGAAATGCTCATCATCACTGGCCATCAGAGAAATGCAAATCAAAACCACCATGAGATATCATCTCACACCAGTTAGAATGGCAATCATTAAAAAGTCAGGAAACAACAGGTGCTGGAGAGGATGTGGAGAAATAGGAACACTTTCACACTGTTGGTGGGAGTGTAAACTAGTTCAACCATTGTGGAAGTCAGTGTGGCGATTCCTCAGGGATCTAGAACTAGAAATACCATTTGACCCAGCCATCCCATTACTGGGTATATACCCAAAGGACTATAAATCATGCTGCTATAAAGACACATGCACACGTATGTTTATTGCGGCACTATTCACAATAGCAAAGACTTGGAACCAACCCAAATGTCCAACAATGATAGACTGGATTAAGAAAATGTGGCACATATACACCATGGAATACTATGCAGCCATAAAAAATGATGAGTTCATATCCTTTGTAGGGACATGGATGAAATTGGAAACCATCATTCTCAGTAAACTATCGCAAGAACAAAAAACCAAACACCGCATATTCTCACTCATAGGTGGGAATTGAACAATGAGATCACATGGACACAGGAAGGGGAATATCACACTCTGGGGACTGTGGTGGGGTCGGGGGAAGGGGGAGGGATAGCATTGGGAGATATACCTAATGCTAGATGACACATTAGTGGGTGCAGCGCACCAGCATGGCACATGTATACATATGTAACTAACCTGCACAATGTGCACATGTACCCTAAAACTTAGAGTATAATAAAAAAAAAAAAAAAAAAAAGAGCTCTAGGATTTATAGACTGGAAAATGAGCGTTGGTCTAAACTTCAAGTCACCAGCTGTATTAGCCCCTCACAAGCTTGTCCTTTGAAGGTTTTAAGTCAGCCACTGACTTCTCTTTAGCTATGAAAGTACTAGATGGCATCTTTTTCCAGTAGAAGGCTGTTTGGTCTACCTTAAAAATCTATTTGGTGTTACCACCTTTACCAATGATCTTAGCTATATCTTCTGAAAAACTTTCTGGAGCTTCTACATTAGCACTTGCTGCTTCACCTTACACTTCTATATTATAAAGATGGATTCTTTCCTTGAAGTACATGAATCAACCTCCTCAGAAGAAAAGAATCAGACTTTTCTTCTGCAACTTCCTCACCTCTCATAGCCTTCAGAGAATTGAAGAGAGTTAGGGCCTTGCTCTGGATTAGGCTTTGGCTTGTGAGAATGTTGTGGCTGGTTAGATCTCCTATCCAGACCACAAAAGTTTCTCCATATCAGCAATAAGGCTGTTTGGCTTTCTTATCATTTGTATGTTCACTGGAGTAGCACTTTTAATTGTCTTCAAGATCTTTTCCTTTGAATTCACAACTTGGCTATTTAGCACAAGAAACCTAGCTTTTGGTCTATCTTAGCTTTCTGCATGCCTTCTTCACTAAGTGTAATAATTTTTAACTTTGGATTTAAAGTGAGAGACACAAAACTCTTCCTTTCACTTGAACACTTGAATAAATTATGCCAATTAACTTCAATTAATGATGCCTATTAACTTCAATTAATTAATTGAAGTTAGTTAATTAAAGTTAATTGGTCAAATTTTAATATTGTTGCATTTCAGGGAAGAGGAAGGACTGAGAAGAGAGAGATAAACCACCTGTCAGTGGAGGAGTCAGAACACTCACAACATTTATTGATTGTTTTCTATCTTATCCGGGTGTGGCTCATGGTGCCTCAAATAATTACGATAGTAACATCAAAGATCACTGATTTTTTTGCACATCATATTGGGGAAAATATAAAAAAATTACTGATTACAGATCATCATAACCGATATGATAACAATGAAAAAGTTTGAAATATTGTGACAATGACCAAAATGTGACACAGAGACATGAAATGAGCACATACTGTTGGAAAAATGGTGCTGATAGACTTGCTCGATGCAACGTTGCCACAAACCTTCAATTTGTAAAAAATGCAATGTCTGAAAAGTGCGATAAAGTGAAGCACATTAAAACTTGGTATGCCTGTATTTCTTGGTCCTAAGGATAGCATTAGAGATCAAAATCATCATTATGTATTAAAATAGGCATAACCTTAATTCAGCAAATTCATGTTTAGGAATAAAGTTAGTTCTGCTATAACACAATTGTCATGTTCTCAAGAAACCTTGAATTATTAAGAATCATGGTGTAAACACAGTTGAATGGAGGCAAGGAAGTTAGAACCTGGGTAAATTTAGAATGACAATTATAAGCTCATATTTTGTACAGGTATTTCAATGACACAGGTATTTTAAAACTATAAATACTTTATATTTTTAATGTAAATGTTAAAGATTAATTCAATAAAATAAAAAATTACATTAAAAATTCTGAGTTAAGTCCTATGCATTTTAAACAATGAAAATCAATGAGCCTCTAATGAGTTACCATTATCCTAAATAATTTTTGTAACCTATTGCTATGATAAAGATATGGCTGAAATTAGATATTTTAAAAATGCATTAAGTCAAAGTTAATTATAACATTCATAGCTGCCAATGGTTTTTAATTGTAAGTAAAGAAAAAGGCTAAGAGATATAAGTCATGTGCTTAACATTTAAAAAGTCTTTAAGATACCAGTTCCTGGGCCTGGCCTCTTATAATTAATAACAATTCACATATTAAAAATCAGCGTCATTATGAAAATCACAATAAAAATGAAGTTCTGGTATAGCTCAAAAAATTAGAAAAAATGTTGCATAAGTGTATTTGCAAGTAGATACATCACAGCATCCTTTATAACAGGAAAATATAGAAAATAACCTAAAATTTCAGCAACAGAGAATTGGATAAACATATTTCATTTTGATAAATTCCCATAATGTATGTATGTATGTATGTATGTGTAATGTATGTATTCATGGTATATTATTAAGTGACAAAATCTTATAGAATAGCCTGTCTATAATAATTCTGTTTTTGAAAAAACACTTAAATTGATACATAATATTTGTACATATTTGTGGGGTACATGCATGGAATATGTAATGCTCAAGTCAGGGTATATAGGCTATCTATCGCCTTGAGTATTCATTATTTCTATGTGTTAGAAACATTTCAAGTCCTCTCTCCTGGCTGTTTTGAAATATACAGTGGTTGTTAACTACAGCCATCCTACTCTGCTATCGAACATCAGAACATATTCCTTCTACTTAGACTCACATTTGTAGCCATCAACCAACCTCTCTTATCTCCTACTGCCACCGCCACCAAACCAGACACCCTTCCCAGCTTCTGGTATCTGTCATTCTACTCTGTACCTCCATAAGATCAACTTTTTTAGCTCCCACATATGAGTGAGAACACGCAGTATTTGTCTTACTGTGCCTGGTTTATTTCACTTAACATAATGACCTCCAGTTCCGTCTATGTTGCTAGAGATGACATGATTTCATATTTCTTTGTGGCTGAATAGTATTCCATTGCATATGTGTACAACATTTTCTTTATCCATTCATCTGTTGATGGACACTTAGGTTGACTGCATATCTTGCCTACTGTGAATAGTGCTGCAACAAACATGCAAGTGCAGGTATCACTTCTATATATTTAATTTCTTTTCCTTTGGATAAATAGTCGTGGGATAGATAAATCATATCATAGTTCTATTCTTAGTTTTTTGAGAAATCTCCATACTGTTTTCCATAGTGGTTGTACTAATTTACATTCCCACCAACAGCATATAAAAGTTCCCTTTTCTCTGCATCCTTGTCAGTATCTGTTATTTTTTGCCTTTTTAATAGTAGCTATTGTTACTAGGATAAGAAGCTTCTTAGGACTTGTGGAGGTGTGTGGGACCCAGCTTGAGCTCCTTCTCTGGAGCAAGGCCATCATTCGGCTTCCAGGTAGCTCCTTATTTATGTTAGTCTCAGGGCCGGTGTGGGTTGAGGGGCTATTCTGTGGTTTGGATTGCAGGAGTCCACAGAGGGAATATGGACCACTGGTTGGGGGGTCACTCACTTATCCTTTTCCACACTGGAGAGCCTCTCCTGGCTCCCAGCTGATCCTGCCAAGCAGGCTGCCTGCCTTGCTTCCCCCTCCTTCCTTGCTTTAGTTGTTTCCTGTTACTTCTCTATTGAATTCCAGCATTCTCTCTTAGGTGATCTATCCGAAGTGTGATTATTTACTTCCTATTTTGTTTCTTCTTTTTAGAGGAGGTGGTACCATATGCCTCTAGTCAGCCATGTTGAAGCCCTTCTACCTGAAATTTTATATTTGCATTTATTTTCCAATGAAAATATCTGCAAAGGTATATAACAAAATACTAAGAGTGGTTCTGCCTGGTTGGTGGAATTATGAATGCCTTTTCATTTTGCTTGTTTCCATTGAGTTTGTTTTCTAGAATAAACATGGATTACGTTGCTAAGAATTATAATAATTGTCTTTGTAATTATTATTACTTAATTAATAAGTAATTTTAAAAGAACTCAAATCTCCTTTAGAACTGCAGAAATTGAAATAGGGCTTTTGGAAAGTGGGAAAAAACCAGAACCACAATACAAAATTGTTTATAAGTACATGCTAAGCTATTCTATCTTAATAACTGATTCAACAAAACAATATTCTAGAAAAATGTAATGGACAGAGTGCTATAGCATGAACCATATATAGTTTATAGAATGCATCCAAGTTTAACTACTTATTTTCTATATGTCCTTAAGTATAATTAAAAAATAATATATAGATAGAGATGTGTATTGTTAATATTCTTCAGGGCTGAATGACCAAGCTATGAAAAAAAGACAATAAAATATGAATGCATTGGCTTTCCAATAAAAATTAACATTTTAAAAGCGGTTTGACAGTCATTTATTTAGCCTTTATCATGTTGTAGGCTTGGCGCTAGGTGGTAGGGTACAGATGCAGGCAACATGGTGCTTTGCCCCCAACAACTCACTATCCAGCTAGAGAGAAAGAAACATCAAATACCTAGTGCTGCTTTAAAAGCCTTGCTAAGTCCCCGTTGCAGCCCGCAGCTGTCAGAATATGGCAGTGCTTGTTGAGCTGGCACAAAAAGCTCATTTTCTGCAGCACGTTTTTCCGCATGAGGGTATTTATCCCCAAGCAGCTACTCCCTCCTTTACAAAGGACTGATTTGGTATTCAGTTTGGTTGCAATGCCACAGGTGTTTTAAATTTGATGGCAGCTTCCAGCAAGCATGGGTCTGAGAAGCTCTCTGTGTTGCCTGCCTGGGTGAACATTTGCCAGGCCAAGTAAGCTCATTCATTGAAGGGAGGGCCTTGCAGTTGAAAAGGCGTGCAGCATAAATGCATTGTCATGAGTTTGCCTGTTTTCCTCTTTTATTCTGTGCTCTCTGCCATGAGCCCCAAAATGTATTACTTGAATAAGGAGGGATGAATGCCAGCATTTGCCAAGACATTAAGATACAGATCCTGCTTCTTCAGTTAACTAGATTAACATACTAAACAGCCTATTCTGGTAAGATGGTTTCAACTAAAATTTATATTTCCCTTCTCCTCCTGCTGGTTATGATTTCGTTGGGTGATTTTTCTCCTGTGATGGTGCTCCCTCCAGTCCTACTCTGCTCCAGTCATCATCCACACTGCCAACAGACTCATCTGTTTTACATGAAAACCTGAACATGTTATCCCCTGCTTAAAATTTGTACAAACTGAGCTCATCCTTCAATATTTAGCTCACACTTTGCTTCCCATGCAGAGATGAACACCTTCTGGTCCAGCTGAACTTTGGCATACCCTTGTTAAGAGATAAACTTAAGCATATTCAAATTTTAATGAGTTTATTTGATCAGATAGTGATTCATGAATTGGGCAGCAGCAGACCACTGGGGTTAGGGGGCTGGGGCAAGAGAGGAAACTTATAAGGTGTTCACGGAAGAAAGACAAAGAAAATGCATCTGATTGGTTAAAGTGGAAAGTCCCTAGTTAGAGGTTAGTGGTGGTTTCTGATAGGTAAAGTCTATATTTAGAGGTTAGCTGATGATTTCTGATTGGCTAAGCATAATTTCATTTTGCTGTTTTCATTGGGCTTTGGTTTGCTTATGGAGGAACCCAAGGCACTGAAGCTGTCTCAGCCTAATGGACTCCCAATTAAATTTTTAAAAACACCTTTCATATGTTATCTATGCATGGTATTTGCAGTTCTTTTTTTGTCGTCTATTTCTGTTTCTAGTTAATATCTGAGTTCAAGGACTATATCTTATTTACCCTTTTAGTATCTACTATCAAGACACATGCACATGTATGTTTATTGTGGCACTGTTCACAATAGCAAAGACTTGGAACCAACCCAAATGTCCATCAATGATAGACTGGATAAAGAAAATGTGGCACATATACACCATGGAATACTATGCAGCCATAAAAAAGGATGAGTTCATGTCCTTTGCAGGGACATGGATGAAGCTGGAAACCATCATTCTCAGCAAACTAATACAGTAACAGAAAACCAAACACTGCATGTTCTCACTCATAAGTGGGAATTGGACAATGAGAATACATGGACACAGGGAGGGGAATATCACACACCAGGACCTGTCAAGGAATGCGGGGCTAGGGGAGGGATAGCATTAGGAGAAATACCTAATGTAGATGATGGGTTGATGGGTGCAGCAAACAACCATGGCATGTGTGTACCTATGTAACAAACCTGCAGGTTCTGCACATGTATCCCAGGACTTAAAGTATAGTAATAATAAAAAAGTATCTAAATCTCATGTAAGCCTGGGTTATAATATGTACAAAAAACATTTGCTGCAAATATTAATGTATTAAATATTGAATAAACTATTAAATATTAAATGAATGAATGGCGTGGTTAAATCTCAGTAACCTCAGTAGAAGATGAAGGTGGAGGAATTGGGAGGGAGCATGTCTAATTGTTATCTATAGTATCTGATAAGACCGAATGAAAATGGCTGGGATTTCTTTAAAATGATGTGTAGCTGGTAACCTCTGACACAGTGTTTTCCTGTCTATAGAAATTCTAGTTGTTTGTGTGAATTCACTGGGTATCTCAGTGGTTAGTCTACAAATGCGTAATGAATGCTTTTTGGCAATAAAGAAAATGAGTACAAGATGTGACCTAGGCAAATGCATAATTAAAAAATGGTGCATTTAAAATCCCTCTTTACCCTAAAGCTTGTGAAAAGATCATCCTGTTATGTAAATAATACTTAGGATTTTTTAAAAATCAGTTTTCCTTAAGATATTGCAAATACCAGAAACTACCTTTCCTCTGAGGCTCTTAGGGAATAGTGAAAACCTCAGATAAACCAAAATTATTCAATCTTTTTTTTTTTTATTATACTTTAAGTTTTAGGGTACATGTGCACATCGTGCAGGTTAGTTACATATGTATACATGTGCCATGCTGGTGCGCTGCACCCACTAACTCGTCATCTAGCATTAGGTATATCTCCCAATGCTATCCCTCCCCCCTCCCCCCACCCCACAACAGTCCCCAGAGCGTGATATTCCCCTTCCTGTGTCCATGTGATCTCATTGTTCAATTCCCACCTATGAGTGAGAATATGCGGTGTTCGGTTTTTTGTTCTTGCGATAGTTTACTGAGAATGATGATTTCCAATTTCATCCATGTCCCTACAAAGGACATGAACTCATCATTTTTTATGGCTGCATAGTATTCCATGGTGTATATGTGCCACATTTTCTTAATCCAGTCTATCATTGTTGGACATTTCGGTTGGTTCCAAGTCTTTGCTATTGTGAATAATGCCGCAATAAACATACGTGTGCATGTGTCTTTATAGCAGCATGATTTATAGTCCTTTGGGTATATGCCCAGTAATGGGAAATTATTCAGTCTTTTATAGAACTCTCTGAATTTCCTTTTCCTTTTTCTTACTCTAGGGGAGTATCTAAGATAAAATTTTTCATTTTTTTTCCTTCTCAAATTTTGCTCCATTTGAATAGTAGACAAAACAGCAGGGGATAATCTAACACTTTAACAAAAATGGAAGATATAATCCCAGCACTTTGGGAGGCCGAGGCGGGCGAATCACGAGATCAGGAGATCAAGACCATCCTGGCTAACATGGTGAAACCCCGTCTCTACTAAAAATACAAAAATTAGCCGGACATGGTGGCGGGTGGCTGTAGTCCCAGCTACTCGGGAGGCTGAGGCAGGAGGATGGCATGAACCCGGGAGGAGGAGCTTGCATGAGCCGAGATCGCTCCACTGCACTCCAGTCTGGGTGACAGACGAGACTCCGTCTCAAAACAAAAAACAAAAAACAAACAAAAAAGGAAGATAGAATTTCCAACTTAATAATCTTAAAAGTTAATTTCAACTAATTAAAATAAAAATACATTATCCTATCAGTATGAAGAATATATATGTGAAAAAGATATTAGAAGGCTGCATAATAGATACTCAAAAGGTTAATGGTAAAAGAGAACTTATAGCCCAATCATTTTTTAATGTCATGAATTATATCTGGGTAATATTTTACATTGGATGATAACTGTGTGTTAAGGCTTAGGTTACTCTAGGATTCTTGAAATTAAAGAGAGAAATACATGATATTTGATGATTTTTACCTAAATTTGAAAGTTTTCTTTAATCAAAATTTGAATAATTTCTCTCTAATTTAGAGAAAATATTTCATGTCTTGTTTGTGCCCCTTCGTTTTTTTAGAACAAACCAAGTTGAGCTATTTATAATTGGAAATTAACATGGAAACTAAGGAGAGGATTTTATATCAAGGCAAGGAAGGCAACTGAGCAGAAAGAGACGTAGGACCTGGCCCAAATATACCCTAAAAGAGCCATCAATAGAACCAACTGGATAATAATAGAATTTACTTGCCATCAGATACATGAGAATGTTTTTTGATACAAATGCCTTGTTTCCAAAACACATGTTACAACACCAATTTTATTTTTTTCATATTATTTTAATTTTTTAATGATTATACTTTATGTTCTGGGGTACAAGTGCAGAATGTGCAGGTTTGTTACATAGGTATACCTGTGCCATGTTGGTTTGCTGCACACATCAACCCATCATCTACATTACGTATTTCTCCTAATGCTATTCCTTCCCCAGCCCTTGACCCCCTGACAGGCCCTGGTGTGTGATGCCCCCACACCGTGTCCATGTGTTCTCATTGTTCAACTCCCACTTATAAGTGAAAATATGCGGACAACACCAATTTTTAGCTTTGAATAGTTTTCCTGAGAGAGATGAAGACCCCTATGTCTAGCTACACAAAGGACCTCTCTTCTATGTCTGAATCTCAACATATAAAACTACCACCTTAACCCCCAACATGATTCTTTTGCAGTTCTTCTTAGAAAGGACACCATCTACTAAATTCTTAGGCCAAAAATTTATGAGTTATTTTGATGTTTCCTGTTTTCTTACTTCTGCATTCAATCTAGTACATCCTAATAGCTACCAAACATCTTTAATATTTTCTCCTTCTACTACCACCACTGCCTTAGTAGCAGTTACCATGACCCAGGAAAGACCAAAAAATGGCCTTCTGACTGATTACCTGCTTCATCTTCAGACCCTCTCCAATTCCTTGTGCGTCTTGCAGCCAGAGCGATCTTTCTGAAATGCAAATTATATTATGTCATTGTCCCACTTGAAACCCTCCAGTGGTTTTCAATCATTTTAAAGTTTAAAAAGAAAGTATTAAACATAGATTACAAGGTCCTGAGTGGTCTGGGCCATCTCCCTCTTTAACCTTCCCTGAGCCTGCTCTCATTTCTTTAGCATCACTGGCTTTCTTTCAGTCCTACACATATATCATGCCCCTTCCCTCCTATGAATGGACCTTTGCACGTGCTCTTCTTCAGTCTGGAAAACCCTTCTGTCTTCTTATCACTGAATAAACTGATATTCTTCCTTCCTCAGCTTAGCCATGAAACCTCTGACCGTGACCTCTTGCCCAGTCTCAAGCACCATGTAACTCTCTTTTATGGCACTAATCATAATGAAAAGTTTAGATTTGTTGAATTAGTAAGCAGTCTCCTTTACTGGGCTGTAAGCTCTTTAAGGGCAGGGACCACATCTTGTTTTGTTTACCTATGTGTCCAGAACTTACCATATTACTCGACATGTAATATGTTATCAATGATAATGGGCATATTAGCATGTGTTGACATTGGAGATCATAATTTTTTGTTTAATAATTAATATTCAAAAAGAGAAAATCTGTTTTTTAACATAATTACACTAAATAGATCTATGTTAGATACTATTATTGATTATATATGGGGGGTCAATGTACTTCCTGCATTCTTAAAAACAGCTGAGCAGGGGACCAAGCGCGGTGGCTCATGCCTGTAATCCCAGCACTTTGGGAGGCCAAGGCAGGTGAATCACAAGGTCAGGAGATCCAGACTATCCTGGCTAACACGGTGAAACCCTGTCTCTACTAAAAATACAAAAAATTAGCTGGGCATGGTGGTGTGCGCCTGTAATCCCAGATGCTCGGGATGCTGAGGCGGGAGAATAGCTTGAACCGGGGAAGCGGAGGTTGCGGTGAGCTGAGATTGTGCCACTGCACTCCAGCCTGGGCGACGACAGAGTGAGACTCCATCAAAACAAACATACAAATAAACAAAAAACAAACAAACAAACAAAAAACTGAGCAGATGTTACACATTTGGATTATTTGGCTTATGTTAAGACATGTTAGGCTTGGAATATTTTTAACTACCTCAAAATATTGTACATTTTTAGTTTATCAATATAAGAAGATCTTTTTGAGAAATATCAGTCACTGGGCACAATGGACTCATTGAAGGGAGCCACTGGTTCTGCTATTTCTTTTTTTTTTTTTTTTTTTTTTTTTGAGACGGAGTCTCGTTCTGTCGCCCAGGCGGGAGTGCTGTGGCGCGATCTCCGCTCACTGCAAGCTCCGCCTTCCGGGTTCACGCCATTCTCCTGCCTCAGCCTCCCGAGTAGCTGGGACTACAGGCGCCCGCCACTGCGCCCGGCTAATTTTTTGTATTTTTAGTAGAGACGGGGTTTCACCGTGGTCTCGATCTCCTGACCTCGTGATCCGCCCGCCTCGGCCTCCCAAAGTGCTGGGATTACAGGCGTGAGCCACCGCGCCCGGCCGGTTCTGCTATTTCTTACATGCGTAAATTTGGGCAAATGACTTCACTTCTCTGAACATTAGTTAAATCATCTATAAAAGGGGTTTTGTGATATCTATCCCACAGGATCACTGTATGGGTTACTAAATTTAATATATATAATTATAATTCTTTCTATTTAATAGGTACTAAATAAAAAGGCTTCATTATTCTTGCTCTCTATACCTTCCTCCCAGGTAATCTGCATGTTTAGAAAGACATATCAATTTGATTTTCATCTCTTCTATGTGCTCCATCTGCATGGAGAATGTTCTTTAAAACTGAACTTTAACTTAAAGGGAGCTAGAGAAAAAGGATAGAAGGAGGACACAATATGTCAGTGAATCACCATGGGACACTCAGGCTAATGCCGTGGGACACCCAGGCTAATGCCTTGTAAACAGCCAGAGAAAAAAAGGATAAGGGCTATTAGGCTTTGATATAGTGGTTACTTGATTTCAGGTTGCTTTCAGTTTGCTTAAGTTATTCATTTAAAAACCCCTCTTCTTTGGGAGCAATTGGTTTTGTTTATCTGCTTCTATGAGGGAAGGATGTATTGATGTTTCATGTTGTAAGTGCTTTCAGTGTGCTCTTTTAACATTACTTAGTTTAAAATGAAAAGATAAAATGAAAAGATACTGCAAACATAGTAATCAAGTTAACTCCTACTTTAGTTCAAAATTACAAGTACAGCTAATGACTGTATAAGGGTGCTGTTACATGGTGAGGAGACAGATAATCTTGAGGTCCCTAATTTTATTAACAAATCATGTAGCTAAAAAATATTACTATACTCAATTACTTGGCTACTTTTACCTTCACGGAAGACTGTGCTTGGACCACCTCAGCAGAAAGATTGTCTGGTTCATTGCTTCTAAAATACTGTATGGGCTGGGTGTGGTGGCTCAGGCCTGTAATCTCAGCACTTTGGGAGGCCAAGGCTGGTGGATCACTTGAGGTGAGGAGTTCGAGACAATCCTGTCCAACATGGTGAAACCCCATCTCTACTAAAAATACAAAATTAGCTGGGCGTGATGGTGTGTGCCTGTAGTCCCAGCTAATCAGGAGGCTGAGGCAGAAGAATCACATCGCACCGCTGCACTCCAGCCTGGGTGACAAAGGAGGACTCCATCTCAAAAATAAAAATAAAAATAAAAAATAAAATACTGTATGTCAAAGACACTTCTGTTAATCGAAGCCTGGTGAGTTTTGCCCTTTTTGTCTTCCTTTTCCTTCAGAGATAGTCATCGTGTCTTGATGCCCACTTCTTAGCAGGTAATCTGAAATACTATAGATGAACGTGTTAGGAAAGAGAGCATAGGAGCATTCTCTAACAAATCAAGAGTGTTATAAGAATTAATGATGTAGTACACATCTGTCTTAAGAGGACAGTTAGTAAATATAAAGTCAGTATATGATGAAGGCGTTACTCTTTGACCTCTTGTTGCTCATTGCCCAATTTTATTTTTTCACAAAATTAAGGAATAGGTGTAATTTCCACATAAAAATAAATACATGTATGCACTGTAAAGATGTTTCAATGGGCTATAAAAATCTCTCTTCACAGGCATTAATCTCTATAAATTCCTCCTTGATTAACATGCTACAATAATAATAATGATATATATGGCTAACATTTAGTGCTTATCATGTGTTTGATACTGTGATTATTATTTCATATACTTAATTCTCATCACATTTTGTAGAGGTAGGTATTTATAAGTTATGTTTACTACATGAGGCAAGTGAATCTTAGAGAGGTTAGGTAACTTTCCTAAGATCTCTGCAGCCTAGCATGTGATGGAGGTGTTTTGAGCTCAAGTTTGTTTGATTCTGAAGCCTTTGAGCTTGATCATTAGTCAGAAATCAGCAGATGGACACTGGTGGGAAGTCAATGCATTTTTTTGGATAATGTCGTTCTTTTGTATATTTCTGTGAGTATTTGAGTAACATAAGCAACATGAATTTAAGTTATTTTTTACCTCTGTATTCTCTGAAAAAGCTTCTGGGTATGATCCTTCCTGCTAGTGAGCTCAATTGGATGTGAGTAATAGCCTATGAGATTACTCAAGCACTTTGTTGCCATGGAATCAATAAAAATGCTAGGACTAAGAAAAATTGCGATGTGCAAAAACTGATGCTGCTACATCAATTAAATCATTCATTAATCCACCAAAGCATTGGGAAGCTATTATATGCCAAGTAAGATTTCAGGTTTTAAAAACACAAAAAAATGAACAGCATACATTTTATGTTCTTCATAATCACATATTCTAGTGTGTGTGGCAAGATAGGAATTGATAATTAATAAATGAAATAATGACATACATTTAATAGTAAAGGCATAGAAAATGACTCTTAGCACACATACAAGGAGTGCACATAAAAGAGAATGTTTAACTGGTTGGAGTTCTAAGCAATCATTCTAGAGAAAGTTATAGTTGAGTGTGAGATGCAGTTCTTCATGTGGACCAGGAGAAGTACAAGGTGATGGCCATTCCAGAAAGAGAAAATGATGCAAAAGCAACTGAGACTCTGAGTAGTTTGATGTGACTGCAATGGAAGCACCATGTGTAGAGAGGTGGGAGACAAAGTTGGAAGGGTGAGTTAAGAAGAGTGTATTGGAAACTTTGTAAAGGTTTCTATGTTTGACGAGGGATCATTAAAGGATTCTAGGTAGAATAGTGACATCCTCAGAGTTATATTTTAAAAAGATCATTCCAGATTTGGACATCGCTATCTATAGGAAACCTATGTTGCTACAGACCACAGGTTATCTGTACCTATGTTGCTACAGACTACAGAAAACATAGGCTATCTATAGGAAACCTATGTTGTGGACGGCTACAGACCACAGAATTCACTCTAGCCAGTTTAAGGAGAATGACATTTATTGACAAATACAAGGCTTACATAATTTTGTAGTACTCATCCTGGAAAACATGTCCAGGAACTATGAAGCCAAAAAAATTCCACTCTGTACACCTTGAACTATTCTAGCAGGAACACCACACCTACTTTGAACCTGCTTGGATCACTGATGTTCTGGAATGGACACCAAAAGCTCTACCACATCTATGTAATTAGTCAGAGTTCTCCAGAAAAATACTGTCTATCTATCTATCTATCTATCTATCTATCTATCTATCTATCTATCTATCTGCTATCCTAGCAGAAACACCACACCTACTTTGATCTGTTTGGATCACTGATGTTCTGGAATGGATACCAAAAGCTCTGCCATGTCTATTTAATTAGAGTGCTCCAGAAAAACACAATTATCTATCTATCATCTATCTATCTATCTATCTATCTATCTATCTATCTATCTATCTATTATCTATCTATCTATCTATCTATCTATCTATCTATCTATCTATCATCTATCTATCTATCTACCATCTATTTTAAGGAATTGGCTCATGTGATTGTTTAATTGTGGGAGCTGGCAAGACTGAAATCTGTGGGGCAAGTTAGCAGGTAGGTCTTTATATTGCAGTCTCGACGCAGACTTGTTTCTTCTTTGAGAAACCTCAGTCTTTGCCTGTGAGAAACACACACTCAACCGTCCAAACCCAAAGAATGGACTTGGAGACACGAAGAACAGTGGAAGTGAGACTTTTAATGGTGGTTTTCCAAGATTGTGTGTCTGGTAGGCCAGCATACCTGGGGCAGTTACAGCAGGTAATTTATCTTCTAGCACGCAAGTCCCTCCCCCAGTTCCTCATTGGTCAAACTATGGGGTTACAATCTTCCCGGAGGTCGCCTAAGTTTCATTATCCCCCTTACAAGTTTATAGCCCGGTCCCCTTCCCCGCTTAAGTTTCGATTTCGCAATAGTGAAACTTTCTTCCCTTTTATGGGCTGACCCCTCCTCTACATACTGTTTCCTTATTGTGACTTTTTAGGTGCACGAGCCATGCGGTTTGTCACATCTGCAGGCTGCCTGCCAGTACTTAGATTTATCATGCCTCAAAATTGACCATTTAAAGTGTTTTCTCATATTTCCTTCCAGGCTTTCAACTGATTGGATGAAGCTCACCCACATTATGGAGAGTAATCTGCTTTACTCAAAGTGTACTGATTGTAAATGTTAATCACATTTTTAAAAGATTCTTAAAATCACATTCTTAAAATGTGATTCTTAAAATCACATTCTGTACAGCACCATCTATACTAATGTTTGACCAAACAACTGGCCACCATAGCCTAACCAAGCTGACACATAAAATTAACCATTACACCTGCTAAAGAAGAACCAGTTCCTTTCTGCTTCATGTATTTTTTTTTCCTCTTGCTTATAATGAACTCAAGTCTTATATAGATACAGAGCATAGATCACTTACTTGCACCCCAATTGCAAGTGAGTCTAAGAAATAGAATCTTTAACTTTCCAGCCTTTAGAAAACTAGGAAGACGAACTAGAGGTGAGCTCGAATGGGCATTGAATTAGCCAACTAAATACTCCTTTAACTATTCAACATCTATTCAAACCTTATTCTCATACCTAAAATTTCAAGCAAGAACAATGAAAACTAGAACAACAAGAACAATAACGTCAACAACATAAAAGTAAAAACAATATAACATAATTCAATTACCCTTTGCTCAACTGAAAACTCACTTATTCTCTCCTCAAAAGGGAGGTCCACAGTCTCATCTATTTCTGCATTCTTTCCTGGATAATGTTCATAATGTTCATTTCTATTCTATTACAGATACATATCTTGGTATCATATCTTGGTATTTTGTAAGTTGTGGAAAAAATTGTAAAGTTACTAGCAAAGAATTCATCCTATATAAATGAGGAGAAGAAAGCTATACAGGAAAAATAGAAACATTCTCTCTCTCTCTCTCTCCCCCCCCCCCAACCCTGCTCTCTCTCTCTCTCTCTCAGAGTAGATATAAAGTAGCTTACCATATTTCTAATGTCTGCAACTTTCATGAGGCGTTAGTTAATATTTGTAACTAGTCATAAATTTGTAGTTATTATTTGTAACATCCTGCATCACTAGCCATTTGTCTTAGTTTGTTTTGCGCTGCTATAACAGAATACCTGAGACTGGGTAATTTATAAAAGACGGAGACTTATTTCTTGCAATTCTGGAGGCTGAGAAGTTTAAGGTTGGAGATTCCTCCTTTGGTGAGGGCTTTCTTGCTGTATCATCCTATGGAGGAAGGTGGAAAGGCAAAAGGGAGAGAGAGAGAGAGAAAGAGAGAGAGAGCGCGCGCGAGAGAGAGAGAGAAAGAGAGAGAGCGAGAGCGCAAGTGACCAAAGGGGACAGAACTCACTTTTAAAACAAGTTCACTCTTGAGATAACTAACACACTCCCATGATAATGGCATTAATCTATATTCATGAAGGCAGAGTCCTCATGCCCTAATCATCTCTTAAACGTCTCACTTCTCAACACTGTTGCATTGAGGTTAAGTTTCCAGCACAAAAATTTTGGAAAACACATTTAAACCATAGCACCTTTCTTAAGTTAGATTACTACTCATAAATTTGTGGCCTTTTTTTCTTTTCTAATATAAGCATTTTAATCTATAAAATCTTTCTAATACTACTTTTTTGGATCACATAAGTTTTTATATACAACATTTACATTATTGTTTATCTTGTAGTATTTTCAAATTTCTGTGAACATTTCTTCGCTGACTTGTAAGGTATTTAGAAGTGATCTTTGAAATTTTTTAAGTATGTGGGTTTTCATTTGTCTTTTTGGAATTGACTAATTAATTTCATTGTGTTCAGATAATATGGTTGATAATATATTAGGTTTTTGAAATGGTTTTGCAAACTTTTTATATGTACTTAAGAAAAATGTATATATTCTAATTCTTACTTGCATAGCTCCACATACATTTTTAAAGACTGTGTTTGGTAATTGTGCAATTTAAATATTCTTTCCTGACTTGTTCTTTGTTTATCCTATTGAAAATTGAGAGAAGCATGTTGAAAACTCTAACTATGGCTATGGATTTGCCAAATTTTCTTATAGTTCACCCAACTTTTGGTTTACATATTTGAAGTTACTTTCTTTTGAATTGTTATATCTTCCTGATAAACTTAAACTTTTATTATTATGTACTTATCTTAGTGATTTTCTGATGTTTTGCCTTCCCATCACCCTTTCTACATGCTTATGGTAACAGAATGTTTCTTTCTTGTGGGAAATACATTCCATGTGATTCAAGTGGGCAGCCTAAGCATTCATCCTGTCTCACAAGTCCTAGGGCTGGCTTCATTTTCTGCGTAGATTCTTAAAACATGTTTATGTACTCTTAAATATTCAGAACTGATTTAATGTGTTTATTGATATATGTTTATTTCTACTTTTTTTCTTTGTGTGTTCTGAAGTTTTTAGAATTCAGGCTATGTCATTTCTTTTTTTTTTCTTACTTATAACATAAATAATCTTAAGAGTTTCCTTCAGATTTGATATAAAATTAATATTTGTCCTACAATTTTCTGTGCCAATTTAGGGCTCATATCCATTTGCTTTGGCAGAAACCTTCAAGTTTCCTGCCATTTTCGCAATGTAGAATGCAATCCTGAACCTTAGCATCTACAGAGAAAATCAGGACCAAAAATAGATTTATCTTATTTCATCACCTCTCCCTAAAAAGGTTTCACTTGCCTACAATTCACCAAAGGCAAAATATTAACAAGGTGACATTTATGTATCTTATTCATGGAATTAATGGGGAGAAGGATGAAGCAGGGAGACATCTTATTTGGAGATCTTTTTATACCAGTATCCCACTCCTCACAACCCAATTTTCACTCACCAGAACTTAATTTCTGATAAGATTTTCTCAAACTCATTCTTTTCTTTCACTTTTTAAATTGTCTTTTATCTTGAACTTTCTCCCATTTAATAAAAGTCAATATGATATACCCCTGTAGATTTTGTGTCTTAATGGAAAATATGTAATAAAATTATTTTTTTATGTAGTTGAGTAAAAAAAAAAAATCTTGGGGGCTGCCTTGGTCATATGTCTGGGTTTGTCATATACCTTCTCATCTGCTTTGCTATAAATGGTTGCAAGTGTGGCCTAAATTTTTTTTTATTTTATTTTTGTAGGGTATGCTCTATTTAGTTCCTTTCTTTGTTATTTATAATTTTTTTCTTTGAGAGGAGGTAAGGTTAGGAGTTTTTGAGTCATATGGATCTTTCTGGCTGTCCTTTTCAAAGACTTTGGCCTGGGTTTGTACCCCTTTTTTCAAAGAGTTTGAGCTGACACATTAGCTTCCTCTTTGTAAGATTCGTTGTGGCTATCAGTTTCCTAAGACTTTGGGGAGATAGAAAAATTGCTATCCAACCCCACATTTCTTTTTACCCTGATATTGTTCATAGTTTTTAAACATAGGGTGATTTAGATATTTATCCCAATTAAATACTACTACCAATGTGGCATAACAGGAACTAGTCCTTTATCTAAAGTATGCAAGATATGTTTCCATTTGGTTGCACAGAGAAGGAGATGAGCCTGAAGTAATGATCTGTGGCTTTGTTTCCCAATAGCACTAGGATGCTATTGGGAACAAATTGCATAGCTGAGTAAAAGGGCAATTTATTAACACTCAACATTAATCTTTGCCTTAAGAGAAATACACATAGATTTATCGTGTCATTTTAATAAGCATGAGTAACTGAGAGAAAAAATAGTTACATGATGTTATACTGAATCAGGAAAAAATATAATCTGAGGATTTTAAACAATGTCTAGCAAGTGTGACTATAGATATTCAAGCACCCCAGGAAGAGTAAAGTTTTTATCAAGTTTTACATAATAAAAATCAGAGAAAGGAAGCATGCAGAAAGTTTTGAGAAGGCTCTAACTAGAAAAGCTAGAGTTGATTTTTTTCTAGGTGATAGATTCATCATACATAAATTGCAGTTCTGCTTGTGAGTCATAATTTATTTCTCATTCCTGCCCATACATATACTATACTTCTCTTATTCAAAGCTTTATAAGGTTCCATTCCATTTGATAAAGGAAATGAAAACAAGAAGGTAATTGTGAATTGCATGCCTGTATCAAAATATGTCATATACTCCATAAATATATACACTTATTATGTACTCACACAAAATAAAAATTAAAGGTAAGTTGAAGGGAAAAAGAAATATAAAATAAATAGGTATAAGAAATTCATTAAGGTCTCAGGTCTAAATACAATTCCTTTTTATTATTCTAAAAGTAAAGTCTTAAAAATATAATAAACATGGAAAAATTTAAATGGAAAATTATTTGCAGTAAAAAAATGCATGAAAATAATTGGGAGTATTGGAAGTTTGTCCTTTGATTTCCTATGTTCTGATTTCTACTGATTCTCTGACGTTTGCTTTCCCAGTTTCCCCTGTCCAATCCTCTCGTTCTTAGGAAAGGTAGGTGGGTGAGAGAACAAAAAAAAGTGAGAGGTTTCTTAATCTTTCATAGTGGCCAGTGAAGTATATCCATATATCTTATATCTGTCTCTAAGAACCCTACAAATTCATGTCTCATGAGGAACTCAGTGCCCCTTCAGATTCTTTCCCTCTCCTATACCAGACACAAACATATTCTAAATTCTCCATGCCATCTGGTATTCTGGCCACATCACATTGTATATTATATTTTTGTCTCTCCCATCCTCACTGATTTATTTAAATTATGGAATATAATACAGTAAACATTAAAGGCAGCCTAGAGATAATGAAGCAAGGAACACAATGTCATAAAATATCAATATGCTCAATACCCCTGTGGCTCCCACTCAACAGAAGCAGCTCAGACTTCCCAGAGCCTTTGTGCTGTAAGCCTTGTTCATTATCTTATGACTCACAGTTCCACCCCTCCCAAACTCAACCCTTCAAATCTTTGCATCGTGTGCTTTGCAACATATGGTCTGTCATTAGCAAAATCCCCTCTACCTTAGACTGTTTTCAGAATGTTCCGTTCAACTGTATGCTATAGCAGGACCTTCCAGTTCCCTGAGGATACTCTTTTCCTTGCAACCTTTTCACCCAGTGTTCTGTGTTCTTTCAGGTGATGATCGGTCAAGTGCAGCCGCAAGAGGGTCACAGGAGAGGCCCAGGAAAATGAGGTTTATTATACTCACAGATCCTTGGGAGACAGAGACATTGTACATCAAGAGGAGGTCACAGGAAAGAGTGCCAAGAAAGTGGGCTCAACCAAACAGGCAGGGAGCTGAGAGGCAGTGAGGACCTGTGGGCAAGTGTCTTGATTGGGGTTCAGGGTGGAGGATACAGCAAAAGTCTGGAGAGAATTTCATTGGTGCATTTGAATGTCAGTCGGTCACAGTCATGGGATGTCAAGAAGGGAAAATTGTGGCAGGGCCAGTCTTATCACATTGGCGTACCTGGATGTACAGCTTATTTGTGATGATGTCGAGGAAATAGGAAAACATAAAATTTTAAAATTATACGATAAATAAATGACTGTTTTCTCCTACACTGTCCCCTAACTAAAAACAAGATAGTTGTTGTTTCTTATCATGACTTCCAGGTCATTATTCCTTTTACCACCTAAAGAATTCCAACTTCCTTAAGCACATATCAATAAACAGCAAAAGCTTCACTTGGCCAAATGTCCCTCTCTGGATTCTGCCCCATATATTGTTTTCTTTCACTGAAAATCTCTTGGAAACATGTTTACATTCTTCTACTACCTTACTTCTTCCTCTGAGGAGTCCATCATAGTGACATGTTGGCTATGAAACCAGACTTTCAGAGCCAGCATTTCACTGAAGCTGCTCTTGTCAAAGTCAATTGTCCCTGATGACTTGATGTGGCCAAATGAGTAGTCAAGTCTAATTTCTTATCTTCTACTTTCTGCTGAATTTAACACAATTAAATATTCCCTCCTTCTTGAAAACTTTTCTTCACTTAGCTTACAGGACACTGAACTCTTGGACTTCTCTATCTCTCTGAATAGTCTTTTTCAATCTCTTTTCCAGCTCCTGTTCTCTTCCTGAATTCTAGGTGTTGGAGTCCCCATGGTTTGGAATTTTTCCTTTCTATATTCATTGCCTAGTTTATCACATCCATACACCCATCTTTGAGCACCATTTACCTGCCAACCACTTCCACCTTTTTCCAGCTGGTCCTTTCCTCTGAAGTCTTGACTCATATTTTTAACTGTCTACTCCATGCCACTCAACATCTCAAAAACAGAACTCTTGAGCCTTTCCAAAAGACTTTCCATCTCTGTAATTGTCATATCTACTCTTGTATTTTCCTAGGCCCCTCCTACATCTCTTCTGGTCCATCAGTAAGTCCTATTGGCTCTACCTTCAAACTGTATTGTGAATCCTATCACTTAGCACTACCTCCATGATTACTGTCATACCTCAAGCTATCATCATTTCTCTCCTGGACTATTGGAATTAGTTCCTTACTTTCTTCTCTGCTTTTGACTTTGTCACTCTGATGTCTTTTTTCCACATAGGAGCCAGAGTGATAGTTCTAAAATGTAAATCAAATGATGTCACTGTGAATCTTCAGTGCCTACGGGACATTCCGGCACATGGTTAGCATTCAGTGTTTGTTGAATGAATTAAACAGAAGTGTTCTTTAGAGAAAGGGGTTAAATATAATAGTTTGCCCCAGTTCTAGTTTCAAGGAATTTAAATTTTAACTCTACATATGTGTTAGTTCCTTCAGTAGCCCAGCCTCATTATCACCCATGAACTACTCTCCTAAATTTTGAGAAAGTTACGCATCCTCTATTGTTCTCTTTTACTAGCCAACAGCTTAGTACCCCCAAATGTGATACTGAGAGTAAACTTGTGGATTTCCCACAATACAGATATTGGGTATTGCTGTCTTCCTTGCTCTCTACCATCCAATAAGAGAAGTCATTGACAGGAACTAGTGCATTAATTTAAGAGGCTTATACCCTTATGATACTTAAAATTGTTTTTCAGGAAACAGCATATTTGAGCTGTAACTCAAAGTGTCAGCTATGTGGAGGTTATAATATAAATCTAACTTTAATAGGTAGGGTCAGAGAACATTGGTAGAGGGGATTGGTAAACTAGTGGAGAGAACTTGTATTGTCTCTCAAATCATACAAAGCAGGTAGCCTGCTAATGCATAGCATCAGTCCTAATCATGACATCCATTATTCAGAAATGTAGATATTTTAGATTAGCATTCAGATTGGGTACAGTAGTTTTTTATTTTTCTTAACTACACATATGACAAAATATGAAAATCCAGAAAGGCTATTTTATTTCTGTCTTTATTCTGGTATAACTAACATCTTATCATCAATCCACTGACTAGTTAATTAACAAGAGCTGAATTAAACTCCCAGGACATGAAGCATTTGATTTGCCTTGGGATCCTAATCTATTTAAATGCTGAGTCTCTAGGGAAAGACACTATCTTGCTACATTTTGCTCTTGGTAAACTCTTTGGAGTTAGAATAATGAAAGTCCAGAAAGAATAAGTGGATTTTGGCACAAGCAGCCCTTTGGCGAGATTGAACTGCATACATATGCTTGTCAATCTCAATTAATTAACTAAGAAAAAGAAAAATTTAAGAGAAAGCAATTTATGTATCCAAAAGTCAGCTTTTATATGTGACCTAAGACAAACCAAATTGGTAACAACACCAATACAAGTTACTTTTGACATTTTCCTGTGACCTTGTTGGAACAAATGGAAAAAAATAATAGAAAGCTGCTGCCTTTTCACTAAATCCATTTTAAGATCATGAACTACTTCAATACTTAAGAAAAAAGTGAAACACTTTTCACTGTGAAATAATGGGTGCCAAGATTTTATGGCTCCAGGGTCAGCATCCTGAAGAAATTCAGTCACAAAAAGAGCAGAAAATTTACAGTCTATAATTAGCCCTCTTTCCACTACTTTTGGCTTTACCCGATGGCAGGAGACCCATGGTTTGCAATTGCTTCCATTAAATAGCCTTAGGATATTTCGTTTGGGATGCTAACTTTAAATGTTGCTGAACTTGGCACCTGTCTGGTAATATTTAAAAGGTTTTCTTTGTTTCAATACCTTCTACCTTCCTTGAGTCACAATAAGAGGTAACACATTTGCGTATTAGGTGAAGGTGAATGGCAGTTCATGCCAGTTAGGAATTTATTTAGAGAATGTAAAGCCTTTCAAAATCTAACTTTTTTTTGCTTAAGGAGATTCATTTTCAATCTAGTGGCAGAAGTCATGAATACAATCAATTATTGAAAAGGGAAAATAACATGTTGCTGAAAAATGAATAGAGAAATAATAAAATACAGAGAGTGCTCTGACAAGGTAAAGGACTATTCCCAGGGCCCCGATTCAGCTCTGAAAGAGGTTTTTATCAGTGAGTATGAGATAAGACCAAAGGCTATTTGCCCACAGTCTGGGAGAGATGGAGAAAAAGAAGACTAGAGCAGGAGAAACAGGACAGGAGATAGTGGATTGGATTTAATAAGGCAACATGTAGATGAATGTTAAGATACATGCATGTTTGTGTAGAAAGTAAAGCACAGATCAAAGATATGGAAACAAAATTTATCATGTTGATACAAACAGAAACTTAATGTTGGATTTGTTCTTGACAAGTGCAAGATTGCAGGAAGACAGCTCAAAAACAGACTAAAATATATAATTGTATTAAAAGAAGTAAACACTGGCTCTTTTCTTTGAACTCACACTCTATGATCTCCTAAATTGCGTGCCTCTTATTGAAAAACACTCTGAGGATTGCATTTATATTTTGGCTTTGATTCTGCAATTAAGCTTTCTTTTAAGTAAAGAAAAAAACAAACCAGCTCTCAAAGAGCGTTTTGTTTGTTTCCCGAAGTGTGTTAAAGATTCCAAGTAGATGAACTGTTTTTGTTTCTTTTAGTGAGTCAGAACACTTCCATCAGTTTTTGCACGTGGGCCTTTGAAGGTGGCGACAGTCATATGACATTCATTTCATCTTTCACATGGAAAATCTCTGATCATGAGAGGTAATGGGCCTCTGAACATCAACAATTGTCTCATGTTTACACCACTACGATGATTTGCTGATACAAGAAGCTTGAAATTAGAGTCTTGTTAGCTAGGCAAGTGGTACCTAAAGTACTGTTTAAAAATGTAAATGATGAAATAATTAGGTCTTTTGTTGGACATGTGTGTTGAAAGGCTGAAATTGGAATTAATTTCAGTATTGAAAAGATTCCTTAATTTTATCTGGGCTTCACCCCAAACAGCTGTTAGTATAGATGTTACAAATTTCATAGAGTCTTCACCATGAATAAATGATGATCTTCTGGCTTAGGAGAAAAGTAAAAACTTTCCTGGATACCTGTATAAATGGCGGTTTGCTTGAGTATGTTGATGTGCATTCTGGATGCTTATGAGTATACTGAGAGAATATACTCATCTTAAAAACATTAGGTCTGCGATGAAGAAACTGAAGCTATACTATATCCACAAGTTTACTAAAAGTTTTAGTCAGTCTTTGCTTTAGATACTTTTCTAGTTAGCAATTTTGGTGATAATACCACCAGATAGATGGTACCTTCCCTTTCCCCACCTCCAAACTGCAAATACACCTTTGACCATTGTTAAGTGTGTTATTTTAGACACGTTAAGGTGTCTTGGCTTCCTCACTGCTAAACAAGGATGATACCACTCATCCCAGAGTGTTGATGTGAGAATTAAATGAGAAAATACAGTAGTCCCCCCATTATGAATGGTTTTGCTTTCCATGGTTTCAGTTACCTGTGGTCACCTGTCGTCCAAAAATAGGTGAATATAGTACAATAAGATATTGTGGGGGAGAGGGGGAGACCACACTCACTAACTTTTATTACAGTATTATAATTGTTCTTTTTTATTAATTAGCTATTGTTATTAATCTCTTATTATGCCTAATTTATACATTAAACTTTATGATGGATATATGGGAAAAAACAGAGTATATATAGGATTCAGTACTATCTGTGGTTTCAGGCATCCATTGGTGTCTCGCTGTTACCCTGAGGATAAAGGAGGCCTACTGTATACATGTAGCAGGGACTGAAGCTGAGACTCATATGGACTTTTATTTGCTTTGCCAACACTATTTAATCACTCCACCTTACATCTTCTTGTAGTCTGTATTGTCAGCCTACTTGAACAGCTTGAAAATGTCTCTCAGACTGCTGGTAAAGAGCTGAAAACTTATCTATTGCTATAATTTGGCCTTGGCTATGGGTAGACAATCGATTTACTCATAGAGGATAAAGTGTGGTATCTAGATAGCAGACTGTGATAACAGAGACCTTATAGAAGGTCCTCATAAATGAAGAAGAAATATGATTGTTCTAGAATCTGCATGTGGACTGAGCAAGCTCCACCTTGATTCCAGAGAAAGCCTTAAGGAAGTGGGCAGAAAGATGTGGACACTTGATGTTTTGAAAGCTGTCAGTGTGTGGGGGAATGTACCACGGCAGCTGCAGTGAACTTAGAGCTGCATCTGGGGGATGTGGGAAGAGAGTCTGCAATTCCAAGGGTACATTGGATTCGCCAGTGAGCAGACACCAACTTGTGGGAAGTCTCTATCTTCTAGATGGTTCTGGCAGCAGATGTGGCTACAAACAGTGTTGCAAAAGGTTGAAAAGGATATCACTGAATGAGAGCTGCAAGCATCATTCACCTTCTGTCCTTGGGGACTCTAGGAGGGGTACAAAAATAGGCAGTGGCATTTTATTAAAAAAAATAAAAAATAGCAAATGTTGGTGAGGAAGTGGGGAAAGAAGAACTCTTATACACTATTAGTAGGAATGTCAGTTAGTACAGCCACTGTGGAAGAAGACAGTATGGAACTTCCTCAAAAAATTAAAAATAGAACTACCGTATGGCCCAGCAATTCTACTACTAGATATATAGACAAATGAAAGGAAATCAATATCTTGAATAGATATCAGCACTCCCATGTTTATTATAGCACTATTCACAATAGCCAAGATATGGAATTAACCTAAGTGTCCTTAAACAGATGAATGGATAAGGAAAAATGTGGTATATATACACAATGGTATACACAGCCTTAAAAAGAATGAAATACTGTCATTTGCAAAAACACGCATGAGCTTGAAGGACATCATAAGTGAAAGACACCAGGCTCATAAAGACAAATACCTCATGATCCCTCTCATACGTGGAGTCTAAACAAGTTGATCTCATAGAGGTAGAGGCTAAAATGGTAGTTATCAGAGGCTGGGAAAAGGAGGGGAGTGTTGGTCAAGGGGTAAAAAGTTACCGCTGGATAAGTGGAATAGGTTCTAGTGTTCCATGGCACAGTAGAGTGACTATGGTTAAGAATAATGTATGTTTCAAAATAGCTAGAAGAGAGAAATTTGAATGTTCTTACCACAAATAAATGATAAATTTTTAGGTGACAGATATGCTAATTACCCTAATTTGATTTTTACACATTGCATACATGTATTGATGCATCACTCTGTATGCAAAAAGTATGTATAATTATTATGCGTCCATTTTATAAAATCAGATTTTAAAAAAAGAATGGGGAGTAGCAGTTGGAAAGTATTATTAATAGACCTAGGGGTGAACTACTTAAAATGACTGGGCCTAGAATCTCATAGTAGATTACATTCAGACTACCTACTGAAGGGCCACTGGGAATTCTGGGTGATAAATGAAGGTAGAAAGTCTTGGAAAAAGTCTAGAATTCTCTTAGTTTCATGACTTGGTGTTTTCTTATAAATATGACCCTATTTTTTTTTTTTGTTTTGTTTTTTGAGATGAAGTCTCACTCTGTCACCCAGGCTGGAGTGCAGTGGCACGATCTGGGCTTACTGCAACCTCCGCCTCTGGGGTTCAAGTGATTCTCCTGCCTTAGCCTCCCAAGTAGCTAGGACTACAGGTGTGTGCCACCACAGCTGGCTAATTTTTGTATTTTTAGTAGAGATGGATTTTCACCATGTTGGCCAGGCTGATCTTGAACTCCTGACCTCGGATGATCTGCCTTGGCCTCCCAAAATGCTGGCATTACAGATGTGAGCCACCACACCTGGCCAAATATGACCCTATTTGTATTCACCCCTGAAATGTACACATTAGATGCATATAAAACACATAACAGAAAGTACAACATACAATAAGTAGTTAAGAAATGGATGTTGCTATTTAATATTGTTGTTGTTGTCAATATCAATCCATTAACCCCACTGCAACCAATATCTGCTATTTCTATAAGCATAGTAGAAAATCAATTAAAATGTGTTAGATAAATGAAAAAATGCATCTCTGAGATCTGTATAGCTTTTCTGCAGAAGCCTGAAGTTATAAAGTTATAGAAGATGAATTCAGAATCAATGAAAAATATGGATCTGGATACTTATCATTCTATTTCAGGATGTTTCTGTCTGTAGCATTTGTTACCACTATCCTAATGCAACTGTTATTTTTCTATTACTGCCAATGACATTCTGTTTCTATAATCACTAAAACCATCGTCCTGGTGCTGCTTCTCTACTGATAGTGGGAACACTTTGCTGAGCTGCTGCGGGGATGTAGATTGAGAAATGGTCCCTCTCCTTATCATTCCTAGGGAATTTGTGCTTCCTGTCTGCTTTGAGTAATTAGAGGTCCTGGTTCTAATCAAGGGCAATAATAAAATTTCCACTAAACTGGAAGAATTGGCTTACACCAGTTTATTTAGGGTCCCTCATTCTAGTAAACCATCAGGCAAAGAAATTAGATACTCTACAGGAAGGAATAATTGAGCCAAATTATCATAAGGACATAAGGATGTTGCTACATAATGAAGCTTTATGGAGACTCCCGATGCTTATATGCATAGTGATAATAGTGAACAGATTATTCTAGAAACTATAGCCCTGACAAAGGCCTCATATTTAAGGGCTTAGACACCTCAGTGGTGAAACAGGTTGACCTTAGTTTACAGAGCCAGTGACCTAGACCAAAGCGCTGGCTGAATTTGATTACAACCTAAAACAGGTGGTGGAGGAGAAAGAAAATTAATATCAGTTATGGCCTGAACAAATTGTATCAATGCAACTGGGAATAAAGTTTATACCATGAATCTTCCTATTGTCTTTTTCTTTTTTTAAAAAAAAGAAATTGTGAATACTTATGAATTTTAAATATCTGTGATAGGACTGAGGTCTGAGTAAATTTAATTTGGATCATGAGTTGGGTCACAAGGGAGGGACTGTAGCAGATGCTATCAGTTGACCACCAGTATTTCTCTGGCACTAACTCTATCTATACAAGTCGATTGCTTCTTACTGCAAATACCTGACAATTCTCTGAATACTTTCACTGTCTGTAGGAATGATATTGGCTTGTGTGCATGACTGGCTGGAAATGACGAGGAGTTAACATTCCTGAGAGCAACCCTAAACCAATTATGGATGGAAGCGATGAAGTAATATTGTAGTGTCTCATCCCTCTGGTGGGATGACTGAGGGGTGTTCTACGTGGTCTCCCAGAGGTCCCTAAAAGATTGTTTCAATTTCCCACAATGGCAAACTGTTCATTAACATACCCTATATTGGCTGTATTGTCTTTCCTGTCTTACTGCCCCACTCTCTTACTGGTGCTTCTTGGAATTACGTCCCAAATAAGATACTTGCACCTACATCTTTGTCTCAAGGAACCCAACCTAAAAGTGGCAAAACAAGTCAGAGTCCTGACCTCCCTCTACTTATAGACTAGTAAAAGAGAATGATGTTAATCAAATAATTACATTATAATTGTAAAATTGCAACAGTGATGAGTACTGCAAAGAAGCTGTATTGCATATAAAAGGGACTAGAAGGGGATTTGATGTGTGTATGTGTGTTGGAGTCAGGGAAGGTCTCTCCTTAGGAAGTGATGCTTTAGCTGTGAATTGGAAGACAAGAGAGATAGAGCAGGGTTCTGCATGGAGGAGCAATCTGTGCCAAGAGCCTGTGGGAGAAAGCAGTGTGGGATGTAGAGATACTCAAGAAAAACCAGTGTGGCTGAAGTAGAGGATGATGGGAAGTTCAGTGGGGAACAAGACCAGAAGGTAGGTAGGATTCAGACAGTGCTGGGATTTCTAATGGCATATTTCTATGAAGCTCTATGGGAAGCCACTGGGAGAGCTTAACCAGGGGTTCATATCATCAGATTTACATTTTAAAAAGGTCACTTTGTCTGCGGTATGGAAAGAGTGAGTCAACTGAAGGATGTTTGGTCTTAGCTGATATAGGAGTCTAGGTGAAGGCTTTTTCTACTGTCATTACTTGGACCTGATTTGACCCCAGGGTTTATATCCTGGCTCTGTCACTTTCAAAATGATCTTTGGCATGTAACTTAATTTTCCTGAGCTGCAGTTGTCTTATGGGTAAAATAATTATAACTACATATTATAATACTGATTAGAATAGTGCCTGACACATAGTAAGCGCAATCCATATGTTAGCTGTTATTAACATCATTATTATCTTCCAACATGACATAGTTGGAAATGGATTGACTTTAAGGTGGATTATTGTCCAGGGGCTCTAGTTTCATTTTTGGTGCATACAACTTCTGCTGTAAAAACTCGTGTAGTGGGACGTGAAGTGGCAGAGGGTCTGGAATCAAATACAGGCATGGGTGCTTCCCAGCTGGACAACCTTGAGCAAGTTACATCATTCCTGATTCCTTCTCTTTACTATAAGGAGGGAGCTAATAATGGTACCTACTTCTTTGGATTATTGTGGGAAATAAATGAACTTTTCATCAAATACTGGTAGATGACACATAAGCTTCATATCCATTGTAGCTATTGTGATAAGAATTAATAATTGTCCTTTCTAGTTGCCATTCTACTAGTTTATTCTTCTTCCAATGTGATCCTGTTATAATCCTCAAATAAGAATCTAAGATAGCATTTTGGAATAACTTTTACCTTATAAAAGCACCTGGACAATAATCCACCTTAAAACCAAGCCCTTAGTTTAGAAAATCTTGCAAAAACATAGATACATTCACCACCTTTCATTACATTCATTCACCTTTAAAGGAGGATACATTCTTCTTTAAATTTTACATTTTATACCACTTTAATGTGTTTATATTTTGAACATCACACATCTACTGCTATATTATTGTTGCAATAAGGTCCTCATCAAAATGACTCTGACTGTATATCTCTATGAGTGAAATAACCACTCTGAACTGAATGATTATCTAAGCAAATTGCTAAGAACCTTCCAGGTGTTATACCACTTTCCTCTTGGCTTCAATGATTTCATCATAATTATTATTGCAAAATACCACATATTTTGCTCATAAGCATGAAAACTTGTGTTCTTACACAATTTTCTCTCAGGGCTGAATTATAATGTTTTATGAAGTAGAAGAAAAACATGTTTTTTTACTTGGAAATTATGTGAAGTAAAAAACAACCAAACTATGAATACAAATACATTTTTTATTGAAGTACATTAAGCATATTAACTTTTTTGTGAACATTGTCTATTTATTGAGTGTGGCCTTTAAAACAATTTTTAGCATGATATAGAGATGTTGAGAAACAATCTCCTTTCTTGGATAGAATTAGATTAGTCTTTTCCATTTTATGTTTTTAGCACATTTTTCTGTATATATACTTATGCTTTCTTTCTACATAGATTATTAAGTTTCTTTAACTAATGAGTGGGGTTAATTAATTTTTTGCATTTAAATATGTGATATATAAAGTTGAAGATTGTTTCTTAATTGATTTTTGTTCTGCTAAATAACTGTGCACATTTAATAGTTACAAGATATCAAATTTAATCCAGATAACAATGTACATTATTCATGTTTTAACATATTTTTCCTTCATATTACAAAATATTACTAATATATTTTGAGTAAGAAATTTTCCCATTGTTCTTGATTCATATTCTCATCATCAAAAGGAGATTTCTAAAATTAGTTGATTCCATTTTTGATGTTTTGATTGTTTCTGCAAATAGGATCTTTTGAGCCTATTTTCTATCAAAGACACTTTACTGAGCATACTTTGAAAATAGCACGTTTATTTTCTGTTTATATCAGCAGGTGTGCAAAGTGATTACTTCAGTTTTTATACCTTGTTTCTGACATGTTACCCCAAATTTTCAATGGCTCAATGACTGTAAAATGCATAGTAACAACTCTTGAAAACTTTAAATAATTTTGAGCTTCAATATATGTAAGTACATGGGTAGTCACTGGCAGTGTCAACTATTGTGCAAGGAACAATTTCAAAGATGAAACATAAAATTCCATTTCAGATCAGCATTAACAAATTAACATTTGCAATTGTTCTGAGGATTGGAAACACTAACTTGAATCCCAGTTAAGCAAAATGTTATTCCTTCCAAAACAATTACTTCCTTTTTATTAAATTTACATGTATTATGACAAAATTGTACTCAATTATTAATATATTTTAAATTCTATCAATAAACATTTTTTGATTTTTTTCTTTTTTGTTTTGAAAGTGCCTACATTATATCTTTGATTTTTGCCTCTTGTCTTGCAAAGCCTAAAATATTTGTTATTCGGTCCTCTAGAGAAAAAAAAAAAAAAGAAAATATATATATATACATATATATGTGCTGACTTCTGCCTTCAGGAAATTGTCCTGGTTGTAGGAGGAAGAATGGTTTGTAGGGAGGTGAGGCGTCTGGTTAGGGTGCTATTTGCAGAAGTGCAGGTGAGAACGGATGGAGTTTGGAACCAAGCAGGAGGGTTAGAGTGGTCCCCCGACTAACAAGAGAGTGCTGAGCCTTTTCTATGCTCCCTTGGCAGGAGAAGGGAAGGGGTGGGAGTCATCCTCCCTGTCACCAAAAATGGTTTCTAAAACAACAATTAACAGAAATTTGGGTTGATAATAGAATATATCGAATGCAATTTTTACTAGAATTAACTTATTTGATCTTCATAGTAATCCTATGGTAGGAGATATTATTATCTCCATTTTATAGATGAGTTATCTGAGGTACAGAGAAATTTAAAAACATGCCTAGTGTCACAGGAGCAGTAAATGGAGGCACTGTAACTTGAATTGAGCAGTGTGGCTCAAGCGCTCAGTCTCTGAGTCACCACTAGACTGCCATTTCGATAAAGAAGGGAGGCAGCTATCTCTCATCCTGGATGGATGTCTGCCGAGGTGGTGTGCTTGTGGTTCTGTCCCATTACCTACCAGAACAGGAGAAAGGAGCAGGGAAGAGATGGCAGGGTGAATACACAGGAGAAGTAAGAGAGAAATCTGCATTCCCAATGTGTGGTGTGTCATGGGTGTGTAGGCCAGGTAGACGGACCCTGTGAAAAGAAGCAAGACTTCATCTATCTTAAGAGGACTTTATGGCAGAGAGTGGCTTGCTGAGGTAGGAATCCAAAAAGCAAGAGGTGAGAGGAGAGAGAGGTGGGGGATTTAAGCTGGAAAGTCTCTCACATCAGCAACTACACCGTGAAGATTTCTTTAAGATTTCCTGAGGAACCCACTAGGTCACCTACCACATAGAGTAAAATGACAGTCAGGCTGGATGTGGTGGCTCATGCCTATAATTCCAGCACTTTAGGAGGCTGAGATGGGACTACCACTTGAGGCCAAAGGTTTGAGACCAGCCTGGGAAACACAGTGAGACTCCATTTCTATAAAAGTAAAAATTAGCCAGGCGTGGTGGTGTGCTCCTGTAGTCCCAGCTATTTGGGAGGTGGGAGGCTGAGGTGGGTGGATTGCTTGAGCCCAGGAGTTTGAGGCTGCAGTGAGCTTTACTTGCACCATTGCACTCCAGTCTGGGCAACAGAGTGAGAAAGAAAAGAAAAGGAAATGACAGCCAAGACAAGAAAAGAAAAAGACAGCCAGGAGAGGTCTTCAGCAGCAAGAGGTATTTGGAAAAACGTGTGCCCTTTTCTCTGTTTCCTGCTCCACCCTAACCTACCCCAACATTGAAGAAGATGTAATGAAAGCCAAATTGTGTGGGTGTGTGAGAGGAGGTGTGGAGTGGTGGCAGACTAGTGGGGCGGGGAAGCAGGGACAGAATGAGGGCAAGAGGAGATGGGAGAGATAAGACCAGCATCCTTGTTAACTTTATGTCTCGTTGATCTGTCTAATGTTGACAGTGGGGTGTTAAAGTCTCCCATTATTATTGTGTGGGAGTCTAAGTCTCTTTGTAGGTCACTAAGGACTTGCTTTATGAATCTGGGTGCTCCTGTATTGGGTGCATATATATTTAGGATAGTTAGCTCCTCTTGTTGAATTGATCCCTTTACCATTATGTAATGGCCTTCTTTGTCTCTTTTGATCTTTGTTGCTTTAAAGTCTGTTTTATCAGAGACTAGGATTGCAACCCCTGCCTTTTTTTGTTTTCCATTTGCTTGGTAGATCTTCCTCCATCCCTTTATTTTGAGCCTATGTGTGTCTCTGCACGTGAGATGGGTTTCCTGAATACAGCACACTGATGGGTCTTGACTCTTTATTCAATTTGCCAGTCTGTGTCTTTTAATTGGAGCATTTAGCCCATTTACATTTAAACTTAATATTGTTATATGTGAATTTGATCCTGTCATTATGATGTTAGCTGGTTATTTTGCTCGTTAGTTGATGCAGTTTCTTCTTAGCCTTGATGGTCTTTACAATTTGGCATGTTTTTGCAGTGGCTGGTAGCGGTTATTCCTTTCCATGTTTAGTGCTTCCTTCAGGAGCTCTTTTAGGGCAGGCCTGGTGGTGACAAAATCCCTCAGCATTTGCTTGTCTGTAAAGTATTTTATTTCTCCTTCACTTATGAAGCTTAGTTTGGCTGGATATGAAACTCTGGGTTGAAAATTCTTTTCTTTAAGAATGTTGAATATTGGTCCCCACTCTCTTCTGGCTTGTAGAGTTTCTGCTGAGAGATCAGCTGTTAGTCTGATGGGCTTCCCTTTGTGGGTAACCCGACCTTTCTCTCTGGCTGCCCTTAACATTTTTTCCTTCATTTCAACTTTAGTGAATCTGACAATTATGTGTCTTGGAGTTGCTCTTCTTGAGGAGTGTCTTTGTGGCGTTCTCTGTATTTCCTGAATTTGAATGTTGGCCTCCCTTGCTAGATTGGGGAAGTTCTCCTGGTTAATGTCCTGCAGAGTGTTTTCCAACTTGGTTCCATTCTCCCTGTCACTTTCAGGTACACCAATCAGATGTAGATTTGGTCTTTCCACGTAGTCCCATATTTCTTGGAGGCTGTGTTCCTTTCTTTTTATTCTTTTTTCTCTAAACTTGTCTTCTCGCTTCTTTTCATTCATTTCATCTTCCATCGCTGATACCCTTTCTTCCAGTTGATCACATCGGCTACTGAGGCTTCTGCATTCGTCACGTAGCTCTCATGCCTTGGTTTTCAGCTCCATCAGGTCCTTTAAGGACTTCTCTGCATTGGTTATTCTAGTTATCCATTCGTCTAATTTTTTTTTAAAAGCTTTTAACTTCTTTGCCATTAGTTCGAATTTCCTCCTGTAGCTCGGAGTAGTTTGATCATCTGAAGCCTTCTTCTCTCAACTCATCAAAGTCATTCTCTGTCCAGCTTTGTTCCGTTGTGGGTGAGGAGCTGCATTCTTTTGGAGGAGGAGAGGCACTCTGATTTTTAGAGTTTCCAGTTTTTCTGCTGTTTTTTTTTCCCCATCTTTGTGGTTTTATCTACCTTTGGTCTTTGATGATGGTGACGTACAGATGGGTTTTTGGTGTGGATGTCCTTTCTGTTTGTTAGTTTTCCTTCTAACCGACAGGACCCTCAGCTGCAGGTCTGTTGGAGTTTGCTAGATATATGGTGCTGGGAAAACTGGCTAGCCATATGTAGAAAGCTGAAACTGGATCCCTTCCTTACACCTTATACAAAAATTAATTCAAGATGGATTAAAGACTTAAATGTTAGACCTAAAACCATAAAAACCCTAGAAGAAAATCTAGGCATTACCATTCAGGACATAGGCATGGGCAAGGACTTCATGTCTAAAACACCAAAAGCAATGGCAACAAAAGCCAAAATTGACAAATGGGATCTAATTAAACTAAAGAGCTTCTGCACAGCAAAAGAAACTACCATCAGAGTGAACAGGCAACCTACAAAATAGGAGAAAATTTTTGCAATCTACTCATCTGACAAAGGGCTAATATCCAGAATCTACAATGAACTCCAACAAATTTACAAGAAAAAAACAAACAACCCCATCAACAAGTGGGCGAAGGATATGAACAGACACTTCTCAAAAGAAGACATTTATGCAGCCAAAAAACACATGAAAAAAATGCTCATCATCACTGGCCATCAGAGAAATGCAAATCAAAACCACAATGAGATACCATCTCACACCAGTTAGAATGGTGATCATTAAAAAGTCAGGAAACAACAGGTGCTGGAGAGGATGTGGAGAAATAGGAACACTTTTACACTGTTGATGGGAGTGTAAACTAGTTCAACCATTGTGGAAGTCAGTGTGGCGATTCCTCAGGGATCTAGATCTAGAAATACCATTTGACCCAGCCATCCCATTACTGGGTATATACCCAAAGGATTATAAATCATGCTGCTATAAAGACACATGCACACATATGTTTATAGCGGCACTATTCACAATAGCAAAGACTTGGAACCAACCGAAATGTCCAACAACGATAGACTGGATTAAGAAAATGTGGCACATATACACCATGGAATACTACGCAGCCATAAGAAATGATGAGTTCATGTCCTTTGTAGGGACATGGATGAAACTGGAAACCATCATTCTCAGCAAACTATTGCAAGGACAAAAAACCAAGCACCACATGTTATCACTCATAGGTGGGAATTGAACAATGAGAACACATGGACACAGGAAGGGGAACATCACACTCCGGGGACTGTTGTGGGGTGGGGGGAGGGGGGAGGGATAGCTTTAGGAGAGATACCTAATGCTAAATGACGAGTTAATGGGTGCTTCACACCAACATGGCACATGTATACATATGTAACAAACCTGCACGTTGTGCATATGTACCCGAAAACTTAAAGTATAATAGCAATAAAATTTAAAAAAAAAGACCAGCATCCTTCTCACTCCATTTCCTTCACACTGACTCTGAATCTGCTCAAGCTGAGATAAAATTCAAATTTCTCTCCTACAAAGTCTTCATGTGTTCAGAGAATATGAACAAATCTGACTGTGGAATAATGCCAATAAATAGATCTGATTACACACAGATGCTGCAAAGCATTTCATAAGACAATTTGGGGCA
This sequence comes from Homo sapiens, assembly GCF_000001405.40. Taxonomy (NCBI): domain Eukaryota; kingdom Metazoa; phylum Chordata; class Mammalia; order Primates; family Hominidae; genus Homo; species Homo sapiens. The sequence goes on along the minus strand of NC_000001.11, from coordinate 99,352,968 downwards.
GAACATGTTTTACAGTAGTATTGACTATATGCCTATATTATGTAGATTCTCTTTGCAAATGAATTTACCGTGATTTTTAAAACTTTTCAAGCAAACTGGCATCCATATTGACTGTCTGCAGCATCCTTCCCCATCTCCACCCTCAGTTTCATTCTGTGCTGAACCCAAAGTGATGCAGACAAAGGTGAAGTGCAACAGGCTGACCCGGGAGAATCAGCTATTTGTCTTAGAATTTAAAAGACGTCTATGTATTTGTGCAAAACTTGAATCATGCTGCTGCTGCTGATGTTGATGTCATGTAATTTAATTGCAAGGCAAAACAGGGAGAACTGGAGTTATACTTCTAATATTCAAAAAGCCAAAGTGGCTGGGTGAGGTGCTCACACCTGTAATCCCAGCACTTTGGGAGGCTGAGGTAGGAGGATCACTTGAGCTCAGGAGTTTCAGACCGTCCTGGGCAACCAAGTGAGATGACCCCCATCTCTACCAAAAAAATACCAAAATTAGCCAGACCTGGTGGCGGGTGCCTGGAGTCCCAGCTCCTCAGGAGGCTGAGTGGAGAGGATTGCTTGAGACCTGAGACCAGAGAGTTAAGCCTGCAGTGAGCGCACTGTTCTCCAGGCTTGGCAACAGAGTGAGGCTGTCTCAGAACAAAACAAAATGAAACAAAACAAAGCAACCCAAACTCCCTCATCCTCAAATTTTACCCATTTAAAAAAACGTAAAAATGTTGTAAAAACTGCATTCATTCTTTTATTCAATGAAATTTTACTGATCACCTATTATGTACCAGTTTGTGTTTTAGGCATGAGAGATTCAGCAGTGAAGAAAAGAAACATAATTCCTTTCTCTCACATAGCTTATAATGTGGATGTGGGTTTGTTGGAGTTGGCAAGATAGAGAAGTGACAGACAATAAATCGATTATATAAATAAATTATATAATATGCTAGAAGGTGTTTGTTGTTATGGGGGAAAAAGAAAGATAGGGGATTGGAAATAGGGGATATGTGTAAAAGTGGTTTGCAATTTTAAATAGGGGTTTTCCGGGTAATATATATGAGATTAATTTGCACCTGGCAAAACATCATACAAAACCTAATTGCTTTTATTGTTTGAGGGAATCACAATGCAGGCATCTGTTTTTCAGGGTGGGTACATGCAAATTTTGTAATAAAGAATGTACAAAGTCACAGAGTAGCAGAGTATCCTATTTAAGCCTTATGTACTTATTAAGCATCTCTGCACCCTGATCCCTAAATGTCTTCTAATAAAGCTGTAAAACTACTTCACTGGAAGTGGATGTCCTTATGGTGACTATGAATGATTTAAGGAAAGATTTAAAACAGAAGACTGAGGTCAGATATACTTATCTCTACAGTGATTTCCAAATATCACGTCATCCATTGGTCCATCTATCCATCACCTAATATTTACTCAGATGCATGATATCCAGGGCGTCTTTTTTTATTATTATACTTTAAGGGCATCTTGAATAAGTGCTAGCACAGTTACAAAAGTGCTCATGGTCTAGGGTGAGAATAGAGGTAATAGGGTTATTTAGGAATTATGCTCTGGAGATTTAATTTGGTGCTAATTACACTATTTCAGGAAACTGACTAAAAATCTCATTTGACATCAAAGCAAAAATGTAAAATGATCCTTTGAAAAGTGGAGCAATAGATCTTCGTATATATAGCATGCAGATCTTTAGTTTGATGATAGAGGTGATGAACCAGCATAAACTTCTATAGAAAGTTTCATAGTGTGGGAAACATTGTAAAAATCAAAATGAAATGAAAAGTAAAAGGAGTTAGCTGTTGAAATATCCTTTAAATAGTATTAATATTAAAAATTCTAATTATTAACATAATGAAAGCCAGATTTGAATAGAAATAGTTTATGTCATTTAGGATAATTTTCAAGATGGCCCTGACAGCTTTGCATTAATGGACTTTTTCATATTCCTGTACTTATAATCACTGTGATCTCATTAAGATTATATACTCCAATTACATAAATATTAAATAAATAATTTTTATTATAAATGTTCAAATAATTCAGATAAAGAATGCTGTGGTTTAAATATTTGTTCCCTTGAAAACTCATGTTGAAATTTAATCCCCAATGTGGCAGTATCCAGAGGCTGGGTCTTAAAGAGGTGTTGGGTCATGAGGGTTCTTTCCTCTTCAATGGATTAATCCATTCATGGATTAATGGTCAATAAATTAATGGATTAATGGGTTATTACGGGAGTGGAACAGGTGGCTTTACAAGATGAGGAAGAGAGACCTGAGCTAGCATGCTCAGCCCCCTCACTATGTTATGTTCTGTGCCACCTTGGGACTCTGCAGAGTCCCCACTAGCAAGAAAATATATGGCCTCTCAACTTTGGTCTTCTCAGATGTGGCCTCTCAACTTTGGTCTTCTCAGATTCCGTAACTATAAGAATTTTTTTTCATTATAAATTACCCAATTTTAGGTATTCTGTTATAAGCAACAGAAAATGGACTAAGACAAAGTAAAGTTTCCATTTACCTTATTCCTAGTCCCAGCTACCTCCTAGGAAATATCCACCATTATTAGTTTAACATTCTGTATAACATTATTACATAAGAGTTTATTACATATGTGTATATAGGAATATATTGTTTTATTTTGTGTGACTTGTTTTTAAATTAAATGGGACTATAATGTGAATATTATTCTACAAATTGTATTTTTACTCTGTAGTACACCTTGGAGATCTTTCCACATGTGTAAATATTGATGTCTTATTCTTTCCAAGAGCTGCATAGCAGTCCATTGTATGACCTTCCATAATCATTATTTTATTCATGGATATTTTGGTGTTTTCAACTTTTTACTGTAACAGACAATGTCACAGTGAATGCCATGTGTGCTTTCTTCTACACACAAATATTTCTTTCATGAATATATTGAAAAGTACAATTGCTGGGTGACAAAGTAGCCATGTTTTAACTTCTGAGAGTACTGACAATCATTCCCTAGAAAGAGTGTGCCAGTTTACACCCCTAACAGTAATATACAACAATATCAATTTTCCGACAATCTCATTGACACATAGTAGTATCAAAGTTTAAAGTGTTTTTATAATTTCCTATTATTTCTCATTGATTTATATGAGATCTGTATCTATTTTAGGAAGTAATCGTCTCCCCATTACAAAGATTGAAAATATACTCTTCCTGTCTGAATTTTATCTATTCTGAATACTAGTCAATTTTTCTGTTATGTAGATGGACAGTACATTCTCCCAATCTGTAGTTTGTTTTCTGATTTTTAAAGTTCTTAATTTTGGTGTAGTCAAAATAATGAGTCTTGAGTATTTTCTTTGTGGCTTCTGTGTTTTGTATGTTGTTTAAAAAAGTCTCTTTTATCCCAAAGTTATAAACAGGCTTTTTTTAAAAAAATAGCGTGTTTGCAGTTTTGATTTTCACCTTTGTGTCTTTGATCCATATGGAATTTGTCTCTTTGCAAATGGTGTAAAAAAGAGATTTAACCTAAATTTTTCTCACATTTTACTGACTACACCCTCCCAACTGGGTTGTTTTATCAATTATTGCATATTTATCCATACAAAGGCTTGTTTCTGGACCCTATCCTCTTACAATAATCCATTTATCTCTTTGTGTATCAATACTATCATTTTTTAATTCTTACTTCCTTCTGACTTTACAATGCCTGCCACTCTGCATGTTAATATTAGCGAACCAAATATCATGTTTCTAAGAAAGGATCCTGGCATAGGGTAGAAGTTAAATTGACATTTATTGAATTTTTTAAAAAACTGTGAGTCTCCTTCAGCAGACTGAAAAAATAGTGTATATAATAATAAGATAAGTTGGACTCTATTTTTTTCCTCTTTGCCAGGCTGACATATTCCAAACTTTGGGATTGAAATAAACTCATTATATCAACCCCTGAACCGCCCCCCCACCACACTGCCAAGGGGAGAAGCTAGCATAGCCATCTGACTTCTGCATTTATAAATAGCTATGTTTACAGTAAAACGTAGTGGACTGGAGCTTCCAGTAGCTCCTGTCAATCAAGAAAAGAAAGACCAGGCTGTAAAGCAGTAAGACAAGGCATTTATTGGGGTCTTAGGAACTGCAATTCAGGAGATACAGATTCAACTAGAAGCCAAATTGTGTTCCAAAAAGAGGAAAGGGAGTAGTGATTTTTGAAAGGACACTGAGGGTGATTACACAAACTGTTTTAAAAGAATTATCATAAGTGGAGGCGGCTGGTTTAGTATGAGTCTATAGCTCATTCGTTGTTACTGTTTAGGAGCTGCAGGGATGGCAAAATTCAGCTATTTTCTAGGATGTTGTGGTTGTGGTGGTTTGGCCCAGCTTACTTTAGGTCATTCAGGGAATTCTTAGAATGGCTTCTTGACTCCATTTTAGACCTCTGAACCAAAGTAACACCATTTTGTTTATCACATAATACACCCCTATGATTGAGGGTTTAAAGAAACTGCAGTTCTTTCTTTTGATTGTTGCCATGTATCTTTAAAGTAAACGACATTATTTTGACATGGTAACTAATTGAGAAAAATTATTCCATAAGCATTACTTTCAAAATGTTTTATTGATGATTTAAAAATTTTAAATAGCAACAAAACAGCAGAATATACACCATGAAATAATACAAATTAAAATAATTTAAAACTTTTGCTTTCTGCTAAGAGAGCTGATGACATTAATAAGAATATTGTAAAAAGAAGTCCTGAATATGATAGAAAATAAAATAAACCTAACACGGTGGCTAAAATAAAATATCGACAGAGCATAACAGAAGACTGTTATGCTGTGAGGCAATTAATTCATTTCTCATTGCTAGGAGATAAGTAATTTAATTTTGTTCTTAACATTAATTATAATCCCTTTTCAAAGTCATTTGGATTTAGGTCAGAAAAAAGAGCCTTATACTTTTAGGTGTTCTAAAAAATACATTATGTAATTTCCGGTTCAGCATACTGGTAGCTTAGAAGTTGCCACTCCATTCTAACAAGGAGAAAGCTGAACAAACTGAAAAAGAAACAACTCTTCTTAAATTGGTAAAAGATGTGAGGTCACAGGGCAAACTACCATCTCCAAAACTGGAGAGATCAACAGATTAATACAGAGAATCTCATTTTAACAGAGCAGAAATCCAGGAGCTGAAACCTCTGTGGGAACCAGTACCAGGATAGGGAAACCTGAACTGTGATTGATAGATTGTTGGAGGCTTCGTGCGGACAAGTCTGAGATATAAAACGTCCAGAGGGCCCCAGTTATTGGGAGTCACCACACTTTTGCAAGTTTTATCTCCAAGAGCTTGACCTGATTCTCATAGTGAATAGAGAAGAAAAATCCCCTCCTGCTTCAGGCAAAGGGCAGTGAAAAGAACCATTTTGAAATATGCCAGTGCACTGTGTACTTAGCAAGGCTGGCCACCAGGAGCAACTATTTAATCAGAGCCTCACCTGTTGGTCTTTATCAGAAACTAACTGACCTGGGGGAAAGGAGATACCCTACTCCAGCTGGCTCTAGTCTTCCAAAGGAGAAAGGAAATAGCCAACTCTAGTCCAATCTAGCCATCCTGTTCCACCAAAGGCAGGGGGTGGGAATGGGAGATGGGGGACCGAGAAGCATTTGTGAAGTTCCCAGGCCAGAGGCACAGTCTCAGCCCTCCTCAGAGGCAGAGCCCTCACAAATGCAATTAGTGCACTTATAAAAGGGGCCCAAGGGAGTGCTTTTGTCTTTCTACTACGTGAGGACACAGTGAAAAGACTGCTGTGGGTGCCTCAAGAAGCAGGCCCTCACCAGACACCAAATCTGCCAGGGCCTTCATCTTTGACTTCTCAACTTACATGACTGTGAAAAATAAACACATTGTTTATAAGCCACCCAGTCTATGGTATTTTGTTATAGCAGCCTGAATAGACTAGGAGAACTGGAGAAAACACAAATCCCAGCCACACACATAGTGCAAGTCCTTTATTGTAAACCATGAATTTATAACTGTGGTTTATCAGTCAGTCAAAATTTAATTTGTGTCTGTTCCTCTTATCTTGGTCACCTTTAAATGGGTGGTTTATGTCGTTTATGAACTTCCAAAGTGGTGGGCCCTTCTGCGACTGCATTGCTCCTTCATGAAGCCTCCCCTGAGTGGTAAACCATCCAATTTCTCATGTTAAAACATGAATTTTCCCCCTGCAAACCTGAACTGAAATGCTGTTTATTTATTCATTTATTGAACATCTCTTAGAAAATATTGTTGTAGGCACTGAAGATACAGCAATGAACAAAATTAACAAAATCTTTGCATTCAGAGTTTATGTTCTAGTGCGATGCTAATAATATATATCCTTGGTTGTAAGAGTCCTTGAAAAGGTTTTAATTCAGTTTCGTTATTTTAATAATCAGAAAATGAACTCTTTTAAAGATGAGATCCCCTGCCCTAGGCCAGATAGTTGAAAGTACAGCTAAGGCTTGAAGCTAAGTTTTCTCATTGGCTGTCAAGAAAAGGAGAAGGTGATAGCAGAGCCAAATTTGTGTTTCCATTGACTGCTGTGTAGTATTGGTAGAGAGGAATGAGGGCCACCTATACTAGTGAAGATTACCAATGGGGATGACAGACCAGGACAGGAATGATTATTCATGTAATTTCCTCATTACTCTGTTTTCAGCAAAAAATTGCCAAAACATCTAGAAGAAAAACTGAGAGGCTATATTTTTAAACCACATAAATACAATATACAATCAAATAATGAAGCAAAACCAAGTAAAAAAAAAAGCACTAGCTAGTTAAGTGGAGATATTTAGTCAATTCTAAAGATTTTGTTTAGTGTTGCTATTGACGTTGTTACTTAAATAACAAAACAACAATTTAGCTATGAGAAAGAAAGTGTTTAAAATATAGACTCAACTAACTCAATTATTGTGACATTAGGACAATTATCTCATGACTATTTGACTTAAGAAACAATTCAATAAATCGTGTGTTTACAGGGCTATAAACCTAACTCAATATTTTCTGTGTTTTGCCACTCGTCCCTGGCAAAGTAGCACAAAGTATGGTTTTGAAGCCTAGGTCCCGGATGTACATGCTTCTTCTACCTATTACTTGGTACGAGTGACTTTGGCCAAGACACTAGCCTTTCTAAGCCTCTGTTTTCTCTTCCTTAAAACATGGCCAATATTTGTTTCCTTACAGATCTGCTGAGAGGATCAAATAGATCTTTGCATAAATGTACACTGTAAGTTAGGGGAAGTGTATATTAAAGTGGTCAAACAAATACTAGGCATTCATCATACATAAAGGCCTATAAAGTCTATGAAGAAATTCACTTAGTTCAAAACATTCTCTGACCTATACTAGCATTTCACTTGCTTCTTAGTGGATCCTATCAAAGGCCTCCCCTGTTGTTATATTAGAAATAAGCAACCTCTAGTTAAAATTGTGAGGTCAGAGAAGTTTGTCTTTATTTCTTGCTCAAACTATTTTCCAATTCATTTTTCCTTTTTCAGATTCTGTACAATGGACATTAAGACATAGGACTTCCTGATTAAGGTTCTTACAAGGATGTCATGAGAAATATGCAATAAAAAGTGCTTCAGATATACAAATAGGTATTATTATTCTTTATTTCAGTTTCTATCATTTGTGCAGGTGAAAGTTAACACCTACAGTCGATAAGTGCTGCTCAGTGATTTCAGATTGTCTCGCACCTCCTACCTACAGAAGGTTGGAAACCAGTTTGCCTTATTTTGTTTGCCTGCTTATGAACCTTTTATCCAGTAGGCTTTCCACATTTTCTTTGGATTATAATTTGAAGTGTTTTTAGATTCTCCTATGGCTTTTTACAAATTATTATTATTACTGGAGCTTTCTGATGCAAGCAGTTTCTGATTTTCCCTTACATATAATTCATCTCAGTACTACCAGAGGCTTAAATGATATATGGACTCAGATTAAACAGAACTCCAAGTTAAGTACAATCACATACAATTTTAGATTATATGTTTATAGACAAAGTTTCCATTTAATTTCTGCTTCTTTTGTACAATCTGAAAAGAGTTTAAACCCTCAAAACTTTTCTAGATTCCTGAATGGTTCACCAAGTTCAAATTTCAGTTCTCCATACCATATGATAAGTAAGAAAATAATACTTTAAAAATAAATAGAAATGATTGGGTCATGCCACTCCATTAACTTTTCAGTTTTATCAATTTATACCAGTCCTTCAAACATGCACAAATTGGACATCAGAATGCTCCACAGAAAATACAAGTTTTAAAAGGTTGGATGCCTGGGTAGGGAATTATGCCTCACACTTTGTATTAAGCACATTCTATATGCCTAGTAGTCACCCAGTGAATTCTTGTTGATTTTAAGTGAGGAGAAAAAAAAATGGAAAATGGGAAAAGGCTTTAGTAGTTGGGGATGAGAGAGCATACTAGAACTAAAAGTAATGAGCATATCTGAAAGTAAATCTTAAAAACCAGAGATTTATAAGCCATGTGAAGAGGTTCAAAATACAAATTTGGATGAGTCAAAGTTCAGACTATTTAATCAATCCTGTATTCCGTCGGGAAATTGGATGTGAAAACTTTGCTCAGCAAAGCTAGTTGAGTCCATGGATTGGCAGAAGCAGAATCTAGGATTCTCAACCAGATTAGAAGACTTTTCTTCTAGAGAAGGCTGGGAAAATCTTGAGAGAAGGGTGCAGTGGGAGTACCCTAACAACAAGGACACTGGGTGAGTGAGAAGGAAGTCTGAATATTGTTATAGGGATAAATAATACATAGCGGGAGGAAGCATGATGGTAAATTATATGTGTCAGAGTGAAGGATGGAGTCTGGCCTTGTAGCCTCTCTTTTGTACTTTCCACTTGGACATCTGAAAGGTCAGAGGCATCTGTATTGTAGAGTGGATTCTGATGGTCAAGATGTGGGAAACCATTCTGTAGGTTTATAGTGCCAGAGAAGGGTGTAGATAACTGAGGTTGGAACTGGAATACAAATTTTGGAACTAAATGTCAGCCTTAGGAAAGACACAAATAGCTTAAAGCATATAAAACTATTTTAGAAAGATGTTGTATGCTTTCCAAAACTTTCAAGTCTCTCCAGAGGTAAATAGTTTAACATTAGGTAAGACCTCACATGACATATATTATTAAAGATAGTCTCTACAATAAAAATATTATACTTGTGTACCAAAGAAGGTACTATTATTTGCTTTTTTTATCCTTTTTTTTTTTAATTATACTGTAAGTTCTGGGGTTCATGTGCAGAACGTGCAGGTTTGTTCATAGGTATACATGTGCCATGGTGGTTTCCTGCACCCATCAACCCATCATCTACATTAGGTATTTCTCCTAATGCTATCCCTCCCCTGGACCCCCATCCCTTGACAGGCTCTGGTGTGTGACGTTACCCTCCCTGTGTCCATGTGTTCTCATTGTTCAGCTCCCACTTATGAGTGAGAACATGCAGTGTTTGGTTTTCTGTTCTTGCAATAGTTTGCTGAGAATGATGGTTTTCAGCTTTATCCATGTCCCTGCAAGGGACATGAACTCATCCTTTTTGGTGGCTGCAAAGTATTCCATGGTGTATATGTGTAACATTTTCTTCATCCAGTCTATTATTGATGGGCATTTGGGTTGGTTCCAAGTCTTTGCTATTGTGAATAGTGCCACAATAAACATACGTGTGCATGTGTCTTTATAGTAGCATGATTTATAATCCTGGGTATATACCCAGTAATGGGATTGCTGGGTCAAATGATATTTGTAGTTCTAGATCTTGAGAAATCACCACACTGTCTTCCACAATGGTTGAATTAACTTACACTCCCACCAACAGTGTAAAAGCGTTCCTATTTCTCCATGTCCTCTCCAGCATCTGTTGTTTCCTGACTTTTTAATGATCACCATTCTAACTGGCATGAGATGGTATCTCATTGTGGTTTTGCTTTGCATTTCTCTAATGATCAGTGTAGATGAGCATTTTTTCATGTTTGTTGGCTGCATAAACTTCTTTTGAGAACAACTTCTTTTGAGAAGTGTCTGTTCATATCCTTCTTTTACTTTTTGATGGGGTTGTTTTTTTCTTGTAAATTTGTTTAAGTTTTTTGTAGATTCTGGATATTAGCCCTTTGTCAGGTGGATAGGCTGCAAAAATGTTCTCCCATTCTGTAGGTTGCCTGTTCACTGTGACGATAGTTTCTTTTGCTGTGAAGACGCTCTTTAGTTTAATTAAATCCCATTTGTCAATTTTGGCTTTTGTTGCCATTGCTTTTGGTGTTTTAGACATGAAGTCTTTGCCCATGCATATGTCCTGAGTGGTATTGCCCAGTTTTTCTTCTAGGATTTTTATGTTCCTAGGTCTTACGTTTAAGTCTTTGATCCATCTTGAGTTGATTTTTGTATAAGGTGTAAGGAAGGGGTCCATTTTCAGTTTTCTGAATATGGCTAGCCAGGTTTCCCAATACCATTTATTAAATAAGGAATCTTTTCCCCATTGCTTGTTTGTGTCAGGTTTCTGAAAGATCAGATGGTTGTAGATATGTGGTGTTATTTCTGAGGCCTCTGTTCTGTTCCATTGCTCTATATATCTGTTCTGGTACCAGTACCATACTGTTTTGATTACTGTAGCCTTGTAGTATAGTTTGAAGTCCGGTAGCATGATGCCTCCTGTTCTTCTTGCCCAGGATTGTCTTGGCTATGTGGGCTGTTTTTTGGTTCCATATGAAGTTTAAAGTAGTTTTTTCCAATTCTGTGAAGAAAGTCAGTGGTAGCTTGATGGGGATAGCATTAAATCTATAAATTACTTTGGGCAGTATGGCCATTTTCATGATATCGATTCTTTCTGTCCATGAGCATGGAATGTTTTTCCATTTGTTTGTGTCCTCTCTCATTTCCTTCGGCAGTGGTTTGTAGTTCTCCTTGAAGAGGTCCTTCATGTCCCTTGTAAGTTGTATTCCTAGGTATTTTATTCCCCTAGTAGCAATTGCGAATGGGAGTTCACTCATGATTTGGCTCTCTGTTTGTCTGTTATTGGTGTATAGGAATGCTTGTGATTTTTGCACATTGATTTTATATCCTGAGACTTTGCTGAAGTTGTTTATCAGCTTAAGGAGATTTTGGGCTGAGACAATGAGGTTTTCTAAATATACAATCATGTCATCTGCAAACAAAGACAATTTGACTTCCTCTATTCCTATTTGAATACCCTTTATTTCTTTCTCTTGCCTGATTACCCTGGCCAGAAGTTTCCTGAAAAGCTAGCAGAAGACAAGAAATAACTAAGATCAGAGCAGAACTGAAGGAAATGGAGACACAAAAAAACCCTTCAAAAAATCAATGAATCCAGGAGCTGGTATTTTGAAAAGATCAACAAAATAGATCGCTAGCCAGATTAATAAAGAAGAAAAGAGAGGAGAATCAAATAGCTGCAATAAAAAATGATATAGGGGATATCACCACTGATCCCACAGAAACACAAACCACCATCAGAGAATACTATAAACCCTCTATGCAAATAAACTAGAAAACTTGGAAGAAATGGATACATTCTTGGACACGTACACCCTTCCAAGTCTAAACTAGAAAGAAGTCAAATCCCTGAATAGACCAATAACAAGTTCTGAAACTGAGGCAATAATTAATAGCCTACCAACCAAAAAAAGTCCAGGACCAGATGGATTCACAGGTGAATTCTACCAGAGGTACAAAGGGGAGCTGGTACCACTCCTTCTGAAACTATTCCAAACAATAGAAAAAGAGGGAATCCAAACCAACAAGAACAAAGACACAACATATCAGAATCTCTGGGACACATTCAAAGCAGTGTGTAGAGGGAAATTTATAGCACTAAATGCCCAAAGCAGGAAAGATCCAAAATTGACACCCTAACATCACAATTAAAAGAACTAGAGAAGCAAGAGCAAACACATTCAAAAGCTAGCAGAAGGCAAGAAATAACTAAAATCAGACCAGAACTGAAGGAAATAGAGACATAAAAAACCCTTCAAAAAAATCAATGAATCCAGGAGCTGGTTTTTTGAAAAGATCAACAAAATTGATAGACCACTAGCAAGATTAATAAAGAAGAAAAGAGAGAAGAATCAAATAGATGCAATAAAAAATGATAAAGGGGATATCACCACCGATCCCACAGAAATACAAACTACCATCAGAGAATACTACAAACACCTCTACGCAAATAAACTAGAAAATCTAGAAGAAATGGATAAATTCCTCGACACATACACCCTCCCAAGACTAAACCAGGAAGTTGAATCTCTGAATAGACCAATAACAGGCTCTGAAATTGTGGCAATAATCAATAGCTTACCAACCAAAAAAGTCCAGGACCAGATGGATTCACAGCCGAATTCTAACAGAGGTACAAGGAGGAACTGGTACCATTCCTTCTGAAACTATTCCAATCAATAGAAAAAGAGGGGATCCTCCCTAACTCATTTTATGAGGCCAGCATCATCCTGATACCAAAGCCTGCAGAGACACAAACAAAAAAGAGAATTTTAGACCAATATCTTTGATGAACATTGATGCAAAAATCCTCAATAAAATACTGGCAAACCGAATCCAGCAGCACATCAAAAAGCTTATCCACCATGATCAAGTGGGCTTCATCCTTGGGATGCAAGGCTGGTTCAACATATGAAAATCAATAGATGTAATCCAGCATATAAACAGAACCAAAGACAAAAACCACATGATTATCTCAATAGATGCAGAAAAGGCCTTTGACAAAATTCAACAACGCTTCCTGCTAAAAACTCTCAATAAATTAGGTATTGATGAGACGTATCTCAAAATAAAAACAGCTATCTATGACAAACCCACAGCCAATGTCATATTGAATGGGCAAAAACTGGAAGCATTCCCTTTGAAAACTGGCACAAGACAGGGATGCCCTCTCTCATCACTCCTATTCGACATAGTGTTGGAAGTTCTGGCCAGGGCAATTAGTCAGGAGAAGGAAATAAAGGGTATTCAATTAGGAAAAGAGGAAGTCAAATTGTCTCTGTTTGCAGATGACATGATTGTATATCTAGAAAACCCCATCGTCTCAGCCCCAAATCTCTTTAAGCTGATAAGCAACTTTAGCAAAGTCTCAGGATACAAAATCAATGTACAAAAATCACAAGCATTCTTATACACCAATAACAGACAAACAGAGAGCCAAATCATGACTGAACTCCCATTCAAAATTGCTTCAAAGAGAATAAAATACCTAGGAATCCAACTTACAAGGGACGTGAAGGACCTCTTCAAGGAGAACTACAAACCACTGCTCAATGAAATAAAAGAGGATACAAACAAATGGAAGAACATTCCATGCTCATGGGTAGGAAGAATCAATATCATGAAAATGGCCATACTGCCCAAGGTAATTTATAGATTCAATGCCATCCCCATCAAGCTACCAATGACTTTCTTCACAGAATTGGAAAAAACTACTTTAAAGTTCATATGAAACCGAAAAAGAGCCTACATTGCCAAGTCAATCCTAAGCCAAAAGAACAAAGCCAGAGGCATCACGCTATCTGACTTCAAACCATACTACAAGGCTACAGTAACCAAAACAGCATGGTACTGGTACCAAAACAGAGATATAGATCAATGGAACAGAATAGAGCCCTCAGAAGTAATGCCGCATATCTACAACCATCTGATCTTTGACAAACCTGACAAAAACAAGAAATGGGGAAAGGATTCCCTATTTAATAAATGGTGCTGGGAAAACTGGCTAGCCATATGTAGAAAGCTGAAAATGGATCCCTTGCTTACACCTTATACAAAAATTAATTCAAGATGGATTAAAGACTTAAATGTTAGACCTAAAACCATAATAACTCTAGAAGAAAACCTAGGCAATACCATTCAGGACATAGGCATGGGCAAGGACTTCATATCTAAAACAAAAAAAGCAATGGCAGCAAAAGCCAAAATTGACAAATGGGATCTAATTAAACTAAAGAGCTTCTGCACAGCAAAAGAAACCACCATTAGAGTGAACAGGCAACCTACAAAATGGGAGAACATTTTCACAACCTACTCATCTGACAAAGGGCTAATATCCAGAATCTACAATGAACTCCAACAAATTTACAAGAAAAAAACAAACAACCCCATCAACAAGTGGGTGAAGGATATGAACAGACACTTCTCAAAAGAAGACATTTATGCAGCCAAAAAACACATGAAAAAATGCTCATCATCACTGGCCATCAGAGAAATGCAAACCAAAACCACAATGAGATACCATCTCACATCAGTTAGAATGGCAATCATTAAAAAGTCAGGAAACAACAGGTGCTGGAGAGGATGTGGAGAAATAGGAACACTTTTACACTGTTGGTGGGACTGTAAACTAGTTCTATATACCCAAAGGATTATAAATCATGCTGCTATAAAGACACATGCACACGTATGTTTATTGCAGCACTATTCACAATAGCAAAGACTTGGAACCAACCCAAATGCCCAACAATGATAGACTGGATTAAGACAATGTGGCACATATACACCATGGAATACTATGCAGCTATAAAAAATGAAGAGTTCATGTTGTTTGCAGGGACATGGATGAAACTGGAAACCATCATTCTCAGCAAACTATCACAAGGACAAAAAACCAAACACCGCATGTTCTCACTCATAGGTGGGAATTGAACAATGAGAACACATGGACACAGGAAGGGGAACATCACACTCCGGGGACTGTTGTGGGGTGAGGGGAGGGGGGAGGGAGAGCATTAGGAGATATACCTAATGCTAAATCACGAGTTGGTGGGTGCAGCACACCAACATGGCACATGTATACATATGTAACAAACCTGCACATTGTGCACATGTACCCTAAAACTTAAAGTATAGTAAAAAAAATAAGAATAAAGAGACTGAGGAAAAAGTACATGGGCAAATAAACCTATGAATTCAACTGCAAAAAAAAAAAAAAAAAAGAAAAGGAAAAGAGGGAATCCTCCCTAACTCATTTTATGAGGCCAGCATCATCCTGATACCAAAGCCTGGCAGAGACACAGCAAAAAAAGAAAATTTCAGGCCCATATCCCTGATGAACATCAATGCAAAAATCCTCAATAAAATACTGGCAAACCGAATCCAGCAGCACATCAAAAAGCTTATCCACCACGATCAAGTTGGCTTCATACCTGGGATGCAAGGCTGTTTCAACATACACAAATCAACAAACGTAATCCATCACATAAACAGAACCAATGACAGAAACCACATGATGATCTCAATAGATGCAGAAAAGGCCTTCAACAAAATTCAACAGCCCTTCATGCTACAAACTCTCAATAAACTAGGTACTGATGGAATGTATTCCAAAATAATAAGGGCTATTTATGACAAACCCTCAACCAATATCATGCTGAATGGGCAAAAACTGGAAGCATTCCCTTTGAAAATCGGCACAAGATAAGGTAATATTATTTTCATTGAGAACTGAATATTTCCATATTCTAAAACTCATAGAGATGAAGTATTGGACCTTGTATAAAGAAAAGCATTTCTGCCTTTAAAAGAAGTACAAGCAATTTGGAGTTACAGACCGGCTATTACATGTAACAATCAGAGGCAGGGCACAGCCAATCAGCAAGTGGGTTGGAGAGCAAGCAAATGGGAGGTGTTTGGTCTAAAACTTCATAGCGTTGCAAATTTGGCATCGGAGATAACATTTACATAGTGGGACACTACGGAAATAATCTAATTTACTGTACTGACATTTTATGATTTCTAGTTTCTAGAACTAGATATTAAGGATTGTTTTCCAGAATCAGGACCCATTTTTTTAGTCACTATTTTTCTGATAGTTTATTTAAATGGAATACATGTATGTGGTTATAGGCAGAATAAACTCTGCTGGAGGTATACAGCCTCTGTCTGAACAGATCAAGAAATGGAAGGCATTGCTGATATTTCATTTTTGATACTATTTTCTCTTTCCAATAATTATAGCACTTACATATCTTTAAAAGCATTGCTTATTGCAGGCATAAAAAATGTAATTAGGTTTCTTTAGCACCGGAAATATGTATTTAACCATAATTTTCTGAACATCAGAAATAACAGTTGATACTATAATGTAATTGAATCATATTTTTGTTATAATGGAAGACATTTTGATTACTACAAGATACAATTACTTCAGTTATTAGGCATCTAATAAGGTCAAGTCATGCTCTTAAATACAAAGCAGCTTAAATGTCTAGCAGGCATTAAATGTCTGACATGCATTTCATTACACAGTCTTTCCTGAAATTAATGCGCAAATGCATCCTTAATGGAACATTGTACTGACTGGCATAAAATCAAGATACTTTCTTCCATCGTCTATATGTTATTACCATTGTTCTGAAGAAACCTCAGAAACTATAATATAATTCTGAACTTTTATGGGTAATTTGTATTTGTTTATGCTAACACACAGTGAGGAATATGTAACTTACATTTTCTATATTAAAAAGCATAGCTAATACAATTTATTAATTTGTATCATGAATTTACCCAGAAAGTATAATTCTAATGATAGTGAAACAATCAAATTTTGTGAGAAGATTAAAAACCTGACTAGATATTTAGATTATTTAGATGATTTTAGTGTTTTGTTTCAAATATTTTTTTCCAGAAAAAAAGATACATTTTAGAATAGACATTTTTGATCTTTCTGTTCTCTTATGTGAGACACCCACAGTTAACCCTCCGATTCTGATTAAAGTGAAAAAAAAAAAACCCTTCTTCAGTTAAATGTACAATCATCTTCTATGTGAAAAGCATTTAGAAATAAGACCAAATGAAGTATCAAAATACAATTTCAAAGCAGAGTAAAATTTCACAGGCTTCAATCAAACTGTGGGCTTTTTCACCGACAAAAATTAATGAAGGCAGTAAAGACTGATTGATTGATTCAACAACACTGAATGAGTTTCCTTTGTGGGCCTGGGCATCCCAAAATGAACAAGGTGGACTTAAAGGTGCTCACAACACAGTGGTGATTATATCATATGAAAACTTACAACACTTACTACATTTAGAAAAAAGTTGTGGTTAATCATTTTTGTAAAATAAAAGAGTAGTAATATGTTAATTATGTTTTAGAATTATCAGCCCTCTCTCTGGCTATTCATGTATTAATTGGGGCAGATATATATAAACTCATACATTTATGTATATGTGTTTTTTTCTTTGACATTTTGGCATATACTTAGATGATTTTCAAAAATGTACAAATAACTTGATGATCTATAAGGAAAGCTTTATAATATATATACAGATAGCTAATGAGAACATGTCTTAGTATTTTTTAAAATATATAAAGAAACTAAAAAACTGATAGAACTAGTAAGAGAATGCAGTTAGATGACAAAATGCAAGATAAACATGCCTGAATAGGTAATATTAATGGCAGTAAGTAATTAGAAAGAATAACTGGAAAAAATATTTCAGGCACAATAGCATGAAACTACACAATTCTAGAATTTTTTTAAGCAGGCAATAAAATATTACAATTTTACCGTCGAATATAAAACTGAACAGACCAAGTGGAGACACATCCCATGTTTCTGCATGGAAGATTAAACATTATATAGATGTAAACCGTGAACTAAATAATAAACTAAATGCAAACAGTGCTGGGAATTTTATGGAACTTCTAGCTGGTTCCAATGTTCATAAAAAAGAGTAAATAAACAGGTTACTAGCACACATTTGATACTTCCTACTATACAGTTGATCCTTGAACTTCATGGATTCACTTTTACGTGGATTTTTATTCCACCTCTGCCACCCCTGAGTCAGCAAGACCAACCCTTCTTCTTCCTCAGCCTGCTCAACATGAAGATGACAAGAATGACGATCTTTATGTCAATCCAGTTCCACTTAATAAATAGTAAGTATATTTTCTCTCCCTTATGATTTTCTTAATAGCGTTTTGTTTTCTCTAGCTCACTTTATTGTAAGAATACAGTATATAATACATATAACTTACAAAATATGTGTTAAGTGTTTATCTTGTGGGTAAGGCTTCTGGTCAACAGTAAGCTGTTAGCACTTAAATTTTTGGGGAGTCAAAAGTTACATGCAGATTTTCAATTATGCAGGAGTAAAAACATAATATACTTTAAGACTATTCAAGAATGAAAAAGAAATGTAGAGGAATGTGTTTGTAATCTTGCAGTAGAAAAGTCTCCCTAAGTTATGCCCAGATTCAGAAGCCACAGTGGAAAGCCTGCCATATTTGACTACATAAACTAAAATGGTCAGTAGAGCAAATAAAACCATAATACAATGAAAGTTAAAAGATAAAGAACAAATTGGAAGACAATATATACTTTCTATATAACCAAGGGGTAACACCCATACATAAGAGTTTCTACAAAGTCACACTGAAGAGTAATACAAGAAGGTGATGAAAGAAATGCAGACTGTAGTTTGTGTGTAGTTAATAAACGTTATTTTAAAAGATTGCATGAATTTTTTAATGGAGGCCAAATGTAAAAGTATATCCCAGTTTTACATTTTTCTTTTTAAATGGTTGAGTATTCCTTTCTTTTCACCATATGCTTGCCAGCATGCATCTACATGAATTTTCATTTTGACTCTTCTATTTTTACACTATGACAGGTACAAGAGATCTGTTTCCATAAACCTTGATTCAT
Source organism: Homo sapiens (assembly GCF_000001405.40). Lineage (NCBI taxonomy): Eukaryota > Metazoa > Chordata > Mammalia > Primates > Hominidae > Homo > Homo sapiens. Next base: position 99,334,243 of record NC_000001.11, on the reverse strand, counting down.
ATGTTATTTTTCTAGCAATTTTCCTTCTTATTGCAGAAGGTTTCTCAAAAATTGAACTCTGATAAGCCTGTTATTATAAAATATCTATTTATAGGTAGGCAACTGGCAGAGTTACCATAGAAACCAAAACAGCAATCAATTCAGAAACCATAAAAGTGTAAGTAAAGATGTATTATGAATAGAAACCAATAAAACACACAATCCCTCATAATTATTAAAAAAATGCAAAATAGAATCTTTTTCAAGGGATAATAACAGAAGGAAAAACCGTTTACAATTATGGTTTATCCACTAATGTAAATTTGTGCAATTGTAATGAAGCTAGGCATGCTCTCATTTTAAGATGCTGTCACGAAATTGGTTATTTTAAGAAAACTGGGTAAACATAAAACTTCAGTACACTTTGAGAGTGTTAAGTACACTTAACACTATGTGTTAAGGCAAGCAATTATCACTCCTCTGTCTATACCCCCAGTATTAGACCTACCTCAAATGCAATGCCCAGATCATTTTGATTTGGCTATCTTGACCCACATCTACCCCTTCTACAGCTACCACCACACAAACACGGGAGTTGAATTCAGTGGGTGAAATTGAGGAACAGGTCAAGAATCTTTTTTGTTGTTGTTGTGGTTTGTTTTTTGAGATGGAGTCTCGCTCTGTCGCCCAGGCTGGAGTGCAGTGGCACGATCTTGGCTCACTGCAAGCTCCGCCTCCCGGGTTCACGCCATTCTCCTGCCTCAGCCTCCCGAGTAGCTGGGACTACAGGCGCCCGCCACCATGCCTGGCTATTTTTTTTTGTATTTTTAGTAGAGACGGGGTTTCACCGTGTTAGCCAGGATGGTCTCAATCTCCTGACCTCATGATCCACCCGCCTCGGCCTCCCAAAGTGCTGGGATTACAGGTGTGAGCCACCGCGCCCAGCTGAACAGGTCAAGAATCTTAATAGATGACCATCAAAGTGATAAAATCCTTTGACAAATAATTGTCTAGATATTTTTAGCTGGGATGTTTGGTGCAGTAATGTAATCATTCCCAAATTCATGATTGTGACTCTCTGGTAAGATTGCAGAAGGAATTATAGCTAATTCTGGTGGGAATGGCATTTAGTTTTCTCTTTTGAAAGCATGCTTTAATTTTTTAAAGGCAGAACAAAAGAAAGCAAGTGTTCTGTTGATAAATTATTTTATGAATGGATTTTTCTCATTTGTAGGTATTCACTACTGTAAAATGGAATTGTGTGAAGAATGTTAGAGTCAATATCCTTTATTTAGTAAATTAATATGAGTTACACCCTAAAGTCAAAGGCACCTTGTAATTTAACCTCACGTAAACCAATATGAGTAACTGGATTTTTTTTTTTTTTTTTTTTTTTTTACCAAACAAACAAAGGAAGTTTATAGTATACTAGGGAGCATAAGATAATTCATATTTCTATGAATATTCTCTTGCTAGATTAGAAGCTTCTCAAAATTTGGCAGGCAAAAAACATGGATTGCTTTCCCATATGTCTACTAAATGAAAAGGAAAATGATTGGTTTTAAAAATTCATATTAATTATATCAGATAGTTCCAAAAATGAAGATTATGACTCACTATAGGCTTGTTCAGTTGCAGAAAGCAATGCATTTCATTCCAAAGGGAAATAGCTCAGGTAGCTTTCATTACACTTAGGGAGCTGTAGACTACACTACCCTGACTCAAAGAGGTTTACACAACTGCAGGGGGATTACATAGTAAATCACTAACCTCAAAAATAATTCTCTTCATGAAAAATTGACCGTATTATTTGATTTTGAGAGTGTTAAAGGCCTTTCATTTATCTGAACACCCAAATTGTACATACTAAGTATGAGAACTAACAAAACAGTACAAATGATTTTAACTAAATGTAATGAGAAAAAGAACAGTAGTTGTGAATTTTAGGAATGAGAAATCCTGACAATGAAAATACTTTGCTGATGACTTTTATGAGTCAAATAAAATTAAGAGGGAATATTTCTTTTACCTTTATTTAAAATTTTAATGTTATATATAACAGTTTCTACGTGTACAGCCCAGTAAATTTCACCAAGTGAAAACCCACTTGTAGTAGTCCATTCTCATGCTGCTATGAAGAAATACCCAAGACAGTAATTTATAAAGGAAAGAGGTTTAGTTGACTCACAGTTCTGCATGGCTCAGGGGGACCTCAGGACACTTACAATCATGGCAGAAGGTACCTCTTCACAGGGCAGCAGGAGAGAGAATGAGTGCAAGCAGGGCAAATGCCAGACACTTATAAAACCATCAGATCTTGTGAGAGCTCACTCACTATCATGAGAACAGCCTGGGGGAAACTGCTCCAGGATTCAATTACCTCCCACTGGGTCCCTCCCAGGGCACGTGGGGATTATGGGAACTACAATTCAAGATGAGATGTGGGTGTGGACACAGCCAAACCATATCATCTCTCATGTAAATAGCACCCAAGTTGAGGAATAGGATATTGTCAACATCCCAAAGCTACCTCTTACCAGTCACTACTCACGCTTCCTAAGGTTAAACATTATTCCAACTTCTACCATCATGGAATACTTTGCCTATTTTTGAAATTTGTCTGAATAGAGTATTTTGTATATACTCTTTTATGGATGCTGCTTCTCTTACTCATTATCTTTATGGTATTTATCTACCTTTTGCATTTATTTGTGGTTTCACCCCCATATTTATTGTATAGCATTTAATTGTGTGAATGTTTTGATTCATTTATCTGTTCTGTTGACAGACAGACATGTAGTTTTCATTTTGGCTCTTATAAACAGCACTGCTCTGAACATTGTTGTTGCTCTGACCATTTTTGATCAATATGTAAGTATTTCTATAGAGTAGATACTAAGGAAGTGAGTTGCTGAGTCATGAGGAATGCACATATTCGGCTTCAGCAGATACTGCCAAACAGTTCTCCAAAGTGGTTATATACCAATTTAAACTTCTATCGATAGGATGAGAGTTGTAGTTGTTTCACATATTTGCAACAGTTAGCATTTTTTGTCCTTTTCATTAGTTATTCTTGTGAGTATGTAGTGAATTCTCATTGTGGTTTCTAATTAGCACTTTCCTAATATGTAATGAAATTGAGGACTTCTTCATACGTTTATTAGTGACATGGATCTTTTCATTGTGAAGAGCATCTCCAAAACAGTGATTGCTTCATAAGGGAAAATTGTAATCGGGTCTACACTTTAATAATTCTGCATTTTAATAAATACTCCTGGTGATGATTATTCATGCCAACATATGACAACCATCGCACCAGGCTCTATTCACTAAGACAGGGATTTTGTTTTAGTTACCATTGTATTTCTAGTGTCTAGCACAGTGCCTTGCTTTAGATCATTGGCTTTGCATTTTTCCTTTTAAATATGGACATTTAAAACTATAAATTTCCTTCTAAGTATAGCAATAGCATTTCTTTAGCTGCATCCTGCTAGTTTTGGTATGTTGTATGTGTCTTTATTATCATTTAATAAGAAATATTTTCAAATTCTTTTGTGATTTCCTTTTCATTCCTAAGTTATTTAGAAGGAAGCTGATTAATTTCCAAATATTTGGGGATGTTCTAGGTATCTTATTGATTTGTTTAAAAAATCCAGCTATGGTATGAAAACATGTGAATCCAATCCTTTTAAAGTTAGCAAGACTTGCTTTATGGCCCAGCAGATGGTCCATCTTAGTAAGTATTTCATTGTGCACATAAAAAGAATATATATTCTGCAGTTGTATGTATGTATAAATAAATAAATAGATAAATAAATAAATGAATAAATAAATAAGACTGGGCGTGGTGCTCACGCCTGCAATCCCCAGCACTTTGGGAGGCTGAGGTTGGCGGATCATGAAGTCAAGAGTTTGAGACCAGCCTGACTGGCATGGTGAAACCCCATCTCTACTAAAAATGCAAAAAAATTAGCTGGGTGTGGTGGCGGCGCCTGTAATCCCAGCTACTCTGGAGGCTGAGGCAGGAGAATGGCTTCAACCTGGGAGGCAGAGGTTGTACTGAGCCAAGATTGTGCCATCGCACTCCAGCCTGGACAACAGAGCCAGACTCTGTCTCGAAAAAAAAAAAAAGGTAATTTAAATTGCTATACTGAGGTATTGGAGCTAAACATTACATTTTTTTTCTTTTTTTTTGAGATGGAGTTTCACTCTTGTTGCCCAAGCTGGAGTGCAATGGTGTGATCTCGACTCCTTGCAACCTCCGCCTCCTGGGTTCAAGCGATCCTCATGCCTCAGCCTCCCGAGTAGCTGGGATTACAGCACGCACCACCATGCCTGGCCCAGCTACTTTTTGTATTTTTAGTAGAGATGGGGTGGGTACCCCATCTCTAAAAGAGTTTTACTCTTTCACTCCTGATCTCAGGTGTTCCACCCGCCTTGGCCTCCCAAAGGAATGGGATTACAGGCGTCAGCCACTGGACCTGGTCAAATATATATATTTTTTAATTTTAATTTTAATTTTAATTTTAAGTTCTGGGGTACATGTCCAGGATGTGCAGGTTTGTTACATAGGTAAATGTGTGTCACGGTGGCTTGCTGCACCTATCAACACATCACCTAGGTATTTAACCCAGCAAGCATTAGCTATTTTTTCTAATGTTCTCCCTCCCCACATCCCGCCCTCTGACAGGTCCCAGTGTGTGTTGTTGCCCTCCCTGTATCCAAGTGTTCTCATTGTTCACCTCCCACTTATAAGTGAGAACATGCAGTGTTTCGTTTTCTGTTCCTTCATTAGTTTACTGAGGATAATGGCTTCCAGCTCCATTCATGTCCCTGCAAAGGACATGATGTTGTTCCTTTTTAAGGCTGCATAACATTCCATGGTGTATCTGTAGCACATTGTCTTTATCCAGCCTGTCATTAATTAGGTCAAGTTTTGGCAGTGTTATTCAAAGCTTCTGTGTGCTTACTGATATTTTTCTACCTATCAATTACAAAGAGAAGGGTGTTAAAATCTCCACCGTTGAATGTGGATTTGTTAATTTTTGCTTTTATATTTTAAAATTCTGTTAATGGGTGCATGCAAACCTGGGACTATTATGTTTTCTTGATTCACTGATACCCCATCTGGTTAATCTGGCTGGGCTGATATCAATCCCTTTAGTACTTTTCTCTTGTGCTAGTCAAATTCTCTTAGGTGAGTAACTTTGAGATTTTTAATAAGGATTTCTGTTCCTATCTGTGATGAGTGCTTCCCAGGGACGGACCTCTTACCCTCTCAAATAAGCCTGTGTCTTATAGTCTCAGGGACAAAGCTGAAGTCTTCTGCAGAAGTGGGAAGGAACAGTGAGAAAGTTATGTGGTAGCTCTTGCTGATTCTTAAACATCTTGTTTTAAACCCTACATTTATCTCTATTTTTAAAGGTACCCAGTGCTGCAAATTCAGCATTGTGGGAAGAGTTGATAAAGAAAAAGCAGATTGCTTCTAAGTTTCCAAAATTTTGTTGCAGAGTTGAGGACTGTATGTAAAGGGAATAGTGGCCCAAATTATGGAAAGTAGGAGATTATTGGGGTTTATGGTTGAGTTGCTGCTGAAATTCTAACATCATAAATTAATTCTTCCTTTGAGTACTCATTTATGCACTTATTTGTTAAAAAACATTTCCTCTATTTCCAAAGGATTCAAATCAGCAGATTAATTTTTTAATTTAAATATCTCTTTTAAATGTAGATCACCCTGGGAAGTGTTAACACATGGACCTCCCCATCAGTCATTTACATGATATTCTTAAAAAAAATTAATCAGATCTTTCTAACAAACACATGAGAACCTCCCCCGCCCCTACTAAGGCTTGGGAATGTGGATAAGGAAATGCAAAAAAGCCAGGGTGGGTCTGTTTCTGAGCATTGTAAGCCTACAGTGTGGGGACCTAGAACACCTGGGGAAAGGAGTGCTATGAGGTGATGGGGAAAGAAGATAATTGACAAGATGCAGAGTTTTATCAGAAGTTGGACATGAAGAGAAAAAGGAAAGCATTCAAAGATAATATTAAAGTTTCTAGAACTTATCTGCTGTTAATATTGTAATACTTAAACTCCTCTTTGAAAGCTATATGCAGACTTTCTGGAGAATTACAGATTTTTCTAAAATGGAATTTTTTCTCTGGGCTCTTAAAATACAGTACAGATTAATCTTGCTTTCTTATGTTGTTTATAGGAAGTTATTTGTAAGTTACCAACTTTTTTCTAAATCAAATTATTTCATAGCAATTCATCTTGTAAATTTATAAATGTTCTACGTTACTTATTGCTTATTATTTTTTGACTCTTCAGGCTCTCTCTCAAGTAGCTAACATGTTTGGCAGTTAGAGGTACTACAAAGCTAATAATTAAGAAAAAGCAATTACTTTGCATTGCCTTAATTTTCTCCTAGAGTATTTATGTTTTATGCTGGTCTTTTTTCTTATACTCAAATAGTACCAATGCAAATAAAAATTGTAATTAATTTTCTGACTTAAAATATTTTTATTTTTAGAGGTCAGATAGATCCTATTTCTATACTTTGAAAAAATTTGTGAATACTACCCATGGAAGGTTTTTAGAGATGATGTTTGGAAATGCAATTAAACTGGGTACATGTATTGCTCGTAACACTGGTGGTGTGAGTTCAGCTTACCTGGAGGTGGCCTTCTAGACTAACAGGTTTTTCCGTTGTTACGTTTGTTCCTATGGAAACTGGCCTCTCTTGCATTCTCTCTCTCTTTTTATCACTTTAGAAACAGGTTACAGAAGCAATGGCCAAGAGGAAACATAAAATATTCATACAGCCACTACTTAGGAGCTTCAGCTAACATACTTACAGGTGTATATTTTCCCTTAAAGGTTATGCACACACATGCACAAACCCCCATGGCATCTATATATTTCTAGCAATCCAGACCACAAAGCTGAAAGAATTCTCTCTGACTTGGTAATGAAACAGTTCAGTGATGATGCTGCAAGATCTGTCAAGGCATGTGTGGAAGTGGACCCAAGCAGCATTAACAGAACTGAAAGATGATGGTGACTTCTTGGGTACGTTGCAGTTCTGGGCCAGGATGAATACATGCATTCCAGCCATGCTCCTGGTGCTCATTGATTAACAAAGAAAGAAATTGATTAAAATCTCATAAAGTGGATTAAAATCTCAGTTCTCAATCTTTCAGCGCATCAGTTTGCCCATCTGTAAGGTGGGAAAAATAATAAGATTTTTGTGAGATTACTCAGAGGACTCAAGGACCCTACTACTGCAGGCACATGCTGAGCTGGTACTAGAGTTCTGCACGGGCACAAAGAAGATAATATCTAGTTTCTATCTTGTCACAGCACTGAGCACAGCTTCAACAGCAAAAGCAACAGAAATAACAACACTTGCAATACTCTTCAAACAACTATGTTGGAGCCCTTTGTGTGCCCTGAGCCCCATTGTTTTAAAGGAAAGAGAGGAAGGGACCCACTCTAGTTCCATATCTAATGGGCAGCAGCAGCTGCAAGGGACTGGGAAAGCACCTCCTCCCAGGTGCAGAAAATAGAGTCTACGCTACATTCTTCCCTAAGTGTTGGTTTATCTGGTGACTAAAATTAGTTTAAATAAACCAAGCTGCTTTATGTGTGGGTCTTACATTTCTTAAAATCCTCCTCTACATGCTATTTTCTTTATTTTATATAAATGCATATATTTAATATTTGAGCAGTTTATTATTTTAATAAATATTAAGTAACTTATTCATTATAATTTAAATTGCTATGCTGAAGTATTGGAGCTAAACATTGCATTCTAATTATAGAAGACAAATAGTGCTACCATCTCCTGGTGGCGGCCTGCTGAATCACAGGTGGAAATAACTGAGCATTGCCAATCCATATTGCCAATACTTGAACCATTCACTGAAATGATTTACTTGAATATATCACATCTCATTTATTATACCTTCAGCTATGTATAATGAGGAAGTTAAATTATGAATTTTAAGCAAACCCTAAATTCATTTGCCAGTTTATATTTATGGTATTTACCAATCTTTTATAATTTTAAAAGAAATTGTAGATGTACCATCAATCCGATTCTCAAAAATCTGTGTGAGCTCATGTTTTTGGACTGATATTTTTTAAATTTTATTTTACAGAGGCAGAAATGGAAGTTCAGATAGATCAAAGGATAATTGATTTACACTGCAGGGAAGTTGCAGACCTGGGACTTGAATCCAAATCTTGTGACTGTATCTCAAGCCTTTATTCACTCTACAAGATTGCCTCTAACCTGGAGTTATCATCTGATTTTAAAATATAGCTACAAACATATATACAATATCTCCCACAAATTTCAGGTCATAAGTTTGACAAATCCAATTAATTTTAAATGTATAGAGTTAGAAAAGACTAATTTCCTGAAAGATCACTTTGCTTATTTATTACATAGTGAAAGTATCACAGATGTGCTAGGGTGCTGTTTAAAATAGCCATAGCAAAGGCTTATTAAGCTTACTGTTAACAAGACAGTCTGTTGTGGTTCCCCCATAGCCTATGTATGTCTTTGTTGAATATGTTTAACTGCAAGACCTAAGTGTCTTCTGATCCAGAACCATTTACTTAATTTTTCATGTAGGGTCTCAAGCAGTTCGAGGTGACTAGAACATGAATACCTAGGTCCTGCTTGCTCCCTGCTGGAGGGGAAAATGGCTTGTTTACTGCTTGCTACAAATTGTGCTGAACTCCTAGTCCTGGGTTCCCCAGCTGTAATCACCATCTGGGCCCACTGTTTTACCTCACAGGACTTGGGGGAATTTGTTCTACTATTTGATGCTCCTGATGTTTGCTGTGATGTGAGTAATAAATTGTTCTCTGATCCAATGTGTCTTGTCTACTCTTGGGATGTGTGCAACTGTCACAAGTCAATTTTTTTGCTTAGTCTTCTCTTTTGGAGTCTTGCTACTCTTTGCTCTTCTCTATGAGATTGAGGGCTCTTCCCTGACACTTTCCTTTATTCCCAGCAATTATCTAGGCACATGGTATTTTGGTTCTTACTTTACAAATAAGGAAATTGAGAGACTTAGTACAAAGTAGAAAGTGACAGAACTGAAATGAAAATATGGTGGATGTTCTCTCTTAATCATTACTTTTGAAAGAACAACAACAACAACAACAACAAAATAGCAAACCTTGAGCTAGGTTCTGACATTTTTTGAATAAATTCCAAGGATCACCACATCTGATAGAATTGAGATGCCATTTCATTTGTTTTGAAAGTTGCTACTGTTGATCAAATCTGAACTCCATAATTATTGCAATTATTGTATTTTCTTCTGGCAGGATTAGAATATATGATTCATTTGTGCGGTATGCTAGCAGCAATACTGGTCTTCCTTCAGTGGAGAGGAAAGACTGTGAAGCTAGAATAGAAAGTATGGAAAGCACAGTCAAGTTTGTAGCTTTTAGAGGATAAGGTTGAAGGATCTTATCCTATCTAGAGGATAAGATTGAGAAGACTAATGCCACAAGGAGTTCCTGGAGATTCCATTCAGCTCTAATCCTAGAGCTGGAACCCAGGTATTGGACTATCTGATTGGGGAAATAGGCTGTAGAAAGAGGTAGAAAGTTCAAATAGAGCAGACATGGTGAGGGTATCAGGAAAATATGGGCTCATTTCAACAACTGCAGCATCCAGGCCCTGAGTAATGGAGTTTGTGGAAATCAGGATTATACCTAGCTACATGAATTTGGGGGCATGCCTTTAATTCCACTAGTGGCTTAGACTAAAAGCGGACAACATTACCTAAAAGATCACAAAAGAAAACAGGTCAAGACTTCAGATAAAAGTGTTTTACTGAAGTAAAGGGAGAAGTAAAGGGAAGTAAAGGGAGAAGAGATTGGAGTGCAGGAGGAATTGTGGGAAAATTACTTTTGCTTGCCCCTGGGTTTATCTCAGCAGAATGACACTCCACCTGCCACTGATACATGGGTGAGGGGTCTTGACATGTCATATTGTGCAGTTACTTTCTCAGTAGTTCAGAGAGTAACATGATTGCCTGCTGATTGCTAGGTGTTCATTAGAAGTCTCTGGAATAGAGGATAGTCCTACCACTGAGGCTAACTTTCATGGCTATTTAAAGAAAAACAGCTTTTGAAAATACTGATATCGTGATTAATCTTAATAATGAAAGAATCCCCAAGACTGTGCATGATTATATGCACTCAACATCAATTTGAAGTGAGAAAATAGTCTGTCATCTGCAATGCTTTACCATTTTGATTTGCTTAGCAGAAAATGGTTTGCTTAGCTAGTGAAGCACCTCCTCTGTCATAGATGTTATTTAGTATTTAGACTCAGCAAGGTGGAAAAACTTGATTAGAACATTTAGCCTGGACAAGGAAAGCTGACAGCATAAACAATTTCTATTTATAGATAAGTGTAGATTAAGACTTTTTTTCACCTAGTTGTTATATATCCTTCAGCTGAAGTCTTAAAATTGAGGTATTCAAAATTTGATGATGGAGGAGGGGTGTATAGTGAGAGTCCTTAATTGGATTAACCTTTTTTTTTCTGAGACAGGATCTTTCTCTGTCACCCATGCTGAAATGCAGTGGCACAATCTCAGCTCACTGCAACGGCTACCTCCTGGGCTCAAGTGATCCTCTCACCTCAGCCTCCTGAGCAGCTGAGACTACAGGTGGGTGCTTTTATATTTTTTGATTTTTAGTAAAGACAGGGTCTCGCTATGTTGGCCAGGTTGGTCTTGAACTCCTGGCTTCAAGTGATCCTCCTTCCTTGACTTCCCAAAGTAGTGGGATTACAGGCGTGAGCTACTGTGTTCAGACTGGATCAACTTTTAAATGGCATGTAAACATAAACTTACTTACGTTTTTCATATAATGTATAGTTTCAGCATTTTTTGAAGTATTAATTCCAACTTGCACAAAAATAAAAATCTTTAATGATGCTGAGATAAATGTTTGCTGAAACTTGTTGAAAGCATTGCCAACATTTGCCATCTCCAGTTCCTTTCCTATTTGTTCTTGAACCCACTCCAATCAGGCTCTTCTCTCCTGCAAGTCTCCTAACACTTTCCTCATCGTAGTCACCGATGACCTTCCTGTTGCACAAATTTATATTAAGGCAATGGTTGGTGCTCATGTATGTATATTATTATGTAAATTTTATTCACTGTGGAGTCAAGCATGTACAAATCTACTTTTTCATTTCTTTTTTGGTCCAAAAGTTTTAATAGTTGCCTTTTTTATTTTCTTAGTTTTCTTTAAAGGTCTAATTGGTAATTTTTTCCAAAATGCTCTGAGATCTGTCAAATTTCTAGCAACAGTTCTTCCAGATGCTCAAACATTTCAGATGCACTCAGCTGAATTCCATTTCTAATGACATCTCACCATCCAGCCTCCAGCCTCCTCTAATTTAGACTACTTGATTTCTGCACCTGGTTACAACTAGACTCCTGAGGCTGCCCTTCAGTATTTCTGTGTGTTAGAATTGTGTTTTGGGTCCTATATCTTCTTTCTCATTTACTCTCTCATTTGTTAAAGCAAACTTGCCAGCACTTCCTAAGCATTATGAAATAAGAAACTTTTTTCCCATGCTACATCTCAAAAACAGAGAACAGTACTTAGCGCATAGGAGATACTCTTTAAATATTTTAGTTTTTATTTATTTTTAATTGACAAAATAATTGTACTTATTTATGGGGTACAATGTGATGTTTGATATATGTAGACATTATAGAATAATGAAATAAAGTGAATTAGTATATTCATTATCTCACCTTACTATTTTTTTGTGGTGAGAACATTTAAAATCTACTCTTTTAGCAATTTTGAGATATAAAATACATTATAATTAACTATGGTCACCATGGTGTACAATAGATCACTAACACTTATTTCTCTTGTCTGACTGAAGCGTTCTATCTTTTGCCTAACATCTCATTTTTCCACCCTGTTACCTCCACCTCCAGTAACCATCTCTGCTTCTGTGAGTTTGACTTCTTTGGGTTACACATATAAGTGAGAAGATGCAGAATGTGTCTTTTTGTGCCTGCCTTATTTCACTTAACTTAATGTACTCTATGTTCATCCAGGTTGTTCCAAATGACAGAATTTCCTGCTTTTTTTTAAAGCTGTATAGAATTCCACCATGTGTATATACTACATTTTCTTTATCCATTGATCCACTGACAGACACTTAAGTTGCTTTCATATCTTGACTATTGTGAATAATGCCACAATGAACATGGGAATGTAGATATTTTTTCAACATACAAATTTCAATTTCTTTGGATGTATACCCATAAGTGGGATTGCTGGATTCTATGGTAATTCTAGTTTTAGTTTTCTTAGGAACTTCAATATTGTTTTACATAACGGGTATATAATACTTTACATTCCCACAAACAGTGTGCAGTGGTTTCCTTTGCTTGCCAACATTTGTTATCTTTTCACTTTTTGATAATAGCCATTCAACAGGTGTGAGGTGATAGCTCATTGTGGTTTTAATTTGCATTTCTCTGATGATAGCGACATTGAGCATTTTTTCATATATCAGTTGGCCATTCATATGTCTACTTTTGAGAACTGTCTGTTTATGTGTTCGTGTCCTTTGTCTTTTTTTTTTTTTTTTTTTTTTTTTTGCTTTGAGACGGAGTCTCCCTCTGTCACCTAGGCTGGAAGGAGTGTGTGTGGTGGCGTGATCTCGGCTTACTGCAAACTCCACGTCTCGGGTTCAAGCGATTCTCCTGCCTTGGCTTCCTGAGTAGCTGGGACTACAGGTGTATGCCTGGCTAATTTTTGTATTTTTAGTACAGACGGGGTTTTGCCATGTTGGTCAGGCTGGTCTTGTACTCCTGACCTCAGGTGATCCACCTGTCTCAGCCTCCCAAAGTGCTGGCATTACAGGTGTGAGCCACTGTGCCCGGCTCTTTGTCCATTTTTTAATCAGGTTATTTTTTTTTTCTTGCTATTGAGTTGACTTCCTTATATATTTTTGGATATTTGCCCCTTACAAGATATATGATTTGCAAATATTTACTTTTCTATTCCGTGGGTTGTCTCTTCACTCTGTTAATTATGTTCTTTGCTATGTAAAATATTTTTGAAATGAAATTCCATTTGTCTATTTTTGCTTTTTTTTTGCCTTTGCTTTTGAGGTTATAGCCAAGAAATCACTTCCCAGATAAATGTCATGAAGAATTTTCCCGTTTTATCCTAATAGTTTTACAATTTAAGGTCTTATGTTTAAGTCTTTAATCTATTTCAAGTAGATATTTGTATATGGTACAAGATGAGGATCTAACTTCACTTTTTATATGTGAATGTCCAGTTTTTCCAACACCATGTGTTTTGAAAAGACTGTCTTTCACCATTGTATATTTGTGACACCTTTGTGGAAAATTAATTGTCCATAAGTGTGTGGGTTTATATCTGGGCTTTTCATCCTATTCCATTGGCTAATGTGTTTGTATATAGAAAATCCTAAAGATTTCACCAAAAAAAAAAAAAACCTGTTAGAATGGATAAATAAATTCAATAAAGTTGCAGAATACAAAATCAACATACAAAAATCAGTGGGATTTCTATACAATAACAATTATTGAAAGCAGAAATCAAGAAAGCAATCTCAGTTACAATAGCATTAAAAAAATACAGGAGTAAATTTAACTAAAAAGGTTCAAGATCTGTATACTGAAAACTACGAAACATTAATGAAAGAAATTGAAAACGACAGAAATAGAAAGATATCCCATTCTCATAGATTGGAATAATTTAGTTAAAATGTCCAATACTACCCAAAGTTATTTACATATTCAATGCAATACTCATTAAAATTTCAATGTTATTTTTCACAGAAATAGAAAAACAATCCTAGAATTTGTATGGAACCACCATAGACCCCAATAGATAAAGCAGTCTAGAGAAAAATGAACAAAGCTGGAGGCACCACATGATCTGATTTTGAAATATACTACAAAGCTATAGTAATCAAAACAGCATGATACTAGCAAAAACCAGATATACATTATTCATTACATATTTTAAATGAATGAATTAATAAATGAAGACATTAAAGAGTGTGTAAGGAATAAATTTTCTGAGACTACACATTTCTAGTTTCTTATTTTTACTATTTACATATTACCTTTACATGATGGTTTGGTGAGCTGTGCTATCCTAGATTGAAAATGATTTTCTTTCTCAATTTTAAACTTACGAATTTTGCTCAACTGTTTTCTCACATCTGGTATTAATAATGGAGAAGGCTGATGTTATTTTATTTCTGTTTCTCTCTTGTTCTTTCAAGAAGTAGATTATTTTCTTTCTTTTAAATTTCATGATGGTATCTTGGTGTGGTTATTTTTATTATCTTTTTGTATATCTCATGGGCTCTTTCAAGTTATAGTGTTAGGTCCTTCAGTCTGAAAAAAAAATTCTTGTATTATTCAATACTTTTCCCTTTCTATTGGACTTCTAGGATTACTATTCTCATTTTCTTTTTCCTCATTTCTTCTTTTCCTCCCTTCCTTCCTTCCTTCCTTCCTTCCTTCCTTCCTTCCTTTCAGCTCTATTGCTCATTTGTCCTTTTCCTCTAATTTCCAGATTTGCTTGCTTTTGCCTTTTAAATCTTTGATTAAAAATTTTATCATATTTTTATCATATTTTTAATTTCAAGAATTCTTATTCTCAGGTTAGCTTATTTTCATGCATCCTATTCCTGTTTCATAGATGTAATGTCTTCTGTTATCTCTGAGGAATTTAATTATAGTTTTCTCACAAAGATTTATTCTCCTATCTGAATTTTTTGTTTTTTCTGAATACTATTTTATAGTTTGTTTTGTTTTGGTCTCTATCTTTCACATGGAAGTTTTTAACAAACATGTAATGCTAAGTTTGGCTATCCGTTCATATTTATTGCAAAACACTAAAGTATTGGTTGGAAATTGTGTGGATGGGCAATGCTTTTGATTAATGGTATACTCTAGAAAGATCAAGGAGTAAGTCAACCATGTGAGTAAGGATCTTCAGATGTCAGCGTGTGGGAATATTTTGCATGGAACTGTTCATTTCTTACATTTCTTCAGAGAAGAATCATCCAATCTGAAGCTTGGTTGGGAAGGTGGGAGTTGTATCAGCTAATTGCAGTATTCTACCAAAAATGTGGAATGAAGGTCTTACATGTCAGACTTCACATGCCCCCTTTTTTGAGACTTACACATCCAACTTGCCCCCATTGCACCTCACATTTGTGTTATTTACCCGAAATATAACCCCCCAGTCTTTTCTATGGAAGGGGTTGACAGATGGCTGCACATAAAGGGTATAGGGAGGACAAATGATCTATGTACATGCTTTCTATAAGCCACTTGTTTTTATTTGTGTAATCTACCCTTATGGACTGAAGTTCCTATAGTCTTTGAGAGCTGAGCCTTTCAGGGGTTTCTTCTTTTTAGGCTTACCCCTCTGTAGGTATATAGATTGCAAATCTCCTTTTTCCTTTTTTAAAATTTGCTAATATAGCTACCACTCCAGTATCCACATTTTTACAAAATTATTTTAAAATATTCATCTGTTATTACATTCTCTTCCATTTTCCTTGTCTTTGTAGGTAATTATTTTTTATTTTTTACTTGTTTACTTTTCTACATTTGATTTAATAGAGTTTTGGGACAGAGAGAAGTTAAATGCATGTGGTCAGGTGGCTATTCAAATGAAGTAGGTGAAACAAGGAGTGATCAATATATGTGGGACATCTGTTGTGTACTGAATGGGTTAAAATGTGTTGCAGAATCGGGAACTCGTTGCTGTCACTATGTATATGTGATTCACAACTATAGCCAGAAAGCTGTTTCTATGGTGAAGGTACTGTTAGCCACCAAAAAAAATAGGATCTGCTTTGGTTATTTGGATATGAGAATAGCACTCACAGATATTTGGCATTTAGGCAAAAAGACTGGCAAAAATGTTCTCTTCTTCCAAAATTTTTTCCAAAAAATCATGGAGAAACATTTGCTGTGATTTATGAAACAGTGAGGGGTTAAAGAGGGGGAGGAGTGATCAAATGCCAAAAAAAAAGAAGAACCCAAACCATGCCCCCACTGAAGAAAACTGTAAGGAAACTTCATTTTTTTAGCATGTTCTTGACATGTTTTAAAATGCTTTTAGAATCAAAAGTGGCATTAGAGTTCCTACAGTGGGTAGTTATTCTAGGGAAACAAATGAACACTAATCCATTAAATAGTTTTCGTGTAAATGTTAAGAGTAGTGAGTAGGGGCAGTATTACGTAGGCCTAGGAGAAAAGTGGTAGTTTGAGACTATAAAAAGATAAAAATTACAAGAAAATCTTACGGTAAATATGTTGCTTGCTTTAAATAATTTTTGATTGAATCAGGTCAAATACACTGTTGTTTATGTTTTAAAAATATTATAACTATTGCCAGAATACTGTCAGGAAGTGAAATTTGTCAGAAAGGGAGGCTAAATATTTCTTAACTGCATAGTTCAGAATTGGGAAGAGGCTGCCTCACTGAACCCACAGGCTTCATTAATAATCTTGTATTCTAATGTGTGAAAATTATTTATTGGTCTAGAATTTTAAAATTATTACATGTAATGCTTGTTATTTACTCATAATTAAACTTACCTTCTTATAAAGGAATATTTAGATCTTGTTTTTGTTATATTGTGTATGAATGGTTTTGTTATATTGTGTATGTATGTTTTGTATTTATGTGGGTGTGTGCACTTCATGCATTCCTAAGTTGTTGCCTGTACCGTTTAAATATGATGCTGATGCTGTATTTAATGGTGAATTTTAATTTTAGCTGAGAGTTCAGTATTTTTAAAGGAATTAATTAACACATTATTAGATAATTAGAAAAAAATTAAAAAAATAGATCTGTACCATGCTAAGTATAATCTAGCAAAATATATGTGTTTAAAAACAATCCTGGATTTTTTTTTAAGACAAGAGGGCAGTGAAGATATTTCCACACAATCTCTAGACAAAAAACTGTCTCTAGAAGAACAGCTCAGATTTAAACATGAGTATTATCAGAAAGGGACCGGCTTGGAACCTATGTAAATGTTCTTGGGGGTGGGAAGGGAGGAGAAAAACCCAGAAGGAAAGAGACATGGTAAACCAAAGACAAATGAAGACTAAACCAAGGACAACTGTGTCAAGAATAAAATGAAAGCTTATAAACACTTGTCCTTGAAAACCAAGAAATAAAAAAGAAGTCTGAGAAGTCTGTCTGAGAAGAAGAGATACAAAATCTCAAGAAAGGGACATAAGAGAAGAGGATGAAAATGGAGATAGTGATGCTTGTGAAGGATAAAAGTAATATCTCAACAGAAATACATTCACATTAGAGAGAGGGGTGGGAGGATATTCAATAGTTACCCCAGTGGAAGAGTAAAGGAACTTATCTGCAGCTCATTCTGATGGGGAAATCTCAAATGGCCCAAATTTAAATTTCTTGGTGGACTTGGATAGCCAAAGGGCTCCAAAGACTCTTCCCAGAACCTCTACTCCCAGGGCATTATTCTAACACTTAAGTAGAGCCTTAAAAAAGGTAGGTGGCATGGAGTGAAACTAGCTCATGTCAGTAGGAGATGAGTTAGAGCTTTGCTCAACAGATAGAAGAAAAAGGAAAAAGTGTTTTTAAGAGACTTAAATAAATAGAAGCAAAATGAGAAACTGTGATCTAAGTAAAAAGAACCCAGGAAGTTAAACTCTTCACAAGGGCCCATTGGTGATCCACTATGGGTCCTTGTGAAGAGTTTAACTTTCTGAGTTCTTTTGCTTTAACCTGGCTTTTCTTTGTGGTAACCAGTTTTTTTTAGCAGTTGGTTAGAAGCCCTTGTTTTTCCATTCTTTAGTATCTTCTTTAATTCTGTGTATGTCCAGCAGCAGTAGAGAGCCTGCCTTGATTAGTTGACTTCAGTCATTGGGATAAGGGAGAGTTTTTGGTATACTTTTTCTAAGACAAGGAAACCATCAAAGTTGCAGAGAGAGTCACATTTGAATGACATTGCCTTGATTTTAGATTTACTACCTTACAAGTGCTATCATTGCAGACCAGAATTCCTGTCTTAGGGATTCTGATGGCCAACATGGATCTAAGAGAGGGAAACCATTCCTATCTTCGTGTTCCAGTTGTACCTTGAGACTTACCTCACCAAATGACCTGTTTTATCCTTTTCTTCCTCACCAGCCTGTGAATTCCTCAAATAAGAAAATGGTGTTTTATTCATGTTTATAAACTTGAGGTGCAATGATTAGTTGGAAATTGCTAGTAAAGGAATAAAACAGAGAGCATCAGAAGAAATGCCCCATGAGTCTTTGCTCCCCTGTGGTGTGTAGGCAACAGAGTTTCCCAAATATGCTCAGTAGAAATACAGGAGACAACTGATTTGAAGGCCATGGGTCTGCCATGGAATTCTGTGGAAAGAAGTGAGTGAGGTGCCTCCATAGCAGCACATCCTCACCTGGAGTAAGAAAGAAAATATGGCTGACACTCAGAGAATCTGGAATTCCAACAAGTGACAGGATAGTGGCAAGTCAGTGAAGGATAATCACAGGACCCAACACTGAAAGAACATACCTCACTTTTTCTGGTTGCCCACTGTAGCAGTAGGTACAAGCAGCATTAAAAGACATGGAAGTTAAGCTAGTGAGGGCTCATAATAAAATTCAAGGTTTGCACATGGGCTAGTTATGACTAATCCTACTGCCATCTGGACACATTAGCCTTTTTGCCCTATTCCCTGAAGCCTTTATCCAAGAGAGACTTTTGTAGGAAAAGTGGCTGATATACATTTAACTGATAATTTTGGTACGTAATCTCCAGACTACCACCAAGATGGGTGCTTCAAAGCAGCCTGAGAACAGTAATGGTAAAAAAGCCATTCTGTCTTGTTTTGTATATTTGTATGCAGGGCACAAATTTTGACCTTGCTATATGTATGTTGAAGAGTTTAATATTAATAATCTGGTGACTTGGGCATATGTTAAACGATGTTTAATTTTTTTTAAGTAGACGGCAGTTAATACAATTATGCTCTGGAAGGCTGTGATTTTAAATCATGCATGCACACACACACACACACACACACACACACTTCTTATTCTTACCAAATAAACAAACTAAAGAACTTTTGGGATCTTTGAAAACCCATTTTCTATCACTATGATGAAACGTTGAAAGATTTAAATCTAACGGAGTGCCTGAAACATAGACATGTTGAATGTGAATCATAATTATTTACCAATTGTATAATTAAAATAATTGTTTTGGGGTATTAATAATAGAGGTAACTTTTGATTAATTGAGGTCACTAGATAGTCTTAGACCCTATGAGTAATGTCACTGAAGTAAAAGTGACAGTGGCAGTCTTTTCTCACTGGGTCCTCTGCTCAGATTGAATTCATTCTACTTTCTGCATCTCATAGATAACATCACTGAATATTGAAATTTGTTCATGAGGAAACCTATCTGCCAATGAAGGAAACTGGATAGCCATATCTGAAGTTTCAATCTTTTTAGAATCTGAATTTCCATAAGCCATTTGGAGAATATTTGGAGGAGATCTGATCTGATTTTTTTTTAAGAAGTTCACCTTGACTGCCACCTGAAGACTATAAGGGGAGCCCCAAGCCTGGATAAGAGTATCAAGAGTTGATGGTGAGATAGCTAAGGGTAAAGGCAGTGATGATAGGAAAAGCGATCCTATATTTTGGAGGAAGAGCTGATAAGACTTAGTTTGAGAGTGAATGGTGAGAGAAAAGAATGGATTAAGGACAGAGTTTAGAATTTTTCTTTAGCAGCTGTGGTGGGAGGGTGGAGAGTTAGATATTACTAAGAGAAATAAACAAGTTTGGGAGTAGGAATCAGGAAGTGTATTTTGCAAATGTTAAATATGAGATAGTTATAGATATTTAAGTAAAGATATCAATGAAGTAGGGAGTTACATATTTGAGTCTAGAATTCTAGGGAGAAGTGAGGACTGGAGATAAAGAAGCCACAGAACACTTCCAAATAATAAAACTAAGAAAGAACATTTATGTGCTGCTTACTAAATGTCACATAGTATTTTAAATATTGTACCTATATTTATTCATTTAATCCCCATAACAACCCTAAATTATTATACTTATTGTACAGATAAGAAAACTGAGGCACACAGTAGGTGGTGCTGAAATTTGAATACTTGTCAGTCTGACCACAAAGACTCTCACTACTCTAGAATTCTGAAAAATATTGTGATATTCGAGTGGCACATTGAGTAGCAAGAAGAGTGCAGTGGATATGCCAGGTACAAAGAAATCACTGTAGGTCCTGGTCTATTATTTGATTTTGAATTAAGAAAAAAACCTTGCATGCTTGACTATACAAAGGGTTTTCTGTTTTTTTTTTGTTTGTTTGTTTTTTTTTTTAAATGTTGGAATAAGTAGGTATACTTTATTGTCACTTGCCTCCACAAAGATTACTGTGGAGGTGGGAACATCTGAAAAAACAACTGTTGCTAAATCATATGTATTGTGAGAAGACAGCTTGTTCCAAGAAATCTGGCTTATACTATGTCAACACTTTTTAAACATGCTTCAAATAAGAAAAAAGGGAAAAGCATAAATAGCATAAGTTTGGCTTCAGGGTCTCAGAGTGGATTTTTGAGAAACTGGAACTTCAGGGCACAATCAAATGGACAACCATTCCTTTCTCTTCCAAATAAGTCTCATTTACTTATTTTATTTATTTTTTATTCACAGTAGATAGAACACACTGTACTCATTCAATTATTCTGTATCTATTAAACACCTGTTGTGCTAGAACTGCTTATAAAGAACTTACAGTTCAGTGTGTAGTAAATATTCAATGTCTCATTTATCAAATTGATTAATCATACAAATTGTATGATTAAGTAAATGCATTGGTCATACAGATCAAGGATCTTTAAGTAGTTTCAAAAAGGAGAGATGAGGTTAGCCCTTTTAAAAAATGTACTAACTCTAGTGATGTCAGAAGATTAATTATTTGATTATTTAAAAATGTTTAATTACCTATCTATCATCTATCTATATGTCTATCAAACAGGTTTTCCTGGAGAAGTAGTAGACTATAGGAATTTGCAGGTTAGATTGTGAAGAGTTTTGAAGCTGGTATGACAGAGACTGATCATTAGTCCCCAGGAATTATTCTCATCCTCTTCTACCTACTTAGAAAAGATGCACACACAATTTTAGCTGGGCCCAGGGCCTCCCAGCTAGAGAGTACATTCTTCAGCCTGTCTTGCAGCAAGGTAATCTATTAGGTTGGTGCAAAAGTCATCGCGGTTTTTGCCATTACTTTCAATGGGACCAACATAATAATTACTTTTGCCCCAGACTAATAGTTTGGGCCAGTTGGGTAGATCATAAATAACGGATGCCAGTTATGTCATCTTCTTAAAGGTAAAGCTACTTATCCTTGACTTCCTCCCTCCTACTCCTACTTCTGCTTGGAAATTGTGGCAATTAGAACAACCTTGAAAGCCATGTATTAAAGATGAAAATCCACCTCTCCAAATACAGATTGCTTGTATCTATACTGTTTATTACATGAGATAAATTCATGCATTGTATAACTGTTTGGTGTTGGCTTTTTCATTCCATATAATTCTCTGGAGATTCAATCAAGTTAGTGGGGGTGTCAATAGTTCATTTCTTTTTATTGCTGAATAATATTCTGTGATATGATTATATAATAGTTTGTTTAATCATTCACCCATTGAAGGACACCGGAGTTATTCCTAGTTTTTAGCTATTAGTAATAAAGAAGCTATGAATATATATGTACCATTTTTGTTGTGGGCAGATAAGTTTTCATTTCTGTGGGATAAATGCCCAAGAGTGCAATTGCTGGGTTGTGTGGTTAAGTGTATGCTCAGTTTTTAAAATAAATTATAAATCTGTTTTTCAGAGTGGTTGTACCTTTTACATCCCCACCAGCAGTATATGAGTGATTCAGTTTCTCCACATTATTGCTATTTTTGATATTATTACTATTTTTAATGTTAATCATTCTGATAGATGACTACTGATATTTCATTGTGGTTGTGATTCGCATTTTCCAAATGGCTAACAATGCAGAATATCTATTCACGTGTTTATTTGCCATCTGTATATGCTTTTTTGGTGAAACTTCTGTACATATTTTTGTCCATTTTTATTTTACATTTTTACTTTTTTAATTTACTCTGTTTTTTTCTACTGTTGAGTTTTGAGAATTATGTTAATATTCTAGATTTGACCTTAAAAGCATTACTCATAAAAGGAAAAGTTTCACTGGATCTAGTTTGGGTCAATCAAGTGGATTATAAATGACGGTCACTTCTATATCATCTTTTTTTTCTTTTCTTCTTCTTCTTCCTTTTTTTTTTTTGACAGAGTCACATTCTGTCGCCCAGGCTGGAGTGCAGTGGCGTGATTTCTGCTCACTGCAACCTCTGCCTCCCAGGTTCAAGGGATTCTCCTACCTCAGCCTCCTGAGTAGCTGGGATTACAGGTGCCTGGCACCATGCCCCGCTAATGTTTGCATTTTTAGTAGAGACGGGGTTTCACCACATTGGCCAGACTGGTCTTGAACTCCTGACCTCAGGTGATCCGCCTGCCTTGGCCTCCCAAAGTGCTGGGATTGCAGGCGTGAGCCACCATGCCTGGCCTTATGTCATCTTTTTAAAGACAAAGAGGCTTATCCTTGACTTCCTTTCTCTCATTCTTATAAGGAAGTAGCCAGGCATACAAAGTGATAAATAGAAAATGAGATTTTATACAAATGCAATTTTCATATTTTCTCTTCTTCAAACTCATTTATCTAATGGTCAGTTGTACCATTTTGAAAATGTAACTTTAGAATTTAGATACATTTTTCTCATAGGCAATGACAGAATCTTAAGGTAGGGGAGTAAAGGAGATGAAAAGGGCATTCAAGTTCGTGAAGTAGAATTGGTGGCAGAACTATAGTTTCACTTGTCATTTACTGTGGTGCACAAATACACAAAATTAGGAACTTTCTTTGGCTGATAATTGTTTTGACCGTGAAATAAAAGTCACTTCTATATCAAATGGCTTATCTAAATGTTCTTTCAACTTGAAAGCATCGTCAATGGGGATCTTCTATAAATAGATCTTACTTGCAATCTATATACTATTACTGAAATATATGCTTTCTTCAAATGGGAATATTTGATCCTAGGGCATTTTAGAATCTTCTTACAGAATAAAGGCAGAAACATATTTAAGCAGAGGAAATGAAATATCCAATCACAGACAGGCCTTTGACAATTTTCCAAGTCATGGTTGTTGTTTTTTTAGATTAAATCATCTTAATTCATTTTGATTTTTTCATTTATATTAATTACATTACTCTCTGAATCATGCATACATATTCATTTTCCCTTTGACCTGTAATATGAAATTACCCATAGAGATCAAGTAAAGACTTGACCTATAAAAGACAGAAATAGCAGGGCCCTTAATGATAGCTTCCTAGGTGTATAATAACCAAGAATCTACTCAACTGTTGCCTCATGAGAAAGGTACTAGGACTAGGGGTATACGTATACAGGTCACCTGTTTTGATATGTTATGTGGTGAAATAGTTGATGTAGGCTTTCAGCAGCCCCAGTTGGCTTGCTTCTATTAACCTTGTAGTCAAAGATGGCAATACTAATTAGTTAGTTATTTTAGATCATCAAGTTATTTCCTATTTTCTTACCAGTTTTTGCTCATTGGATAAAATACATAATGATAATCCATAGAAATTGAGAACTTTAGGACATCCTTTAGAAGGGAAATATGGCTGAATGTCTCCATTTTAGAAATGAAAAAATCAAGACCTAGAGAAGTTTAATTTAAAGACCTAGAGAAACTGTATTTCACCCATTATATAAGATACACATTGTTTTTTCACATGTTAACTTCTCTAAAACCAGGGTGTTTCCTACAATCAATAGTATCTTACATTGGCTGTTGGCCAGGTAGTGATTGTGATGTTGTTGCCTGGTATGTATGAACTTTGTTGCAATTGGACAGCTACATGAACTTGGTGGCATTACTGGATGTTTGTAACTTCACATATCATTCAACAAACTCCTTAGGACCATTTGAGTAAATCCTAAGTTCTGGTTGTGGTCTAAAAACTTGTGCTAATACCTTCCAGTGAGATGTACAAATCATCAGCAGTAAAATTAATATAATGAGCCTTAATGGCTTGAAAGAATATCGTGGAGTTAATGGTGAAGCATTCTTTTAAGAAAAGCTGCAACGCCAATGGCCATGATGACATAAAGGTCTCTACTGTTTGGGAAAATAAGTACATCAACTACTCTTAGTCAAGTCCTTCATATTTTCTTTTTCATACACTGTAACATTGATATGCAAAAATATGTGTAAAGTATAAAAGAGCTCCTTTAATAAGCATAAAAGAAAATTCTAACAATAAGAAAACATGTCATAGATTGAGAAACTTTTCTTTCTTAGTTGTAACCCATTCCTAAACAATTATGAATTTAATCAATTCTGATTTTTTCTTATTTCCTCAGTTATTTTCCTACAAGCCAAGCTATTATCTATTCAGACTCTGAAGTAAAAACCAAACTATTCCAATTTTGATGAAGAAATCTAATCTTTATTTCTATGATTTTAGCACAATATACTCACACAATAGCTTTTATCTGTACTTAACAAAATACATTTATAGCACTTTACAAACTTTATCAGTTTGGAAAACATTGCATAACATTTTTTTAAACACAGTACTTTATATATACTATATATATTTTCATAATTTTATTTACTTTAAAAAGATAATTAACTCTCTTTATTCAATACTTGGTTTTATCAGTAAAGCACAGCCTAACAAAGGAAGAAGTGCTCCCATTAGCAAATAAGATAAATAGAACACTAAGAAGAGATACCACCTTTTAGTCTGATTTATTTTAAATTAAGGTACCAGTGGAATGTAAACAAATTTTTTTGTAATTTTTGTTTTACAAAAGACATGTTATCAAATATACATGCAGAGGTCTGAGTTCTAGTGTCTATCATTATATGTCCTTAACAATGTGGTACAATTTGTTAAGTCATTAAAAACTGTAGCCTTTGGCACTTTGAGTAGAAAAAGAATATATCAATATTTATGTAAAGAAAAAAAAACTTCAATGACTAGAGAAGTACTTTAAAATCTTTTGTTAAGAAATAGGAAAGATTAGGAAATATCATACTGCACCTGAAATGCTGCAGCAGGGGTTTTTGTTTGCTTGTTTTTGTCCTTCAGAGTACTAAAACCAGCCCACCTTTTCCTCTACAAACAGGCAAAAGCCAGTATGAGCGTCATGATGGCGGTGGTGGTGAGAAGTGGGGAAGGCAACATTTTATTCCCACTCCCCTCTCTGAGAAGGAAATTGCCAGAAGGGATATGGTTGAGTCCATGTTTTATTGCCAGAGTTTTCAATTCTGCTGGTTTCAGCTAAATTCCTAATGCCTTAGAGGTTGGTTTTTCTAGAAAGCTCCACCTTTTTCATGTGGAAATTGATAATGATGTGATACTATTCATCTGTAAACAACTCCTTCTGTTATTGGAAAGTGAGCTAAGATCAGATCAACCATCTCTGTTGTTTCCTTTCATCCCCTTGGCAATCATCAAGTATATATCGGAATTCTTATGAAATGGCATAAAAAAGGTTTAATACTAAGTTCCAAGAACTGAGTATGTCTTCATACTTTAAGTTGGAAAACACTCCAAAATATTTTGTTTTTATCTTCTTCTTATCAATGGTATTGGTTTGCTTTGATTTAGGCTCAAGGCTTGATTCAGGATAGGTAGCAACAATGGTTGTTTGCATGTTAAACTAAAACTGCACCTATTCAGATATTTTGAAGAAAGTCATTCTTAATTTGTACCGTGAGATACTTTTACTTACCAACATGCATTTTTTTTTCAGATTCTTCCTCTTGGTGTCCAATTAACAAAAACGTTTTAGAGACGAGTCAAACTTAACCAGTGTGGCTCTAATTTACTGGTCATCAGGATATAGAAAAAAAAAGTTAATAATGTAGAACCGAATGGGACTTTTAGATTACTTGTTAAGATGGCAACCTATGCCAGCTAGTTGTAGACATCTAAGGGCAAACTTGACCAACATTTCTGGCAATGTAACCCACAATGTCAAGTTTTGGCTCAGATTTCTTGTTTGCAAATTCACAGCAGTATATTTTGCTCAAGGAATGTCAATTGTTATTTTTGCTTTTAAAATAGGAGAACATATCTATAACTTCAAAAAATTAATCAATAAGTTAAGGAGAAGCCATAGAAAGCAAAATATGATCACAACAATTTCAAAAGATTCTCTAAAATAATATTTATAAAATTATGCAAATTTACTCACTAAGAAAACAGATTCATTAGCAGTACCTATACTTAAATAAAAAGTAAGCAGAAGAAAAACTATGCAGAAAAGTACTAGTTATTCCCTTTCACTGAAAATATTTCTACACAATTTTTGATGTTGAAGAAAGCAGAATTTTGAAGAAACGCACAAAAACCTTTTCATTTTTTGACTGTGACAGAGCCACTACAGAGAAGCTGCGGGGTGTCCTATTCTAACACAAAGCAGCCAGCATCTTCTTAATAAAGTAGCATTTCTTTAACAAGGAATTGCACACCACTATTTCACAGCTAAATAGAGTTTGAGAGTTTACATGGTATATGTACTATAATAATCAGCACCACCCGTATTGAGCTGTAGGTGCAGATTCTGCAAAATGAATATATAATACTGCATGGCCTCTGCTGTAGGGAAAACGTGTGTGTTCTGGGTTCCCACAGCTCACTATAAAGAAAAATCCCCAAAGTTGGCACATTCAGGAAGTAAAATAGTATACATTTGAAGAAAACCACTTTCTTTTGATACTGCCCTCTGCAAAACCTTTTAAGTTTGACGACAGGTCTTAAGAAAACTCTTCATATCATCACGTTAGTTAGGTTCTTGCATTGTGCTTTTCCCTCTCCTTGATGTGAGATCTGCAAGTTTGAGTATAGCAGTTCTGAAAAGTTACAGAGTTCTGGGCTGATGGTAGACAATCTAGCTTGGTGAGACTTCCCAATTCGCTGGAACAGAACACAGGTAGAATCAACATATGGTCTTTTGCGAGTAGCCCTAATGATGGAATGGACATCACTCAATCCTTATAAGCCCGTGTGGGGGAGGTTCCTTTGTAGAAGATATTTCTAGTGTTTTCGGGGCTGTTGCTTCTTTCAGGGATTAGAATGATATTGCCCTTTCTCCGCAGGGTGGAGTCGCGGGAAGAAGAAATGGACAGCGTCTCTGAGCCAATTTCGCTGCCCTCTACTGGGGTGACGCGGATGGTGGTAATTCCGTGGTGGTGATGCTCATTGCTATCAATGTTGCTTCTCTTGCGATCTCCAGAACCAAAGCTGTCTTTCAGAGACTCACAGCTTTCTGAGTCCCTGTTGAGATCGTTGAGCTCGTAAGTTTGGCGAAGGCTGCCCTTTTCAGGGGCTTTCCACTTCCAGGAGCCACTGCCTTCACCTTCAGTGGACGGGATCTGTATGATGGGCCTGTTGTTCTCTGGGTGAGCCTCAACCCTCACTATCCCACTGGGCTCATGGTCTGTCAAGGTTTTATAGCGGATGGAGCCAGTGCAGGAGACCGTGCTGCCTTCAGTGTTCTTGGGGCTGCTTTGGAGGACACCCTGCTGCTTGGACATGGCTATGACTTGCATGATTCGGGGCTGGCTGTTGCTTCTGTTACAGGCCACAGTCTTTTCAGCAGCTTTTAACCACTTGGCCCGAGCAGAGCTGCTTTTGGGGGAGGTGCTTATGTTTTCCTGAGTCTCCTCAGGGATGTGCACCAACTGTGAGGACCCAGGACGGGACTGAATGGACACTCTTGGCCCTCCAGGCATGCTGTTGTTACATCCGGGGACAGCGCCAGGCTGGATTTTGAGGTACTGATTGCCAGGACCATGGTGGTCTCCATTCACCCCTACCCTCGATGGCTCTGAGCTTGACCTCATTTCTATGGATCTGGGTGGTGACTGCCCAGGCTCAGGCTCTATAACTTGCAAGGACAACTTTCGACTTTCATTCTTATTCTTCCACTGGGTGAGGAGCTGCTTTGATCGAGCGGAATCCATAGAGGCATGAATGCTCGCATTTCTTCTGACAGGGTCTTCTACAGATGGGGTATTGGCTCGCGGCAAGGTATTGCTGAAGGTAACCATGTTCTCCTTCCCCATGGGGCTCCGTGGAGTAATGATTTCCACATCAGCATTTGCTCTTTTGAGATTTGTCAGAGAGCTAGCATCTCTGTGGTTTCGGTTGAGGATGCCTTCTGTATGAGCAATTCCATCACTGCTGCTACCATTTTTAGCAGATAAAAGTCGGTTGGGATCTTGATTGAGGTCTGTCAGAGACCTGAGGGCGTCTCTGTGCTGAAACATACTCTCATCACTGGGCAGGAAATTCCCCACAGCATACAAGCCCTAGTGTTTGAGAGAAAGCAATAAATATCATGCACTAGAAGACAGTCACTAGGGTTTCCTTAGAGTACCCACTGAAGTACATACATAGGTATATGCTTCCTATACACCATTGACTAGTACAAATAATGAAACATGAAAACTATATTTTTGCAGGGAAATACTTTGTAAGTTATATCATAAATCGCTGCATGAATTGCTCAGCAATGTGAACCCCATTCTTTTCTCCATCCTACTGGATGTTTTTGTCTATCTTATCCTGTGTATATTTTCAGAAGAAAAAGCAGACAAGAGAGAAATAAGGACTTTTTTTCTGCTTTTCAAAGCAATTCATTTTTCTGGATTTAGGAACTTCTTGTTGCGTGACATCTCAAATGGCTTAAATGATTTATTTTACCTTCCATTTTCAATCATATGATGGAAAGTAGAAGAAGTGTACAAAATATAGAACAATATATCATTTATAAAAAATGATATCTGGTTTTGAAAGAAGGTCGGAGACATATGTTATTACGACTCGCACTGACTACAGCCTTGTGTGTTCAGCATTGTACAGGGTGTTCTTGGAAGACAGGGCAAAAACCATCGCCAGATTGGGGCACCTAGATTCTTTCCTGATTTAAACTTGGTCATAAATTGGGAAATACTATTTGATCAATTTAGTACCATTGCACTAAATGTGAGCCAGATTTTATTTAATTTTGTCTTCATACACAGTGTATCTTTTTTTGTTTGTTTTAGATTTGGGAAGCAAAAATTTGGAAAAAGGCTAAAGTTCAGACTCAAAATCATTACCCTTTTGGCACATAGAAGATCTAATCCCTGCTGGACTTTCAGTTTTTGAGATACTTGGTATTAGAGATAAAAAATCAAGCAGCAGACACCTGTTTGTGTGCTAATTTCAAAAGGCGGTAACCACTGTCTACTATTCAAGTTCAAAACAAAAAAATATTGATTTAACATTTTATAGAATGCTTAACAATGAACAAAGCATTGGCTTAGAACTGAAAATTTTCCAATTTCAGGGCAAGAGTACAGACAGAAATGAAATAAAGCCAAGCTCCTGCCTCTTCAAGTATTTTAATTCCTGGTTGAAACCATCTTCTAAATATCTGTCTATGCTCTCACCAGAATGAGCAATCCCTAACTCATGTTCTATTAATAATTGTACTTAAATTTGTAAGTTGGGGAAGATCCTCCACTAAACTATAAGCTCTCCATACAAGTACAGCCATGTGTCATTTAATGACAGGGATACATTCTAAGAAATGCATTGACAGGTGATTTTGTCATTGTGTGAACATCATAAAGTTCACTTACACAAATCTAGATGGTATAGCTTCCCACACACCTAGGCTCTATGGTACAGCCTATTGCTCCTAGGCTACAAAATCCTACAGTGTGTTACTATACTGAATACTCCAGGGAATTGTAACACAATGGTAAGCACTTGCATATCTAAATATAGAAAACATATAGAAAAAATTCAGTACTCTAATCTTATGGGATCACCATGGTATTATATATGGGGTCCATGGTTGACCAAAATATCATTATGTGACACATGTCTGTAGTTGTTTAATTCTTGTTATGACATGGGACAGAGAGTTAGTATCTTTATTTTGTAGGTGAAGAAACAGGCTTCTGAAAAGCTGTGTAACTTGGCTAAGTGGAGGAAAATTTGGATTCATAACCAAATCCTTTGCACTATAAATCCCATGCTAATTCCAGGACATCATGAAATGACACACATGCAAAAGCAATACATAAACTAGAGAGTGGCATTTCCAGTCTCCTTTATTTCTTCTGCAATGCACATTGCCAACTAACACTCCCATGGGCAACCCAGGCTTATGCACAATTCCTGGCACACCAATTTTAATTTGATCCCTTTCTCCTGCAGTGAAGAATGCATGCGAGTGAGAATAACTTTTAAAGTGACAATCTTGACTGTGCCTGTTTATGAAAATAAAAAAACTTATAAAATTATAGCACACTTCAGTACTTTACCTGTATTTTGGTAATAATTTTCTTGTAATGCCTTTCCAAGGGCACTAAGACCACATGATTGAGAACTGTAGCTACAGATAATTTATTTTTACTTCTGTCAGCTCTTCTCAGTTTCTTTCATTATTGCCTTTTCCTCCGCATGTCACTTGTTTATTGGTATTCCCTGGCTACCTTTTATTTTTATGACCTGGCAGTTTTATATAACCGTAGTAACTACAATGGTACTTCCATTAAATATCCTTCTCCAATACTGATTGCTCTTTTGAATTCCAGAAGCAACTACTTAACTGCTTATTGATTCAATTGATCCCCTCAACTCCCTTTACCCCACAAATCTGCTTCATCTGTCATTTACCTGGTCTGCTAATGAAGTCATCATCTGTCCAGTGTTCCATGCTGGAAACCTGGCCATTATGTCTCATTCCTCCTGTTCCCCCACCTTCCACTTCCACTTGCTCTTTCAGATACCTGTCTCTTTGCATATGTAGTTTCTTCTTCTTGAATGCCCTCCCTTCTTTCTTTACCCCATGGAACTCCCATTAAAAACAACAACAACAACAACAGCTACACACATACACATCACTTTTGTGACGTCTTTTCTAACTTCCTCAGGCAGTTTGCTATTCCTAAAATACTTTGTTCATACCCTGTTATATCGTTTAACATGTTGTAACCATTTATATTTATGTTAGTCTTTACATTGTAAACTTCTGAAGAATACATCTCAATAGCAAAGACTTGGAACCAACCCAAATGTCCAACAATGATAGACTGGATTAAGAAAATGTGGCACATATACACCATGGAATACTATGCAGCCATAAAAAATGATGAGCTCATGTCCTTTGTAGGGACATGGATGAAATTGGAAATCATCATTCTCAGTAAACTATCACAAAGATAAAAAACCAAACACCGCATGTTCTCACTCATAGATGGGAATTGAACAATGAGAACACATGGACACAGGAAGGGGAACATCACACTCTGGAGACTGTTGTGGGGTGGGGGGAGGGGGGAGGGATAGCTTTAGGAGATATACCTAATGCTAAATGACGAGTTAATGGGTGCAGCACACCAGCATGACACATGTATACATATGTAACTAACTTGCACATTGTGCACATGTACCCTAAAACTTAAAGTATAATAATAATAATAATAATAAAAAAAAGAATACATCTCATTTCTCAGTGTTACAATGTTCAGTATAATCCCTGGCACGGAATAGATATTGAATAAATGTAAAATGCATGAATGCATGCATGCATGACAAAATGAAATGGACAATCTCAGTTTCCTTATGCTGAGGATATTTCCCTTAGAGGGGGACCAGGCTTGAAAAAAGAGTAGTGTTAAAGAAGTCAGTATTAGTTGGATCACAGTTACATTCAGGTGCTAAATTTGTGGTGTGGGGCAAGTTATATAACCTTTAACTAAATTTTTGCTTTCACTAACCTTACTTTTGGCAATAATCACTTTCCTCATCTGTAGCATTATAATTATAGTAGTAATAGTAGTCCCTGCCCACCTCCTGTTTGGTTGGCATAAAGACAAAATTCAGAAATCTTTCTAAAATTACAATTTCTGGCTCATAGTAAGAGTTCAATAAATGATTTTGTTGAAAGTGAGATATGTGTTTTGGCATAGAATGGAGATGCGGCCAGAGATTTTCTCATTTATATAAAATATATCGCAAGGAAGCTATTATAGTGCAAAATATTCTATGCATGTTTTCCATTTTAAACTTTGGCTTATAAGATAATAGTAACTTATTTACCAAGTACAGTGCAATTCCTCCTCCTATTAAAAAGCCACAATAGACATCAACTGGGTGGTTCTTATACTGAGTTATCCGTGTTAGCCCGCAGATTATTCCACAGATGATAAATGTGAAGACCAAGAGAGGTTTCAGAAGCTTAGAGGAATCCGTTAATGTGGAATTGAAGTACATCTTAAAAATGGAAGAAATGGGTTAAGTATGTTAGAAAGGCCATTTTATTAGTAAATTATAATCAAATAAAAGTTAAAAGTCTGATACAATTGACTTCAGTTTTACTGTTTCACCCCCTCTTCCTATGGCTATGTTCTGTGCCTGCCAAGAAGGGATATGCATGATGAAATTTATCAAATAAATAACAAATTAATTACATGAAAGTTGGAAAAATACCAAAACAGTAGAGTTAACCATTTAACTGTTTAGTCTCCATGTTACTTGTCGTATAATTTCGCTCATTTTTCTCAGGAAAGACTTCACGGACTATTGTACAAATTAGATAAAATGACTATTCATTGTACAACATTTCTAAATTTACACTGACCTAAAACTTATTGTTACAGAAATACTAAAGTAGCGTACGTGTGTGTGTGTGTGTGTGCACGTTGTATGTCTTTGTGGGTACTTATTGTGATTCTTTCAAGTTTTGTAACATTCCTATAATTCACAATATCCTCCTATGAAGTATAATATTAAAGGGATACCAGAATAAATAAATACTATTATAACTGTGTAGAAAAATTCTTTTACTGTACTATTTTTTATAGTAGTGTTTGATTTCTGCTTTGGATGCCATTGTATTGAAAGGCTGCAGTGCTAAATTTACCATTCTGTTATTACATGGTTATATCATCCAATTAGTCACCTGGAGACAACATTCATTCCTCAGATTTTCTGTAGAACACAACTTAACAAAAAAGAACCAGTTACTTACCGAAACATACACAGCTGCAAAGGCAGCAAGGGTTGCATGTTGAGAAGGGAAGGACTTTCTGCCAAAAGAAGATAGTCAAATTATGCCTTGTAGTTCAGATACACTGCTAGCAATCATCTCAAAGACACTGAGTGGTTAAAATGTTCAACTTAAAAGTCACAAGGCAATAAGCAATAATTTTACCTTCTGTCCAGCTTTCTGGTGAAAGACCTTAGTGATAAAATAAATGCTGCTAATCACCATTAATATTAACAAATAGTAGTGATGTAGTTTCCAGTATAAAAAACTGCTAGCTTGGCAAGGGGCCACTTCATTACATCACTAGAAGGATGGTTGAAGTAAAAATGGATTGGAAAACATCATTGTTCTTTGGTGTAAGAATTATACCAGTTCTAAGTAACAGCTCATAAAACCTAGGGGTTTAAAGCTTTAAACTTTTTCTATGCTCCTAAACACATTGTTTTATTTACATAAAAATTTTAAAAAATGAAGTTATTTTCTCATGGCATTGGATCTAAATGTGTTTTGTTAATACTCTAGAAAGCATAAGAAAAGTCTAATTTTAACAAAATGTTTCTCTACAAAATTAACAAAATGTAGTACACTTTACAATAATTTCATCTCAAGAATTATAGATCATCTTATTTAAACAGTTTAAAGAGCAGGCAAAGATAGTGAAGAGACTCTGAAAAGGGCAGGCAAAAGAAGAATAGAGATTTGTTTCAATGAATTAAAAAATTAGAAAAAATAAAATTCACTTAAATTAGTGCCTTCCTAATTATTTGGTACCATGATAAACAAGATCCCCATTCAACAGAGATAAGTTAATGTAATAGGACTGAGAAAAAAATAGAGGACATAGGTCTTGACTGTAGATCCAAAATTATTGAATGATACATGAGAACCTTAATGTGTATAATCACATAACATCAGGCTTTAATTATTCAGGTGTACCTATTAACTTATTTTTGACTCTTTAGTCAATATTTGGCAACTTATTGAATGGAAAATTCAATTCTTTCAATAATTGATTGGCCCTTATCCCTCTGCAATTTATTTCTTTTGAGACTGTAAACTACTATCTCTTGTCATGTAAGTTTATTTTTGCTTTATTTATTAAGAAATGTAATGCATTGGTAATTTCTTGAGTTTCCTTTATTTTCTGACATGTAAGGCCAGAAGCTATGCACACCCGGGTTCATTCAAAGAATGAATGAAATTATGTCACAGAGTCTGGGGCATGAGTTAGATCTGATTCAAAGAAAACATATGCAATCTTAGATGTTACCCCTCCTCAAACTTTACAAAAAGGAAAATTCACATTTTTTTTATGGAACATATAATGGAGATATAACTTTCATATGTGTTTAGTTTTTAAACCAGTACAAGAGTTATATTGACTGCCAGCCATGACTGACTGTAAATATTCTGAAATAAACCATTTATAGTAACCTAAAACCATAATGAGTATAGGATTGATCACAAAACATGGTGGAGTTTGGTGAAATAGGGACTAGTAGCAAAAATGTGAGGCTGAAATTTGGAGACATAGAGAAGAATTTGGAATAAGCCCCCAATGAGTTTCTATGGTTTAGTAATTGAAGAGATCATTGAATTGAAAAGAAAAATAAAAACAAAATCATTATGACTGAAAGAGGCATGCTTAAAGTGATACTCCAAGCAGCAATTGAATAATGAAAACAATGATGCAGAGTGTTTTTAGATCTGTTTCTAACCTGCCACTGTTGATAACTGTGAGGTCAGATCCTGAGCAAATATCTTCCACAATGTAGGAATTTTCTTTGCAAGATACATTCAGAGAGGTATAGTTTGGTTTGCACACAGTCAGAAAGTAAGGTGCTTGATATCCTGTGGACAGCTGTATGATATCTGTAATGAGAGCTGTAGAGCATAATCCAAATACATGAACACCTATAGGCAAAATGAAAGAAATTGTTACCAAGTTGGTGGTTGTGTCAGCATCAAACATATTCATTAAACATTAGTGAATTAAGATCTTAAAATCTATTGTGTTCATTTTCTCTAAGTTGATTTCAAGAAGACAGTATAGAAAATTCCTAAACTTCTAAACAGATACTTAAGTCCAAAATAAAGGCAATGAGTATCTCCAAAGTAGTAACTTTAGGCACTTTTGTTAATTTGGTGATAAAGTGCCAATTCTTAACATTAACTGTAAGTCACTTGTCAAGACACTTGGAACATGCTAAGGTATTATTTGAGAGCGACGACATGTGTGGAATGAAGAAAAATTTAAAGTAGTTTTAATTTGCTTAGCGTTTTTAAGTTGCCAGGGTTATTTCTCCCTGATGGTCTCTAACACTAGCCACAGTTATCACACCCTACAGAATCCATTCTAATTCTCTTCAAGCTGTGATCATACTAGGAATGCTAATTAAAACAGAGAAGAAGTCAGACAGGCCCTAACGTGGAAATGACAATCGTATCCTAGGTACACGAATGTGGGGAGCCCACGTGTGTGTTTGGAATTTGGACACGATGTTCTTACATATCTTGGTCCAAATTATTTTTTCTGTTTCTCCTAGGACCAATTTTAAACCATGAAATAAAAAAATCCTTGCACTTGTACATGCAAACTCCATGCCTGCTTGAAGTTGTTTGCTTGGCCTTATCTTTGGGAGTCCAGCTCTCTGCTCACAGGCACATGATCTGGAACTTTCTCACTCTAGGTTTTCTTGTCACCCTAGATTCATTCTGACTTGACAGCTTGCATTCTGATTCATGAGTTGCTCATAGAAATCATTATGAGAGGACCAGGGTAATTCTTCAGTCACCGCCTCCAGACCAAGAGTGCTGGCTTGCACATTACCCTGTTTTACATTTTTCTTCACTGCTTACTGTCACCTAACCACCATTCCTCCAATTGCTTCTCCACCCACACACCTGGGATTCATGACACAGAAACTTTATTTCTACATTCTAATTCCTAGAAGCATGCAAAGACTTACTTTTTCCTTTGGATAATGGACTTTCTAGACCTGTCGCTGATGCAGGCTCTGGAACATTGTTCTCTAGGGTAGAATGGATCATCCTTCCAGTCGAGAGAGGGTATGTGGCCCTTTGTCCAGAGTATTTTGTTACATTAGGGAATATTTTCTCTGTGTGCAGCTACATGTCCTGGAGTTTTATTTCCTTGCCTGAGTTTGCGATGCTGTTAAGCTGTCTATTGTTTTCTTATCATCTCAATGTGATGGTAAGAAAATGCTTAGTGGAGCAGAGTCTGGGGCATGAGTTAGACCTGATTTTTCCTCTTGTGGGAAAGAAATTTGTGTATAATTATCTACTAGGGATTAAGCAAAGCCATCAATTATTTTGAGCTTACATGTTACAGGTAAAAATAACTTTATGCGGACTTATTGGGAATGAATAGAAAACATTCAGGTTAGTGTGATGTATTGTGTGTGACTATTCAACTATATTAAAAAAATAAAAGACCTATGACTGGAACAACATTAGGATGGTCCAATGCTAAGCAGAAGAGATGAAGGTTTGAAAACTGGTTTGATTCAGATGCTGGTAGCCAGGTCTATAGATTTTCTATAGGTCTCATAAAAGATGAAAGGTAACATTAGGGGCTACAACCAAGGAAAAATGGCCATGATGCAGTACTCAATAGTGACATTTCAAAGTGTAGTAACTTCTGGATGGAAACACTCCAGGACAATTGAAATGGAATCATTAATGTGGCTAAAGTAATTCCTGAAGAGTTGTCTATTCATTCTGGCCTGCTGACGTTTGTTCTCCATTTTGAAAAACTGACCACAGATCCAGTGAAACCATTTTAAAATAAATTCATACTTCAACCAGAGCTAAGGCAAAAATAAATTGAAACACATGGCATATTAGCTCTCAAAACAAGGGCTACAACTGTAAATAACACATTTCAGATACAAAACCCAAATTTTGGTGTTTTAACAGTTTCTTGTACAATATAAAACTCATCATGTACTGAAATTATACATCTAAATTATAGCGTACGAGACTTAATATCTATAATTAAATATAACATTTCAATATAAAAAAAAAAGCATTTCTTTTCTTTGTGGTTCCCCACACCCACCAACGAATCTGACAGCTCGTCTGAGGAAGGAATTGAAGTTGCAGCCTCCAGCATTAATGTTGGGCTCTAGTCCGACCCCATTTCTTCTTTTGGAGAGGCAACAGTAGAGAATTCCTTCTCCTACCATAATCTGCAAAGATAGAAGGGTATTCAGGAAGAGGCATGTTGGAATACCTATTAAGCCAACAGGTATAAAGGAATTATATATCACTTTTTAACATATCAATTCAATAAAGTAAAGATGTAAATTTTCTTAAAAGCTGTAGAGGCACAGCAATTTCTTCTGAGAATTTGATCAAGCAGTGAGAAGTAAGTAATCAGGCCACTCTAATGAGATTTTGTAGGGTCTTCTGGACTCTCATGTACTGGAACATTTTACCAGCAGATTAGGTCCATAAACCAATTTGGGATTGAGCAGAAGGATCAATCCATGGAAAGTATGTGAGTGTAGAAAGGTGCTTTCTATAGCATAGCTGTCCCATAAATATTTCTGCAATGATGGAACTATACTTTGCACTGTCCAGTACAGTAGCCACTACCCATATGTAGGTATTGATCACTTGAAATATAGCTACTGCAAATGAGTAGCTGAATTTTTAATCTTATGCCATTGTATTAATTATTTAAAAATTAAATACACTTAAATATAAAATGAAGTGGCCACAGGTGGCTAGTGGCTATCTTATCAGAGAATGAAGATTACAAGAGAATCTAGGTCAGAAGGGTAGTATTTCCTAGATATAGACATCTAAACAATGTATTCACAATGTCATACAGTAGTATCAAGAGGACTCTCTTAAGATAAGGAACATGGCACTTTGCTGCAGGATTTTAGGACCTGTGAGATCAATGAAGGAACTCAGTATGATTTAGGCATGATTTCCCTCAGTAAGTTTTCTTTGAAACCTCTTACTGTACCCTAAATTGAATCACATCTCCGTCTATGTGGCTCCCTTAGCATCTTATCCTTCCCTCTAGCATAGCTTTATGAAATTGTTCATTTGGCTGTCTCTCACTAGACTAGGGCCCTCTGAGGGAAGAACCATTTCTTATTTACCTTTCACCTTCACTTGTCAAGCACAGTGCCTGGCACGGTGAGAATTGCATTTTTGGCTTTTACTGTGGGACTCACATTTGC
Source organism: Homo sapiens (assembly GCF_000001405.40). Taxonomy (NCBI): domain Eukaryota; kingdom Metazoa; phylum Chordata; class Mammalia; order Primates; family Hominidae; genus Homo; species Homo sapiens. The sequence continues at coordinate 99,295,729 of NC_000001.11, read as the reverse complement.
TAACTACCTTAGGCCGTTGGGTTGTCAATTATTCTGTACAACAGAAGCAAGATTTAAAATTATCCATTTTATTCATGAAAAAGTCTTTCAAATATTTGAGATAATTGTGCCTAAAAGATTGTTGTGAAATTAAATATTGATTTGCTATAAATGCGTGGAGCTGAGGAAAGTACAATTAATGAGATACAAGCAGTCTCTTAAATGAGATACTAACAGTCTGTTAAATACAACTAATCATGTCACTGTAAATACTATAAACCTGATTTGGACTGAAACAGGTTTTCCATAGAAAACCTCTCAGTTGTCATTACTAGCTTAACATTTATTTTATGAAGTGTTCAAAATTATAGTTTTTTTTAAAAAATCTAATGACAGCAAGCCTATGGCCTTCTGCTTTGAATGCTTAAATTGCTATATTTACTTCTGTAGGGAATATGGTACATGTTTAATTATAGAGAATCTTACTTTGTATTAAAAATTTAAAGAGTAATTATCATAGTAGAACTCTACCTATAACCATATGTGTGAAAATCATGTGGCATAATAAACTATTTTAAGATCAATCATTATAGAAATAATCAAAAGTAATTCATTTCAAACCATTGGATGCTGAGTTAACCATTTATACTTTTTGAAAAATATAGTCCTACATTAGCACTTCAAGTTAGACATAGAAATTCAATAGGTTCTATACTCTGTGTAGACAGATACAACATAGTACAACAATTACACAGAATAATATAACTGCTACCTCAAATTCATCATTTCCAGAAAATTAACCACTTATTCTTGAAATGTATTGTATTCAGCTAAAAGAGGTTAATTTCACCTTCACTTCTTCAATAAAAATTCTGTGAATAATTTTTTTTCTCTCTGTATAATTATATTTGTAATGATTACATCTTGTCCATGAGTGTTGAATTACATAAGAATTTATCTGTATAGAAAAGTGTGTTTTGTCATACAATACAATAGTCATTATCTCAAATGAGCTTGAGACCTTGAGATTTCAGGAGTTTTTTTTTTTTTTTTTTGAGACTGAGTCTTGCTCTGCAGGCCAGGCTGGAGTGCAATGGTGTGATCTTGGCTCACTGCAACCTCCGCCTCCTGGGTTCAAGCCATTCTCCCGCCTCAGCCTCCCAAGTAGCTGGGAATATAGGCATGCACCACCAAGGTTGGCTGATTTTTGTATTTTTAGTAGAGACAGGGTTTCACCTCGTTGTCCAGGCTGGTCTCAAACTCCTGACCTCAAGTGATCCACCTGCCTCTGCCTCCTAAAGTGCTGGGATTACAGGCATGAGCCATCGCGCCCGGCCAAGAGTTTTATTTTAGTTGTTTGAATATGTTCAAAACTCATATGCAAAGAAAATGCATCAATACTTATTTGTCTAGACCATGTAATATGGATAGAGGTTTCTTGTCAGTATTCTGACATCACCCAACCATCCCTCTCATTAAACAGGACATTAATTTTCTCCTCACACTCACTTCTGTCACTTAACCTCAGCTAATGTCATTCACGAGTTTTCAAAATAATTCAATTTGGCATAAAGATAGGTCTCCTCAGGGTATAGGGAGATGTTTCCCAGTGCGTTTCCAAATGCCCAGCTTATTTCTCCTTTTTTTTTTTTGAATGGCACAGTGTTGTACTGAGGTATGGTGTCAGAATTTAGGTTCTGATAAGAAAATTATTTGTTGCTGTTGCATTTGTAAACAGAAAACAGTTTACAACAAGTATCTTTTCACAATCTCTGTTTTGTGCTGTACCCAACCCTGAAAAGGACGCAATTTGTTGTTGTTGTGGACAGGTTTTGGGAGGAGATATTATAATGACTACTTCAGGGGAGATTTTGAGAGGAAATATATTTCTTAGTACTATAAGGACCCTAGCCATGGAACAGTCATCATAGGGAGAACTCACAGTCCAAAAAGTCTTTCTTGTAAAACAAAACAACAAAAATTATTATAGTATTCATCATAGTATCTTCAATGTTTCAATTTTCAATGAATGTTTTTTGGAAGCCCTAACATGTCTAATATTCTGCATATTGATTGTGTAGCCTCCTAAAGCTAAGGCTATTCCAGGAGCTAGAATTAAATTCTGATGGAATTCTTCTATAAAATTAGATATATTAATTCTTTAACAATGTGTAATAAAATTGTATTTCCAGGAAGAAAAAGCGCCCTTTTTTTTCTGTTCACATAGACTTCATGAAGATTTGTGATAAACCCAAATAGTCTTTCTTGTTTTCTCTGAGAAATAATCTCCAAAGAACCTAAAACAGAATGCTTGTTTTATCACTCTAAAGTAAATGAAAATTGAATATTAAGGAATAAATTTTTCAATTTAAGGGCAATTTCAGAAAAATAAAAATATACATTTCACATAAATGAAATACATTTTTCCACTTCCATGTATAACATCACAAAGACAAGTTATTTTTAAACATCTCTCAAAGCATTAAAAAAATCTGGGAAGCAAATACTGAATGATTCATATTTAAATTCCTGCATACAAATCAGCCGATCTTTTTATTCATATGAAGGTCCTTTTGGAGAATCTGGCTGAAGCGAGGCCTTTTGTTTTGCTTTGCCTTACCCCCACTCCACGTGGCGGGTGTCAGCTCTCCTCACACAAGTCCTTTTGGACACTCATTCCCAAACGGAGAGTTCTGCTTACCTCCCTACCCCCTCTCATGACCCCATTTTTGGAACAGGCTTATGCCACCCTAAAGATAGAAAAGAAACTGGCATCCTTGAAGTCAGAAATTAGAGCCTGTTATTTTTACTTTCAGGAAGAGAGAGGGAAAGGAGTTAGCATAGCTGTATATGTAGGAAGATTCGAGATAGAATTATGGTTCTAGAACAAGATGACTGCAGACACTGGAGGATCACTGCTGAGAAAATGTATGTTTGGGGAGAAGGCCTTCAAAACCAAGAAAAAAAAATGAAAGTAGAGTGAAATCTAGAAGTATAGTATATGTTTGGAGAGAAAGCTGTGACAAAGTGTTTGATGTCAGCAAAGTCAAATCTGTCTCACCATCCAGTTGGTTACCTAAAACCTATAAAACCAGTGTGGTAGGAAAGAATTGCTGTCATCTTGGAGTATCCTGAAGTGATATAGGGAAATCAGGGATCCTGAAGTGTAAATAGTCCCGTAGTTTGCCTTTCCTTCCACGAAGAGGCATGCAGCAGCTATGGAGGTTCTGTGGAGATGCAGGAATTGAGTGGCACCTTTCTGGAAGGAGTTGGCACTGGACTTCCTACGTCAGCCTGGTGGAAGGGAGCCATGGTGTATTTTCCCTTTTATTTCTCAGGCCTCAAGAAAGAAAGTTTTAATGCCAAATCTCTCAGAAAGCATCTCAAACTTGTATATTGAGAATTTATTATAGGACGAGAAGGAGTCAACACAAGCAGGCACACAGTGATGACACCAAGGTTATTGTCCCCAGGACATGTACCAGTGTCAGCAAAGGAAGCAACATGAAATAAATAGTGCTGGCAGGGAGTGCCACAACTAAATTTGCTTTCCTAGCAACTTGATAAAATACCCTGGAGGAGAAAGACTTCTAGATATATACAAAGGAAATTGTTTCAATGATTACATATCAATACAGTTTTTATAACAGAGGCATGATCATTTGTGTAGTATGTTAAGTAATTTATCTCAAATTCAAATATATCAATTATAATAATTTTGAGCACTTTTAGGATAAGCGCTTTCTGGTGTGACAGTATGATACATTTAAAGCATCTATATATATAAAATTTATATATATTATAAACTCTATCTATCTATCTAAACTTTTATTTCAAGTTCAGGGGTACATGTGCAGGATGTGCAGGTTTGTTATATAGGTGAACACATGTCATGGGGATTTGTTGTACCCAGGTATTACACCCCATATCCATTAGTTACTTCTTCTGATCCTCTTCCTCCTCCCAGTCTCCACCCTCAGGTAGGCCCCAGTATGTGTCTTTCCCCTCTATGTGCCTATGTGGTCTCAATGTTCAACTCCCAGTTATGAATGAGAACACGTGGTGTTTGGTTTTCTGTTCCTGTGTTAGTTTGCTAAAGATAATGGCCTCCAGCTCCATCCATGTCCCTGCAAACGACATGATTTCATTTTTTTATGGCTGCATAGTATTCCATGGTGTATATGTACCACATTTTCTTTATCCAGTCTATAATTGATTGGCATTTAGGCTGATTCCATGTCTTTGCTATTGTGAATAGTGCTGCAATGAATATACGTGTACATGTGTCTTTATAATAGAATGATTTATGTTCCTTTGGGTATATACCCAGTAATGGGATTGGTGGGTTGAATGGTAGTTCTGACTTTAGGTCTTTGAGGAATCACCACTCTGTCTTTCACAATGGTTGAACCCACAACAGTGTATAAGCGTTCCTTTTTCTCCACAACCTCACCACCATCTAATATTTTTTGACTTTTTAATAATAGCCATTTTGACTGGTGTGAGATAGTATGTCATTTTCGTTTTGATTTGCATTTCTCTAATGATCAGTGATGTTGAGCTTTTTTATCATATGCTAGTTGGCTGCATGTATGCCCTCTTTTGAGAAGTGTCTGTTCATGTCCTTTGCCCACTTTTTAATTGTTTTTTTTTTTGGTAAATTTGTTTAAGTTTCTTACAAATGCTAGATATTAGACCTTTTTTAGATGCATAATTTGCAAAAATTTTCTCCCATTCTGTAGGTTGTCTTTTTACTCTGTTGGAAGTTTATTTTGATGTTCAGAAGCTCTCTAGTTTAATTGGATCCCATTTTTCAATTTTTGCTTTTGTTGCAATTGCTTTTGATGTCTTCATCATGAAATCTTTGCCTGTGCCTATGACTTGAATGGTACTGCCTAAGTTTTCTTCCAGGGTTTTTATAGTGTTGGGTTTTACATGTAAGTCTTTAATTCATCTTGAGTTGATTTTTGTATATGGTGTAAGGAAGGGGTCCAGTTTCAATTTTCTGCATATGGCTAGCCAGTTATCCCAGCATCATTTATTGAATAGGGAATCCTTTCCCTATTGCTTGTTTTTGTCAGGATTGTCAAAGATCAGATAGTTGTAGGTGTGCAGTCTTATTTCTAGGTTTCCTATTCTGTTCCATTGATCTATGTCTCTGTTCTTGTACCAGTACCATGCTGTTTTGGTTACTGTAGCCCTGTAGTATAATTTGAACTTGGGTAATGTGATGCCTCCAGCTTTGTTCTTTTTTCTTAGGATTACCTTGGCTCTTTGGGGTCTTTTTTGGTTCCATATGAATTTTGAAATAGATTTTTCTAGTTCTATGAAGAACATCATTGGTAGTTCAATGGGAATAGCATTGAATATATAAATTGCTTTGGATGGTATGGCCATTTTCATGATATTGATTCTTTCTATCCATGAGTATGGAATATTTTTCCATTTGTTTATGTCATCTCTGATTTATTTGAGCAGTAGTTTGTAGTTCTCCTTGCAGAGCTCTTTCACTTCTCTTGTTAGCTGTATTCCTAGATATTTCATTCTTTCTGTGGCAGTTGTGAATGGGAGTTCTTTTTTGATTTGGCTCTCAGCTTAACTGTTGTTGGGGTATAGGATTGCTAGTGATTTTTGCACAATAGTTTTGTATCCTGAGCCTTTGCTGAAGCTGCTTATCAGCTTAAGAAGCTTTTGGACTGAGACAATGGGGTTTTCTAGACATTGGATCATGCCATCTGGTGACTAGTCAGCAATAGTCTTACTTCTCTTCCTATTTGAATCCACTTTATTTCTTTTTCTTGTCTGATTGCTCTGGCCAGAATTTAATACTAGGTTGAATAGGAGTGGTGAGAGAGTTCATCCTTGTCTTGTGCTGTTTTTCAATGGGGAATGCTTCAAGCTTTTGCCCATTCAGTATGATGTTTGGGTTTGTCATACATGGCTGTTATTATTTTGAGGTATGTTCCCTCAATACCTAGTTTATTGAGAGTTTTTAACATGAAGGTATGTCAAATTTTATTGAAAACCTTTTCCGCATCTATTGAGATAATCATGTGGCTTTTGTCTTTAGTTCTGTTTTTCTGCCCTGGTAAAATGACTGTATAATATGAATTTTTTGTTAAAACTTCAGTAAATAATAGGAAAATAATGTTATTCTGAGCAATATCGCACTCCAAGAATGTTTTATTAGTCTCAAAGTCTCAGCTTCTTCCAAGTACATTATTAATAGTTCTAGTAATGTGACAGTCACTATAGAATAACTCATTAATTTTTAAAGTGTTTAGAGACCTTTCAAATATGATAAAGTTCTATGAAAATTAAGTTTCAATTTTATCTTCTGAGAATATTTTATACACTATGTATTTAAATTGTAAACAGCATATTATAATTATTTAATATTGGGGAATTAAAAAATCCATAGCTACATAAAAATATAGAGTTTAGAACATCTGTGCAGAGACTCTTCTTAAACTCTGCTGTACTGAACCTGAATAGGCGAATTCATTAGAATGTGGAGCTTTCAAATAAAGCTTTTAATTTAATAGCCATTTCCTTTGACATTCATGAACATGCTAAAAGCAAAACAAGAGTTTTTCACTGTAGAAGTAAATACCATTTCCCTTGAAAAGTGTTTCTTGTCCTCTTAGGTAGTATTTTTGGGGCAAAAGAGGTGGTGAAAAGGGTTGGCCAGTCTTATTTATTAATAGATTTATCTAAAAGTGTGTTACTCACAATGTATATTAACACATTAAAAACAACTATGTTTTGAATTCAGTTCCAGTACATTAGAGCATTTCTTTATGTACATATTTTATTTATTTAGTTATTTATTTTAGATTTTTTATTGATACATGATAGATGTACATCTTTTCAGGGTATAGCTGATAATTTGATACATTCATATAACATGTAAAGATCATATCAAAGTAATTAGGATATTCGTCATCTTATATATTTATCTTTTCTTTATGCTAGGAACATTTAAATTATTCTCTTCTAGCTATTTTGAATTCATGAACATATTTTAAAATGAAAATGCCTTTTCTGAATATAAAACAGTTTATTATTTGAGTATGTCTGTATGTATGTGTATGTGTGCATGCATGCATGGCTGGAATGAGTTTTTATATCTTTATAATTATTTATGCTCAGTATCCATAATCAATAAACAGTGATAATCTAGTAAGAAATAAAACTGTGAGTGATAGCAAATGCACTTTTGGCTATGTAATTTCTCCCCCATTTTTTCAGGCTTCAGATACTAAATAAACACATGTAAAGTAAGTTAATTAGGAAGTATATCAGAAATGTCCTATTAGCCATTCAAAGTGAATTATAAAGTTACAAAACTTTTCATAATGATTAATAAAAATAAACACTAGGAATCAATCATTTCTCCAATCATAAAATGTTTAAATTTTAATGCCAATAATGTTAAGCTATTAACTTCCACATGATACTGTCAATATATCTCAAAGACATGACTTTGATTTAGGATTTAGAGTTCACGTTTTGTTTGCTTTGAACCCATTTATTATACAAATGTGGTGATTTTTAGTTTTCCAGGACAGATAAACACAATTTTGGGGGTAATTCTTACCGTAATTGCAGGTCCAGCAAAAGCCAAGCTAAGCAACATGAGGAATGGAATTGCCTCCTGGGTTGGTTCAATGTACGGCATGCTAAGACTCCGGTCATAGCAGCTAAATCCAGAGTGCACAGGTTTGAAGACATCTGTGAGTTCGAGGAAATAGAGGCTAACCACCGATGATGCCAATATAGGCAACTAAGAATGAAGGACAAAGAAGATCAATTTATTCTACCTGATATACAGGGCATACATAGAAAACAAGTGGCTTTCTCTCCTTCTCTCGCTACTCTTCTCCGATTCCAGAGTTAAAAATCATTCATAAGTTCTATTACTTCTACCTTCAACATGGATTCCAATTCACCCCCCTTAGTCACAGCCTGTTACGCATCTATGTTGACCCCAACCTTCTAATTGGTGCTACACCTCCACTCCTACCCTCCCACCATACCCATTCATTTTCCACACAGCATTCCAAAGGGTCTTGTAGAAATATTTCAGATCAGACAGGTCAACATCACAGATAATCAGAAAAATGCAAATCAAAACCACAATGAGGTACCACCTCATGCCAGTCAGAATGGCAATTATTAAAAAGTCAGGAAACAATAGATGCTAGTGAGGCTGTGGAGAGCTAGAAACGCTTTTACACTGTTGGTGGGAATGTAAATTAGTTTAACCATTGTGGAAGACAGTATGGCAATTCCTCAAGGATCTAGAACCAGAAATACCATTTGACCCAGCAATCCCATTACTGGGTATATACCCAAAGGAATAGAAATCATTCTAGTATAAAGACACATGTGCATGCATGTTTATTGCAGCACTGTTTACAATAGCAAAGACATGGAACCAACACAAATGCCTATCAATGATAGACTGGATAGAGAAAATGTGGTATATATATATACACCATGGAATACTATGCACCCATAAAGAGGAATGAGATCATGTCCTTTACAGGCACATGGATGAAGCTGGAAGCCATCATTCTCAGCAAACTAACACTAGAACAGAAAACCAAACACACATATTCTCATTCATAACTGGGAGTTTAACATTGAGAACACGTGGACACAGACAGGGGAACAACACACACCAGGGCATGTTGGGGGTTGAGGGTTGAGGGGAGGGAACTTAGAAGACAGGTCAATAGGTGCAGCAAACCACTATGGCACACATATGCTTATGTAACAAACCTGCACATTCTGCACATGTATCCCTTTTATTTTAGAAGAAATAAAGAAAACAAACAAACAACAACAACAAAGTATTTCAGATCGCATCAGTCTAGTGGTTCCCACTCAACTTGAATAAAATCCAAATGCCATCCCATGCAATGCAAGTTGCTTCATGCTTTGGCTCTTGATTCTTCTTGTACTACGTTTTCACCACTTCTCAGCCCTCTGCTCACTGCAATCTAATTGGTTTTCATTCTTTTCCTGTAATATTCGAATTCATTTCTGCCCAGGGTCCTTTGTGCTTGCTGTTTCTTCTTCCTTTTGTGCTCTTTTTCTGGCTCTTTATACTACTGCTTCTTTACATCATTTAATGATGCCTTTCTGCACGCTTTACCCAAGGTAGATCTTGATCCATCCTTCACTCTCTACTTTATCATCTTGCTTGATTTTTTTCATGACACTTATCATTAACTGAAATTACCTTGCCAATTTAATACTTCACTTATTTATTTTTCATCTCTCCCAGTCTCCCACTGAAATAAGTGCTCTATGAAGTGAGAATCTGCCAGTGTTATTTATAAGTCCTGGCACTTGGTAGGCAGGGAATACATCATTTAATAATTTAAGGAAGCAATCAATACTTGTTGATAACTAGATAATTGAATAAATGTGTAAACCTTAATTTAATTACAATAACTAGACTAGAGTTAACAGAGTTAGCTAATAAAAATACAAGTCACCCAGTGAAATCAGATTTTCAGATAGCAATGAATAATTTTTAGTGTAAGTATACCCCATGCAATATTTGAGAGATACTCACACTAAAAGTTATTCATTGTTTATCTGAAAATCCTGACTTCACTGGGTCTCATCTATTTGGTCTCCCTAAACTAGGCACAGTGTACTTTCTAGGCTTTGTGTACCATTTTTGTGTTTAATTGTTTATTCATTCATGTGTGAATGTGCTAGGCACTAATGTAGGTAGATATAATATAGTGAATAAGAGATAGACTTGGTCACCAAGGAGCAATAGCTTAGTGAGAGACCTGCTCTCAGCTAAAGAGAAAATATCACACATGCTTAACCTAGTGCCAGACCTTCCAGAACCCAAAAATGTGGACTTACATAACACTCAAAGAACTGCTTAGTTTAAGGCTTTGTTCCTTTGGAGGATATAATATTTATTTAAGCAAACAGGAAATGTTTTTGATAAAGACAATATTAGCTACCCATGATTTCTGATTGTTTGGTTTGAAAAAACAGTTTTTTAATTTTTATTTTTAGAAGACAGCATTATGTCTTCTATTCCCAAGAGGTCTTTTTTTTTGTAGTTAGGAAATAATTAGGTTTACCGGAAAAAAAAGAAATACATAGTGAGTAAACTTGCATAATCTTTCTGTTTTTCAGATGGATGCTTTGCAGAGAACAAAAAGTATATCAAAAACATTTAGTTTTTCTTATCGGCTATTATTCGATCACTTCAAATATCTGATCATTTTGCCTCACTACTTCCCTCTCCTATAGTGCACGAATAGTAGCTTTCAGTCTTGACCAATAAATCAGCGCTTCGTGGTGCATGCACATTATTGAAATTTCCACTTAAATCCATATAAATATATTTAAGTATTAATTTAACAAATACTTCATAAAGTGCTTACTACGTGCCAATATTATGTTTTAGAAATTTTAATTAATTTGACATATTTTAAACTCATTTAACCTAAAACTTTCTATTGTGACATAAGATAGTTGCTATCAGTATCCTCATTTTGCAGGTGGATAAGCAGTTACATATCGTAAGTGACAGAGGTGGATTTTGAATCCATGAATTCTAGTTCCACAGTCAACAATATCTGGAATAAATAGTTTATAAATATTATTAAGTATTGTTGTTATTGTTATAACCAGTAACAATAATATATTCACTAAACATCACCTTTCTCATGAAGCTTTACTTGATAATACCTTTTGAGAGTAATTTCTTCAGTTTTAATCCCCTAGTACTTCTTTTTAGGAAATATTTACCCACTGCTCTTTTTTATCTGCTATAAACTAGGTTTAGTCTTTTGCTTTGCTTCCCAAACTAAAATCTCCTTAAGGCAGGGGCCTAATCGTACTGATTTCTATGTTGCCACTGATACACGTTATAGTGACTTCCAAATATATACGCATGTATCTCTATATATACATATATGCCACATTAACATATGAATTAAAGTAATTTGTCATTAATATTATGCATTAGTCTTTTCAGCCAGTAGCCTTCCTGAAACTGACAATTTTTCCAATTATATCATTTTTCTAATTATATAATTTTCCATATATATATTAATATCTTCTATATTTCTATAGAAGCATGTTTTAAAACCTTCATTTGTTTTCCTAATAAGAATCTTTTTTTCTCTGGGCGCAGTGGCTCACACCTGTAATCCCAGCACTTTGGGAGAGAGGCGGATCACAAGGTCAGGAGTTTGAGACCAGCCAGACCATCATGGTGAAACCCCATCTCTACTAAAAAGAACCTTTTTTTCTTTTTGATGTTTATTTATCTTATTTTTTAAAAAGCATATTTACTCTGCTCCTTACATCATTTTGTTTGTAATAGTTATTTGTATAAAATCTTCATTATATTCATTATATTTTGGAAATAAATAATTTTATACATGGTGTTCCCATACTGTAGTTTACTACCCAATGTAATGAATTAAATGACAATGTTTATTTCTAACATAATTGTCTTCAGAGTTACCTTTTTATCTTTTGAAATGCTCAACAACAGATTTTTTTTGAGTGTAAGGAATTTAACAGACGGTATGTGCCGGTTTCGGCATACATATAGAATTGATATGCACATAATAAAATTACACAGACTTGTTTCGATTGCATTTAAAATGAGATTTTGAAAATGAGATTTAAAGAGATTTTTTAAAAGTCTACATAGCCAAGAACTACAAATTTTATTCTCTAGTCATGATACAGCCCCCAAAAAAGTGTGAACCAAGCTTTTTTTGTTTTGTTTTTTTGTTTTCTGAGACAGAGTCTCGCTCTGTCGCCCAAGCTGGAGTGCAGGGGTGCCATTTCGGCCCCCTACAACCTCCACCTCCCGAGTTCAAGCGATTCTCCTGCCTCAGTCTCCTGAGTAGCTGGGACTACAGGAGCGTGCCACCACACCCGGCTAATTTTTTTGTATTTTTAGTAGAGACGCGGTTTCACCGTGTTAGCCAGGATGGTCTTGATCTCCTGACCTCGGTGATCCGCCCGCCTTGGCCTCTCGAAGTGCTGGGATTACAGGCGTGAGCCACCGCGCCCAGCCAAACCGAGCTATTTTTATGCAGCAATAGAGCGGAGGGAAATTACCTGAGGATTAGGAAAGCGGTTTATTTTCAAAAGGAAAAGACTGATTCTTATAATTACCATCTGCTGAGGAACCAGAAGAAAAATTATAACTGTTTTAGAGAACAGGGCAAACAAAAGAAAGGTGTTTTAAAATACCACATTTGCTAGATAACATTGATTTTTCTGATGCCAACTTTAAAAAGACAAATCTAGATTATATATCCATTTTAGTGAAACATTTTATCAAAACTATCATGATATTTTATCTAGATCAGACAGCTTACTTGTTTTTAGCCTGATTATAATAAAGACAAACTACTTTTCACTGGGGAGAGTTCACTTTGCTCTGAGCCTAGGGCAATACAGATCAGTTCCATTCTTTGCCTCTCTCATAGCCATTGTGAATTCAGAGTCCTATAACATCCTTTTGAACTGGTGGAAACCATAGTCACAAAGGGCCAATTTATATGCATGGTATTGGTGCCTCATCCATTTATTCATTCAACAAATATCTTTGATAGCCTGCTAGTCCCAAGCCTCGTTCTAGGTCCTGGGAATACAGTTATGATAAAACAAAATATCTGTTCCCATGAATATTTCATTCTAGTTGAGGAAGCCAGGTAAACAATATATATTTCATATATATAATATATATTATATATTAACTATATATTGCACATATATAATATATAATATATATTAAATATATATCAGAAAGATATATATATCAGAAAGAACACATACTATAAAGAAGAGGGCTGTGTAATTAAGTGCCTGAATTCCCATTTTAGATCTAGGAAGACCTATTTGAGTAGGTGCCATTTAAGCAGAGACTTGAATGGGCAAGAAAGAACTAGCCATATGAAAACCAGGTAAAGACCATAATCAAAAGGAGGAAGTGATACAAAATGAAGTCAGAGAGGTAGATTTGGGACCAGACGTTGCAGAGACCCGACGTCCAAGGAGGAAGTTAGAATTTTATTTAAAGTAGGATCAGAAACATTCTGGAGAGTTCAAGCAGAGGTGTAGTATGATTTGAAATGTATTTTACAAAGATCACTGGCTGTTAGATTGAGGATGATCATGGTGGGTCAAAAGTAGGAATAGGGTAAAAATTTAGAAGGCTGTTCAAAACTCAACAAATATTTATTAAATACCTAGTAGGCATCGGGTACTTCTCTAAGTGTAAGGAATGTAGCAGTAAACCAAACAGAGAAAACTCCATGCATTCACAGAGTTTACATTCTAGTGGATGCATGGCAATGGCGGAAATCCAGGAGAGATGAGACAGCATGTACTAGAGTTTAGTACTGGAGATACAAAGAAATCGGCAGATTGTTGATATGGTTTTGGACATAGATATGACAAACCTTGTTTATGGCTTGATCAATGAAGAAGATAAAACAATAAAGGTTGATTTCAAAGATGGGGTTTGAGGAATTAGGCCAGTAGTGTCATTCCTTGGGATAGGGAGAAGTTTGGATGGAAAGAATAGAAGATTCTGTTTTGAAAATATTAAAACTGTTACATCTCTTAGTTACTAAAGTAAGAGGTCAATTTGGAGCTAACAGGAGAGTCCAAGGCTGGAGGCATAAAGCTGAAAATTATTGGTACAAGATGATTTAAGCAGCAAAATCCTCACTTTTGGGGAACAACACTATCATAAGAGATTTCAAGGTTAAATTATTTTAGTTTTGATATAAGTAATGTCACAAGAAGTCAAAGAAAATAGTTGTGTATATTCATGCCAAACATATGCAAGAGCTATTCTAAGAGATTAAGGAAGATTTTAATATTAATAACACATTTAAAATGAGAGGCTTGGAACCAACTTTATAAATATCCCAAAATCATATATAATGTGAAATTTGAAACAATAACAGAATACATTGAAATTCAATTAAAACTGGGAAAAATACTAGCAGATCAAAGCAATTGTATTAAAGCCTGTAGCCATGAAGAAGATTGTCACAGGTCAACACACACGTGGTGAGGGAATTTTCTACTTCCTACAGTATGATCTTTAGTGGTATCCTGTAGTATTTTTTGCCTTGTAGCTAATACAGATTAATATTTTCTTCAAATATTGATAATAATAATAACATAATATTAGGCTTTATGGTATATAAAACTATCCTCACTCTAAGTATAGCATATTCAGATTGGCTGCAAAGAACTTCAAAAATATAGATTATAAACACAGACTAACACTTGAAGTGTCATTAAGGGAAATAATTGGTCAGAATGAGTCTGCAACATTACTTAAGGTCTAGAAATCTAAACTGGTTTTTATACATAAAACAGATGTGGCTTGTATGACATGAATAGATACAAATTGAAACAGGGCAGTGTGATTGAGGGAAACCAGTGCTGGCCTCAGAAGCAGGAGAATCCAGTTTCTCCCCTCATTTATTCTGCCAGCTTTTGGGATTTGGGAAAGTCACTTAACCTTTCTGGGCTTCATTTGTTATCAGTGAAATGAGGGGTTTTTTTACATTGCCATCTAATACTGAAATGCTTCATATACTGTCATGAATTAAGAATCATTTCTCTCATTTCTTTCACACTGTCACTGCCTTATATAAAGCATTAGGGCCTTTAAAAAAATCTCTATTCTCTTCATAATTTGTTTCATCCTCCACAATGTTTCCAAACTAATTTTCCTAGAATTCACACCTCATCATGCATTTAATGGTGCCCCATTAATAACAAAATAAAGTGCAAATTTTTTAGAATGATATTTATGACTTTTTAAAATATGGCCTTGATCTGCCTGTCTTGGTTGATTTTGCTTTCCACCTACTCTCCACTCTCCTAAACCAGAAAGACAGCCCATGTTCCCATTATATTTATATTTCAAAAAGACATGTTCTAGTCTCTGCTTCACATTATGGTTCCACATTTATTTCTCATAAAAATTGTACTTATTCTTTCAGGTTGAGATCATGTAATTTTTTTCTCCCTGAAACCTTCTCCAGGCTCTCCACTCAGAATTGAAGACTCCGTCTCACATACTTCATATATAACTTTATCGAAGGATCTGTTAGTCTGCCTTTGATTATAGTTATTTACATATTACCAACCCTTGCCCTAAGATCAAGTACTCAAGAGTGAAACCTTTGCAATTCACCCAGTGCTTTTAATGTTTTAGGTGTCCAATAAATGTTCACTGAATTTAATTGAAAGAAATCAAGAAATTATGATTAAAGGAACAAAAAACATAGGCAATTTCTGAAAAGTACACAGCATGTGTTGAGGACTTAGGTGCCAGATACTAGTTAAGTTTAAAAGATCGCTATATTCAATCTACACTGTATAAAGTATCTATTAGTATCCCCAGATTACAAATGAGAAAACTGAGGCAGAAATAGGTTATATAAATTGTGCAACAGCCACAAAGCCCCCAAATTGGGAACACCCAGACTCCTACCCAGGTGTCTAAGTTGGGAAACATGCTCAAAATTCTTTGCTCATGGAACTCAACTGGCTTTCCTCCTCCACACCGCTAAGATAACTGCATGTGGGGTGCCCATGTGGGGAGAGGGGGTCCTAGGGGAAAGGTGCAGTTTGAAAAACGCCACTCTGTTTCTCTTAATTCTTATTACTCTTAAACACATTCTCTACTCACTTATTCTTTATCACCCAAACATGAAAATTGCTTTGTTTGTTCCAATCTGAGATCTGTCTTTTCTAGAGCTCCTCTCAGTTTCAGTAGAATTTATTAGGTATGTACTTAGACCTAAAAAGCAAAGGACATTTACTGAGTTTTTATTTAGACATTTCATCCTAATTATCTACTTTAATTCTTAACCTCCTTGGGATCCCTAAGATAAATTTAAGATAAGGACCATGCCCCAGATAAGTAAAATAGCATGCCTGGCTTCAAAGGCCAGTAATTGAAACCTGGTCTGCTAAATTCCTGGAAGCATGCACCGCCGTGTATCCTGCTGTCATTCTGCCACATGTCACCATCTGGCACTAGTCTGGTGCTTTTCAGGAAAGGACAGCCCCAGGCTTCAATGAGATTGCCAGTTTAAAGGACACAAGGCGAGAGATGGCCATGTGTCAAGGGGTTTCAACGGCAACAACAGGAAAGGGGTGGCAGGCACTTTCAAATCACACTCTCACTGATGTGGTGCCCTCAGGTCCTGAACGTTATTCCTTGTGCAGTTTCTTTGAAGTTATTTGTATTATTTTGGTTTTGGGAATATCTTAAGAGCATTTAATTATATTTTGGATATGGTCTGCTTTTATTTTCACTTTTGTCTTCCCTAGTGAATGATTTCTAATATAAAGTATCAGAAATTAGGCAAACTTAAGGTTCCACATGTTTTCCTGCTTTTAGTGCTTCCTTCGGATCACTTTCTCTGACCATACAGAGATATCCTGATGAATGTCTAGATCATAGCAATTGTCATATGGGATGGCAGTTGTTCCTTTACATTCTCTCTTATTCAGCGACAAGATCCTTGAGAGCAGAGAAATAGTCTTATCCATCTCTTTATCCCTGACATACTAGGTGTCCCCAATATACAGTAAACTAATACATACATGGACAATTTGAAGAGAGATACCAAATGTTGAGACATTCTTGCAGTATTGTTAAGAAAATATCCACCATTTAAAAAGATCTTCATTTATTCTACCACAAGAAAATGCTTTCTATTTTGAATTTCTAGAACTCTAATGATTTCATTAGCATTAACAAATCAAGAAACTTAAATTGGATCCTCCATAGCAATGATAATTAATAGAGAAGAGCTACCTCACCTAATAGATGTATTAGGTTGAATGGGAAAAAAATCTGTTCTATGTTTTTATACCTGAATATGAAACTACATCTTTACAGCTCTAAAAGGACCAATGCAATCACACTGATGTAACAGTAAAGTCAAAAATAATGATAAGTGGTTGTTTTATTACCTGAATATTGATCTAGCACTAGGCTTGGGGTAGTTGGTTTTGCACTCACCAGACTTAACCTCAGGTAGTGAAAATTTGTTCTTCTTACATAATTAGACACTGAAGAATGTGCATTGTCTTGGAAAGCATTTTATTCTTTAAACCGTTAGAGACTAAGACCTGAGGCTGAGAATCTGTATTTCAATTATTAAAAGTAATTGCTTTTAAATCCTTTCTTCCAGCTGTAATTTCTCTTCCCTTACAACATACAGCTGACATTTAAAAATTTGGGTAATAATAGTAATTTAATGCTACTAATGTTTGACAGGTACCATTTAAAGTACTTTATATGTTTGAATTCATGCAATCTTCACAACACCTTTTTGATGAAGATACTATTATTACTGCCATCTTACAGATGAGGAAACTGAGATTACATGAGATTACATGATTTGTATGAGGTTATACAGTAAGATTCCATGATTTGTATAAGGTTATACAGCTTGTTAGCTGGATTACAAACTCAAGAAATCTGGCTTCCCAATTCATGTTTGTGATTATTGTACAGAATTACTGTATTCTACCTCTTCCTAGAAGCTTATACAATGGATCAATGGGTTTCCAAAGACATTGAGAAATAACAAAATAAAAAAGAGAATATTTCTTTTTATAGATAGTTAATGCTACCCTACAATTTCTATAGTGTGTGATATTGTATATATTCTTCATATCCTCTAAAAAGGTAAGATCTTAATATACTTAGATTAGTGTTTTCACTATTAGTGGGATTGTTTTATTCACACATAGAAAGCACACAGATGTTCACCTTGTAATAATGTCAGGCAAATGTGACATAACTAAAACTTCTACATGAGCGATCTTCAAAAGTCATGGAACATGTATATTATGAAAAAACTGTGAATGGATTTCAATTTTTTGCACCAAAATAAGCTCATACTCACTCATAACATATCTGAAAAAGATCTAGTTTGAAGCACCGAGAAGGATAAGATATCAGTTTGAAAAGAACCCCTGTCAGAGCAGCATGAGTTCTGCTAAAATTGAAGCAAGAACATGCATTGAATTTATGATGAAGCTTTAGTAGAAGAATGGCAAAATCATTGATAATTTGCAGAAAGTTTATAAATACAAGAAATCAGCAGTTTACAAATGGATAATTCATTTTAAGAAGGGAAAAGATGATGTTGAAGATAAAGCCCACAACATCAGACCATCCACATCAATTTGCAAGGAAAACATTTGTCTTGTCCATACCCTAATTGAAGAGGACTGACTATTAACAACACAAACAATAGCCAACAACATAGACCTCTCACTTGGTTCAGCTTACACAATTCTGACTGAAACATTAAAGTTTAGCAAACTTTCCATTCAATTGGTGCCAAAGCAACTGTGGCCAGATTGGCTGCAGACAAGAGTAGAGCTTTCAATGGACAAAAATAAACAAGTAGGATCAAAGTCCTGAAGCATTTCCTCAAAGAACTGTAACAAGTGATGAAACATGGTTTTATCAGTATGATCCTGAAAACAAAGCACAATCAAAACAATGGCTACCAAGATGGGAAAGTGGTCCTGGCAAAGCAAAAGTGGACTGGTTAAGAGCAAAGTTCATGACAACATCGTTTTGGGATGCTCAAGGCATTTTGCTTGTTCACTTTCTGGAGGGCCAAAGAACAGTAATATCTGCTTATTATGAGAGTGTTTTGAGAAAGTTAGCCAAAGCTTTAGCAGAAAAAAGCCCAAGAAAGCTTTGCTAGAGAATCCTTCTCCATCATAACAATGCTCATCCCTCTCACCAAACATGGGCAATTTTGTGAGAGTGTCAATGAGAAATCATTAGGCATCCATTTCACAGTCCTAATTTGGCTTGTTCTAACTTCTTCTTGTTTTCTATTCTTAAGAAATCTTTCAAAGGCACCCATTTTTCTTTAGCTGATAATGTAAAAAAGATTGCAATGATATGGTTAAATTCCCATTAGCATCAGTACTTTAGGAATGGACTAATGGTTTTTATCATTGCTTACTAAACTATCTTGAACTTGATAGAGCTTATCTTGAGAAATAAAGTTTATATTTTTTGTGTTTATCTTTTAATTCCATTTTTTCCATGAACTTTTAGAAGTCCCCTTGTATTTGAGTTATAGCATAAGAGAAGCAAATTTCTGATTTTGAGATTTAAATTGACATATAATCTTAACATTATATACACAGGAATGACTGAATTAAAGACCATCAGTGTTTCTAAATTAATTATGTTTTCATGATGTTTATTAAAATAAAGTATCAATTTTATTATTAAACCATTTTACTTAAATATTATGAAAGTTCATATTTTCTATTACATTCAATGCTTAACAAATACTTTTTAGTATTTTCCATGTGCCTGATACATTTTATTTGACCTATTAATTATCCAGAAAAGGAATTTCTCATCTAATTTCAGAGATTAGAACGCTCTAGCATATCACAAGCTTCTCTTCCCTCTAAGCTTGTCTCCTACATACACATCTTTATACACACTTAGATGCACACTTAGATGCCCATTATGAGCCCTTCTTCAAAGTTAAGTTTCCAATGCTGCTGAAGGCCTTAGTTATTTAAGTTTCATTTTTGAAAAGGCTTGGTGTATGTAAAAGAGATATTGAAGTTGAGCACTTAATGTGGGACATTAATAACTTCTATTTTATTTTCTAACATTTTAATGCTGTGATTAAGTTAATTAAAGTAAGTAGGATTGTGTTATGTGTTTTACTGGAAAACGTCAGTCCTTGTGATTCTTAGGGTCATCTCATATGAGGTACCTCATACCCCTCTCCCTCTCCCTACTGTGCTGCATTGACCTCTGGAATCTTAGGAAGGTGAAGGGTAGTGGTGGAGGAAGAAACAGCCTCCTGAGTTTGGTGGGCTGGGGGATTTGGAATGAGCAGTTCTTAAAGTTTTTTGTAGTCCCATAAAGTAGGCATTTTCTAGGATGTGCTACACTTGGCCCTTGTCAGTCATGTTGGAACATACATTTGAGCAGTGAAGTCTTAGCAATCTCTTCCTCTATTTCTGAACAGGACTGAAAGAACCACTAGCCTTTAAGGTCAGCCAAAGAATAATGTGGCCAAGGCCAAAGCCAAAGCTGAGGTTCAGTCCAGGCTCTGTCTCCCTATATTCATTAATTAAGCTGCTAGATTTATTGACCTACGCAACGACGAATCCATCACAGATTTATTGAGAGACTGTCTGCTCTCAGCTATTTGCATTGTTCTACAGGCTGGAGTTTAAAAATAAATAATAAAAAGAATTTTTCCTTAATTATGTCCTGGGCCAACCGTCTAAAAATTACCAGAACCAATATTATCTATGGAATAACCATTAGTCTGAGACTGAAATATTGAAAGATGTAACACCATCAAATAATTTTTCTTCATGTACATAAAATTCAACTGGAAGCTAGAAACCAAATGAGGTCTTAAAGGAGAAGAGTTTTCAAAAATTCATCTCCCTATAGTATATTGTTTATAACAGATTGCTGACCATCCTTTTTATCAGGTTTTGCCATGAAGAAGACATTATTTATGTCCAAATCTTCACAGTTGGATGTTCTTCATGTTTTAATAACTCAAATCTCAGTTGCTACAATACAGGCATTTTCAGATCATCACCCAAGGGATAAGTAACCTGTTAATTCTTCAGGGTGTATCCAACTGCCTTAAAAAAAAAGATTCCAATGAATCATACAATAGCCTAAATGAGATGACTCATTCCCAAAGACTAAATCTAATTTATTCATCATTTTTAGAAAGCATAATATTCTTTATTTCACAGATGGCTCAGTTGAGGCATGGGAAGATATTTAATTTGCATTGAACAGACACTGCTGCTGACGAGTTTATATATGATATTTTAGAACTCTGGAAAGATAAGAATGGCAGTGGCTTACAGATTATGGGCCTACCAACAACCTTGGAGTAGAGACTTTCAGTAGAGTGTTACCTGGGCACTGTGTATAGAAGACACACAGTAAATGAGAATTCCCCTCCACTGACTAGGTCAAGGTAAGGGTACTGAAAAAAAGTGGTCTCTATTTTGTGAGTGTGTGCATATGTCCCTCTATCTATAAAAATGAGCAGGAATTCCAGTAAATATTTGTTGTTGTTGTATTATACATTGTAATAAACTGCTCCACCATTGTATGCACACTGTATAAAACATACATAAATGTGTGATACCAATAAAAAACAATCAGGAGAACCAGCCCCTTTCCAGGGAATCAGGTAGCATCTAAAGCTACCACAAAGTTTACTTTAGACAAGATGGGAGAGGGGGTGTTGGTAAATGGGACAGAGAAAATTCATTTACTAGGCCTGTCTTTGCTTTAGAATTCTTGGCCATATTTTATAATTTGCATATGATTAAAGGGTCATAATTACTCTAACCTGACCACAATAGTTCCATCATTTTCAAATGAGAAAAATGAGGCTTAGAGAAAATAAGTTAACTGCCCAAGATTCTAAAGCTAATTGGTAGATCAAGTAAAAAAGAAAACTATATTCTTTTAAAAAAGTAAAAAAAAAATATATCTAATAGTTTGTTTTACCATAGGCACAGAAAATTGTTTGCTGGTATATGCACCTTATGTAACTAAAATAACTTTCTATGAAAATTAAAATTGCAAAGTTCTTTGCTTCAGTGATGCCTTTATTTGAAATTTCAAATCTCAAACAATCCATAGGTAAGTCCTAGATTATAAAATGAACGTAAGTACAATTAAGAGATGAGGACTCATATAGACCTTGGATATTGATCTAATCTTCAACTGTTCAATAATCCACAAGGCCGAGCAATATCTCTGATAGGCAATTTATGATCACTTTACAAATAAAAATGTCTCCACCAGCTGATAAAAGACAGTTAAAGAAAAATTTATGTTCATATGATTAGTCCTATTTTATTACATCCAGTTAAAATTTATTGAAATTCTACTATAGACCGGAAAGTATGCCAGTGATGATTCCATTTTGTTTCTATTACTTTTACCAAAAGTCACATCATAAGCAATTGATATTTATTCAACACATAAATAAATTGTTGTAAGAGTACAAAACAGGTTATACCCTGGAATTTCATTTTAGCATTCCTTATTGAAGAACATTTAATAAAAGATCAGTCTCTTTTGGACTCTATCCATGAGGACTTAATTTCTGAAGCATGCCTAGGATTTCATTAAATGGCAGTTTACCTCTAAGCAAACCCATAGCGCAGACTTTTGGTAAGAGCATTAAATTGTTAACGATATAGTCACATCTACTTCCATTGCTCTCACTCCCAAACATCATTCTTCTGTTAAATGTATGATTCCATGTTTACCTTTTCCCACAAATACATTGATTTTAATTACTCGTCTTTCCCCTTTTCTTTAATTTATTCTTAAGTGATCTAAATACCAGTTTTACACAGGCAGAAACCATCTTGTTACAGCAAATAAGAAAGCCATTAACCTCCTCTATGTTGCTTGACAGCCAACCAGATAGTTATGGACCTAAGTGCAATTGGTTCAGTCTAATTATTGGTAAGAAAAACACCTCAATGTTAGTTCTGCCAAAATTAGTATTTCTATCCTTGGCATCCATATTACAAAATCCACTTGACCATGAAAAGATTACTCCATTCGATAGTTATCTGTAAATACATTTCTCAGCTAATTCATACCATAAAAGGCTACCATGATGCTCATAATTAGACATTTCACAGTTTAAATATCACCTTTTTTTTTCTTCTGACCAAGATGAAAAATAGCACTACTTGAGTTTTAGGCAAGTTTTTGGACTTCCCTGAGTCTTCGTTACTTAAGTTTTAAAATAGAGTTTATATTTACTTCTCAGTTGCATTTAGAGGATCAGATGAGATAATGTATGAAAAATTTACATTGAAGTATAAGGGAAAATTCAAAGCTATTCCATAACTGATGACATAAATTATATTCTTACTGCTTCCCATGTTTATACTTCCCTGTACTCTCTGTTAGAGACCTCATGTCAAGGGAGTTAATTGTGAAATTACAGGTGGGCACTTAGGCAATGAGAAAAATCCCTCCTAATTTTCTAATCTTTAGCTATTACCGTGCTTTTCAAAGAGCCTAACAATTTGGAACAGTGGAAGATCCATTCATAATTGCTTTGACTTGTTTAATGTAAGGTGGTCATGAAATGTGTTTGGAAGTTAGCACAAACAGCCAGCGCAATTTGTTCACATGTAGAATTAGAATGACCTGTATTTTAAATGTTATAATCCAGAGGGAAACTTTCTAATAAAAGGAATTCTAGAAATAGTAATAATTAGGAAAGAGCACTAGAACAGGAGTCAGGAGACCTAGGTTCTATTCCTGATCTGATATTAACCAGTGTGTCCTTAGGTAACGCTGGCATACTTGATGTGTCCAAAGGTTAACTCAGTTAACCTTTTCAAAGCAAAATTTTCTTAGGTGGTAGAAGAAACAGTGAGGCCATATGTTCTTGGATCGCATAATTTTATTAGCCTTATCTCTGTAATAAGACTTTTAAACTCTGTGAGACATTTCCTCACCTTTTAAATACAAAAGTTGCTTGAGAAATAGCCTATGCTGTATACATATGCTGAGAGAAAATGTGTTTGCTTTGAGTAATATTTGTAATACATTTCCAACATAAACAGCAATAATTGTGTCTCAAATAATCTTTATTTAATAAGCCAGCTTAGAAAACCAAAATGTTTAAAGGGGTCTCCATGGTTTGCTCACAGATTGGATCTCCATCACACACACACACACACACACACACACACACACACACACACACACTTCACTCCTACCTTCAATTTTCTAATGCTTTTTCTTCTAATCCTGCTTGACTTGACCTCTCTCTGTTTCTATTACCTTGTTGAGTTTCTTTCTTTCTATCATTTGGACACACCTACATATTCTACTCTCCTAAACTCTATTTAAGTTCCAAGTCTTCCCTCTCACCCCCACCCACTGATCCTCATTAATCTTCATCAGAGACTCATGGGTGCCATTTGTGCTTGCCCAGAGGACGCTTCTTTTTAGGGGACACTGTGCCTTCTAGACATGTCAAAAATTAAACCAGTTACTATTAAGTAGGAAATACCACTAATACAGCCAAGTTTAGTAGCTGAATGTAGAGAAAAACTCTGTTCCAGAACTCTGACAGAGCCACAAACAGACATGTTTCAAATGCATGCATCCAGATACCATGAAGCTAGCCAAGTCACAGCACAGACAGGGCTCTCCATTGCACTTCATCACTAGGTTTAGCATTGTTGTTGGAAGCATGTGTGAGACAGTATGGTGTAGTCATAATGCAAGAGCAAGATGGACAAGCTCTGAAATCCTGACTCCCTCACTTCATTGCTATGTGTCCCTGGTAAAAACAGTAGCTCTCTGAGCTACAATTTCTGATTCAAAAAATAAAGATAACAATGCCTTCTCAGTAGGGTAGTTCTCAGGACTAAAAGTAATGTATCTAGAGAGTCTGCCATATAAAGAAGACTTGAAATGAACTATTCTTTGTTATTACTATGATTATTATCATCATTATTAAAATCTCCTTGAAATTGGCAGAAACCAAGTATTTTTTATTTCCTGATAGAGAAAAGTAGAAAAAAATCACATTTTGAGTAACTT
Source organism: Homo sapiens (assembly GCF_000001405.40). Taxonomy (NCBI): domain Eukaryota; kingdom Metazoa; phylum Chordata; class Mammalia; order Primates; family Hominidae; genus Homo; species Homo sapiens. Next base: position 99,271,056 of record NC_000001.11, on the reverse strand, counting down.
GGCCATGAAGAAACAGTAAGATAGTGGTGGTGTTTAGGAATAGAAAATAATTCCCTAATAGCAAGTGCTATGTTCGATGCTTAGATTTGTAGAAATGTCCTCATTTAACTCTATCTCTAAAACTTAGGACTCTGTTCTCTATTTACTTTATTTTGCATCAGACTTTATGCATTGTGACTTTGAAAGAGAAGAGACTTGCCAACTCATCTCATTTGGCAGGGTTTGAAGTACTTCTTTAAGCAGACTCTACTTCTATACAATCTAGAGAAGAGAAAAAAATCTACAGCTACTATTTTGGTATATGCAATGCAGAAATGTGATTTTGTATTTCCTACTGATGCTAAAGTTTATGTAAAAGGGAATAGACTAGCAATATTTCTCAGCAAGAAAATCAAATGAGTTATATAATTTGTACATAGATCATGAGATAGAAGAGAAATCTTGTGAATTAATGTTTGCTACAATTAAAAACCTGTGGACACTTTCCAATGGAAAGAAAATAAAAATTGTATTAAGGTTTTGTCAAGAAGCCACAATTTCAAAATGTGTGTCTTTGCTCAAAGGCTTGTTGAACTTCCCCAGGTAGGATGGCAACAGAGTAGCAGCAATGGCTTCTTCTTCTGAACAAACTGTTTAGTTACTGACCTTATAGTAATTAAGCTCCATTAACAAAATCCTGCAACGTATCTACTGCTAAGTACACATTCAAAGTAATGAAAACTTTCTGAGTAGGCCAGGTGCAGTGGCTCATGCCTGTGATCCCAGCACTTTGGGAGGCTGAGGCGGGAGGATTGCTTGAGCCCAGGAGTTCGAGACCAGCTTGGGCAACATGGTGAAATCCTGTCTCTACTAAAAATTATAAATACTAGCTGGGTGTGGTGGTGCATGCCTGTAGTCCCACGTACTCAGGAGGCTGAAGTGGGAGAATCATTTGAACCTGGGAGGCAGAGGTTGCAGTGAGCTGTGATCATGCCACTGCAATCCAGCCTGGGTGACAGAGCAAGACCCTGCCACACACACACACACACACACACACACACACACACACACACACACACAAAAGGAATGAAAACTTTCTGAGTAATCTTAATTTTTTGAGATTAAAATATTCTGAATTGGAATGCTTCAGATACTGTAATTTTATGCTGAGTGGAGAGAGAGATGATATTCTTACTCCATGTGTATTTGTACATACCTATGCACAGAAGTGTGTGCATACATATGTGTCTTTGTGTGTTTTCTCGTATGAATAACAGGCAATTTCAAACTCTTTTCTCTATCTGTAGCCCTGTCAAAATATATTTGCATATAGGTCAAGCATAACTCTTCTGCCTTCATAAAATTAGCATCAGGTTTGTCATAAAAATGTTATATCATATAGCAGAATGTTTAAGTAAAAAGAATCCCTTTCCCATTTATTTCATGTTAGGAATTTATATTTTTTTAGGCTTAAAAAGGTAATTTGTCATTTGTTTACATTATATAGTGAATTGATCTTTGAGCAGGATGACTAATGAGAATAAAATTGTGAGCCTGAGCCCCAGAGGGACCACTGTAATTCTTTGCATAAAGGAAGTGCACTAGCCCCAGACAACCAGCCTTATCACATATAATATTGGGCTATGCCCAAATAATTATAAATCATTCTACTATAAAGACACATATACACATATGTTTATTGCAACACTGTTCACAGTAGCAAAGACTTGGAACCAACCTAAATGCCCATCAGTGATATTCTGGATAAAGAAAATGTGGCACACATTCACCATGGAATACTATGCAGCCATAAAAAAGGATGACTTCATGTCCTTTGCAGGGATATGGATGAAGCTGGAAACCATCATTCTCAGCAAACTAACACAAGAACAGAAAACCAAACACCAGATGTTCTCACTCATAAGTGGGAGCTGAACAATGAGAACACATGGACACAGGGAGGGGAACATCACACACCAGGGCCTGTGGGGGTTGGGGGGCTAGGGGATGGATAGTATTAGGAGAAATACCTAATATAGGTGGCAGGTTGATGGGTGCAGCAAACCACCATGGCACGTGTATACCTATGTAACAAAACTGCATGTTCTGCACATGTACCCCAGAACTTAAAGTATAATAATAAACAAAAAGTTTGAATACTCTTTTGTTAACTCTAGGTATACTGCTGGCTGCAATTGCCACTGTAAGTGATACAGCCATCACTTGCAGTGTACTTGGGAACTTTAAGGGCATGATAAACCTTTTCTCTAGTGGAACATTGCTTTTTACCTGCTTTTCTCTTTATCCTAATAAGGTGTGGGTATGCTTGTCTGAGAGTTCTTTTCACAACTTGACCTTTGTTTTCCCAGGCTGTACAGTGTAAAACTGAGTTAAGAAACTTGCTCATAAAATGAGGTGCAAAACTAAAAATCATCGTATTTTTCAAGTCACCATCTAATATTACTGTCAACCATAAGCCATTTCATTAGCAAGCAGCAGCATAAACCAAAAATGTAAGAAAAAAATAATTCTATCCCTAAATTCTATCCCTTCAACTAATGTGTGCTTTAACATCAGGTATCGTGGTGAACAAGGACAAGATTACTTGGTTTTAGTGGCTGAACACCAACACCTCAGCCTAATGCCCATTGGGGTATAATTAGAGATACCTTGACACTCTGCAAATGGGCTGCCAACATCTTTACTCCTTCCTTGCATCTATCCAGAGTTCTTGTTGAGGGGCACTAGCCACTAACTGATGAGCCAATGTGGGGAGTATGCACTGTCCTCCAACTCTTTGTGCTTGGACACTCCCAGTGGAGGAGGAACTGAGCTGAGGAAGCTGATCTGTTGCCAGAGAAAACTGTATCACCCTGTTTGTCAGTGTGCCCTTGCCTTACTACATCTTCCTTTTTTACCAGTGAGAAACAATAGAAAGTAACTTTGCCTATGTGAATGTTCTTTCAACAAGTTGAGAGAGATTGTTATTGCAGTGGTGAAGAGCGTGACCTTTGAGTTAATACCCAGCCCTGCCTCTAACTTTGCTTTATAAAATTGGGCAAGTTGTTTAACTTTTATGAGTTTCAGTTTCTTCTTCAAAACACAGATAATAATGGCCTCTTTCTTAAAGAGAAACTTTGAAGATTGAACAACATGGTGGATGTAAAGCATTTAGCTTTATTGTTAGTACATACTAAGTACTTTATAAATGGTTGTCATTATTCTTGTACAAACTGTAAATAGTACTTCACTCTCCCCATTTGTGTCAATTAATACAAGTCCATTTCAAGAAGCCTGTGGAGCCCAAACTATTTCTAGAAATTGGGGAGAAGATGACTTCTTCTCAACAATGGGAACTCTTAAGCTAGACCTTGTCAGGACTTGATCCCTTAAGTCCAAACTATAAGTAAAATAATTTATTTCAGGTCAAGAACAGTTATAAGAAAGGAAAGGAACTAACATATCTTGATTGCCTACCATATCTCAGTCATGATCCTTTAACCTCATAATATATTCAATATTCTAAGATGTAGGTATAATAATTTCTCTTATGTATGAATACAGGTGTATTTATATTTATATTATGTAAATTCTATTATATGTGAAGAAACTAAGGATGAGAGAAGTAACTTGGCCAGAATTATTCATGTAGTATCTGGCAAAGGCGGTGTTTGAACCAAGTCAATCTGTCTGCAAGGCCCAGGATTTTCCTAGAGCATGCTGCCATTTTCCTGACACAACTCAGTCCATCTTGATTTCAGCCCCCTCTGGCTCGAGTGTAAGTTTCCCTTCCCTCATTTTCCCAATTAAAGTTTCTTCACATCTCATACCTATCATGAATTAGTAATTTAAAACTTCTAAACTCCTTGAAAAAAGGCAAAGTGTAAGTTGCTCATGGTGTCACTGACTTGAGAACCAGGGACTGTTTTCTCCTGAGATCTGTTTTGTTAGCCTCTTCTTGTTACTTAAATTATGGTTTGAGTAACAGAGAAGGCTAAAAATATATGCTTTAGACTGATATGTGATGGAAGGAGATTCACTCATGTTTCACTTTTCCATCTTAATTTCTAAGGTCTTGGGAAACTATGCTGTAAAGCAAAGTGTCATTACTCTAGAGCATTTTACTAACATGCAAATTCCAGCTATGTTTATTCATCCTACGAAGGAGATGTAAATTTAGTGCATTCTCACCAGCTTCAAAATGAGTCATTTCAAAGGAGCGTGATAGTGCATGTGGTCAAACCCTTAAATAATTTTTATACTAATGCAGTCTCCCATTTTCTGGAGGCTCTTTAGTGGTTCATCATGCATTTAATTTTTAGGAAGATAATTTGCAATCCAATTGTGTGGCTCTGTCTTTGAAGTCTGTTAACCCCAAGATACAGTGTCATCAATGCTCATTTAAACTCCATGAATTGTGTTCAAGTAATTGTTCTACAGCTTGCCCTGCTAAGGAATTCATAGAGGGTATCTGAATAGGCCAAAGTAAAAGTAATGAATCTGGGCTATTTCCACTCATGGAAAAGAAGTAACAATTGTGAGATGTCTGTTCCTAAACACACAATTCAATTGCATTATGAGGCACTTGTACTTTTAAAATTCTTGCTTAAGGGACATGTACTCCGGTTAAAGATGCCTCAAAAGCGCCCACGTACATTCTGTAAAGGCACATCCTTAATTCTCTGGTTTGCCTCCTCTTTCATGAGGGCATTTTCCTTGAAGCCATATAGCTGCAACCCACATGTAGTCAGCTTCTAGCTGACCTCAGGTGTGTTCCTTCCTGGAGATGGAACTCAGCCATTAACTGATTTCTCCTAGACAAATGTCATTGATTCAGACACAAATGAAATCACTATAATACAAAACTACACGGATTAGCCATGCGACAAGTGGTCTGATGGATTGAACTTGAAGGCAGGTATCTCATCTTTCTATTCCTTCACCATTTTCATCATGGAATCTTCTGCTACCTACATTTTTCTTGAGAAAGCTCTTTATTATCTTTCAACAAAAATTACCTAAACCATGTTCCCAAAAATCTCTTGTGAAAAGAGAAAGGATAATAAATGGATTCATTATTTTAAATACATAGATTTTTTTTTCTTCTTTTCTATGGTTCATGAATGCAGGGGTCACCCATCATTTCTCTGAAAGTTATGCAAGTCACATACATCTTTCTTGAAACTGAAATTATTTAAAAAATCTATGACACTTCTACAAAACTTCCAAATATATTGTTACCTATAAGAACAGTCCGACAATGTCTCTTCTCCCAAGTTTCAAGGCAGTGACTATTCCTCAGGACAGATAAGCCTTACAATCATTGAATACAGAATCTACTGTTTGCACTTCGAAGGGCTAAACCTCCATATTTGGCTGAAAAGATGGCCAGAGAAGGATATTTATGATTCAGCAACAGTCTTATAATTCTCTATGCAACCCAGACTCTAACTAAACAGAATATAGTTTTGTGCCTAAAACCATCTGATTTCCCTAAATCTATGCAATACAACCCTTCAGTATCTGTAATTTAATAAACCTCTTGCTTAAAAATGTCTTCCTAATGCAATGGAGCACAGTACACGGAATCACTGTATCTGCCAATCTTTATAACACTCCTATGAATTGTTTCTCCCTCAAATACTGCATTTTGGTAAGTTAGAGGGTCATTACGGATACATCTGCATTTAATTGTTTATCTATAATACTGCTCAGCACAGTAAATACTCAGATACAAATCATGTAAAATCAGATGATGTCATAGATTTAAAATATTATATATAGTTATGTATACACACATATATAATATGTATTTTTTACTGTGGAAAGAGGCCAGTACATTGATGATTGATGTTTAGAGATGCAGATCCAATTTCAGAAGCGTATGTGAGCACCAAAATAATATAATAGGAGAAGGATTTGGGGGGGGGGGGCAGGAGCAATAAAAGCAATTAACAATATTTGTACTATGTAAACACCTTCAACCCTCATATGCCCTAGGCATAGCTGTGTGCACACGGAGTTCCCGACACGTACTCGGCAGGTTGAAGACACAAATCCCGAAATATGGGCATCATGGCCCCTCTGGGGCACTAGCGGACGTTGTGCACACAGGCACTACAGGAGGGCCAAGGAACTAAAACCACACTCACTCACACAGGTATCCGTTCCCTGCAGGCCACCCAGCAGCGACACCTCTAATGGTAATCACCCCGGGCTGACAGGTATTCACAGGCACATTCGGGGAGCTGCTGTGAAATCTAGGGGAAGAGGGGAGGGTCGGGCATTTGGGGACAGCCGCGCGCGCCCGGCAGGATCTCTGCGCCTCCAACACTGTCCAGGACCTGAATTCGCTCAGGAGATGCCCAGAGGATCTGCATTATGCCAAGGCACTGGGCCAACTCACCTCGACGAAATAAAAGCAGGGCAGGAGGGTGACGCTGTCCTTGATCACTTTGCCCTTTGGCCTCTCCTTCGCCGACATCCCTGCCGCCTGCCCGGGTCTGCGTCCTCCCCCGGGCGAGGTGTGCACAGCGCAGCTGAGGCGAGCTGCCTCCTCCAGCCCCAAGCGCCCGGCGCCGCTGATGTCACATTCCCCGCGGCCACCGCTGGAGCCAGCGCGCTGCATGCAGCGCCCCCGCCTTCTCCCCGCCCCTTTTTGCAGCAACCCAGCTATTCCCTGAGCGGGCCAGTCCTCTTCCTCCCCTAGTCTGGCTCCTGCTCCCCGTTTTTCTGGCGAGAGACGACGTCCAGCTCCCTCCTCCAAGCTGTTGCTGCAATGGCTTCCCCTCCCTGTCACCCTCCCTCAGCTCTCTACCGCCCTTGCGACGCTCCAAGGCTGTCGGAGCTTGACGTCAAGAATCCGAAAAGGAGGACGCACTCCTGGTTTCTGCAGTAGTTAGGCTGAGGAGCTAAGCCACCTAGTCTCCTCCTGGGGAGCCTCCTAGGTCACTCTAGGAATGCTATTAAAGAATGCTAAGGATCAGAAGCCCTGCTCCAGCGCGCTGACCCATAGCAAGAAAACCAACCCCTACCTCCACGAAATGAGATCTTGGATCCCATACTGAAAAGTAGGCTGAGGTAGGCATTAACTGACAGCTTGTTGCTACCCAGGAATGACAGCTCCTACGGGGGATTCTCTGCCTAGGAGACTCCTTATCTCCCTTCCATATCGAAGCACCCACTAACAAACACTACCGGTTGTGTGGGAATGATGTGGGTTCCTTGCATCCAGAGAGGCAGATGTGTGAATGCACAGGTAATGGGCATCCTCATTGAGCCCAGAGGCTACTGTATGTTCTAATCTCACTGTCACACCCCCAGAACAGTGTCAGTATTGCAATCATAACAGTAAAAAGAAGTATGTCTTCAGATATTAATAATCTAAAGTCCTTCATCTTGTTGGCAGTATACATGGCTAGTCTCAATTTTGTGATTACTTTGGCAACCAGAAGTATCAAGTTGATATAGAAGAGAGAAAGACCCAGCAAACACGAGACATGATATTATACTAATAAAGATGACCTAATTTTGTGATCACATGTCCCAGGCCATTTCCAATATCTCCAAGTCTCCATTTCAAGCATGTGATGGCCAATTCCCAACTCATTTATCCATTTCCCTTTTTTAGTTGCTCCTCCAATAGGTCTTTGGCAGTATGGGACCATCCTATCTAATAATATACTCATTTCACTGCCAACACCACCTCTTGCCCCCACTTTCTTCTGCCAGGCTTGGGTTCCAAAGTCTAGCAATATAATTGCTTGTTTCCGCCTCCCAATTTGCCATACTCACCTGATAATATCCCGGCTTAGTTGAACCCAATTCTCTGCCCTTACCAGAGCAACTGAAAGTGGCTGGAGAAAAACACACAACCGCATGATGCTGTCTCACATCCAACTCATGACCACAAACTCCAAGTAGGTCCTGGAGTTGCCCCCACGATTCTATAATTTTTTCTGTCCAGCCATTTTCCCATTCACAACTTCTCACTTCTCAAATCTCCTCATTCTCAGTTCATGACATTAACTCTTATTTCACTTAGAAAATAGAAGTAATCAGAAGAGAACTACATCTTCTTCCTAAACTCAGTGCTTGCCCTCACCCCCCACCACACACAGCGACCGCCATCTCTTGCCTAGACTGGAATAACCTAACGGCCTTCTAACTGTTCTACCAGCTTTTGCATTTGCCATTCCCACAACCTACAAACCATTCCCTACGCAGCAGCCAGAAAGGTCCTTTGGAAAGTAAACCCAATTGTTTTATTCCCCTACCCAAACCCTCCAAGAGCTCTCTTCCACTTCAATGGAAAGTCCAAACTTCCCGTCTCTTCCTTAAAGCCCTGCCTGGCCACCTTGCCTGGTTCTAGGACCTCATTCACATCACTTTGCACCTCAATGGTCTGGCCGTTCCAGCCTAGCCTTTCACTGCCTCAGGAGCTTTGTACTTACTGTTCCTTTGTCCAAGAACTCTGTTCCGCCAAAATTGCATGGCTTAACCCCTCATTTAATTCATATCTCTGCACAAATTTTAACTCCTCAGGGAAGTTGTGTTTGATGCACCGAGTAGATTCATAATCTCAGACCTCTGTTACTCTTTATTCTTTTATACTATTTTATTTTCCTTCATAGAATTTGTCACCATTTGATAGTATATCAAGTATTTCTGTGTCCTTTTTTATCTTGTCTGCCTCACCCACTAGTGAACTCTGTAAAGTCAAGCACATTTTCATTATTATGTTTTCTGGTAACTACAAGTGTGCCTGGCAAAGAGTAGGTTGTCAGTACATAGTGAAGAAATAAATGGAACAATAAAATTAAGTGATGCTTATATAACCGTATAGCATAGTTTTTCACATAGTATATGTTCATTAAGTGCTTGTTGATTCTGTTTAACTATTACATTAATCAGTAGTTATACTTTTCATTACTACCAATGTTACTTTGTCTTGTGGAGGGGGTGGGTACTGGAGCCCTTTCTTTTTTCAACCTTCTTGGTACCTCAAGAAAATTTACAATTTTTGGTGAGGTAAAAAATAAGCTAGAACATATTAAACTTAAGAGAGATGTTATCATCCTGGAAACTCAGTGTTTTTATTTGAGAAGAGGTGAAATATAAGACTAAACCTATACCCACCTAATTTCAATAGCAAAAAAACCTGAAGGTATGTGATAAAATATCAGAGATGTATGCTGACCATACATCAACAATTCAACAAATTGTCAAAACATCAGAAAGGTACTCTTTTTTTCCTCCCTAGCTGGTCTGCCCAGATTGACCTGCTCACATTGTCAAGGATCAGGAAATGTTTCAGAATTCAAAGCCAATACTTATTGTAAATCCTTTATCTTTCATTAGGTCAGATTCTCCTTCCTTCTGTCTCTCTTCTTTTGAATTTTATTTTTCTAATATATAGCATTTCATAAAACAATCAAGCTAAAGATTCCCTTAAATACTAAACACCATAGTAATGTCTTACATTGGGGTAACAGTTTGATATATATTACCTACTTTCACTTTTGGTACTCAAAACAATGCAATGAAGTGAACAGGGCAAATGATTTCCCTATTTTATAAAAAAAATCAGTAGACAGAACTCAGAGATAGAATAAATAAATAGAAAAATTTGAACCAAAACAGAATAAAATTTGGAGTCAGAAGACATGAACTTGAGCTCAGGATTTGTAATGTTTGAACTCTGCTCATAAGCAAATCACTTAGTATCTCCAAGCTTTAGTTTTCTATTATGTAAAATGAGAAGAGTACTGGTACTATCTGACAACAATGCCTGGTAGCTTAATTGTGACGATATATGTGAAAGCACTTGGTGAAATGTAAAACTGACTCATCCATTCATCAGTCCATCCATTCAACCTACAAGTATTTATTGATCCCCGGCTATGTGAGAGGCATATTTCTCACAAGACACCCACTGGAGAAAAGAGTATATATGCTTGTTGCCTTCATAGAATTCACAGGCTAATGTAGGTGAAGAGAAGACAGACACAGACAATAAATTAGTAATAGTAATAGAAAACACCTCCATGAAGCTCACTATGGAATAAGCATCATTAACAATACTTTGCATCTTACCTCACGTACTCACAAGATCCTTATGAAATTAGTATCATTATTATCACATTTTATAGTTAAAAAACTGAGACTCAGGGGGTAAACTATGATTTTATGGAAGGACCACAGATATAATTAGTAGGGCTGAGACTGTTGAACTCAGTAGGTTGCTGCAGGCTATGTGATCTTAAGGGCTACACCTACTGCCTCTCTTTACAAACATATAATTATATCTTGTGATATAGACTACTAAACAAACAATTAAGGTGCAGTTGTAATCACAATGAGAAACTTCTTAAGAATGGTGGTTGTGGCACTATTCACAATAGCAAAGACTTGGAACCAACCCAAATGTCCATCAGTAAAGAAAATGTGGAACATTTACACCATGGAGTACTATGCAGTCATAAAAAAGGATAAGTTCATGTCCTTTGCAGGGACATGGATGAAGCTGAAAACCATCATTCTCAGCAAACTATCACAAGAACAGAAAACCAAACACTGTGCATGTTCTCACTCATAAGTGGGAATTGAACAATGAGAACACATCGACATAGGGAGGGGAATATCACACACCGGGGCCTATCGGGGGTGAGGGGCTAGGGGTGGGATAACATTAGGAGAAATAGCTAATGTAGGTGACGGGTTGATGGGTGCAGCAAACCACCATGGCACATGTATACCTATGTAATAAAACTGCATGTTCTGCACATGTACCCCAGAACTTAAAGTATAATAAAATAATAATAACAATAATAATAAAAAGAAAAAGAAAGGTAGTCAAGGAAGTCCATGAGAGGAGTTGACATTCAAACCATTTACAGCACAGAGGCTACTAGAGAACACTCCAAAACTAAAAAATATGTTTCATCCCATCTTTACCACATAAATTCACATTGAAGCCAAGTGCAAAACTTTTATATTGAATGTTGCTTCATGTATGCTAGTTGCAGCCCTACATTATAATAGTGACATTAAAAACAATATAATGTGCCTCACAGAACTTGAACATTTTCAATGGAAATCCTGTTTCAGTGCATTCGAATGAAAAATGGCACCCACTGAAAAAGCAGCCCTCTGACATTTTGCGAGACAGAGTACTTCATAGCACAAATAACCTGGAAAAAATATGCCTGAAAATGCATTTGACACTATTATTTAAAGTGTCAGACTTCTCAGGTAAGAAAGAAGTCGTTTTTCTCTATATTGGATTTGTGTGCCCATAGCCAAATGCAAACTGCTTTTCTGTTTCCTGGCAACTATTTGCCCTTTGGGTATTTGCATGACATTTATCTTTAAGGTCATAAAAATATATTTAAATTAGTTACATATTTCTCAGATATCAGCCCACTCCACCACACTTTAAGGGGACAATGTAAGATTTTATTGCATTTTTCTAAATGGAAGAAACTTAACATAACTGAATATGCAGATGTGTGAAGTAGGAAAAACACTGAAATGAGAAGCTTCTGAAGGATGAGAAAGTGATGTTTTAGTTACAGCCTCATCATTGACTAATTCCACGGCTGTAAATAAGAGCATTTTAACTCAGGGACTCCGTTTCCACATCTAAAATGAATAGATTAGAGGAGTGAAATGGACATCTGTTGTGTGTTTGTTCAGGAGCCATCATTCCTTCTTTTTGTGATGGTTTCTTGAATTTTCATGTAAACTGTCCCACTTCTACAGTCCAAACTAGGACTGTAAATGAAGGTATTCTGTCGGCCCTAGGCCAGATAGGATAGTGACCAAATGTGAGCAACTGGACCCTGTTCCCCAGGAATCTGAATCTTGAGGAAAGTGACACAGAGACAGAAAATTGTTGGTGTTGATGCATGATAGAAGAAAAGAGAATGATAATTAATGCTGGCCTTTTGGTTCTCTGAACTGTCCTTTTTACCTTTCCCTTAAGAAGTCTGGCTTTTTTCTTTTCTTTTGTTTCTTTTTATATCCCCATTTTCTTTCCAAATATATCCTTTCCTCTACTCTTTCCTGTCTTTCTCATTAATTTAGCCAGAGCCCATTTTCTGTGCCCACAACAAATAAAAACATTTTCTGTGCCCACAATCAAACAAAAAAGTCACATACCTTTGATAAGAAGACATGACTTTTTTGTTTTTTAATCTAACATCAAATTTACCTAACGGCAATTCTTCTGGCAAGAGATTCTTTTTTTTTTTTTTGAGATGGATTTTCACTCTCTTGCCCAGGCTGGAGTGCAGTGGCACGATCTCAGCTCACTGCAACCTCCACCTCCTGGGTTCAAGTGATTCTCCTGCCTCAACCTCCAGAGTAGCTGGGACTACAGGTGTATGCCACCACGCCAGGCTAATTTTTGTATTTTTAATAGAGATGGGGTTTCACCATGTTGGCCAGGCTGGTCTTGAACTCCTGACCTCAAGTGATCTGCCTGCCTCGGCCTCCCAAAGTGTTGGGATTACAGGTGTAAGCCACCATGCCTGGCCCAGGCAAGAGATTTTTTAAATATAATTTTACCTTTTTTATTTTTTATTTTTTTTTACCATCGATGACTTTTGTCCACTATGGTCCTCTGTGATTCCCTATCAGGATATGGTAGAAGCTGATTTACATGAATCTACGGAGCTTCATCCCACAGGAACATAACTTTGCCCTGGAAATCAGTGGCTTCCCCAGGATAACCTATAGCAGTGATACAGGCAACAAAATAAAAAGTTCATTGCAGAGTTGTGTTGTGCATTGTCATACCAGTGTGTTGTGAATGGGTTTCAACTGTCCCATAAGATATTGATCCCCTCAGGGCCTTAGCAGGGTCTATGCAAAGTCTCAATGCAGATTGCTTCTGGTTGCAATAATCCAGATTCAAGGTGGAACAGTGCGTGACAGCAAGTTCAGAAGGCTATAAATCAGGAGAGAAACAACTTCAGAATTTGCTGCTGCACCCCAATGTACTAAATATAGCCAAGAGGGAGCCCCACTACTTGAAAACCCACTGGACAACCAGCTGCAGCATATGTTATTGCCCAAGAGCACCGGGCACACCCCTAGGTGTGGTCTGTTAAAGGTGCTTGGAGAGTGGAGAGATCCAACGGTTCTCCTCACAGGTACAATAGAGGGAAGAGATTGCTATTTCTGTCTTCTCTCTGTAAATTCTGTCCATGGGTACAGATATGTCTTGTTTATGGCTTCCATGCTACCTGCATAGCAATGGCTCTAAAAATGAATGTACATTCTGCAAATAAAGCATTATTTTTCTTTTGCAATATGTGATAAAAGATATTTAATTGGATTTAGAAACATCTAAGTTTATCACAAGAAATTTAAACATTACTTTTGTCAATGAAGGCAGTGCTATTGAATTCTTCACATGTAATTTCAAGGGTTGTATTTTTAATGATTATAAAGCAATGATATCAGATTTTTATCACCTACTTGTGCAAAGTTTCTCTTCAATGGTTACTATCAAGAATTTAAAGAGGTCCAAAGTAAAAATTCTGATGAGAAAATGCATGTAGCCATTCTTTGCACAAGTAAGCGCAAGTAAGCTCAAGTTTCTCATTTAAAAATTGAATAGATTTTATTTGGAAGTTTTAAATTTAAAGTATTTCTCCAAAACTTGATTTTTCTTCATGTTCACATACTACAAAAATGTGATGCTTTTCCTACTAAGTTCTGCACAGCTGCCTTCAATTCCCTTTTAAAACATTTACCTTATTGTGCTGTGTTAATACACTAGTTTATGTGTGAAAGGGTTGAGAAATACACACATATAAATTGGCCATTCCTTTTTCTTCAGTGTCACACTGCAACTGGTTCTCTACTATATTCCTGGAAAGTAACAAGCAGCAGCTATTTAAAGTATAAGATGATCCAAACCACTCAATCTAAAAATCTTGTCATCATCCTTGATTTATGCATGCCTGTGTCCCTTATATTTAGTCTCCAAATTCTTTTGAATTTCCAATGAACTTTTGCCCTTTTGTATTTTTCTCTTCCGTATTTCCATTACAATCAATTAATGCCTGGTTTCCTAAAAAAGTCAGCTATGGCCTTCAGGCTCTTCCATCATACAACACCCCTCTGGGTAAGTCCTGCCCCACTAGACACTTGTCTTGTGTCCCGCTCTGCAGAGATGTATCCTCTCCTCTGATGAGCTTGTTTGAGCTGCACTTGCACCATCTTTGTTCTGTTCCTGTGCCTTCTCACATGCTGTTCTACTCTCCTGGAATGCATTCATATCTCACATTTCTGAATTTTGTCCTTGCTACTCTAGCTCTCAAAGGCATCTCTCTGAATACCAGTAGACCTTATTTTGACTGCACAATCTAGCACAAGGCTATAAATCATTTTATTTTATTTGATATATTCTCATCTTGTACTTCCAATTGTATGAGTGAATTGGAGAAACAACACGTCATTTCTCTTTTCTCCATTTCCTCTTTTCCATGTCTGCTCTTACCATTTTGTTCACTTCATTATTTCAGTGACAGTATCATAGCATAGTGGCTAATTTCCCTAACTATGAATCTTCCATTTTCTGATCAAGTCTATAACTTTGCGCCATGAACATTCTCTTAAAGCACAATTTTGATCATGCCACTCTCTTGCTCAAAAGTGCTTTATGATTCTTCATTGCCTATAAAATTGTATTCAGTCTTTAGCCTGGCATATAAGGGCCTCTGTCTGGCCTCCACCAATCTTTCCATCTTACCTCTCCTTCCTGTACAGACACTAACTCCAGACATCCTAGGCTACATGGCATTTTATAAACCATATTCTCTTGCATCAAAGCCTTTTTTGTACTCTTCCTTTAATGATTTTTCAAATTTCAAACCAAAGTAACCTCCTTATGAGATTTCCTCAAACTTTCCCTCCTATGTGATCCTTTAGAGCTTTCTTTGGACATTTTTGTAGATCACGTATAAAAATTTTGCCTTGATTGTCTTATTTACCCCCAATAATATTTTTCTTCTTGAAAGTATAAGCCATATCTAATTCACCTTTTCTTCCTTTTTGAACCCTTAACATAGTATTTTGTACATATCAAGAGTTCAGCGAATCTTTATTGAATAAATAAATTTCATTCCTTTTACCCTTCCTTCTACAGTGATGACTATAACACTGGAACAACATAAATGTTTTGAATGTTCAATTACTGATTTTATAATTTATATAAATGAATAAGCACCCTGTCTCTCTCCCTTTCTCTCTCCTGACACTATGAGAATGCCATCGGCTCCAACAAGAAGTGCATTCTCTCAATCCTTTAGTAATTATCCATTGGTTGCAAGTTAGATTATGTATTATGATTAGTACAACATGGGAATTTTGAGCATCTCTTAGGAGCTGCTGAGAAATATGCTTCAGTAAAGTAGATCTTTATTGTCCCCTCTTCTCTCCGCAGTTTCTAGTCCCATGCCTTCTCTTAAATATTGCATCTTAAATTCTACTAAAGATTTGCTTCCCCTTTGAAGTTTCCGGGTTTGTTCCCAGGCTAAGACAGCTCCAAATGGTTCTATAATCTATATGTTAGTTGTCCTCGTTTTCTCTACCTGTGCATCTATGTGGCTCTTGCATACATCTTCCCACCTGTCCTGTTCTCCTTACTTGTTGAACTCTTCTGTGGGCTGGGACTTTTTTTTTTTTTTTTTTTTTGAGACGGAGTCTCGCTCTGTCGCCCAGGCTGGAGTGCAGTGGCGGGATCTCGGCTCACTGCAAGCTCCGCCTCCCGGGTTCACGCCATTCTCCTGCCTCAGCCTCCCAAGTAGCTGGGACTACAGGCGCCCGCCACTACGCCCGGCTATTTTTTTGTATTTTTAGTAGAGACGGGGTTTCACCGTTTTAGCCGGGATGGTCTCGATCTCCTGACCTCGTGATCCGCCCGCCTCGGCCTCCCAAAGTGCTGGGATTACAGGCGTGAGCCACCGCGCCCGGCCTGGGCTGGGACTTTTATTTGTCACATTAAAATACAATTTTTCTTTACACCCTCTCTTAATTTGACTGTTGTGATGATAGACATTATGTTTCAGAACCAATTGTAAGAAAAATTGGGGCAAAAGTCCAAATGATTTTAGAATAAATTAATGAAAGAAAACACCTTCCTGGATATGAAAAACCACCTTTGCTAACACTCATAAAACTTTCATGTATACTATTTGTTATCGAAGCTCCTATCAAAAGAGCTGAAGCAAGGTTATTCCTAAAATTAAGACACTTCATAACTTTAAAATAAAACATATAGAATTAAAGTTTATTTCAATTTCACAGCAGTATATAAAATACATAAAAATTGGCCAGGCGTGGTGGCTCATGCCTGTAATCGCACACTTTGGGAGGCTGAGGCAGGCAGATCATTTGAGGTGAGGAGTTTGAGACCGGTCTGGCCAACACAGTGAAACCCCATCTCTACTAAAAATACAAAATTAGCCAGGCATGGTGGCATGCACCTGTAGTCCCAGACACTTGGGAGGCTGAGGCAGGAGAATCACTTGAACCTGGGAGGCGGAGGTTGCAGTGAGCTGAGATTGTGCCACTGTACTCCAGCCTGGGTGACAGAGTAAGACTCCCTCTAAAAATAATAAAATAAAATACATAAAATTATAGACTTTAAATAATTTTTAACCCTTTAGTTACTCCTTTGATATAGATTTGTTCATTGATAGTTGAAAAATGACTCTATTTATACTGGACTCCTTTTTGATACATAACAGTAACACAAACTCGATTTCTTTCTTTCTTTCCTTTCTTTTCTTTTTTCTTTTCTTTTTTTCTTTAATGAGGTCTTTCTTTGTCACCCAGGCTGGAGTGCAGTGATGTGGTCATGGCTCACTGCAGCTTTGAACTCCTGAGTTCAAATGATCCTCCCACCTTAGCCTCCTGAGCAGACAGGACTACAGGTGTGTGCCACCATTCCTGGCTAATTTTTTTTTTGTAGATTTGGAATCTTACTATGTTGCCCAGGGTGGTCTTAAACTCTTAGCTTCAGGTGATCCTCCCACCTCACCCTCCCAAAGCACTGGGATTACAGGCATGTGCCACCACTCTTGGCTGCAAATGTGATTTCATATAGATGTGGAGTCACAAACAACAGAGAATCTCTAGTCCTGTCTCTGCAAATAGGGAGACTATGCTCACTTAATCTTTAGAATTCTCAGATTCATTGACTTGCCCTTCACATGCAATTGTATGTTATTAATTTATCATTCAATAAAATGTTCTTTCATAAAACTTTGACTTTGATTCCACATATAGGAAATATCTGTCGCTTTGGTTTGCAATGACCCCTTCTTTTGAGAGAGGTCCTCTCTTCCAAATACAAGCTAATATGTGGTCCTGAGACATCCGGACATTTTCTGTTAGATTGCACCACACTAATAGTGGGGTGAGCACACAACTGAAGTGAAGCCTATCATTTATGCTACCCTATATCCTCTGGCCATGGAGATTTGTCCAGAGATGATCACGAAACCAGTAGGAGCCTATCTGAATACCCAGGAGTTTTCTAACTAGAATCAAAGGAGAAGAGTGTCCTTCTCTTTCTGGTGGCAAAGCTGTACAGATGTAAGTACCAAAGCCGCCTATGTTCATGTCGCCTCAAGCAAATGAAGAAAGTCTTACACTTGTGAAAGAGAATAAAACTGGCATTAATAGAGAAGAGATGAGATATAGAAATTCTCAAGAGCTTTTAGTCCCTGAGTTCAATTACTTAGAAGAAGAGCTCCAACACAACCTTCTGTTCAACCTTTGAGGTTCAGTATATGAGTTAGTAATCACCTCCTCTCCCAACTATTTTTGCCTAAGTTACTTGTTTGTGAGTTCCTTTCACTTATAAACAAAAATCTCTGTGCAATATACACTTTATAAAGTGCAAGCAATATAGAATAATACTAACGATGTTGTAAGATTTTTTCTGTGGGAGTAAAGTATGAAGTGTTACCAATCAGTATCTGATTTCAAGCTATAATCAGTCTTACTATGCCATCATCCTGAGACGCATCACAATAGACTACAAATTAAGCCGTAACACAAGTTACTCACCACTGCATAATTTGCTGCCACCCACAACTTGCATGGAGAGGTGATGACAAGGATGCCCATCAACCCCTCTTATATAGTAATTCTGGAGTTTCTCTACTTGCAGGCACATATGTCTTGCCCGTGGGTGCAGCTCACTGGGGTTAACTGCAGCTGGCAGATTTTGATTGGTGAATTGTGCAAGTTGTGTGAGAAGCCAGCAGGTGTGAGGTGATGCCAGAATAAAGATAAGTAGGGCACTGGCAAGTTAAAAAGAATCAATACACAAAGTGTTGGTTTAATTTGCATTTTAAAAACTTGAGCTTCTATTCAATTTAGAATGTCTAGCCCTTCCAGAAAGGACTTCTTGCATTCCAGGAAAATGAGCTCACACCTGAATAAGGGTTTCTTTTGAACAAGGCTAAATTTTATTTTTATGAAGACAAATTGCAAGTTCATTCTACAGGAAAAGAGAGAAGTCATCTTGGAGCAGATCTTTACTTTAAAAAGAGTTGATCTAGGCAAATGTAAATAGAATAGGACCCAACAACCCTGAGGAAGACTTTTAAGGCCAAGGAAGCCACAAAAGTTGTTTGCTCTGGTATTTTGAAAAATGAATCTGTTTGATTTAATTTAAAAAGCTAGGATCCTCATGTAAGAAAGTGAAACCAGCCCAATTGTCTCACACAATTGATATTTACAGTTTAATAAACATAGAAATTGAACTTCCTAGTCTTAATGTTTTTTTTTTTTATTTTTTAAAACTTGTATTTTAAATTCAGGGTTACATGTGAAAGTTTGTTACATAGGTAAACTCATGTCACAAGGGTTTGTGGGACAGATTATTTCACCATCTAGGAATTGAGCCCGGTATCTAATAGTTATCTTTTCTGCTCCTCTCCCTCTTCCCACCCTTCACCCTCAAGTAGACTCCAGTTTCTGTTGTTTCTTCTTTGTGTTCGTAAGTTCTCACTGTTTAGCTCCCACTTACAAGTGACAACATGAGGTATTTGATTTTCTATTCCTGCATTAGTTTGCTGAGGATAATAGTCTCCATCTCCATCCATGTTCCTGCAAGGCATGATCTCATTCTTTTTTATGGCTGCATAGTATTCCATGGTGCATATGCACCACATTTTAAAAATCCCATCTGTCATTGATGGGCCTTTAGGTTGATGCCATGTCTTTGCTATTGTGAATAGTGCTATAATGTACATTCACGTGCATGTGTCTATATGGTAGAATTATTTATATTCCTTTGGGTATATATCCAGTAATGGGATTGCTGGGTTGAATGGTAGTTCTGCTTTTAGCTCTTTGAAAAATCACGATAATATTTTCCACAATGGTTGAGCTAATTTACACTCCCACCAACAGTGTATAAGTATTCCCTTTTCTCCATAGCCTCACCAGCATCTGTTATTTTTTACTTTTATTAAAAAGCCATTTTATTATTTTAGAATTATTAATTTAAAACAGTATATTAATATATAATTAATATTAGAGCAATATATTTTATTAAATTAATATTATGTAATTATTGTTTATTATTAAATAGCCACTATGACTGATATGAGATGGTATCTCATTGTGACCCATTCAGTCTTAAAGGTTGAGAAACATATTTGTCTTATCTGGATAGATAGATAGATAGATAGATAGATAGATAGAAATATAGATAGATAGATAAAGATGATAGCAATGGAGATGATAATTTCCTGCATTCCTTTCTCAGGAAATCGACTATCAGGAGTCCCAAGTAGTATCAAGGAACTGAAATTTACTAGATCATTGCTTCTGGACCAGGAGACACCAGACCCGTTATTCATCATGATTGCCTAACCAACCACCTGCTGCCTATTGACCAACTCCTCTTACCTACCCCTCCCCAATTCTTGTTTTCCTGCACTTTAGCTACATTCCTTCCCCACTATATAAACCCCTTATTTTGATCGATTGGGAAGATAGATTTGAAACTCCTCTCCCGTTTCCTCAGCTGTAGCACCTTGTATGGTGTTGTGCTTTGAGGAACCATGAATCAGCGTAAGATTGTGAAATAATAGAGCTCTAACCTGGCAGTCCCAAGGTGGGGCACTACTGGAGTCTGTGTCAGGCTCCAAGTGAGGGAGAGAGCCTCAGCATCCTCGAGGTAACCTGCACTGGGCCGTGGAGGACCAGGATGCAGCAGCAAATAAAGCAAAAATGCCTCAGGCAAAAAGAAGCTTTTCAATTCTCTCTCTTTTGACATTGGAAGTGGACTCAGCTCTTTGATGAACCAGTTAGACCTTGGGGGTTTTGGAGCCCCTACAGCAGGGGCTGGTGAATGACTGGCTCACAGCCCGAATCCAGCTTGCTTTTGTAATTAGTTTTATTGGAACACAAATACACCCATTCCTTTCTGTGTTGTCTATGTCTGCTTTGAACCTACAATGGCAGAGTGGAGTAGCTGTGACAGAGATTATGTAGCGTGCAAAACCTAAAATATTTACTCTCAGGCCCTTTATAGAAAAGTAAATCCTCATCCCTGATATTCAACAGCTTCCACAATTTCCATCACTTCATCTGTCCTAATTCTCACTAATTCTGAATTGTAGTCTCTGAGTTTGGTCTGAATCCATGTGATTGATCTTACTGTCCCTAGTATGGACCATGACTTTTTCCTCATATACCATTTCTTACTAATTTCCCTCATGTCCAAGTTCTTAAACCACATTCTACCCAACCACAATATATAGTGTTTGACTCTTTAATGTCACATTCTATGGATGTGAATTTCCTAGTGCAGTGAATTTCTGACATGACTTTAGACACACAGGAATAACAAGGACACAAAGTAGAGTTTAAAATTTATTTTTATAAAAAAGTTGACAGAAATGAAATATATTCCCTAATATGCCATAAAATACAGTGAAGTAATATTTTAATATGATATTTAAATTTCAGACATCTACTTGCCTCTGCAAATATTATTCATAGCAAAATTTAAACCTTAAAATGCCATAAAATGGCAAAAGCCACTTATAAAAATATCTTTAATTTATTCAGTCTGTGCTGAGTCTTTTGTAAGTTATTTAAAATGGCATGCAAATCAGAGTAAATTAAACATTATTTCATGAAAAGCAGATTTTTAGATGTAATCAACATGTCGTTTGAATAACCGTCTTAATGTTATTTAAACACCGAAACCAAATGTTGTATTGATTAGAAAGGAATATGACTAGATTTAATGGAAATAATGTTGTTTTCTATTGTTGACCAGCTACTCATTACCATCATAACACAATAACAATTTCAAAAGTATATATAATGATATACATATACATGTATCTACACACATATATGTTTATGTACATGCACATATAAGAGAGAGATAGCTACATTTTCATCCATATTTATCAATCAAATTTAAGCTAAACTAAAAATTTGATAATTGAACAAATATTTATTGAGGGAGTATTCTAGACAAAGATAATTTTTCAAATAAAATTGGCTGGCAAATAACTTAAAA
The DNA here is from genome assembly GCF_000001405.40 of Homo sapiens. Taxonomy (NCBI): domain Eukaryota; kingdom Metazoa; phylum Chordata; class Mammalia; order Primates; family Hominidae; genus Homo; species Homo sapiens. Next base: position 99,249,503 of record NC_000001.11, on the reverse strand, counting down.
TCACAATACATGTAATGAGTTAAGTTCACACAAATGAGAATCAGCAGAATTAATAGACAGAAACAGATCCAAATTAACTCTAGATATTGGATACCTGAATAAAACAAGCACTCTGTAACTGTTCATGGAGATAAAAGTGGAACCAATGTTTTCAAGGGATTTAGGTTTGCATATTTGAAGAGGAACTATCTAAAAATTATGTAATGGAATGATTACATAGATAGGTTTAGCAGTAGATCGGACCCTGATAAAAGTATCGAAAAAGAAACATGATAAAAATGGCATGTAAGTCACGAAAAGCTTACATAGATCTAGAGTATTCTAAGTCTCTGCATTTTCTCATAGAAAAAAAAGAGGAAAAGAAAACATAACAGGTAGAACAAATTAAAAGCATACAAGGAAATGGAAGATATATATTTAAAATATATAATATGCATACTGTATATAATATATATTATGTATATAATTACATGAATTTATATTGACTAAGTTATATAGTTAAAATGCAAGGATTAACACATGATATTTAAAAATTAATTTCATCCTATTCACAGAAGATTTTGAATATTAAAAGTATAGATAAGAGAAATAGTAAACCATACAAAAACTTAGCCAAAAGAAACTAACGTAGCTGTATTTATTTGCAACAGTATAAAAAATGTTGCAGGCCCTAGAAATTAACTTAGAGTTGTGCAGGACTTCGACAGTAAAAGTTAAACATTTTAATGAGATAAAATAAAGTTCTCGATATTATACTAAGGGAGTAATACTTTTTTTGGAGTGAAACACTCAATAATAAAAAAATGTTAGTTCTCCTGAACTCACCTATAAATTCAAGACGGTCTTGATAAAAATCCAAAATATTTATTTGAGCAACTTGACAATCTATTTCTAAAATGTATATAAAAATTAAAATGCCATGAATTTTGCCTTTATTAAAAAACTGTTGATTAGACCTTATGGTCATCTGTTTCCTCAATTTCATAGAAGTATATTAAAAAATATTACCAAGACATAGCAAATGACTCTAAAGTATACCTTGCTCATTCACTTAAAACCACTTTGTTTATCCAGTAAAACTTATATGATGAAGGAGTAAAAGTAACTCTATAAAATTAGGTATTATTTACATTTGGAGTTTGCCCATTAATTACAAGTAAAAACTTATATGTTTATGCCAAAACTGTTTGAAATGGCACTCAAAGTACTTTAAAAATATAAAAAAAGAGAAATTGACACAAGAATTCTTACCAAGAAATTGATAATTTTTTACGATTAAAACTTAAATTTACAATTTTGAATTTGACTAACATAACTCTATCCGAGGAGGATAAATCGATCCTAGTTAATTGAAGCCAGTTGGTCAAAATTCAACATATTAAATCTTAGATTGCATTTGGGGATCTTGCCTACTGCAACAAGTCAAGGTGTCTGAAAATTATATCTGTCTTTTATAAAGGGAAAGGTGATTGCCAATAAGCAGATGAGAAAGGAGAACAGCATGGTGTTTTCTGAGGTAGACCAACTTTAGGAAAGAGTTTATATGGCAGTTTAGCACTTGGACAATATTTTTAAAAAAACTATGCAATAGAGAAGTCTTAGTGTATCAAACAGGATATCCATTACTCATTTTAAAGACCTCAGATATAATTGATATGGTAGAAGGGAGTACATGGTATGACTTAAAAAAAAATTGGACTTGCTCTGTATACTCTTACTGTTACCAAGACTTTAAATTTTATGTAATGCTAGTGACACCCAATACTCTCTCTAAACTGTCATAGAGCTGCTGGTGGAAATATCATTTTAATGCCTCCCAACTCCCATATGACCTCACATGATTTATCTTTCCTAAAAAACGTTCTTCCTGTATTCCTTTATTAGTTTCATCCAGACACCCAAGACACTTTTCTTATTTACCTCTCCTATTGGCCCCTGAGTCCTGCTAATTTTTTGAGGTATCCTCTCATTTATGTCACAATGCCCTAATCTCTTCTCATTGAGAATACTGCAAAATCCTTCCAACTGTTAGCCCTGTCTCCAGTTTTGTATGTGATTAATCACTGTATTCTATTGCCAGAGTAATTGTCGAAAATGCAAACCTCAGCATATTATACACCTATGATCACGTTTTAATGGTGTCCCATTCCATTCAGCAGTACTTGTCAAACTTTTCCATTTTTCATAAGAGGATAATAAATTTATATCTACAAAAGAGATAAACTTAGTTGAAGACTTGTATTTTATTTTTAATTCATGTGAATTAAGGTGTCATTCTGTAATATAATCATGTGTGGTGTTTTTAAAATTTTATTTATTTTTAAAATCATCACATTGTAATTGCACATTGAATCATGTGTATTTTAATTATTTACCATTTAAATCTGTTCACTGCCTCCAAAGGCCTCCATACTTGCATTGATGTCTTTCCTCCTCTCCCCATTATAAATATTGAAACTCTAGAAAGTTGTCCTAAATTGAGTTATTTCTCTGGCTTATCAGATATCTTTTGCACACGAATGTATCCAATCCCCACATATTTAAGAATAATGAACCTACAAGACAAATATAAGGTTTTACTTATATTTTTATTTTGCTTTTAAAATTGTAAAATATAATCACCCATATTCAAAAATACAGAGACAGATGTATAATTTAATAAGGTACAACACGGGTAACTCCAGAGTAATTTTCAGGTCAAAAAGTAGGAGGTTGCCAGCCTACCAGAACCTCCCGATGTGTCCTTTCTCTAGAGCTTGATTGTTTCACTCAACATGATATTTTTAAGAGTCCTCTGTGTATGATATATAAATGTAGTTCTTTTTTCTGTTCCCTTTTTTCTGTTGATTCTCCTGCCTCAGTCTCCCAAGTAGCTGGGATTACAGGCATTCACCACCATGCCTGGCTAATTTTGTATTTTTAGTAGAGACGGGGTTTCTCCATGTTGGTCAGGCTGGTCTCGAACTCCCGACCTCAGGTGATCCACCTGCATTGGCCTCCCAAAGTGCAGGGAATTTAGCATGTGGAAATACCACAATGACTTAGGCATTTCAAAGATTACAGATAGTTAGGTCAGTTTTTGTTTCTGGGGATTCTAATCAGGCTTCTAAGAATATTCCCATACATGTCTTGTGGTACACATGCGCACTAGTTTCTCTAGGGTGTGTACCTAGGAGTGGAAGTGCTAGTCATAGAGAATGAATATTTTGATTTTACTATATAACATCAAACTGTTTTCTAAAGTGGTAGTACCAGCAATGTGTGAGAATTCCCATTGCTCCACATATTCTGTAGTGTGAGACTATTTAATTGCAACAAATGTGGTTGTTGGTTTGTGATACCTCATTTCAGTTTTACTTTGCATTTTCTAAACATTTTTTTTTTTTTTTTTGAGACAGAGTTTTGCTCTTGTTGCCCAGGCTGGAGTGCAATGGTGCGATCTCAGCTCACCACAACCTCCACCTCCTGGGTTCAAGTGATTCTCCTGCCTCAGCCTTCCAAGTAGCTGGGATTACAGGCATGCACCACCACGCCTGGCTAATTTTGTATTCTTAGTAGAGACAGGGTTTCTGCATGTTGGTCAGGCTGGTCTCGAACTCCTGACCTCAGGTGATCCACCTGCATTGGCCTCCCAAAGTGCTGGGATTACAGGCATGAGCCACTGCGCCCAGATGCATTTTCTAAACTTCTAATGAGGATGATCACCTTCTCATACATCTATGGGCCATTGAATAGTCTGTTTTGCGGTGTGCTTGCTCAAATCCTTTGCCAGTTTTTCTATGAAGGTTCTTGTCATTTTTGTTTTTCATTGTATGCAGATTTTTAAAAATATCTTTTGGATATGTTTTCTTTGCCAGTTTTTTTCTGACAAATACAGTCTATCACTTTTTATTTTCTTTATGATATCTCTAAATGACATCATAAAGCTCTAAATCCTAATGATGTGCATTTGATTAACTTCTTTCTTTATAGTTATGGCTTTTTGTGTCTGGTGTAAGAGTTTTCCAAGATCTGAAATCAAGAAGATAGTCTGTTAATGAACTACTAAAATCTTTAATATGTAGGTCTATAATACTCCTGGAATTATTTTTTTATGGAATGAGTTACAATATTTATTTCCCAAAACATACTCAAATGTTATAACATTATGTATTGAAAAGTAAAACTTTCCCTTTCACTTGGCTATAATACCACTTACATAAATCAAATGTCTGTGTATACATGAGTCTCTGTGTGAGAATTCTATTTTACTCAGTCTATCTATTTTGTCTACCCAAGCACCACTGCCCTGCGATCTCTATTGTTACTACATGACAATAAATCTTGATATAAGGTAGAACAATTCCCTTCCACGCTGTTCTTCTTTGGGGGCTTTACTTATAAATTTTAGAATGAACTTGTCAAGTTTCACAGAAATAATAAACAATCAAAAACAAGAAGAGGTTTTTAACTGAAATAGCATTAAATCTGTGGATCAATTTATGGAGAATTGACCTCTTTACAATATTTAGCCTTCTAATCCATGGACACACCTATTTTTCAATATATTTTTGTCTCCTGTAAAATTTCCCAACAATGATTTTATAGGGATATTTTTGGCAGAGGTTTTCTTTTTTTTCATCTCTTTTCAAAATTTATTCGAGGTATTTGGTATTGTTGGTGTTACTGTGTACATGGTATTTTTTTCCTGTTTGTTACTGTTGTATAGGAAAATGGGTTACATCTGTTTATTGATTTTGTATATAGAAACATTGTTAGACTCTGTCATTAATCCTCATGATTTATCTGTAGTTTTCTTCATGTTGTTTGAGAATGACAGTTTCTCCCCCTCATTTTAAGCTTTATACTATCTTCTTTTCTTTTTTTTTTTTTGAGATGGAGTTTCACTCTTATTGCCCAGTACATATTCAAAATACAGATGTTTTATAACTTGTCTCCAATACTTCCATTATATGAGATCCTGTGGATCTTTGTTTTGTCTTTGTCTCTGCTGGTTGTCACCATCAACTTTTGTAGGCTTGACTGTTTTTAAACATGTTGGTAATTATAATTGAAAAGTTGTTTTTCAATGTGTTGAGGAGTTTATGTTAAGGTCAGTTCTGACATAGTAGTTTTGCAGTTGCTCCTGCTGGGTGACTGGTAGGATTATCAGCCTGAAATCATTTTAAGTCAAGTTGAGATTTCCTGATTAGACAACTTGAAAAGGGGCTGCAATTCCTTGAAAGGGCTATACTATTTCTGGTTCACTTTTACCCTGAGGATGTAACCTACCATGGTCCTAGCTCACTACGGGGGGTAAGCCCCACTTGTTGCCTGCTCTGGGCTTCTGTCACTGTTGCCCTACAAGCAACCAAGACGTAGGTTCTGAATTTCCAGTATTAACAAATGCCTTAAGACCAAAAGTAGCTTCTGTGCTCAACTATCTCTCCAGGTTCTTGTTTTCTTTTTCAATTTTGGCTTAGTAATTAATCCTTACTCTCTATTAGCTCTTCAGTATTTTTAAAACGGCATAGGGGAGAAATATATATAATATATTTTTTATGTACAGTGTGAAAAAGCTAGGATTGCTTCTGGCTGCAAGTAATAGCGCACACACACACACAAAAGTGGCTTAAGCAAATAAGGAATTTGCTATTTTTCACATGACAGTACCAGAAGTTGGTAGTCCAGGGTGGGTACAGAAATTCCATGAATCCTCCCTGAACCCAGGTTTCTTTTACTGTTTCCTGCATTCTTACTTTGAGCTTATTTAGTCACAAGTTGGCTTCTCCATCTAGGAGGAGGGGAAAAGGCCTAACAGCATCAGAAATGGGGTAATGTAATTTTCAAGATGGGCACATTGCCTAACCCAACAAAATCACAATTCTGACATTCAGGTGAGCAATTAGCAGCTTCTGCCTAGTGTTTGTGCAGGTAATATGTGAATGCTAAAGAAACAAGTAAATGTAAGGCAATGTTTTTATATTTGCTAAACATGTTTTCTTCGAATAAATTTTAGATATATTTACTTTCAAGAGCATATGAAAGTTGGAAGAAAATTTAAATTTCACCTAATTCAATCTAGAAATCGGATGCAGAATGTTTTTCTTTAACATCACTAACAGATGTTTACTAGTTTCTTCATGACAAATTCTGACTTCAGCTTGAAAAAGTTATCTGGTTAATAGATGATAACCAGCTTAGCATATTTTCTAGAAAACATACTGAGAACATAAAAATAAACAATAAAATAATAAAAACATACAACACTGAACATTATAATTGTTAATCTTTTGTTAGAACCAGAGTAGATTTTCCATTAATTGAGAAATGTATTTGATATCTTACTCATGCTTTGTTTCAAGAAGATAAGCAATTCTTCCCATCTGAGAAAAGATAAAAAAATCTAAATTCTTCTTCAGTCAAATGGCTTCTGGCTCAAATAATTGTTTTGTACAAACCAGGAAAATGAGGGGCTATTTTTTTTTCCTCTGGAATTGCTACTTTGTGGGATTATCCTAGTGTTCCTACATTCATTCAGAGACTACAACTTCCAAACACAAACAGGGAGAGACTTGCAATGTTGCACTGAATTCAGATAACTTAATTCCCCAAGTGAAATACAGTAAGCAGGATCAGAGGAAGTCTGAAGAGCTAGATTAAAGTACATTCCAAGGATTGCAGTTTTTCCTGGATTCCAATACATTACTGTGGGAGAGAATCAGATAGGAGGAATTAAAAAGGATTTACCTCAGTATAGCAGAACTGCACAAAGGGCATGCTTTGTATACAAAAAAAGATGGTGAGGTAGCCATGCATGTATATTAGCCATCCACTCATTTATTCATTTAGCAACTATTTACTGAGCATCTACTACATGGGAGAATAGGCATGGGACATACAGCAGTAAACAAAACAGACTAAGTCCCTGCCTTTCAAAGAGCTTACATTCTAACAGAAGGAAACAGACAAATATAAAAACAAAGATTTGTCAAGTAGTGAAGATGATGGGGTAAATACTACAGAAAGGCAATCTTATGAAAAAATGCTCAACGTAACTAATTATCAGGGAAATGCAAATTAAAACCACAATGAGATACCACCTTACTCCTACAAGAATGGCTATTATAAAAATAGATGATGACATAGATGTGGTAAAAAGGGAACACTTTTACACTGGTGGTAGAAATGTAAACTAGTACAGCCACTATGGAAAACAGTATGAAGATTTGTTAAAGAGCTAAAAGTAGAACTACCATTTGATCCATCAATCTAACTACTGGGTATTTATCCAAAGGAAAGAAGTCAATATATGACAAAGACACACGCACACACGTTTATAGCAGCACAATTCACAATTGCAAAAACATGAAACCAACATAAATGCCCATCAACCAATGAGTGGATAAAGAAAATGTGGAATATATACACCATGGAATACTACTCAGCCATAAAATGGAATGAAATAATGGCTTTTGCAGCAACTTGGAAACTTGGAGGGAGCTGGAGTTCATTATTCTAAGTAAAGAAACTCAGATATGGAAAATCAAATATTGTATGCTCTCATTTATAAGTGTGAGCTAAGCTATGAGGTTGCAAAGGCAAAAAAATGATCTAATGGACTTTGGGGACTTGAGGGAAAAGATGGGAGGCAGGTGAGGGATAAAAGACTACATATTGGATACATTCTACACTGCTACAATGTACACTGCTTGGGTGATGGGTGGACCAAAATCTCAGAAATCACCACTGAAGAACTTATCCATCTGACTGAAAACCACTTGTACCTCCAAAACTATTGAATTAAAAGACAAAAAAATGAAAGAAAGTCCAAGATCAAGACACCTGCAGATTTGGTGTCACTGGATACCTTGGTCTTGGTCTTCCAAGACTCCAGAACTTGAAGAAACAAATTTCTGTTGTTTATAAACCACCCAGTTTGTGGAATTTTGTTGTACCAGCCCAAGTGAACTAAGGCATTTAGTTTCACTTTTTTGTAACTTGAGATAATGATATCTTTACTTCATAAGTCATAGACTTAAGCTTTTGCAAATAAAAGCATGAGCAACTAATGGAGCTAGAAAGTGCTGAAGTCAAAAACCAACATTTGGAGGTCTTTGTAAACTTCCAAAGACCATAATATTTTCCTTTTTTAGGGCTGCCATGCTGCTTAATTGCAAAGGATACTATTCACAGAGCATTCTATGTCTTGACCAAGAATTGTACAGTCAGGCTACTTTCTGGCCATTGTTTTGTTATCCAATGACACCATTCAAAAAAGAAAAAGCAATACACAATCTAGTCTACAGTTTCAGTTTATCACTCTTCCACATCTCTTCCCATCATACTTTGTATCTATTTGAATACTCTATTCTAGCATCTATTTCATTGTGGTACAATTGTTTGTATGCATACTGGTACCTCTCCTTATGTTGTAGGTTACTTGAAAACATACATAGAATATTAGTCACCTTTGCTTCCTCAGTCTTACATAAATATTAAGTCAGTGAACCAATAAACTTTAAAAATTAGAATTGTAAGCTTCCTTTTCTTTTTTTTTGTCTGTGTATGTCTTTTCTCACATATTTCTAAGACATGTGACACAATATAATTTAGCGTCAGTTGCCAAAACAGCTCCAAACAGTTTTATCCTCTTATTTAGGGCATGCTTGTGAATGGTCTTTCATGTGGTTTTAGTAGTCATTCTTTTAAAAGAAGCTGGTATTGTAACCATAATCATACATCTGGGCAGACACAGATAGTCCATTATTTTTTTAAAGCCAGCCAAAGAGTTTTTCAAGCTGTTTGTCAGAACCATTGAAGGCAAAATATTTGAACTTAGCTTAGGCGACAGGGGTTGTGTGATGAAGAAAATGCACCAACATTTTTAATGATTCTTTCTCTACACATCTTAAATTCTCTATTCATAAAACACATGTTTATTTCACAAGTATCTGATACATAAAATTTGGCAAATCTATGAAAACACTCAAAACACTTTGCTATATAGTGATAATTATTTACATATTAGTGCATAGAACACATACTCTTTAAATTTTGTTGGACATTTGAGTTGTTATCATATTTTTTGTTCTCATTAAAAAATCCACAACTCTGATTATTTCTTTAGGATTAATTCCCAAAAGTGGAGAGGGGTTTGATTAATTAATTAGTACATTGAAAATATAATACATGGTGTTTGGACAGTTTAAGTGGCTTAGTCAATTTGTGGCAGGTCTTCTATGACTACCTTGATGGAAGAGCTACATACATTAGCCCTTCCTTCTCTCTGTGCCAGTGACTCTGCGATTCTGCTAGAAATAATGACATTTATCCTCCTTCGTAGCCCAGCTGTGGTGGCATTTCCTCCATTCTGTTTTCACTCTTAATACAATCACATAAGCGTTACGATTTCCAGACATTAGACAAAATTATTGTTGGTGCTTCATATCCTGTCTTTTCAACACTGATATACATTTATTATTTTATTTGGATTATGCAGTCTCAATGGAACTCTGCCAATAAGAGGAATCAAATGTGCGTCCTCAGCCTACGGTATTGATTCTGCAACACAGAGCGGGGATGGGGGAATGAGAAATGCTGTTGACTTGCTCCGCCTGGGGGCATGCTACAGCCCTCAAATGGGAGCTGGAGAGAGAGAGAGCACATTGTTCTTGGCCTCACCTGCCTGGAATGGAGCGTTCATGATGTCGAGCTTGAAAGGAAAGGAAGGGCACCTGTCATGTCACCTGTCAAATGCCACAGACTCATGCTTCTTCAGATATTTAGTATATTTTCTTGATTGAATATGTTTGCATTTGCTGTATGCCCTAAGAACAGTTTCCAGAGATTGTTAAGTGATTTTTAAAATATAATTTTCCCAGCTATGGTTGTGACACTGGGAAAAGGATCTGCTGAGCTCCTCACACTGCTATTCTGGAAGTAGTTCTCCATCATTTTTTTTTAAGCCTCTTAGTTCTAGGGTAGTTATTATGCAGCAAAGGGTATCTGAGGCATCTGTTATTATTATTATTATGATTATTACTCCTATAACCATTTATTTCATTGAGTATATATACTCTGTCTATGAGTACTCAGAACAGTAGGGATGTATATGGTGATAGTAAAAGACACTACTTGTATAACTACATATTTAACAATTCAGTTGGTGATTCAAAAGATACTCATGAAATATTGGGAGAAGGGAGATGGAATTAACTAATATTTATTAAACACATCTTATGGGTCAAGAGTTTGTATACATTACTTTTTCATTTTCTCAAAAGCACTGAAGTAAAATACATTCTCATTTCACATTTAAAGAAAATGAAACTCTGAGAACTTAAATTATTTGCGCATGCTGGCTCCACGGCAAGTTTAGAGTTGAGATTTCAATCAACATTTAACTGATTCAAGTCTTTGATTTTCTTACAGGTTAGTGATCAACCAACAAACAGAAGACTATAAGAAAATGTATAATAGACTAATTTAAAATATAAATTTCATAGAAATTTAAATAATGATGAATCTGTTTGAAGCTAAAATCTTATGGAGACTTGAAGGAAATAGGAACTGAATTGGACTCAATACTAATTATAAGAGAATGTGTTGGTGGAAAGATTTATTCTTGAAAGGTAGCACATGAAAAATAAAGGTACGGTGACAGAAATCCATTTGTCTGTGGAAAATAGTAGGATAAGTTTGGCCAGAATTAAAATGTACCTATGATACATTTATGATAGGTGTTTGGTAAATATGTGGGAGTTTATGAAATTGTTCTTGAACAGTAGGTAGAATAGATTCAATGGGTCCATCAATACAGGATTCCTTGATGCCTGAGGAATGTGAACTTTATCTAAAAATTGACCACATGGTCAAGATCAGAAAGGCAGGAAAATGAATGGAAAATAGATGGTAAAAACAGGATTCCTTGATTGCCTGAGGAATGTGAACTTTATCTAAAAATTGACCACATGATCAAGATCAGAAAGGCACAAAAAAAGAATGGAAAATATATGTTAAAAAACTAGATTAGTTATGACTGTTCACTTACGTACTTATATTTGTATAGTCTGACTGGAATAAGTTCCTGTTGATTTGTGGGGTAAATGTTTACAATTAGAGTAAACCATTTACTCCTCTGAAACAGACAGGTTATAAGGTTGCATAAATTTAAACTATTTGTCTGAATAGAAGCAGAGATGAGAACATGGCCTTTAAACAATAAAGGGCATTTTAATATGACACAAATCAGTTGGCTTACTTGCTACCTTAATCCTATTTCAATAAATGGTCTTTTGTTACTCTCTTGACTTAACCAGCCACCAGAAAGATTTATCCATCTCAGACCCTTACAAGTTGACAATTGTTTGACCCTCAATTCCTAGGTTCTATGTCAAGTCCAAGAATTTCCAGTGGGCTCTGGAGAATAAGTTAATGGAAGCCTAGTCTATTCTTGAGAAGCTAGTGGGGCGTGAGGGTTGGGGGAACTAAATGCCCAGGTAAATTGATTGTCTTTTACCTGCCGGGAAAGGATTTGCTGAAATTAAGTACATATCTTGAGTTAGGACCAGGTGAGCTGGGAAACCAAAACCATAAGTCAGAGAAGGAAATCTAAACTGTTCAACAAAAGTAATGTTAGAATGAGGAAATCAGAAGGCCAGCAATAAATAAGTGAGATACCTAAAGTTTGGTTCTAGGCAAATATCAGTGATGGCCAAGGTTGGCTTTTGAGAATTTTGTGTGAATTGATATGTGGGAGGGACAACTCATGCAAAAGCTGGTAGCAAGAAAGAGTACTTTGACAGTGAAAAATTAGCAACATTTTTAAATAAGAGAATCACTTTTTATAGAAGAATACAAAATTAAAGTTCATAGGGCAGGAACACCTCTAGTAATAAGAAACATGTTACTTTTTGAAGAAATCTATTCATTGTTGAACATGTCGAATTTTAAAAACTATCTCCCTTGTATTGCACTGAACTTGCCATCACCAAATGGACTGTTAAAAGTGCCTTCCACATGGCAGATCTTCAATATTTGATGACAGCTAGAGTGGTTCAATTTTAAATCTCTCCTAAATGCTAAATCTCTTCGTCCCATCAAGTGTTTCTTGTGTAATGTCAACTCTTTCTCTGGAATCATTCAGAATGTCAGTATTTTTTCAAATGGTCACTTTATGCTACAGCATCCACAAGCCTTTTCCACCTTGGTCTGAATATCACATAACACACACAAGTCAGTATAGTAAGCCAGTAGATATTAGATTCAGAATCTGAAAGACAGCTCAGGCACGTATTAGATGTGTGTCCTTAAAAAAGGAAATTAACCTTTCTTAGCCACTCTTTCCTAATCTGCAAACAGTTGGTATCTTTGTGTAGTTATAAGAATTGAATGACCTAATATTTACATCTAAATAAGTGCTATTATTAATAATAATCCAATGTATTTTTATCAATTTAATACTAGTATCTTGTACTGGCTTTATGTCTACTTGAAGCCCAACATTTTTCATGTGAATTGCTCTTAAGCTAGATTGCTCACATATTGCACTTTTGCAATTAATGGCTAAAAACAGGAAGTTACAAGTTTCCCAATTCTATTTTGTTTTTGACAGTTAAGCCCATATTTACAGTGTATTGAAAAGTTTATGAATACTGATCTGTGAATTGGCTGAATTGGCTGAATCTTCTGAATTGGCTACCTCTAAAACCATTATGAAATATTCAGATTTCTTTCTTTCAATGGACATTTATGGAGTTCCTTCCATGTGTCAAAATGGGCATAAGAGACAGCAGAATCAAAACACATGCAATTTGGTGAATATTATAAGTCAGCTGTGGATTCAACAAATATTAATTAATATCTTTATTCTGAACCTATACTTGTGTTAAAGGTATAAAAGTATTATCTCATTTAATCTTCACCCTACCCTATGAGGTAGATACTATTATTATCCCTGTTTTAAAGATGAAAAAGCTGAGCCTATATGCCTAACTCTAAAACTTTCTTACTCATGAAATCCTAAAAGGAGAAGTTAATTGCCACTGTTCTGTGAAAGATGGATGGTATATGTAGCATGTGCTTGGAGTACCAACCTCATTTCTGGCTTAAACTTTTCTTACTTTTCGTTAATTGTTTTCTTTTTCTAGATGCTGTTTTCATGTTTTAGTATAAATATTATTATAGGCTATGCTAAATTTCTTTTTGGAACAAGAGTGAAAATAAATAATCAGAGTGTTTGATAACAATCATTTCTATATTTTCAAGCCAAGGCCAAGAAGAAAAACTAATAGACATGACTGACTTCTTTAGGTGACATAAATCAATTTTCTTGCATATCATTATTTAATGAACTACTTACTCACATAATACTTGCTCTTATTCTCCATCATTATATCACAAAAGACCATCCAGTGCTTTTTTGAAATCTAGAAACATATTAATTTCTCCAGCATTCTCCTTGTCTACAACTGAGATCATCTCTTAGAGAAGAAAAGAAAGCTTAGTAGTGCTGGGTTGCTTTTTAATAATTCCACAACGAAAACAAGCTACCATTCTTTGCATTTCTAAGACACATGAACCATCTGTTTATGTCTTAGGGTTTCTTTGTGAAGCATTCACTTGTAAAGTGATATTCTTATTTTCAGAATATATGGTATTTTGTGCTGCTTTGAATACAATGAACTAGATTATTTTTGCTGGTGAACTTCTCTTGAGGGCCTCCCCAGCCAAAAAAAAAAAAAAAAAAAAAAAACACCTCTTTGGACAGCTCCACTTACTCTCAAGACCTATTAGGGCACCACTTTTGAAACTGTTTCTAAGATGCTTGGGAATAAAGAGCTTTAATGACTTACAATAATAGTTTACAAAATGGTACCTCAGTGATTCGAGAGAGTTTAATGCGCAGGCAGGGCAGAATTTACCTACCAGCTCACTATCAAGGAGTCAAGCTTCATGATTTCTAGGCTAGGCTTTGTCATTAACTGATTGTGTGACTATGGCAAATCATTAACCTTTCTAGTTCTCAGTTTCTGCATCTGAAAAGTAGGAGAGTTGGGTCGCGTTATCCCCAAGAGTTGCTGCCTGCTTCCCAAAGTCATGATTTACAAGAAGAGACTCAACCTTAATATCCAGCAAAACCAAAGGATTATATGGCAATGCTGTGAGTATATATGTATACATAATACGTAGATCACAATAAGTTAAGTACCATAATTAGTGGCATAATAAAGCTTAATTTATTATTTGAGACGGACCCTCTGAAATATATTCTTTTTTCACCATGTATTACATAATGTTCCTCTACAGGTCTGTTTTCTACTTCTTGCTTATTTAAAATTGTTTTTATTAAAATCTCACTTTTTGACTGCAATAGTGAAACAACTACCCCTAGAAAGCACTTGCATAGGCTCTCCAAAAGAAGAAAAGTTGCTGTTTAAAAATTACAGATTAATTTACTACATGACTTATTGATCAAAGATTTGGGAGTGACAAGGTCAGAAGAGATTTGAGACTCATAAGATCGATGTAATGTATGTTGAAAAGTCTAACGGTTAATAAGTAATAGTTAAATTTTAATCTAGGAAGTAACTTGAGCTTCCTAGGTTCTGAGGACCTCAGGTTAAAGTCTCAAAAAGATGGTCCACCCTAAATTTTACTGGCATAACAGTTTTTCTGAGACTACAACCAGAAAGTTGCTTGTGATAGAGCTTAAATCAATCCTTATATCTCTATTCACAAGCTCCATCATTGGCCTTCCATGACTATATGTGTAATGCATTGGTTTCTAGAGCTGCTGTAATACAACTGTCTTTCCATAAATAGGTGCCCAGTAATACCAGTTCCGCCAGCAAACTGGAAATTCTGGGAGCACTCTTAGCAATATTTTGTGTCCTGCAGGTTGCCAGAGGTATTTTGCAGAAAAACTAGATTTTTATATTTTTGTAACATTTCATCACTGGGTTAGGGCTCCTGAGAATGCACCAACCAGAGGCTGCTACAGAACCCCTCTTCCTTAAGGGAATACCTCAAGGGTTGAGTCAATTAGGGCTTTGCAGAGATTGGCTTACATTTTGTGAAAACTTTAAGACAATAATTCCAGTACACAAAAGTGTTTATACCATGCACCTTGAAAATCATCAGCAATCACTCCGGCAGTATTTACCATAGGAACACAATAATGGTTCCACTCTTTAAATTGTTACTTGCGTTTTCAGATTACTATCATCATTGTTGTTATTTTTAATATTGAAGGGAAAGGTGCTAAAATTATTTTGTGTCAACCATAGATAAGAATTTAACATTGAAGTTAAAATTATATACTTTCCGGGAAAAGAAGGTAAATACTGGATTCTTTTCAAACCTAGCTTCACAGAACAATGCATCCTTTGCAAATGCATTAAATATAAAGTAATTTCTTACCCTTTCATTTACAATTTTGTATTTGAAATGTGAGAGAAGGTGCTATACAAGGAGAGAAGAGTTTTAACAGGGGAGCTGCAGAAAAATACAACTTTGGATGAAATCTATGGTGCAGTGTGAGCATTTATACCAATAGCATTCACTAGTAAGTTTCAACAAGGGCACCTGCAGCAGAATTCTACTAACTTGCCCAATTTTCATGTGAAGCTGAATTTTTGCAAAGTAATGATAATGTTGTTTTGTTCTTGATAGTAGAAAATACAAGAAGGGTACAAGTTAATCAAAACTAGCATCCTGAGAATCCTGATTCAATGTCAGTAGCTTAGCTTTCATTGTAATAAAAGTTACCAGCCATTGTATTTGCTGGCAGTGAGTTAATTCCATAATGGCATTGGCTATGATACAGTTTAAGGGAAATTGTGGAGTAGAATCTGTCAGCACAAATCTTGAGTAGGAGTAAATGTTTTGCAGCACACTGTGTGCTTCCATGTCCATCTGGCGTTCTGAAATAAGAAAAGCCAGGGAGGTCTACAAAATGTGCTTGATGGTACATTTGAGAAAGAGAAATTCAGAAAGTGATACATATTCATATTTTTGTTTTTTTACAATACCTATTAGCAAAGGACACTGGACTGGACTGGCTATAGCTTTATTTGCCTAAAATAAATTTTAGAGAGACTCCACCTCACAATGAAGACAAGCATGTTGTTTACATGCCTTTTAATTTGTTAACAATAAAAAAATTATAAACAAAATTTTGACTCTAAAAGTGTCAGAGGTCCAGTTTCCAGACCAAAATGGAGACATATGCTTCTCCAGTGCACAATGCCAACCTCGCATTGTTTAATTTTATCAAATTATATATGTATGTAACATTTTGATATAAAATCCTCAATGCAACAAGAAAAACAACTTGAAAACAAAGAAAATGATAGAGGAAAAACACCTTTACCCCTATTGCCAAAAGATGATTGCTTTAAACATTTTGATAAGAGCCCTTCCAGTATCACACATATTTACACATTCAAATTATATATGCATTTCCCTCCAAAATATTGCTTACATATTACTTTGTTGCCTATTCTATTCATTTATATGGTAATATAGCATAGACATTTCCACAGAACTGTAAATCTTCACCTATAGTTTTTATACCACTTATGTTTAGAAATTAGCTTTCTAACCAGATTCTAACTTGATGTTCATCTAGTTGTTTTTGAAAAATAATCTGTTTCATTGCTGGATGCAACACCACTGCTTGCTCATTGTGGTTGGTATAAAGAGATAAAACTTCAGGGACACCTGCCACGCGGCACCTGATGCACCCAGAGAGCCTTCTTCCTCATTGTGTACCCACTGGTTAACCGATGGGCAGCATGGGGCAAAACTTTCATCAGGTACTATTTCCTGGGACAGAATCCAGAATGGTGGGATGCACCCAGCATCAGAGAAGGACATTTCATATTTCAACTGAAATAGTGTGTTGGAGCTCTGTTCATGTGAGGGTTATTAGTGATCAAGCAACAGCAGCCAGAAGTGGATGGTAAAAGGCCAGCTCATCTGATAGAGTGGCATTTTGCTTGGAAAAAGATGATGTTTTAATCTCCTAAACACCTCTTCTATATTCTGAATGTCTCTCATAAATTCATATGTTGAAGTCCTAACCCCACAGGTTAAAATTAGAAAATAGGAAGTGATTACATCATGAAATCAGAGCCCTTGTGGATGGGATAGTGCTCTTATAAAAGAGGCCCTGGAGAGGCCCTTGCCCTTCCCGTCATGTGAGGACATGGTGAGAAGGCACTGTTTATAAACCAGGAAACAGACCATCACCAGAGAACGAATCTGCCAGCATCTTGATCTGGGACTTCTGAGCTTCAGAGCTGTGAAAAATAAATTTCTATTGTTTATAAGCTACCAAGTATATAATATTTTGTTATAACAGCCCAAACAGACTAAGATAATCTGACTACTAGAAATGGCTATCATTAAAAAATGCTGTTGCCAAACAACTTAGCAGCACCCACGTTTTCTGTTTCAAAGCTTTTGCCCCTATTTTGGTGTCTATTCCCTCCATCCTCCAGGCCCAAATTCCAAATGTGGTCCAGTTGCCCTAGACTCTCCAGCCACTAGACACAACCATTTCCTATCTTGACTCCTACTAAAGTATTGTCAAGAATACATATGTTGTCTTTCTCAAGCACATTTTAAGTCTCAGCTTAATCATTATCTCTATCAAATATTTTCAATTCTCCACTTCACTCTGTCCCCTGAGATTTTTTATTCCTAGTGTCACATACAGTGCCTGGCTCACAAAAGCATATCAAGAAATATTGTGGAACTAATGGCTAAATGAATGAAAGAGTGATGTTTAAAAAAAGAACATAAACATGTATTTCTAGTGACGCGATGGAAGGCTTCTTGGTTCAAGCATCTCTCAAATCTCTCAAATCTAATGCAGTTTTGTGCCTTTTTATAAAATCAGACCTGAGTAGGCAGCACAGGGTTTTGCAATATCCTAACGTTGACACAAGACCTCCATTTAGTAGCTGGAGCTGCTTTATTGCTGCTGAAGGCTTAAGAAAATCAACTTTCTTCTGATATTTTCTAAACTCAGGAATTAAATAAAGCCTAAGGCCATTGTATTGGTGTTGTCCGTCTCATTTTCTTCAAGGTAAGATAAAGCTCCTGTTTGTCTACCAGACAGGCTTTCTCAAAGACTGAAGAACATAGAAACAGCTCCAGGTTTTCGATTTCCACAAAGCAATGTGAGGGAATGCTAGAGATAATAGTAATACACACTGCCTTCTCTGATTAACCCTGTCCCCAAATTCTGGCTCCAGTGGCTTTAGAAGTATACATTTTATTTAATGGGTATGATGTGCCCAAAGCAGCCCACTCTCTTTCATTTACTACCCACTGATTGTATTATGTCTAGTATCTTGATTATATTTGCACAGTGTCTCATTTTTTCTACCGATACAAACAAAGTGGCCAGGACTATGTCTTATTCTGTATTATTTCACTTGCTCCTAGAAAAGTACCTAGAATATAAGGTGACTTAAATCATTTCCTTTCCTAAATGCTTTGCAGTCTATCTGCTACTTCCTACATAGATGACATCAACTCTAGGACACATTTATTTAAAAAAATAGTTGTCTTTCCTTTGTTAGGTTATTTCTCTTTGGAAAAAGAAATTATTGCTGATGTTACAATAATTGATTTTTTTTTAAAATAGCTATTATTCTTTCTTAAGGAAATAATAATTGTGACATTTTAATAAAAAATATTCATTCTATGGTTTTTGTAAGAGTGACAGCACTGTGAGTACAGATTAACCTAACCTCTTCATCAGAAAAATTTAGTTATCCTTTATCTCTTCTTCTTTTCCAATTCATCCATCCATCTGTGAAAGTTTTTTTTTTTAAGATCCCAGCCTATTGATTAATCCCAGCAAGGCCTCAGCTGAAGACAAGAGAAGCCAGAAAGGTTAGTGGCTGGAAGGGCCACAGAGTAAGTAGATAAAGGCCAGAAAGCTAAAACAGCAGAAAGTATTTTGTAAGATTCGGAGAAAGCATCCTAGGTAGAAAATTGAGTGAGAGAGAAATTTCTTGTTCAACTCAACTCAACTCAACTCTATTCTCAGAGAAAAGAATGCATGAGAAGAAGAAAAAGTTACCAGAATACCCATGTTAATATGGATTAATCTAGTCCCTATAGTAATCATTATCCATTTCTTAAATCAGTCCTTCAAATGTTAGGTATCAGAGATAAAAATGTATAAAGAAGCCAAACAGATTGAATCCCTGGGTGGGGAAATATGACTTTTACTTACTCTCAGATCTTGTCATTGAAAACAATAGTTTTGAGTTAACTAGATATTCTTTAACTTGAAATTTTTCAGCGAATAATATGGGTAAGATCCTAGGAAACGTCTCACAAATAATAAGAGCATATGAACAATTCTTTATCTGATGACAATATTCATTTGCCATTAGCACTCATGTGAGTTAATTATACCTTTTAATAAAAAAACTCATTAGTTTTTATCTTGGTTTGGTGAAAAAATGTTTTTGCCCTCCTAGATTTCAAGTCTGTTCTTACATTGGAGAAGAAAATGGTATTTTTTTAATTCTCAAAATGCTATTTTACCTGAAGAATTATACAATTAAAAACTAATAATGAAAAAATTTAAGTGTAAAAGACCACAGGGGATATTTTCTAATTTAAAGGCAACATCCAAATGATACAATAACAAGAAGCTTTCTGTGTAAATTTTTTTGTCAAGGAACCTATTCAAGCTTATTAGAGAGGATTTTATATAAAACTTGGAGGGTTTTCATAACAAAGCATTTATTTTAAATAACATAATTTTGAGAAAATTCTTTTTTTCTTGAATACTGGTTACTCAAATGTTTCCTTAGAGGAAATGTTTCTAATAAATAGACAGAAAAACTGAAGTTTAAAAAAATCCTTCAAGTGGGTATAAGCTCTTTAATGTAGCCATTGACTTTACAGTTTTTTTAACCTAATGTATCTTACGTGAAGAGGTTCCCTCCACGGTTAATACTACATACTTAAGGCTTCCTATTTTGCTTAGAGAATAAATTAAAAATTAATGTTGATTCTATAAAGTTATATTTGCTGTAAGGAGATACAAATGAGCAGAGTATTTTGAAACGATTTGAAAATCAGAAACTGTGGCTAGGAACAAGTCAGTGGTAGATAAAATCTCTCCTTTTAGTTGATTTCAGATGCTAGCAATACATAAATATGAACCAAGCCAAAACCATTATAATTTTGAACCCCAGATGGAAGTTGTTTATGAACAACTAGAGAACATCCAGTTTATTTATAGTACAGAAATCATTAACACTTGAAAAACAAAAAAAAAAGCAATTACTGTATCTTCAACCGCGTAATGACCATGTTAGACAGAAGAATCACAAATTTAACTGCATCATTTTTAAATTTGGAAAACGAGAGAAAAATAACACTTTCAAAATTATAACACAAAAAAAGACAATTAAGTTGCTGCCATTATTCCTCAGGACAATAAAGTTCCAGTTTGGAAAAGACATAAAAGAATAAAAGTCATTAGAGAAATATTAAAATAAAATTAATTAGATGACAATAATTAGATGATGAACATTCTTCCATGTTTCACTCTCTCTTTCTTCTATGTTATGTATCTTCTTATATCCTTTCTTACTCAATTTCCCTTTTTTTGAGAGTCACAACTTTTACATCTCTTTCAAATATTTATTTTTTCCTTTTATATTCTTTCTAGTTATCGTGTGATGTTCCACCATAATGTCCCTCTTTCCCTTCCTTTCTATTTGTTTCTTTTCTATTCTCCTCTTTGTCACTGCAGAAGAAAGAAGAGTACCATTGGAAGGAAGCTCTAAGGAAACAGTTTTCTACTCAGAAGAATGAAGAACTTTTGGAAATCTGAGCATTATCTGAAATTGACACAAACAACTTTTCCGGGAGTGACCCCCTTGCTTTAAGAGATGTGCAGGAGGAAGATGGATAGTTAATTATCAGAAAAGTTGTGGAGAAAGCTTACATTAAGTAAGAGATTGAACTGAATGACCTCTAAATTTCATTTCAGTGCTAATGTAATATGCTTCTATGACTGTCTCTTGAGCAAAGCAGACGGAGAAACTTCCCATGATGCTGTATCATTCAGCACTATTTACAGAGGTAAATGATCATTCATATCTATTTTCCCCTCTGACTAGGAAAGTGAAAAAATCTTCACCAAGACTATACTAAACAAGTATTTGGTTATGCTCAGGTTAGATAAATCTTTTTTCTGTTCTGCTTTTCTGTTTCATTTTATCATCCATTTTTTTTCTTCTTTCTCTTGCTTCTCTTTTTCTTGCCATATACCCATCTCCTCAGTTTCCCGCTTTCTTCATCTCATTCTCTTCTCTTTTCCATCTTTTTCCTTTAGTCCTCATCCTATTCTTTCCCCCTTCTTTTTGTACTCCTGTTCTTACCTGAGGGCTTGCTTTAGGCATTACCATTCAGTCCCAGAGCTCAGAGCAATTAGTTATTAGAGAAGGAAAGGAGAAACTCTCTGGCCTGTTTCTGAAAAGATTACTTCTCATCCCTCCCCTCCCTTGACACCCCCTCCTACCAATGCCCGCTTTCCCCTTTAAATATTGATAGTATCACACTAGCCGCTTCCTAATGTAACTGTGGCTGGCACTCTGCAGAGGCAAGGGGAGCTGCAGGTTCTGTAGCAGGTAAGTGACTTGTACATGTTTTCCTTCCATTAGTTGCTCTTCTGTAGTCTCTGGGCTTCAAGCTTGCCAAGGACAGAAAAACCCTTATGTGTGTCAATAGATTTACTACCCAGGGAGAAGCTCCACTTCTGGTGCAAGCTATAAATTTTTCTGATACTTATCAGAAAGTGCAGAGGCTATTCTCCCAGCAGGAGGAAAGGTCGGCTTCTGTTCATCAGAGGAACAACTGCTCAGTCAAGATTCCAGGCATTGATGTCTTGGTGCTTCTGAGTTGAAGAAAGAAAACCCATTAGATATGGGGCTCTCTGCTTCCAAATATTGTTTATTCACAAGGCATCCTGCTGAACTATATCTGTGCCTACATCTCTCATTGGTTTGAGTGTGCCCAGAATAAGGGCAGTGTATTTTCTGAATTTCAGTGCAGCAGCAGCAGGTCCTGGAGAATTATGAAACAGCTGAGTGCTTAAATGTGTATCACTTAATTATGTGCCACATGTAATTTCAGAGCAGTTCTATTTATAGTGAAACTTTATTTTTAAAAAGCTTGTATTTCAAAGTGAGAGGCGATACAAATCATTTTAGACCCTGTAATGAGCTTTAAAATGTGACTCAAAGAAGCTATAAAATTGGGCAGCACTTCTAATGGGTCACATTTAGATCAAGATGGCAAAGAATACAATAGTGGCACAAAACCAAGCCCAAGGGCTGAAAATTTGAGACTTTTCTTGGTGAGTGTGTGTGTGTGTGTGTGTCTATGCCTGTTTGCATTTTGCTGTGTGTGTCGGTATGTGTGTGTGCTTGTGTTTTGCAGAGAGGTGATTATTGCTCGGTAGTAAAGATAGAGATGAAGTCAAAGGAAATTCAGGACATCTAACAGAAACTGGGAATTCATATAAATATCAAACAAGGTCAGATTTAGTATGATGCATATTCAAGATGAATTACTAATGAGGAAGACTTAGGTGAGAGGTAAGTATGTGACAGTGGGCAGGAGGAGCAGAGCTCAGAGAGCTGAAGTAAAGGAGGGCCCTGTCTGGGTTTTTGGTCATGAACCAGCAGCCAGGAGAGAGGGGAGATCCTGTGCCTTCTCCTCCACTAAGGTCAAAATGTGTGTTTATGTATGTCAATGTGTGTGTGTGTGTGTGTGTGTTTGTGTGTGTGTCCATGTGTTGAGGAGAGGGGAAATAGCTGGCTTATTAGAGGGCCCTCCATGTCTTGTAGGCAGATAGATTTCTATCTTTTCCTGCTTTGGCTATGGTATAAAGTATGACTAAAAAAAGAGATCCATTTTTTTCTTCACTAAGTGAAGGCAGGAATGATTGAGGACTGTAAATCATTTGGGTGGACCTAGAGGGATACTCAAAAATACATTGATCTGTTCTACAAGTGACTGTAGCCCTTCATCACCTAATGAGGAATAGCTGTTTGTCTTTTCTCTTCCTCTGTCCCCATCCATCCCACATTCTACCCATGGAGATTGGTCTCAATCTCTAGCAATTCAGCTAGAAACGCAGAGAGTGTGCTTAGCTTTAGAGTTGGCACAACACCCAGGTCTGTGGGGGAAGTCTTGATAAGGAGAATCAGTGAAAACAATTTCAGAAGCATGATCATCAGTTGATTGAATGTTTCTATTTTCTGAGACTGACTGTGGCATAGGGGAGATAGAGCTGCATATTTCTCACTGGTCTTAGCAGCTCTCTCTTATACTTCCTACTCACTTGCGCATCTACATTCAGCCTGAAATTTTACGCCTACTTTTAGGCCCAATCTCTAACCAAATTTGAATTATAATTCCAACATCCCATCCGCAATGCTTCTCCTTTCACCATGAATCTTAGCTCAGTGCCCACACACTTAGGTTTGCCAAAGCAAACTCATGCCAGTAACGGTTTTAAAAAGCAACCAAACAATAGCCAAGAGATTAAATGCATTTTCAAGATCTATCACAATACACATTATGGAAGTAAGAATGAGAAGACTGGATTTAATCCAACGATCCGCAGCAAAATATCACTTCTTCAATTTTTTTAAAAAAGCCAGTCTCTTTAGATATGGCTTCAAGGCCTAGAGTAGTACTCTGAAAAGATAAAATTATATCTTGTGGAATGTTACTAATTAGCTTTCTGTGGTTTGATTTTTTAATACTAAAAGACGAAGTATGAATCTGAATATTAGCTCATAAATTAGAGTATTGTCATAAATATCACTATTAACAACAGATAATATGGCAGTAATAAAAATTACTAGTAATAATAATATAGCGTTATACTTATTTAGAGATTATAAATTCTGTGTTATGTTCAATGAGTGCTTAGTATTTATAGAATGCTAATATTTTTCACATATATGCTTTTCTCATTCTTTTAACAATTCAGGAATCTTGTCTCATTCACATCTAAATCTTTCACATGCCTAGTACTGCAACTGGTGATACGGACTGGAGGCAGGGAAATACTTGGTAGAAGAGGGCGGGGTCCTTGGCAAGGACTCCACCCTCAAGCCTGGACCCTTGGCCCAAAGTGCAAACTCTCCCTGTTTTCTTGCCCAAATGTTGCCTTTTGGCTCACCCCACCTCCTATCCTGTGCCTGTAAGAACCCCAAACCCCAGACTCAGCACACACACACACACACACACACAAGAAAAGAAGCAGCTGGACATCAGAGATTATGGTCAGAGAGGAGTTCTGCCAGGGATAATCAGAGAGGAGCTCAGCCAGGGAGGGCTGGACTCCAGGGGAAGATTATCTTCCCACTTTGCCCCCTTTCTAGCTCCCCTTCCCACTGAGAGCCACTTCCATTGCTCAATAAAGTCTTTCACATTCACCACCCTTCAATGTATTTGTGTGACCTAATTCTTCCTGGACGCTGGACAAGAACTTGGATACCAAAGGGAAGGATATAAAAGGCTGTCACCCTGACCCTCCACTGAGCTGGTTAACACTTAGCTGTCCATGGACAGCAAATGCTAAAAGAGCACTGACTGTAACACACATCCTTTTGTGATCTGGGGGTGGGGGGGGTCATAGACACCCCCTACTGGAAAGCAGAGCTAAAAGAGCATCATAACACTTGGATGCTGCCACAAGGCCCACACAGAGCCTGCTCCCCACTAGACAGGAGTAACTGGCCAGTTCCAGCTTTTGTTCACTCTGGTTCCCGCACCCGTCCACTCATGGGCTCCCTCTCATAAAGCACTGAGCACAGCAGCTGAGTAAATGAGCCACCCCATTTGTGTGTCCTAAGAAGGGGTCAAGGGAATTCTCCCCTCTCACTGGTACATAGTTGACAAGTAGCAAATATTTGTTGGCTGAGGATGAGCAGCGCAGGCTTAATGTTTGTTTTGTGAATTCAGGACATATATCTATGACTTGGCCATCATCTGACTTAGCACAACCTTCTACAAGAGCAGACATTATCAATTCCTACTGTTCACAGATATCAGGTCATATATTTTATAATAAATGTATGCAAACTGTGATCCCATGCCAATTTTAGAAGATGCCATTACTGAATCTTCATCTGGAGACTGCCGGAAAGGCAGAGTTTTCTTGTATTCATATATTTATGGAGCATTGAGATTGGAGCAGCAATAGTTGGCTACCAAGAGGAATTCTTCCCAAAAATGACATTTTACAAATTTGACTTTCACACTTGGAATGGCTATGCAATCTTGCCACTGATTACTGGGACACTGCTCCAGGTTTCTGAGGATATTTGCTTAAATAAATAGTTCCGAATAGATTTGAAGTTATCTAAAATATTGTTGATAAACATTCTGTTATTCTTAAAAAAATTACCAGGGGAGATGATGGTGCCCTTGTAGGAGCAGTGACAAAGACAGACACCTGGGGGGTTGCTACGTGAGTAAGCACTTTGAGCCCTAGTGTCTTCATCCCACCTCAGATGTAATTGTGAAGAAGACCCTGGAAGCACATCAGAAACTAGAAACCACTATATAAATGTTAGTTGCTATCATATCTGTGAAATAGAGGTCACAATAGTACATCTGTCTTAAAAAGTTGGTTGGAGAATCAAATGAGATAATGTGGAAAGAGATTTTGAGGACAAGAGGCTTTCTATTCCCTAATAAAACTAATACTAAAACGTCCTCTTCAAGGACATCAATATCTTTTTCTGATGACTAAAATTAGCACAGATCTTCCTACAGAGTTCCATGGCAGTGGCACAAATTGAGTAACTGTTGCCATTACATGCTTATTGATTGAGTGATACACTATCAGCTGCTTCTTCAACATCAATTCTCTGTGATTCAATGGGCACAGTATTTAAAAATGCCATCAAAATTATAAAACCCATATGCCAAATAAGTTACCTGTTTCTTCAGCATCCACTTGTGCTCTTTAAAGAGCTGATAACTTCAAAAGGTGCCTCCTTGGCCAGGCATGGTGGCTCACACCTGTAATCCCAGCACTTTGGGAGGCTGAGGCGGGAGGATCACCTGAGGTCAGGAGATCGAGACCAGCATGGCCAATGTAGTAAAACCCTGTTTCTACTAAAAATACGAACCTGGGAGGCGGAGGTTGCAGTGAGCTGAGATCACGCCATTGCACTCTAGCCTGGGCAACAAGAGCAAAACTCCATCTCAACAATAACAACAAAAAAGTTGCCTCCTTAGAACATAAATCATTGTAATTGGAACTTTGGAAGTAATAAGGTAACTAGAATGATGAATAAAGCACAGTTGGAGAGTTTCAAGTATGAGAGTTTATATTTCCTCTAACGCCTGTCTTATGAGAAATTGGGAAGTCAAACAATATCTGTAACAAACACATGTCATATGAAATCCCATTGACTATTAATTATTCTTTTTAGCAGCTACAAAGTCCTTTCATGAATAGATTTCAATTTGCCCCAAACAGAAAGAACAGACATTGGTTGGATTGTATAGCATTTACCTTCATAACTTCCTAAGTCAGACTAATCCTCCAGTTTTCAGAGGCAGATATGCTACACTATTTAAGTAAAGCTTCCATCATCCTCATTGGTTCTGAGTATACCAATGGTTCTTCTGCTCCTCAAGGTCTTTGGAAGGGGCAATTAAAAAGTTAGAACCAGTTTTGTTTGCCATATTTAGGGGTCAGGAAGGAGTAAGAGAAAAGAAGAAATGATGTTTCTGACTGCATTTGTGGTTCCCATGTTGCCTTCGCTCTTACAATGTCCCTTGCTTACCAGACTTGGCAGTAGGAGAACTGCCTTTCATACTCTCTTCCCCACACACTCAGTTCTAGGTTAACAATAAAATATCAGTTTAAGAGGACAGAAACTATAAACATAAATATGGCATAATAGATAGTGAGGTAAAGTGTCTGAAAACACTTTTCTGTAATAGAGAGTGGGTACCTCTGCCACCAGTCTCTTCTAGAAACATCATTCAAGGGACTGAGAACACTTGACCCCTTTGGATCTGAGGAACAGGACCCCAATTCTCATTTTCAGTGGCTTCCAGGAACCAGCACAATCTGAAATAATTTTATAATGTATATAAATTATTTTTTAATTCAATATAGATTCTTTGTGCATAAACTGCAGAGAAGCAGGCAAATTTTTGATTGGCCATATAATTGGAGTTAATGTTTCTATGTAAAGTTAATTTTTTTTCTTGAACTTGGACTTTAATCTGTTGGATAATATCTGTCTCTTCTCCTTCTTCTCTTTAGGATGCTGTCTGAATTAGCTAGAGGGATATCTCCAAGTTCAAGGAAATGGTACATATCATAATCTACCATAACACCTAAAATTAGCGGCTCTTATCTTTGAATCCTTGTTCAAGAGTCCCCTCAAAAATCTTAATTTCCTACAGGCATTTCATTGGTTTGAGCTCCCTAAATTTTATTAACCCTTCCTCTTTCTAAGAGTCCATATATTTCCCAGATTCTTTATTTCCCAGTCCCTTCTTTATCACTTTTCTCCACTGTGCCTCTTCAGGCTCTCTATTCCACATCAGGCCTACCCACTTAACCTGCTTCATCCCATCTAGAGACTTTTTAAAAATCCATTTAATTGTAAAGTTATTGGATCAGCATGTAGGTTAATCTAGTCAGAGCTAACCAGTCTAAGTATATATTTAAAGACTTGCAATAGGCACCACTCAGAAAAGAGGAAATTCCTTTTCATTTATTTTTGTCTTCTTTAATTTTTTTTAATTCTTAATTTTTATGGGTACATAACAGTTTTATGTATTTAGGAGTACATGTGATGTTTGATACAAGCATACAATATGTAATAATAAAACCAGGGTGACTTGGATATTCATTACCTCAAACACTTTTCATTTCATTCTGTTAGGAACATTCCAAATCCACTCCTGTAGTTATTTTGATATCTACAAAAAATTTTCTTTCAGCAATGTTTGATAGTTTTCAGTGTACAAGTCTTTCACCTACTTGGTTAAGTTTATTCCTAAGTATTTTATTCTTTTGATGCTCTTGTAAATGGATTTTTTAAAAAATTTCCATTTTGAATTGCTCATTGTTAGTGTATAAAAACAGAATTGATTTCTGTTATGTTGATTTTGTAGCCTGCAGCTTTCATGAATTTATTTATCAAGTCTAATAGATTTCTGGAATCTTTAGAATTTCTACGTATAAGATCATCTCATCTGTGAATAGAGATAATTTTACTTCTTCCTTTCTAATTTAGATGCCTTTTATTTCTTTTTCTTGCCTAATTTTTCTGCCTAGGGCTTCTAGTATTATGCTAAATAGAAGTGGCAAGAGTGGTCATCTTTGTTTTGTTCCTGGTCCTAGAGGAAAAGTATTCAGTTTTTTTACCATTAAATATGATGTTAGCTGTCGACTTTTCATATATGACCTTTATTATGGTGAGATATTTTCTTTCTATTCCCAGTTTGCTTAGTGTTTTTATCACAAGAGTTTGAATTTTGTCAAATGCTTTTTCTGCATGGATTGAGATGATCATGTGATTTTTAATATCTTCATTCTCTCAGTGTGGTGTGTCAAATTTTCATGTGTTAAATCATCCTTATATCCCAGGGATAAATCCCCGTTGATCGTGGTGTATGATCCTTTTAATGTGCTGTTGAAGTCAGTTTGCTAATGTTTTGTTGAGTATTATTTTTGTATCTATATTCATCAAGGATATTAGTCTGTAGTTTCATTTCCTTTCAGTGTCTTTGGCTTTGGTATCAGGATAATGCTGGCCTCAGAGAAAGAATTTGGTAGTTTTTGTTGCTTCTTTTTGATCTTTTGGAAGCGTTTGAGTATCCAAAGTAATCTGTAGACTTAAATGCAATCTTTGTCAAAACCTCAATTGAAATTTTTTTTAGAAGTAGATAAAACAAACGTAAAATTGATACAAAACTACAAAGGCCATGAATAGCCAGAACAACTTTGAGAAAGAAGAACAAAGTTGGAGGCTTCACACTTCCTGATTTCAAAACATATTACAAAGCTACAGGAATCAAAACAGTCTGGTACTGGCATAAAGACAGACATACAGAAAAATGGAACAGAATAGAGAGCCATACCTTTAGTCACCTGACGTTTGACAATGATGCCAAGACTACACAAGGGGGAAAGAACAGTTTCTTTAACAATTGGTGTTGGGGAAACTGAATGTTTACATGCAAAATGAACCCTTATCTTACACCACACATAAAAATCAACTCAAAGGAGATTAAAAACTTAAATGTAAGATCTAAGCTATAAACCCCCTGGAAGAAAACATAGGGGGAAAGCCTTATAACTTTGGTCTTAGTAATGATTTCTTGGATACGACACAAAAAGTACAGGTAACAATAGCAAAAATAGGTAAATGGGACTACACCAAACTAAAAAGTTTCTGTGTAGCAAAGGAAGGAATCAACAGAATAAAAAGGCAATCAACAGAATGGGGGAAGATATTAACAAATCACACATATAATAATGGGTTAATATCCAAAATACATGAGGAGCTTTTAAAACTAAATAGAAAAAAAAAAATCAATTAGAAAATAGGCAAAGGACTTGAATAGACATTCTTCAAAGAAGACATACAAGTAGTAAATATGCAAAAAGATGTTCAATTTCACGAATAATTGGGGAAATGCAAGTCAATGTCACAATGATATTTTACCTCATACCTGCTAGGATGGCCATTATTTTAAAAATACAGAAATAGCAAGATTTGGTAAGAATATGGAGAAATTGGAATCCTTGTATACTGTTGGTGGGAATATAAAAATGATACAGCTGCTATGAACAACAGTATGGAAGTTCCTAAAAAAATTAAAAATAGGACTGCCCTATGATCTAGCAATCCCACTTCTTGATAATCATTCAAAAGTATTGAAGAGATGATCTTGATAAGATATTTGCACTCTCATTTTCATTGCAGCACTTTTCACAATAGCCAAGCAGTGGAAACAATTTAAATATCCATCGATGGATGAATGGGTAAAGAAAATGTAGTTTATACATATGATGGAATATTATTCAATCTTAAAGAAGGAAGTCCTGTAATATATTACAATATGAATAAACCTTGAAGATACTATGCTAAGTGAAATAAGCCAGTCATAGAAGAACAAATACCATATGATTCCACTGACATGAAGCATATAAAGTAGTCAAACTCATAGAAACAGAAAGTAGAATGTTGGTTACTGGGACCTGGAAAGAGGAAGAAGTGAAAGTTACTGTTCAATGGGTATAGTTTCAGTCACACAAGATGAAAAATTCTAGAGATCTGCTGTACAGCAATGTGCATATCAAAAACAGTCCTGCACTGTACACTTAAAATTTTGTTAAGAGAGTAGATCTTGTATTACATGGGTTTTCATTTGACTGGAAGAAAAGACCCAAGCCTGGTTGGTGGTGGTAGCAGGGGAAGTTGGGGTGGTAATGTTTGTTGCTGTAATTGTTGTTTTGATTAAAGATTTAGGGTATTACAATTTATCAAAACCAAAAACTCTATTTACACAAAACATTTTTGAACCTTAGCAAAGTTTCACTTCAATTGTTTCCGCTCATAAATGACTCTGACAAAGCCAACATACAAAAAGCTACCATGGCTATTGTCTAAAGGCAACGTGGAGGTCACTGAGTATTTGCACATCTCCAGAACAAGAGGAACTGCTTAAAATCTCCCCTACTCTAGGGTGAGGGCAGAAGGGGGTGAGTTTCAAATAGATGAATAAATAAGTATCTAGCTTTATTATCATGACCGATGGCTCCCAGGCAGAAACTCAGGGCTCCCTAAGCGGTCAACTGGACTCTGCCTGTGTTGGGAAAATGTACTAAAAAATAAAATCTTCTCTCAACCCAGAAATCTTTTCCATAAAGGTAGTAGAGAAAAAAAAACTTACTATTAAGCATTAAACCAGCATGTGATACTCATCATCAGCAATCTGCATAAGAGATTGCAAAGGCAGAAAATAAATCTCACTCTTTTCTGTAGCTAAGCAGATACAACCCATTACATCCATGTTTTCAAGATAAACAATAATTAGTCCTCAAATAACAAGGCTTGACAACACCTTTGGTCACACATAGTTGATCCCTACTTTATCTGATTAGGTAATTGAGGTGACCATCTGTGTTATCTAATTGGCTTACAATTAGGTAAAACAAACTTCTCATGTTTTTATGACAGTAGGTGGTTTTGCAACTTGGAGCAGGTTGCCTGCCCACTGAAGTTAGACTCCTACATTCCCACAGAAACTGGAAACTAGGGGTGCTATGTTTTTAATGTTTACATTTCAAAGAGATGGATCCCTGGTCCCTGAAAAATACATTCTTAGGTCATAAAGCTGACAAAAGGCCTATCTCATCTTTAAAGAATTTATATACACTTCAAAGAGAAGAGAAAGTATTTACAATGACAAGTTTTCTAATGTAAATATTCTGAATAAGAGGAGAGGGAAATCTCTTCTTCTATTTTCAGCTGCCAGAATTAAGCCTCTTATTTTTAATGCATATTTGTCCTTATGCTCTAGCTGACAGCTTGGAGCTCCCAAGGCAACCCGAGTGCGTGAGGGGTGTGTTTTGGGGACTTGAGGAGCCTCAGATTTTGGGAGGGCCCATGTGCCTGACAGCAAAGGGCGAGAGCCAGCACCATCTTCCCACTCCAGCCACGGGAGAGCCAAGCTGGGCTCTGGGTTAAGGGTTGAAAGGTGAGTACAGGGAGTTTCACAACCTCAGCAGCCCCTACCTCTCTAAGAAAGCATTTGGGAACCTCATGTAGTGTCAGGTGCCAAGGCCTAGCTATGCTCAGCTTTTACTTAAATTATAATATTTATTGGCTTATTGGTGTGGGGGAGAGGGAGGATAAAGAGATTTTTTTTTAATGGGGGAAAACTGGGTCCTTTCTATGAACTTTTTGATGAACGTGTATTTTAACATAACTTGTATTTCAAAAGGACTAGATTTGAATCCTGTGTGAAGCTGTCTTTAGAAGCAGTTTGTTAGTTTTTTTCT
Source organism: Homo sapiens (assembly GCF_000001405.40). Lineage (NCBI taxonomy): Eukaryota > Metazoa > Chordata > Mammalia > Primates > Hominidae > Homo > Homo sapiens. The sequence goes on along the minus strand of NC_000001.11, from coordinate 99,217,411 downwards.
TCAAAAGTTAAATTTCTTCTATTAATTGTTTCTCTCCAAGCTCAATTTAATTGAACAGCTGAGTCCTAGCCAGCAGGTTTTAAAATCACTTGTTAGACCAGAATCCATTCTTTTGTTCAGTGAGTTTGTGAGAATAAACCTAGCTGTCATTTGAAATGAGGGCATATAACACCCTTGCTGCAGTCCTAACTTTCTCGTTACCTGACACTACACCACCGGATCGGTTGCTCAGTTAAAGCATTTAACCCAGACCAAGTGATAGTAGCAGGTGTTTGTATCATAAGGCAAGATCAAGTTACATCACCCTCATCTATACAAACTCTGCTTTACTTTGGCTATTGCCAGTATTAGTTCTTGATTTTCCACAGATAAACCGCTGTGTTGGAATTACAATATAAATTGCAACGTGCAAAGCCCCAGCTGAATGGAAGATGCTTTTAGGGGGACAGCCATTATGAAGTTCTACTCTGAAGTGGTTTGAATTTCTTAGTATGAAATAAATATATGTTAGCACAAAAGTTGCCTTAGCTACTTAGTGCTATCCTGTATCAACTTCATTCAGCAAAAGCTTCAAGCAGTGAGCAGATATTTAGTTACCAATGACTTAAGGACAGTATTAAATTTCTAAATTGTTTTATGTTGGGCATCAGACAATGTAATTATATTCTTTACATTATTTCTGATTGTTAATCACTTTCATTCTTATTCATTTATAAAATACACTCAAAATTTATTCACATTTGCTCCCTTTCCAAATGATAATTCTCTCTCCTCAATACTACTGAGCCTTCTACTTCTTGTATCATTGACAAGTTTTAGCAAATTATAGCCTTCATTCACAACCCTACCTAACATTTGATTCCCCTACCTAACAAAAGGTAATAATTTCCAAGCAATTAAATGGTAATATGGTAATTCTCAAACAAGAAATAAAATGAGAAATATGCCTGATATTATAGTTACTTCTCTATATTTTGTATCTCCACATAGATTTTAAGTTTCCTAAGAAAGAGGCCATGTTTTCCACATCTGTCTCTCACAGTGACTAGTAAAGTGTCTAAAACATTGCTTTGTACAGTTAGATGCTCAATAAATGTTATATTGACTGGAAGAAGAAATGCACCAGAAACAGATCCCCTTCATGATAAAGAAGACATCTCTGAATATCAAGGAAGTTGTGGTGACAATTTTCAAGATATTGAATTCATTAAAATGACTAATATTCTCATGTGTTTTTTGAGGACAGAATTCATTCAGTTTTTAGATAAGAATTTGATTTTATATTTGTTTGGGGGACTTATTTAAAACTTATAAGTGATCTTTTAATTTTAAGGAAGGGTTGAATGATACAGTCAACTATGTATTACAAGTTAACACAGAGTCAAAGTAAAAATAAATTGAATTAAATTAAAATAAGCCTGGAGTAAGTAATTAAAGGCTATTCTTTTTCTTTTCCTTTCCTTCCCAGAAAGCTGAACAATAGATGTGTTTGTTGAATATATTATATCTGTAACAGAAAGAGTTGACAAGTGGTCTTACAAGCTTATTTAATTCATTAAAAATTAATTATTTTTAAAAACTGATACCTTTACTGTATCATTAGTATAACAGATAAGCTAGTTTCTTCTTCCACATCCCTCCACTAAAGGAATTATTCTTACTATTTATATGTGACATTTTTCTTAATCAGAGAGCGGAAATGAATCTGCAAGCCTTTCTGGCTCTTGTGAACTTAAGAAAATTGGCATAACTGGTTTAAGAGAGAGTAAATGAAAAATGATTTTTCTAATGCCCCTTTAAAATCAATCATATTGAACCATAATTTTGCTTCCCATATTATTATCCCATTACTCTAATAAATAAAGGATTGATCAATATTTCCAATTCTTCACAATATAGTGTATGACTTTAATATGGATTTCATCACTAGTGAAACTAAAAAACTGTATGTATTGTTGAATTATTTTTTCTCACTTCTCAGTATGGAAAAAGCAGGGGCTAGTGTACTGGGTCAAAAAACACCAAATAAGCGGTTCAGAAAACAAGGAAGGTGAAGAGCACTAGTATTTATTAGGTGTCTGTAGCATATTCAACCCATTACCTCATTTAATCTTCAAAATAAACTGTATTGACTCTAGTTTAGAATGAGGAAGCTGGGCCTCTGTAATTGTGTCTAAGGCTTATAGCCAGACAAAAAGTGGGAGACCTAAGATTAGAATCTAAATTTCTCTAGCTACCAAATAGTTGTACTAAACTATGACAGCACAAAGATGAGTCAGCTGTGAAAAATAAGACATAGAATGGGATTGGAATAACTTAGCATGCAAAAGTGAATGGATGGGGGAACATTCATGTTTTAACTACACCAAGAATAGTTGCACAGAGGGTGAGAAAAAGATGATCTCCAAGAGAAGCTAGGAGAAGGTTAAAATGGAGCATGAGGGATTTGAGTTAGATTTGTGAAAGAAGTCTTGCCTATGAGGGCTGTAAGATGTTGTAGGAGATTATTGAGGGCAGGGGCTGCCCTTTTGAAAGTCTCTGTACAGAAGAGATTCTCACCTATTTGTGAAGATATGGTTAGAGACTTGGGGAGATTACACTAAATGGGTGTCAAGGGCACTTATTTGCCCTGAGTTCCAGTTTGTGGTGTCTGAGTCTCATCCCTGCCTCAGTTGACTTGTTAGTTGAAATAAAGGAAAAGGACTTGAAATCTGGCACAAAAGTAGAGTCTGTCGCTGGTGACAGGTTAACAGACAAGCTGAAAAACATGTGAGAATATAGATTTGGTATGACCAAAACAGCCTTAATGTTCTCCACAGCTTGAACAAACATTAGGCAGGCTTCTTCCTGACTCTAGGCTCCTGACCTCCCTTTTCTTAGAGCATTTGCTTTAGAAAACATAATTTTAGATTATTTCCCTGCCTCTCTGAGATGTAAATTTTTTTAAAAAAACCTTTTGCCAGAATTCATTCCTCCTAACTGCACATTTGTACTCATTGACCAACTGTAGTTAACAATATTGTATAGTATATTTCAAAATAGCTAGAAAATTTTGAATTTTGTCACCACAAAGAAATAATCATTAATGTTTGAGGTGATGGATATGTCAATTACCCTGATTTAGTTATTACACAATGTATGCATGTATCAAAACATTATATGGTGTCCCATAAATATGTACAATTATGTGTCAATTAAAAACAAAATACACAATGCTCATCATCACTGGCCATCAGAGAAATGCAAATCAAAACCACCATGAGATATCATCTCACACCAGTTAGAATGGCAATCATTAAAAAGTCAGGAAACAACAGGTGCTGGAGAGGATGCGGAGAAATAGGAACACTTTTACACTGTTGGTGGGACTGTAAACTAGTTCAACCATTGTGGAAGTCAGTGTGGCGATTCCTCAGGGATCTAGAACTAGAAATACCATTTGACCCAGCCATCCCATTACTGGGTATATACCCAAATGACTATAAATCATGCTGCTATAAAGACACATGCACACGTATGTTTATTGCGGCACTATTCACAATAGCAAAGACTTGGAACCAACCCAAATGTCCAACAATGATAGACTGGATTAAGAAAATGTGGCACATATACACCATGGAATACTATGCAGCCATAAAAAATGATGAGTTCATATCCTTTGTAGGGACATGGATGAAATTGGAAACCATCATTCTCAGTAAACTATCGCAAGAACAAAAAACCAAACACCGCATATTCTCACTCATAGGTGGGAATTGAACAATGAGATCACATGGACACAGGAAGGGGAATATCACACTCTGGGGACTGTGGTGGGGTCGGGGGAGGGGGGAGGGATAGCATTGGGAGATATACCTAATGCTAGATGACTCATTAGTGGGTGCAGCGCACCAGCATGGCACATGTATACATATGTAACTAACCTGCACAATGTGCACATGTACCCTAAAACTTAGAGTATAATAAAAAAAAAATAAAAAAAAAAATAAAACTTTGACAATCCTTTTGCCAGTTTTACATCCCAGGACTATCTTTCTTAAGGGTCTGAGAGTCATCCCTTTGAAATATAATCACCAAGGAAGATAGCATTCCTATTTCCCAGTTTCTGTGGGAGGGTGGGAGCCAAACTTCAGTGGATGCCTTGCTCCAAGTTGTAAAACTACTTACTGTCATAAGTTCAGAGAAAATTCACTTGTCCTTTAGGTAAAGCCAATTAGCAAACACATCTGACCTGTGATTCCCTCTTCTCAACTCTTAAAAACTCCCCAGGCCTTTGTTTCAACAGAGTTGAGCTGAGACTGAGCTCTGGCGTCATTCCCCTATGGCAATAGCCTTGAATAACATCTCCCTTGCTTGTTTAACTTTGTCCAGTGGATCTTTCGCTTTGATAGGTATTATAATACATCCTCAGTTACATATGATGAACTTACAAAAATTTGAAAGAAGTAGTAATTTAAGACAGAAAGTATAGTAATTTTCAGGTGTGCCAAAAACAGAATTAAAAATGCTTATGTAATTTTACAGGAAGACTTCATAGAGAAATTGTTTCCTTCATTGCCTGTATTTTATTTTTCATTTAGGTTTTAATTAATTAAGTTGATGTGCATCTTAGAAATATTAACATATCATTTCTTGCTGGTTTTATGCTGAAAAGGCACACAATCCCCTTCTGTTTAAAGTGGAGTTTTTGAGAAATGATAATTATTTTGCTTGTTCTCATGCTTTTAAGTTTCTTATGAAGTAAGCTCTTTATTTTGGGGGAGAAAAATTATCCTGGTAGTTAAGCTCATTGATAACACTAAAATTAATTGATCATCAATCTTTTACATAATTTATTAAGGTAGACATGATGTTTTTGAAAATCTCATTTGAGTTTTACTCTTTAACATGCATTCTATTGCCTATCAGGTTTTATCTTTATGCAAGAAATCATAGTACATTTAGAAATTCCTTTATAAAATTCTTTTATAATACATATAAAAATTCCTTTATAAAACACCTTTATAAAGGTGTACACATTATTGTAATATTATCAAGCCAAATGTCTCAAGTTAAATGACACTCAGATTATTATTAGGTTCCCTTGGCTTCTTTTCACTTGGGCTTCTAAGAATTACTGCATACTAGTATTACGAAAATATTTTGGATCATCCTTGGTTTCCCAAGTAGATATGTGAGATTTGAATTCTTAGAGTTGAATCCAAATTATACTAGATCTAGAAGTCAGGTGTTCTTGAGTAATCTTTTGGGCCACAACTGAGTCTTCAGTGAGTCTTTGGAAACAAGCATTAGCTTAGCTAGCCCATATTCCCCACTACCTTTTACTCTATTTCATCAATTACAGCTAAGAAGATTTGCCTCTATCCAATAGAATTTTATGTCTAGAACTAGTTTTGATTTCAGACTTAGCCCCCAGGTTTCTTCTGGTAGGCAACTCTTTTCAGATGATTCCATGTAAGTTTAGACAAGCATAATGGCTTTTGGTCACATTTGAGATAATTAACTCAGTCTCAAGTGATTTAAATTGTCATCTCTGAACTTGTGTTTCCTTCCTCTGGGTAAATTCTAAAACCATAAACGTTTTAAGAACACTAGTCAGGCATCTTGAGGCTGAGGTGGTGTCCATTTTCAACCACCATGTCATGAAGCCACACAAGGAGTCCTGTGAAGAGGTCCACATGGCAAGAAACTGAGGCCTCTTGGCAACAGCCATTTGAGTGAACCATCAGAAAAGTGGATCCTCCAGCCAAGACTTCTGATGAGTGCCGCCCAGCTAACATGATGACTACAAAACTTTTAAGGACCACTGAGCCAAAACCACCCAGCTAAGCTGAATTTCTGATTCATAGAAACTATGAGATAATACATACTTGTTGTTATTTCAAGCTGCTAGGTTTAGGGATATGGTTTTGCAACAATAAATAACTAATACAGAGTCAAAGATGTGTGTGTGTGTGTGTGTGTGGTGTGTGTGTGTGTGTGTTTCTTTCCTATGGTGGGCTGTCTTCACTATATTGGGGTATTAACAGTTAACTACTGGGTTTGCGTAGGGCCTGAGTTTGGGAGAGGGGAATGGGAGTAGAGATAGTCAAAAGGAATATATTGAAACACATTTTATTATCATATTGTCACAGAAAGTAATATCTCTGAAGAGATGGAGGTAATGTCTTAAATTTAATAGTAATGACGCCCTCAAATCCATTTTCCACATTGCAACCAGGAAGCTCTCACTGAAGGGTAAATCAGCTATATAATTCCGCTGCTTAAATCCCTTAAAAAGTCAAAGCCAGTACTCCATAAATGGTTCACAAGACCTCTGTTAACCTGTGCTGTGCTTATCTCTTTAGCCATGATTCACCAACAACTCCAGTCTCCAATCTCTGGTCTTAGGCTTTTTCTTCTGCATGGAATTCCAAACTCTTACCCTGACTTTTTTGGACTCCAAGTTATCTAGCCAAGTTTAGGTCTCCTTCAAGACTTTCCTGACACCCTAAACACAGTTAGATGCTTTTTCTCTAGGCTGCCATAGTATCCTTGCTTACATCTGAAATGTCCTTTATTGATGAATATTAATATTACCCTCCTAATATCTATCTTTCCCAGTATAGTATAAGAAATTTGAGGGCAAGGATTGTGTCTGTTTTATTTTGCAACTTCAGTGCACATTTGGGAAAATAATTATTATTCAATGAAGACCTAATAAATTGAAGAATAAATAAACACAAACTTATTCCAAGCCAAACTGGTATAATGCACACAAACTTTCCAAAAAATAAATGATACTTTCTATTCCTTTTTTAAACATATAGCATTACAAATGTTTCTAAACTTTGGGAGTTATTTCATTAGCAGGAAAGTCAAGATTGCATTCTTTGAGCATCACTAAATCTTTTAAAGAAATGTGATATTTTCCTTTGGGGTTGTTTTAACTTGATTATTAATGATATCCTTTGTAAAATGCATGGAAGCTTTTGTGACATTACAAATGTCCTTTTCATAAGCCTTATCATTAATCAGAGCAGGTAGATATGGGCAAAAATTGCATTATAGCAAAGAGAATTGAATGTTCCCTATAAATTCAATAGTTTAAGGCCTTTTCTTCTTAACATAATTCTCACTGAAGCAGTTATGCTCTACTTATACACCATAGTCTCACTGGTTGTCAGAAAACATTATTAATCCCATTCCAAACTTGGACCTACTGTTGTGATTCTGTATCCAGAAGGAAATAAAATATTTCATGCTTTTACATTGTCTTAGTTCAGGCTGCTATAACAAGAATACCATAGACTGGGTGGCTTAAACATCAAATATGTATTTCTCATCATTCTGGAGGCTGGAAAGTCCAAGAGCAGGGTGCCAGTGTGGCCAGGTTCTGGCGAGGGCTTTCTTCCTGGTTTCCTCACATGGTGGAGAGAGACAGTTGGGGGTCTCTTCATCCCTGTATAAGCACACCAATCTCATCATGGGAACTTCACCACCATGACCTCATCCAAATTCAGTTACATCCCAAAGGTCTCACCTTCCAACCCTATCACATTGGGAATCAGGGTTTCAGTATATGAATTTTGGAAAAACAGAAACAGCCCATAGCAGATATTGACCCATGTTGGATTGTAAACTGGTATAAAGGGAAAGATTTTTTTTCCCTGTCATCACAATACATTGGTTCTGGCTCTGCGCTGTTGGGTCTTTGGCTTTAAGCCAGGAATCTAACCTCTCTGAACCTGTTTTTTATGATAAAATGGGTGTAATCATTTCCATATCACCAGATCACTATGCAAATTAAATAAGATTATATATCTTTTCTATTATGTAAAATGATATACAACTATAAGATGTTAAAGTATAGTTGTGTACCACATAAGGACTTTTGGTCAGTGATGGACCATATATGACCATAGTCCCATAAGATTATAATGGAGCTGAAAAATTCCTATCACCAAGTGACACTGCAGCAGTTGTAAAGTCACAAACACATATTACTCATGTGTTTGTGGTGATGCTGGTGTCAACAAACCTACTGCACTGCCAGTAGTATAAAAGTATAGTGGATACATTTATGTACAGTACATAATAGTTGATAATGGTAATAAATGACTAAGCTACTGATTTATGTATTTACTATACTACACTTTTAATTTTTATTTTAGAGTGTGCTCTTTCTACTTATAGATTAAAAAGTTAACTGTAAAACAGCCCCAGGAAAGTCCTTCAGGAAGTATTCCAGAAGAAGGCATTGCTATTATAGGAGATAACAGCTTCTTGTATATTATTGCCCCTGAAGACCTTCTAGTGGGACCAAATGTGGAAGAGAAAGACAGTGATACTGATGATCCTGAACCCATGTAGGCCTAGGCCAGTGCATGTGTTTGTGTCTTAGTTTTTATAAAAAAGTTTAAAAAGTAAAGAAACAAAATTAAAAATAGAAACAAGCTTATGGAGGAAATATATAAAGAAATTATTTTTTTACAGTTGTATAATATGTTTGTGTTTTAATCTGTCTTATTACAAAGGAGTCAAAAGGTTTTTAAACAAGTTTATAAAATAAAAAGTTACAGTAAGCTAAGATTAATTTATTACTGAAAAATATTGTTTTATAACTTTAGTATAGGCTAAGTATACAGTGTTTATAAAATTTACAGTAGGGCTGGGTGCGGTGGCTCACGCCTGTAATCCCAGCGCTTTGAGAGGCCGAGGTGGGCAGATCATGAGGTCAAGAGATCGAGGCCATCCTGGCCAACATGTTGAAACCCCATCTGTACTAAAAATACAAAAATTAGCTAGGCATGGTGGTCACGCACCTGTAGTCCCAACTACTCGGGAAGCTGAGGCAGGAGAATTGCTTGAACCGGGGAGGCGGAGGTTGCAGTGAGCCGAGATTGCGCCACTGCACTACAGCCTGGTGACAGAGTGAAACTGTGCAAAAAAAAAAAAAAAAAAAAAAAGAAAAGAAAAGAGAAGAAAAAAAAGTATATAGTAGTGTATAGTAATATCCTAGGTCTTCACATTCACTCACAACTCCGTCACTTACCCAGGGAAACTACTTACAGTCCTGGAAGCTCCATTCAAGGAAGTGCCCTATACAGATGTACCATATTTTGCCTTTTATATATGTTTTTACTGTACCTTTTCTATGTTCAGATATGTTTAGCTACACAAATACTTGCATTGTGTTACAAGTGCCTGAAGTATTCAGTACATAACATGCTGTACAGGTTTGTAGCCTAAGAACAATAGGCTCTATCACATCGCCTATACGTGCACTAGGCTATACTACCTAGGTTTGTGTTGGTATACTCTGACATTTTTATGACAACAAAATTTCCTAAGGATGCATTTCCCAGAACATATCCCCATTATTTATTTATTTATTTTATTTTATTTTTTTTGGAGATGGAGTCTCGCTCTGTCGCCCAGGGTGGAGTGCAGTGGCATAATCTCGGCTCACTGCAACCTCCGCCTCCCGGGTTCAAGCAATTCTCCTGCCTCAGCCTCCCTGGTAGCTGGGACTACAGGCGCACACTGCCATGCCCAGCTAATTTTTTGTATTTTAGTAGAGACGGGGTTTCACCCTGTTGCCCAGGCTGTTCTCGAACTCCTGAACTCAGGCAATCCACCCGCCTCGGCCTCCCAAAGTGCTAGGATTACAGGCGTGAGCCACCGTGCCTGGCCCATATCCCCATTATTAAGTGATACTTGAATGTAAATCTAATTTTTGGTTCCCAAGAGTAGCAAAATAACAACAAAAACAATTATAAAAACACAACTAGCATTTACATTTTATCCAGGTACTTTCCACATATTAACTCATTTACAATTAGCATTGAATTTTATCCAGGTACTTGCCACATATTAACTCATGTAATCCTCAAAACAACCCAGTGAGGTAAGTATTTTTATTATTTCCTGTTGTGGTTTGAATATGTTCCCTCCAAAATTTAGGTGTTGCCAATGTAATCGTATTAAGAGGTGGGGCTTTTAAGAGATGATTAGACTTATAAACAATCGCCATTCTGACTGGCGTGAGATGATATCTCATTGTGGTTTTGACTGGCATTTCTCTGATGATTGGTCATAATGAGCACTTTTTTTCATATGTTCATTGGCTGCTTCAATGTCCTTTGAGAAGTGTCTGTTGATGTCCTTTGCCCATTTTTTAATGGGGTTATTATTTTTTCTTTGCTTGTTGATTTAAGTTCTTTATAGATCCTAGATATTGGACCTTTGTCAAATGCAGAGATTGCAAACATTTCCCTGCATTCTGTAGGTTATCTGTTTTACTCTGTTAATAATTTCCTGTGCTGTGCAGAAGCTCTTTAGTTTCATTCTCCCACTTGTCAATTTTTGTTTTTGCTGCAATTGCTTTTGGGGACTTAACCAAAAATTCTTTGCCAAGGCAGATGTCAAGAAGAGTATTTCCTAGGTTTTATTCTAGGATTTTTATAGTTTGAAGTCTCACATTTAAACACTTAATCCATCTTGAATTAATTTTTGTATATGGTGAAAGGTAAGGGTCTAGTTTCATTCTTCTACATATAGCTAGCCATTTACTCCAGATGTTGGTGAGGCTATGGAGAAAAGGGAACGTTTATATGCTATTGATGGAAAGGAAAATTAGTTCAGCCACTTTGGAAAGCAGTTTATACATTTCTCAAAAAACTTAAAACAGAGCTACCATTTGACCCAGTAATGGAAATAGATCATTATACCAAAAGACACATGCATTCATGTTTATCACCACCCAATTCACAATGGCAAAGACATAGAATCAACCAAGGTGCCCATCAGTGGTGGATTGGATCAAGAAAATATGGTACGTATATACTATCGAATACCATGCAGCCATAAAAAGGAACAAAATAATGTCCTTTGCAGCAACATGGATAAAGCTGGAGACCATAATCCTAAGTGAGGTAACATAGGAACTGAAAACCACATATTCTCACTTATAAGTGTGGGATAAACATTGAGTACATAACATGGACACAAACGTGGGAGCAACAGACGCTGTGGACTACTAGAGAAGGGAGGGAGGGATGGGGCGTGGGATGAAAAACTACCTATGCTCACTGCTTGGGTGCAATATACCTATGTAACAAACCTGCACATGTACCCCCTCTATCTAAAATAAAAAATCAAATTTGAAAAAGAGAGAGAGAGATGATAGGCCATGAAGTTTCCTTCCTCATGAATGGGATTAAGGGCCTTATAAAAGAGGCTTTATGCACCATGCAGGGAGCTTGACCTTCTGCCTTCCTCCATATGTGGATGCAGCCAGACAGCTGGAACCTTGGTCCTGGACTTCCAAGCCTGCAGAATGATGAGAAAATCAATTTCTGTTCTTTATAAATTATTCTGTTACAGTAGCACAAACAGACTTATAAATTCACACCTTATAGAAACTGAGAAAAAGAGAGGTTAAGAAAACGGCTAATGATTTTGTCTTGATTCTTGCCAATCATTTTGATTTTTAGCAAAGGCAGATAATACATTTTAAAGATAATTTTGCTTCAAATTTATTTAATGTTTGTTAATCAGAACTTTTACTCTCTTGCTGGCAGGCTATACTAACCCAATTCAAACTACATTTCTCAAATAAAGAAAATTTATTGGTTTAGATGACTGAAAAGTCTATTGTTAGATTTGAACTCTTTCTCCCAACTTCTTCACTTTGGCTTTCTCCTGGTTGGCTTCTTTCTCAGGCATAGCTTGCCCACTGGCCACTGGAAGCTGGAAGCTAACAGTCCCAATAGCTCCAGAAAATGACCTGGGACCTAACATAGTACATGTGCCCTCCCTGAACCAACCACCATGGTCAGAGTTACCTACTAACCTCAAGTTTCTTGTCTTCCCTCTAATGAGAGGTGGGTCAGCATTACTCAAATTATAGGGAGTGGCTTTGGGTAGGGCAAACCCAAAAAGGAATATACCCACCATAGTAGTATCCCACTGAACAATGCATCTCACAGAAAATACCATTCTTTAAAAAGAAATTCTTTATATTATTAACAGTGTTTTCTTTTTATAATGGTACAGAAAAATATATACTAATGGTGGAAAACACAGAACACATACTATATAAAGTTTATGTTATACCTGTTGAAAATAGAATTATAAAAACTGGAGCGAAAATATAAAAAATGAAATGAACAAGGTCCAACTTATCAATCTTTTCTATCATGGATTGTGCTTTTGTGTTGTATTTACAACTCGTCCCTGAATTCCAAATTCATGTAGATTCTTGTATTCTTTAGAAGTTTTAAAGTTTTTCATTTTACATATAAGCCTTCAATACACTTTGATTTAATTTTTGTGAAAGATGTAAGGTCTCTATATAGGTTCAGCTTTTTGCATTTAGCTGTTCAATTGTTCCCCTGCCATTTTTTTGTAAAGATTATCTCCTTTCCTTTGCAGCTTAGATCAGTTGACTATATTTGTGCAGGTCAACTTCTGAGCTCTCTATTCTGCTCCATTGATCTGTGTGTCTACTCTTTTGCCAGTACATCATCTTGATTTTTACCTGATTTTTGTTACTTTATAGTAACACTTGAAATCAGGCAGTGTGAAACCTCCAAGTATGTTCTCTCTAGGTATTATTTTGTTTTTACTGTTTTTTGCCTTTTCATATAAACTTTAACATTAGTTTGCCATAGCTCCTAAATAGTTACTGGTATTTTGTTTGGGATTGTATTGAATCTACAGAACAAGTTGGAAAGAGTTGACATTTTAACAGTAGTGAGTCTTTCAATTCATGAACACAACTATCTCATTTATTTACATATTATTAAATTTTCCTCAGCATTTTTTTAGTAATTAGGTAAATATTCAGTAAAAAACTAAAGAAACGTGAGTAAAGTATTAATTATACTTAATGACTTAAATATTAGTATTAGTTCATTAATTGTGAAAAATGTATCATTATATTGTAAGATGTATTAAAGTGTTTTCTAAATGATCCTCCAACTGGGGTTCAGGCCTGAGGGCCTGAACCAATGCCTCGGTTGATGAAAAGGTATGGTCATCCAACTTATCCTCTCACTAAGAGTTTAGAGGCTAATTCTGCTCTTTTTAAAAATACACATGGTCTTCCAATTTCATATGCTCAGAAAATTTTTATGGTGACTGCCTTCATAGTACAGAAAAGCAAGTTTACAAAATGTTGTATATCACCCATAAAGCAAGTTTTACACAATCCTAAAATACATTTGATACTTATATATATTAAGGCTGTTTCTCAGGCTCAGTCTTGAATAAGAGTTTTAAAACTCAAGTTCTAATCTAGAACCTGCCATGGCTTACTGTGCTACCTTGGATGACTTACTTAACCTGAGTTACTTTCCTCATCTGTCAAATTGGATAGTAATACTTTTCAAGCCTAAGGTTATTGAAAAGATCAAATCAGAAAATTATGTGTTAATATGTTTTGCAAGGCATAAACATCTATAAACATATAAACAAAGAATAGAATTTTTACTTGTCACTTGAAAAACTAGGAGAAAAACATTTCTCTGAGATAGGAAGAGGATCAATCATTTAAAAATATTTTATTCTCAGGAAAGAAAAGTAACTTGTATTAGAGAGCTATTTTGTGATAGAGTATTTGCACAATTTATTTCATTTCAGTGCCATCCCTGTGCCAGGCACTGGGCTAGGCACCAGGAATTCAACAATGATTAAACTATGTGATCCCTCATTTATCCCTTATGAATACCTTTCTTTTTTAAGAGAGGCAGGGTCTTGCTCTGTCACTTAGATTGCCACATCAGGCTCAGTGCATCATTGGACTCCCAGGCTCAACTGATCCCCCTGCCTTATCCTCCTGAGTAGCTGGGACTACAGGCATGTGCCACCAGGCCTGGTTTTTTTTTTTTTTTCTTTTTTGTAAAGACAGGGTCTCACCATGTTGCCTAGGCTGGTATCAAACTCCTGGCCTCAAGTGATTCTTCCACTTTGGCCTCCTAGAATGCTGAGATTATAGGTGTGAACCACTGTGCCCGGCGGCCTACAAATACCATTTCGAGCAGGCAGCTTAAATTAGTCCAGGTTATTCAAGAAGCAAATGCCAAGAGGGGATTAAATTTGCAAGTTTGTTATTTGGGAGACTGCCTACCTTACCATATCTGATTGAAATCTATCCTGAGCACCCTTAAAGCATTTTATTTCCTTCCACACAGGTGTTCTCCCAGGGCCAGGTACCAGATAATGAAGGACAACTTTTAAACCCTACATCCCACTGAAATTATTCAATCAAGCCAATCCTACACCTGCTCACCCTGACTTACTCATTCCTTCCCACAGAAACTACAATAAAGGCTTATGCCCACAGGTTTCTATGCTCCCTCTGTCTCCTACCACAACCTGGCACACCCCTGTAGGGTCCTGGGCAGTGTGACATGCCTCCTGATTCCAAGAAACTGTAAGTATCATTTCCATATGTTCTTACCAGGTAAGCACCAGGTTGGGTTGGGAGACAGAGGGAGCAGAGGAAAATGTGGGCAAAACCCTTTATTGTGGTTTCTGCTGGAAGCAATGGCTGAGGCAGGGTGAGCAGGCTGGTTTGTTTCAATAATGTCAGTGGGCTCTAGGGTAAAAAGGCTGTCTTTAGTTGTCTGGTACCTGGTCCTGAGGTGATTAGGGCAAGTGGATAGTGACCCAGAGTGCAAGAGCCAGATAAAGTAGGTGGTTGGGTGTAAGGGCTTTGAATTGGTAGATTTGAACCTGAAAAGCATGCTAGTGTAGCAAGTTGTTGTATTATCTCTGGGAATTGGCTAACCCTGGGGGAAGAGGGCGGAATCCCTCCAGGTTTAGTGGACTCCAGATACCAAAGCATCAGAATACAGAAAATAAAAAGACATGATTAATATAGAAAGGAGCCAACAGACTGCGATCTGAGTCTGATCCTGAGAGAGAGAAGGTTGTGTGGAAATGTTCTAGAGAACAAAGCAGACTGAAGAAGGTTTGGCAAGGCACCTGGGGAATATTCAAGCTGAAGTTTGCCAGCAAAGGAATCTCACATCTCCCAGGAACAGGACTGAGAATCCTTGTCACACTCAGTCGCTGGCTGAGGCATGGCCTCAGTGCAAACACAGCCAGTGTTTCAAGGAGCAGCAGCAGGAGCATGTGTACTTCCTGTACCAAAGGGACTGGCAAGCACAGTTTCAAGACCTCCACTGAGCATCATCTTTATTTCACAGGAGGGAAAACTGCATTTCAGAAAGTTTGAGAAATGTTCCCAGAGTTACGATGCTAACAAATGGAAGAGATGGAGTTCAGCATCAAAAACCTTTGCTCATACCCCATGCAACATGTCACCCTAGTAACAGACAAGCTACTTACCAGGCGGGGCACGTGCATCAATGTTTCATGTACTTAAAAAAACCTTTTGGAGGTGTGGCCCTTCTGGGTAGCTTCCGCCAATTTCCTTTATCAGTGTGAGTAATCCTTCTGCTGTCATTGGAAGTGAGTGAATTCATCAGGAAGCTGATGAAAAGAACACAACGTTGAATGATGATTTTCATTTTTCAGACATTTAGAATTTAGGTGTTCAGCAGAGTCCAGATCACTTTAACATAGTAAGTTTAGGAAATATTTTCCTAAAAGGAAAATAAGCAGTGTTCTTTATCATTTCCACATGTTTATTGCTTGATATTAGTGGCCACTGACTTAGACACCTACAGTCACTATGTTACTCGCGCATTGTTAACCTTAGGATCAAGTACTCCGTTGGTTGGGGTTAAAGAGGTCAAGGTCATTGGCTTAACCATCTTGAGGTTCACGTTGGCTTTATCCAGTCCTAAGGTCACAGACATTATTATTATTATTATTATTATTTTTAGTAAAGTCAGCTATATTGCAAAGACGTATGCACAAGAACACCGGCATGTATTAACATCCTGTTAGGGCGGATTCACTATTCATTTACTGCCCACTTTTAGGCATAGGCCATGAGCATTGGCCATATTCACAGGGTTAAGTCTAGTCCAGAGGATAGATTTCACACATTCCCATTATGTCTATTCATCTTTGTCATCAGACGCTGGTGTGGTAGGCTTTGTCTATAACTTTGAAAAATGTAAATTACTATACAAGTATACATTACTAATGTTGAATAAGTATAATTGTATGAGATTAATGTATGTCTTATAATTCAGCAAGTGTTAGTTTGTGTGGTAGGCAGCCTCTAAAAAGATCCCCAATGATCTCTGCCTTCTGGTATTCACATCCTTATAAAATCATTTCTCCTAAGCATGGGCTAGATCTAGTGACTCAATTTAAAGTAATAGGGCAAAGTCCTTACACCTTATACAAAAATTAATTCAAGATGGATTAAAGACTTAAATGCTGGACCTAAAACCATG
This sequence comes from Homo sapiens, assembly GCF_000001405.40. NCBI lineage: Eukaryota > Metazoa > Chordata > Mammalia > Primates > Hominidae > Homo > Homo sapiens. Next base: position 99,201,050 of record NC_000001.11, on the reverse strand, counting down.
AAAACCCTAGAAGAAAACCTAGGCAATACCATTCAGGACATAGGCATGGGCAAGGACTTCATGTCTAAAACACCAAAAGCAATGGCAACAAAAGCCAAAATAGACAAATGGGATCTAATTAAACTAAAGAGCTTCTACACAGCAAAAGAAACTACCATCAGAGTGAACAGGCAACCTAAAGAATGGGAGAAAATTTTTGCAATCTATCCTTCTGACAAAGGGCTAATAACCAGAATCTACAAAGAACTTAAACAAATTTACAATAAAAAAAAACCCATCAAAAAGTGGGCAAAGGATATGAACAGACACTTCTCAAAAGAAGACATTTATGCAGCCAACAGACACATGGCAAAATGCTCATCATCACTGGTCATCAGAGAAATGCAAATCAAAACCACAATGAGATACCATCTCACGCCAGTTAGAATGGCGATCATTAAAAAGTCAGGAAACAACGGATGCTGGAGAGGATGTGGAGAAATAGAGACCCTTTTACACTGTTGATAGGGGTGTAAATTAGTTTTCAACCATTGTGGAAGACAGTGTGCTGATTCTTCAAGGATCTAGAACTAGAAATACCTTTTGACCTGGCGATCACATTACAGGGTATATAACCAAAGGATTATAAATTATGCTAGTATAAAGACACATGCACATGTGTGTTTATTGTGGCACTATACACAATAGCAAAGACTTGGAACCAACCCAAATGTCCATCAATGATACACTGGATTAAGAAAATGTGGCACATATACACCATGGAATACTATGCAACCATAAAAAAGAATGAGTTCATGTCCTTTGCAGGGGCATGGATGAAGCTGGAAACCATCATTCTCAGCAAACAATCACAAGGACAGAAAACCAAACACTGCATGTTCTCACTCATAAGTGGGAATTGAACAATGAGAACACTTGGACACAGGAAGGAGAACATCACACACTGGGGACTGTTGGGGGTTGGAGTGCAGGGGAGGGATAGCATTAAAAGAAATACCTAATATAAATGACAAGTTGATGGGTGCAGCAAACCAGCATGACACATGTATACCTATGTAACATACCTGCACGTTGTGCACATGTACCCTAAAACTTAAAGTATAATTTAAAAAAATAAAAAAAGAATAGGGCAAAGTGATGAGATGTGACTTCAGACATTCGATTACAAAAAGACTATAGCTTCCATCTTGCCCACCATTCCTCATCCTCTTCTGCTTGGAGACCTTGATGTGGAAGAAGCAAACTGTCCTGGTTGGGGGAAGCCCATGTAGGAAGAAAATGAAGTTTCCATCTAATAGCCAGTAAGGATACGAGTCCTGCCAGTAGCCACGTGAGTGAGCTTGGAAGTGGATGGATCTTCTGAGGCTTGCCAACAGCCCTGTGATTGAACTCAGAAGCAGATCCATTCTGGGTCAAGCCTTGAGATGACTGCAGCCCTGGCTGACACTTAGATTGCCATCTTGTGTGAGACCCTGAGCCAGAGAATCTCATTAGCCGTACCCAAATTCCTAACCCATAGAGACTATGACCTCATAAATGCTGATTTAAGCCTTAAGACTTTGGAGGAATTTGTTATGCAGAAGCAGATACCTAATACACCTAGGAAAGCACGTTAAACATTTGGGATGTGAAGATTTGCTGCAGATTCATAAAGGACTCGCTTGAATTTTCAATGCTACTTCCCTCCCTCAGTGCCTCCAAAGGACTTGCAACAGCAGAAGAAGTCGGAGGAGGTGTTTTTCCTCCTTTTAATTTAAAAAGTATCCATTAGGTATTCTCTAAACGTTTCATATTAAACAGTTTCCATTATTAGGTAATCATCTACTGCTTATCTCAGAATAAATTGGAAAGAGCTGAATTTTGTAACATATTTATGCTCCTATTCAAATCAGAAGAAACCCACAAACCTCTATTTTAGAATCACCAGTGAAAGTATAAGAACATTTTGGAGTTTCAGTTGTCACTGGTGTGTTCAATAAGTATTTTTCACAGGCATACATTTATTTGTTCTGTCCCAAAGTATGGCATAGCATAGTGCTTTACAAATACTGAACATAGAACCTTATAAAAAGCCATTAGGGGAATATTAGCTCAAAATTCATTGATTTGAGCATAAATCAATTTGAAGATTTTGTGACCTGTACCACATCTTTTAGGCTCAGCAAAAATAGTTTCCATGTTGTTATGAAAGCCTAGGAAAATTGTGAACAGTTTTCCTTCAGCAAAGAGGTGCTGCAATGTAACAAAAACACCATGGAGTCAAACAGATATAAATTTGAAGCCTGACTCTTGCATTTTATGAGCTGTGTGACACTGGGCAAGTCAATTCCCCTTTCTGAGTGGTTTTCCTTGTCTCTAAAGCAGTGATAATTAATCTCCTGGCATTGTCAAGAAAATGGAATGAGACATTCTTTGTGAAACAATGTGCTATGCACATTGCAAGTGGACAAGAAACAGAAGCTACTGTAATTGCTCAAAAACCCTTTCACATTATGAAAACTCTTCTAAAAAGCTTTCAAACATCATAGCAGATCAATCACCCCTGAATTTACGCTGATCTCCCATTTTACCTCTGCTTATCTACCATTTTTTGTCCACAATTTTAGCTCCTTCTTTATGTTTCACTTCTTGCCAAACAAGAAATGAAGGGAATATAAATTGCCCAGGCTTAAAATCTCCACACTGGTCCATCCTTTCCTGGGGAAAGCTATGGAAGACAGAGGAGAAATATATTAATAGGATAATCCCTACATACAGTTTTAGAGTAAGATTTATGTAGCATTATAATTTATGAGACATTTACTAATGCACATATAAGTGTGATCATTTGGATTTCAACCTCATATCACTAATTAACTTGAGTGATGTGTTATATGTTCACATTCAGTTTATTAACGAGAAAGAAATTTTTAAAAGCTAAATCATATTTGATGTAACTATGACATACATAATATTTTAAAATAATTTTGAGAGTGAAATGTACAATTGGAATGTGTCATTTGAGACATATTTTAAAAGCTATAACCAGGTAATAATGTTAACATGGTAAGTTTCAGCCATGGTTTTTTAAAGTATTTCCTTATCATGGAGATAGGTCAGACAAAAATATGAGTCTCCTATGGCCCCCTCCCCGCAAAATCTAAATTAGCCTTCACTATCATTCTCTGCAATTATTATCTGTTTATCTTCACAGCTCAGAGTTATGGGTTTACTTGGTGATTTATATTTTTAATGTTCCTACTAAACTGTTAGCTTTAGGAGGACAGGGATTGGAAATATTTGTTTACCATGCAATACTCAGCCCAGCCCTTAGCACGGGGCTCAACAATTACAGAGTTAACATATGTGTTCATGGGCTGGTTTTAGCTGATTACTTTTGTGCATGTTTGGAACATTGATGAGCATTCAGAAACATTTACTGACCATAGGTTCTGATAACTATATATAACTGTATGTATGAAAAACTGTACATGTAACTACGTATATACAACTACAACTACAATTCTTTATATATATATTCCAATTTATTGGAGAGGAATTATGTCTTGATCCAAAATTTGAAAAACTTGCATCTTAAGATTGCAGACTTTAAAAGGTAAATCATTAAGAATTCCAGAGTCAACCTTGAAGAATGATAGCAATTAGTAGAGGTCTTAAAGTCTTAGTACCAATAAAGGGAATGATTTTGAGACGTCTCATTCTACCATACAGTCAATCTCTAGATACCACACAAGATGATTCTGATTGTTACAGCTAGATGGAGACTTTGTCTTGTTTGCCGCTGTATCCCCAAGACGTACAACAAGACTAAGCATATAGAAGGCAGTCACTAAACAACCGTTGACTATACTGCCCAGTCAGTGTAGATGATTTGCTAAACCAAGCAAATTAATAGGCTCTTCCTGTGTTGTCTTAATTTAACAAGTACAATTTTGTGTCGCCTAACAATGGGACAATGGGGACATGCTCTGAGAAATGGGTCATTGGGCAATTTCATTGCCGTACAAACATCATAGAGTGTACTTACACAAACCTATATGGTAGAGCCTACCACACCCAGGCGATATGGTGTAGCCTGTTGCTCCTAGACTACAAACCTTTATAGCATGTTACTGTACTGAATGCTACAGGCAATTGTAACACGATGGTAAGCATGATGTAGCTACACATATCTGAACATAGAAAAGGTACAGTAAAAAGATGATGGAAAGATTTTAAAAGGTGGTACACCTGTGTAGTGCACTTACCATGAATGAAACTTACGGGACTATAAGCTTCCCCAGATGAGTAAGTAGTGAGTGGTGGGGCCTAGGGCACTACTGTACACTACCAAAGACTTTATAAACACTGTACAGTTAGGCTACCCCACATTTATAAAACAATATTTTTCAATATTAAATTAACCTTAGCTTACTGAAATTTTTACTTTATAAACTTTTTAAATTTTACAAGCTTTTTGACTTTTTTTTTTTTAAGATGGGGTCTCTCTCTGTCACCAGGCTGGAGTGCAGTGGTGCAATCTCCACTCACTGCAACCTCCGCCTCCTGGGTTCAAGCGATTATCCTGCCTCAGCCTCCCGAGTAGCTGGGAGTACAGGCGTGCGCCACCATGCCCAGCTAATTTTTGTGTTTTTAGTAGAGAAGGGTTTCACCATGTTGGCCAGGATGGTCTGGATCTCTTGACCTCGTGATCTGCCCGCCTTGGCCTTCCAAAGTGCTGGGATTACAGGTGTGAGCCACTGCACCCAGCCAACTTTTTGACTTTTATGTAATAACACTTAGCTTAAAACACAAACATATGGTACAACTATACAAAAATATTTTATTTCTTATACCATTATTCTATAAGCATTTTTTTCCTATTTTTTAAACGTTTTCAACTTTTTAATTCAAAACTAAGACACAAACACACACATCAGCCTAGACCTACACAGTGTCAGGATCATCAGTATCACTGTCTTTCACCTCCACATCTGGTCCCACTGGAAGGTCTTCAGGGGCAATAATATGCATGGAGCTGTCATTTCCTATGATAAAAATGCCCTCTTCTAGAATACATCCTGAAGAACCTGCCTGAAGCTGTTTTAGTTATTTGTTTAATATGTAGAAGGAGTGCACTATGAAATAACAATTAAAGTATAGTATAGTAAATACATCGCTAGTAACATAGTTGTGTATTATTATCAAGTACTATGTACTGTACCTAATTGTATGTGCTATACTTTTATATGACTGGAAGCACAGTAGGTTTGTTAACTCCAGAATCACCACAAATACATGAATAATGCGTTGCACTACATGATGTCACCAGGCGATAGAATTTTTCAGCTCCATCATAATCTTATGGGACCACTCGTGTATAGGTGATCTGTCACTGACCAAACTGTCGTTATGCTGTGCGTCACCGTAATTTTGATGATGTGTTTTGATAGCAGTAAAGTGATCTCTGGATTCAAAAGTGACATATGCCAATAAATAATCTTAGAGAAGATATGTTTAGAACACCTTATTATTAGTTTTCTAGATGTTTGGCAGAAATACATATGCATAAATAGCTTCTAGTTATTCAGTTTGGAAACAACAGAAAGACATTTCTTCATTATGACAGGTTTTAAATGCCAATAAAAAGAGAAGATATTTAAAAAGAGTGCTCATTGGGTACAGAGAATAGTTCAGAGGATAATATCAGTTTAAAAAATACAGATGGTTTTAGACAATGTGTTTGCTTTAGAAAAGAGAAAAGTCAGTCATGTGCTTTAATTCACCTTGAAGTGACAGATAATTTTGATAAGGCCATTTTGAAGCATCCAAGTCAAAGTAGTCCTACCAAAATGTAAGAATTTTATTACCAAATCATATTTACAACACGCATCTCAAGTTTATTCTCCTTTTATACTATATCCCCTTTCCACCCTCCACTTCCCAAATAAGGAAGACTTTCCCTTTTTACCTTAGTGTATCTTACTGTCTGTGTTGTTGGAATTTTTAATAAGAATATGTAGACTTTACAATCAGATATTTTTATGTAAACCTGTTTTTAAGTCGTTAAGAGCTAACATTTATCAGAGTTTTTCACTTGTTTCCCATGATTGTCAAGTAATTTAATGACATTGGGCTTTTTTGTTGTTGGTGGTAGCTATTATAAATGGGATTTTTAAAATTGTCTTTTGTGGATAGTTTGTTGTTAGTGTGTGGAAACACTATTGATGCTTGTGTGTTCATTTTGTATCCTGCAGTTTACTGTATTTGTTTATTAGTACTAACAGTGGTGTTTGTGCGTGTGTGTGTGTGTTGTGTCATCTTTAGAGTTTACCATATATAAAATCATCATGTTGTCTGCAAACAGGGACAATTTAACTTCTTCCTTTCCAATTTGGATGCCTTTATATCTTTCTCTTGCTGAATTGCTATGGCCAGGATTTCCATTACTATGTTAAATATAATGCTTCTCTTATTGATAACTGAGATACTATTAGACCTTAAAAATTATTTTAATTACATAAATGAGGCCTAAATATACTTATGTTAAAAACAAACAAAAGAATTCTGCTATGGTTACAACTCATGATTTACTTGTTCACCACTTCCAGTTGCATCATTATCCAGAGGTAGTGATGATTATCAGTGTGGTGGGTATCCTTTGGTATTTTGGATTTCCTTTTATATAAACTTTATGCTGTTACATATGTAATATGAAATAGGTATATAAACTTTATGCTATTACATATGCTATTACATACATATTACAAATGTTTCCACATTTCCATTTTTAAATTTCAGTGCCCTTTGCAAATTTTCCATGTTAGTACTCATAGATGAAATACTAGAAATGTAATTGAGGATTTCCTCTGCAATTTGCACTAAGAAAAACATCATATTTTTGCCCAAATAGTCTTTGTTATCCTATCAATTTCTAAGACACAACTAATCAGATAAAATTACCAAAATCAGGAAACCTAAAAAAGGCCCTAAAGGTAGTTTTGCTGTATAAATATTAAGTATGTCAAGCTGGAAATTCATCACTGCAATGCTTTTAGTTATCCAGCATTTCACACTGGAAAGCCACCTTCTTTTTTACAATTCCATGGCATATTTAGAAGTGTTTATAGAAAATTTATGCCTCCAAAACAGCAAAAAACCCTTTGAATCCTAACTTTAGAACTCATCATTTTTTATGCATTCATTTACGCCTTCATTTAATATTACCAAGCTAAAGCTATGTACAAGGCACTCTGCTAGGGGCTAAGAATGGGAAGATAAATACCTAATCCCTGACACAAAGGAGCTTGTAGTTTACTACATAAAACACTTAAATAACAAATTCAGTGGAGTGTTATAAATGCTGTGATAGAAGTATAAACAGTGCTATGGGTGCACCGAGGAGAGAAGACTATTTCAGACCATCAATTAACCAATATTTATTGGCCAACAATATGAGCTAAGCACTGTGCTAGGTGCTGTCATTACACAGACATTTTTTTCTTTTGTAAAAATAAAGTATTTAAATGTCTTCTAATTTTATTGCTTTTCTGAATATGTTGGCGAAATACAGTTCAGTGATTAAGAGCAGAGATGTTGGTGCTAAGCTGCTTGGGTTTAAATCCTTGCTCTGCCCTTTTCTAATTGAGGTATCTTGAATGTAACATCACAGTTTCATCACTTACAAAATATGGATATTAATCATTTCTGATCCATAAAATTGTGGTAAGATTAATACATGTGAAGCACTTAGTACACTGTCTGATATTGATTAATTACTCTAAATGTGTTAATTTCTATTTTGTCATTTTTCGTGGCATTTTAAAAGAACTCATTAGACATTTTCTCTTTATCTTCAGTTTCAGATGCTCAACATTTTGTCTTAGGTTAAATTTTCATGGACTGCCATAAAGATTGTCATATGTACTCACTCATTAGTGACTTAGAGAAAGACAGATTTAATCTAGATATCTCCATGATGAGGGCAAATAGTCACTCTGAAAATAGTTTCAAACCAGTTATACATTAATAAGCATTGAATTTGTTTCTGGGATGTACTATCAAATACAATATTTCTTTTAGAAAGAAAATAAATGAAGATACTTCAAAATAAAATACGCCATGAACACTTGTGCACGTGCACCTGTGCATGAGGGCATGTGCACACACACACACATACACAGACACATTTTTTAAAAATTTTTATTTGAGGTTTGGAGGTACATGTGAAGGTTTGTTATATAGGTGAACTTGTGTCACTTGGGCTTGTCATACGGTTATTTCATCAACCAGGTATTAAGCCTAGTGCCCACCTAGTTATTTTTTCTGCTTCTCTCCCTCCTTCCACCCTCTACCCTCAAGTAGACCCTAGTGTTTGTTGTTCTCTTCCTTGTGTTCATGAGTTCTCATCATTTAGTTCCCACTGATAAGTGAGAACATGTGGTATTTAGTTTTCTGTTCCTATGTTAGTTTGCTAAGGATAATAGCTTCCAGCTCCATCCATGTTCCTGCAAAAGACATAATCACATTCTTTTTTGTGGCTGCATAGTATTCCATGGTGTTTATATATACCACATTTTCTTTATCAGATCTGTCATTGATAGACATTTAGGTTGATTCCATGTCTTTGCTATCACACACACTTATGACCCAAATCTTGTTTGAGTAGTTCTCCAAGAAACTTCATGGTACAGACATTATAAATACAACATTTAAAAAGATCTAGCACTTTAATCTCTCTTAGCTTGTGCAATGCTGCTCCTTGGCAAAATTGACTATAGGCCATCTCCATCATGGGACAGGTAATAGAGTTGCCAGATTCAGCAAATGAAAACACAAGGCACTCAGTTAAATTTTAATTTCAGAGAGATAATGAGTACTTTTTTTAGCTTAAGTATACTCCATGTAATATTTGGAATGTACTTACGTGGAAAAACTTACATGGTGTTTACCTGAAATTCAAATTTCACGAGGCATCATATATTTCACTTGGTAATCTTAGAGGGGACACATCAAATCTGTTTCTAGGAATGCTTTCTCATGCTGTTAGATTCTCTTGACTATACTTACCTCCCACCATTCCTGTTCCAGCTCTTTAGAAATATTTCTTAAAAGCCTTCATAAATAATCACATTTTTAACATTTAAATTTACTGAAGCAAATGGTATAGCCATCCCCACAATCAAATACTATCATATTTATCATTTTCTTCTGTCCCTTCACTTTATTTTCTCCTCAATTCACCTCCATTTTGTTTTCCATTTTGATTCCTTTTGGCCTTTGTTTGTTTGTTTGTTTCTTTCCTTCCTTCCTTCCTTCCTTCCTTCCTTCCTTCCTTCCTTCCTTCCTTCTTTCTTTCTCTTTCTTCTTTTTCTTTTTTTAAAAGAGTCTCACTCTGTCGCCCAGGATGGAGTGCAGTGGCACGATCTCAGCTCACTGCAACCTCCGCCTCCCAAGTTCAAGTGATTCTTCTGCCTCAGCCTCCTGAGTAGCTGTGATTACAGGCACGTGCCATCACGCCCAGCTAATTTTTGTATTTTTAGTAGAGACGGGGTTAATCCATGTTGGCCAGGATGGTCTCGAATTCCTGACCTTGTGATCTGTGCGCCTCAGCCTCCCAAAGTGCTGGGATTATATGTCTTTGTTTTAATGATTACTTTTCTTCCTTGGACAACATTCCTTCTCATTTGTTAAGATGAGGTGTTGGAGGAAAAGGATGGAAACAAATATTTTTAAAAATCCTATTGAGCCTAGATATAATGTCTCCCTTTACTTCACTCATTCTTTGCTCTTGTCCTCATCTCCATTAATTATTTCTTCTTCCATTGTCCCTGACTGATTCAATATGAATACTGGACCAATCCAAATGTCCTCTTTTTTTTTCCCCTGGAATCTGAGCATTATAATGGGAACTGCAGATTGATGCCACTATAAATTGATAGTTTCTAACCAAAAATGTGTATTCAGGTCTGCACAGAAATATCCTATTGTTTTATTATTTTTTTTCTCACTGGCTGTCTTCTCATTGTCCAGATTGGCTATTTCAATTTTTTTATTCATTTCAAAACTTTCTAATTCCAGGCTTCACCCTTTGCTCTTAGGAAATAACTTATTCTTCAATTTTGCACGGAAAATAGAAAATAGAAACCATCACACAGGATTTTCTTCAGCTTCCTTAAATCACATATACAATTTGCCTGAACTCATTCTTCCCTGATGCTTGTGTTTGCAATGGAAGAGGTGCCATTTCCCATGTCTAAAGTTGAGGATTCTAAAACTGCCTGTTTCCTGTGTTTTACACTCTTTTACTTGTATTGCTAACATTTTTCTCCTTGATATTTCAATTGTTTAAGAAGATTTAAACACCTGATAGTCTAATCTTTTTTTTTTTTTTTACCTTAAGGAAGTGAACAAGACCCTTAAGTTAACCCTACAAATCAGTTTAACCAGAGAGCTACCTCTTTCTTTCTCTTCAAACTCAAGCATTTTGAAAGAAAAGAGGTATGTAGAATAGCCATTAAATGAGGTAAAGTCCTCACTTAACCATTTACCATCTGGGACATTAAAATTTGCTGTTTATCTTTCAAATTGAACTGTTTTCACAAAGATTCTCATTGCCATACTTGTAGCCTTATCTAATAAAAATCTTTTAGTCTCTATTTTATTGATCTTTCTTTAGCATGTGATGGCCTAGATCACCTTTGGAAATGTTTTTCTCTTGAATTCTGTGATGCCACACCTTCCATCTTATTCTTCTTCCTCCTTCCATTATGCCTATGACTCCCAAATCTGTCGACCTAAACTACATGTTTTAATTTCTTATGGTTGTTGCAACAAATTACTGTACACTGGGAGGTTTGAAACAACAGAAATTTACTCTCTCACAGTTCTGGAGACTAGAAATCTGAAAGTAATGGGATCTCGGAACCACACTCCCACCAGAAGCCCTATGGAAGCACCCATTCCTTATCTCTTCCTGCTTCTGGGTGCTGTTGGCATTTCTTGGTACGATGGTTAGTTTTCTGTGTAAAGTTGGTGAGGTTATAGTAACCAGTGATTTAACCAAACACTTAACTGAGGTGTTGCTGTGAAGGTATATTGTAGATATGGTTAATATTTACAATCAATTGGCTTTAAGTAAAGAGGATTATTAGACTAGCTAGTATAATACTATTATTTTCAATTAGGAAAATATATTGTTACTGTCAATGGAGCTTGCAAAGAAAGATTTTAAATTCCTAGGTGAGTCTAGTTTTCCTGGGGTTCACCCGTACCTCTCAGCTCTGGCCTCCTCTGTGTCATGAGGGCTCTTCTCCAGCCTGGCTCATCACCATGCTTTCCAACTGTAGAGGGTCAGTGCCAGCAAGATGTGAGCACTGGAAACTACAAAATACTGCTTAGAGAAATCATAGAAGGGCCAAATAGATGAAAATATGTACTTGTTCATAACTGACACACATACTCTTGAAACCTCAATAAAAATTCAACCAGGGATTATTGTGTAAACTAACAAGTTGATTTTGAGATTTACATGAAATAGTCAAAGATATAAAAGAAACAGTACAATCTTGAAGGAGCAAAAAAAGTTGGGGACTATCAGTAAAGATGCAGCTAATAAGACAATATAGTGTAGGAACAAGGATGGACAAAGAGATCAATGGAACAATATAGAAAATCCAGTGGTAGCCTCATACATATCTGATCACTTGATCTAAAACAAAAACATCAATATATTCAGTGGGTAAAAGGGTTGTCTTTTGAAAAAGTAATGTTGGCCAACTGGATATCTATATGGGGAGAATGTGAACTTTGATCTCTACTTCATATACCACATTTGAAAATTAGTTTTGAGAGAAAGTAGGTACCTAAAGGTAAAAGGTAAAGTTTCCGTTAATCAAAAGCTACCATAAAGAAAAGGAAACATTATGCCACAGAATAGAAGAAAATACTTGCACACATATATCTAAAACATGTCCAGAATATATAAAGAAACCCTTCAAATCAATAAGCAAAAGACAAGCATAACAAATTTTAAAATTATAAATGAGTTAAAGAGGGATTTAGCCCAGGAGGATATCTAAATAATCAGTAAGTATATGAACAGGTAAGGAATATCATTACTCATCACTGAAATGCAAATTAACGTAACGAGTGGTAATATTTCTCCTGACACCAAATAGTTAAAATTTATAAAGATTGACTATATCAATGCTGGTGAAGATGAGCAACTAGAACTCTCATATTTTGCTTTTGGGGAATATGAAATAAGTCCTTTAGAAAATTAGCTGTTTTTGCTAAATCTAAACATAAACCTGTCCTATGACCCAGCAATTCAACTCTGGAGCATACACTCAGAAGAAATGAGTGCATACATTTACATTCTCTCATACACACACTAAAGATAAAAATGTTTCTAGTAACTTTATTTATAGTAGCTGAAAATTAGAAACTACTCTAATGCCCATCAACAGAATGAAGAAATAAATTGTGATATGTTCATATAATGAATTCTACCTAGCAGTTAAAAAAATGAACTAATGGTACATGTAACAATATGGTTGAATCTCAGAGACATTATGCTGCATGAAAGAAGTCAATTATAAAAGAGTATGTATTGTATAATTCAATGTATAAACTTTAAGAATAGGCAAAACAAATCAATAATGGTAACAGTCAGAATATTCTTTATTTTCTGAGATGGGGTAAACTGGGCAGAGGACAAACAGAAACTTTTGTTTTGTATCTTGATCTAAGTGGTGGTTGCATGGGGACATAGTTACATAAAAATTATTCAGGTTTTAATTTAAGCATATATACTTTTTATCTATGTTATGCCTCAGTTAAAAATGTAAATAACAACTATAAAAAATACTCAGGTTACAATTACGTGAAGTCAAATTCAAGATTCTAAACTGTATTATAATATGATTCCTTATATATAGGAAAAAGTGCTAGAAAATTAAAATAAAAGTGGTTACTTCCTGGACAAAACTGTTTTGGTCTGATGTGTATATTTGTGAAGAAATAATGCATTTTTTTATTATTATACTTTAAGTTCTGGGATACATGTGCAGAAAGTGCAGGTTTGTTACATGGTATACACGTGCCATGGTGGTTTGCTGCACCCATCAACCCGTCATCTCTATTAGGTATTTCTCCCAATACTTTCCCTCCCCTAGCCCCCCACCCCCTGATAGGCTTCAGTGTGTGATGTTCCTCTTTCTGTGTCCACGTGTTCTCATTGTTCAACTCCCACTTATGAATGAGAACATGTGGTGTCTGGTTTTCTGTTCTTGTGTTAGTTTGCTGAGAATGACGATTTTCAGCTACACACATGTCCCTGAAAAGGACATAAACTCATCCTTTTTATGGCTGCATAGTATTCCATGGTGTATATGTGCCACATTTTCTTTATCCAGTCTACAATTGATGGGCATTTGGGTTGGTTCCAAGTCTTTGCTATTGTGAACAGTGCCACAATAAACATACGTGTGCATGTATTTATAGTAGAATGATTTATAATCCTTTGAGTATATACCCAGTAATGAGATTGCTGGGTCAAATGGTATTTCTGGTTCTAGATCCTTGAGAAATCACCACACTGTCTTCCACAATGGTTGAACTCATTTACACTCCCACCAACAGCGTAAAAGCATTCCTATTTCTCCACATCCTCTCCAGCATCTGTTGTTTCCTGACTTTTTAATGATCGCCATTCTAACTGGCAGATTGATCATTAAGAAGCATAATTTGCAGGTGAGAATTTCTGGCAAGATGGTTTTTTGGTCTTTTGTTTTGTTTTGGAAGCTGGTGGAAGAGCGACCTGTGTGCCCACGAATGGGTATTATAAGCAATCGGCTATTTGACAAGGCTTTAATATAGACATCAAGAAGCACACCCACCTAAAATGGCCGATAAACAATTGGAAATCATTTGGTTGCATTATATACTCACCTCAGGAAAAGATAACTGTGTCTTACTTTAATGGGGGACCAAGTAGGATTCATATGTTTTTAGAAAAAAATATGTAAATAAGTATATACACCTACTATGTGCCCACAGAAATTAAAACTCAAAAAAGAAAAAATCATAAGTAAGTAGGTGCAAAAGTGGACAACTTTTGGACTTAGACTTGAAATCAGAAGATCAGGCTTGAATTCCAGATCTAACTCATAATGGGCATGAAATTTTCAATAATATAATTTACGACTAATTTTCTTATATATTTAAATATCTTGTAAAGATAAAAATGAGGCAAGTAAGATGTTTTTGAACTGGAAAGCATTCAGACAAAGCATATTGTTGTATGTTATTATAATAATATATAGTTGTGTGTGTGTGTGCGGGGAGATATTGTAGAGACTTCCACTCAGAGCAAGTCTTATATATGTTTTATACACTCCTACACACACCATTTCTTAAACCCTTCTGCATTGAAAAGCCTTCTTCTTAGGGACATTATCTCCTTCCTCTCCCAATGTGATTTCAGGGAAAGTTGGTATATTACCTGTCCCTGCCTCCTAACAACAAGTGATTGGTCCAGACCTTGGAAACTGACCCAAGTCTGGACAAACAGAATATTCCTTAAAAATTTATGAACTAGATTAGAAAATAGACATAGTTCTTCTTTGACTGTAGAAATATGAAAATGTATAATATAATAGCTACATTTCTCATCCAGTAGAAGTAGCCCATCCACAGTGAGAGAATAAACCAGGTAGGAAAAGAGAAGCTGGATTACAGAAAAAGCAAGTGAAAGAGAAGAGAGCATAAGAGAATGTGAGGACATGAGAGAGTGATCTGGCAGTCTTCACTCTGTCATTTTAGTTGTTTCTAAGCTGGGTTGCATCTCTGCTCTGTCCACTCTTCATAGTTCAACCTGAGATAGCCCAGTATCCTTGTGATGAATTTCTCCCTTACTTTAAGCTAGTTTGGTTTTGACCATTTGCAAGCTAAGGGGTTGACACAGGCTGAGTTGCTTAGGAAGCAAACTCTGAGATGATGATTGGCATGCAGAACATTTGCTCAGGTGTGTTGTTGGGATCAACTTCTGTGAAGGGAAGGGAAGACAGCAGGATTGGATAGAAGGAGAAGTTGAGATGTAATGCAATCTCAATGAAGACCTCAGCTGACCTGAAAGACAGCCTGGAAGCTGGAATGGCCTTAGAGGTCTGTTCTAATTTGGGGCAGGAGATGTTTTCCCCTGACATTCAGCAGTCATTAAATGTAAGCCATGCTAGAAAGAGTGTGTAACTTATGGTGAGACATTTTTCTGCAACAAAGGCAATCACTGAAGTGGGGTGGCAGTTGAGGGTCATTCCCTGGCCATACTACCAGCAGCTGGGGGAGTAAACTCTCCCTTCCTGAACTGGGGATCTGGGTGGCCCATTACAGAATCCCCATAGTCCAACTCAAATCCTTTCTATCTGCATGGGTTTCAGGTCTACAGAAAAAAACACAAGTTCACCTGCAGGACTTGTGAATGTATCTTTAAAGTTAACTTAAAGTACTCCAAAAGTAGTTACTAAAATTGAATGCTTCTTGAATTCTATGTTATTTCATCATCATATAAGCTGTTTCATTTTCTTTATCGAATTTCAAAGCAGAGTTTTCAAGTCTTCAAGTCTTGTTCTGGATCAGAATACTCTGTGGAGCTTGTTAAAAATACAGACATATGGGCTGCACTTTGGAGTGACTGAAACAGAAGTTCCTGAGTAGAGCCTGGGAAATCATATTTTTAAAAGCATATAAATGGCACAGGCCTTTTGAAAGGCAAGATCAACTCCGAGATATTAGTCGTAAGCTGCAGCTTCCATTGGTTTATTATTCTTTAAACTACTTAAAAAGAAACAAGCTATTCAAATGTACAGCTTATTACAATGCAATTAGTGACTAAAATAGGCACCAAATTCAATGTCAACAAGTAACCTATGATTCACTGGCCCTTGCACTGACATGATAAACTAGGACCCTGTGTCTCCCAAGCTCTCAGAATAATCCTAGGAGCAATTGTGCTTTTGGCCATGTTTTTCTCCTTCCTGCCTTCTGTTTTCTTGGCCTTTCCACTGGGCAGTTGCTTTAGTTGGCAGCTGTCACATATTGCTTTCACTTCCATGAGATGTCATTTACAATAGGCATGATAACCATTTCTACTCTTGAGGACAACAGTCTTCTCCAAACTTTGCCACCGCAAAGGGGCACCACTACTGCTTGCTTTCCTGGGAATCAGCAGGGCCATCTCAGCTAAATACTATTGCCTATTCCACTGGGTGCTGCTGGTGATGCACTGGGCAAATGCAGGGCAAATAGATTCTGGCACTCTACAATAAATTGGGGGGAAAAGGTACTCTCATTTTTTTTTCCATTAAAGATAAAATCAGGTATATTTGAGTGAAATATATCTTTTACTTTTGACTTTCTGCCTTCTCCAGAATTCAAACAAGGACAGTATCAGAAACAATTCTGAGTGACAGTATGTTGTACTCAAAAATCTTCCCCTACTCAAATTCAGAAATCTGTTACTAGATGTGTGTGTCTACCTGTCCTGTGTTTTAGAATTAGCTTCTCTTGGAAGTTCCTTAGTCCTTTAAATAGTTAGGTTTCCAAAGGTCTGTTTGATAAGTTGACCAAATATACATGTTGATATGGTTTGGCTGTGTCCCCACCCAAATCTCATCTTAAATTGTAGCTCCCATAATTTCCATGTGCCATGGGAGGGACCCAGTGGGAGATAATGGAATCATGGGGACAGGTTTTTCCCATGCTGTTCTCATGATAGTGAATAAATCTCATGAGATCTGATAGTTTTATAAAGGGGAGTTCCCCTGCACATGCTCTCTTGCTTATCACCATGTAAGATGTGACTTTGCTCATTCTCCTTTGCCATAATTGTGAGGCCTCCCCAACCATGTGGAACTGTGAATCAATTAAACCTCTTTCCTTTATAAATTTCTCATCCAAAATATATATAAAACTCAGGCCAGATGCAGTGGCTCATGCCTGTAATCCTAGCCCTTTGGGAGGTTGAGGTGGGCAGATCACTTGAGGTCAGGAGTTCAAAACCAGCCGGGCCAACATGGAGAAACCCCATGTCTACTAAAAATATAAAACAATTAGCCAGGTATGGTGGTGGGCATCTGTAATCTCAGCTACTTGGGAGATGAGGCAGGAGAATCGCTTGAACCTGGGCGGCGGAGGTTGCAGTGAGCTGAGATTGTGCCGCTGCACTCCAGCCTGGGCAACAGAGTGAAACTCCATCAAAAACAAAACAAAACAAAACCAAAAAACCCAAAAAACTCAATATGCAACAGTAAGGAAACATAGAAATCAATTTTTAAAATGGGCAAAAGCTTGGACACTTACCAAGAAGGTTATAAGGATGGCAAAGCAGCATATTAAAAATGTTCAACATCATTAGCCATAAGTGAAATGCAAAGTTAAGCATTAATGAAATACCACTGCACACTTATTAGAATGCAGAAAATAAAAAATACTGACAACACCAAGTGCTGACGAGGATGTAGAGCAACTAAAACTCTCATACATTGCTGGTGGTAGTGAAAAATGGTACAGCTATTACATAAAATGGTTTGACAGTTTCTCATCAAGTTAAACATGTAGTTATGACTCAGCAACTCTGATTTTTTGGGAAAAGAAAGCTTTCGTTCAAACAAAAACCTCCACGCAGATGTTAATATAGTAGCTCTCTTCATAATATATTCCCAAAACTGGAGACAGTGCAAAAGTCCTTCAGTGAGTAATGGAGGAAGAAACTATGATACCTCAGTACAATGAAACACTACTCAGCAATAAAAAAGAACAAACTATTGATTCAGATCAGAATTTGAATTAATTTCAAGTGCATTATAATGGGAAAAAGAAGTTAGTCTCAAAAGGTTGCATATCACATGATTCCATTTATATGAAATTCCCAGAAAGATAAAAGAAATGGACAGGAGATCAGTGGTTGCCAAAGATTAGGGGAATGGAGTGCTGTGATTATAAAGAAATGACACCAGGGAGTCTGAGGTGATAGAAGGAACTCTTTTCATATCCTGATAATGGTGGTAGTTATTTGAATCTATAAAAGTATCAAAATTCAAAGACCTGTACAAGAAAGTCTGTGACTA
Source organism: Homo sapiens (assembly GCF_000001405.40). NCBI lineage: Eukaryota > Metazoa > Chordata > Mammalia > Primates > Hominidae > Homo > Homo sapiens. Next base: position 99,182,943 of record NC_000001.11, on the reverse strand, counting down.
TATGATAATTTAAAAAGCAAAATTAACATTTTTTAAATCCCATGCTTACAACTTACAAAGATCTGGATGAGTTTGTCAGGTTCTAGCTATAAGGAGCTTATACAATAACATTAGAGGTATTTTCTCTTGCTCGACCTTACAGTTAAAAATCTAACCAGGCCTCTATGTCTCCATGTGTTAAATCTATATGTTAAACATTGTTTGTGTAAGCTATATTTTCTTCCCTTTACCTGTGTTGGCTTCATTTTGAAAAGCTCTCCCTATAAGATGACAATAACTTCAGGTTTATGTTTGCCCTACAAGCAAAAAGAAATTATCTCTGGCCAGGTGTGGTGGCTCATGCCTGTAATCCCAGCACTTTGGGAGGCTGAGGCGGGTGGATCACCTGAGGTCAGGTGTTTGAGACCAACCTGGCCAACATGGTGAAACCTCGTCTCTCCTAAAAATAAAAAATAAAAAATAAATAAAAAATCAGCCGGGCGTGGTGGCACGCTTCTGTAGTCCCAGCTACTCGGGAGGCTGGGCTGAGGCAGGAGAATCACTTGAACCCGGGAGGCAGAGGTTGCAGTGAGCCGAGATTGCACCATTGCACTCCAGGCCAGGCAATAGAGCAAGATTCAGTAAAAAAAAAAAAAAAAAAAAAAAAAAAAAAAAAGAAAGAAAGAAAGAAAAGAAAAGAAAAAGAAAAAAAGAAATTATGTCTTTCTCAATAGCTTCAGAGTTCTCTGGGAGGAAACAATTTTCTTTGGCAAAGCTATGACCCATGCCCATTCCTCAATGTAACATTTGGCAAGGAGATAGAGCTTTCTCTTTGTCTAGGCATCCGTTTTATGTCCACTGTTGAGCCAGCCCCATTCATTTCCAGGCAAGAATGAAGTAAATGAGGTTGACCAAAGGCATGCTGGACAGACATAAAACATATGTCATCTCTCTTGGACTTAGTGCTGGGGAAGACACTTAACTTTTCTTTGTCTCAATTTGACCACGCAAAAAGGTAGTAGTAATCATACTTTCTTCAAGCAATGACAACATCTATCCACAAGTAAGCTGGATTGCAAACTGGCTGCTTTATTTCTCCCGGTCATCATCATAGGGTGTTAGAGATGGTTAAAATGAATGAAGCAACAGTGCCATAGTATCTACATTTCATGCCTATAAAAATCACAAGATGCTAGTAATGAAAGGGTTCATGAAGAGTCACCTGCCTCAGTCGTCTGATTTCAGGAAAAGTTATACTTGCACATTTCTAGGAAGAAGAAAAAAAATACATGTTTATGATTTTCATGGCATAGTATTCTATGATAACTCTTGGTAATGTTTTACCACCTTGATTCCATTCTTAGGAATCTCAGAAATGTCTTAAACTCAACTAGTCTTTCATGTTATTGCTTATATGAAATAACATGAAAACTCACATCCCATTTTTATATCTTTATTAATTTTTTAAAAAGGAAAAATATAGCTGGTCACTCTATTTTTAAATATCTTCATATATGGTACTTGAAAATGTTATTGTCATAAATTCCTCCACCAATCATTTGTTCTCCATACGCTAAACTCTTGATCCACTAAATTTTCTTTACAAGTTGCATTTTTTTAACACTTTGAATATATATATTTTAACTCTTCAAAATTTCTGAACAATCTCTTTCAGGGCAGCAGAAATCTGAGCTCTACCCATTTTTTCAGTAACAACTAAAAACTCCAGAAATGTCTTCAGAAGACGAAAGGAAGCATGTATCTGGAGAAAAGGTTATTCCAGGATTCTGAGGGAGTCCCAACACTTTCCAGACCATCTGGCTGAAATCTAATTGCTAATGAAATGAACAGATTTTTTTTTTATCCACAAGTATAGCCTGAAGGGGAATTAAGCCAGGATTTTCGAGAATGCCTGGCACAAAAGAGCTGTTGTCAAAGAAAGCTAAAAAGGATAGTGATAATGATAGTACATTAAACCATACAAAATATATATTTTCATTTGCTTTTGGAGAAGAGAGTTAGGGCTGCTTGTATAATGAATTATTATTACCCACTAAGTCAGCTGCACTAATTAGAATCAATTTAATTTCTCAAATCTATTATAAAAAATGAATACTAGCCAGGACTCAGATTTTTTTTTTCCTGAAAAAAACTGATACTGTAGCTTTAATTGTGCATGGAACTGAAAAGGTTGTCATGGAGATGGGAATCTGTGATAGGCCTGCTCCACTTCGCTGGCCTTGTTCTGAGCCTGAAGTGGAAGGTTCTATTGTTAGAGTAGGTTTTCAATTTCTTGCAATAAAACCTGTGTTTAGATTTTTTTCAGTGCAGTTTTGTTCCTGCTGCTATCTTTTGTTTCATGAAAACAGTGAGAGTGCTTATAATGACAATAATGAGACCATTTTAGAATATTCTATTTGTGATTGTTGGGGAGCACACAAAATGGTGTCCAACAAACTCTGATAGTCACTGCAGGCTCCTGCAATAGTTTGGAAACGTTTGCCACCTAGTGGCGGCAATTGAGAAATGCTGAGAGATAGTAAACATTGTTACCTTTTGGCTAGTAGGAAGCAGAAAGAAGAGTATAACTACCTCTATAAAGAGATTCTTCATTTCTTTTTTTCCTTAAGATATAGAACAATTCCGATTTCCCATCCTTATTTCGTTATTTAAAAAATAATATTTTAATGGTATTTGCTTATTTCATTTAAATATTGAAATTACGGACATAACATTGTTTATATCTTTCTATTATATTTTAACAATTATAAAATCTAAAGTAATATCCTGGCTTTTATTTCTGACTTTTTTGACTTCTCTTTTTTTCTTGACCTTGGGGTTTATAAATTGTGTTTTATTTTTGAAGGACCAACTTTTGGTCTTCTTTATTAATTTTATGTTTGTTTTCTCTTCATTGGGCTTCTGCCTGTGTCATCTTTTTCTTCAACTTTCGTTGGATTAATTTGCTTTTCTCATTGCTTCTTCAGATAGATATGTAGAGTGTTGATATTCAATATTCTTTTCTAACATATGCACATAAGCCTGCACATTTTACCTAAGCATAACTTTAGTTATGTATTTTGATATGTCAACCATGTTATCATTTATTTCCAAACATTTATTTCCAAACATTTTCTAATTTTCATTGTGATTACTTGTTTTCGCAACCGTGTTTTAACACCTATATACATGATAGCAATTATTAAGGTTTTTTTCTGTTTATCTTTTTGTTACTGCTTTCTAGTTTAATTCTACTTTCTGCAGAGAATAGAACCTCCTCTGAGATTTAAAATAAACAGATCCATCAAACAAATTATTATTTAATAGACTTCTGGCCACTATTTACACCTGGTGCTTCTCTTCATGCTGTTGCTTGGAATACCTTTAAGGATCAGCTAACATGTCAATTACCCAATAAAATATTGGCCAATTCCTTCTTTTGATATTTCCTTAATCACAATTAATTTCTCCTTCTATTGTGCTCCCACAGCCTTTTGTTCTTACTGCTATTACAATACCGCTTCCATTGCATTATATCTAGAGGTAAGCGTGTGTGTGCGTTTAGCCATCTTTTGCCAGATTAAGAATTTCCTTGAGAGAAAAATGCTTTATTACTTTTTTATTCCTCTGTACCTACATTACTAGCAGGGGTGTGGTAGGCTTCCCATAAATATTTACAAAATTAATGAATTGTCTGCCTTTTACTTTTCAGCCCCTCCTGAACCATTCTGCTTCCCGTTACCTTTATTCTTTTTATTCCTCCTCATTAGGATGGTGTCCCCTGCTACAGGGCCTTTGCAAATGGTTTCGTCTGCCTGGAATAACATTCTTTCCTTCCCTTTTTCACCTGGTTAACACGGACTCATCCTCTGGTTCTCAGTTCAGATATCTCCCTTTGAAGGAAGTTTTAACCCAGTCCCTGACCAGGAAATTCTCCTTATTATACACTTTCATTGTATAATATTGTTATTCTTAGTGTTCATAACATTTTTAAATTTTTCCACAAAAATAATTATAAAAGAGAAGTTATAAAATCAATCTGAAAAAAATTTAACCTTATTTAAAAAAAAACACAGACCAAAACTATTTGAAGGGAAAAATCCTCATTTGAATACTTGAGTTATTGCAAAAATAATCTCCCCTTAGCCTATATATACATTGAAAACACTCCGTTATGTCTCTTGGTGGAATTTTCACAGTCTGTCTTCAGTCAGTAAATGCACAAACAACCCTGAGCACATGTGTGGGTCATTATAGTGAAGAAAACACAGGCTTCAGATTCAGATCTGGTTTCCAATAGTATGGCTATTTCAAACCGTGAGATCTTGATCTTAGAATTTCGATTTCTTCATCTGTTAAATGGGTTTAACAAAAATCGTTTTATAGGACAGTTGGAAATATTAGCACACCCTTATTTTTTTTAAATCATCCTTGTTAATTCTTGCTAACCAAAATGTGCTAGGAAAGCAAAAATAAATAAGATATCGTCCTGGAACTCAAGTAGACTCGTGACGGAGTTCAATACATAAATCAATGATTATTACGATGAGAGATAACCCTGAGAGGTATGGATAATCCAGGACCGTGGACAGGTGGGCAGTGTGGTTAAGCAGGGATGGGTCCCCCAGTGCTGTCAGTGGGGGTAGGAATAAGCAGATGGTGTTGCCAATCTTCTCTTATATTAGAGGCATATTGGCTAATACATGTTCTAGCACACTGGTGGGGCAAAACCTTGTATCTTTCCAGACACTGGGCGCACGATTTAGGGCATATCTTTTAATCTCTATGTGCCTCAGTTTTGTCCTCTGTGATGATAGTAGTAGCTAAAACTTACAAAGCACTTACTAGGTGCCCGACACTCTTCTAATTGCTTTATGTATCTTAATTCCCTTAATCCTTACAACAACCGCATTTTACAGAAAAGGAACCAAGGACTGATAAAGTTAAATACCAAGTATCTTGCCCAAAGTCAAAGAAATAATTCAAATGGCAGAGCTGGGATTCAAACTCAGGCAATCTTATCTCCAAAGTTTCATGCTGAACCGTAACTGACTCTCTATAGTGCAATGAATAATAATAATGGCTACATATCCAGCACTAACCACATGGCCTGCACACAGGAAGCATTCCATCGATTTTGGCTTTGATTACTATTAGTTAACTCTTTAATTTAAAGTATTTTTTAAAAATTTAATTATCCAGGAAATATTTCAAAATCTTGTTTCTCTGGTTTTTACCAATAGATGTAAGCAGATTACTAATCATGGGCAATATTTTTGACTTTCAAGAGCCCTCTTGTGGAAAAGTATAATAATCCAGGACAGCATTTTTATTTATCTAAGGATTGTCATATATGTGAAAAGAAATCCTAAATGTAAAGAAAATTCATTATTTTTTCAATCTGGCATCACACTTGGTTTCACTGAATGTAGGAAATATATTATTGATGACTCACATTATGAAATTAAGTAGGTAAAACATTGCAGTGCTGTAAAAAATTAAAAAGCAATTCCACAGAAAAATTGAAATCCATTTTGTAAGTAACCGCAGAGCAAACTGCATGGCTTAACAAATAGTTCCTATTAACTTTTAAAATTGTCAGAAAAATTCTAAGTTAAAACATTACAGGTAAAAATCTACTTATCTAAAGAAAATAATTACAACATTAGCATTTAGTATGAAGCGATAGTATTCTTTTCTTTTGTGTCATTTATTCATTTTAAAACAAGTTTGACTAAGGAATTAAACTTGAATAAGTAATAACCCTGAATATGTTTAAATATGCTATAGTGTTTAAAAGGTTCTTAGAGCAATTGAAGATAAGAACTGATTAAATATTAGTGTCTAGATGAATCATTTATTAGATGACTCTATTGTGAGAATTAATGCATGCCTTTTACCCAGGAGAAAATATTCCCCTGGCAATGAGTATTTATTTGTCTCTAATGTTCCCTGGTTTGTTATTGCAGAAATGTGTATCACAGTGACTTTATCTCTACTTTCATTTATAAAATGATGCCGCTATCTGCTCTGAAAGCAGGGAGACAGCTGCACTTTCTAACTCATGTTTCTGAATCATAATGAGTGGTCCTAGCCATGTGCTTTTTTCTTGTGTTTTTTTTTCTTCTCATCTCCACTCTAAAAATAGAGATGATATGAAAAACCTGCAGTTCTTTCCAAATGAAATTTTATGTGGTCAAAGGATCTTTTAAATACAAGCTTACTATTTAAGTAATTTTCAAACCTCATCAATTTAATTTATTAGGAAGAGCTCAATGTTAACTTCTAATTTTCTTCCAACAAAGATATTTACTGAGCATCTATACTGTTATTCAGGTAATGTACTAATGTTTTATGGCCATTATCTCTTATTATCTTTACAATAAAAAGACACCATCAATCAGGGTAGTTAAGTTTCTCAAGTTCCTAGAAAAAGTAAATGCAAAGCTGAGACTGGAACCCACACCTGTCTGACTTAGTGGTTTCCCAGCTATTTGTCAATGGCTTCCTTAATGCCTTAGAGACCAGGAAGCATCTCGGGTGCTTCCAAGTTTTGGGGAAAGATGTGAGAAGTGTCTGAGCAGGTATAACTTGGGTTTTCAGCATGTTGCAGAGAAATTTTTTAATGTTTCACATTTTGAGGTTCTCTGAAATATTTCATTTGCAGAAGAGTAAAAGAGTTCTGCAACTAAAAACAAGATGAATACCACTCTAACTACATATACTTCTCTCTTAATTTCTATTTCTCTGAATAGGGAGGGTAGAAGTTCCCTTCAGTGACTTTATTTCCTATCACCACCATCCCCCTTTTCCATCTTCCTGGCTTTCACTACAGGTTTTCTCTTGAGTTCTGATTTAGCTTGCTTTAGTATAACATACCCAAGTATATTACAGCTCTGAAGCTCTACCCATGTTTCTCTTCCAGCTACACTTGAGATGCAAGCTAGAGAATGAAGAGGTAGGGCCTAATAGGAAGAGGAACCCACACCTGGGTTCCAAGACCAGGTGGAATATCCAGCTAATATTAACCTGTTAGTTATCTCTCAGAAATCTATTTCCCCATCTATAAAATGGGGATAATAGCATTCATGTTATTTTGAGGATTAAATGGACTACCCCATGAAATTCATATATTAAAGTGCTAAATGAAAGTTAAAATATTAATGTTCTTTCTCTGTGTGTGTGTGTGTGTGTGTGTGTGTAAGTGTGTGTGTGTGTTCTGAGACAGGGTCTCGGTCTGTTGCCCAGGCTAGAGTACAGTGGCACAATCATAGCTCACTGCAGCTTCAAACTCCCTGGCTCAAGCAATCCTCCTGCCTCAGCCTCCAGAGTAGCTGGATTATAGGTGTGCAACACCATGCCTGACTAACTATTTTTATTTTTGTAGACACCCTGACTGAAAATAAAATATTAAAATAAATAAGTAAAATTACTGGTAGGAAAGTCTTGGGGCTACAAGTAAGCATGGGTTGGAGAAGCACCTTAAATGAGACTGGCAGGAAGGCAGAATCCTGGTGACCAGGTTAAAGAATCTGGATCTTATCCTAAACATCTCTCAAGTATCATTTTCTCAGGTCCTTTCATCTTGATTTAGTTCTGATGGAACTAAAAGAGTATAGAAACCTTCTGTCCCTAAGAAGAAGAAAAATCCTAAATTAAACTACTCCATAAGGGAGACTAGTAATTCAAGGAGGGGCTAAATGACTTGTTCAGTGCTTTCCTCTGAACCACCAGTATTGCTGAGTATTTCCCATGAGCCCCCTAAGTTCTTTTCTAGTGCTCTAGTTTACAAAATATGATTCCATGGCTAAGTGTCTGATTAGGCTCATAGAGAAACCCCATAGAGGCATAGTTCGATATTGCACTAAATGCAGTGACAATAAATTTACTTAGGAAATTTATTTTATTTCTCTTTAGTAAAGGGAATAGTTGCTTTTGCTATCAGAAGACTGTCACTTTCTTCTAATATTCTAGTTCCTGATACATCTTCAAGTAGAATTTCTTTTAAAGAAGACTTGTGCATGGCAGTTTTATTGCTTGGAAGCTCAATTTGTTACTGGGATAAACCCTGAGTAAAACAAATGGTATGTTTTCTGAAAAGCCTCACAGCTATAGTTTTTCTTCCTGTGTATGTCAAAAGAGATGAAGCTAGAGAAATAAGCAGGAAGACAACCTGGTTAAGATGGCTTAGAAATCTCAACATTTAATGTCATTTACCATTAGCAATGGAACTAAATATATCCAGAAATTATGTTAAGAAGGTGAATTGAATTAAAAATTGAGGTAGTAGGAAGAGAGAGAGAGAAAAAAAAAGAAAGGAAAGAAAGAAAGGGAAAAGGAAGAAACTCAGTTTTTACATAACTACATCAAAAGACAAAGCATCCTACCCTAGATTTGTATAGTGCATGAGAAGCTTTGAAATTACAAAAACAGATATTAATATAGCTCTCACTATTGAGTAACTACTAGGTGACCAGGTATTTAAGAGTATTATCTCTGATCTTCACAACAACCTTTCAAGATAATTATTATTGTTTATTTATTTATTCATTTATTTATTTTTGAGATGGAGTTTCGCTCTTGTTGCCAGGCTGGAATGCAATGGTGCGATCTCGGCTCACCGCAACCTCCACCTCCTGGGTTCAAAGGATTCTCCTGCCTCAGCCTCCCAAGTAGCTGGGATTACAGGCATGCACCACTGCGCCCGGCTAATTTTTTGATTTTTAGTAGAGACGGGGTTTCTCCATGGTGGTCAGGCTGATCTTGAACTCCCAACCTCAGGTGATACGCCCGTCTTGGCCTCCTAAAGTGCTGGGATTACAGGCATGAGCCACCACACCGTGCTTCTAGTTAATTATTATCTCCGTTTTATAGATAAGACTACTGAGACTTCAGGCCAGGTAACTTTCTCATAGTCACAGAGCTAACAGGTATTGATAATGAGAGTCAATCCTCTTCTCCATTTTATGATAGAGCCCACATTTTTTTCTTCTGCTGTAAAACCTCTAAAGAAGGCCTCAAATGTGACTACTACTGTTAAAATCAGCCACAGGAATTTGTGTTTTGAGTGCTACATTAAACAAACAAATAATCAAATACACCCACTTCCCATCTCCAGTAGATGTCTCTATCCAGGTTATTTTGTGTGATCTCTACCTCTATCCCTTAGGAGCATCCATTATCACGGCTACCATCAGGAAGTGTAACATGGAATCTCGAGTTTAAGATCACTTTCAACCCCTTGACTAGTAACTATCTTTCATAGGTAGAAACACATTTGTTGTGAGCCATTACGAGGAAATGTAACTGACTCCCAGGTCGCCAGAGATAGGCAACCAGGTAGGAAGTGATAGCAAGAGAGCTACAACTTCAAATCCTAATCACTTTCATTCATAGCAGATGTAAGTTTCAGGACGGCAGCCTGCAAGATTCTTTTGGGTAGTAAAGATAAAATCACCCACATAAACCATGGATTTGCCATCTGGAGTGTATTCTTTGGAACTGGTATATCTGAGTTAAAAAAAACTCCTTGGCAAAATATTGCTATCCTGTTGCCATAGTCATAGTTACATTTTTTTCCATTTTATCATGTGTGTGCTTTTTTTTCTCCTTGACCTATTTCTGGGATGTATTTTAAAAATGGAAAGAAAATTCAAGTTGATGTGATAACAGCATCTGGTTTCCCAAATTAAACAAGTTACCTTTATTACCTTTATATTTCCACCTTATTTTCCTTTAAATTATTAGTAATAGAAGTATTTTGGTATATGTTTGGATTTTAAAATTTAGGTGAATATATTTTGAATCACATTTCTAAAATCAAGTTGATATTCCTGAAGTAATTTATCCATTGAAGTTGCTGAGTATGAGTCTATTTCTGATATTAGAAGTAAAAAAGATATAGAAAATGGTATCTAAATATTTTAATTAGACAAATACTTATGAAAAGATTTAGCAAAAATATTTGTGAAACCTATTTTCAGTGGTTTTAATTTTTGCTTCAAGGAACTTTTAAAACATTGAGATCATTTTGTTATTTTTGTCAGATAAGAAATACTTAAATTTCCCAAACTGTACTGTGAGTGGGTATATGAGTTAACATGTATCCCTTAGAATTTGTTTAAGTTTTGTTATTGGTCAAACTGTTAAAAAGCCCTGTTTGATAAAGAAGAAATTAGAGACTGATGTAGATAACAATATGTTAAAGATTTCCTTGTCAGTGATGTAAGAAAAAAAATCTTGTTTTATACAAACATGCACAGACACACATATGTATGTATAAACACACGTAAAGGTATATATATTTACCGCTACATCCATGTATTTCTAACTTCTAAACAAATAAAAATTGACTCAATTGCCTCCAAAGTGTGACTAAAATATAATAAAATTCTCAGTGATTAAATAAAAAATTAAATGGCGCTGGAAGCCATTATTCTTAGCAAAGTACCCTGGGAGCAGAAAACCAGATCCCACATGTTCTCACTTATAAGTAGGAGCTAAATGGTGAGAACACCTGAACACATAGAGGAGAAAAACGCACACTGGGGCCCATCAGAGGGTAAGGGGTGGGAGGAGGGAGTGAACAAATAATCTGTACAACACATCCCCATGACACATGTTTACCTATGTAACTAACCTGCATATGTACCCAAGATCCTAAGAGTTTTGTTTTTAAGAAAGAAGGAAAATAAACGAGAAAGAAAACAATAAGGATATTTAGCCATCTAAGCTAGGAGTATCAAAACACTCTTCTGTCTTTTAACATCTTCCTTAAGTTATTTGATATTGAGGAGAGGGAATAGAAGTTTCTAATTCTATATTTTAAAATAAGTCCTGTATTTTATGTTTATCACATAGGTACTCGTTTCATGAGAAAATACCTTAGCATAAACTTTGCAATATAAAGAACTCAAATTTCAAGCTCTGATTATGTCCACAAAGAGAACTTAATATATTGTACATGTGAGAATATGGTTTCTTTGAAGAACTTCAAGATTTGGGGGGTTGTCTGTGGACATGGAATGAGTTATTAAATAATGAAAGTTGGGCCAGTAGTTTTATTGACTTTATGTGACAAATTTCATTAATATTCATAAGATTTTACTAACAAAAAATTTTAGTAATGCTTTGTTTTGTAATATACTTTGAATAAATAAAAGAAACTCATAATAATTATTGTATCTGTTTTCATTGGGACCAACTAGACTCCAAGTGCTTAACATATATTAGTTTTGGTTAATAATTCTCCAAGACATTCTACAAGGTAGTTATTAACCCCATCTCACAAATAAGAATGACATAAACATCCAGAGGTTAAGAAAATAGCCAAACTCATACAATTCATTAATCAACCTCAAGGTTGCTTTCAAAGCCTGTGCTTTTACTATGAGACTGTCTTTCCTGTAATCAGCATGTTTATTTTCAGCCAGTGCCAACTATTTTAGCGTTAATTTTAGGTTGCGCTGCATGTGCTTGTAGTCTCTTTTCTATTTGGATCAGTCAGGGTAGACTAGGATTTGTCGTGGTAGCAATTTAACTCTAAAGTGTCCATGGCTTAACAGTAACCGTGGTTTATTTCTTACTCATGTACGCTGTCAAGTTGACAACTGGAGCTCTGCACTAAAGGTCCCAGGAAGACTGAGGCTCCACCTTCTGGAACCTCACAGGTGCTTCAAGAGAGGGAGAGAGAATGGGGTGTGCCACAGATTTTTCAGTGCCTTTACCTGCAACGACGCAGTCACTTCTACTCACATTTTATTGCCCAGAACAAGTCTGAGGGCCCCATATAACTATATGGTCTTAGGGGAGCACAGCTTCTCTTATGCAGGGAAGAACAGGGGAACTGTTCATTGGTGAACAGTAATATCTACCATAGCACTCATATTGTATGTTAATTCTAATTAGCCTTAAGAAGTCTGGTAGGTATTCAGTGATATAATTTTTAAAAGACTATGCCCTCCAAATTATTTAGGGAAAAGCACATAGACCATATAGCACATACATTATAAAAGGATCAGAGGGAGCACAAAAACAAGCATACAAGCACACAAGCAAAAAGAATTAGATAAATGAGGGAATAAAACCATGCATAATTATTAAAAATATTGATTAGAAAATAACATAAGGACAGAATTAAATTTTAAAAAGATGGTGTCAGCTCTATTAAAGAAACAAAGTCCAACTACAATGCATCCTATGCAGATGAGTCATATCTAAATCTAGTTAAAGTATGACTAATTTTGTATGAGTCAAATACAGGCAAAAAGATAGTAGGAGATGAAATCAGAGATTTGCACAGAATGGCAGGTATCTTAAATAGCTTCACCACCAAATATGAAAGAATCAAAATCAGTTAATTAAGCGTCCAAGCCAAGAAAGTGGGAAAGATCACCAAAATATATGTTAGGAAAGCAATAGGAATGTTTTAATAAGAATATTAATGAATTTTGGAACAAGAGGGGAAGGCAGAATCAAACACAAATTCCCCAGGTTTGATTCTTGGAAAACAGCAGCAGTAACAACAACAACAGCAAGATATCAAGCTTTATCAAGCATCAACGATAATTACCCAAAACATAAATGTCAATGTCACAAGAAGTAGTATACCTTTCTTCTTTCACAAAAAACCTATATTTTGAATTTAATGATTCTTAGATATATGTCGTTGCTAGCTCCAACCTATTTTCTTCTGTTGCCAATAAATTTGATAATCCAAATAAAGAGAAAAACAAAACCAACAATAACAAGAAAATTAAATCATGAAAGATAGGAATATTTCAGAAAATAGAAACTCATAATTTTCTCAACTAATGAATAATAAATTCAATAATATGTAATGAATAATAACTAAAATCCAATATAAACTGATATTGTTGATAAAATACAAATTATATAATTTGATACAAGAAGAGAAACATATCCAAAGTCCAATAACTGGAAAATATTTTGAGAAAGTTGTCAAGAGATCCTTGAACAATATTTCCAATCAAAGTGATTTCAAAGATTATCTTTCAAAGCATGAATAGAAATAGAAACATTGGTATTTAAACTGTGCCTGATTTCATAAAAAGAAAGAAATCTTTTCAATTATTTTGCAAAGTGAGAATTACACATACACTGGAATCTGAGAGAGATAATATAGATTTAAAAAACAAATCTTTCTCTAATCTGTGCAGATAAAAACCCCAGTAAAGCAAATAATAATTTAAAAACAAAATTTGACTATTGATGCAAAAATATGGCATACTCCCCAAATGGTTAACATCATAATGTATTTAATATTTTTGTACATGACCTACTTGAATTATTCTTGGAATTAAGGAATAGTTCAACATCTGGAATGTATTAATTTTATTAGTTATTTTAAGAAGTTACAAGGGTAGGTAAATGATCTTATCAATGAGTACTAAAACAGGTTTGCTAAAACTCAACTATGATTCCTTTTAAAAAAATCATAAACAGTCTGGGCGCGGTGGCTCACACCTGTAATCCCAGCACTTTGGGAGGCCCAGGCGGATGGATCACCTGAGGTCAGGAGTTTGAGACCAGCCTGGCCAACACAGTGAAACCCTGTGTCTACTAAAATACAAAAATTGGCTGCAAGTGGTGGTGGGCGCCTGTAATCCCAGCTACTCTGGAGGCTGAGTCATGAGAATTGCTTGAACCCGGGAGGCGGAGGTTGCAGTGAGCTGGGACCGTGCCACTGCACTCCAGCCTGGGGTAACAGAGTGAGACTTTGTCTCAAAGAAAAATAAAATCATAAACACAAGATGGATATCATTTCTATTTCTTATACACTAAAATGATATTATGTTTAAAAGTGTCATAATATTAAATGCTCCTTAATGTATAACTATGATATATATCTCATGGTTTGCAAAATGCTTTATAGTGAGCCATAAAAGTATTCTATTAAAGTCATGAACTAGAAAGACACAGATACTTGCTACCATCTCTGTTATTTAATATTGTCAGAGAAATGTTAAAGGAGTTAGAAGTTAAAGAAGGAAATACAATGTGTATGCACTAGAAAAGAAAATATAATACATGAATGTCTCTAAATGATATTGTTATATGCTATGCCTAGAGATGACAAGAAATTAACTGAAAAACCAATAGAAGCAAATAAGAGAGTCTGATAAATTAAATTGCCAAATAATCTAAATAATGTACAAGGTAATGTAAAAGTCTCTGTAATGCCAACAACCGCCAGATAGAGGGAAATGAAGGAAAAAGAGATGTCATCTACAATAATAATACAATGATAATTTCCAAGGAAAAAAACTTTAAATAAATTGTACAATATGCATATGTATAAGCCACAGACTTTACTAAGAAGTATAAAATAAAATTTGAATGAAAATAGAGACATCTTCTATTCTTCATTTGAAATTCTTAAATTAGAAAGATGTTGGTTTTACTAAATTAATTTAAATATGCAATGTAGTACTACTCAAAATCCCAACAGAAAGTTTGGAACTTTATTACTTGATTCTAAAGTTCATCTGGAAGAGTAAGCATGGGGAAAATTTAAAATATAGCAGCAATGTGGTATATAGTAATAAAGCAGTGTGGTACTGCCTCAGAATGTGGAAATCAATAGAAAAGGCCAGATGTAAGAGATAAACCAAGTATATGTGGGATAATTTTCTCATAAGGTATATGATAAAAGTAGCATTTCAAATTAATGGCAGACAAATAGATTATTCAATAAATAGCATTGAGATAACTAGCTAGCCTCATAGGAGGAAGTGAAATTGTCTGTAATAGCACAGACGTAAAGCCTATTGATTTGGCTCCTGGTCCTTCCATTTCTCCACTGCTCACTGCCAGTAACCAGGAGAAGCCATCATCACCTCTCCTGGACTAGAAGAGTCTTCTAGAAACTCTCCCCAACCCAGTTTTCTCTTTAACTTAGATTTAAACAAACATAAAACAAACTATCCAGAGTTTAAAAGAATAAAAATTCAGATTAAGATATTTATATTAATAGGAATTTTCAGAAAAGTGTTCTGAGATGTATTACTAATTCCATAATTTTATTTATGGTTATATTATAAAGCCAGTATTTTAACAGTATCTCACCAATAATATGATTTCTGACCTAGAATGAAATTTTGGAATATAATAAAGTAAGGCTTCTATGTTCAAATACAGTCACTTTTTGATTATTCTCTGATTTCACAATAAGAAGTAAACTTTGATGCAAATAATATACAACATTAGATGATACAGAAACATTTCCCTTGGTTAGGAATAGGTTATATTTATTTTTGGAAGTAGATTTTTCTTTGCAACCGTCACATTTTTTATAGGTTCACATTGGGTGAGGGACCAGACCTTAGCACTTACAAAGTATGATTCTGTGACCAGCTGTATCATCTTTTCCTGGGGACTTGCATGGAATGAAGAATCCCAAGAAACATCCTGTAACTATTGAATCAGAATTTGAATTTTCACAAAATCCACATGTGATTCTTAAGAACATTAATATTTAAGAAGCACTGAACCAGAGTGTCTTCTGGGATAATCTCAGATTTGAAATTTTCTTTCCATAATACATGAAATCACAGGGAATAAACAGCTCAGTGTGTCTTTCTGTTTGTCTACCTCTTTTCTACCCCTTCACCAAATGTAAAAATTAATATATATCACAGAAAATGAGAATCGACAGGGATGTTTTGTCCTATGTTCCATGATATTAAGCTTAATCAAGCATCAAATATACTCACCCAAAACATAAATGTTAATGTCACAAGAAGTAGTATATTTTTCTTCTTTCACAAAAAAAGATATTTTGCATTTAATCATTCTCAGCTAGATGTCATTGCCAACTCCAACCTATTTTCTTCTATTGCCAATGATATATATATATATACATATTTTAAATTTACAATCCAAAGCATTGTGCAAAGATGAAAACATTGAAACAATTTGGTTCAGTCAGTATGTGCATGTTTTACTACCCTCTATGACATTTATAGTCTCTCCTGGCAACAAATATGACTTTACAGTTTATGAATGACCTTGAAAGTAGTATGAAATTGAAACCTGTATCCCAAATTTTGAGGCTATTCTTCTAAACTTGTCTATTTTATATATATCTACCTACCTTGGGGAGACAAATTTCTTTTCTTTTCATTCTTTCAGTCAAAGTAAATTGAACAATAATTATGGGTGCACTTTTGCGGCATAAGTACTTTCTAATCTTTCTCTGTCACAGCAGGAAATTGCTTATTGGTATTGTGTATTTCATTTAAAAGCAGATGATCTACCCAACAAGATAAATCTTAGCCATATGCTGGTAGCCTGACAAAAATATCCTAAACAGAAAATATGTTGAGAAAATAAGGTACTTAGAAAATTGTCCAAGCTGCCATTGTTTTAGGGATTTGGATATTGCAAATATATGCTGCTCTCCTGGATCTCAAGGTACACAATGATTTTTATTTTTTATAACAATGCTAAAACTCTCGTTTTCAACCACTGGAGTTTTCTCAATGTGTTTTCTTAGACCATGAAAGAAGGAGGAATCTCCTTTTTGTTCCAGAGGGAAACTTCATATTGAGTAATTCCTGTAGAGGAGACAGAACTTCATGGAAGGAGGAGAAAGGGGGGCAGTGTTGCTGGTCTCTGAGCCACAGTGTGGTGGTGCAGGGTGAGTCTGGGAGAGGAGATGGCATCACATAGCACTCACGTTGTGGCCTCAGGTACAATGGGATACCCGTGGCTACACTCTATCACATCTCTTCATTCATCTTCTCAGCAACTCTCCATTGAACACTTACACTGTTCTAGACACTCAAGAAAGAGCACTCCTTAAGGCAGACAAAGTTGCCTGCCCTCAAGAAGCTACTATTCTAGTGAAAGAAGACAAACAAAAATAAATCAACCAAAAAGTGGAATATTAGAAAATAAGAGTTATGAGAAAAAAGTAAAGTTGGGGTGGGGCACAGGCAGAATTAGGAGGGGTCACTGTATATGGCTGGTCAGTCACCCTTCAAGAATCGGTTCAACACCATTTGAATCTCAGAGTTCCCCTGTGCTTTATAAGATGAATGTTGATAAAAGATTCTCCCTGTCCATGTCTATAGGAGATATCATTACAGCCCTGTGTCTCAGGACTAATTTTTTTTCCATTTTGTTCATTTATCCATTGAGCTATTTTTAAACAAACATATGCTTGATTTTATAATGTCTCACCTCACAATCATCTAAGGGCTTACTGTCTCTCTCTTTGTAAAATCCCAAATCCTTATCATGGCCTATAAGTCCCCTATCTACGAGCCCATGATCTGGTCTGCTGCTGTCTGACTTCATGCCCTGCCTTTCTCCTCTTCGCTCACTCATCTCCAGCCATCATGGCTTCCTTGGCACACCAAATCTTGCCTCACGGCTTTTACACAACTGTTCCCTTTACCTTAAAGGTTTGTTGTCCAGATATCCACATGGCTTGCTCTTTGGTCTTTCCTCAGTATATTTTCAGAGAAGCCTTTTTTGAGCCTCCACCCCCACGCCCATTCACCCCATTGATCTGTCCTCTTCCTGGATCTCAATTTTATTTATAAACACAGACTGGGTATTTACATCCCTAAACTGGATGATTTATGAAAGGCTTCTCCATGTAGCTGACACTTATGCTGAGGTGCTGATATGGTTTAAGCCTCTGTCCCCACCCAAACCTCATGTCAAATTATAATTCCTAATGTTGGAGGTGGAGCCTGGTGGGAAGTGATTGGATCATGGGGGCAGATTCCCCCTTTGGTGATGTTTTTTTGATAGTGAGTGAGGGTATTAGTCCATTTTCAAGCTGCTGATAAAGACATACCCGAGACTGGGAAGAAAAAGAGGTTTAATTGGACTTACACTTCCACATGGCTGGGGAGGCCTCAGAATTATGGCAGGAGGTGAGAGGCACTTCTTACATTGGCAGCAACAAGAGAAAATGAGAAAGATGCAAAAGCGGAAACCCCTGATAAAGCCATCAGATCTCATGAAACTTACTCACTACTATGAGAACAGTATGGGGAAAACTGCCCCCATGATTCAAATTATCTCCCATTGAGTCCCTCCCACAACACATGAGAATTATGTGAGTACAATTCAAGTTGAGATTTGGGTGGGGACAGAGAGCCAAACCATATCAATCCACCCTTGGCCCCCCCAGATCTCATGTCTTCACATTTCAAAACCAATCATGCCTTCACAACAGTCCCACAAAGTCTTAACTCATTTCAGCATTAACCCATAAGTCCACCGTCCAAAGTCTTATCTGAGAAAGGCAAGTCCCTTCCATCTACGAGCCTGTAAAATCAAAAGCAAGCTAGTTACTTCCTCGATATAATGGGGGGTAGAGGCATTGGGTAAATACAGCCATTCCAAATAGGAGAAATTGACCAAAACACAGTGGTTATAGGGCCCATGCAAGTCCAAAATCCAGCAGGGCAGTCAAATTTTAAAGTTCCAAAATGGTCTCCTTTGACTCAATTTATCACATCCAGGTCACACTGATGCAAGAGATGGATTCCCATGGTCTTGGGCAGCTCCGCACCTGTGACTTTACAGGATACAACCTCCCTCCCAGATAGTTTCGTGGGCTGGCATTGAGTGTGTGTGGCTTTTCCAGATGAATGGTGCAAGCCATTGGTGATCTACCATTCTGGAGTCTGGATAGTGGCCCTCTTCTCGTAGCTCAACTAGGCAGTACCCTAGTAGGAACTCTGTGTGGGGGCTCTGACCCCACATTTCCCTTCTGCACTGTCCTAGCAGAGGTTCTCCATGAGTGCCCTGCCCCTGCAGCAAACTTCTGTCTGGGTATCCAGGCATTTCTATACATTATCTGAAATCTAGGTGGAGGTTCCCAGACCTCAATTCTTGACTTCTGTGCACTTGCAGGCTCAACACCACATGGAAGCTGTCAAGGCTTGGGGTTTGCACCCTCTGAAGCCATGGCCCCAGCTCTACGTTGGCCCCTTTCAGCCACAGCTGGTGAGGCTGGGACACAGGGCACCAAGTTACTAGGCTGCACACAGCATGGGGACCCTGGGCCCGGCCCACAACACCATTTTCTCCTAGGTCTCCAAGCATATGATGGGAGGGACTGCCATGAAGGGCTCTGATGTGCCCTAGAGACATTTTCCCCATTGTCTTGGGGATTAACATTCAGCTCCTCCTTACTTATGCAAATATATGCAGCCAGCTTGAATTTCTCCTCAGAAAATGGGTTTTTCTTTTCTATCACATTGTCATGCTGCTGATTTTTCTTAACTTTTATGCTCTGCTTCCCTTATAAAACTGAATGCCTTTAGCAGCGCCCTAGTCACATCTTGAATGCTTTGTTGCTTAGAAATTTCTTCCACTAGATACTCTAAATCATCTCTCTCAACTTCAAAGTTCCACAAATCTCTAGGGCAGGGGCTAAATGCTGCCTATCTCTTTGCTAAAACATAACAGGAGTCACTTTTGTTCCAGTTCTCTGTGGGAACACAGAACCAAACCATATCAGCGAGTTATCCTGAGATCTGGTTGTTTAAAAGTGTGTAGCAACTCTGCCCTCCTCCTCTTCCTCCTGCTTCAACCATGTGAAGACATATCTGGTTCCCGCTGGCTTTCCACCACGATTGTAAGTTTCCTGAGGTCTCCCCAGCCATACTTTCTGTACAGCCTGCAGGAACCACAAGCCAATTAAACATCTTTTCTTTATAAATTACCCAGTCTCAGATATTTATAACAGTGTGAGAATGGACTAACACATATGCAAATGACAAAGATGGATTCAGTCAGTGAAAATCAGAAGAAATGCTTTCTAGGCAAGTGGAAATTGAGGCAAAAGGTCTAAAATGGGAATGAGCTTGACACCTTTGATTTACAAGAACATCAATGTGGCCAGAACAAGGAGGACAAAGAGCAGCAAAGTTTTTAGATAAAGTTGGAAAGATAAGCAAGGGCCAGATCATGTGAGAACTCAGTTTATAGTAAAGAGTTTAGGTGTTATTCTACATCTGATGGGAAGACTTCATAGAATTTTAAGTGGGAAAGTATTTAGGCAGGTAGTATTTTTCAAGAATCACTTCAGTCATGCAGTAGTGCTATTATTATAGAGACTAGGAAGTTGAGAGAAGGAGCTGCTTTGGAGGAAAATCATGAATTTTGCTTCAGCTCTCCTTGGTATGATGCACATATAAAATATCCATATATAATAATTAAATATCCTGGAGTTCTAGGAAAATACTATGGCTACAATATTGTTAAAACGAAAGATGGAGATTGCTGGCAAGATGGCCGAATAGGAACAGCTCCTTTCTGCAGCTCCCAGTGAGATTGACGCAGAAGGCGGGTGACTTCTGCATTATCAACTGAGGTACCCAGTTAATCACATTGAGACTGGTTGGACAGTGAGTGCAGCCCACGGAGGGTGAGCTGAAGCAGGCTGGGGCATCGCCTCACCCAGGAAGCTCAAGGGGTTGGGGAATTTTCTCTCCTACCCAAGGGAAGCCGTGAGGAAATGAGCCTGAGGAACCATGCACACTCCAGTTCAGACGCTGCACTTGTCCCACTGTCTTCTTTGCAACCCGCAGACCAGGAGATTCCCTCTGGTGCCTACCCCACCAGGGCCCTCAGTTTCAAGCACAAAACTGGGCAGCTGTTGGGGCAGACACCATATTATCTGCAGGAGTTTTTGTTGTTGTTGTTGTTTTCCATATGCCAGTGGCACCTGGAACGCCAGGCAGATAGAACCGTTCACTCCTCTGGAAAGAGGTGCTGAAGCCAGGGAGCCAAGTGTTCTGGCTCGGCAGGTCCCACCTCCAAGGAGCCCAGCAAACTAAGATCTGCTGGCTTGGAATTCTCGCTGCCAGCACAGCAGCAGTCTGAGATTGATCTGGGATGCTCTAGCCTGGTGGGGGGAGAGGCATCCACCATTGCTGAGGTTTGAGTAGGTGGTTTTATGCTCACAGTGTAAACAAAGTAGCCAGGAAGTTCAAATTGGGCTGAGCCCACTGCAGCTCAGCAAGGCTGCTGTGGCCAGATTGCCTGATTTCTCCTCTCTGGGCAGGGCATCTCTGAATAAAAGGCAGCAGCCCCAGTCAGGGACTTATAGATAAATCCCCCATCTCCCTGGAACAGAGCACCTGGGGAAAAGGGCGGCTGTGGGTGCAGCTTTAGCAGACTTAAAAGTCCCTGCCTGATGGCTCTGAAGAGCACAGCGGACCTCCCAGCATGGCGTTCGAGCTCTGCTAAGGGTCAGACTGCCTCCTCAAGTGGGTCCCTGACCCCCGTGTATCCAGACTGTGAGACACCTCCCAGTAGGGCCGAGAGACACCTCATACAGGAGAGCTCTGGCTGGCATCTGGCAGGTGTCCTTCTGGGATGAAGCTTCCAGAAGAAAGAATAGGCAGCAACCTTTGCTGTTCTACAGCCTCTGCTGGTGATACCCAGGAAAACAGGGTCAGGAGTGGGCCTCCAGCAAACTCCAGCAGATCTGCAGCAGAGGGGCCTGAATGTTAGAAGGAAAACTAACAAACAGAAAGGAATGGCATGACCACTCAAAGACCCCATCTGAAGGTCACCAACATCAAAGAACAAAGGTAGATAAATCCACAAAGATGGGGAGAAACCAGCGCAAAAAGGCTGAAAATTCCAAAAACCAGAATGCCTCTTTTCCTCCAAAGGATCATAACTCCTCGCAAGCAACAGAACAAAACTGGACAGAGAATGAGTTTGACGAATTGACAGAAGTAGCCTTCAGAAGGTGGGTAATAAAGGAGCTAAAGGAGTATGTTCTAATCCAATGCAAAGAAGCTAAGAACCTTGAAAAAAGTTAGATGAATTGCTAACTAGAATAACCAGTTTGGAGAAGAACATAAATGACCTGATGGAGCTGAAAAACACACCATGAGAATTTTGTGAAGTGTACACAAGTATCAGTAGCCTAATCGATCAAGTGGAAGAAGGGAGATCAGTGATTGAAGATCAACTTAATGAAATAAAGTGAGAAGACAAGATTAGAGAAAAAAGAATAAAAAGGAATGAACAAAGCCTTCAAGAAATATGGGACTATATGAAAAAACCAAACCTACAATAGATTGGCATACATGAAAGTGATGGGAGAATGGAACCAAGTTGGAAAACACTCTGCAGGATATTATCCAGGAGAACTTCCCCAATCTGGCCCCAATGTAGGCAGGCCAACATTCAAATTCAGGAAATACAGAGAACACCACAGAGATACTCCTTGAGAAGAGCAACCCCAAGACACATAATTGTCAGATTCACCAAGGTTGAAATGAAGGAATAAAACGTTAAGGACAGCCAGAGAGAAAGATCAGAATATTCACAAAAGGAAGCCATCAGACTAACAGTGGATCTCTCTTCAGAAACCCTACAAGCCAGAAGAGAGTGGGGACCAATATTCAACATTCTTAAAGAAAAAAATTTTCAACGCAGAATGCCATATCCAGCTAAACTAAGCTTCTTAAGCGAAAGAGAAATAAAATCCTTTACAGACAAGCAAATGCTGAGAGATTTTGTCATCACCAGGTGTGCCTTACAAGAGCTCCTGAAGGAAGCACTAAACATGGAAAGGAACAACTGGTACCAGCCACTGCAAAAACATACCAAATTGTAAAGAACAACTACACTAGGAAGAAACTGCATCAACTAATGGGCAAAACAACCAGTTAGCATCATGATAACAGGATCAAATTCACACATAACAATATTAACCTTAAATGTAAATGGGCTAAATGCCCCAAGTGAAAGACATAGACTGGCAAATTGGATAAAGAGGCAAGACTCATCAGTGTGCTGTATTCAGGAGACCCATCTCATGTGCAAAGACACACACAGGCTCAAAATAAAGGGAGAGAGGAATATTTACCAAGCAAATGGAAAGCAAAAGAAAGCAAGAGTTGCAATCTTAATCTCTGATAAAACAGACTTTAAACCAATAAAGATCAAAAGAAACAAAGAAGGCCATTACATAATGGCAAAGGGATCAATGCATCAGGAAGAACTAACTATCCAAAATATATCTGCACCCAGTACAGGAGCACCCAGATTCATAAAGCAAGTTCTTAGAGACCTATGAAGAGACTTAGACTCCCACACAATAATAATGGGAGACTTTAACATCCCACTGTGAATATTAGATCAATGAGATGGAAAATTTAAAAGGATATTCAAGACTTGGACTCAGCTCTGGACCAAGCAGACCTAATAGACATCTACAGAACTCTCCACTCCAAATCAACAGAATGTACACTCTTCTCAGCACCTCATCGTACTTATTCTAAAATTGATCACATAATGGGAAGTAAAACACTCCTCAGCAAATGCAAAAGAACAGAAATCATAACAAACAGTCTCTCAGACCACAGTTCAATCAAATTAGAACTCAGGATGAAGAAACTCACTCAGAATCACACAACTACATGGAAACTGAACAACTTGCTCCTGAATGACTTCTGGGTAAATAACAAAATGAAGGCAAAAATAAATAAGTTCTTTGAAACACAACATACCAGAATCTCTGGGACACATCTAAAGCAGTGCTTAGAGGGAAATTTATAGCACTAAATGCCCACAAGAGAAAGCAGAAAAGATCTAAAATTGACACCCTAACATCAAAATTAAAAGAACTAGAGAAGCAACAGCAAACAAATTCAAAAGCTAGCAGAGGATAAGAAATAACTAAGATCAGAGCAGAACTGAAGGAGATAGAGACACGAAAACCCCTTCAAAAAATCAGTGGATCCAGGAGCTGGTTTTTTTTTTTTTTTTTTTTTTTTTTTTGAGACGGAGTCTCGCTTTGTCACCCAGGCTGTAGCGCAGTGGCGCGATCTCGGCTCACTGCACAGGAGCTGGTTTTTTGAAAAGATCAACAAAATAGATAGACTGCTAGGCAGACTAATGAAGAAAAGACAGAAGAATCAAATAGATGCAATGAAGAATGATATAGGAAATATTACCACTGATCACACAGAAATACAAACTACCATCAGAGAATACTATAAACACCTCTATGCAAATAAACTAGAAAACCTAGAGGAAATGAATAAATTCCTGGACAGATACAGCCTCCCAAGACTAAACCAGGAAGAAGTCGAATCCCTGAATAGACCAATAACAAGTTCTGAAATTGAGGCAGTAATTAACAGCCTACCAACCAAAAAAAGTCCAGGACCAGATGGATTCACAGCTGAATTCTACCAGAGGTACAAAGAGGAGATGGTATCATGCCTTCTGAAACTATTCCAAACAATAGAAAAAGAGGGAATCCTCCCTAACTCATTTTATGAGGCCAGCATCATCCTGATTCAAAACCTGGCAGAAACACAACAAAAAAGAGAAATTTCAGGCCAATATCCCTGATGAACATTGACGCCAGAATCCTCAGTAAAATACTAGCAAATCAAATCCAGCAGCACATCAAAAAGCTTATCCACCATGATCGAGTCGGCTTCATCCCTGGGATGCAAGGCTGGTTCCACATACAGAAATCAATAAACGTAATCCATCACATAAAGAGAACCAATGACAAAAAACATATGATTATCTCCATAGATGAAGAAAAGTCCTTCAACAAAATTCAACACTCCTTCATGCTAAAAACTCTCAATAAACAAAGTATCAATGGAACGTATCTCAAAATAATCAGAGCTATTTATGACAAACCCACAGCCAATATCATACAGAATGGGCAAAAACTGGAAGCATTCCCTTTGAAAACTGGCACAAGACAAGGTTGCCCTCTCTCACCACTCCTATTCAACAAAGTACTGGAAGTTCTGGCCAGGGCAATCAGGGAAGAGAAAGAAATAAAGGATATTCAGATAGGAAGAGAGGAAGTCAAAGTGTCCCTGTTTGCAGAGACATGATTGTATATTTAGAAAACCCCATTGTCTCAGCCCAAAATCTCCTTAAGCTGATAAGCAAATTCAGCAAAGTCTCAGGATACAAAATCAATGTGCAAAAATCACAAGCCTTCCTATACACTAATAACAGACAAACAGATAGCCAAATCATGAGTGAACTCCCATTCACAATTGCTACAAAGAGAATAAAATACCTAGGAATCCAACTTACAAGGGATGTGAAGGACCTCTTCAAGGAGAACTACAAACCTCTGCTCAAGGAAATAAGAGAGGACACAAACAAATAGAAAAACATTCCATGCTCATGGATAGGAAGAATCAATATTGTGAAAATGACCATAGTGCCCAAAGTAATTTATAGATTCAATGCTATCCCTATCAAGCTACCATTGACTTGCTTCACAGAATTAGAAAAAAAACTACTTTAAACTTCATATGGAACCAAAAAAGAGCCCACATTGCCAAGATAATCCTATGCAAAAAGAACAAAGCTGGAGGCATCACACTACCTGACTTCAAACTATACTACAAGGCTACAGTAACCAAAACAGCATGGTATTGGTACCAAAACAGATATATAGACAAATGGAACAGAACAGGGGCCTCAGAAATAACACCACACATCTACAACCATCTGATCTTTGACAAACCTGACAAAAACAGCAATGGGGAAAAGATTCCCTATTTAGTAAATGGTGTTGGGAAAACTGGCTAGCCATATGCAGAAAACTGAAACTGGACCCCTTCCTTACACCTGATACAAAAATCAACTCAAGATTGATTAAAGACTTTAATGTAAGACCTAAAACTGTAAAAATTCTAGAAGAAAACCTGGGCAATACCATTCAGGACATAGGCATGGGCAAAGATGTCATGTCTAAAACACCAAAAGCAATGGCAACAAATGCCAAAATTGACAATTGGGATCTAATTAAACTAAAGAGCTTCTGCACAGCAAAAGAAACTCTTATCAGAGTGAACAGGCAACCTACAGAAAGGGAGAAAAATTTTGCAATCTATCAATCTGACAAAGGGCTAATATCCAGAATCTACAAAGAACTTAAATGAATTTTCAAGAAAAAAGCAGACAACTCCATCATAAAGTGGGAGAAGAATATGAACAGAGACTTCTCAAAAGAAGACATTTATGCAGCCAACAAACATGTGAAAAAATGCTCGTCATCACTGGTCATTAGAGAAACGCAGATCAAAACCACAATGAGATACAATCTCATGCCAGTTAGAAGGGCGATCATTAAAAAGTCAGGAAACAACAGATGCTGGAGAGGATGTAGGAATACTTTTACACTGTTGGTGAGTGTGTAAATTAGTTTAACCATTGTGGAAGACAGTGTGGTGATTCCTCAAGAATCTAGAACTAAAGATACCATTTGACCCAGCAATCCCATTACTTGGTATACACCCAAAGGATTATAAATCATTCTACTATAAAGACACATGCACATGTATGTTTATTGCAGCGCTATTCACAATAGCAAAGACTTGGAACCAACCAAGATGTCCATCAATGATAGACTGGATAAAGAAAATGTGGCACATATACATCATGGAATACTGTGCAGCCATAAAAAGGATGAGTTAATGTCCTTTGCAGGGACACGGAAGAAGCTGGAAACCACCATTGTCAGCAAACTGTCACAAGAGCAGAAAACCAAACACCGCATGTTCTCACTCATAAGTGGTATTTGAGCAAGGAGAACAGATGGACACAGGGAGGGGGAACATCACACACTAGGGCCTGTCAGGGTGTGGGGAGGTAGGGGAGGGATAGCATCAGGAGAAATACCTAATGTAGGTGAAGGTTTGATGGGTGCAGCAAATCACCATGGCACGTGTATACCTATGCAACAAAACTGCAAGTTCTGCACATGTACCCCAGAACTTAAAGTATAATAAAAAATAAAAAAATGAAAGATATTAATCAGGTAGTATTTATTAAGTACCTTCTATGTGCTCTTCACAATGTGAGATGCCAGAGGAATACAGAAGATATATTAGACATATTTATTTCTCTAAGAAACTTGCAAGCTAACTAGAAGTATTGCTAAAATCACAAATTAATTATAGTACATTTAAGTGTTAATTTGATAATCTCATCAATAACAACTGGGGGAAGAGGATGATTAGTATTAGTGTTAGTTGTCAAATAACAGCTAATGTTACTTTGCCAGATTCTTTTTCTAATTTAGTTATTGACAACTGCAAATTCATTTATTCTTTGTAACTGGAACATAGTAGCGAGGAAAATAGACCTGGTCCCACTTCTCAAGGAGCTTATGATATAGTAAAAGATAAAATATTTACACAAAATCTGTGACTTAAAACTGTGATGATTGTTATGAAATAAATACTCCTATGTGTTATGAAAACATTTGAGGGGCCTGGTCTAATCTGCTATCAGGAAAAACTTCTGTGCTCAAGTGTCATTTGAATTGAATGTGAATGAAGAGAAGAAGAGAAGATAGGGGATAGAGGTGGAAGGAAAAGCATTGGTTCCAGAGAATCATGGGTGAAGCCTCTGGATTGTTGGAAGCATGGTGTACTTGAGGAAGTGAGAGGAGGCTGTTGTGACTGGAGGTACTAGATGCCTGGCTGGAGAAGGAGAGTCAAGCAAAGGCTGGTTTAATAGGTTCTTATAACCATGTGAAGAGTAGTGAAAAGCCAGTGAAGGATTCTACACAGGGAATGTCATGAACAGATTCTCATATTTTAAGGATCTTCTAGCATGTATATATTCAATAGGTTTGGGAGAGTGTAAAGCAGGTTTCATAGGGATAAGAGGTTTGCATAGTACAAGGACCTCTGGTAGATGAATGGAATCCTGGTGCTGAGGCTGTTAAGAAGTAGATAAATTTGATATTACGTAAATGCATAGATGGATAGATGGTTAAGTCAACCAGATGTGGTGATACATTGCATGAAGGTTTTAGGAAGATAGAGGTGTCAAAGATGATTACCTGATTTGTGATTACCTGGTTTGATGACAACCTGGTTTGTGTAGTCACAAACCAGGGAGCTGGTCATCATCTTTGACACCTATACCTTAGAGGATGGTGTTTCCCTTCACTAAGATGAGACATTTATTTTTGTTGTCGTTCTTAACAAATTTAAATAAGAAAGTATGAAGAGTACGGACAGGAAGGATTTTAAAATAATATTTATAAAAATCAGTCTTTAAAATTTTTAGACTGGCATTATGACCACACATTAGACTTTTCCTATAACAAAAAGACTGGTTTATTATTATAGTACCTTCTACCTTAAGAAAGAATAAAATTATCCCCTAATGGCATATGGTATAATCTTTAGAACTGGGCTAAAGATTTTATTTAATGACAAAATATTCTGCCAAAAAATAATCTGTCTAAAGTGTTTGTTTCATGTGCAATTGGGAAATATTCTGTCAAAAAAAGGTCTTTTCTCTGTGATTTCTTTTTTTAAATTATTTTAAGTTCAAGAGTACATGCGCAGGATGTGCAGGTTTGTTACATAGGTGAGTTAGGGCATTTATTAATGTCACAATGCTTTCCAAAACAATGTATTGTATTGGTCACTGCACGGTGACCTTTTAAAATTAAATGAAGTTTTAAAGCTCACACCATAATTCCAGGTATTACTTTATTTTTGAGGGCTTTATTTTACAGTGCTTTCCATTTAAGCCAGATACATCCTCTATATATAGAAGCTCTTTTATACACTTGGCTGATGTTAGATATTTACTTGCTATAAGTTTACCAAGTTAATCTTGTTAATTTTCCTCACAAAAGCATATCCATAATACATTCTGACCATGAAAATCTTCTTAGCTAGTAATTATGATTAATGAAAATGATGCTGTTTGCCTCAACTCTCATCTGCTCTTTTCTCTCGTTATAAGCCATCTTTATCCTTTGGAGAGAGCAAAGGGAGAAATTTTATTCAATGAGTGGCACATATTTGCAGCTTTCTTACATTAATCTCAAGATAATGAAAATTTAAGAAGGCAAAGATTCTTTCCTCCTGTCTGACTTTTTCACATTATTTCCTGATAACATTTTTTTTAAATGAAATGCACATAATACAAAATTAACCATTTTAAAGGGTAGAATTAAGTTGCATTTGTTGTATTCACAATGTTGTGCAATGATCACCTCTATCAAGTTTCAAAACATTTTTGTCACCCCAAAAGAAAATCTCATACCCATTAAGCATTTACTCCCACTCTTCCTTCTTCCCAGCCACTGGCATTCACCAATCTGCTTTCTGTTGATGTTATGTCTTCTACTACTTCTCAAAATTAACACTTATGTTTAAGTATAAAAATATTTATTCAGAATATGCTTAACATTTAAGTATATTCTTTTGCTATATAAAATTTGAAAGCTCCACCAGCATAAAATTAACATTTATATCTAACCTACAAATTCTAATTTAATGTACTAATTTAAATCTCCCAATTGTTTTAAATATTCAAATTCATTCAACAGAATTATAATAACTCAACACCTTCTACATACTAGGGATCATAAGGATTAAAAGAAATATAATAGTCCAAGCTTGGTGGCTCATGCCCGTAATCCCAGCACTTTGGGAGGCCAAGACAGGCAGATCAAGGTCAGAAGTTTGAGACCAACCTGGGCAACAGAGCAACACTACATCTCTACAAAAAATGCAAAGACAGTTGGGCATGGTGGCGCATGCCTGTGGTCCCAGTTACTCAGGAGGTTGAGGCAGGAGGATTGCTTGTGCCTGGGTAATAGAGCAAGACTCTGTCTCTCTCCCATACATACATACATACATACATACATACATACATACATACATACAAAAAGAAGTATAATACATGGTTCTTACATTCAGGGAATAAATTTTACTAAATTTATTTTGAGTAGTCAGTTTGAATTGTCAGTAGTAAGTTTAAATTCAGAATCTATCTCATTTCTTAGGTGGAGAAACTGAGGCTCATATGCTAGAAAATGTTTCTATATCATGCTCTGTACCAACAAGAAGCTACTGGTTAATCAGGAGTGTTGGCGTTTTATTGTCTGAGTCTATGTATTGTCTGGCAGTCTATTATAAACATGTTTATTTGGTCTAGTATATAGGGAAAAAAAGAATCTGTTTCTCTAGTGGGAGTTATAGTTGGAGTGGAATAATATTCATCCTAAGTAAAATTTAAACGCTGCTATCAATAAGAAAATAAAGCATTTCAAAGTATGAAGACTGGACTATATCTTTATTGGATAAAGATAGATGATAGATAGATAGATAGATATATAGATAGATAGATAGATGATAGATAGACAGATAGATAGATAGATGAAATTTATTTTAGTTCCCAACAACTACTCCATTACTTTTGCAAACAAACGGGAGGATGTGGAGGAGATAGAGAAAATTTATTGACAAGACACTGGACATCTTCAGTAATTTAGAGAGAGTTGAGCAATCTTATCACTTAAATCCAAGGATGCAGGCCCAGTGTCTCTCCTTTTTAGATTTCAAATTCCTAGGGAAAATTTAATTTGCCTGGTTTGGACCAGGTATCTACCAAAAGACTGGTTATTTATGGTGAGTGTTAGAGGAAGAAAACAGACATGCATGGATTCTGGGGATATTCCATTCAGTACAGTTGTATTTTCCAGTAAAGCAGAAATAATGTCTATAGGATAAATAGCTCAAGAGGTTATCTATTACTATTTGTGTTTGTTTCATGTGCAATTGGGAAATATATTGGTTTAAAGGATGTGATGTTACAAGGGTCAGACAAACCACGTTTCACAATTAAGTAGCTTAAAAGGTCAGATAGGGAAAAACAAGATAAAATACCATTAAAGCTGCTTTACACAGCTAGCAATCTTGATCACAAATACAGAATTGCAATGAAATTCTACATCTTTTGGCTATGCAGTCTCTGTATTATAGCTGTATATTTTAGAAATAGGAAAATAAAAACAGAATACTAGTGCAAACTTTCAGATATTACATTTCTGGATTGAAAAATATGACTCCTAATAGAAATACTGATCATATTCATATCTCTCTGAACTCCTGTGGAAAATGTTAATTTCTTCTGCACAACCTGATTACCTACCCAGATGAGCCAGGCTGGATAACCTGCAAACTTAGAGAATATCTTGTTCCTTGATATGATTTAGATTTGTGTCCCTGCCCAAATCTCATGTCAAATTGTAATCCCTAATGTTGAAAGAGGGGCCTGGTGGGAGGTGATTGGATCATGAGGGTGGATTTCCCCTTTGCTGTTCTTGTAATAGTGAGTGAGTGAGTTAGTTCTCATGAGATCTGGTTGTTTAAAAGTGTTTAGCACCATCCCCCCCACCCTCTCTTCCTTTCGCTCTGGCCGTGTAAGACGTGCCTGGTTCCCCTTCGCCTTCTACCATGATTGTGAGTTTCCCCAGGCCTCCTTCGCTATACTTCCTGTGCTGCCTGTGGAACCATGAGCCAATTAAACCCCTTTTCTTTATAAATTACCCAATCTCAGGTATTTCTTTACAGCAGTCTGAGAATGGACTAATACATCTCTTTAACTCAAGAGAAAGACCTGGATTATTTCTTTTCTCCCTGCTCTAAGTCTGGGTGGTACCTAAGTCATGGTAAAGATCCGATGATGCACAACAAATCCTGCAAACCTGCTTCTGCAGAGAAGTTCCATTTTTGTTTGTTTTGCTTTTTGTTTTCTGCTTCAGGCTTAGCTTAAAGAAAGGGCTCTGCTGCTAAAAATAATAGTCAATCGATTGCAATAAACAGGAAGGTTGCAGAAGTTTTTACAAAAGGGGAAGCATTGAAAGGGGTTCAAATAGATGACAAAAAGAGGAAACTCAACTCCAGGTAAAAGGAGACTGTGAATGAAATTCAATCACACAGATGAGGTAGTGATGTAAAGAACTTTCCTACAGCATCACCAAATCACATTTTCTATGTCCCACCATTTTATTAATGCTTTTCCTTTTCAAGAACAATAACTGGAGGTTAAAGAAAAGAAAAGTGAGTAGGGCCTGAAGTCTGAAAACCAGGGTTCCATTATGATTGTGCTATGTAATTGTGATATTGGTAAGCTATTTATGCTTATAAACTTCACTTTTCTTATGTACAAAGAGATCTTGTGACTGTTGCTGATTTTTATTAACTAGGCTGCCATTGTAGAGTTTACATCCAGGAGGGAAATAGGGATAATAGAAAATGTAAACCATGCTACTTGGTGATAAGGACAATAAAATGAAAAAGAGTAATGGTGGTTTGGTTCTGAAGGCCAGTGGAGTCGTGTATGTCCTTTTACAAATAGTAGTTGGAGAGGGCCCCTAAAAGGTTAGCATTTGAGCAAAGACTCGAATGAAGTGATGCACCAAGTCGTGCAGTTTTCTAAGGTAAGAATAGTTCAAGCAAAAGGAATAGCAAATACAAACACTCTGAAATGGGAGATTACTTTGTATAATCTAAGAAGCCAGGATATCTGAAGCAGAGTGACCAAAGGATGAAAATGGCATCAGAAAAGAAGTTGATCTGGGGCTGGGAGGACAGACCAAGTACAGTTTATAGGTTGTGGTGAGGATTTTGGATATTATCATGAGAGACATGGGAAATCATTGAAGGGTTTTGAGCAGAGAAGTGACATAAAATGACATATTTTAAAGAAACCACTAAGGTTGTTCTATGGAGAATAGACAGCATGGGGTCATTAGTACAAGTGGAGGGACCAGTTGGAAAGTTATTGCAACCATCCAGGTGAAATACAATGCTGTTGTACAGATTATTTCTGTAAACTGTAATACACATATTTGTTATTACATTTTTCCTTTTTTTCCATTCCATTCCAGGAAATCCAGTTTAGCTCTGAGTATTTCCTTCTATTTCTTGCTAGATGCAGGAAGAGATGATTGACCCACAATGCAATTTCCATAAATCTGACTCCTGCAATCTAGTTTGCATTATTTTCCAGGCTCTGATCTGTCCTATTGATAAGGATGCACAGCGTTTACGGTGTGAAAATGGCTGAGATGTCAGAAATCACCTAGTGGTATTTTGAAATTTACTTTTTACTTCGTAAGTGCAGGGTTTTCTTTATTAGAAGGAGGTAGATAAGAGACATAATTTCTCTTGGGGCAGATTCCTTTTAGGCATGCATCTGTAATGAAAAGCACCATGGTTAGGGAGGGCTGTTGTACTTTAGAAAATTGTATTAAAACTGGATTAAAGAACATTTTATTATAAATTACATAAAAACATAATCAGTTTTAAAAAATACGGTATAACCCACTCAATTTAAAAGACAGCATATTACAACTTGCACTGCTTGGTTTTAATGGGTTGTTGTGGTGGTAGTCATAAGCTATTGTGCTGAGGCTTATTAATGTAGTTATTCAAATTTTAAAATATGACAACCTTTAAAAAAGATTTATCCCATTTCTTGGCTTAAATACTTATTTTGTGAAGGTGAACAATAAGAGGATTCCTAGTTTTTTGCTTTTGTTTCACTTTTTCTATCCTCAACATAGAACTGATTTAGTACAAAAGCTTTGGTCCAAGAATGGCTTAAATGTCAAACATTCTCAAATCCGTGATCTTCAGAAGTCCCAGGTTCAGGGGAAGCTGCAGTGGGGAATATTAGTTGGGGCAGAGTCTTTAAAAAACTGCTTACAATTCTGTTTTTCAAAACAAAGAATCACCTTATTTGTCCCTCATTTCAAAAGCAGATGGTGATGATTTCAGAAGTGTTGTTTTCCATAGCCACTCACCACTCGTTTGCATTCATCCTGCCACTTCACCTTACAATATTTGCCACCAAGACTTCTATGTTACAGGAAACCACACTTCAAAAAAATTGCCATTTACTGATTTTTACTGAAATGATTCACTTACTACCTGGGTTTTCTGACTTGTTGCCAAACTGCTCTCATTTCTCTACAGTCTCTTTTTAAAAGAAATTTAGAACTGCGAAGTCCCCACTTTTAATCCATTAATATTTTGAATAGACAGTTACCACTCCAGGTACTCCACAATCTTCTTAGCAAATAAAACCATAGACTACACTGGTATACATATGGGTAGGGGGAGGAGTAGAGATATAGAAAGAGGAATCAAGGTAAAGATACAGATGAGTAAAGGATTCAATAGAGGGATGCAAAGTTCAATTTCTATATTTTTCAGAGCAAAAGTACTTCACAAAACATTTTCTAAAAATGATACATGCAAAATTCAATGAAAAACACAACTGGAAATATAGAATATATTTTTATTTCTTTGAAAAGTTATATGAATAATAAAGTAATTTTTACAATTTTACAATATTACGGTAAGTAGTCTTCATGTGTATACAATTTGTGCCTGTTATTATTGGATCTATTGAGTTGTCTTAAAGATTGCTGAGTAGAAGAAAAGTGTAGGATTAGAGCCAAAAGCTTTAAGTTTAAGCCTAGTGGAATGACTTTGGTCATTTAAATTTTCAGAACTTCTTGGATTTCCTTTATTTTTAAACATATAAATTTCCAGTCTCTCTATCTATATTTATATCTGTATCTATACTTATAGGATTGATGTAAGAGTCAAATCGGTAACAAATATATAAGCTTTTTGAAGGAGCAAAATATTCAGCATAAATTTGTGATTGATTTCTTATATTATTACCTTTTCATAAATTAACAAATGATCTCTAGAAAGTGAGGGCAGAATTATGAGAATTTCAGAGGATAAAAATGTAATGCTATGACTTCTACACCCAATTGTGTTATATATATACTATCTTAGTTCTTTCTGGCATATTTCAATCAAATTAAGCTTTCTTAAACTAAGGCATGTATAAAAGAAGAAAGAAGATCTTTTTATTGTGCACAGCTTAGGAAAATATAAAAGCAAGCAAGCTTTGCAACAAATTATTATTTTTCATATTAATTGCATCAGAAATAGTGACTTATATCTTAATATTTCCAGGTGGGATATGCTATTGTTTGAGAAATATTTATTCCCTACCCACACCTAATACCTCCATGGAAGCAGATACTACCTTAAGCCCAGATATTGCCCTGGCCTGTGGACTTCTGCCCAGTAGATGAGAGTGAGAGTGTGCCAAACCTAACCCTTATGAACAACTATTCTCACTACCCTATCTGGGAGTTTCCGATTTTCCTTATGAGAAAATATACTTCAGGATTTTGCTGTACCTCCTGTCTGGGTGCAAAATGAGACACATGGAATGGAATATCTTCACTAGCCTATCTGCAGACCTGCAAGCAAGTGACTAAATGCCTATTGTTGTATGCTACTGATTTTGGAGTGTTTGTTAGGTGGCATTATTATGACAATAGCAAATTATTAATATTATAATTAGTCACTACTAAGCCCTAAATGAGCCTCTGACTTCTCCCCAGCCTAACTTTTAGAGTAGTATTAGCAGGGTAGTCTTTAGAGTTGGAGGGAAGTTTTGGGTCTTCAGAGCAGACACTAGCACCCAAATCACTTATCTTAGTGGAGGGCAGGTAAGGGTAAAAGAACAAATGCTCTTGGTTTAAGATTTGGGAAAATTTAAGTTTACCTAAGTAAGAAAACAAAAACCAAAAACAGCAGATAACTCAGTCTATCTTGGTGGGAGGAATCAAGGAAGGGAATCAAGAGGTTATTAATGTTTAAGGACAATCCCTCCTCCTGGAAACTAGAAAATTAGAGATGAAGTGTACCCTCTTCACAAACATAAACACTTTGTGCTTTTAATACATTGGACTTAACAATTAAGCATAGGTCAAGCAGGAGCATGAGCAAGTTCTGTTATGGGATCCTCGGGGTGTCACTTTTCTGGCCGGAAACCTCTGTGGCCGGTGGCACCTTTGCCTGAGTTCTGGTCCTGTGTCCAGGAAGAATGAGATATGCAGACAAATGCAGGGTGAGCAAGGTGAAGAGGAGCTTTGCTGAGTGTTAGAAACAGCTCAGAAGAGACACACAATGGGTAGCTTCTCTCTGTAGGCAGGCTGTCCTGTTGAGCGTTCAGGTCTCAGCAGAGAGGAAGCCCTGGAGTGAGTGGAGGAGGAGGAGTGGAGGCCCTGGAGTGAGTGAGCAGGAGAAGGCTCCTCTCCGCGGGCAGATCACCCCAACGAGTGTCCAGTTCTCAGTAGAGAAGCCCTGGAGACGGTAGCTCCTCTCTGGAACTGGTAGTCCCATCATCTCTGCAGGTCTCTGAAGTTCTCAGCAGAGAGTTCCTCTCTGCAGCTGGTCACCCAATTATCTGCTTCTGGCTGAGCACGGGTCTTTTGTGGGCCTCAGAGAGGAGGAAGTGGATGCCAATTGCTCCATGAGTAGCCATGGGGGGACCTGGAAAAGGCACCACAAGTTCCCACTTTGGTCCATGGGACTGGCAGCCTGATCCTAGCCTCAGGCCCTCCCTGGCCTGAAGGTGGAGCCTCATGAGGGACCCGCCCCTTCTGTCCGGAAATCTGTCTGCCTCCTGCTGCTGTTCATCACCCCCAACGCGCAGCAGGACAATGCCCTAAGATCCAGCAGGTGCCAACAGCAGGGATAAGCCAGGCAGCGGGAGCAGGCACTTCTGAACCTGCGAGAGCACAGGTTCCCCCAGGCCCCCAAGAGCACAGAGAGGCTGGATCCACAACTGCAATTTGGGCAGCTGCAGCCCTTCCGAGGAGGGCAGGGCTCCAGCCTGGTCCCTGGAGCAGGAGACCTGGGTCTGCAGCCACAGTTTGGGTGACGGCACCCAGGAAGTTCCCACTCCAACTTGGATGGGGCGGGGCTCCCGCTGGCTCCATGAAGCGTGCAGCCTGGGCAGCGCCTCCCCACTGCAGCCAGGTGATGGCAAAAGCAGGCTTTCTGGCCTCTGCCATCAGTTCCTCAAAGACAGAGGTCCGCAGCCTGTCAGGCAGTTCGGCTTCTACCTTCATAAGCCCCTCCTTCTATTCCAACCACTGCACCTCTCTAGATCCTCCTGGTAGACAGTACACATTTTACTCAGGAAGACTCTGAAGTGACTCACTATTGTAATTAATTAAATTGAATCCAAGGTAATGTTAAATTCAAAGCCAAATGTTTATTTTTGATTTATGTTCTCTTCTAAAATATGACTACCCATGTGGTTAGCATAACAATGAAATTAAGATCTTCTAATAATCAGTGAAAACATTCTTGAGATGCTAAAAATTTTTACTGTAAACTTTGTCATATTACCACATTTCCTGGGAGAAATTAATTCTAAAGATTAACTGTCTTTATAAATCCAAAATTAAAGTCTAAAATGAATTCAAATCTGATATCAAATTATCTTGTCTTATGAATAAAATGTTCAAGGAAATAAAGGTCTTCCATCTGTCCTCTGAAACATTTAATTCTGCCCCCTCTCAGCTAGAAAATTCATGTTGGGTGGATTTGGGGTTTCTTCAACTGCTGCATTCTAGACTGTCTCTTAAGAGAATGGGGGATTATTTTAATGGAATGAGGGATTATTCCAGAGTCTCAGAATTAACTATTTAGTCACTGACATTATGCTAAGGAAGCTGAAAGATTTAAGAAGGACATGAAAGATTTTATAGCTGTTCTCCCCTTTCCAAGATTTTAAATGAGTGACTCTCTAGCCCCTAACGAATTAGCTCAGGCAGCACTGTGATCCTAGACACCTGCTTGTACTTAATGTTGGCCACAACAGCAGCAGGAGCACAGTGGCATATAGGTGAAGGGGATAGATAAAAACAAATCTTGATTTTAGGCTGATTCTATGCAGTTTGCCAGAATCAATGGCCGGTGGAATAAAACTTACTGGAGAGAAATCCCTCTACGAGAGGTTAATTTTGACATTACGGAATTCTCATCTCTAGGGAAATAAAATATATTTCTCTGTGTAAAATCTCTTAATTTCCATTTTGCTTTTGAACACTGAGTTTCTGGTATCCTCACACTGAATTGAATGTGGGTGTAGGATCTATCCACACACCCTCAAGAGCAGGCTTTGGCAGACTTTTGCCATCATGGCTATTGTCACTGCTTTTTGCATGCACCTGTTTGGACCTATCTCCCGAAATCTATCTCCTAGGAAGGTTTTCTCTTCATCCCTACATTTGTTTAAATGGAGAAATCCTTTCCTCAGATTCTTAAGTTGTTAACGCTATTTTTAAAAATTTATTTATTTGTTCGTTTGTTTGTGCTGCAGTCATAGATCACTGCAGCCTCAAACTCCTGCGCTCGAGCAATCCTTTAACCTCAGCTTCCCGAGTAGGCACATGCCACGACACCTGGCTAATATTTTTAATTTCTTTCTTTTTTTTTTGTAGAGACAGGGTTTCACTATGTTGCCCACGCTGGTATCAAACTCCTGGGCTCAAGCAACCCACTGGCCTTAGCCTCCCTAACTGCTGGGATTACGGATGTGAGCCATTGTGCCAGCCAATTGTTGCTGCTATGGATGCTTCTGAAGCTGTGTCCCTGAGGGCCTGAAAAGAATCAATACCTCTGCCATGTGCCCGCAAGATTCCATACACATTGGATTTGGTAACCCTAAAGCCATGGTCAGAGCTTGCGTTATTAACTAATCCAGACCAGTTGGAGACCACATGCTAGGGGCAT
The DNA here is from genome assembly GCF_000001405.40 of Homo sapiens. Taxonomy (NCBI): domain Eukaryota; kingdom Metazoa; phylum Chordata; class Mammalia; order Primates; family Hominidae; genus Homo; species Homo sapiens. The sequence continues at coordinate 99,144,520 of NC_000001.11, read as the reverse complement.
CATACTGGAGCGTCTGAACCAGCCACATGAATCCGAGATTTGTCCCTCCATGGGACTATGGGTGTAGGATGGGATTTGGAGCAGTTTTCTAACACTCTTTAGGGCTAACACCAACAATTTCAAATCAGAAATTCACTAGTTCACAGGGACACCAGCTTCTTTGCAATTAAAAGTAGGAACTATGATGCTGCCTCCCAGTGCATGAAAATAAATTGAATTCTATGTCAGCCTCTCCAGCAATAGGCAGAGCAGACTGCCCCTTTGGGGACAAGAGGATAAGCTGCAGCAGCTTAGGGTCTGTGAGCCCTGCATGCTTTTTAGTTAAGGCCACTTGCCCACAATCCTTCCTATATAAAAGCAGCCACTCACCTCTGGGCAAACCTGCCATACCTGCAGTAATGCAGCAAGGTCAAAATCTTGCCTGGTTTGCCTGCTTGATGTCCAAGGCTTAAAGTCACTGGCTCAGGCTGCAGCCATCGGTATACCTGGAAAAATACAGCATGATATACACCAGCAACACCTGCTAGAGTCACAAACCCACACGCTCTGTACTTTGTCAAGCCTCAGCAAAGCTTGAAAGCATTCACTCTAACAACACTAGAAGTCTATTTTTTTTTCTTTCCTTAAGCTAAATACCAGACCTCGTTGATCTTTCAGGTAGCCTCACCCACCCAGTCACAGGAAGCACAAGACAATATAGGTGCCTACTGGAGGGAGAAGGCAGTTACTACCAGTTTACTGCATATTTGAGAGTAGATCAATTGCATGCTTTCTGCAGGCAAGCCAATTCCAAGGAGAAAGAAAAGAGTAATAGGTGGAGCTCAACCCAGTTCTTCCTGTCAAATCTATTAATGACTGTAAGGAGGTGTTGAGAGGCAAGAAGTGCTTAGAGAAATTCAGAAGGAAGGGGGAGGAGTCTCACTGGTCCCTCAAAGTAAGGGTTCAGATTTATTATTTTTTTCTAAGCATCTGTCATTAAAACACACTTTTCCCCACTGATTTGAAGTACCACATTTCAATTACTTCATTTATTTTTATTCATAGGCCTACAATTGTCCATTCATTCACCAGTTCCCAACTGTTTAAATTATAAAGGTGTTAAAGATTATATTTTAAATATTTAAGTAGATCATTATTCCCTCTTGCTCTTTTCCCACACTAATTTGATGGATATTTATGTGATCATTTTCTTACATTTAAAAGTAATAATTTTCTGATATTTTGAAATCAGATTATAGATGTGGCATAGGATTCTAATACAATAAACACTTTATAACATATACTTATTTGTACTTTTTTTCCTTCAACTTCTAGACTTTGAGCTCCAAAAGGACAAGGAGGACTTATTTTCAGCTCTGCATTTTATACAATAGTTCCCACCTATGTTGTGATTGAAACAACAAGTTTTTTAAAGAATATATCATTCTTTGTACACCACTGCCTTTTTAAAAGTATCCTCTACTTAGATTCCTTTTCTCTAACTTTTCTATCAGCCGTATTCTGTTTATTCTGCCATAACCACACAGAATGTAAACTCCTCTGAGAAGCCTTCATTTATGCTTGCCCAGGTAGAATCTTAGCCTCTCCTCTAGAATGCTGTATTACTATCTATTGGTCTCTATTTTATCCTCATCATCTTTAACTGTGTTTTTATTTATCTATCTTCCTAGAGATAACAAGTTAGGCTATTGATAGAAGAACTGTAATATTCATGGTTTTTTTTTTCACCCTGGATATTCCCTGACATATACATTTGATAAATGAATGAATGTAATGAATGCGAATTGCTTTTGCTTTGTAATATTTGTCACAATTAAGAATAAATTTTGTGTAACAATTCTATTTTTTAATGAATGCTGTTAAAAATAATTGTAACTGGGGGGCTATTAGATTGGCATGGCTCTAGCGCTTTGAGTTCCTACCAAAGCAAATCAAACCTCTAGCCATTGAGAAACTATCAACTAACCTCCAACTAGGAACTTGCCACTCTAACCAATTATATAATTGTTTGTCTTGCTTGTGCCAACACTTCATAAGTTTCCTTTCTCACTTCTCCAGCGGAGTGCCAAACTATTTGCAGTCCAGTGCTGCCCGATTTATGAATCACTGAATGCTCAAATAAACTCTTTAAAATTTGAATGCAACTAAGCTTATTTTTTAACAATGTCTTTCTCATTAGATAGTAAGCTCCAGGAGATCAGGGACCACGTCAATCTTGTTTACCATTGTATTGTCTGGTTCTGGAACAGAGTAGCTTGTCAAAAAATATTTATCAAATAAATTGTTATTATTTCTTAGTGATATTATGAGACCTTAGCAAATGTTTATGTGAAACATTTGCATAGAAAAATTATTATATATAAATGATCAATACACATTTCAGAAAATAACCCCATTTTATAATGGGAGTCTTTAAAGTCCTTATTTTTTACATTTTTATTTTTGTTTTTTTTGAATAAATAAGTGTTTATGGAGCTTACTCTACAGTAATGTCCAATACTGTACAAAATTGTACAGTAATGTCCTAGGTCTTAACATTCACTCAGCATTCACTCAATGACTTACCTGAGAGAAACTTCCAGTCCTGCAATCTCCATTCATGGTAAATGCCCTATATATGTGTGCCATTTTAATCTTTTATACAGTATTTTTACTGTGCTTTTTTTCTTCTTCTTCTTCTTCTTTTTTTTTTTTTTTGGAGACCGAGTCTCATTCTGTTGCCCAGGCTGGAGTGCAGTGGCGTGATCCCGGCTCACTGCAACCTCTGCCTCCTTGGTTGAGAATAAATCTGGATATATACCCCTGGAATATTATTTTTCAGAATTATTGATTATTTTACAGACCCTTTCTTATTAAAACAACTATAAATATTCAATACAAAAATCTAAATGCAATGACAAGATTTCTTCGGGAAGTAACAAGTGAAATAGAATAGTCCGTCTCTACTAAATACACAAAAAATTAGCTGGGCTTGGTGGCCTGTGCCTGTAATCCCAGCTACTCAGGAGGCACTGTCGCCCAGGCTGGAGTGCAGTGGCGCGATCTCAGCTCACTGCAACCTCCGACTCCCAGGTTCAAGCGATTCTCGTGCCTCGGCCTCTTGAGTGGCTGGGACTACAGGTGCCCGCCACCACGCCTGGCTAATTTTTTGTATTTTTAGTAGAGACGGGGTTTCACCATCTTGGCCAGGCTGGTCTTTAACTCCTGACCTCATGATCCACCCACCTCTGCCTCCCAAAGTGCTGGGATTATAGGCGTGAGCCACTGCGCCTGGCCTAAAGTCCTTATTTTAAAAGTCATCAAGAGACTGTGATCACAGAAGATATCCTTCAGGAAAGTAACACATCTTGCTCTAAGTCAAGATATGATGGGAAATCTATTCATAAAACATTGATAGGGTGCATATAAATAGGCTTTTAGCCATTGAAACAGCAGCCATAGGTTTACTGTGTCAACAGAAATGTATTAACATGACAGCTGGATAAAATAACATAAAATGAGCCATAATACTGCTTCATTTTTATTTCACTTGTTACTTCCTGAAGAAATCTTGTCATTGGATTTAGATTTTTTTATTGAATAGTTATGTTGTTTTAATAAGAAAGGGTCTGTAAAATGATCAATAATTATGAAAATAATATTCCAGGGGTATATATCCAGAACAGCACACTTCTAAGGGAAAAATGCTTCCAAAAATATAGAAATTACTGGATCTCCATATACATGACAGAAAATATCTAGATGCCATTATTAAACAATGTACTAACCACGAACCATCAGTAAGTCATTATTGTTAATATGCATGATACGTATTGTACTTAATATATGATTATAGGAAAGGAAAAATAGTTTTCTCTTATTCTTTCTGAGTTCTCAGATGGAAACCCCTGTAACAAAAGACAGATTAACAGGAGAAAAACAAGCAGAAGTTTTTTAACATGTATATTTTATATATAAAGTCATATATCACTTAATGCAGGGATATTGTCTGAGAAATGTGTCATTAGGTGATTTGATTGCTCTGCATACATCATAGAGTATACTTACACACACTTAGATGGTAGAGCCTACTATACACCCAGGCTACATGATATAGCCTATTGCTCTTGGGCTACAACACTGTATAGCATGTTACTTTGCTGAATACCGTAGACATTATAACACAATGGTAGGTATTTATGTATCAAAATATATCTAAACATAAAAAAGGCACAGTAGGCAGGGCTTGCTGACTCATGCCTGTAATCCCAGTACTCTGGGAGGCCGAGGTGGGTAGATCACCAGAGGTCAAGAGTTCGACATCAGCCTGGCTAACATGGCGAAATCTCGTCTCTACTAAATATACAAAAAATTAGCTGGGCGTGATGGTGTGTGCCTGTAATCCCAGCTACTCAGGAGGCTGAGGCAGGATAATCCTTGAACCCAGGAGGGAGAGGTTGCAGTGAGCCGGGATCGCGCCACTGCACTCCAGCCCGGGTGACAGAGTGAGAATCGGTCTCCAAAAAAAAAAAAAAAAAAAAAAAAAAGGCACAGTAAAAATACTGTATAAAAGGTAAAAATGGCACACCTATATAGGGCATTTACCATGAATGGAGATTGCAGGACTGGAAGTTTCCCTCGGGTAAGTCATGGAGTGAATGTTAAGACCTAGGACATTACTGAACAGTTTTGCACAGTAATGTACACTACTGTACAGTAAGCTTCATAAACACTGCATACTTAGGCTACACTAAGTTCATTAAAATATGTTTCTTTCTTTAATAATGAATTAACCTTACTTATCATAACTTTTTTACTTTACAAACTTTCCAATTTTAACTTTTTGACTCTTTTGTAATAAGGCTTAGCTTAAAACATAAACACTTTGTACAGCTGTGCAAAAATATATAAATATTTTTGGATGGAGTTTCACTCTTGTCGTCCAAGCTGGAGTGCAATGGTGTGATCTCGGCTCACTGCAACCTCTACCTTCTGGGTTCAAGTGATTCTCCTGCCTCAGCCTCCCAAGTAACTGGGATTACAAGCATGCACCACCACACTTAGCTAATTTTTGTATTTCTAGTAGAGACCGAGTTTCATCACATTGGCCAGGCAGGTCTCGAACTCCTGACCTCAAGTGATCCACCCACCTTGGCCTCCCAAAGTGCTGGGATTACAGGTGTGAGTCACTGCGCCCAGCCAAAATTATTTTCTTTATGTCCTTATTCTATAAACTTTTTTCTACTTTTCAATTTTTTTATTTTACTTTTTAATTTTTAAACATTTTTGTCAAAAACTAAGACACAAACACACACATTAGCCTAGGGCTACAGAGAGTCAGGGTTATATATATCACTGTCTTTTCATGTCTTGTCCCACTGGAAGGTCTTCAGGGGCAATAACTTGCATGGAGCTATCTCCTCTGAATGGCTTCTTCTGGAATACCTCCTGAAGAATTGCCTGAGACTGTTTTACAATGAACTTACGTTTATAATAAGTAGAAAGAGTACACTCTAAAATAATGATAAACAGTATAGTATAGTAAATACACAGACCAGTAATACATTTATTATCAAGTATTATGTATCATACCTAATTGTATGTGCTATAATTTTATATGACTGACAATGCAGTAGGTTTCTTTACACCAGCATCACCACAAGTATGTGAGTGTCAAGGAAAAGAGTCAAACTCTGTAAAATATTTGAAAGGATTTATTCTGAGCCAAATATGAATGACCATGGCCCATGCCACAGCCCTCAGGAAGTCTTGAGAACATGTGCCCAGTGTGTTTGGGGCGCAGCTTGGTTTTACACATTTTAGGGAGGCATGAGACATCAATCAAATATATTTAAGAAATACATTGGTTTGGTCTAGAAAGGTGGGACAACTCAAAGCACGGGCTTCCAGGCTATAGGTAAATTTAAACATTTTCTAGTTGACAATTGGTTGAGTTTGTCTAAAGACCGGGGTTTGATAGAAAGGAAATGTTCAGGTTAAGATAAAAGATTGTGGAGACCAGGGTTCTTTTGAAGTCTTATAGTGGCTGTCCTTAGAGACAATAGATGACAAATGTTTCCTATTTAGATCTTTAAAAGGTGCTAGACTTTTAGTTAATCTTTTTACGATTGGGAGGGCCTGGAATAAAAAGATCTAGCTATGTTACCAGAGATTCTTTACAGGTGCAAATTTTCCCCCTATAAAGGACAGCTTTGCAAAGCCATTTCAAGATATGGCAAAGAAACATGGTTGGGGTAAAATATTTTGATTTTCTTCCTTGTCTTGTAATGTTATGCCAGAGTTGGGTTGGAAAAGTAAGTCATGATATATAGGGTTAAATAAAACTCATCTGATGAGAATTTATGATTTGTAGGGCATAACTCCCAAAACCCCTTAGATAGGAATTTGGGCAAGATAAAACTCTGAGTTTAGTCCTCATGAGCAATGTGTTGCACTGTGATGTTATGATGGTTATGACATCAGTAGGCGATGGAAATTTTTCAGCAAAGGTAGGACCACTGTCATATACATGGTTTGTTGTTTACTAAAAGGTTGTTATGTGGTGTATGACTGTACATGGGAGATACCCAAAGAAGTGAGTAAATCTCAAAGAGGTGGCTTAGAATTGAGACTTAAATACCATCCTCAGAGGAAACAAAGAAAAGAGGGTAAGGGAAGGCTGGTTAGGGAGGTAACCAGAAAAAGTAGAGTAAAACAAGAGTAAGGTTTGTTATGCAGATTTAAATTGGTTACTTTTCCATTGATAAGATTTTCTGGTGATTTAGTCATCCTTCTGCTGATACAGAAAGAGAGACATCCTTACAAATGCAGATTTCCTTTATAAATGTAAATTGCTCTTACAAAAGGGTAATTTCTACTCTCTTTTCAGGGCTTCTTATGTGTTAGCTATTTCTAAAAATAATCAGCTCAAAATAATTCTTATGGCAAAGAGGCATATTTTGGGGTGGCATATTCTGGTTTCCTGCATGATCATATATACTATATTTGTATGAATAACTGCAAGCATGAATCCTAATAATAAAATCCCAGGAGCATTTAAAATAAATCTTTCTAGATCCTATTAAGAATACATTTGAAAACTTAACTGTAAAAACTTTTTGGAAAACTTGGTTATAATAATAGCCCAATGGGTTCTTCCTGTCCACTCCATAGACAATGATCAATTCACTGAGACAGTGACATTGTAGTAGAGAAAGGTTTTAATTGACATGAGGCTAGCCACATGGGAGACTGGTTTATCACTCAAACCAGCCTCCCGAAAGTCTCAGAGGTTGGGGTTTCTATGGACGATTTGGTGGGCAGGGAGATAGGGAATGGGTGCCGCTGATTGGTTGGGGATGAAATCATAAGGGCATAGAAAATTATCTCTGTACACTAAGTCCACCTCTGGGTGGGGCCACAGGACCAGTTGAGTCATGAGTCACGTGTCCAGGTAGGGTCCCTAAGTTGCAAGAATGCACAGTCTGATTTAAAAAAAAAATCTCAAAAGACTAATCTCAGGATCTACAATAGTGATGTTATCTATAGGAGGAATTGGGGAAGTCACAATTCTTGTGACCTCTGGCCACATGACTCCTGAGCAGTAATGAATTATAGAAAATATACCTACATCTTTTCAGAATTTAGGTCCCTCTCATAATCCTAACCTTGAGCCTTTTTATTAGTTTTACAAAAGTGATTTAGTTTTGGGAAGCACTACTGTCATCCTTGCTTTAAGGATAAACTATAAACTAAATTCCTCTCCAAATTAGCTTGGCCTGTGCCCAGGAATGACCAAGGACAGCTTGGAGGTTAGAAGCAAGATGGAGTCAACTATGTCAGATTTCTCTTACTGTGATAATTTTGCAAAGATATTTTCAGCATGATTCATTCATACTAATAAGAGTTCATATATATTGAGAATTCACTATGTATCAGGTGCTGTTCAAAGCAATTTATACACATTCCCTCATTATTTGTTCCATACTACAACATGTGGAGTAGGTGTTATTATTATTATCCTTTGATTAAAATGGGATCTAAGACTGATAGTGGTCAATGACAGGGCCTGTGTTAAAACTGTCAGCAAGTGGCAGAGCTAGACTTTGAAACCAGTTTTGTCTGCCATCAAAAACTGTGGGTTTTTAACCACTGTGCTCTTTTCATAGGACAAACTGGTGGTGTAAGAAACAGATCTTTCTTGGTCAGGAGACTGTTAAAAATATACATGAATTTGAACACATTTTGGCATGGCATAACTTTGCATCTCTTTGCATGTTTGCATTTCTTATTACTCTCTATTGCCTTATTAAGCAGCTGATTTGGCTCAATACAGTTAGTTTACCTTCCTGGTTATAGAAGACATTTGATTTTTGAGACTCCTGCTCTAATGGATCAAAGAAGTAGTAAATGTGGAATCTGGGAGGGAAAATGAAAGGACATAGGATCACTAAGACTAGTTGAAAATCCAACCAAAAAGGCTCTAAAGAACATCTATATCTGTACCTGTCTTTGCATCTATCAGCCTCTCCATCTGAATTGACTTTCAGTGTAGATCTCATCAATTTTGACCACATGTATGTCAGGATTTTTGTATGAAGACACCTCAAAGTGGGATTACACAGAATGGAATTGACTTAGAGGACACAGACCTTGCCCACAGTCATTTTGTGATCTAGATTAGGAGACTTCTGGTTGAAAGCAACTCAATAGAGATGGTATAGAGATTGAAGTAAATGATATTTATCCCCCTAGTCTAGTATGATCTTTTTTCTAATCGATAATTTAGCTGCATCTGGGAGGGGTTAGAGTTTGAGTAAATTTCAAGGCACTACTTGTTCCAAGTAATTTGAGGGCCCTCTTAGGACTCTCACTCAAGCAGAACTTGACTGATTTAGGCACCCATAAAAATCTTATGATGTCTTAGTGCTTTATATGTATTGCTTTTAACATTAACAGGAAACTTTCTCTGCTCTGCAGTCCTATTTCCAGCTTTCATCATTTTATACATCTTTCTCTGACCTGCTCTGAGAAAGAATTGGCAGGTGGGTACAAACTTGCTCTGCATCTGGAGTTCCTCAAGATTTTAATGTCATGCCAGCCTGTGTGTGCCCTTTAAAAGTTTGGCTGGCTTCTCCTTACCCTGTAAATTTCACCATCTATGTTGGGCCTGCATCTTCTGCCACTATGTTTCTATGGATGAACTTATCAGGAGTTGCCTTTTCTCCTGGAAAGAGCTTGTAGAGCTCTGAAATTTAGTTCCTTTAACTTTTTTGTTCACCTCACCTCTCTGATGGGTATTAAAAATTATAATTTCTCTGTACTCTCTCCAAAAAATTCTTTAGGTGTTCTGTTGGAAGCAATGATTATTTGTGATTTTCTACATACAAACTGAGAGAATCTTAACCATTCTGAGTCACTATTTTGTTCTCTCTATAAGGGAAAATTTTGAGAGGATTTAAATATGTCACGTGAAAACTACTTAGTTTGGAGCCTGACATTGGTAGGTGGTACCTCATAAGTATTAATATCCTTTCTCCATTAAGTTTGATATCAAGGGATGTCAAGTAGAGATACATGCAGCTGTGTGGGTTTTGCCTGGATAGCATTTGGAAGGAGTTAAGTTTTGAAGACAGAGAGCATAGATTGACAGTGAGGAAAAAGAAAAACTGAGTTTCTGTCTGCTTCATTTATTTTTTTCAACAAATGTTTACAGAACACTTACTTACGGATTGTCCTTATGATAAGCATTGTTCTTGAAGAGACTTCTAAACCAGAGACCTTGTACTTATTCTTTTAAAATCTTATGAATATAACCACTATGTTCTACAGAAGCAAACACAGTTATTTCCACTTAGGTGCCTGTTTAAAAAGGAATGGGAGATAAAGTGGGAGTTACAGAAACATAATGAAATCTGATAAAAGAAAAATTAAACCAAGAAACAAAACAAGCACAATGGGTAACAAATGAAAAGAGGAAAACTGTCCAAGGACAACAGACAATGGGTGGATGGAAATGAATTTGTAAACACTTTGTAATATTCTAGAGAAGAGCTACAGATCAGTGCTAGGATTCATCTCAGTGCTCCACACCTGGAAGAATGAATTGGCTTACTGAGGGGGTGGAGGAAAGATCAAAAAGGGAAACTGCACTGTTAGTTACACTTAACCCTGCTCGAGTTTTCTCTTGATGGTTTTCATTTACTCTGACCAAAGAGAATCTTCTTATTAAAGCTTCTTTTTCTCTCACCAGGACAGCCAGATGGGTGACCCCAATAGGAAGATGAAGTAAGCCTTTATGTATGAAAAGACTGTTGTTGAACGGAATAATTACATTTTGGAGTATGTGGATTTTTCAAATCAGCCAGTTTTATTGTGAATACATGATTCATAGAAACAAAAGAAAGACAGGAAATAAAACATGAAAAGAAAGTAAGAAGAGAGTCCTGTATATTTTATTTGGGTCAGAAACAAACTAAGACCTCAATGAATTAAAATCCTATAGGATAGGAGTAGAGGTGGATTTATCCATTTGTGATCTTGACCTATCAGCTGTTACATGAGGTTTCTCAGCTGCTGGCAAAACCACTCATCCCTCCCTGGAGGCAGCAGCTGGGATCTCATCATCCTCTCTACAATTTCCTGCTTGATCTGGGAGCATTTGATTAAAATACAAATACAAAAACAAAGAAACAAAAAAATTCTAACAAACATTAACGTGTATATACAGGCCAGATACTTTATTTCTCCTAAAGGCACTCTTTCTTTTTCATAAAGAGAGTTCTGCTGTGTCATCTGCATTGCTACCATGTTATCCCTTTTTCTCATTTCCTGTATCTGCATGGAAGGAGAGATTCCATCAGAAGTCTGCTCTCTGAACATGGAAACTAAGATTCTCCTGATTGTACCATTTACTTTGTTGAATATAGCACCATATTTTTAAAATTATATTTATTTTTATTTATTTATTTATTTTTGAGACAGAGTCTCACTTTTTCACCCAGGCTGGAGTGCAGTGGTGCAACTTTAGCTCACTGCAACTTCAGCTCACTGCAACTTCTGCCTCCTGGGTTCAAGTGATTCTCCTGCGTCAGCCTTCGAGTAGCTGGGATTACAGGCGCCCACCACCACATCTGGCTAATTTTTGTAGTTTTAGTAGAGACAGGGTTTCACCTTGTTAGTCAGGCTGGTCTCGAACTCCTGACCTAGTGATCCACCTGCCTCGGCCTCCCAGAGTGCTGGGATTACAGGTGAGAGCCACCGCGTCTGGCCCCATATATGTATTTTTTTGATTACGCTTATGAATGTTACTCCTTGATAGCCTATTTGTGGCAGTCACTACTCTAGGAAATAAACATATTCTGAGTGTTTAATTTATAAGTCACTGACCTTGATAACTATTTCATGACTGCCCTCCTTGGCATATTTGAAACCATAGTTCCCCAGGCTTACCTACATCCAGCACTTATCACATAATATTTTAATTGTGAGATGTGATGGCAAATTAGAAAGTATATGAGCCTTGTAATTCATCACAACAGCTCAGATACTAGCTGTTTGACATTGGGCAAGTTACTCTAAGATTCACTTCTTTCACCTGTAAATTAGCATAATAATAAGATTTCTTTTCTACTTGTGGGGCTTTAGGGAAAGTTACTGCTAAGCAGAAGCAGATGGCACTAGACTGGCTGCCTTAGAAATTTTTATTCTTTCCTTTATCAATTCATCAATTTCTGTGTTCTTTCAGGTCAAACAGAACATCATAATTGTACTAATTCCTCAAGATGCATGTGGCTTGTCTTTGAATCTTTGATGCAAACCTTCCTTATGTTCTCAAATTGATTCTGGTTTGAGCATTGAGAAGCCCTGATCTCTGGGATTGAGTTAGGCACAAGATCCAGTCTCTTGTGATCTGTGAGCCTTGACTGAGAAACATCTGAGAGGGCACTCTGCTTTATTTCCCCATTTAGAGTCTTTGGTGGATGTTAAACAATCCCTGATAGTGGCTGTGGATGTTACAGACCCAGAGGGAAGGAATAGTGGAATTTATCAATTTCCCAATGAACAGATAAAGAATAAATATTCTTACTACTGGAGGAATGTGATTTCTTCTTAAACAAAGTTGGAGGAAAACTAAAAGAAACAATCACAAACTCAAAAGCCCCATACTTCGTGCAATGTAATTTGATCTACCATTTCTGTGGAAGATCTCTGAAAATCCTGCTCCATTCTCAGAGACCTTACAGGATTCTCAGTCTCTGCAATAAAAACGTAATCTAAAAAAATTTGACTTTTGCTAATCAAATATCGAGCCCTTTTATATGCCAATATGATCTGCTTTATTTGCATTTAACTAGCACTTAAAAAGGAAATGCTAGATATTAAGAGAGAAAGAGTCCTCAGGAACAAGGATCCTGAACAAACACACTTGGGCTTAAGTAGTCACAGTTTTCTAAGCATCACAAAAGAAAGATAATTTGTTCCTAGGGAAAAATATTGGCAAAGGAATACTTTAAAATTCTCAACTACTATCTTAAATTTAGTTAACCCCTATCTAGTGCTAGTTCTCCAAGGAGTTAAAAATCATCACATGAATAAATATTTCTTGCCTACAATAGTGCAGACTCCTGAGAAGTCAAAACAGGTTTGCTCTTCCCAAGGCTTGCCTCTTACTACTCCAACAGCAAGAAAAAGAAATCTAGAACATATGTAAATGGGAAATAAAAAAATGTTGACCTCAAGGTCTAGGGTGAACTGTCCTAGGATTCCTTTGCAAAGCCTTCCAATGCTGAACAGCTGCTGTGGCCCCAGAGCTCCCTTTACCTCATCAGTGTTTGGAAAAACTCCCTAAGCAGGCAAAAGAGGGAAGCCAGAAAGACAGAGCAATGGCTGCAATTTCTTCCAACAAGTAGCTTCAATGTCCTTATTTGTATATCAGCTACTGAGAAAAACTACATTAAGAAACAGAGATGTGGGTCCTGAACTTTAATCCATTTCTACTTCAAAAAAATCTATAATATATATTGTAATTCTCTTTTTTTCTGTTTCACATATCTATTTTATATCCAATCCTTTTAAAATTTCTGTATTCTAGAAAAACATGTTAATTTTTTAATCAAACATTGAGTTGTCTTTCTGTAGCTTCAATTCTGCTGTGTATGACCTCAACTGAATTTAAATTGCTCATATTTCATTTTAAGTTTTCTAGCATTTTAAAGTTATTTCAGCCTAGTTATATTCACTTAGCTATCATTCATGAAATTCTAGTTTATTTTATGGCCCTGAAGATTGGCTCTAAGCCAATTCTAACTGAGATATTATATAGTTACAGTAGACAATTACTTAAAATTTGGTGAGGACAAATTAATGTTACTTGGGAAAGTTATAATTTCTAATTCTTAATGTATATGTTGCTAAGAAGGGATATCATAACTTATATACCCTGTTGTCTCAATATGATGTTTCTATAATACAAAAATACTGAATGCAATAAGAGAAAATGTCCCAGAATGTAAAGCACAAAGACAAAGTATTAAGAATATAAAAGAGAGTTATGAGACATGGAAAATCAAATAAGGAGGCCAAATGTACTTTGAAAAAAATGTTCAGGTCTATTGAGCTGGAACTTAAAGAAAGAAAACAAAGAAAGAAAGAAAAGAATTTTTAGAGAAAGAGCAGAGATAATACAGGAATATAGGAGAGACATTAGTCAAAGGAATAATATAAGACTATTTACCAAAGATAAGAAAAAACACAGGCCTTCAAATTAAAAATATTCAGCAATATAAGGTAAAAAAAAAAAAAGACCCACACTTAGGCACATACTCCTAAGTTTTTTGAAGCTGGAAAGAAGGATCCTAAAAGCTTATGAAAGCATTTTATAATAGAATAAAATTGGAGGAGCTAGCAAAAATGGCTGACTAGAAGCAGCTACAGTGCATGGCCCTCACAGAGACGAACAAAAGGGGAAAGTAAATACAGCAACTTCAACTGAAACATCCAGGTTCTCACATTGAGACTGATGGGGAAAACAGTTCAAACCACAGAGAATGAGAAAATCAGGGAAGAGTGGTGGCCCACCCAGAAGCAACACAGAGGCAGGGGACCCCCCCGCCACCGACCCAGGGAAGCAGTACTGGAAAATCCAAAGTGACTGGGGACTGGAGCAGATGCCCAGCAAATCATAGCAGCCCTACAGAAAAGTGGCCAGACTATTAAAAGGAAAAACAAAACAAAATAAACAAACAAACAACAACAACAACAAACACAAACCCCATCCAAAGATCAGCAACTTCAAAGATTGAAGGTAGTTAAGTTCACAAAGATGAGAAAAAATCAGCACAAGAACACAGAAAATTCAAACAGCCAGGATGCCCTCTCTCCTGCAAAAGACCACATCACCTCTCCAGCAAAAGTTTGAAATGGGGTGAGGCTGATATGGCTAAAATAACAGAAATAGACCTCAGGATATGGATAAAAATGAACTCCACTGAACTAAAGGATCATGTTCTAACTCAATGCAAGGAAGCTAAAAATCATGATAAAATATTACAAGAGCTGAAAAACAAAATATCCAGGATAGAGAATAACGTAACTGACCTGATAGAGCTGAAAAACACAATATGAGACTTCTATAATGCAATCACAAGTATTAATAGCAGTATAGACCAGGCAGAGGAAAGAATCTCAGAGTTTGAAGACTGTCTTTCTGAAATAAGACAGGCAGACAAGAATAGAGGAAAAATTATGAAAAAGAAGGAAGAAAACTCTGTATATAAAGAGACCAAATCTTTGACTGATTGGTGTACATGAAAGAGCTGGGGAGAATGGAACCTATTTGGAAAATGCATTTCAGGATATCCTTTAGGATAACTTTCCCAACCTTGTTAGACAGGGCAATATTAAAATTCAGGAAATGCAGAGAACCCCAGTAAGATACTGCATGAGAAGATCATCCCCAAGACACATAATCATCAGATTCTCCAAAGTTAAAATGAAAGAAAAAATATTAAGGCAGCCAGAAGGAAAGGCCAGCTCACCTACAAAAGGAAGCCATCAGACTAACATTGGACCTCTCAGTGGAAACCCTACAAACCAGAGAAGATTGGGGGCCAATGTTTAACATTCTTAAAGAAAAGCAATTCCAGTAAAGAATTTCATATCCAGACAAACTAAGCTTTACAAGTGAAGGAGAAATAGGATTCTTTTCAGACAAGCAAATGCTGAGGGACTTCATGACCACCAGACCTGCCTTTCAGGAGCTCCTGAAGGAAGCACTAAATATGGAAAGGAAAAACTGTTGTCAGCCATCACAAAAACACATTGAAGTACACAGACCAGTGAAACTATGAAGCAACCACACAAACAAGTCTGCAAAATAACCAGCTAGAATCATGATGACAGGATCAAATTTACACATAACAATACTAACCTTAAATGTAAATGGGCTAAATGCCCAAATTAAAAGACACAAAGTGGCAAGCTGTATAAAGAACGAAGTCCCATTGGTGCGCTGTCTTTAAGAGACCCACCTCATGTACAAAGACACACATAGGCTAAAAATAAAGGTATGGAGGAAAATTTGCCAAGCAAATGGAAAAAAGCAAAAAGGAGTGATTGCAATTCTAATTTCCAACAAAACAGACTTTAAACCAACAAAGATTAAAAAAGACCAAAGAAGGGTATTATATAATGACTTAGGGTTCAATTTAATAAGAAGAACTAACTATCCTAAATATATATGCACCCAACTCATGAGTACCCAGATTCATAAAATAACTTTTAGAGACCTTCAAAGTAACTTAGACCCCCCACATAGTAATAGCATAAGACTATTGGGGAACACTCCACTGACAATATTAGACAGATCGTCAGACAGAAAATTAACAAAAATATGCAGGACCTGAACTCAGCTCTAGATCAATTGGACCTGATAGGTATCTACAGAACTCTTCACCCCAAAACAATAAAATATACACTCTTCTCATCAGCCACAGCACTTACTCTAAAATCAATCACATAATTGGAAGTAAAACTCTCCTCAGCAAATGCAAAAGAACTGAAATCATAAGTCTCTTGGACCACAGTGCTATCAAATTAGAGCTCAAGACTAAGAAATTCACTCAAAACCATACAAATAAATACATGGAATTGAATAACCTGCTCCTGAATGACTTTTGAGTAAATAATGAAATTAAGGCAGAAATCAAGAAGTTCTGTGAAACTAATGAGAACAAAGATACAACATGCCAGGATTTCTAGGACAAAGCTAAGGCAGTGTTAAGAGGGAAATTTATAGCACTAAATGTCCACATCAAAAAGCTAGAAAGATCTCAAGTTAACAACTGAACATCTCAACTAAAAGAACAAGGAAACCAAGAGCAAATAAACCCCAGAGCTAGTAGAAGATGAGACATAACCAAAATCAGAGCTGAACTGAAGAAGATAGAGACATGAAAAACCATTCAAAAGATCAATGAAACCAGGAGCTGGTTTTTCAAAAAAAAAAAAATAATACAATGGATAGATCACTAGCTTGACTAATAAGGAAAAAAGAGAGAAGATAGAAATAAACCCAATCAGAAATAATAGGGAGGATATTTCCAACACCACAACTACTGACACCACAAAAATACAAACAACCATCAGAGAATATTATAAATACCTCTATGCACATAAGCTAGAAAACCTAGAATAAATGAAATAATTCCAGGATACATCTCCCCTCCCAGCACTGAACCATGAAGAAATTGAATCCCTGAACAGACCAATGAATGAGCTCTAAAATTGAGGCAGCAATAATAAATAGTCTACCAACCAAAAAAAGTCCAGGACCAGATGGATTCACAGCTGAATTCTACCAGATGTACAAAGAAGAGCTGGTACCATTACTACTGAAACTATTTCAAAAAATTGAAAAGGAGGGGCTCCTCCCTAACTCATTCTATGAAGCCAGCATCTGACAGAGATATGACAAAAAAAGAAAACTTCAGGCCACTATCTTTGATGAACATCAGTGAAAAAGTCCTCAGCAAAATACTGGCAAACCAAATCTAGCAGCACATCAAAAAGATTATTAACCATCATCAAGTAGGCTTTATCCCTAGGATGCAAGGTTGGTTCAACATATGCAAATCAATAAATGTGACTTATCACATAAAAAGAACAAAAGACAAAAACCACATGATTATCTCGATAGATGTGGAAAAGGCTTTTGATAAAATTTAGCTTCCCTTCATGTTAAAAAACTACAGATAAACTAGATATTGAAGGAACATAATCCAAAATAATAAGAGCAGTATAGGAAAAACCCACAGCCAACATCATACCGAATGCACAAAACCTGAAAGTATTTCCCTTGAAAACCAACACAAGACAAGGATGCCCTCTCTCACCTCTCCTATTCAACCTAGGATTGGAAGTTCTGGTCAGAACAATCAGGCAAGAGAAGTAAATGAAGGGCATTCAGATAGGAAGAGAGGAAGTGAAACTATTCCTGTTTGCAGATGACATGATCCTATATCTGGAAAACACGATTATCTTATCCCAAAAGCTTCTTAAGCTGATAAGCAACTTCAGAAAATTCTCAGGATACAAAATCAATGTGCAAAAATTACTAGCATTCGTATATACCAACAACAGTTAAGCTGAGAGCCAAATTATAAATGAATTCCCATTCACAATTGCCACAAAGAGAATAAAATACCTAGGAATACAGCTAACAAGGGAAGTGAAAGATCTCTACAAGGAGAACTACAAGCCACTGTTCAAAGAAATCAAAGATGACACAAACAAATGAAAGAACATTTCATGCTTATGGATAGGAAGAATCAATAACATTAAAATGGCCATACTGCCAAAAGCAATTTATTGATTCAATGCTATTCCCATTAAACTACCACTGACATTCTTCATAGAACTAGAAAAATCTATTTTTAAAATTCATATAAAACCAAAAAAAGAGCCCCAAAAGCCAAGGCAATCCTAAGCAAAAAAGAAAAAAAGCTGGAGGCATTACACTATTTAACTTTAAAATATACCACAGGGCTACAGTAACCAAAACAGCATGGTACCGGTATGAAAGCAAGCAGATAGACCAATAGAACAGAATAGGAAACCCGGAAATAAAACTGCACACCTACAACGATCTGATTTTTGATAAACCTTACAGAAATAATCAATGGGGAAAGAACTCTCTATTCAATAAATGTTGCTGGAGTAACTGGCTAGCCATATGCAGAAAATTGAAACTACACCCCTTCCTTATACCACGTACAAAAATTAACTCAAGATGGATTAAAGACTTAAATATAAAATCCAAAACTATAAAAACCATTGGAGAAAATCTAGGCAATACCATTCAGGACATAGACACAGGCAAAGATTTTATGACAAAACATCAAAAGCAATTGCAACAAAAGCAAAATTGATAAATGGGTTTTAATTAAACTAAAGGGCTTCTGCACAGCAAAAGAGACTATCAACAGAGTAAACAGACAACCTACAGAATTGGAGAAAATTTTTGCAAACTATGCATCTGACAAAGGTCTAATATCCAGCATCTACAAGGAAATTAAACAACTTACAAGATAAAAACAACCCCATTAAAAAGTGGGCAAAGGACATGAACAGACACTTCTTAAAAGAAGACATATATGTGGCCAAGAAGCATATGAAAAAAAGCTAAAGAACACTGATCATTAGAGAAATGCAAATCAAAACCACAATGACATGCCATCTCATACCAGTCAGAATGGCTATTATTTAAAAGTCAAAAAATAACAGATGTTGGTGAGGTTGTGGAGAAAAAGGAATGCTTTTACACTGTTGGTGGGAGAGTAAATTAGTTCAACCATTGTGGAAGATAGTGTAGTTATTCCTCAAAGATCCAAAGACAGAGCTACCATTTGACCCAGTAGCCGCATTACTGGGTATATACCCAAAGGAATACAAATTGTTATATTATAAAGACACATGTGTGCATATGTTCATTGCAGGACTATTCACAATAGCGAAGACATGGAATCAACCCAAATGTCCATCAATAATAGACTGGATAAAGAAAACGTGGTATATGTACACCATGGAATACTATGAGGCCGCAACAAAGAATGAGATCATGTCCTTTGCAGTGACATGAATGGAGCTGAAGGCCATCACTCTTAGCAAACTAACTCTGGAACAGAAAACCAAATACTGCATGTTCTCACCATAAGTGGGAGCTAAATGATGAGAACACAAGGACACATAGAGGGGAACAATACACACTGGGGCCTATCGGAGATTGAAGGGTGGGAAGAGGGAGAGAGGAAGGAAATATAACTAATGGATACTAGGCTTCATACCTGGTTGATGAAATAATATTTACAACCAATCCCCATGACACAAGTTTACCTATGTAACAAACCTTCACATCCTGCACATGTAACCCTGAACTTAAAATAAAAGTTAAAAATAAATGAATAATATTTTAAAAACAGAATAAAATTGACTATTTTATTCTAGAAGTAAGAAGTTGAATGACAACATGTTTTTCAACGGCAACACTGGATGATAAAACAGGAGACATCCCTCACTTAAAAATTTTCAGAATAGGCCAGGTGCAATGGCTCATGCCTGTAATCCCAGTGCTTTGGGAGGCCAAGACAGGTGGCCCATGCGTGTAGTCCCAGCTATTCGGGAGGATGAGGCACCAGAATTCCTTCAACCCAGGAGGTGGAGGTTGCAGTGAGTTGAGATTGCACCACTGCACTCCAGCCTGGGCCAACAGAGTGAGGCTCTGTCTGTCCCCACCAAAAAAATTTCAGAATATCAGGAAAATAAAACTTACACAAGAGTGGGCATAACATTTCTCTGTAACAGCTTAGTTACTTGTATGGTTTGGCTGTATCTCCACCCAAATGTCATCTTGAATTGTAATAATCCCATGTCTAGGGTGGGGTCAGGTGGAGATAACTGAATCATGGGGGTGGTTTCCTTCATACTGTTCTTGTGGTAGTGAATAAGTCTCACAAAATCTGATGGTTTTATAAATGGGAGTTCTTCTGCACAAGCCCTGCTGCCATTTTAAATGTGCCTTTGTTTCTCCTTTGCCTTCTGCCACAATTGTGAGGCCTCCATAGCCATGTGGAACTGAGTCAATTAAACCTCGCCTTTATAAATTACCCAGTCTCAGGTACGTGTTTATAGCAGTGTGAGAACAGACTTATACAGTTAGCTAATCCTCAGCTATAAGGAGATGTTTTTCAGTGAAGTCCTTAATAAATGGTTTATTTTTCTGTTAAAAAGTGGAGAGTAAAGTTTCTTTCTTTTCTTGAGTATGCCTAAGAGACTGTAGCTATATAAATAATATATGGAATATTTCTCAGCCAAGAGGTGAACAGCCCAGCAACAAGCACTCAGGACCCATGGGAGAAAGACTCAGAGTAGTTGCATCACAAGACCTATTCTCTCAGTTACTACAAATCAGAATGTTGGAGAGAAGCAAACCTTTCCACAGACTTTAATTAATATATTGAAGTCATCATAGATGTATAAGTAAAGTCATAAAAGTTTTAAGCATCCCCAAACCAAGGTGATAGATTACCATGGGATAGTTAGGGAAGAGACTCTGATGGAACATGTAGGAAGTAGAGGACCAAGAAAGCCAGAGGATTTCCAAGTAACCCCTGTAGCGATTTTCCCTTAAAACTTGAAATAGTATCATAGTTACCAAATAGCGTGATAGCATGTGCTTAAGATAATGTGCGGTAATGAACTTATTAGTTCATGGTCCCTAAGCATTGACAAAATCTGGAGGAATATATACTAAAATGCTAGCAGGAATTATCTCTGGATGGTAAAATTACACAATATTTTTACTTTTTTTCTTTTTACACTCATTTATAAAGAGAAGTAAATACTTTTATATTCAGAAAAAAATAAAGCAATTATTTCCAACTGATAAAATAGAAATTAGAATTGTGTTAGTAATGGTAAATTCAGGCTGCCATAATGAACATACTGCTAGAGGAGCTAAGAGTAGTCCAATTAGACCAAAAGAAAGTGGAAATGACCAGTAACAACCTAGAGTGCTTTTTTCACTCCAAAGTTTTATAGCCTATGTTTATCTCACAATTTCTGTTCCTACCGAGAGAAAAAACATACTGTCACAGCTCTTACATGACATGACCACAGCTCTGAAATGCACAGGGAGACTTTCTGATTCACCATGAAGCACCCAAGGTATACTGCCGGATATCAGCTCTGCTGCTCCACATTTTACAGTGGACTATTGAATATCACACCAAGCCTTAGGACATGGCCTCAGTTTCCAATATGGTGTTTGTGGAATGTCTGGGTTCTGAATTAAGATTTCTAAAGAAAAAAAGACATTTACCTATTCTTTCAGGTGGAAGAACTTACTCATCCCCTAAATTCTTCTCCATATAAGAAATTTCAGTGGGACAGATTTCTCAGCCTCACAGGTAGTTGGCTGTGGCCTTTTGAATATGGTCTGGCCAATCTGGAAGTGATGTTCATATATCTTTAAAAGGATAGGACATACTTTCCTCCCATCCCTTTCCTCATTCTTGTTTCCCAGAAAGCAAACCTGGTAAAAATGAGCCATACTGGGCTACTTAGATGAAGGGGACACTGTGGGATGACTCAGTAATGTGACAGAATAAGCCTAGATCTTCAGCACTGGGCAGCTTTACCTGCCCTAGACTACATACACCTGGACTCTTACTAAGTGGGAAATACAATTCTTTGTTTTGTTTAAACTATTGTGATTTTAGTCTTCTAATTTAGTCCTTTAATTTATATACTGAACTCATCACAAATGGAAAAGTAAAGTCATGAAAGTTTTAAGCCTTTCCTAAGTGATCCACTTTTATGTTCAAAATGGTTGGAATAACAAGGGAATAGCGTTTTCCTGGGAGAGTCAGTTATTAAACACTTTTGTCATATTTAAGGACCCACTATTGTCAACCTAAAAGAAGAAGCTGAGGCAAAATTAATGTAAGCAGAGAGTTTATTTGGGCCAAGCTTGAGGATTGCAACCTGGAAGCATAGATTCAAGTGGCCTTGAATATACACTCCAATTAGCAACCATTACAAGCAGGTTTTTAAAGGAGAAGAAGAGGCAGTACCTAAGTTGTTTACCAAGAATTCACAGCAAAATAACGTAAGTATTGTTTGGCTATCCTCATTCATTGTATCACAAATTCTAAGAACATGAAGACGCTGGGTGAAGAAGATAGTCAAGAACAAAGTAACTTTAAACAATTGCCCCCAGGCATGCGTGTGGGGACATGACCGAGGTCCTGGGCTCCTGTATCTCTGAGCCTGCATTCCTCATGGAGCTCAGGATGCCCTGAGTCACTTTTCTTTTCTCACTCTGAAACCAGTAGGTTTTTACATGATGCTTCCTTACCTGCTGGAAAGCTAACACATTCACTTATTATTTTAAAACCTCATAATTTAAAAATCAAGGTTAGGACTTTACAAAAAGGAAACTTTTATGTTTAGGTTTTCCCCCTCCCCTCTCCTCTCTAAGAAAATGCATCATATAAGCTACCAGTTTAATTACTATGGGCTGGTGAAAAGATAATCTAGCCAAATATTCTCTGAAATTAGACACAACCCATTATGACAGTCCTCTAGAGCACACAAGGTTATTGGAGTTATTGAAGATTTTAATCTCTTTTTGTGAAATTCCTCAATAGAAGCTGTAGTCAATCGCCAATGCAGTTATTTTATTGTAGAAGGTGCATTCATGTTTTGCAAGTGCTTGGGACACGAGGGGACAATTAATGTAAATCAATTAATACAGAAGATGGTATTAAAACAATATATAAATGGTAATAAAATGTAGAATACTATTGTAGGGATCTCTGGCAATAATATAATAGCACTGGTGCAACACAATTACATTAATTTTGCCTTGCAAACATTATGTGACTTTTTCTGCTGATATTCACATACTTTAAGAACAAAATAGTATTACAAAAGTAGTAATGCTGCCCATTCCCCTCTCAGTTTTTTGCACTGATGATGAATAGATGTAGTGAAGTTAAGGCAAATTTCTGATCTTCCCCCTAAATAATTGCTAATGGGATACATTATTCGGTTTGAGGGATGGGAAAAGCAGCAGATTTACCTTTCTAATTATGTTTTTCTGAGACTAATATTAACATTAATTAGCATTCAATTTGCACCCACAAGGAAAATGATTCTAGAATTTAAATTTGCCAAGTTAAGCTAAGCTATGTGCAAATTAAGTAGATTTTCCTGTGTATATTATTTTCCATGTGAAAAATTTTTAAATTTCCCCTAAGTGGGTGAAAAAAACCTTCCAGAATAACTTACATTTGAATAACTTGAATAATTCTTTCAAATTTTTGTCTATTTTACAGCAATGTAGAAATTGTTTCAAGATTACACAGCTAGTAACAGTTCTTAAGATTTTTCCCCCACAAACTCATCATCTTTTATCACCACAAAACTGCTACCCAGATACCAGCTAGTACCAAAGGTATATAGATAAGTATTGAATCTGAAATAGCATGTGAGGCCCCACTCTTAACACCTTGGTAGCTATTACCTAATGTATTAGTTTGTTAGGGCTGCCATAGCATAGTACCACAGATTGGGTTGCTTACACAACAGTGGTTCATTTTCTCACAGTTCTAGAGGGTGGATATTTGAGATCAAGACATCAGTAGGTTGGTTTCTTCCAAGAGCTCTCTTCTTGGCTTGCAGGTAGTCATTTTCTATGATTTTCTCTATGTACGTGCATGTGTCCTAATCTACTCTTCTTATAAAGGCACCAGAAAATTGAATTAAGGCCCATCTTAACAGCTTTATTTTACCTTAATTACCTCTTTAAAGGCCCTGTCTCCAAATACAGTCACATTTTGAGGTACCGGGGGTTAGAACTTCAACATAAATTTTAGAGGAAAAGAATTCAGCTCATAACACCTAGAAAATTTACTAGTCTCCCCTTTTTCTTTTCTATCACATATATCTCAAACATAGTTTCTGAGACAGGAGCGTGAAGTAATCCATTTGGTTGGGAATTCAGGTCTGGAGGATCAGATTCCATATTCACAGCCTATTTGGAGTGGACAGTACTTTAAAAAGTCCTCTTCATACACAATATTGCATTTGAGCCTCAACATGAACTTGTGTGGTAGGTATTATTATTATACTCATGAAATAGATGAGAAAATTGAGAACCCTGCAGGCTAAATGCCTTGCACAAGGTTCGTAGCGACTGATAGAGCTAGGACTCAGGCAGTCATAGGACACTGCACCTCCTACAAGGAATTTACCAACCAACTTCTCTGTTTCTTCCCTTCTTTCCTTTCTACTTTCTTTCCTGTCTATTTTTTTTTTCTTTTTTGTTGTTTTAGTTGCTCTATTTAACTTTTCATTTTTTTGAATGCTACAGAGTCAACAAGGATTGGTCTTGTTGGTTAATTGGACTAATTAAACCAAAGGAAAGCACCAGACGAAAGTGCCAGTTTGACCCACAAAAGCGCGATTCCATATGATTCAGTTTAGAAATAATTTACAGCCAACACTCGGTTTTCTGGTTTTGTCTCCTTTGCATGCGTTCACTTGAGATTTACCCTCATTGTTTGCCTTTCATCTGACCCCATCTCAAACCTAGCCACTGGTCAGCCAGTTGTGCCCTTCATGATAACAACCTGAGACCAAACTAGAAGGGTCAAGGCAGACATGACAGTATGTATGTTGGGGAGTAAATAAGTTAGTGGATCATGAGCAAACAGTAAAACACAGGAACCACCTCTAAGATTACTGTTGGGTGTTCCCCTTCCCAGGATGGTTATTTCTTTACAAAACACAAACAGACCAAAAACAAACCAAGACAACTTCCTTCTTGACTGATATCCAGTATGCTAATGTATCACCAACAATATTTATAGCAGTTATCTATTACTGTGCAAAATATTACACTAAAATTTGATGGTTTAAGTTAATACAGTTAACATCTCACAGATGTTGTGGCCCAGGTATCTGGGAGTAGATTAGCTGGGTGGTTCTGACTCAAGGTTTCTCATGTTGATGCTGTCAGGACATTGGCAGGAGCTGCTGTTATCCAAAGGCTTGGCTGTGGATGAAGGATCTGTTTCCAAGGTTCCTTCCTCACGTGACTATTGGCAGGAGGCCTCACTTCCTCACTGGCTTGTGGCAGGAAGTCAAAATTCCTGGCCACGTGGGTCTCTCCTCACAGCATGGCAGCTGACATGCTCTAGACCCAGAAATCTAAGAGTGAGCCAGTGAGCAGAAGGACACAGTGCTTTCTGTGACCCAGTCTCTGAGTTAAACCCCATCATTTCTGCTATATGTTATCCATTTGAAGTGTCACTAAGTTCAGGCCACAGTTAAGAGCAGGGGAATTAGGCTTCACTTCTTAAAAGGAGGACCATCATAGAATTTGTCGACATATCTGTAACTACCGCCCATATATATGGTGTGAAAAAACAATCAAGTTCAGAAAATTCAATGGCTCTCAAACAGCAATTAAAGTTCAAGGATGGGCTTATTTAGGTCTTAGCCTTGTCACATATAATGGAATACATTAAATAAGTTATATAAGCCTGAACCATTTCTGAAAAGTATGTCAACAAAACGAAATATACCAGCAGTAATTTGTCTTGGCCTATTTAAAAGTACAAAAATATTTTTTGGTTCTAAAACATTGTACACATTAGACAACATTGGCCTTTTATTTATGGTTAGCTCATCCCTTGCTGACATGTTCTGCTTCTATTCACCTTTCAATTTTATTTAAATCCCAAAGGCATGGGTAACTTGTACAAAATTTTAAAAAATTGATCAAAATGTATAGTTTTATGAACAGTATGACAAATCAGTGTACAAAAGTTATCAAAAACTCCCCCTTACCTTTGCTCCAGCTCTCAAAAAGACAGCACCAAGTGCCGAAGAATAATGTCTTCATTTTCAAAGGAGGTCCCTGATACCTTATACTAAGATCTAAAAATATTTAAAATGTTTGCAATATGCCCTTGTAGTATCAATCCTTACTTTCATTCCAGTTTAATAAATATCATATTTCCTTTTTCATCACTCATTCACTGCACATTTTAAATTTTGTAAAATATTACATTGTGTTACATGTACGGAGAAGAGAGGGAGGCTACAGGAATGAACGCCCTGGGTGACATGGGCTGACAACACTTGCAGTGTAGCAGGTGTCTAAGGGCTACATGACCCACAGCTGAAGCAAGAGTCCCAGTCATTAGCTTCTTCCTCTCTCTCCCACCTTTTTGTCCTTCATCTTAAATTTCTGGGGCTCTCATTTTGTTTGTTTTTCATCATCATCAGTTACGAGTAATCTTTTATTGTAGAACTACTTCACAGTCAGCTCTACTTTTCTCCCAAGGCTTCTATGAAAGTGATTTGCAAGGAAGTTCAGAAACCCCTCCATCTCTTCCAATCCCTTCAGTCCCCACTGAAGTCTCCCTGCCCACATTCTTTTGTTTCTTGGATTTTGTAGCCTGGCAAAGTAGCTGTAGCTAGTATAGTGCTGGCAATAAAGCCCAAAGTCCAGCTACTTTCTCTTGTGTCTGCTCCGTTCGCCCTCTGTTCAATGGCCCCTGGGAATACAGGCCACTTTTCCATGAGCCCATTTCTTCAGCCTTACCATTTCTTTCTAAGACTCTAGTGAAAGTGTCAGAGTAAAATTGAAAAATATGTGCATCCCCAAAATAAATGGATAATTTGGATATCTAATTGTCATCACACAGATTTCTTATCATTATGCTAAAAAATTAAAGCATATATATAAAGAAGTAAAATAAAATGTTTTAAAATGAATTTTATTAATGAAATTCAAATGTCATGCTGATGCATGGCATAAACTTCACTAGCTAAATAACATTGTATTAGATATGAATACTTTAAAAGCCTTATATCTTGAAAACCTTACATCTTTAAATATTACATGTCTGTGATCACTTCTTTGCTTTTGCCATAACTGCATTACTGCACCATGCAATGAAAACCTCTTAAACTAAGTATGTAGTGGGGAATAATTTTTGGTGACAAAAATGTTTCATGTAAGTTATAAAATTATAATTTTAAAAAAATTTCATGTAAGTTAAAAAATTATAATTTTTATAATTGCAAGACCATTGCTCTTTTCCATTTAAGCTTCCCTATGCATTACAGTCTTCTTTTAAATTACCAGGATTTTCATATATGTTTTTATACTTTTATTATTATAATAACTGAACTGCTACTGACATATTTTCATAATAGGACATTAGAATGTAGGGCAGGATGTGGGAACAATTCTTTACTACATGTTGAACATTGTAGAGCATGTAACACCCTTGGTCATTGTGCCTACATATCAATAAAGGGTCTAACTCATTATGAAAACCCACTTTCCATATACCATTTCCAAATATTCTCTGAAGTGAGACATTCTACTGAAAACTACTGAACTATGAGGAGAGTGGTGCTTTGGCTCCTCTCAGGAAGGAGGCTGATCTCAAATGTTTATAGCAAATTGAATTTAGAATATGGGATACATCAACATTTTGGCCTGGTCATGATATTGCAATACAGGAAAAAAAATTACACTTCCTCACCGATATGGTTTGGCTGTGTCCTCACCCAAATCTCCATTTTAGCCCCCATAATTCCCCCATGTTTTGGGAGGGACACGGTGGGAGGTAATTGAATCATTGGGGCGGGTCTTTCCTGTGCTGTTCTCGTGATAGTGAATAAATCTCACAAGAGCTGATGGCTTTATTAAGGGGAGTTCCCCTGCACATGCACTTCTTCTTGCCTGCTGCCATGTAAGAAATGCCTTTCTTCTCTTTGCCTTCCACGATGATTGTGAGGCCTCCCCAGCCATGTGGAACTGTGAGTCCATTAAACCTCTTTCCTTTATAAATTACCCAGTCTCGGGTATGTCTTTATTAGCAGTGTGAAAGCAGACTAATGCACCGACCACTTCAGTTTCATCTACAGAGGAATTTGTATATGTTTTCTGTTTTGATGGGTTATAGGATCATATTCATTTTTGCACATCATTCTCTGCTAGTGATTCCATATAAACATCTAATTTTGACTCTGTAAGGTCTTCTGGTTTTGCCTACTTGGCTGTTTGAAAGGAGGTCAAACTATTTACTTGTGTATTTTTTTCATAAGGATTATAATCAAAGTATTAATTGATAATTCTGTGTAGATGATTCCACTGTTTTGACCCATGTATACCTAAATCAGGTATTTCATAATAAGATTTTATTTTGAAAATTTTAAACTATATAGCGGGGATAACGTGGAAACTCCTTGGAATTTGAGTTCCTGCTGCAGCTTAGGTTTAAGATCCTCTTCCTCCTTCCCATAATCTTGGAGGCAGGAATACCTTTGAAGGGGTTATTGACAAGCTTCTTAATAAAAGGCCATCTCAGAAAATGCTTAAAATTTTGATGGAGCTAGGGGAAGGACAGGTGCAGAACTGTAGGGGATGATGTTGCCATGGTACCCAGTGAACTCTAACATACTGTTTCTAGTCAAATGTGTCTCTGTCCAACAGATATAGTCAAATGTTTGTTATCTGATTATGTGTGCACTAGGGTAGAAGTGAAAATGTTTGACGATCTCTCAAGCCAGAGGGAACATTTAAAAAGGAAGGATCCTTGTAGATGCTAGATGTAATGTAAGTGGAAGATATTGATGTTTTCAAACAATTACTCAGGATGCCAGATGTCAGTTCCTGGTAAAGACAAAGTTAGCTTTGTAATGAGAATTTATTGAACTTCCACAGAGCATGTAGCCATGTACAAACTGGATTACAAAATCATTGTATTCTTTCCTCCTATCCCAACAGGAAAATATGTTTCCAAATCACCAAAGCCAAGAGTTTAGTAGAAGCAACACAATTTTTCCCTGCTTCATCTTTGTAGAGGTAAGAAAGCTCTGGACATTTACCATTAGAATATGTATTATTCAAAAGAAATAGACTGTTCCTTTAATACTTACTTCATGTATCCCTTTTGACATACATTGATGATGTAACTATAGAAACATGTAAGGTCATGGGCTTGTTACCATCTGAAGTGTTTTGTGGTCATTGTAATTAGGAACACAGGGGCAGTTTTGCATCATGCACGAATGAGTTTTTAGATCCAGAGTTATTATTGTATTACCTCACTGATGCATCTTTTTCTATCTGTCCCCATTTTCTAGTATCTACCCCTCTTCTCACAAGCTCTTCCTTATCCCAGAACTTCTCAGCGTTGTTTGAGAACCCCATAATGTTACCTTTACTTGATTGGAGGATACAGCTACAACTGACCCCTATTTAACCAGCAAACCCTGAGGTTAATGTCAAGCACTTTGGGATCTTTCTCCTCTCTCCTGGATCAGCACCACTCACCTGTTTCAGTTCCCTCCACTTAACTTTGCTTCTCTCACATTCGTTCCTCATACACATGACAAGATCTATGAGTTCTGGTGTTCTCTTATTTCAGTCTCATTATGTCCATGAAGGATTGTAAGAAATACAAACTATCATCAGAGAATACTATATACACCTCTATGCAAATGAACTAGAAAATCTAGAAGAAATTGATAAATTCCAGGACACATACACCCTCCCAGGACTAAAGCAGGAAGAAGTCGAATCTCTGAATAGGCCAACAACAAGTTCTGAAATTGAGACAGTAATTAACAGCCTACCAACCAAAAAAAAAAAAAAAAAGCCCAGAACCAGATGGATTCACAGCTGGATTCTACCAGAGGTACAAAGAGGAGTTGCTACCATTCCTTCTGAAACTATTCCAAACAATAGAAAAAGAGGGCCTCCTCCCTAACTCATTTTATGAGGCCAGCATCATCCTGATACCAAAACCTGTCAGAGACCCAACAAAAACAGAAAATTTCAGGCCAACATCCCTGATGAACATCGATGCCAAAATCCTCAATAAAATGCTGGCAAACTGAATCCAGCAGCACATCAAAAGCTTATCCACCATGATCAAGTCAGCTTCATCCCTGGGATGCAAGGCTGGTTCAACATACACAAATCAGTAAACGTAATCCATCACATAAACAGAATCAATGACAAAAAACACATGATTATCTCAATGGATGCAGAAAAGGCCTTCAATAAAATTCAACACCCCTTTATGCTAAAAACTCTCAATGAACTAGGTATTGATAGAACGTATCTCAAAATAATAAGAGCTATTAACGACAAACCCACAGCCAATATCCCACTGAATGGGCAAAAGCTGGAAGCGTTCCTTTTGAAAACCAGCACGAGAAAGGGATGCCCTCTCTCACCACTCCTATTCAACATAGTATTGGAAGTTCTGGCCAGGGCAATCAGGAAGAGAAAGAAATAAAGGGTATTCAAATAGGAAGAGAGGAAGTCAAATTGTCTCTGTTTGCAGATGACATGATTGTATATTTAGAAAACCCCATCGTCTCAGCCCAAAATCTCCTTAAGTTGATAAGCAACTTCAGCAAAGTCTCAGGATACAAAAATCAATGTGCAAAAATCACAAGCCTTCCTATACACCAATAATAGACAGAGAGCCAAATCATGAGTGAACTCCCATTCACAATTGCTACAAAGAGAATAAAATACCTAGGAATAAAACTTACAAGGGATGTGAAGGACCTCTTCAAGGAGAACTACAAACCACTGCTCAAGGAAATAAGAGAGGACACAAACAAATAGAAAAACATTCTATGCTCATGGATAGGAAGAATCAATATTGTGAAAATGGCCACACTGTACAAAGTAATTTATAGATTCAATGCTATTCCCATCAAGCTACTGTTGACTTTCTTCCAAGAATTAGAAAAAAACTACTTTAAACTTCATATGGAACCAAAAAAGAGCTTGTATAGCCAAGACAATTCTAAGCAAAACAACAAATCTGGAGGCATCATGCTACCTAACTTCAAACTATACAAGGCTACAGTAACCAAAACCACATCGTACTGGTACCAAAACAGATATATAGATCAATGGAACAGAACAGAGGCCTCAGAAATAACATCACACATCTAAAACCATCTGATCTTTGACAAATCTGACAAAAACAAGCAATGGGGAAAGGATTCCCGATTTAATAAATGGCGTTGAGAAAACTGGCTAGTCATATGGAGAAAACTGAAACTGCACCCCCTCCTTACACCTTATACAAAAATTAGCTCAAGATGGATTAAAGACTTTTAAATGTAAGACCTAAAACCATAAAAGCCCTAGAAGAAAACCTAGGCAATACCATTCAGGACATAGGCATGGGCAAAGACTTCATGAATAAAACACCAAAAGCAATGGCAACAGAAGCCAAAATTGACAAATGGGATCTAATTAAACTAAAGAGCTTTTGCATAGCAAAAGAAACTACAATCAGAGTGAACAGGCAATCTACAGAATGGGAGAAAATTTTGGCAATCTATCTATCTGACAGTGGCTATAACTAGAATCTACAAGGAACTTAAACACATTTACAAGAAAAAAACCAAACAACTCCATCAAAAAGTGGGTGAAGGCTATGAACAGACACTCCTCAAAAGCAGACATTTATGCGGCCAACAAAAACAAATGAAAAAAAGCTCACCATCACTGGTCGTTAGAGAAATGCAAATCAAAACCACAATGAGATATCATCTCACGTCAGTTAGAATGGCAATCATTAAAGAGTCAGGAAACAATAGATGCTGGAAAGGATGTGAAGAAATAGGAACACTTTTACACCATTGGTGGGAGTGTAAATTAGTTCAACCATTGTGGTAGACAATGTAGCGATTCCTCAAGGATCTAGAACCAGAAATACCATTTGACCCAGCAATCACATTATTGGGTATAAACTCAAACGATTATAAATCATTCTACTATAATGACACACGCACATGTATGTTTATTGCAGCGCTATTCACAATAGCAAAGACTTGGAACCCACCCAAATAAATGCCCATCAATGGTAGACTGGATAAAGAAAATATGGCCCATATACACCATGGAATACTATGCAGCCATAAAAAAGGATGAGTTCATGTCCCTTGTAGGGACATGGATGAAGCTGGAAACCATCATTCTCAGCAAACCAAAACAGGAACAGTAAACCAAACACTGCATGTTCTCTCATAAGTGGGAGTTGAACAATGAGAACACATGGACACAGTGAGGGGAACATCACACACTGGGGCCTGTCGGCGGGTGGAGGGCTAGGGGAGGGATAGCATTAGTAGAAATACCTAATGTAGATGACGAGTTGATGGGTGCAGCAAACCACCATGGCACATGTATACCATGTAACAAACCTGCATATTTTGCACATGTATCCCAGAACTTAAAGTATAATATATATATATAAAATAATATATATATTTTATATATTATATAATATATAACATGTTTATAATTATATGTATATAATTTATAATGTATATATTATATTATATAATTATATATACATATATAATTATATAATATATTTTATAATATAATAAATAATATATATTATATAATTATATATAATTATATAATTATAATTATAAAACCATTACTTATATTGGCTTTTTAATATAATATAATATATATTATATAGTATATAATTTATATATATAATTATATAATTTATATATAAAGTACATACTATATAATATATATTATTTATAATTATATATAATTATATAGTATATATTATATATATATAATTATAATTATAAAACCATTACTTATATTGGCTTTTTTAGATTGTGTGTGGATAAGCAACATATCCATAGTAGTGCATCAACAACAATCAAGGGACACCCAGTCGGAACCTGTTTACCCAGCCCAATCTACTGTTGGATACTTGCTTTCTTTTTAAGTGTATATAAAACATTAGAAATATCACACATGCACTTTTACAGTGATGTCACCTTTATGATATGTATGTAATTTCCATGTTATAATGAGTAAAATTAATAATTTAATTAAGCCATAAATGCTTAATTGGTAATAACTTCTTTCAACAATGACTTTAACAAGATTATAGCTTAGTGCTCAGTCATTACAATTACTTTCTTGGAGTCTGCCTCCTTTTTTATGATTGCAATTCTTTTCTAGTATCCTTCTAGAAAATGATCTAAGGCACTCTGTATTGGGAGGCAATGATATCAGGAAAGTAGGGGAGGGTGGGTAATGAAATCACTTTCATTTAGTTTTCAAACTTGTAGATTGTTTAAAATATTCTTTAATGAATGAGAACTACAAGAAGTAAAACACTTTTAAGAAACTATGGTTTGAAAAAAAATTTAGCAAAAATCCAAAAGTAAGGTAAAATGAACTATTTTTAGTGTTTATGGCAAAGAAGTTTAGCCTTAGCATGAGCAACATTTACCTAAAGACAAACTTACAAATGATGGACTGTAGACAATACTTTCTTTATGGTTCGGTGAAAAGATATCTTACATGCTATTCTACCAATCATTTTTCTTTAATCTGGGGGAAAGAAGAGATTATGGCAGTGGGAAGAATTTGAAATGTTAATTTTAGACCACAAGTAAAAGAGGAAGAAGCTCCTAGGTAGCTGAATAGGGCTGGCAATGGGAAGCACAGATATGAGAGATTTTGCTATTGAAAGTTCTCGAGATTATATAGAGCAAGAGAACTGAAGCACAGCGGGATAAATGACAACCTCTAATGCCAAATCACGTTGCTGTCTAAACTGAAACAATTCTGGTGTTTGGGGAGCAATGGATGTTCTTTAGTAGGATTCTAACAACTGAAAAAAATGCTTTAGGGTGAGTTGGGGATGCTAGCTAAACTATCTGTGGAGTATATCCAGGAATCCAGACAGTTAAGCAGAGACAGAAAATAGTTGGGACTGAAGTGGGGAAGGCAGAAATGGGGACTAGGTGTTTTAAATTATCTTTAAATGGTATTCTGACTGATGTTATGTAGGAACAGAGGTTGTTGGTCTATCGATTTACTTTCGGTATGTTAACCTTTGCCCCAGTTGGGTAAACTAGGGACTGGATTAAAAAAAAAAAAAACTTGTTGCATAGCATTCACTAATCTACCTAACTTTGCATAACTAAGAAGGGAAACCCAGGCATGTCCCTTCTTTCCCAACTATTGCACCAACTCCATCCACTCTATACTTAATTAGG
This sequence comes from Homo sapiens, assembly GCF_000001405.40. NCBI lineage: Eukaryota > Metazoa > Chordata > Mammalia > Primates > Hominidae > Homo > Homo sapiens. The sequence continues at coordinate 99,110,380 of NC_000001.11, read as the reverse complement.
TAGGTGAGAATATAAAATCCTATTCTGACCTGGTTTCCTGGACCCTCCTTTGTTAGCTCAACTTCTGGACTTTCACAGACCCACGTGCATTTTCCATGTTCCATGTCCTTGGTCTTTCAAAGCAATGAGACAAAACCAGCAACTTCTGCTGGATCATCCACCCCACTCCCCTGTTTTCTTCCTAGACAGCACTTTTTCTTTTTCTTACAAAAAAGAGACTTCTTTTTCTAATTTTAAAGTAATAAATATTTGTAATGTTTAAAAACTACTATAGCACAGTTTTTAAAATTTCATTTATTCGTTTCTATTTGAATGCCTTCTATGTAGCAGACATTGTTTTAGGCTCTGGGAATACAATGGTGGTGAAATTATGTAATCTGTCTCCTCATGAATGTTACATTCCAATGATCTGAGAAAACAATTAGCAAATAAGTGAGTAGAGTATTTATGGTAGTAATTGTGGATAAATGCTATGGAGAAAAACAAATCAGGAGATGAGGGTGAGGTCTGGTGATGGCAGATGGGGCCTCATAATTTTCCTTATAATATTGCTACTTATCTGTTAATATTTTAGCTATAAATTACCATACATTTTCTTTTTAACATTTATTTTAGTTTTTAATTTATTAACACATACACATAGCTTAAAAGGTTAAAAAACTGTTGAAAATTAAAACAAAAAATTCCAGTATACTAATTCTGTCCCCCTACTATAAAATAACTTTACCTGTTCTGTATCCCCCTATTATGAAATAACTTAATCTATTTCTCCAAGTAATATGTGTAGACTGCTATGTTTTGACTTATAAATGTTAAATATTATCTATTGATTTCTTTTTAAGGGAATTAAGTCTCTAGCTTTTACCCTTACTCATTTTCCTCCTAACCATTCTCTTATAATAGATGGATTACAATTTTTGGCAAAATATATATAATGTCTTTATTATTATTATGACTACATTGATTCTACTCAAGTACTGTACTATGGGTGAATGAATTTCCTTTTTTTCACAACTTTTTGCTTAGTTTTCTTAAATATCTGGCTAACTCTTGACACACAATTTAATAACTCTGTTAAAAATATCTTGCTACAATTTTCTGCATGATTAAATATATCAAATAATCTATTAATTACTTTTTTCCTCTGAATCCTTCAAGTGCTTTTTTAAAAATTTTGTTTTAAGTTCCAGGATACATGTGCAGGATGCACATGTTTGTTTCATAGGTAAACGTGTGCCATCGTGGTTCACTGCACGTATCAACCAATCACCTAGGAATTAATCCCAGCATCCATTAGCCATTTATCCTGATGCTCTCCCTCTCACCCCTACAGGCCCCAGTGTGTGTTGTTCTCCTCCCTCTGTCCATGTGTTCTCATTGTTCAGCTCCCACTTATAAGTGAGAACATGCTGTTTGGGTTTCTGTTCCTGTGTTTGCTGAGGATAATGGCTTCCAGCTCCATCCAAGTGCCTTTTATCCCCTTGTTTCAGATTGGTCTATGCAGTCTCTAGGTTTGGTCCACAAAAGTTGTGTTGAAATTTTCTTTTGCAGCCATCTTGGGAATTACCTTTTCTTTCCCTTTCTCCTGTGTTATAGTGCCTGTATTGACCTGTATCCTAGATCTCCTGTTCTTGGTTTATTCTTCCACTTTAGTGGAGAAAATTTTACTGTACATTCTCACAAAAGCATATGTATTCGTTTTCTATTTTTTTTCTGTAACAAATTACTGCAAATTCAGTGGCTTAAACAACACAGATGTATTACCAGGTAGTCCTGTAGTTTAGAAGTCTTAGATCTCATTGGGCTAAAATCAAGGGGTGTATCACTTTTTTTTGTCTGTTCTAGTGTCTAGAGGCTCCCCACATTCCTTGACTGGTGACCTTCTCCTCCATCTTCAAAGCCAGCAATGGTGGCCTGGATTCTTCTCACTTTACATCTGACCTCCTCTTCTGCACCCCCACTTCTACTTTTAAGGACCCTTGTGATTACACTGAGTGCATCTGGATAATATAGGATAATCTCCATATTTTAAGGACAGCTTGATAGTAAACTTTATCCCATCTGCAACCTTAATTTTCCTTTGCCATTTAAAGTAACATATTCACAGATTCCAGGGATGAGAACATGGATATGTTTAGAAGTCCATTATTCTGCATACCACAAGGTGCCTGGAAAATGTGTCTTAAAGTTTCCATTGTACATATGCATCTAGTTAATGGATTGGCTGGGTGTACAATTCTAGGTTGAAAATAATTCCAATAAAAATTTATAAAGCATTACTTCATCTCTTGTATCTTGCAAATTGCTCAACTAGGACGACGTTCTGAGTCTCAATAAGTTTTAAATCTCAAGGCCTTGTTATTATTGGTATTACAAAATTTTGCAAACATTAGTCTTGGTTTATATTTTTTTATTTATTGTTTTGGGCACTTAAGTGGGGTTCTTCCACATTTTTCCATTCTGAATTTTTTCTAATTATTTGCAATTATTGATGACGTCATCATCATTTTTCTATTTTCTCCATCTAGAGCTCTAACGGTTTGGATGTTGGACTTTCTGAATATCACACATTGTATTAGTCCATTCTCACACTGCTATAAATAACCACCTGAGACTGGGTAATTTACGACGAAAAGAGGTTTAATCGACTCACAGTTCCTCATGGCTGAGGAGGCCTCAGGAAAGTTACAATCCTGGTGGAAGGTGAAGGGGAAGCAAGGCATGTCTTCCCCCTGTGGAGCAGGAGAGAGAGAGAGTGAAGGGGGAAGTGCCACACACTTATCAAACAACCAGATCTCCTGAGAACTCTATCATGAGAAAAGCAAGGGGGAAGTCCACCCCCGTGACTTGATCACCTCCCAGCTGACCCCTCCTTCAACACATGAGGATTACAATTCAACACGAGATTTGGGTGGGACACAGAGCCAAACCATATCACACATATATGAGATAGAAGAGATGTTACACAGACACATGCATACACACAGTGTATAAATATATAAAAAGGGGAAATTATATATACACACACACACACATTCAACATTCTCTGTTGTTTTGCTCTTAATTGTTAACTCCTTGCTTTCTGAAAGATTTCCAAAATTTTCCTAAGTTTTATCTTCCAGCATTCTCACTGAATTTTAAATAATAAATTAATTACAAAATGTGTGATTTATAAGAATTGCACTTAGTCCCTGATCTGTCCTTTTTCATCTCATTCTTTTCTTGATTTAGAGATGCAATGTTGTCTCTTAAAAATTTTTTTTTGAAATTTTCTTCTGTGTCCTGCACTGTCTCCACTTGCTCTTAATTTCATTTATTTCTGCATTTTTTTTTTTTTTGAGACAGAGTCTCACTCTTTTGCCCAGGCTGGAGTGCAGTGTCACGATCTTGGCTCACTGAAAGGTCACATATCTCTGTTTCTGCAGAATTGGTCCTTGGTAGCTTATTCAGTTCATTTAGTGAGATCATGTTTTCCTGGATGTTTTTGATACTTGTAGATGTTTGTGTCTGAGCATTGAAGAGTTAAGCATTTATTGTAGTCTTCTCAGTCTGGACTTGTTTGTGCCTGTCCTTCTTGGGAAGGCTTTTGAGATATTCAAAAGGATGTGGGTGTTGTGATCTAAGCTGTATCTGCTTTAGGGGGCCCCTCAAGCCCAGTAACACTGTGGTTCTTGTAGACTCTTAAAGGTACCACTTTGATGGTCTTGGACAAGATCCAGAGAAATTCTCTGGCTTACCAGGTAGAGACTCTTGTCCTCTTCTTGTTTTTATTTCCAACAAATGGAGTCTTTCTGTTCTGAGCCACCTGAAGCTGGGGGTGGAGTGTCACAAGCAGCCCTATTGCCACCACCACTAGGACTCTGCACTGGATCCAATCTGAACTAAATGCAGCTTTGGTCTCATCCAAGGCCTGCTGTAACCACTTCCTGGCTATGTCCTATGTTCTCTGAAGGCCCTGGGGGCCTATAATCAGCAGGTGGCAAAACCATTCAGGCCTGTGTCCCTCCTTTCAGGGTGGCGAGTTCTTCCAAGCCCCAGGTGGGTTCAGTGGTATCATCCAGGAGCCAGGGACTAGAGTCATAAACCTTAGAAGCCTTCCTGGTGTTCTGTTGTACTACAGCTCAGCTGATACTCAAACCCAAGATGCAGTCCTTCTCACTTCTCCCTCCCCTTTCCAAAGGCAAAGAAGCCTCATCCCATGGCCACTGCCACAACAGACCCATAGGGAATACTGTCAGTCTACCACCAGGGTTCCCTTAAGGCCCAAGGGCTCTTCAGTCCACTTGTGGTATGGTCTGGGGCTCACTCTTCAGCATCGTGGGCTTCTCTCTGGCCCAGGGGAAGTCCAGGAATGCTGTCCAAGAGCCAAGTCCTGGAATCAGGGATCCCAAGAGCCCAGTTGGTGCTCTACCCGCACTGTGGCCAAGCTGGTTCCTAAGGTGCAAGACAAAGTCCTCTTTATTTTTTCCTCTGCTTTTCTCAAGCAAGAGTCTCACCCATTAGCCACCACAGCTGGAAATGTGCTAAGTCTCACCTGAAGCCAGCAAGTCTCAGAGTCTCACCCAAGGCCCTCGACGTATTACCTGCGTATCACTGCTGGTATTCAGGGCCCAAAGTCTCTTCAGTTAGCAGGCGATGAATCCTGCCTAGACTGGGTCGTTCCCTTTAAGGCACTGGGTTCGCTTTCAGCCCAGATTGTGTCTAGAAATGTTTTCTAGGCTCTAGGGCCTGGAAAGGGGATCTCATGACTCTGGCCAGTGCCCTATCCTTATGTGGCTGACCTGTTATCCAAGATGTATGCCTAAGTTCTCCCTATTCTTCCCTCTCCTCTCCTCAAGTAGAAGGAAGTCTCTTTTGGAGCCATGTAGCCTGAGGTTAGGGGAGGGGTGATGCCAGCACTCCATTAGCTGCCCTGGCTAGTGTCTCAGTAGGTCATTTGCCCCCAGAGTCCACTGTCTCTGAGTCTAGTTCGGCACTAGGACTCACCTAGGAGTTGCAGTCCTTGTGGTCTGGACTGCTTTTCAAGTTTATTTAGAGCCCTAGTGCAATTTAGCCTATGGTGGTGAGGCTTTCAGGAACTCAAGTTCAGGAACTCAAGTTTGGACTACTGGGATTGGTGATTCACCTCTGGCTAGGGCTGATTTAAATACTGTCTCTGTGGCTGGGCATCAGAGGAGTATGGTCCAGTTTGTTTTCTATTATAATAGGAGAGCACTGAGTTTAAGGCCTCAAAATTGCTGTGCTCTCCCTCTCCCCGGAACACAGAAATGCTCTCCACACCAGTCTGTCACTGCCAGGAGAAGGGGAGAGGTGGCACTGGCAACTCAAGACTGTTTTTCCTATCTCTTCAGTGTCTTTTCCAATTATATGAAGTTAAAACCAGGTACTGTGAGTGCTCACTAAGATTTTTTGGTTCTTATGAAGGACAAAAAATGTTTTTGTTGTCGTCATTTTTTTTTTTTTTTTTGAGACAGAGTCTCACTCTGTTGGCCAGGCCAGAGTGCAGTGGTGCGATCTCGGCTCACTGCAACCTCTGTCTCCCAGGCTCAAGCAATTATCCTGCCTCAGCCTCCCGAGTAGCTGGGATTATAGGCATGTGCCACCATACTTGGTTAATTTTTGCATTCTTTTAGTAGAGCCGGGGTTTCACCATGTTGGCCAGGCTGATCTCGAACTCCTGACCTCAGGTAATCCACCCACCGAGGCTTCCCAAAGTGCTGGGATTACAGGTGTGAGCCACCACCCCTGGCCTCTTTTTTTTTTTTTTCCAATTCTTTTTTTGTGTAGATGGTTGTTACATTGGTGTCCTTGAGGTGGGGGGACAATCAGTGGAGATTTCTATTCCACCAACTTGCTACACTTCAAGTGCCTGAAAGTAATTTAATTGGTGGGATATTTTTTATAAAAATTAGAGTGGTGATGGTATTCCAGATTCTTTTCTGTGAAGTCTGGTATAGGAAGACCACACAGAACAATATTTTATTAATTAACTTTTGTAGTGATAAAATCCTAAACTATTAAGCAGCATAGTATATAAAGAGGACATTATGCATCTAAGGTGTTGTTTCTAAGGGAAATAGCAATAGTCACTCAATGATTAAGTACCTAGAAAAGAGAATAGAGAAGTTAAAGATAAAAAAACTTCAAGCTTAGAACCAACTTTAAGAAATTTGTGTGCTAAGAAATATTTTCAGTATTAGGTAGCATTCTAGTACTGAAACCATTAATAGTGCTATTATATAGAATATAGGTGATCTATACTCTCAGCATTTCCTGTTTACATTTAAAAAATTTTAGTCATTCTCCATTTAGTCTTATCTCTTTCTCATCTCCATTTTTATGACCAAGTTTCTGGCTTCTTCCTGAAAAGTATTATATCTTAGAAACAACAACTCTTTAATTACTTAATACTCTGTTTGTCTGTATGAATGAAATGCCCACATAATTTCTATTCACTTCTGGATATTTAAAAATTATTATTCAGATCATATAGTGATTTGAGTATTATAACATAGTTTCTTCATATGGGATAATTCCCAAACTAAGAAATGTATACTTTTTATGCAAGTTTTTATAAATTGATAATATTTTTAAAATCCATCTTTTTCCCTCCTATTTTTAACATGGGTTAAATTGCTAAATAGTATTAATTATTTTAGTCCTATGCCCAAGTTTCATTGGCACCACATAATAAATATTTGTGGATAAGCAAGTGACTATACCTAGATGTCATGAATACTATAGATTAGTGGGTGCCATCATTCCCCAAAATAAACATAACCAGGTATCTACTAATGCATGGTATAGTAACAGGCACTAGGGGTACAGACAGATAAAATATTACAGTTGATTAGGAGACAAAATATATACCTAAGATGGCAAACAACTATTGACAGTTGCCTGAGGCCAATATATCATTTCATGGCTTATACTAAATCTCAACCTTCTCTTTAAAACTAAGTCTTAAGTCAAATTGTCTCTGTATTCTCTGCCAGAAAAATCTTACATATCTTAATTCCTCAAAACTGTCAGAATAGAAGAATGTGTAACCAAACAAAATAAATGAGGAAATGGAGCAACATTTCCAACAGACTACTTTTACGTGTTTGAATTTGTCTTATGTTTATTCAACTTACTAGGTAACTATAACACATACTGTCTCAAAAATTCACCACGAATGAGTAGATAGTGCTTTCTATTCTATTTTACTATAAGACAATAGGATATTTATCTTATTTATATTCCATCTGACACATTTTAAACTCAGTTGGCTCTTGAAAATTATTTGTGACTCCTGCTGATCCTTCACCCCTTTCTCTCGTTTCTTTTTATCTTTAGAGAAAAGGCATTTTTCGAAAGTTACTTCTAAAGCATCAAAGAGCAGTGTTGTTGCCATATACAATACTCTTTCCATCAGACAATTTGAATTGCTTTGGTAACCTAGCAATTTACATTCACTCCCTTCAGGTAGCATTCGGACTCCACTAAGGCATCTTCCACAGCAGGCTTATTGCTTTTTCAATCCTATGGAGTCTTGTATGAAGACAACTTCTTTTTATTATTATTATTATTATTATTATTATTATTATTATTATGCTTTAAGTTTTAGAGTACATGTGCACAACGTGCAGGTTAGTTACATATGTATACGTGTGCCATGCTGGTGTGCTGCACCCATTAATTCGTCATTTAGCATTAGGTATATCTCCTAATGCTATCCCTCTCCCCTCCCCCCACCCCACAACAGTCCCCAGAGTGTGATGTTCCCCTTCCTGTGTCCATGTGTTTTCATTGTTCAATTCCCATCTATGAGTGAGAACATGCGGTGTTTGGTTTTTTGTCCTTGCGATAGTTTACTGAGAATGATGATTTCCAATTTCATCCATGTCCCTACAAAGGACATGAACTCATCATTTTTTATGGCTGCATAGTATTCCATGGTGTATATATGCCACATTTTCTTAATCCAGTCTATCATTGTTGGACTTTTGGGTTGGTTCCAAGTCTTTGCTATTGTGAATAGTGCCGCAATAAACATACGTGTGCATGTGTATTTATAGCAGCATGATTTATAGTCCTTTGGGTATATACTCAGTAATGGGATGGCTGGGTCAAATGGTATTTCTAGATCTAGATCCCTGAGGAATGGCCACACTGACTTCCACAATGGTTGAACTAGTTTACAGTCCCACCAACAGTGTAAAAGTGTTCCTATTTCTCCACATCCTCTCCAGCACCTGTTGTTTCCTGACTTTTTAATGATTGCCATTCTAACTGGTGTGAGATGGTATCTCATTGTGGTTTTGATTTGCATTTCTCTGATGGCCAGTGATGATGAGCATTTTTTCATGTGTCTTTTGGCTGCATAAATGTCTTCTTTTGAGAAGTGTCTGTTCGTATCCTTTACCCACTTTTTGATGGGGTTGTTTGTTTTTTTCTGGTAAATTTGTTTGAGTTCACTGTAGGTTCTGGATATTAGCCCTTTGTCAGATGAGTAGGTTGTGAAAATGCACAGCAAAAGAAACTACCATCAGAGTGAACAGGCAACCTACAAAATGGGAGAAAATTTTCTCAACCTACTCATCTGACGAAGACAACTTCTGACAACAGGTCTTCCACCCAATCACAACTCCTGGACCCAGTAACACCCTGCTGTGATTCTTATATTCATCACAAGATGACTTGATGGTTATCATTGCTAACTTCCCAGAGAAATGGTAAGAGCAGAAATGTTTAGAAGATTTGGCCTTTAAATCTCTATAAAAATTGGCCAGTTAAAAACAATTATTAAAAAAACAGCCTCCAAACAAAAGTTTTTCTTCATTCTGATGAAAGACATAATGGAACACCTTGTAACATCTACTTCACCAAAGAAAGGCAATCTGTCAAGTTCTGTATAAGTAGCTGGATGTATGTATAGTGATGAATGCTTGCTTTTACTCAGTTCATTTTTTAGAGAAGAAAAATAGCTGTAAATTTAACTGAGACTACTAAATACTAATACAAATGATGAAAGGGCAGTGTGTTAGAGAGGAAGACCCCTAAGTTGAGATGCTCAGGATCCCTGGGAAACCTGGGATCACTTGGTACAGAATAAGTGTTGATTTGTTGATAATTTGGGAGTTAGAGTCTTAGATTCAAGTTCATCTCAATAGAAGTGAAAGCTTAGGAAGTTACTGCAATCTCTCTCTGAGACTCAGTTTTCACATCTGTAAAATGAAAATAATTATGGTGGCTACCACAGAGGATTGTTGTAAGGACTAAATAAATTATTTTATGTAATGTATTTATCAACATGCCTGATACATATTTGGTTCTCCTTAATGTTAGTTACTTTGTTTATTTATTCAAAAAATGTCTACTCTTCTACTTTCATGTTATAATCCTTTCTAGATATTACAAATTGAACAGTTCTGCACTCAAGGAGTCTGCAATCTAATATAAAAGATAATTTCACGGACAAGTCATTTAAATGAGCAGGACCTATAGTGGCAAGTCCTGGAGGCTGTATTTGTTTTTTGTGATGTTGCTCTTTTGATTAGGTGATTGTACCAGGTGTTGCTATTCGATTCAAAGTGAACCAGTCAGTTTATGGCTTTAGATAATTTTGAATTGACATTCAAAAATGAAAATTGGCCTCTGATTATTACCTGAATTGAGGACAAGCACAGTCAGAAATTATGGGATTCATGGTCAGCTAATTCCAAAATGAATCAGAGAAATTTGATAAGGTAGGAGTGAAAAAGACTGTGAGTACAGTTGCTTTGCTTTCTGTAAGTTTTCCAATTTCTGGTTCCATTTATTTGTAAAAGCAAAATGTACTTGCTGTTTGTGGGTTAAATTTAAAAATCTGTATCTTAATCATCTTTTTTTCAGTTTGTATGATTTAATTTCTATTACTTAAAACCAAAGTGCTTTATCTAAGACATATGATTTGATGTGAAGGAGTGAACTAATATTTAAAGATCTGTAAACCAAGTTCAATCTGATGTAAGATTTGTTGTTGGTCATAAAAAGGGAAGCTATAGGAAAAGAAGAGTGAAAACTGAATCAAAACTGAGTAGCAAAGTTAGTGCATGCCCGGGACCCAAACCAAATTGTATTGAACGTATTATTGCTTTCTCAGCAGACTTTTATTCTCAACCATTTCCTTATGGAAATCTAAGTTGTGGAACTGTGGAACTTCTAATAATAGCAGTGGTCAAAGTTCATTGATACTATAACTTGCAAATAATATTTGTTAGTAAAATGATAGAAATCCCTGCCTCAAAATTGTGTGCCCCAGCAATGCCCTGACTCATGTTCTAATGTATTTTCTACATGGAATACAATAGTGAATATACAGTAATTGCTTATTAAAATTTATATTTTGCATAATTAATATATACTGGGTTCATGGAAAATGTTTTTGAGAATATAAGGTAATATTTTATACTAATGATATACATTAATGAACCCAAATAAAACCTGTAAATTACCTTCTGCTAATTCTATAGTTATCAGTTAATGTCACTTGTTTGGGATTCTAATTTTATTTAATTAAAAAATTATAAACATGAATAATATGTAGATTATTTTGAGACTTAAAGAGGAGCTTTCCTCAGTAGTAAAACCAATTTTATGCAAATGCATCCTTAATTCTAATTTTTGTGTGTTGCTGAATATCAGAAGTATTTACTTCTCATATTGGGGCTTAATTTCTGAAAAATTTAAGAAATCATTCCAAAGGAAGAGAGGTCCAAATTTAGTCCTCTAGGTATAAGTTGAATGAGATAACAAAAATTTTTACCTAAAATCTTAGAAATTTGGAAAAGATGTCAAATGCTTCACCGTCTAAGAATTCCTTTTACAGGAAAAGGTTTTCTGCTTTTAGAAATATTTTATGTATGTACCACATTTACTTTATCCAGTGTATCATTGATGGGCATTTGGGTTGGTTCCAAGGCTCTGATATTGTGAACGGTGCTGCAGTAAACATATGTGTGCATGTGTCTTTATAGTAGAATGACTTATAATTCTGTGGGTATATTCCCAGTAATGGATTGCTGGGTCAAATGGGATTTCTGGTTCTAAATCCTTGAGGAATCGCCACACTGTCTTCCACAATGGTTGAACTAATTTACACTCCCACCAACAGTGTAAAACCGTTCCTATTTCCAGCACATATACACCATGGAATACTATGCAGCCATAAAAAGGATGAATTCATGTCCTTTACAGGGACATTGATGAAGCTGGAAACCATCATTCTCAGCAAACTAACACAGGAATAGAAAACCAAACACCACATGTTCTCACTCATAAGTGGGAGTTGAACAATGAGAGCACATGGACACAGGGAGGGGAACATCACATACTGGGGCCTGTTGGGGAACAGGGGGCTAGGGAAGGGATAGCATTAGGAGAAATACCTAATGTAGATGATGGGTTGATGGGTACAGCAAACCACCATGGCATGTGTATACCTATGTATCAAACCTGCACATTCTGCCCATGTGTCCCAGAACTTAAAGTACATATATATGAAATATTTTATAATATATTTACTTACAAATATACCACATTTTATTTAAAGTGCTTACATGGCATTTTGCATGAGACCAAATGGAGGAACAAAAATTGTATTTTCAGTCCCATATGAAACAAGAAGCAGATGTAATATGTAAAACAACGGTTTTCAAATATTAGAAATCAGACAGTGCCAGAAAATTATACAGGAGAGAGATGAAAGGATAAGGTAAGTCAAATGACTGTCCCAGCAGTTCCACAGGGGCCACAGAACAGAGGGGGAACCTAAGCACAGCCCAGTGTTCTTTCTGAGTTGAAACATTGAAGTTGAGAGTCCAGGAGCAGGGTATTAGTAAAGAGAGAGAGAGACAGAGAGAGAGAGATCTGCAGAGGATCCTCTTTGAATATCTAGCTGAGTATGGATCAGTACATGCATTTGAGAAAAGTACTCAAAGCTAGAAAAAGGATTATTTAAAAGAAGTAGGGGAAACAATTGATAGTTATTACATAAGGCCAGGAATAGTTTGCATTTTTTTTTGTTTTTGTTTTTTCTTTTACTTTAAGTTCTGGGATACATGCACTGAACATGTAGGTTTGTTACATAGCTATACATGTGCCATGGTGATTTGCTGTACCTATCAACCCATCATCTAAGTTTTAAGCCCTGCATGCATTAGGTATTTGTCCTAATGCTCTCCCTCCCCATTCCCCCTATCCCCCGACAGGACCCGGTGTGTGATGTTCCCCTCCCTGTGTCCATGTGTTCTCATTGTTCAACTCTCACTTGTGAGTGAGAACATGCAGTGTTTGGTTTTCTGTTCCTGTGTTAGTGTGCTGAGGATGATGGTTTCCAGCTTCATCCACGTCCCTGCAAAGGACATGAACTGATTTTTTTAATGGCTGCATAGTATTCCATGGTGTGTATGTGCCACATTTTCTTTATGCAGTCTATCATTGATGGGTATTTGGGTTGGTTCCAAGTATTTGCTATTGTAAATAGTGCTGTAATATACATATGTGTGCATGTGTCTTTACAGTAGAATGATATATAATCCTTCTACTGAAGGATATCAGATATTGAAGATCAACTTACTAAAATAACGTGTGAAGGTAAGATTAGAGAAAACAGTATAAAAAGGAATGAACAAAGCCTCCGAGAAATATTGGACTGTGTGAAAAGACCAAACCTATGATTGTTTGAGGTCCTTGAAAGTGACAGGGAGAATGGAACCAAGTTGGAAAACACACTTCAGGATATTACCCAGGAGAACTTCCCCACTCTAGCAAGATGGGCCAACATTCACATACAGGAAATACAGAGAACACCACTAAGATACTCCTTGAGAAGAGCAACTCCAAGACAACTTATCACCAGATTCTCTGAGGTTGAAATGAAGGAAAAAATGTTAAGGACAGCCAGAAAGAAAGGTCAGGTTACCTACAAAGCAAAGCTCATTAGACTAACAGTAGATCTCTCTTCAGAAACCCTACAAGCCAGAAGAGAGTGGGGGCCAATATTCAACATTCTTAAAGAAAAGAATTTTCAACCCAGAATTTCACGTTCATCCAAACTACGCTTCATAACTGAAGGAGAAATAAAATTCTTCACAGACAAGCAAATGCTGAGGGATTTGTCACCACCAGCCCTGCATTACAAGAGCTCCTGAAGGAAGCACTAAATATGGACAGGAAAAACCAGTACCAGCCACTACAAAAACACACCAAAATATAAAGACCAATGTCACTATGAAGAAACTACATCAATTAATGTGCAAAATGACCAGCTAGCATCATGATGACAGGATCAAATTCACACATAACAATATTAACCTTAAATGTAAATGGGCTAAAAGCCCCAATTAAAAGACACAGTCTGGCATATTGGATAAAGAGTCAAGACCCATTGGTGTGCTGTATTCAAGAGACCAATCTCATGTGCAAAGATACAAATAGGCTCAAAATAAAGGGATGGAGGACTATTTACCAAGCAAATTGAAAGAAAAAAAAAGCAGGAGGTTGTAATCCTAGTCTCTGATAGGACAGGCTTTAAACTAACAAAGTTAAAACAAAACAAAACAACAACAACAACAATAACAAAAAAAAAAAAAAAACAAAGAAGGCATTACATAATGGTAAAGGGAGCAATGCAACAAGAAGAGCTAACTATCCTAAATATATATGCACCCAATACAGGATCACCCAGGTTCATAAAGCAAGTTCTTAGAGACCTACAAAGAGACTTAGACTCCCACACAATATTAATGGGGGACTTTAACACCCCACTGTCAATATTAGACAGATCAATGAGACAGAAAATTAACAAGGATATTCAGGACTTGAACTCAGTTCTGGATGAAGCTGACCTAATAGACATCTACAGGACTCTCCATCCCAAATCAACAGAATATGCATTCTTCTCAGCACCACATAGCACTTATTCTAAAATCAACCACATAATTGGAAGTAAAACACTCCTCAGCAAATGCAAAAGAACTGAAATCACAACAGTCTCTCAGACTGCAGTGCAATCAAATTAGAACTCAGGATTAAGAAACTCACTCAAAACCACAAAACTACATGGAAATTGAACAACCTGCTCCTGAATGTCCATTAGGTAAATAGCAAAATTAAGGCAGAAATAATGAAGTTCTTTGAAACCAATGGGGACAAAGAGACAATGTACCAGAATCTCTGGGCTACATCTAAAGCAGTTTGTTCAGAGGGAAATTTATAGCACTAAATGCCCACATCAGAAAGTAGTTTGCATTTCCACCAGCCAGAATTTACAAAAAAAAAAAAAAAAAAAGAAAAAAAAAAACCTCACATTTCAAGAGATTTTATTCAAAGTATTCAGAAGTGTATTGTCTCAGTAGCTGGAAAAAAAAAAGCCATCAACCGAACGCTGCTTTGGTCCAGAATAACAAGCTTAAAGCAGTCCTCAAAAATATCAAGCAGTTACCAAGTAACAGATTCATCGCATCACATCACATTCATTCATTCATGTATTTCTACACATGAAATCCAAAGATATCCAGCACCCAAAAGAGAAATATTTACAATGCCTAGCATACAGTAAAAAACTACAAGGCATGCAAGAAAGCAGAAAATATGACTCGTAATGTAAATAAAAATTAATAAAAACTAACATAGAAATTACAAAGATGACTGAATCAGTGGATAAAGACAATAATACAATCATTTAGCTGTGTTTCATTGGTTTAAAAAATAAACAAAAGATTAAACATATTAAGTAGGAATAATATATTTAAAAATACCCAAATAAAAACCTCGATATAGAAATTACAATGTTTCTATATTGCTAAAAATAGGTGTATACTGAATGGGATTAACAGCACATTTGAACCTGAAGAAGAAAAACTAGTGAACTTGAAAACATAGCAATAGACACTATGAACAGGAAAGTATAGAGCAACATAATAATACACAAGTAACATAGTACACATGCAGATGGAGTGCCCAAAGGTGGAGGGGGGAAAGTCAGAAAAATATATAAATAAAAGACTGGGTAAAATAATTCCAATTTTCACATAAACTAGAAGTCTGCACATCCAATAAGTTTAATAAGAGCAAAACATGAAGAAAAATTGATCCAGATGTATTGTAATCAAATTTCTGAAAAGGAGACATAAAAGGAAAATTTTTTGTCCAAGGAAGAAAAAAATGACAACAGTCTTTTGGCGGAAAGTCCTGTAAGGAGGCAACCATGGAGTAACATCTTCAAAGAACTGAAAAACAAATTGCCAACCTAGAATTCCATACCCATAAAAATATATTTCAAGAATGAGGGTGAAATGAGGACAAGATAGTATGATATTTTTACTAGACAAACCAATGAAATAGAATGGGGAGTACAGAAACAAATATATACATCTACAATTGACCATTAAAAAATGTCAGAGTCTTACCCAGTTGCCCAGGCTGGAGTGTAGTGGTGGGATCTCAGCTCACTGAAACCTCTGCCTCCCAGGTTCAAGTAATTCTTGTGCTCAGCCTCCCAATTAGCTGGGATTACAGGCATGTGCCACCACACCCAGCTAATTTTTGTGTTTACAGTAGAGACAGGGTTTCACCATGTTGGCCAGGTTGGTCTTGAACTCCTGTCCTCAAGTGATCTGCCTACTTCGGCCTCCCAAAGTTCTGGGATTTGTAAGGTCACTGCGCCCAGCCTTATTTCATATTCTTGATTGAGAAACTTGTGTATCCATACAATGGAATACTGCTGAGCAATCAAAACTATTGATATATACAACATGGACAACACTCTAGTGTATATCTATGACATCAAGAAGTTACTTAACTCAAGATTTCATGAATCTAATAGCGATTACTTAGAAATTAGTGAGCCTACTTTTTGAGGAAGAACTAGGCATTTTACTGAACAGGTCCACTAACAGAGATGAAAATGGATTTCCACCAACTCACCAACACTTATCTATTAGCAGTGGCTGCCTGAACATTGTGTGGAGAAGAAATCTGAACTCAAGATTGGGTTCAACATGAAATAATATGATTCTTTATTATCAATATCTAAACTAGCTGAGCACATGGAGTGAAGGTTCATATGGTGTATATTTGCCATTTTTGGACTAGATTGTAAAAGATGAAGGGATTCTGATAATAATTATTGATTCCTTCTTTTATTAGTTTGTTAGAGCTGCCATAACAAAGTACCACAGACTGGGGGGCTTAAACAACAGAAATTTGTTTCTTCCCAGTTCTGGAGGCTAGAAGTCCAAGATCAAGGTGTCAGCAGGTTTGGTTTCTCCCGAGAGCTCTTTCCTTGGTTTGCGGGTGTCCATCTTCTCCCTGTGTCTGTGTCTGTATTGTCTGCATTAGTCCTCTTTTATTTATAAGGGTACCAGTCATATTGAATTTGGGACTACCTATATGTCCCCATTTTACCTTAATTATCTCTTTAAAGACCCTGTCTCCAAATATAGTCACATTCTAACCTTCTGGAAGTTAGGACTTTAACATATAAAATTTGAGGAGCTATAATTCAGTTCTTACCAGAGATTCAGATACAAATTTTTGATTCCTCCTTAATGAACTGACAGAAATTCTCAATTCAGGGAATTATCTGCAGTCTGAATTGTTTTTCTTCCAGGTTCTCTTTATTTTTTTTTAATGTAATGACTATCACCACTTTCCTGTCAAGGTTTGCACTAGAACAAAATGTTCTTTCATAAGATACCTTACTAGTTCTTGAAGAAAATTATTGATCTTAGCTTACATATTTGCCATTTTCTACATTTTTTTCTATATTTTTGTTTTCCTTGCATTTGATCTCTCCTCCTGTGCTGTGTGAATTCACCACTGTATAAGTCTTGGTCTTTGTGAGAGGTGAAGCCATTTTAAATGCCTAAATGGTTACATAATCTTTATTCCAAACTCTGTTATAGCACAGGAACATGCAATTGATCTAGGTTAAACCAAACAAATGCTATAGGTATTCAGACAGAAGCCAGTAACAGATAGAAGCAGATATGGACATTGTGATGGTGGTTGCAGTAGAAGTAGCAGTATCCTTTCAAAAATGGCTATTACCGTGGCTCCAGTGGAAATGTCCAGTATCCAGCACTGGCCTTTGTGAAAGTGGCAGTTATAACACATGCTGTGGCTTCCTGTGGCCAATGGCAGCAGTAGCAGCAGTATCTCTACCAGAATTTTCTGTGCTGTGATTCTGGCTGAGGTTCTTATTGCTGCTATCTTCCTTTGCTTTTGCACAATATTAAAAGCCTATTTCTCCAGCTTTGTCATAAATACTGTAAAAAATCTAATATATTTAAAATAAATTCTTTTTCAGCTTAAATAAGTCAGAATCATTTCCTCTTCTTTGTAGCCAAGATCATTGACTAACAAATTTATGAAAAGCCTTCATTATTAATGAAACTAGGTAAGTTTTTGGCCAAGGCAATCAGGCAAGACAAAGAAATAAAGGACATCCAAATAGGAAGAAAGGAATTCAGGTTATCCTTGTTTGCAGATGAGATGATTCTATATCTAGAAAACCCCATAGTCTCAGCCCAAAAGCTCCTTCAGCTGATAAACAACTTCAGTAAAATTTCAGGATACAAAAATCAATGTACAAAAATCATTAGCATTCCTCTACACCAACAACAGCCAAGCTGAGAGCCAAATCAGGAACACAGTTTCATTCACAATTGCCACAAAAGGAATAAAATACCAGGAATACAGATAACCAGGGAGGTGAAATATATCTACAATGAGAATTACAAAACACTGCTCAAAGAAATTAGAGAGGAAAAAAACAAATGGGAAAAGCATTTCCTGCTCATGGATAGGAAGAATCAATATCAGTAAAATGGCCATACTGTCCAAAACAACTTACAGATTCAATGCCAGTCATATCAAACTATCAATAATATTCTTCATAGAACTAGAAAAAAACTATTTTAAAACTCATATGGAATAAAGAAAGAGCCCAAATAGCCAAGCTAACCCTAAGCAAAAAGAACAAAACTGGAGACATCATGTTACCCAGCTTCAAACTATACTACAGGGCCATAGTAACCAAACAGCATGGTACTGGTACAAAAACAGACACATAGACTAATGGAACAGAATAAAGAGCTCAGAAATAAGGCCACACACCTATGACCATGTGATCTTTGACAAAACTGAAAAAACAAGCAATGGAGAAAGGACTCCCTATACGATATATGGTCCTGGGAGAACTGGCTAGCCATAGGCAGAAAATTGAAACTGGGCCCCTTCCTTACACTTTATACAAAAATCAATTAAAAATGGATTAAAGACTTAACTGTAAAACCCAAAACTATTAAAAACTTTGGAAGACAACCTAGGCAATACATTTCTCGACATTGGAACTGGTGAAGATTTCATAATGAAGATGACAAAAGCAATCACAACAAAAGCAAAAATTGACAATTTAATCAATTAATTAGTTTATCTAACTAAACTTAAGAGCTTCTGCACAGCAAAATAAATGATCAACAATGTAAATAGACAACTTATAGAATTGGAAAAATATTTGCAAACTATGCATCTGACAAAGGTCTAATATCCAGTACCTGTAAGGAACTTAAACAAATGTACAAGAGAAAAACCAAACAACTCCCTAAAAAAGTGGGCAAAGGACATGAACAGACACTTTGCAAAAGAAACATACATGCAGCCAACAAGTATATGAAAAAAATGGTCAGTATCACTGATCATTAGAGAAATGCAAATCAAAACCACAATGAGATACCATCTCATACCAGTCAGTAGAGCTATTATTAAAAAGTCAAAAATTACAGATGCTAGCAAGGTTGTGGACAAAAGGAAACACTTATACACAGTTTGTGGGAGTATAAATTAGTTAAACCATTGTGGAAATCAGTGTGGCGATTCCTCAAAGAGCTAAAAACAAAACTACTATTTGACCCAGCAATCCCATTACTGGATGTATACCCAAAGGTGTATAAATTGTTCTGTCATAAAGACACATGTATGTGTATGTTCACTGCAGCACTATTCACAGTAGCAAAGACATGGAATCAACCTAAGTGACCATCAATGGTAGACTGCATAAAAAAAAATGTGGCACATATACACCCTGGAATGCAATACAGCCATTAAAAAAAGAATGAAATCATGTTCTTTACAGGGATATGGATAGAACTGGAGGCCATGATTCTTAGCAAACTAACACAGAAATAGAAAACCAAATACAGCGTGTTCTCACAAATGGAATCTAAGTGATGAGAACACATGGACAGAAAGAGAAGAACAACACACACTGTGCTCTACTTGAGGGTGGAGGATGGGAGGAGGGAGAGGATTAGGAAAAATAACTATTGGATCCTAGGCTTAGTGCCTGGGTGATGAAATAATCTGTACAACAAGCCCCTGTGACAGGAGTTTCCCTGTATAAGAAACCTGCACATGTACCCTTAAACCTAAAATAAAAGCTTTAGAAAAAACAGAAACTAGGTAAGTTTTGCTTCCCTCTACTTTGCTCTGTAGATGGGAGCTAGCTTTGTTAGTTGGTAAACTAGAAAGGGTTTTCTCTCTCCTTGTTAAGATTCACTCCTCTATATAAATTCTCTCTATATTATACACCATGGTTTCTGCTATAGTACAGCAATGGGACTGATCAATTTTGTGCCTTTTGACTCTAAAAGTCTGAGCTAATAGTAGAAAATTCATCTTGAGAAACATGGATATCATAAACCTTCCTTGTTACTGTTTCTAATGATGACAAATATATTCCAAATCCAACCACTTATTACATCTCCATTCCAACATCATTACCATCATTTCCCCAAAGATTACAGAATAGCCAAATAATTATTTGGTTCCTATACTAGTCCATTTTCATGCTGCTGATAAAGACATACCCAAGACTGGGCAATTTATAAAATAAAGTCTAATGAACTTACTTAGAGTTCCACATGGCTAGGGAGGCCTCAAAATCATGGTGGAAGGCAAGGAGAAGCAAGTCATATCTTATGGATGGCAATAGGCAAAGAGAAAGCTTGTTCAGGGAAACTACCATTTTTTTAAACCATCAGATCTCATGAGGCTTATTTACCATCATGAGAAGAGCATGGGAAACACCTGCCCCATGATTCAATTACCTCCCACCAGGTCCCTCTCACAACACATGGGAATTCAAGATTATATTTGGGTGGGGACATAGCCAAACCATATCATTCTGCCCCTGGCCCCTCCCAAATCTCATGTCCTCACATTTCAAGACCAACCATGCTTTCCCAACATTCCCCCAAAGTCTTAACTCATTTCAGCATTAATTCAAACGTCCACAGTCCAAAGTCTCATCTGAGACAAGGCAAGTCCCTTCCACCTATGAGCCTGTAAAATCAAAAACAAGTTATTTACTTCCTAGATACAATGGGGTATAGGCATTGGCTAAATACAGGCATTGGCTAAATACAGCCATTCCAAATGGGAGAAATTGGCTAAAATGAAGAGGCTACAGGTCCCATGCAAGTTTGAAATTCAACGGGGTAGTCAAATCTTAAAGCTCTAAAATTATCTCCTTTGACTCCATGTCTTACATCCAGGTCACACTGATGCAAAAGGTGGTTCTCATGGTCTTGGGCAGCTCCAACTCTGTGGCTTTGCAGGGTACAGTCTCCCTCCCATTTGTTTTCATGGGCTGGTGTTGAGTGTCTGCAGCTTTCCAGGCACACAGTGCAAGCTGTTGGTGGATCTACCATTCTGGGGTCTGGAGGATGATAGCCCTCTTCTCACAGCTTCACTAGATGGTTCCCCAGTAGAGATTCTGTGTGTGAGCTCCAATCCCACATATTCCTTTCACACTGCCCTAGCAGAGGTTCTCCATGAGAGCCTGCTCCTGAAGCAAACTCCTTCCTGGACATCCAGGCATTTCCATACAACCTCTGAAGTCTAGGCGGAGGTTCCCAAACCCCATTCTTGACTTCTGTTTTCTTATAGGCTCAATACCACATGGAAGCTGCCAAGGCCTGGTGTTTGCACCCCCTGAATCCATGGTCTGAGCTGTACTTTCGTCCCTTTTAGTTACGGCTGGAGTAGCTAGGATGTAGAACACCAAGTCCCTAGATGACACACAGCACAAGGACCCTGGGGCTGGTCCAACAGAACCCCTTTTTCCTCCTAGGCCTCCAGACCTATGATGAGAGGGGCTGCCGTGAAGTCCTCTGGCATGCCCTGGAGACATTTCCCCCATTGTCTTGAGGATTAACATCTGGTTCCTGGTTACTTATACAAATTTCTGCAGCCAGCTTGAATTTCTCCTCAGAAAATGGGATTTTCTTTTCTATCACATTGTCAGGCTACAAATTTTCTGAACTTTCATGCTCTTCTTCCCTTATAAAACTGAATGCCATCAACAACACCCAAGTTACATCTTGAATGCTTTGCTGCATAGCAATTTCTTCCACCAGATACCCTAAATCATCTCTCTCAAGTTCAAGATTTCACAAATCTCTTGGGCAGGAACAAAATGCTGACAGGCTTTTTGCTGAAACATAACTAGATCCACCTTTGCTCCAGTTCCCAATGAGTTCCTCATCTCCATCTGAGACCACCTCAGCCTGGACCTTATTGTTCATATCACTATCAGCATTTTTGTCAAAGCCATTCAACAAGCCAGTAGGAAGTTTCAGACTTTCCCACATTTTCCTGTGTTCTTGTAAGCCCTCCAAACTGTTACAACCTCTCTGCATGTTACCCAGTTCCAAAGTCACTTCCACATTTTCTGGTATCTTTTCAGCAATGCTGGTACCAACTTATTAGCCTATTTTCATGCTGGTGATAAAGACATACCCAAGACTGGGCAATTTATAAAAGAAAGAGGCTTAATAGATTTACAGTCCCACATGGCTGGGGATGACTCACAATCATAGCAGAAGGTGAAAGGCATGTCTTACATGGTAGCAGATAAGAAAAGAGAGCTTGTGCAGGGAAGCACCCTTTTGTAAAACCATCAGATCTCATGAGACTTCTTCACTGTCATGAGAATAGCATGGAAAAGACCTGCTCCCATGATTCAGTTACCTCCAACCAGGTCCCTCCCACAACACGTGGGAATTCAAGATGAGATTTGGGTG
Source organism: Homo sapiens (assembly GCF_000001405.40). Lineage (NCBI taxonomy): Eukaryota > Metazoa > Chordata > Mammalia > Primates > Hominidae > Homo > Homo sapiens. The sequence continues at coordinate 99,088,268 of NC_000001.11, read as the reverse complement.
GGGACAGAGCCACACCATATCAGTTCCTCTCTTGCCTATCACACATGTATAGTTTGTCTGGAAAATAATAATCCTTAATCGTATTTCCAGGTAACTTAGAAAAAATAAATCCAGAATCTTTACTATGGTTTACAAGACTCCATTATTTTGCTCTTGCTTACCTTTCTGACTTTTTTTTTCCTTTTCTCTTCTTTTCTTCTCTTTTCTTTTCTTTTCTCCTTCCTTCCTTTCCTTCCTTCCTTCCTTCCTTCCTTCTTTCCTTCCTTCCTTCCTTCCTTCCTCCCTTCCTTCCTTCCTTCTTTCCTTCCTTCCTTCTTTCCTTCCTTCCTTCCTTTCTTGCTTTCTTGCATTTTCCAAGTCTCACTTATGTTGCCCAGGCTGGTCTTGATGTCCTGGGCTCAAGGAATCCTCCTACCTTGGCCTCTCAAAGTGCCAGGATTACAGGTATGAGCCACCATGCCTGGTATACTAGTCTGTTCTTGCACAGCTATAAAGAAATACCTGAGACTGGGTAATTTATAAAAAAGTTTAATTGGCTCAGGGTTTTGCAGGCTGAACAAGAAGCATGATGGCTTCTGGGGAGGCCTCAATAAATTTTCAATCAGGGTGGAAGGCAAAGTGGAAGCAGGTATGTCTTACATGGCTGGAGCAGGAGGAATAGAGAGAAGGGAAACGTGCTACACACTTTTAAACAACCAGACCTCATGAGAACTTAGCACCAAGGGGAGAGTGCTAAACCATTCATGAGGTACAGCCCACTGATCCAATAGCCTCCCACCAGGCCCCGCCTCCAAGACTGGGGATTACAATTCAACATGAGATCTGGATATGGGCACAAATCCAAATCATATCACCTGGCCTCTCTCTGACTTCATTTTCTACAATTTCCTCTCTTGCCAAACTGGGCCTTTTTGCAATTCGTTTACCATGCCAAGAAAGCTCTCACCTCAAGGCCTTTGATTTGCCATTCTCTAACTTGAGAATTCTTTTCCCAGATATTCACATAACTCATTTACTCACTTAATCCAGACGCCTGTTCCAATACCTTCCCCACAATAGCACTTTCCTTATTGCCCTTTCTAAACGACCGTATTTGTCATTCTTTGATCCCCATCCTACTTTATTTTTTTCCTTGTAATGCTTATTATCATCTGACATCATATAGATATTTGTTCTTATTTATTTATTTGTTTTCCCCCCATGTAAATGTGAGCTTCATGGAAAGGCAGATACTCTAATTTTTTTTTTTCACGGCTGTATGTCCAGTGCCTGGAAGAGTTCCTAGGACATAGTATTAAGTGAAGGAATGAACCACAGTGGTTCAGAGTTGGGTCTTGGATAAGTGAAGAAAAGTTTTGTATAGAAACTTTCTTTCCTACTACTAACAAGCTGTTTTATTTAAGCTGGACTCAAACACATCATCTCTGATATAAGCACTAACAAACTAGGCTGCCAGTTTGTCAGCATAGCATCTGACAAACTCAAACAAGCATTAGTGGCTGACTACATACCATTAATTGGTGACCAAAATACTCAATAAATATAATTTATTTAAATAATGATGAAATGATTAAATAACAGATAAAATATTAATCAGACATGAACTTGGAAGCCTCACAAGCATTAGGAAATGTCTATGGTGGCCTCGTTCTTAAATTCTATAATTTTTCCAGGTTTCTATATTTTGTATTCATATCACTGGTTTGATAAATTTTCTTGGATCTTTATGTTAAATCAAAACAACATGAAAAATTTAAACTATTTTTTAAAGTCATAGTTGTTATTTGGTTGGCATTTATGGCTTTTACAGAAATTCAGCTAAGCAATTCGTTTATCATCATTTATCATGAGTGTCCAGGTCAATATTTTTTACTTCATTCTGAGAATATAGTGTTATCTGGTGCTTGGTTCAAGTCAATTAAATTCAGAGCATGCTGCTAGGGAATGAGGGGATTCTCTGGAGAAAATGACATATTTCCTGCCTTCAAAGAGACTGTCAGTTCTAACATTAATACAAATTGGGTCTCTTTCTGGATATGACACTTGGTTTGTTTCTAGCTGAGTCAATCTTTGCCTTAGATTCCTCAGCTGAAAAATAAAGCTAATAATAGAACTGTTAAGAAAAAATAGTATAGAATAGTAAGGTAATGTTTACAGTTGGAACTTAATAAGGTACAAATTAATACATTCTAGAATGTTTCCTTGTGTGCATCAATAAAGAAACTAGAGTCTGTTCTAATTTCAATTAGAGCTAGAATATCTATTAGAACTGGAATGTTTAACACCCTGGTAGTTTTAAAGTTTTTTATGAATTATGTTAAATGAAATTTTAAGCTGAAGCATAAGCAAATAAGCTTGTTAAAACTGGAACTGTACACCTGGGATTGCTTAAATAGAGTTCAACATCACTAAGACCTAACTCCTGGAAATTTGTCACATAGATACAAATGATTTCGAGCAGAGTGTGACAGTTTTATGGCCTCTTGCACTAATTTGGATACAGTTTTCCCATTTGGCACCATTAGACAGATATTACTCATTTCCAGGGCAACAATATAAGTTATCCCAACACATAGAGATAATGGAAAGAAATTTAGTTGCCTTGGTTATAAGAATAACTCTAGTCTTCATCTCAGTAATCTCCATTTGATATTTTTAAACTGTAGAGAGCCTTCCTTAATCCATGGCATCCAATCCTTGTATCTGTGATGTCATCTGAAAAATTAGAAGCCCATCTGTGATGCACTCTTGCCCTAAATATGATTATCTGTCACTCAAATGTACTCACATGTGCACACACACACACAAACACACACAACCTGATTCCATTCAAGTTGTTGGTCACAACTGAAAGTGAACTTGCCTCTATCTGTTCTGCCAAGACAGTGTGGAAAGTAGATCTCACATTCACCATTGTATCTCAAACACCTATCACAGTTCCTTTGTATTCATACATGAACGTAGGCGTGCATTTATTCACCATTCAGTTGAATACATGCATGCTCTCTCTGTATCTGACACTGTTCTAACGACAGGGAAATAGCATTGAGGAAATTGGTTCCTGCTCCATGGAGCCTACAGACCTATGTATGGTTGGTGCTTTATAAGCATTTGTTCAGTTAGTGAAAACATTTTATTTGCTCGTATATAAAGAAGAAGTCATGGTAGAGTTTTTAAGAAACTAAACTTTATCTTTTAGAGCAGTTTTAGGTTCACAGCAAAACTGAGCAGAAAGTAGAATTGCCCTATAACCCCTTGCCCCAACACACAGCTTCCCTACCATTAACATCTTGCACCAGAGTGGAATTTTGCTACAATTAATAAACCTATATTGACACATCTTTTACCCAAAGTCCATAGTTAACTTTGTGGTACACTCTTGGTGTCATACATTCTGTGGGTTTTGACAAATATATAATGATTATGTATCTGCCATTAAAGTATCACACAGAATAGTTTCACTACCCTAAAAATCTGACTAGACTTTTGAAATTCTATTTTGGGATTTATAGAAACTAGATTGATTGGCAGCTTCTTTCAGATTTTCTTAAAAAGTTCTAGTCTACACGATATTTGAATTTCTGAGGTAGCAGCCACCCTGGCTGAAACATGCTTTCAGATCAGGTGATCTCACAAATGTGTAAGGGATCTGGTTTCTCAATCTCTTACAGCAAAGTAGTTTCTGAAGACTTCTCCAAAATGAGACAGTTCATAGAATGAAAAAAAAAAAATCTCTGCCTTTATGATCACTATGCATGAGCATAACTTTGACACTCCTTTGTTTAATCCTCTCTTCTCCTTCTCTTTCTTCTTCTTCTTTTCTTCTTCTCCTTCTCCTTCTGTTCCCACTCCTGCTTCTGCTTCTGTAAAAGGGTGGATGATTTGATTTTCAGAAATGCGTGGTCTAGAGGTGCTTCTTTATAAATTAGAGATTGTGTCTGATATGAACCCCTCATCAGCCATGACACAATCATAAGGCTGAATAGGATTACTAATCAGACTTTTCTTTTGCATCTGACCACCCAGTGGGCTCTGGTCTTTAGAGCCTAGAGAGTCTCCGACCTCAGAAAATGGGATCCATTGAACACAGTACCCTCTTCCTGACTCAGTGATTCTTGGGACATCAAACACACTTTAAAAGTCACTGTTTCCAGTTTCCTCATTTTTTAGAGCAGAAAACAGAGACCCACAAGCATAAAGGTACTTGCTTCAGTGGAGACAAAAGTTATACTAGAGTATCAAGATTTACAACATTAATTTTCACTGCTCTATATTAATGATACATTCTATGATGTATTGACTTTCATCAATTAATCATAAACCAAAATTTAACAGAATTTTGCTTAGAGATAATATCACTGATTTAGTAAAGCATTTTGTAGCAAAATGAATCAAAATTTTCCCATTGAGGATACAGTTTTCAGGAAACAGAAACATGACATTTCACACCAAGGAACATTTCTTGGTCCTAGAAATGTTCAAGAATCCTTTAATAACGCTGCCTTTTTCTTTCTGAATTCCATGTGCCAGGGCACCAGCAGTCATTTGCAGGACTCCTGGATTTCTTCAAATTCTATTATTTTGTTAGATATGACTGCTGTGGACATAGGATGATTCAATTTTATATACATGTATGTAAATATATACACATATGGGCATTTAACCCCATTTAAACTTCCGTGTAATTATGACCAACACAACTATGCAACGACTGAAACCAGAACAAAAGAAGGTCTTAAGCCTCTGAAATTCCTACGGAACTTAGGCAAGCCACGTAAAATGATTCTTTGGGAAGCTGGTCCTGGCATGAGCATAGCCATCACCACACCAGAGAGAATGGCATGGCATTTTTAATAAGAAGATGTGGTAAAACATTGGTTTCTATTTTCAAAAAATATATATCATATTTAAATCATCTAAGAATAGTGCAAGAGTTCACTATCACTTCCATCTGATTATAGAACTTTTGAAATAGATGGAAACTGACAATTTCATTCAGTCAAGGACTGCAGCATCCCTTAAGGTTTCAGTGGAGTACTCACAACAGAAAGATGTCTAGACTGTTTTGAACACCTCATGGACAAAATTCCACAGAGTTTTAATTATAAAAAGTATTTATATATATGTTAATATGCTTACATGTATTTTTTCCTTCTATGAGGATAAAATGAGATACCACAGGCAACATGTTAAGCACAGAGGCTGAAACATTATAGGGCTTAATATATTTCATTTCTATGTCACCAAAATTTAAAAAAAATTCCAAAGATAATAAGCTAATTGCATGTGTACTTTTTTCTACTAGACTGTAAGCACTTAGAGCAGCCATATTTTTTTCTGCACTTCTGGTGCCTAGTTTAGTGTATTACTGAATAGTAGAAAATAATATGAGAAGAATGCAGAAGAAGAGAGGAGGGGAAGATGGGAGAGGGCATGGAAATGGAAGAAAGGAAGGAAGGAAGGGAGGGAGGGAGGGAGGGAGGGAGGGAGGAGGGGAGGAAGGAAGGAAAGAAACAAGCAGGAAGGGTGAGAATAAGAGATAGCAAGTAGACGAAGATATATATTTCTCCAATAATTTCCTACCACTTTAAGTATAGATAGACTTCCAACTATTTAGCATGGTTTACAAGACAATTCTTTGCTCTGGGAAGCTCTGTAACCTCTATAAATACACCTCATGTTCAGCTTCAGTCACACCCAATTAGTGGCGTTTCCTCAAGCATTCAGTCACAGCCCTGGGCTTTGCATTTGTTATTCCTCTAACTAGAACATATACCCTCTTCATTTCTGTCCCTTTGTCAGTCTAGCTGGCTTCTTATCCTTTAAGCTTCAGCTAATGCATTTCATATAATCACAGTAAGTAATTTTTTATTATTTCCTCTTATATCTTCTTTTTCTGTTTCAATAAAATGTCTTGTCATTTTTTCTTTTTTATGTATTTGTACATGATAGCATATTTGTTTTCTCAGAATGTACACCAAATATTTTTGTTTACCATCCTATTTTATTCATACCAAATTCACATATAATTCTTAAAACCATATGTTCACAATCTTCTCCCCAAACGTTGCCTATTGTCATCTAGTTTTTTTCTAGTGTGCACTCAGGAACCAGTGTTGAACCCTTCTCCATTACGTAGATGCACTCTCTTTAACTCTGGAATTCTGGAATATTCTTTAGGAGAACATTTTTTTTTCCTCCAATGCTACCTTTTTAAAATTAAGCTTTTTATTTTGTATAAGCATAGACCGACATCCAGTTGTAAGAAATAGTACAGAGAGATGCCAAATACCCTTTACCTATTTTTCCCCAAAGATAACATCTTTCACAACTCTAGTATGATACCACAAACAGGATTTTGATATCGGTATAGTAAAGATACAGAACAATACAGAACAGTTCCATCATTGCAAGGATTCCCTGTGTTGCCTTTTAAACCACAACCACTTCCATCTCTCCAACGCTGTCCCCAACAGGTGGCAACAACTAATCTTCTCTTCATTTCTATAATTTTGACATTCCAAGTATGTCATAGAAGTGGGATCACATAGTATATGACCTACTAGAATTAGCTTTTTTCACTCAGCATAATTCCAGGAGATCCATCGAAGTTATTGCATGTATCAATACAGTAGTTCATTCTTTTCTATTGCTGAATAGTATTTCATGGTTTGGATGTATCACAGTTTATTTAAACATTCACCCATTGAAAGACATATGGGTTGTTTCCAGTTTCTGTCTATTTCAAATAAAACTTCTATAAACAACTATGTACAGGCTTTTTGTGAATATAAGGGTGCATTTCTCTGAAATAAATGCTTAGGAGTACAATGATTGGGCCACATTGTAGTTGAATGTTTAGTTTTAAAAGAAACTATCAGTTTTCCAAAATAGCTCAACATTTACATTCCCTCCAGCAATGCTTGAGAAATCCAGTTTTTCCATACCTCATCAGCATTTGGTGTTGTCACTATTTCTTATTCTAGCACTTTTAATAGATGTATGATTATACCTCTTCATGGTTTTAATTTGCATTTTTCTTAATGGTTATGATGTTAAATATTTTATCATATGCTTATTTGCCACTTGTATATCCCCTTTAGTGAAATGTCTCTTCATACTTTTGTCCATTTTCTAATTGGGTTTCTTATTGAGTTTTGAGAGTTCTCTATATTAATATTCATTAATATGTTAATGAACATCTATGTGTTAATATTCCTTAATATATTTATGATGATGATAATTAATTTGTGATGAATATTAGTCTTTCATTGGTAATATGGTTTGAAACAATTTTCTTTCAGTCTGTGGTAATATTTTCAACATGTTGACAGTGTCTTTGCAGGATCAAAGTTTTTAGTTTTGATGAGGTTCAGTTGGTCAGGTTTTTGTTTTATGGGCCATACTCTTGGTGTAAAGGTTAATAAGTTTATGTCTAGTCCTAGATCCAAATATTTTCTCCTATATTTTTCAAGCAGTTTTATAGCTTTATGTTTTAAATATAAGTTCACAATCCAATTGGAGTTAATTTTTGTGAAAGGTGTGAAGTTTAGGCCAAGGTTTAAATTTTCTGTCTATGGATGTCCATTGGCTTGCAGCATGATTTGTGCAAGAGGTTACTTTTCTTTTATTGAATTGTGTTTGCACCCTTGTCAAAAGTAAGTTTGGTGTTGCTATGGATTGAATGTGTCCCCCAAAGTCCAAATGTTGGAAACTGAATCCTCTATGTAACAGTATTGAGAGGCGGGCCTAATAAGAGGTGATTAGATCATAAGGGCTCTGCCTTCATGAATAGATTAATATCAGTATCACAAAATTGGGTTAGTTATCACAGACTGGGTTTGTTTCAAGTGAGTTTGGCCCCCTTGCAGTCTTGTGCCCACTTGTCCTTCCACCTTCTAGCATGAAATGACAGCAAGAACAGCAAATGTGATCTCCTCCACCTTAGACTTCCAGACTCTACAACTGTAAGAAACATACTTATTTTCTTTATATATTACCCAGTTTGTGGTATTCTGTTATAGCAACACACAACAGATGAATGCAGGCATATTTTTGTGAGTCTACATCTGAATTCGCTACTGTGTTCAGTTGATCAATTTATCTGTCCCTCCACTGATACCACACACTGTTGTGATTGCTATAGCTATATAGTAGAACTTAATATCAAGTGGAGTGGTTCTTTCTACTTTATTCTTCCTTTTCAAGATTGTTTTAGCTATTCTAGGGTGCTTTTCCTTATATATTTTAGAATATATTTGTTTGTGTCTATAAAAAACCTCACTGGAATTTTGATAGGAATGGCATAAACCTATAGATCAGTTTGGAGATAATTGACGTTTTCATTATGCTAAGTCTCCCAACCCACAAATACGGTGTGCCTCTCCATCTAGTTGAGTCTTCTTTGATTTCTCTCATCAGCATTTTGGAATTTTTAGCATACAGTTCCTGTACATGTTTTGTTAAATTTATACCTAAGTATCTCATTTTCTTTAGAGAGATTATACATGGTATTCATCCTTTAATTTCAGTTTCCACATATTCATTTTTAATATGTATAGGAAAGAAATTGTCCAAATCAGAAAGGAAGAAGTAAAATTATCTCTGTCTTTATATGACATAATCCTATATGTTAAAAAACCACAAAGATTCCACACTGTTTGAACTAAAAGTGAAATTCAATAAAATTACATGTTACAAAATTAACATACAAAAATCGGGAGCATTTTTATACAGAAATCACAACCTACTTAAAAAAGAAAATAATTCTCCCTCTCCCTCTCCCTCTCCCTCTCCCTCTCCCTCTCCTTCTCCCTCTCCCTCTCCCCGGTCTCCCTCTGATGCCGAGCTGAAGCTGGACTGTACTGCCACCATCTCGGCTCACTGCAACCTCCCTGCCTGATTCTCCTGCCTCAACCTGCCGAGTGCCTGTGATTGCAGGCGCGCGCCGCCACGCCTGACTGGTTTTCATATTTTTTTGGTGGAGACGGGGTTTCGCTGTGTTGGCCAGGCTGGTCTCCAGCTCCTAACCGGGAGTGATCTGCCAGCCTCGGCCTCCCGAGGTGCTGGGATTGCAGATGGAGTCTCATTCACTCAGTGCTCAATGTTGCCCAGGCTGGAGTGCAGTGGCGTGATCTCGGCTGGCTACAGCCTCCACCTCACAGCCGCCTGCCTTGGCCTCCCAAAGTGCCGAGATTGCAGCCTCTGCCCGGCCGCCCACCCCGTCTGGGAAGTGAGGAGCGTCTCTGCCTGGCCGCCCATCGTCTGGGATGTGAGGAGCCCCTCTGCCCGGCTGCCCAGTCTGGGAAGTGAGGAGCGCCTCTTCCCGGCCGCCATCCCATCTAGGAAGTGAGGAGCGTCTCTGCCCGGCCGCCCATCGTCTGAGATGTGGGGACCGCCACTGCCCCGCTGCCCCGTTTGGGATGTGAGGAGCACCTCTGCCCAGCCGTGACCCCATCTGTGAGGTGAGGAGCGTCTCTGCCTGGCCGCCCTGTCTGAGAAGTGAGGAGCCCCTCTGCCAGGCAGCCGCCCCGTCTGAGAAGTGAGGAGCCCCTCCGCCCGGCAGCCGCCCCATCTGGGAACTGAGGAGCGTCTCCGCCCGGCAGCCGCCTCATCCAGGAGGTGGGGGTCAGCCCCCGCCCAGCCAGCCGCCCCGTCCGGGAGGGAGGTGCGGGGGCAGCCCCCAGCCGGCCAGCCGCCCCGTCCGGGAGGTCGGGGGCGCCTCTGCCCGGCTGCCCCTTCTGGGAAGTGAGGAGCCCCTCTGCCTGGCTGCCACCCCGTCTGGGAGGTGTACCCAACAGCTCATTGAGAAGGGGCCATGATGACGATGGCGGTTTTGTTGAATAGAAAAGGGGAAAATGTGGGGAAAAGACAGAGAAATCAGATTGTTGCTGTGTCTGTGTAGAAAGAAGTAGACATAGGAGACTCCATTTTGTTCTGTACTAAGAAAAATTCTTCTGCCTTGGGATGCTGTTGATCTATGACCTTACCCCCAACCTGGTGCTCCCTGAAACATGTGCTGTGTCCACTCAGGGTTAAATGGATTAAGGGCAGTGCAAGATGTGCTTTGTTAAGCAGATGCTTGAAGGCAGCATGCTCGTTAAGAGTCATCACCACTCCCTAATCTCAAGTACCCAGGGACACAAACACTGCAGAAGGCCCCAGGGTCCTCTGCCTAGGAAAACCAGAGACCTTTGTTCACTTGTTTATCTGCTGACCTTCCCTCTACTATTGTCCTATGACCCTGCCAAATCCCCCTCTGCGAGAATCACCCAAGAATGATCAATAAAAAATAAAAATAAATAAATAAATAAAAAAAGAAAATAATCCCATTATATTTCCTGATAAAAGTATTAAGAAATTTAAAATACTGAGGAGCAAATTTAACCAAAGACTTATAGACTGAAAACTATAAAGCATTGATGGAAGGAATTGAAGAAGACACAAATAAATAGAAAAATATTCTGTACTCACAGACAGGAAGAATTAATATTATTAAAATATCCACACTATGCAAAGCAATATACAGAGTCATGCAATCCCTATCAAAATCTCAATGGCATTCTTTATGTAAGTAACAAAATCCATCCTAAAATTAATATGGAGCCAAAAATACCCCAAATAGCCAAAACAATTCATAAAATAAAAAACAAAGTTGGAAGCATCACACTTCCTGATTTAAGACTTTATTGCAAAGCTATATTAATCAAAACAGTATGGTACTAGCATGAAAAAGAGACAAACAGCCCTGCTTAGTGCTAACACTACCCTAGCAGGGAATCAGGGCACCATCTGGTTCTGTCAGACTGTGCTTTATACTCCAACACCATCTTATTGGGGAGTGAAAATTTCTTCCCTACTTCCTTGGGATGAATGAGGTTTTTTATTGGTGTTTAGCTGGACTAGGGAGGATATTGCAAAAAAAAAAAATCTGCTGTCAGGCAATCTTTTTTCATGTCTCTTGGCTAAAGGGACAGGTTTTCTTTGGAGCTGTGTGTCCATGTCTATTGGAGGTTTGGGGTTGGAGGCTTCTGGATCTCCCTGTCCAGGATATACGGAAGGCACTAAGAAATCCAGTGGACCCACTGCTATGTCTTCCCTCAAGTTCTGAGATCCCTAGGCAGAACATCTTCCTTCTACATTTTGGAGGCTTCCTATGTTTGTTTGCTACATATACCCAAAGTTCTTTTGTTGTAAGAAGGATCTGGGAGGAATAGTACTACTAATCTTCATGGAATCTGGAGACCGCCAAGGCTAACTTTTTTCATATATTAAAAGTATTTAAGTTCATAAGTATAACCATTACATTACATAGGTGTGAATGTGTTAACTATGTGAAAATGTAATAAAATATAATACCTGTCATAGGACCCTGTATAGTGATATGCTTCCCTTAAACAGTATAAAATAGTGATTACATCTTACTCTCTCTTCTCTGCATTGCACTTTTCATTCATTCATTTATTTATTCACTTACTCCTTTGACCTATGTTTGTTAACTGCTTTATACAACCCATAAAACTCCAAGGATATAAAGATTGAGATATATTTTTACTCAAGTTTTGCTGCATTTACCCAGTAGCCCAAATGAGAAATTTAAAAATAATTGACTTCTTCCTCTCCATTAACCATACACCCTACATAGATACAATTTATCAGCAAATTTAAATATTTTCCCTGCGATACAGGTCATAAATCCATCCAGTTCTCTCCATATTTCTTATGAGCCTCTAATTCAAGCTGCCATCATCTTTCATTAAGGCCCACCTTTCAAGTTGACCTTCCTCTTTCAACCAGCAGCCAAGTAATCTGTTAAAAGTATCAGTAGGAATGCGTTAGGGCTCACCTTAAAAGCCCTCCAGTAGTTTTCCTTAAGATGAAAGATAAAATCCAAATTCTTTATAATGGATCTTAATAGTTTGCCTACACTTCCGAGCTACCTTGGACCACTCTACTATCTCTCTTTAAGCTTTATACTTCTCCAAGTTGCTCAAACCCCAACCTTTTTTCTACCCTAAGTTCCCTGCCTGTTCAGTTTTCTCCAAATTAACATTCATTCCATTACCTCTTTCCAAGAAAATTTCTGTTCAACATTTTGAGCTCTTAAACCCTTAAAGTTTCTTAAGGCTTTCCATTTATTCTATAATTACTGAACATCTTCTGTGTGCCTGCCACTGTATTTGGAGCTGGAGATAAAGCAGTAGACCAGACAAAAAGACAAGAGTCTTAGCTTTTACGGACCTCATATTATATGAATGAAGACAGACAATGTATATGCAAACACACAAATTAGCAAAATTTCAGATAATGACAAGTGCTCTGAAAAAGACAACATGATATAATATGGTGGAAATATATATACATATGCACATACATATACATATACATATACATATACATAATATGGTGGAAATACACTGGTGGTATGGGTATGATGGGACTGCTTTTGGAGCAATAGATTAGAGACAGTCTCTTTGAGGAGGTAATATTTGAGTTGAGAGGTAAATAGTATGAAGGAATCAGTCACATAAAGATTTAGGGAGGAAGAGGATTTTAGGCAGGGCAAATAACTAGTGCAAAGACAGAAGAAAAACAGGCATGCTTGGGAAGCAAATGAAGAGCCAGTATGGTGGAGCTTTGATGGTAGGCAGTGATCTTGAAGAGGTAGGCAGAGAACAGATCATGCAGGACCATTCAGTTCATGAGGAGCTTTGGGAAATATCTGGAGTGTAAAGAGAAGCCACAGAAGGGGTTTAAAACAAGATAGGGACACAATTTTATTTATATGTAAAAAGGTCACCCTGGTGATGAAGTGGAAAATAGTTTGTGAGTAGGCAAAGAACAGAAGAAAACTAGTTAAGATGCTCTCTTCATGGTCTAGGTAAAAGGTAATGGCAGCTTGAAGGAGAGGAGTGAAGAGGAGAGCGTCATTACAGTTAGAAAGTCTTGCCAGTACTCTTGAAACCCCCTCACTTCTCCAGGCATGATCATCCTCTCTTTTTTTTTTTTTTTCCAATTTAAAACTGTTAATTTAAAAGTAAACTTTAATGTCAAAAATGCAAACTTGGGGAGGGCAGAAAGATCACACACAAGGCTGGCACTTCACACTTGGAGGGTTGCACAGCGGCCAGGCAGAGGGGCTCCTCCCTTTCCAGACTGTGGGGCGGCCTGGCAGAGGGGCTCCTCACTTCCCAGACGGCATGGGGGCTGGGCAGAGGCGCTCCCTCTCTTCTTATAAGGACCACCACTACAGTCACTTTTAACAGCATAGGTAGATACGTTTTGTTGGGATGTTTTGTATTGTGTTGTTTTGTAATTTCTGTGACTGGAATCGTAATTTTTTGTGTCTTTCACTCCCATCTTTCCATATTTTAAGATTTTTCCATCTTGTTGCATGCAGCTATAATTTGTTAATCTCATTGCTGTTACACCATTCAGTCAGTGATTCTATCAAAATTAATTTACTCATTTGAAGGGTAGCAAAGTATGTCACCCCAAAATCTGCCATTTTGGCATAAGGGTTATTTTGAATTGAAGGGAATTGAGAAGAAGCAGATACAAGAAAAACTTTCTGTCCTCCCACATTTGCCTAAAAGCAGGGCATATATTTATAAACATGTCTTCCCTTCCACCTCTACCAGGAAAAACAAAGATTGATCACCAAAGATAAATTTAGACTTTTATAAGCCAGGAGACAGAACCAGAGGAATCAACAAAACAAACCTTTATTAACTAGACTTTACCTACCATTAGTTTCCCATAACTTGCCTCCTTCTTTCTTTGAACTAAAGATATTATATAAACTAAAATTCTAGTTCATCTCTTTGAGAATTACTCATTTCTTCGGTATGTCACATGTATATATGAAATATACATGTTAATAAGCTTCCATTTGCTTTTCCTTTGTTAACCTGTCTTTTGTTGCAGATATCCCAGCCAAGAACTCAGAAGGGTAGAGGAAAAATTACTTTTTCTTCCTACACATTTTACTGTTGATGGACATGTGGGTAATTTCCAGTTTGGAACGATTACTGATAGTGCTGCTATGAACATTTTAGTGCATGCTATTTGGAGATATGAAGTAGAATTGCTAGGCCATAAGACACACATATGTTCTACTTTAGAAGATACTGCCAAACCATTTTCCAAAGTAATTGCACAGATTTTAATTCCCACCAGCAATTAATGACAATTCCAGTTACCTGGCATTTTTTTTTTTTTGTATTTTCATCACAGTCATTCTGTAGGTGTAAGAGGTGTCAATTTCTATTTTTTGGATATGTTTATTTCTTATATTTACTCTCTAAATTTTTTTAAGCCTTTGATCTATACTCTCTTTTTGTTTCCTTTACTTTTAGACAACAACTTCCAAATTCGAATATCTTTTCCTTTCATCAATATGTTCACAATCCTCTGTTAGTCTATGCTGCCAAATAAAAGAAGAGCACTTGCTTTCACAGTTATTGCTTTCATAAGCCTTCTTATCATTGAAATACAGAAGTATTAAGCTTTCAACAATCCTACATTGTCTTACATTCACCATAGGCTCTAAGCATTATTCTGTGGATTCATGGGAGTTTTATCAGTAGCTGATTTCAAAGTCCCTTACATCTTCAAATTTTATTTGAATAATTTTCATCATTCTTTCTTTTTGTGAATCCTCTTTCCTTTGGACCAGGCTCTACTCGTTTCTGCATCAATGGTATTTCCCCTTTTACCACCCATTTTCACTCAGTCTAGGATCCCAAAGCAACTCTTAGGTATAATTATTCCACTCTGATAGAAAGTTATATTTTATGTATGAGTTTAATTTTCCAGAAATTTAAAAGTTATTTTCCCTAGAGAAAAGGGTCATAGAGCAACACCATTTTTAAATGCTTTAAAATAGAAGGTCTTTAGTAATCAAAGCAATTCAAGATCATTTTCACAGATATAGAATTATCCAACTTGTTCCTAAATCAACTTCAGAGTTGACAGTCCTTATACACTTTGGACAATCAAAGTGATTAATACTTCTGGGATTTTGCCTATCATAGCACCACATCAAAATAGTAATTACTTCAACTGAAAGTTATGAGTATTACAGTTTAGGGTTGTACCTGCAGCTGTGCTTGTGGGAATACCATTGATTCAGAAAATAAAGAGCAATAAGGGTCTACAAGCAGGCAATTGAATTCCCTGGTACATGAATTTATAAAAACATGTCGCGCCCGGCTCTGTGGCTCATGCCTGTAATCCCAGCACTTTGGAAGGCCGAGGCGGGCGGATCACAAGGTCAGGAGATCGAGACCATCCTGGCTAAAACGGTGAAACCCCGTCTCTACTAAAAATACAAAAAATTAGCCGGGCGTGGTGGTGGGCGCCTGTAGTCCCAGCTACTCTGGAAGCTGAGGCAGGAGAATGGCATGAACCCAGAAGGCGGAGCTTGCAGTGAGCAGAGATCATGCCACTGCACTCCAGCCTGGGTGACAGAGCAGAGCGAGACTCCGTCTCAAAAAAACAAAACAACAAAAAAACATGTCTTGGTGACACTGCTAGCAGTTAATGAGATATTGCGGTGCTGCTACCTGAGTCCCTTTAGCCACATGATTCCATATTCTGCTTTTAAATAATTATAAATAGTATTGGAGGAATATCAGAATAAACTATTGTCTTCTCATTGTCCACTGCTAGGATTTAGTTGAGGTTACATAAGTTGTAGAACAGATTTATTAGAAATTTTTTCATGACTAAGAAGCTTTCTACGAAAGAATATAAGCTGTGTCCTCTGCTGAGTTTCAAACATATCTGATCCTATCTGATGAACTGGTGAGTTGGCCCCAAAGAAGTCTGATTGTGAGCAAGAGATTAAGAGCTCTAGGGAACTCATTCCAAGGAAACAGGCAAATGGTCCCGACCCAACAACAAAGCCATCAGAGGAGAAGGAACTCCGGATACAATGTCTTGGCTGTTGCATGATTTCCTTCTAGGCTCAGCTTCATGGATCTAAAAGTTAAAACAGGAAGATTTTTGGTTTTTTTACTAAATACTGTGAAGTACTATACGATGCTTCCTTGATGCAGCAGCTTCTCTACTAGTGGTCTTTGCAATTTCAGGGTGTGTCAGAGGCTGCTTGCTGTGTTTACACAAAGTGTAAACACTTTGTGGCACAGGCGACACTAATTTTCACCACTGTAACAAAAATCTATTTAAAAAATATTTGAAGGGAAACAGGACAACTCTCAAATCCTTTCACAGGCCACATCCAGCTTTGTTGTAACTGAGGCCTTAGTGTGGGCATTCAGACACCTTGGGTGCCCAGACAAGCAAGAGGAGAGTGTCTCATAACAAACAAGCTGTGTGGTGATCAGCAAGCAGCCTCTGACACACTCTGGAACTGCAAAGACCACTAGCAGAGAAGCTGCTGCATCAATGAAGCACCATATGGAGCATACAGTCAGAGGAGCAGCATCGATGCTGAATTAGGTCTTGTTATATGAGACATTTCTTGGGTACTCTCAGAATCATTCATTGCCGGGTATGTGGAGTTAGGGTGGGGGTGCTTTGATAGGAAATGAGATTTTTTTCAGAGTTTGGATTTTTCTGTGTAGCCAGGGTAATTTGACTTATAATAGGATAAAAAGTTTAAATTGTCCTTAAAATTAAAAGTCTTCTCTGCATCTGTCCAATCATCCAGCTATATAAACATACATGTATATGTTTTATACATATTCAGAGACTGCCTTTATTTCTTCCCTCTGAAGACAGAAACAGAATTATTTGCCCATGTGGTTGTGCTTGTTATATAATTTCCTACATTTTAAAGTTCTTTGTCTTGTTTTAATAATCTTAATTTAAAAATTCCTTCTTAAATCCCTTTCTCTCTTTGATTTAACTTTGAAAATGGTTCTTTGAGAACTAAAATAGCAATATTTCAAATAAAATGGGCATATGTGTTGTATAACTCCTGGTTCTAGCTAATTGAGAAATAGAATCAAGAGACTAAAAAAAGAACAAATTTCAGTGCCAACTTTATTATTGGTAAAGCTAGATAGAGAGCCCTGCATAGATTTGAGGCCAGATTGGCGCTTCCTATGCCCGCTTCTGAACTAAGGCTACCTAGCTTTTAGGGATGTATTCATCCAGTCACAGGCAGAGACATTGGATCAGGGAGAGCAGAGGACAAGCTGGGCTTGCCAGGGGTCTTTTTTGGTTTGGTTACAGAAGGATGAAGGAAGTGCAAGTCAGGCCCTTAGCACTTGAGGGTAAATGGATTTTTGGAATGGGGGAGGGAAAAGGAACATCCTTAGCAATGCAGCATTTCCACTAGTGACCCCCTGCCTTCCAGTGTGGCTCACGGATATTAAGCTCTTCAAGAACTCACCAATTAGATATTTTACCTCAGCTCCTATGCGACTATGTTCAAATTCCCCTCTCTACAAGGAATAATAGAAAAAGAAGTCAGGAAATGAGCTTTCTTCTTGAACACTCTCAAACTTTTTGTTTCCTTAACCTTTGACCACAACCAAGCATATGGTCAACCAAGGTTGTGGCTGTATCTCTTCAGAGGAGTGACTAGCAGAGTATCAGAGAGCCCCACTCTCTATTTGGGAAACCTCTTTTCACTCCCTACCAGTGCCCCTCTGGACCTCCTTCTGGGACATTAGTGAATAGTTTCATTTTTGTTCCCAGAAATTTCCAATATATCTCAGAATAAACCATTAACTGATGTAACTTGCAGGGTACAATGCACTTTTAGCCAACAGCTCATTCTCTATTCAATTTCCAACTTTAAATTATGCCCAGCCATATTGTCACATAGTTCTTATCAGAGAATATACCAAAAAATTCAAACAAAAATACCTCCAATAATACAGTATAACTTTACAGTTGATTCCAACTTAAATCACATGGAGTTCCCTGTATTATTATATTCTCAGAGAGAAATTATGGACCCAAAACAAAATCGGATTAAAGTTCATTAGGTTTTAAAGAAATTAAAATCTAAAATCTTTTCTATCCAATGGTTTTCTGTTTTCGGCCAGAACAATTTCACTCATGTGGAATCTGGGCTCTTTCAGAAGCAGATTGGCCCTTTTCCATGAAAATAAGTGTAGCAACTTCAAAATTTAATTACTCCAATTTCAAGTCACTCAATTTCAAGGCACATCATGTGTGACATGCCATCAGACAAAGAATCCATAAAGTCAATAGGATACATATGATGATCTCAGCTGCAGCCCTCACCCATGCAATTTAGAATAGACAAAATAATTTCAATTCTCCCAAAGCAGTTACTCCTGTTCATAATATAATGCAATATTGCAATTGCCAGCATTGAACCATAGAAAACCAGAAGAGAATAGATTTGAATTCAGCTTTACCAGAATGCCCAATAATCTAGGCTAGTTTATTGAATATTTAACCTATGAACTTAAATTTAAGTATGAGAATATTTTAATTAAGAAGTTAATTATGGCATTGCTTCTACATTTATTGCATTCTTTCATTTTGCAAAAATATATACATATAAATTTGCTGTGATGGCCTCACCAGCCTTCAGGCCTTATTTGAAGCTCTTTTCTTTCATTTCATATTCATTTCACATTTTTTCATTTCCATATCTCCTCGGAGCCTTATGATTCTGGCATGTGGATGCTGAAGGCTGAGCATGCTGCCTAGGGATACAACCTCTTCTTCCTCTGGAGAGCTGAGTGTCCCACATTTAAAGAGTCCATCCTCCAGAATTCATTGCATTGTATTCTCCACAATGTCAATCTTCTGCTTTTTTTTTTTCATTTTTCTGGATTTCTCCAACCACAAAAATATCTAAAGGCATTTTTAGCAGTGTGCCATTTGTCTGCTGCTACTGCCTCCCCCTCTAGAATTCCTTGGGCTTACGAATCCTGTGCCTTAGAGGGTTCTTTCCCTTGTCTTTGCATCACAATTGCCTTAGCTGGAGATTTTTCTTCAGGAGATTCTTGAACTGAAACAGCTGCTGATTTTTACGAAGCTTGTGCCTTAGTGGATTGAGGACAAATGTTTCCTTCCTTTGTGTACTTCGCCCAATACTGCCTTTCTGGAATTTTGGAGTTGGTAGAGCTTCAATCCCTAGGTTCCTTCCATGTCATCCCAAATTCTGCTCTTTGCCATCTTTTTGGCACTTCCCCAGAGTGTTCTATTTCTCTCTGTTCCTCTACTTCTGTCAGCTACGCCCAGCCGAGCTTTTAAAATTTTACTAATTTCTCAAAATTTTCTCTTCTTCTCTTCTCTTTTCTAAAGCAACAACTATAATATTAATTGTAACAACGGACATTTATTGAGCATTTACAAGGTGCCAGACCTTATGCCTAGAGATTTAAAGGTAGGCATGCATATTTCCAAGTTATACAGATGACGGTATTGATGATTAATGAAGTTAAAGTATTTTTTGAAGTTTACAAAATTTAGATTAAACTAAAAGATAAAGTTAGAGGAAAGAGGTGAATTACTCATTGTCCACACTTTAATAGAACATCTCTATCCCTAATAAATATACACTAAATTCCTCATTTTATTAGCCACTCCTGCAATAGAGATGAGTAAACGAAGAGGTGGAGATATGAGAAAATATTTGGTTTACTGGAAAAAGGCAGTGTTTCCTTGTGGTTAGTGGCCCAAACTCTCTAACTGAATTGTCATGGAAACTAAATGATTTCATATAAATTAATTCTCATTATTGAAATAATTGCTGCTCTTTTCTCAAGAATATTGCAAAAGTCTCTAACCCTCTATAGCCATGAGAGGGAATAACTGTGCTTTTCAACAACAGCTAAATTCAACGCACTCAGCCAAGGATGTGACTACTCACAATTATAATGGAAGGAGAACCTGTTGATTAATTCGCATCATATTTCTGTCTTTCCTACAGTGTGGAGGAAGAGCTCTGTGTGTTGATTACTATTTAACTTGTGACTATGTGACTACTTCCCTTTTATATTTTATGATAATGTTGCTTGATCATTTATTCACAGTTATATACAAACAGTAAGGGTTTTTCCCTAAAAAACTGCCTTGATTTTAAAAGAATATAAGGCAAGTCATTGCAAAAAATGATAAAATACTTAAACAAGGAAAAGAAAATGAATATCTTTGGTGATTCTACTTCCAAGAGGTAATTCCTTTAATATTTTGGTGGTAATCTCTTAGGGCTTTTTCTGTTATAATCACACATACCTTAGAAAAGGTAAAGTTTTACATCCACTTTTAAAGCACTCACTAATGTTTAAGAATGTGTTTTTTTTTTTCTTAATAATATATCATTGGAAAAAATCTAGGTGGGGCGCAGTGGCTCATGCCTGTAATCCCAGCACTTTGGGAGGCCAAGGCGGCCAGATCACCTCAGGTCAGGAGTTCAAGACCAGCCTGGCCAACGTGGTGAAACCCTGTCTTTGCTAAAAATACAAAATTAGCTGGGCATAGTGGCGGGCGCCTGTAATCCCAGCTACTCGGGAGGCTGAGGCAGGAGAATCGCTTGAACCCAGGAGGTGGAAATTGCAGTGAGCCGAGATTGCACCACTGAACTCCAGAATGGGTGACAAGAGTGAGACTCTGTCTCAAAAACAAACAAACAAAAACAAAAAACAAAAAAATTGTGTTAACACATATAGACATCAACATTTTTAATTGAGGTAGTCCATTGTATGGTTGTATCTTTATTTATATGTCCATTTCCTATAATCAGCATTTAAATTAGTTCTAGTATTAAAATGTATGCTAAGATGAATATTCTTTTACATATATATTTGTGCATTTGTCCCATTATAATCCAAAAGATGAACAAATGGATCATTTTTTAATCTTTTGCCAAAGATGTATTAAAAATCAGGGACATTTGCTGGTACATACAAATCAGAATGTGTCTGACAGGGGGAGTGTACACTGAAAAATCTATTTTGTTTCTGAGGGCAAAGCAAATCTAAGTCATGATTTGCTCCTCAATTCAGTTTCATTGATCTTGCAATTAAAAATTCTTGCAAGAGTTTGAAACTAGCTTGACTATACATTTAGTTTCCATTGTTGTTATAAACTTCTCCATTATTCTGTGCTTTTGTAACTATTTTGTTAATATTTTTCATTAAATTGTATGTTTTTAAATATAGAGAATTGCAAATAAGATAACATGTACAGCACTTTTTGAGACACAGTCTTTAATTTTGCAAGAACACTCTGTTATTTTCAACAACATTTTCCTGTTCTGTGGGAAACTTTGTTTAGGTTATTCAACCACTAGTTAAAACAACTAGGTCAAAGATAAATTCTCTGCTGGATTATGTCATGATGAAGAAGAACTCTACCCTTTTTTAAAGGGTAGTAATATCTGGTCTAGGTATGTAGAGAAGTTATCTTATACCCATGGGACAACAGAGGTGGATACTTGCAGCCCTGAGTCAACTCACTGCCACAGCTTTACCCATGTTTTGCTGTGGAATCTTTTTAGACCACCAATTAGGACCAGAAAGTCAGTAAACCATACTCAGGGATTTACCTCCCAGTAAAAACAAGTAGAAGAAAAACAGCTATGAGTAGCCAGACATCTAATCTTTGATAACTTTACTTCCAGTTGATAATTGGCCTACTACTATGTATCATGGCTAGCATATGAACCTGAACTCTGTATTTATAATTTCACCATCCATATTTCATTCTTCAGTCACTTATTCAATAGTTATTTATTGAGCATTTATTAAATTCCAGATTATATTGTAGGTTCTGGAGATACATTAGTAGACAAAACAGAAATTACTGCTCTCATAATTAATGAATGACTATTTTGTGATCAGCAAACTGCCTCAGATATGCCTAGATATTTAATATCAAATTCAGATCTTTGGAATTTTTGAACATAGTAGAGTTTCCTGACACCTTTTCAGACTTGACAGTTGGATTTTTATATTTGACTCTTGACTGTCCTAACATCGATAAACTCCACATGGCAATTGGTAACAAAGACATAGCAACTTGATTGTGCACTAAATCAGTGTTTGTGTTTGTAAAAGAGCCATAAATTTACATCCACAGAAAATATGGCTTACTTGGAATAACTGATATAATCCTTCTTTAAGACCACCTCCCTGCCACCCTCACCAACAATGCTGGAGAGCAGAGAAAATATAATTTAGTTTAATTCAGTAACTTATATTGATCCAACAATTTAAACTTTGTTTTACAGATGACTATCTTATTTTGGTGAATTCTGCATCTTTCAGGGTTCCCATCTGTCCCTCTGGTATGTCCAAGTGGGTCTCAAATTGCAAAATGGGGAGGGTTACATAACCCGTAGTGGTTGAGAAAAAGTCTGCTCCACTCACAGGTCTCGCTATCTGCTGGTGTACCGTGCTAACGTTTGTGCCTGGGGAATGTATTGCATCCTCCTGGATCTGATCAGGGCCCAGAGATCCTCCCCTCCTGACTCAAGTTTACCTTTACTTACTGGTGCTGAGAGGGCTTGGGTGTGACTGCAGGGTATTGTACTTGACTCTTAGATCACTCAGTGCCTGCCAGACCACTGTGGAACTCCGGCAATTACCATAGCTGGACTCCCAACTATCTCTATATCCCCACATTCACCCAGCTCTGCGGGCATGTGGTATTTTCCAAGACTTTTCCATGGCATGTGGGAGTTAAGAGTGACTTAAGAGTTTTATCTAAGGCTCTTATTCTGCCTAAGATTCCAAGAGGAGGTCAGAAGGAACATGCTCTGAGGCTGTGTCCTCTTTGAGGTAGAGTTGTTTAAACAGCACTTGACCTAGGACTCAGTGCAGCTGATTTATCTCTCCATATTACAATTGGTGTTTGGTGTGATAGCCACATGTACATGTCAGGTATGATACAAATCCTATATTCCCAGCTTGTGCTATAAACAGTTCTTTAATCTCCCCTGGGATTTTCCATTTAAGAACTGACCTAACTTAGTGATGTACATAGGATTAGATGAGCTTGTCATAGCCCATAAAGCAGAACCACCATCACCAAGCGGCTGCAAAAGCTTTTGATTGAGGCTGAGTGAGCAGTTGATGCAAACAAGCATAATAGAGATATATCCTTTGGCAGGTGAAATGGTGTCTGGATCCGCATTGTAGTATACAAATTGTGGTCAGCAGTCTTTATTTTCTCAAGTTATTTACAATTTTAGAGATGCCCAGTTTGCATTAAGGCAGAATGAACCTCATGTGATTTTAACATTGTCGGCCCAGTTTTAAAATGTAACTAACTGATTTGCTAATGTAGTGTGAGTTCCTAGGATTACATTAGGTCTATCAGTCTAATTAGGTTGCATGCCCACTGGGCATGGACTGTGAGTGCTTTACTAAGTTTTTCCTTAAGACCTAGGGCATTTTTATGTCTCAATAAATATCTTTTGTGCGAAATCTCACAAAGCAGTACTCAAATAACCACTTATACATTGCAAAAATAAAATCACATGATGTATGCAACCAATACTTTCACTCAATTTTGAAAATTGGCCTCTGATTTTTTCCTTAGAAAGATCATTGGAACTGTTATATAATTTCTTTCCAAAACAGTGAAGGGAAAAATCTAGTGATCTGTATACGTTAGATAGACGTTAAACTATTATACCCCTGTAATTCCATATCTGTATAAAGACCACTTCTTTTAAAAATTATAGTGTATTATTTTCTTCTAAAATTCTGCAGACTGATTTATTGGTGATTCATCTCTTTAATCAGTAACTCAAGATGATCTTAGGATACTTTACTTCCTCAGTAAGCTGAACTAACATTAACACTGGTCTACGTAAACATTACTTTTGTGCTTCACCAATAGCTAACTTTTTTTTTTTTTTTTTTTTTTTTTTGGTAGAGATGGAATTTTGCCATATTGCTCAGGCTGGTCTAGAACTCCTGGGCTCAAATAATCCACTTGTCTCAGCCTCCCAAAGTGCTGGGATTACGGGCATGAGCCACCACATCTGGTGATAGCTAACTTTTAACACTTTATCAGAACTAATACTTTTCTACGGTTCACAGCTATTTTTAGTACATATGCAATCAGTGGTAAAACATTTTTCAAGATAAATTTTCTAATCAGATGCCTAGATCATGGTATCTAGGCCATAAGATCCACAAGGACACAGACAAGTCTTTTATAGCTTTGTTTTACAACACAGAGTCTGAATATGGTAAGGACACAACCAAATAGAAATGAGTATATACCTGATTCAAATCTCTCCACACTAAGGGACACCCAAACATGTGTTCATGAGACACCACCTTGGAAAAGAAAAGGGATAGGAGGCCAGGAGACTTTGTCCTATGATGCTCCAGAGGACTCGTAAGTACTTCAGTCAAGATCAAATGCTCTATGCAGGCAAATATTTCCCTGCAAATAATACACCTGCACCTTGATTTGGTCATTACAGCGTTGACTTCTTTTAGAACACTTTGTAGGTTTCACAGGGTCTATAAGCTCTATATGAAGCACACAAAAGAGAAAATAAGCTCAACATTGTATGAACATTTTATAGTGTCAGAGAATTCTAAAGTTGAGAAGATTCTCAGAAGTCATCAGTCAAAGCTTCTACCAAGACTTAGAGATCCCTCTTCACCCATAAAAATCATCCAGCCGGAATCCCTCCACTGAGAGAAATGATGTTCTTTGTAACTATGCACTTAGGTGCTTGTCATCCGAACTTAAGAGGTCCAGATCTTAGAGAAATAAATGAGCCTGAAGAAAAGAACTGTACATGTGAGACAGAAGAAAATTTACCTGATTCAGAATAAAACCTATATCTATATCAAAGAAAATCATTATGTTTCAAAAGCCAAAATTAATGAAAGAGACCAAACCCCTTCTACAAATGTTAGAAAAATTTTAATTTCAAGGACAAAGCATCTTTTCGGTTATATTAGAGGCTGCTAATTGACACCTCCCCCTTCTCCTCACCCCCCTGCTCCAAATATTTCCTGTCATCTTCTTTTGTGGTAAGAATATTTTAACAGAGTTACCTAAAGTAAGGATTCCCTTTCTCAGCCTCCCTTGTGTCTCAATGTGGCCATGTGATCAAGTTCTGGTCCAATGATATAAGCAGAATTTGTACGTGGCTTCTAGTCCATGCCCATTCCTCTAAAAGGAAGAAGTGTGTCTACCACTTTGCTCTCTTTCCCCTTATAGCTGGCTGAGATGTGAGCATGGTGGGGAGCCCTCCTCGATGTGGATAAGGCAACATTTTGGAAATGTCAGAGCATTTCTGAAGGAAAGGACCTCCATATTAACCCTGAATTGCTTATTCTGGGGTTACTGCAGAAAGAAAGAAAGAAAGAAAGACAGAGAGAAAGAAATGTTGGACTTGTTTAAGATACTTTTATTTTAGGGTCTTACTATCACATAAGTGTATAGATAAACTGCAAAGAATCAGCCTTTCAATAATATAGGTGTATATTTGTTTAACTGATATAAAACAACTGAAGGATCCTACAACAGATACAATACATTCTCTTCAACAGCTGATAAAATATTTTAAAATATGTTAGGTCATAAGAAACTCATTAAACCACAAAAGCAAAAATGTGTAAAAATTGTTTTCTTTGTTCAAGAAAACAATAACAAAAATGAAAATAGATAATTGAAGAAAACTGAAAAAATTTAAAATATACTTTTTAGATCAAAGAAGAAATTAAAGTTGTAATTGCAGATTATTTAGAAAACAATGATAAGGAGTTTCCATTAAAACTTATGAGATATTACCTCAGTACTGTGATTATGGTATCCTAATGTCATTTTCCACTTTTAGGACCAGGACTCACTGAAGAAAACTAATTTCAGGTCTGGGTGAGGAAATTCATAATGTAAGTCTAGAACATTTGTCATAACAGAAAGTAAGGAAGCTCTCATAGTATGCAAATTTCCTATCAGAATGACTCAGGAGTAAACATGAAGAGGTTTCCACTGGACAAAGATGAGCATTTTGAGCAATAATAATAATATCTGCTCTGGATAGAAACAAATCATATATAATTAAATCCCTGAATCTATAAGGTTAAGTACCTCTCCAACTCCCCAAAATATTCCTTGGATACCTATGAAAACACTAAGGAAGCAACTCAATATTTTGAAAAAAATAAGCAAAAGGAATAAATCAACCTGCTTTTCCCATAGGAACTATATCTCAGAATAATCAAATAATTGATGAGTGAAAGTTTGTCTTTTGTGGAAATTTTGCAGCTAATAAAGAATGATAAAATTGCAAATGGCCATTCTGCAACTTCTAATGTAAATCTAATGTAAACAATCTAGGCAGTAATCATTAATGGCTGCTAATATGGTAAAAACACAATCAACATATTATGTATCTCTTGATGAAAGCATATTACTCTACCTATGAAATGAATATGCTTAAGCATCTCAACATAAAAACCAATTTACAGTGAAATAAGAAACAGAGAAAACCTAGCAAATGACACACACACACAAAATCATCATCAGAATCTGTACTGTGGGAAATGCTATTGAATAATAGAATAAGTTGACACCAAAAGGAAATAATCATCAGAATCTGTACTGAGGGAAATGCTACTGAATAATAGAATAAGTTTTTCTTCAATACAAAAGGGGAGGAGGGAGAGAAAGAGACACAGAGAGGAAAGGCAGGGGGAGAGACAGAGAGAGAGAGAGAGAGCTGTAGAGTATATTTAAAAGACATAACAACTTACATAAGAAGATAAGAATCGTTACATAAAATGATACAATGTCTCACTTCAAAATGATCCAATGGTGGGAGATCTATCTGGAGACCTATTACAGGAAAGAAGATTGGCTATCAATTGATATAGCTCCAACTGGGTAATCGATGCACACGAGGGGTCATGACACTGTTCTACTTCTGTGTAGGTTCACACTTTTCTAAAATTCATGAGTTAAAGTTATGGGATAGAAAAAAAAAACATTTCTCAGAGAAAATATTTTAATCATGGATGTCCTCATTATTAAGCAAGGTATAAACAAATCAATCAGCTCAAGAGTTTAAAAATGAATAACAACAAAAAACTTCAAAGAATATAAAGTAAATTTAAAAATTAAAGCAGATAGTAAGGATTTCAAAAGTATGATGACTTCTATGTCACAAATAGTCTTTAGTAAAGTAATTAATTCATAATTGCCTCTGTATCCTCTGTGAAGGCGATTAAGTCCAGCAGTCTTAAAATCTAGCTTAACAACAAAAAATCCTTCTATTGGAATTCAGTCAAAATAAGCACTTCTCTTCATCTGCACTCCTTGTTTCTAAGAATGTGTAGAGCTTCTTATGGATCCTGATGTCACAGGATCAGTGGAGGTGTTGGAAATGACTTCTTTCAATCCAGTCAGAATCCTGGCTTGTTTCTCGGACCTCACAGGTGTACTCTTAGGACTGTTGGCTCTCCTCTGACTTGAAATCTTGCCAATGAGCCAAGCAATAACTCACTACAGGCTTGCAAATCACTATCAGCACAGAAATTCCTCAAGAAAGAGTTTCCCAGTATCCCATATATGGTTCATATACAGTTGACTACTGCCTTCACTGGTGTAGATTGCTGTCTCCTCTTCCCCTGCTCCCACCTGGCCTCAGCTTCCTTCCCTGATGCTTCCCTTTATGACCTCCATACAGTGCACAAACATCTGGCAGGGAAGCTTTTTAAATGATAAATTTCTTTTACTTAATCAAGGTAAGATTCCAAAATCAAAATTATTATACAAACAACAGAGATAATAGACTCTTCCATATAAGGGACGCTGAAATCCAGGTACTTAAGTCTCTGATGCAGAAAGTCACTTTATAATATACTCCATAAATAAATGGTAAATATTTAGCTACAGTTTATGATATATACTTTTAAGATGTAAAA
Source organism: Homo sapiens (assembly GCF_000001405.40). Classification (NCBI taxonomy): domain Eukaryota; kingdom Metazoa; phylum Chordata; class Mammalia; order Primates; family Hominidae; genus Homo; species Homo sapiens. Next base: position 99,060,408 of record NC_000001.11, on the reverse strand, counting down.
TCACTTATTTAAAAAATATTTCCACAAATTTTGAATTGGCAATAATTTATGTAGGCATTATTTTATGTATCTATGTATCTAATTATTTGCTCAAGGATTTATATTCTATGCAATATTGTGAAAATATTTTGTGTTTCTGAGGCAAATCTTCTTCATAGATAATGTTGAGATAGTAACACTTCTCTCATATTGATGTTACAAGGATTAAGTAAGATAACAAAATGAATTTTCAACAGAAATAATTTATGGTATGTACTCTATATGTCTTAGATTTCTCTTAAAAAATAAAAGAACAAACATTTAAACACTAAACATATATTCCTGCTAAATTGTATATTACTATGCTATTACACTAACAATGTGGAGATTTTTTTACAATAATTCTTTTCTACATTAGCCAGGACATTCTTTCCATGATTTAGAAGAATTATTTGGAGAAAATCATTTATAAAGAAATACAATTTAAATTATGTTTCAACTTAATGACAAAGAAATTATGCATTATGCATCTAATAGAAAAAATACTATGCAAAGGAAATAAAAATGAGGCTATTAATGGTAGCTTATTCATGTATTATTGATTACACTGATTTAATTACACAGAGTTATAAAATTTTAGAATAAAAAAATTGGAGGGCATCAAGTGATATCCTGATCATTTAATCTTCTGTACTTGAGAGCATTATTAATCTTTTTAAAGGGGTTATAGATCCCAATAAATAAAAAAATAAATGATTTTTCTCTGTTGAATCATTTCAGGATATGAACATTACAGGAGTTTCAAAAATTTAAGGGTAAAACCTTTTGTTTTCTATATTCATTTGATCACACTGGTGGAATGGGGTGAGTGTGGTGGGTGGGGCACAAAGAGATGAATCCCTAGCAGGGCATGGTGGTGTACCTGTAGTGCCAGCTATTCTCGAGGCTGAGGCGGGAGCATCACTTTAGCCCAGGAGTTCAAATCTATTCTGAGTAACATAGCAAGACCTTGTCTCTAAAATACATTTAAAATTAAATACAATTTTAAAAAGAAGAGAAGTACAGGGAAATAACATTTGGTTTATTACAAGGCATAAGCTGGTATTTTTTGTCCACCAAAATATCAAATAGAGAAGGCATAACAATGACTTACTTTCAAACATGAAATAGAAAAAAGGTTAACATACTATAATGCATGTTTGATCACATGGTTGCCTGATCAATCTCATTTTTTACTGATTTATGTTATTACCTTCAGGGAATTTTAAAAGTTAAAATCTGGTCCAAACGACAACATTTTTTTGTTTGTTTCTTTTTAAAAATTTTTTCACTTTAGTTCTTAAATTTGGTGTACATTTTCAAACCCAGAAAAATGTCTTAGTTGTGTGGGTAAAAAGGATGCATCCAATAGGATATTTTGTCAAATTCAAAGTTCACAATTTTTGTGTGTGTGTTAACAAAAGACATCAGTAAAAAGTCACCAATATTTGGTCCCTTCCAATAGGTAGAGCTTTCCTCCCTTCCTCTTTTTCATCACCTCCCACCCCTGCTCACTCCATTAAAATATTTAGGATATACATAATGTAGAGGCTAATTAGACCCATCTATTTGATGATCTCCATGATTCCTTGACTCACTTAGACTTTTAGTTTTCCAAAACTGTCCTTCTATTTGGAAAGACCATCCAAATATCTTGGCCATTCAAGCTCTATACAAATCTTTGATTTCTCCATTTGGAATTAGTATCTCTCCACTGTAATAACTTATCAAAACATCAACCCTGGTTAAATTCATTTTTTTCCTTTTCCTTTCCTGCCCCAAGCAGCTAAACATGGCTAGAGGAAAAAAGTCACAATAACCATTGTAATTTAAAATTAATAAACACAGACCTTAAGGTGCAAGTAATTCTACCACATCTCCTCAGCTAGTTCACTTTCTTAATCTCCTAGGTAAATATTTCACATTTTCTCCTCTCTCATAAAACTCCAATACCCTCATCCATACAAGATGTCCTTGATTCTTATGTCATTGAGAAAATATAAGGAAAAAGAATACAATGTCCCCATGCTCTTATTACCAAATTTACCAAATTATGTACATCTATACTCATATAACTCGTCTTCTTTCCTAGGATAATGACAAATTGATTGTACTTCTATCTAAGAACAAACCATACCTTTGTGCATAGAGTTATATTTTTCTCACTTATTCTAAGATACTCTCCTGTAATTGGTTCTTTCTCTCTTCTATCATTATTTTTCCCCTTTGTAGATAATTTTTTTACCAGCACAAAGACATGCCACGATATCTCCCATCTTAAGAAAAAGCCTTTCTTTACCCCACATCTTTTTCCAGCTACTATTTTCTTCTTCTGCCCCTCTTTACAGCAAAATCTCTCAGTAAGTTATCAACACTCACACTTTCAATTTGTTCTTTCACTCTCTGGACTCCAAAAGATATTTGCTGGCTAACTAATAATATAACATGTTTGATCTTCCATTATACGATGTATTATAACTTGCTTTTACTATGTATGTAGTTCCACATACATATACTTTATTTTCTTTAGAGCAACCAATGATGCCAAACACTAGACCTGCATTTTACATACATTATCTGTTTTATCTCTTACAACTCTGAGATAAGAATATTATTAATATTTTATAGATGCAGAAACACATTCAGAGAGATTAAAACTGCAACATGTTACTATTCAATAACCTCATTCCTAACCCTCAAACAAAAGGCTTTTACTATTACTTTACATTTTAGTTAAATTTTCTAACATTTAATTTAACCTGTGTAATTTTAGGGAAATTTCATGAAATTAAGCATCAAGTTAACTAAATGTATTGCATATATACTTTTGAAACTTTGATCTATAGAAATTGCAGTTGAATTAACTACTTGAAGTATTTTCTCATTTGCTTTATTTACTTCTATAATCATTAATGAAAACACATATTCATTAATGAAAACACACTTAGAGTTCTACAAAATAATGGAGTTGCCTAAGCTATTGAGCATGAAAGGCTAGAAAAACACACTATTTCAGCTCAGTGAGACATGGAAATTTTTATTTTTAGAAATATTTTTGGAAACAGTAAGCCTTAATGAAGTATATGAAACTTGAATTTAAATATTTTATTCATCAATTTAAATTTCTCAATAACCCAACCTTTAATTTTTTTGCAGGCTTTTTTTTTTATGCCACTAATTTTCTATTACTTTCTACCCACACTCCCACATCCCATCTCCCAGGACTTAATAGTTCTAATTCCTACAGATGCAATATAGGCTAGAGCAAGTTAATGAAAAAAGTAGAAATTTGCTCTCCCAAATTCTCTCTGTAATTTTCTAGATGTGCCTCCCTCACTCCCATATAATCCCCAGTTAAGGAAGCAATGATATTAAAGTTCTAGAGTGAATCTATAAATATCTAGAAACTTGAAAGAAGCTGGAATTGACAGAGAGAACCTTTCCTTCACTGCTGTCCCCCCTCTGTCTTGTTCATCTCCGTGCATGGTTATGCCATTTGTCCAGGGGCACCGTATCTATTCCCACTATCCCTGGAAATCATCTTAGGCATTCTTTTCTCTCACTATGCTTTCTGTCCCTAAATCAAATCAATCACTAAATCCTGTTGACTTTACCTTCTAGATAACTCTCCAAAGTGTGAACTTCTCTCTCTGTCTGTCGCTGCAACCCTGGCCCAAGCCCCTGTATTATAGCAACAACTTTCACATGTCTTCCAGCTGTCTTCCAGCTGTCAAACCTTTTAAATAAACAGCCAGTCTGATTTATTCTAAAGACAAATCAATTCATGTTTACGCAAAACACGTCAATGTCTTCCCAATGTGTTAAAGAAAAAGTTCAACTCCTTACCATAAGCTATAGGATTCTGTGTTTAGCCTGGCTAATACCACTTTCTTTCACTGCCTACCATTCTGTGCATGAAACATTGCTGAAAGGTTTGCAGGTGAACGTCCCTGTGCCTAGAAGGCTCTTTACCAGACTCTGTAGGGTTGGCTTCTTTTCACTTTCAGGTCTCAGTTTAAATGACTTTTCCTTAGAGAGGCTCCCTCTGATCACCCGAAGTAATTGTTCTCATTATATTCTTTGTCAGAGTTTTATTCATAATATTTTTGAATTTTCTTCGTAATACCTTTTGCCTCACAATTACATATTTACTTGCTTATTCTATGTGTCTTTCATTAGACTAAGCTTCACGGGACAGAGACAATGTCTATGTTGCTCTCCAGTGGACGCCCAGGGTCTAGCGCAATGCCTGGCATATGGTAGTTTCTCAATAAATAATTGTTGAATGCATGAATGAACAAACAACTGAATGAATTGCTTGATGAATTTAGTAAAGATTGACTATTCCTTTTTGTTGAAATGTTGTACTTTCATTTTCAAAATTCTTTGGTTTAGATCATCTTACGAGATATTTAAGCAAATTTAAGCTTAAACAAGCTTAAAATTATCGACAAAACAAAAATATGTATAGTCATATTTTATAGTAGGGTTTTACTTTTTTATATAAAATGAGCAAATTTTTCATTCTGGAACATCAACTTTATCAACAAAGCATTAATTATTAGACCATATATGTTGAGGTTCCCTAATTAAAAGTGAAGGCACATCTGACTCAGCACTATGGATACTCCTCCTCTTACAATATCCCTCATAAAAGCATCTCCTTCAGTTTATGCCTCTTGTCGTTTTCTCTACAAGGCTCAGATTTACTTAGGTTAAAGTATTGCTCTGGGAAAGGAAGTCACATTTTCCGCCTTCATCACCTTCATATTCTGCCATATTCAAAGAAACTTGTGCAAATAGATGTCTGAGAGCGACTGCCTCTGCAGACTCAGCAGATCTATGTGTATCTTTATCTGGGCTCAACTAGGTCTCACATCATCTCTACAACTGCATGATACAACAATAGAAGTTGCTTCTTTATTTTTCAAGGAAAATTCTTAATTTAAAATGTTAAGCTAAAAGGAAAGGGACAAAATAAATATGGAAAATAAATTATAGGACATTTGACTATAGACATCATAAGTAGTCACATTATAATCTAGGAAAATTCTTTACTACAGAGACAAGAAAACATTTAGCTTTACCACCTATTCATTTTCTAAAAGACTACTAAATTTTGGGAAGAACTTGTAAAAAAATAGGAACAGTTAAACTCTTTTGAACCATTGGTTTATGAGAGGTATTTTTCTAAGCACTTCACGTGCATTAAATAATTTATGCTCCACAAAATTTCTATTAGGTAGGAACATTTATCCACCCTGTTTTACAGATGAGTAATTATGATATAGAGATATTAAGCATCTTTTACAAAATCACAGAGCTAGTATATGGCAAGGATGAGATTCAGATTTAAAGCCCACATCTTTAAACATCATGCTATACTGCCCTCAATATATAAATTGTATTCCAATCCATTTATAAAGAACCTATAGATCAGGAAAATGTGAAAATGTGTACAAGCACAAGGTATTAATCTTTTCATATAATTAATAGTTATAGTTTCCAAAATACTTTCACTATACTATTACATTAGTTTATACATGTAAATATTTAACATAATATCTGGTATATACTACACGCTCAAAAAGTGGTACTCTTCACTAGATTCTCACCTTGATTCTATGAAATAGGAGATCATAAGTGTCAGGTAAGAGAAGCTGTCTGTGACAATAAATTAACCCGACATAATTCAACACAAGTTTATTTCTCACTCAAGCAAAGTGTCATGTGAGTCAGCATGCATCCACCTTCAGGCGTAGATCAGAGAGACTAAAATCCTTGACAATGGTTACCAATTACAAATCTTAGTGCTAGCCCATCCATCTCAACACAAGGCTACTGGATAAGGGATAGGGTGCAGTGAAAGAGGCAGACCACATGATAACTCCCTCAGTCTAGTCATTTCTGCTTTCGTTTTCTTGATCAGAATCAGTCAAATGATCTGAAGGTAAATCCAAAACAAGTTAGAAAATCCTGTTTTCCAATGGGCCTGTAAAAAATAAATCGTAAAACAAAGAAAAAGCATTGTCTCTGCCACAAGAACTAGTATTCCTCTTTGTCAGGTTAGTATAATGAGATATGTAAAGGTTGATAGACAGGCTCTTGGCCATTCAGTTAGTAATTGCAGAGCTGGAACTTTAAACAGGCTTTCTGTATTTGAAATTAATTAATGATCATTATGGCAAGTTTCATAACCAAAAAGCTACAATTTTAAAAAGTTAATAATATTTTCAGTTTGAAATTATGAGAAGTACTTAATGGAAGAGGTGCCATTTAAATTGTTATTGAAGGATAGATGGAATTTGTGTATGGACAGATGGGGGAAGGGAAATCTAGGCAAAGTGAGAGAGTACATACAGGAACTAGGAAATAGCTCAGTCTGACCAAATCAAGAAGATTATCCTGCCTGAGTAAAAGAATTCACCTCGATTTGATGGATATAAAAATTGAATTGCTAAATTGATGTGGACATTAAGACAACTTATTTTTTCATAATTTGATCAATTTGTTTTCTTTCATTTTTATGCTAGTCATATAGCCTTGGGTTCTGAATGATACCTGAAAGCTCACATGATTTATTTAAATTTTGCTATGGTTGAAATATTTCAAAATATTCTTCCAATTCCCAATATGATCATTAATGATTAAATATTGATCTGTACTTAAAAATTATCAGAAGAGCCCTCATTATAGAAATATCAAATTAAAAAAAAAGAACTTGCATTTATTTATTTATTTATACATCTGACTTTTCCCTTTCAAGGATTTGTTATGTTACAGTGAAGGTGCTAGATGCAGATTAGACATGATTGGGATGGATCACTTGGGATGGGTCCACTGATATGGATCATTCTTCTTACAGGCGTAGGCTAATGCCTTCAGCATACAGCTGGAATGAACAGAGTTTGCAATAATAAAAATATACATTATATGTACTTGTATTTTTTCCCTTTTAAAATAACTCAAATTTTAAACTAGCAATAGAAAGTAAAGCTGGGTGAAATTATACTAATATACAAAGGAACAGAATGTTATTTTATCATACCCAGAAGCATTCAAGTAAAGCAGAGAATCAGTTTTTTCTCTCTTTGTGTGTATATTATCCTAGGGAGACTCTGAGGTTATGGCAATGGAGTTGAAAAAAGAAGCAAAATCTCCCTAGGCAAAGTTCCAACAAGATTTAAACTTTTTGTTTCTATGAGGCATGCTATATGTGATATTATTGGGATGAAGTAGCCAAGAGCACAGAAAACAATATAAATAATCCAGATTTCTATCTGTGTACCTCTTACAAATTAGGCAAAGAGGATGCACCCAAGGACAGATTAGCTACATAAAACATGACACGTGCACTCTGTTAGAGGGCCCTTTCATGTTTACATTCTTTGGTCTCCTGGGTTACAGAAAACTGGACCAGACTAAGATTGCCTTGCCTTCATCTGTCTTGTAAATTGAAGAGTGATAAGCAAATTTTGGGTCACAATTTTACCATGCCCAGAAGTGTCAGAAACAAGTAGACTATCAAGGGATGACAAAATATCATCACAATTATTCATACAAAGTTGAAAAGACAAATTTATTTTTGGATTTTTGGTATATAAAGATGATGAATTTTGGTATGAATTACAAAGTGTTATAATTTAAAACCAACTATATATTCTAGAATGCAGTCTAGGATTAAAGGAAGTTTTGACAATGAATAAAAATAAATAATTGAGGAGAGACAACATGGGCCATTCAGTGCATCCAGAAGTGCTACTCCCATGGAGGGAGACCAAATTCTCAAGTAAACCAACAAACTTTGAAAAGATCTTTAGAGAGAAAACACTGAGTCAATGGAGCCATGGCTCAGACACCAAGGCTGAAGGGGGGAAAGCTGAGTCCTGTGCAGGGTTGCTGAATGCCAGGGCTAGTGCCTGCCCCTCAATAGCTACTAAGTAAGGGGTGAATGAAGGGACAGAGGGACAGCCAACTCTTGCTGCAGACGCCTGGGATCCTAACTACAAGAGAGCTCACGACCTCCATAGACATTTGAACTGGCAGGGGGATCTGCACTAAAAGTAGGCAGAGACAGAGCTCCAGCCTGCACAGAGCCCACGGAGTTTGCACGCACAGGGCAGCTGCAGTGGAATGTGGACATATTAATAGGTGCTCAACTCCCAAGGCTCCCCATCTCCCTCTGAATAGCTCTAGCCCAAGCTGACCATAGGGCCAAGAGAGAGCACAGCAGACTTTCCACTGGGAGTGGAGCACATCTGTTCTGCAGGCCTACCTCCCTGCCAGCCCCTCCCAAAGCCCATACCTGGCCGCTCCTGCGGGGTTGTGTACACAGTGCAGCCTCTGCTACCCAACCTGGGTGTTTTGCAGGGGCCCCATCTGAGTACTTTCTTGGAAGCTTGGGTGTACTTTGGATCCTCCAGTGCCACTGGTGCCGGACCTCAAGGGACTGGAGATGGAGCCACGGGCTGGTCTCAATGCCATAGGGCTGTAGTGCTGCTCAGGAGTGCTCAACCAAGATTCACAGCCGGTGCTCATGTTGGTGAGGATCCCCCCACTCTGAGAACACTGAGAGAGGTGAGATGCATGGGCTAGTGGGCCAGCGCCAGAGCAAGGATGTGCCTTCCTTTACAGGGCTGGTCCTAGAAAGGAACCTGTGGCCTGTCTGCCAGCTGTGTCCTCTGCCTGATGGAGCCCACGGCTCAGAATACCTAGCAAAGGAAATGCGGGCCTTGTGCCAGTGGTTGGAGGGAGCTCTTCCAAGGCGCAGGAGAAGACATAGTGAGGGGATCATCTTTCTCCCCCTCCTATACCACAAAGAACTGCTGCAAATGCGCTGAAATACAAAGGAGATGCATGGTTGAGTAAGAACCTATCTGCCAGTCATTACTCTTAACCATCATCTACTGGTTCACTTGACAAATTACAACATCAATATTCAATAAACATGGCCTGTGAAACCCAGGGCAAAAATCCATCAATAAATAAAGGTTCCACTTCCAACATTAGGAATTACACATCAACGTGAGATTTGGGTGGTGGGGACACAGATGCAAACCATATGAATACCCAAAGGAAAATAGGTCATTCTACAAAAAGACACATGCTCTCATATGTTCATTACAGTGCTAATCATAAGAGCAAAGACATGGAATGAACCTAGTTACCCATTAATGGTGGAGTAGATAGAGAAAATGTGGTATGCATATACTATGGAATACTATGCAGCCATAAAAACAAACAAAATTACATTCCTTTTATGTTTTGCTGCAACATGGATGCAGCAGGAGGCCATTATTCTAAGCGAATTAACACAGAAACAGACAACTAAATACCACATGTTCTCACTTATAAGTGGGAGTCAAATATTGAATGAATACACATGGACATAAAGATGGGAACAATAGACGCTTGCCTCTACTAGAGGGAGGAGGAAGACGGGGTGTGGTCAGAGCAACTACCTATGAGGTACTATGTTCACTACCTGGATGATAGATCATATTACCCTAAACCTCAGCATCATGCAACATACCCATGTAATAAACCTGCACATGCACCCTCTGAATCTAATATAAAAGTTGAAATTATTTTTTAAAAACATTTTTCTCTAGAAGAAGTAATCTAAATAATGTTCTCTGGAGTTACAGTTTTGGAACTTTATTATTTAGTGAAAATTTTTGATGTAGGAAACCAAATTATTTACTGGAGATAGGTAGTGACAAAATGAATCTACAAGAGATTGAATATTTCAAGTAGGGCTTCAAGGTTTTGTTAGAACAGGGAGATTAGCCACCTAAAACCTAAGAAAGAGAGTGTTTCCAGGTTGTCTGTCTTAAGAAACAAAAGCAATCAAACAAAAATATTCACAATCAATAAACTTGTTATTGAAGAAGAACAGAATTATGTCCTTTGCAGCAACATGGATGCAGCTGGAGGCCATTATCCTAACTAGATTAACACAGAAACAGAAAATCAAGTATCACATGTTCTTACTTATAAATTGGAGCTAAACATTGGACATAAAGCACACATGGAGCCCTTGCTATAGAAGATGGGGGCTATTTAAAGGAACATTCAAGAGCTTTGTGCCTGTTCCCAGAAGACAAAGATACCATGTGATGAGTAGTGCTGATGTCAGTACTGAGGGCTGAAGGAGGATGGAACCTAACACGCAGTAATCAGAGTGATGTAAGTTGGGACAGAATGAAGAACTAAGTTGTTGGTTTTCAGTCTTCACGTGGAAGTTTGGGGTAAGAGACTGTGTATAAATACTAGATTAGACAGATTAATTTCAAAAGAAAAGTGAGGCTTGAGGTGAAGCTTAAATGAAGGGTAGAAAGAATACTGAAAAGAAGGAGTTAGAGAATTCCAAGACAGGGGGATGGCATGAACAGAGATATGGAAGGAAGATGATGAAGCTTGGGAGTCAGCATCAGGGAGGAGTGGGAAGTCATTTTAAGGTGACGTCAGGAGGTTCAGAGCAAACAAATGATTTTAGAATTGAATCTATGTTTAGATTACAGTTAATTAGAATAGAGTCAATGTTTAACATAAACTCCATTGGAAGTTATTATAAAATGTGTGATGTGATCGACTTCGTCTCCTCTGAAGAGTAGTCTGGAATGACTGAAAAAAAGATGAATGGGAGGGTGAGATATGGAACCAGGGAGACTGGAGATTGCAAGTAAGAGATGATAAGAGGCCAGGGATACTCTATGTCATATACAGAGCAAAAGATGGTCTTCTTTGACTACTAAAATTAATCTGCTCACAATGACACTTTCTAATCCTTTCCAGGAACTGCTTTTTCATAGCTTTCCTTACCACTTTATTTTTATTTATTACCTATATCTCCCCTGTAATATGTAACATGTTTTGTCTGTTTTTCATTGTTATATTTCCACAATCTAGAATAGTGACTGACACATGGTAGTTGTTCAATGAATTTTTTATAAATTAATAAATAAATATCACCAAAATTTTGCAGAAGGTAGTACTATGTAGCAAACTGAATATAAAGAATGAGGAGAAAGAAAGAAAAACTAAAATAATGATTTCAGAGAATACAGCCTAAAGTGTGATTTTAAATGGGAGGAACAGTTGGAAGCTTTTATGTAACAGAAGGAGTTTGGAGATGGTTTTAGACTGGAGCCTAAATAATATTGAAAGTATTATTTGGTTAGTACTGCATTACCAGCACTTAGCGTGGTACCTAGCACAAGGCTGGTGTTCCATAAAGAGGTGTTTAAAGAATACATGCTCTACTGGGTTTGAGGATTTAGTAAACGTGTTTTTTGTTTGGAGTTTGAAAAGTAGGACTGAAGGGCAGGAAAAAAATCCTGACCAAAAAAAGTAGATTTGAACTTTGCATAAAAGCTGGACAATCTGGTGTGGCAGAGGAGTTTTTACAGCTCGGAAATGTATAAAGGGTTTACTATATTCATGTAATTAATTTTGTGTAAGAAAGGCTAGTCTCATTGGGCCAAAATCATGTTTTAAAAAATTTAGAGATTAATTTGAGAAATTTGCAACCTGGAGACAAGAGCACAGAAATGTTAAAGCTTTGAATTAATGTTATGAAAATGTGTCTTTTATTCATTTGGTAAATTTCTAAAAAGCTATATGCAAATTAAATAAGGGCAAATCTGCTTACATTGACTTACATTAGAACAGTTTATTTTATCTGCATTTCTAATTGATTTGCAATTGACAATCCTTCATAACACCTTTGCCATTTCTCTGCCCTTCAGGATATTCTGTCAATTAGTTGATGAACTGTCAGCATTTACATTCATCAAGAGCTTCCTATTTAAAGGCTGTCTGTAATGAATGCTTCAGTTATATCAGAAAATCATATTTATATATATTTAGTTTTCTAAAGAGCAAGGATCATGTATCATTAAATCTCAGAAGACTTTTGGTATCATAAATTTATAAATGAAGCATAGATGGCCAGGTGTGGTGGCTCAAATCTGTAATGCCAGCACTTTGGCGGGCCAAGGTGGGCAGATCACTTGAGGTCAGGAGTTCTTCAAGACCAGCCTGGCCAACATGGTGGAATCCTGACTCTACTAAATGTACAAAAATTAGCTGGGTGTGGTGGTGCACACCTGTAATCCCAGCTACTCAGGAGGCTGAGGCAGGAGAATTGCTTGAACACAAGGTGGTGGAGGCTGCAGTGAGCCAAGATTGCACCACTGCACTCCAGCCTGGGTGACAGAGCAAGATACTGTCTTAAAAAAAAATAGAATATGCGAAAATCATTATTTAAAACAGCAAATGTTGATACAAATGAGTTCATTAAAGTGTAAAAATAAGATACATTATGTTTTTAACCAATGTGAAAATTTAGCCAGCTATTAAGATCCCTGAATTTGGATTTTCCAAGAATAGGGACTTCATATGAAAACCTGGAAATGTTACCGATTTTCTTCTATGTCACTCTCTCTGGTCTTAAGTCAGGCTTAATATTTGTACTATAAGGATATGTTAATTCCATGGTGGGCGGGTAGGTGTGTCTTCTGTATATCATGTATACATACACATAAATGATTAATCAATTTTTATATATCTTTTTTTAGGAAACCTATAGTGCACAGTTTAAATCCACTTGAGCCAATTAACATTTTCAAAAAATATTTTATACCATCTACATTAAAACGTTAAGAAAACAAACTTTGAATAAGTTTTGAATCTCAGTCAGGGAGTTCTGAAATTAGGGACCAAAGTTCAAACTGAGAAGAAGGAACCTGGAGAGCAGAATGCTCATCAAATCCTCCCTTTTAGATTCCCAGAGCACTCATTAAAGCTGCTCAGTTAGTACTTAATAAATAATGCATCCCTTGCTCTGAAAATAATCAGATTTATTGGATTACATAGTGATGTAGTTATCTTCTTTTTCTGCCTTCTGAAAAAGTAGACAAAAGTATTAGCAACATGAATGAGATTAAGGCAGATACATATGTACCATGCTAAAAAATGTCAACTTTATCTGGAAGATAATAGTGAAACACAGGAGATTTTCTGCTTTCGAAAGAACACTCAGTTGGCAAGTAAAGAATGATGTTCACTGCTTTGTGCAGTGCCTGATACATTTGGCCCATTGTATCTGTGGGTTCCACATTCATGGATTCAATCAACCACAGAAAGAAAACATATGGAAAAAATATTGTGTCTGTATTGAACATGTACAGACTTTTTTCTTGTCACTATTACATAAATAATACAATATAGCAACAATTTACATAGCATTTACATTGTATAGGTATAACAAGTAATCAAGAGATGACAAAGTATACAGGTGAATGTGCACAGGTTTTATGGAAATATTATGCCATTTTATATCAGAAGCTTGAGCATCCATAGATTTTGGCCTCTCAGAGAGGTCTTGGAACCAATCCACTGCAGCTACTGAGGGAAAACTATGTATAATAGGCACTCAAAAAACAATGTTGAGGCCAGGCACAGTGGCTCACGCCTGTAATCCCAGCACTTTGGGAGGCTGAGGCAGGTGGGCCACAAAGTCAGGAGTTCAAGACCAGCCTGACCAATATTGTGAAACCTCATCTCTACTAAAAATACAAAAATTATCCAGGTGTGGTGGCACACACCTGTAGTCCAAGCTACTTGGGAGGCTGAGGCAGGAGAATCGCTTGAATCCAGGAGGTGGAGGTTGCAGTAAGCCAAGATCTAGCCTGGGCGACAGAGCAAGACTCCATCTCAAAAAAAAAAAAATGTTGAATGAATGAGTGAGTGAATGGTGGCATGTAGGGCTCAGGGGAGATTTCCTGAGTATAATACATTAACCATTTTCTTCTAAATTTAGAAATAGCATACATGCAAGATCTTGGTAATGCTTACAGTGAATGTTTCTAAATAACGTAACAATTCATAAATGCAACCATTCATTTATTCATGCACTGATTTTTTCTTTAGTTCATTCATGTGACAGATATTCTATGCAAAGTACTATATAAAGTATCATGGGAAGCAATGATAATATATTTTGTTCTTGCAAGAAATCTAGATCCCAACAGAAGAAATAAGACCAATATTCAAATATTAATACAACATAGTCTGTGGTGAGAAGAGTAAGAGAAACAGAAATTGAAGTTTACTTTATGCTGGCAGTTACAAATGGTTTCTGGAATAGGTATTATTTGGGCCCAACTTTAGATAAGTAGATTTATTTTAGACTTTAGAGATAGTCAAGATAGAAGCAAATAAAGCAGGCAGCAATACCTACTTGTAATAATTTGTTCAATTTTTTATGGTTATTGCTTACTTTATTCTGTCAATATTATGCCAGACTACTTTTTGACACTATTATTATTATTAATTAATTTATTTATTTTTAATTTTACTTTAAGTTCTGGGAAACATGTGCTGAACGTGCAGCTTTGTTACATAGGTATGCATGTGCCATGATGGTTTGCTGCAACTATCAACCCGTTCATCTAGGTTTTAAGCTCTGCATGCATTAGGTATTTGTCCTAATGCTCTCCCTCGCCCCTTAACACCTGACAGGCCCCCGTGTGTGATGTTCCCCTCCCTGTGTCCATGTGTTCTTACATGGAAACCAGGGATGGTTTCCAGCTTCATCCCTGTTGCTAAAAAGGACATGAACTCATTCTTTTTTATGGCTGCATAGTATTCCATGGTGTATATATGCCATGTTTTCTTTATCCATTCTATGATTGATGGGCATTTGGGTTGGTTCTAAGTCTTTGCTATTGTAAATAGTGCTGCAATAAACATACGTGTGCGTGTGCCTTTATAGTAGAATGATTTATAATGCTTTCAGTATATACCCAGTAATGGGAATGCTGGGCCAAAAGGTATTTCTGGTTCTAGATTCTTGAGGAATTGCCACACTGTCTTCCACAATGGTTGAACTAATTTACACTCCAACCAACAATGTAAAAGCATTCCTATTTCTCCACATCCTCGCCAGCATCTGTTTTTGCCAGACTTTTTAATGATTGCCATTCTAACTGGTGTGAGATGGTATCTCATTGTGGTTTTGATTTGCATTTCTCTAATGACCAGTGATGATGAGCTCTTTTTCTGTTTGTTGGATGCATAAATGTCTTCTTTTGAGAAATGTCTGTTTATATCCTTCACCTGCTTTTTGATGGGGTTGTTTTTTCCTTATAAATTTGTTTAAGTTCCTTGTAGATTCTGGATATTAGACCTTTGTCATATGTATAGATTGCAAAAATATTCTCCAATTAAGTAGGTTGCCTTTTCACTCTGGCGCTTGTTTCTTTTGTTGAGCAGAAGTTCTTTAGTTTAATTGGATCCTATTTGTCAATTTTGGCTTTTGTTGCCATTGTTTTTGGTATTTTAGCCATGCAGTCTTTGCCCATGCCTATGTCTTGAATGGTATTGCCTAGGTTTTCTTTCTTTTTTTTCTTTTTTTGAGACAGAGTCTTGCTTTGTCACCCAGGCTGTAGTGCAGTGGCACAATCTTGGCTCCCTGCAACCTCCACCTCATGGGTCCGCCTCAGCCTCCCAAGTAGCTGGGATTACAGGTGCTCACCACCACGCCTGGCTAATTTTTGTATTTTTAGTGGAGATGGGATTTCACCATCTTGGCCAGGCTGGTCTTGAACTCCTGACCTCATGATCCACCCACTTTGACCTCCCAAAGTGCTGGGATTTCATGTGTCGGCCACCACACCCGGCCGCCTAGGTTTTCTTCTAGGGTTTTTATAGTTTTAGGTTTTATGTTAAGTCTTTAATCCATCTTGAGTTAATTTTTGTATAAGGTGTAAGGGAGGGATATAGTTTCTGTTTTCTGCATATGGCTAGCCTGTTTTCCCATCACCATTTATTAAATAGGGAATCCTTACCCCATTGCTTGTTTTTATCAGGTTTGTCGAAAATCAGATGGTTGTAGATGCCTGGTGTTATTTCTGAGGCTTTGTTCTGTTCCATTGGTCTATATATCTGTTTTGGTACCAATACCGTGCTGTTTTGGTTACTGTAACCTTGTAGTATAGTTTAAAGTCAGGTAGCATGATGCCTCCAGCTTTGTTCTTTTTGCTTAGGATTGTCTTGGCTATACAGGGTCTTTTTTGGATCCATATGAAACTTAAAGTAGCTTTTTCTAGTTCTGCGAAGAAAGTCAATGGTAGCTTGATGGGAATAGCATTGAATCTATAAATTACTTGGAGCAGTATGGCCATTTTCACAATATTTATTCTTCTATCCATGAGCATGGAATGTTTTTCTATTTGTTTGTGTCCTTTCTTATTTCCTGGAGCAGTGGTTTGTTGTTCTCCTTGAAGAGGTCTTTTATGTCCCTTGTAAGTTGTATTCCTAGGTATTTTATTCTTTTTGTAGCAATTGTGAATGTGAGTTCACTTATGATTTGGCTCTCTGCTTATCTATTAATGGTGTATAGGAATGCTTGTGATTTTTGCATATTGATTTTGTATCCTGAGACTTTGCTGAAGTTGTTTATCAGCTTAAGGAGTTTTGGGTCTGAGACAATGGGGTTTTCTAAATATACAATCATGTCATCTGCGAACAGAGACAATTTGACTTCCTCTCTTCCTATCTGAATACCCTTTATTTCTTTCTCTTCCTTGATTACTCTGGCCAGAACTTCTAATACTATGTTGAATAGGAGTGGTGAGAGAGGGCATCCTTGTCTTGTGCCGGTTTTCAAAGGGAATGCTTCCAGCTTTTGCCCATTCAGTACCGGTTTGTCATAAATAGCTCTTATTATTTTGAGATATGTTCCATCAATACTTAGTTTATTGAGAGCTTTTATCAGAAATTGGTGTTGAATTTTATCGAAGGCCTTTTCTGCATCTATTGAGATAATCATGTGGTTTTTGTCATTGGTTCTGTTAATGTGATGTATTATGTTTATTGATTTGTGTATTTTGAACCAGCCTTGCATCCCGGGAATGAAGCTAACTTGATTGTGGTGGATAATCTTTTTGATGTGCTGCTGGATTCAGTTTGCCAGTATTTTAGTGAGGATTTTTGTATCAGTGTTCATCAGGGATATTGGCCTGAAATTTTCTTTTTTTTGTTGTGTCTCTGCCATGTTTTGGATTCAGGAAGACACTGGCCTCATAAAATGAGTTAGGGAGGAGTCCCTCTTTTTCTATTGTTTGTAACAGTTTCAGAAGGAATGGTACCAGCTCCTCTTTGTACCTCTGGTAGAATTTGGCTGTGAATCTGTCTGGTCCTGGGGTTTTTTATTTCAGAACTTCAGATGAAGGGGTGGCCTGCCCCTCCACACCTGTGGATATTTCTCGTCAGATGGGACGAGAGACTGAGAAAAGAAATAAGACATAGAGACAAAGTATAGAGAAGGAACAGTGGGCCCAGGAGACTGGCGCTCAGCATACGGAGGATTCGACTTCTTCCTGGTTTAGTCTTGGGCGGATGTACGTGTCCAGGAATTTATCCATTTCTTCTAGGGTTTCTAGTTTATTTGCGTAGAGATGTTTGTAGTATTATCTGATGGTAGTTTGCATTTCTGTAAGATCAGTGGTGATATCCCCTTTATCCGTTTTATTCTTCTCTCTTTTCTTCTTTATTAGTCTCGCTAGCAGTCTATTTGTTAATCTTGACAAAAAAGCAGCTCCAGGATTCATTGATTTTTTTCAAGGGTTTTTTGTGTCTCTATCTCTTTCAGTTCTGCTCTGATCTTAGTTATTTCTTGTCTTCTGCTAGCTTTTGAATTTGTTTGCTCTTGCTTCTCTAGTTCTTTTAATTGTGATTTTAGAAGGCAGATTTTAGATCCTACCCACTTTCTGATGTGGGCATTTAGTGCTATAAATTTCCCTCTAAACACTGCTTTTCCTGTTCCAGGGATTCTGGTAGCTTGTCTCTTTGTTCCCATTGGTTTCAAAAACTTCATTATTTCTGTCTTAATTTCATTTTTTATCCAGTAGTCATCCAGGAGCAGGTTGCTCAGTTTCCATGTAGTTGTGTGGTTTTGAGTGAGTTTCTTAATCTCGAGTTCTCATTTGATTGCACTGTGGTCTGAGAGACTGTTTGTTATGATTTCCGTTCTTTTGCATTTGCTGAGGAGTTTTACTTCTAATTATGTGGTTGATTTTTGAATAAGTGCTATGTGGTGCTGAGGAGAATGTATACTCTGTTGATTTGGGGTGGAGAGTCCTCTAAGTATCTGTTAGGTCCGCTTGTTCCAGAGCTGAGTTCAAGTCCTGAATATCCTTGTTAATTTTCTGTCTCATTGATCTGTCTAATATTGACAGTGGAGTGTTAAAGTCCCCCATTAATATTGTGTGGGAGTCTACGTCTCTTTGTAGGTCTCTAAGAACTTGCTTTATGAATCTGGGTGTTCCTGTATTGGGTGCATATATATTTAGGTTAGTTAGCTCTTCTTGTTGCATCGATCCCTTTACCATTATATAATGCCCTTTTTTGTTTTTGATCTTTGTTGGTTTAAAGTCTGTTTTGTCAGAGACTAGGATTGTAACCCCTGCTTTTTTTTTTCTTTTTTTCTTTTTTTTGCTTTCCATTTGCTTGGTAAATAGTCCTCCATCCCTTTATTTTGAGCCTATGTGTGTCTTTGCACATGAGATGGGTCTCCTGAATACAGCACACTGATGGGTCTTGAGTCTGTATTCAATTTGCCAGTCTGTGTCTTTTAATTGGGACATTTAGCCCATTTACATTTAAGGTTAATATTGTTATGTGTGAATTTGATCCTGTCATCATGATGCTAGCTGGTTATTTTGCACATTAGTTGATGCACTTTCTTCATAGTGTCATTGGTTTTATATTTTGGTGTGTTTTGCAGTGGCTGGTACCGGTTTTTCCTTTCCATATTTAGTGCTTCCTTCAGGAGTTCTTGTAAGACAGGCATGGTAGTGAGAGAACCCCTCAGCATTTGCTTGTACATAAAGAATTTTATTTCTCCTTCACTTATGAAACTTAGTTTAGCTGGATATGAAATTCTGGTTTGAAAATTCTTTCCTTTAAGAATGTTGAATATTGGCCCCTACTCTGTTCTGGCTTGTAGGGTTTCTGCAGAGAGATTTGTTGTTAGTCTGATGGGCTTCCCTTTGTAGGTACCCTCAACTTTCTCTCTGGCTGCCCTTAACATTTTTTCCTTCGTTTCAACCTTGGAGAATCTGACAATTATGTGTCTTGGGGTTGTTCTTCTTGAGGAGTATCTTAGTGGTATTCTTTGTATTTCCTGAATTTGAATGTTGGCTTGTCTTGCTAGGTTGGGGAAGTTCTCTTGGTTAATATCCTGAAGTGTGTTTTCTGACTTGGTTTCATTCTCCCTGTCATTTTCAGGGACCCCAATCAATCATAGGTTTGGTGTTTAACATAGTCCCATATTTCTTGAGGCTTTGTTTGTTCCTTTTCTATCTTTTTTCTCTAATCTTGTCTCATGCCTCATTTCAGTTAGTTGATCTTTAATCTCTGATATCCTTTCTTTGGGTTGATTGATTCAGCTGTTGATACTTGTGTATGCTTCACGGTGTTCTCATGCTGTGTTTTTCAGTTCCATCGGGTCATTTATGTTCTTCTCTAAACTGGTTATTGTAGTTAGCAGTTCCTATAACATTTTGTCAAGGTTCTTAGCTTCGTTGCATTGGGTTAGAACATGCTCCCTTAGCTCAGAGAGTTTGTTATTACCCACCTTCTGAAGCCTACTTCTGTCAATTCATCAAACTCATTCTCTGTCCAGTCTTGTGCCCTTGCTGAAGAGGAGATGCAACCATTTGAAGGAGAAGCAGCATTCTGATTTTTGGAATTTTCAGCCTTTTTGCACTGGTTTTTCCTCATCTTCGTGGATTTATCTACCTTTGATCTTTGAGGTTAATGACATTTTGATGAGGTTTCTGTTTTGGGGTTCTTTTTGTTGATGTTGATGTTATTGCTTTCTGTTAGTTTTTATTCTAACAGTCAGGACTCTCTCCTGCAGGTCTGCTGCAGTTTGCTGGAGGTCAACTCCAGACCCTATTTGCCTGAGTATCACCAGGGGAGCCTGCAGAACAGCAAAGATTGCTGCCTGCTCCTTCCTCTGGAAGCTTCATCCCAGAAGGGCACCGGCTTTATGCCAGCCAGAGCTCTCCTATATGAGGTGTCTGTCAACCCCTGTTGAGAGGTGTCGCCCAGTCAGCAGGCACAGGGTTCAGGGACCCACTTGAGGAGGCAGTCTGTTCCTTAGCAGAGCTTGAGCGCTGTGCTGGTAGAATCCTCCTTGTCAGGGTCCACTGCTCTCTTCAGAGCTGGCAGGCAGGAACATTTAAGTCCACTGAAGCTATGCCCACATCCGCCCCTTCCCTCAGGTGCCCTGTCCCCGTGAGATGGAGTTTTATCTATAATTTTATTTATAATCCCCTGACTGGGGCTGTCGACTTTCTTTCAGAGATGCCCTGCCCAATGAAGAGGAATCTAGAGAGGCAGTCTGGCCACAGCCGCTTTGCCACACTGTGTTTAGTTCTGCCCAGTCCAAACTTCCAGGCCTTTTTAGTGCAGTCAGGGGAGAACTGCCTACTCAAGCCTCAGTAATGGCAGACGTCTCTCTCCCCATCAAGCTTGATCATCTCAGGTTGACTTCTTACTGCTGTGCTGGCAGCAAGAATTTCAAGCCAGTGGTTCTCAGCTTGCTGGGCTCTATGGGGGTGGGACCTATTGAGCAAGACAACTTGGTTCTCTGGCTTCTGCCCGCTTTCCAGGTGAGTGAACAGTTCTGTCTCCCTGGAGTTCCAGGTGCCACTGGGGTATGAAAAAAATACTCCTGCAGCTAGCTCAGTGTCTGCCTGAACAGCTGCCCAGTTTTGTGCTTGAAACCCAGGGCCCTGGTGGTGTAGGCACATGAGGGAGTCTCCTGGTCTGCGGATTGCAAAAACCATGGGAAAAGTGCAGTATCTGTGCTGGTTAGCACAGTCCCTCACAGCTTCCCTTGGCTGGGAAAGGGAGGCTCCCATGCTCCTTGCACTTCCTGGGCGGGGCGATGCCCCATCCTGCTTCTGCTCACCCTCCATGGGCAGCACCCACTGTCTAACCAGTCCCAGTGAGATGAATATGGTACCTCAGTTGGAAATGCAGAAATCACCCACCTTCTGCATTGGTCTCACTGGGAGCTGCAGACCGGAGCTGTCCCTATTCTGCCATATTGCCAGCTAAATACAGACTATTTTTAACTAAGTAACTAATTCAAGTAAAATAGCCAATCAAAGGTTTGCATATAAATGAGCTCTCAAAGCACCAGCTATTCACCTTGAGTTATCTTTTCTAACTTGTGGAACAAATATTAATGATCTTTTATCACCAATATTTTCAAAAAATTAAAATTTAGCAGCATTCTAAATAGTTAACAAATGTTATCCTTTAGAAAACAAGTGGTAACAGAGAATGATTTAGTGGATATGCAGATATTGCAGACAATATGTTACCTTTTATAACCCAATAGTTTATATAATCCCTTCCTTTATATTATTTCAATAATTTATTAACAATTTGAGTAATTATGTTGCTGAAAATGTACCAAATGATTAATAATCATGTCAGATTCATTAAGACTTTCCATTTGACAGTAACTGTACTGTTTGTTTCGTATATCTTACCTCATTTAATCCTCAAAATGACAATATGCAGTAAGCATTAACATTCCTATTTTACAAATGAGAAAGCTTAAGTGTAGAGAGCTTAGATAACCTGTCCAATATCACGTAAACCATATATGATGACCCAAGATTCAAACCCAGATCTGTCTTTTCCAAAATCGGCACTCTTAATTGCTGTATATACTAATAAAGACATAGTAAAAAATCTGACTCATCCCTAATATTGACCAAGGATAATCAACTACAATAATGTAATACAAGTGAGAAATTGGGACTGAAAGTTCTGAGAAGGTGCTATCTTTTCCCTTTTGAAATACCAATGCCACCCCTTGTTCTTTGGTGTGTAGTAATCGCTTAAGATGCATTTGTTGACTGAATAAATGAATGAATGGATACAAAGAAATACAAAGAGGGATTGGAGCATCAGGGGTTACTTTTGCAGAAGAATAAATAAAAAAGTTAAATGTCTCCTCCAATGCCATATATTTATCTAATCAAAATGTAGAGGCTTGAACCCAGATCATCTAATTCCAACTTTATTCTTTTTCAAGGTTACTACAGACGCCTACCTTTGGCATTATCCAGGAATATGGCACATAACAGAGATGGTGCATGTCATTTACTAAGATGACAATATCATATTTTTGCTTTGGCTCTTTAAATTGTTTCAGCTTTATTGGTGTATAATTGACAAAAATTGTATAGTTAAAGGTGTACAACTTGTCAAACTAGTTAACATAGCCATCATTTCACATAGTTAACATTTGTGCATCTGTGTGTATGTGTGTGGTGAGAACACTTAAGATCTACCTTTGATATGGTTTGGCTGTGTCCCCACCCAAATCTCACCTTGAATTGTAACTCCCACAGTTCCCTCATGTTGTGGGAGGAAACTGATGGGAGATAATTGAATTATGGGGGTGGGCCATTCCTGTGCTGTTCTCATGATAGCGAATAGGTCTCACGAGATCTGATGGTTTTCAAAACAGGAGTTTCCCTGCTCAAGCTCTCTCTCTTTGTCTGTTGCCATCCATGTAAGATGTGACTTGCTCCTCCTTGCCTTCCACCATGATTGTGAGGCTTCCCCAGCCACGTGGAACTGTAAGTCCATTAAAGCTATTTTTCTTCTCAGTCTCAGGTATGTCTTTATCAGCAGCATGTAAATGGACTAATACAGTAAACTGGTATCAAGAATGGGGTGCTGCTGAAAAGATACTTGAAAGCATGGAAGCGACTTTGGAACTGAGTAACTGCAGAGGTTGGAAAAGTTTGGAGGGCTCAGAAGAAGACATAAACATGTGGAAAGGTTTGGAACTTCCCAGAGACCTGTTCAATGGCTTTGCCAAAATGCTGATAATGATACAGACAATGAAATTCAGGCTGAGGTGGTCTCAGATGGAGATGAGAAACTTGTTGGGAACTGGAGCAAAGGTGATGCTTGTTATGTTTTAGCTAAGAGACTGGTGGCATTTGTACCTGCTCTAGAGATTTGTGGAACTTTGAACTTGAGAGAGATGATTTAGGGTATCTGGCAGAAGACACTTCTAAGCAGCAAAGCATTCAAAAGGTGGCTTGGATACTGTTAAAAGGATTCAGTTTTAAAAGGAAAACAGCATAGAAGTTTGGAAAATTGCAGCCTGTCTATGCAATAGAAAAGAAAATCCCATTTTCTGTGAGAAATTCAATCTGGCTGCAGAAATTTGCATAAGGAGGAGCCGAATATTAATCCCCAAGACAATGGGGAAAATGTCTCCAGGGCATGTTAGAGGTCTTCATGGCAGCCCCTCCCATCACAAGCCTGGAGGCCTAGGAGGAAAAAATGGTTTTGTGGGCTGGGTCCAGGGTCCCTGTGCAGTATGCAGCCTAGGGACGTGGTGCCCTGCATCCCAGCTGCTCTGCTCCAGCCATGGTGGAAAGGGGCCAATGTAGAGCTCGGGCCGTGGCTTCAGAGGGTGAAAGCCCCAAGTCTTGGCAGCTTTCACGTGTTGTTGAGCCCACAAGTGCACAGAAGTCTAGAATTGGGGTTTGGAAACCTCCACCTAGATTTCAGAAGATGTATGGAAATGCCTGGATGCCCAGGCAGAAGTTTGCTGCAGGATCAGGGATTTCATGGAGAACCTCTGCTAGGGCAGTGAAGAAGGAAGATGTGGGGTTGGAGCCCTCACACAGTGTTCCCATTGGGGCACCACCTGGTGGAGCTGTGAGAAGATAGCCACCATCCTCGAGACCTCAGAATGGTAGATCCACTGACAGTTTTCACCATGCACCTGGAAAAGCCACAGACACTCAATGCCAGCCTGTGAAAGCAGTCAATAGGGAGGCTGTACCCTGCAAAGCCACAGAGGCAGAGCTTCCCAAGACCATGGGAACCCATCTCTTGCATCACAGTGACCTGGATGTGAGACATGGAGTCAAAGGAGATAATTTTGGAGCTTTAAGATGTGACTGCCCCACTGGATTTTGGACATACCTGGGGCCTGTAGTCCCTTCATTTTGGCCAATTTATCCCATTTTGAATGGCTGTACTTACCCAATACTTGTGTCTAGGAAGTAACTAACTTGCTTTTGATTTTACAGGCTCAAGGTGGAAGGGACTTGCCTTGTCTTGGATGAGACTTTGGATTATGGACTTTTGAGTTAGTGCTGAAATGAGCTAAGACTTTGGGGGACTGTTGGGAACACATGATTGGTTTTGAAATGTAAGGGCGTGACATTTGGGAGGGGCCAAAGGCAGAATGATATCGTTTGGCTGTGTCTCCACCTAAATCTCATCATGAATTGTAACTCCCACAATTCCCACATGTCATGGTAGGAACCTGGTGGGAGGTAATTAAATCATGTGGATGGGTCTTTCCTGTGCTGTTCTTGTAATAGTGAATAAATCTCACGAGATCTGATGGTTTTGAAAACAGGAGTTTCCACATTCCAGCTCTCTCTCTTTGCCTCCTGCCATCCACGTAAGATGTGATTTGCTCCTCCTTGTCTTTCACCATGTTTGTGAGGCTTCTCCAGCCATGCAGAACTGTAAGTCCATTAAACCTATTTTTCTTCCTAGTCTTGGTTATGTCTTTATCATCAGCATGAAAAAGGACTAATACAATCCTCTTAGTAAATTTCTAGTTTAAAATTCAGCATTATTAACTATTGTCAACATGCTGTACATTAGCTCTTCAGGACTTATTCATCCTCCATAACTGAATCATTTTGTCGTTGATCATATTCTTATTTCCTCTACCCCCCAGCCTCCTGGCAACCATCATTCTCTCTGTGTTTCTATAAGTTTAACTATTTTAGATCCAAATATTAATAAAATAAGGCAGTATTTGTCTTTCTGTGTCTGGCTCAATTCGCTTAGCATAATGTCTTCTAGGTTCTTCTATGCTGTTGCAAATGGCAGGATTTTATTATTTTTAAAGGCTGAATAATATTCTATTGTATAAATATATACCTAATTTTCTTTATCCATTCCCTGTCCACAGAAGTTTAGATTATAACCACATTTTAGCAATCACAAATATTACTGCAATGAACATGAGAGTGCAGATATCTCTTAAAGATAATAATTTAATTTCCTTTGAATATTTAACCAGAATTGAGATTTGCTGAATCATATGGTAGATTTATTTTTAATGTTTGGAGGAATCTCCATACTGCTTCCATGATGGCTTTGATATTTCCACTAACAGTGTACAAGGGTTCTCTTCTCTCCCCATCCTTACCGGCACTTGTTATTTTTTGTCGTTTTGATAACAGACATTCCAACAAGTGTGATGTGATATATCCTTGGGGTTTTGATTTGCATTTCCCTGACAATTAGTGGTGTTGAGCACTTTTCATGGACCCGTTGGCTATTTCTGTGTCTTTTCTTTAGAAATGTCTATTCAGGTTCTTAGCCCATTTAAAATCAGGTTATTTGTTTTCTTGCTATGGAGTTGAATTCCTTATATATTTTAGATACTAGCCACTTATCATATATGTGGTTTGCAAATATTTTATCCCATTCTGTAGACTGCCTTTTCACTCAGATGATTGTTTCCTTTGCTACAATCTCACTTGTCTAATTTTGCTTTCATTGCCTGTCCTTTTGGGGTCATATCCACAAAATTAATGCCCAGACCAATGTCATGGAGTTTTTCCCTATGTTTTCTTCTATAAGATTTACATTTCAGGTCTTGCATTTATGTCTTTAATTGATTTTAAGTTGATTTTTTATATACGGTGTGAGACAAAGTTCTAGTTTCATTTTTCTGCATGTGGATATATGGTTTCTCCAACACTATTTATTGAGGAGACCATTCTTTCCCCATTGTGTGTTCCTGGAAACTTTGCTGTAGACCAATGGACTGTAAATGCTTGGATTTTATTTCTGGGATCTCTCTTTTGCTCTGTTGGCCTATATGTCTATTTTTATGCCAGGGCCATACAATTTTGATCATGCAGCTTTGTAATACATTTTGAAACCAGGAAGTGTGCTGCTTCCAGCTTTGGTAAATGAAATTCTTTTCAGATAGCTCATTGTATGTGTATAGAAATGCAACCAGTTTTTGTATGTTGATTTGTATCATGAAACTTTACTGAACTTGTTTACCATAACAGTGTTTTGGTTGAATCTTTAGAATTTTCTACATATATGATTGTGTCATCTGCCAAAAAAAAAGATAATTTTACTTCTTCCTTTTCAATTTGGTTACCCTTTATTTATTTTTCTTGCCTAATTGCTCTGGCTAGGACTTCCAGTACTGTGTTGAATAGAAGTGGTGAGAGTAGGCATCCATGCCTTTTACTGGATCTTAGAGGAAAAGATCTGAGTCTTCCTCCATCGATTATGATGTTAGCTGTGTGCTTTTTATATGTGGTCTCTATTGTGTTAAATTCCTTTGATGCCTTGTTTGTTGAGCGTTGTTATTAAGAATGGATGTTAAATGTTGTCAAATGCTTTTTCTACATCTATTAAGATGATCATGTAGTATAAATTTTCATTCTGTTAATGTGGTGTATCATATTGATTGATTTGCATATGTGGAATCATTCTGACATAACAGAGATAAATTCCACTTGGTCATGATGTATGATCCTTTTAATATGCTTTTGAATTCAGTTTGCTCTCTTCTCCTTCCAGTATTCCCACAATACATATGTTGGTTAATTTGATGGTGTACCATATTGTATGCTTTCTTCAATCTTCTTCATTCTTTTTTGTTTATGTTCCACTAACTGGCTAATTTCAAATGATCTGTCTTCAGGTTTATTGATTCTTTCTTTCGCATAATTGAGTCTGCTGGTGAAGTTCTCATTGAATTTTGCTGTTCAGTCACTGTATTCTTCACCTCCAGGATTTCTTTTTGGTTCTTTTTAATGGTTTCTATTTTTCAAATAAAATTTCTCATTTTGTTCACATTTGTTTACCTAATTTCATTTGATTGTCTATTAAATTGTAGTTCATTGATATTCTTTAAGATGATTGAGTTCTTTGTCAAGCTGTTCATATAACTCCACTTTTAGGATTGGTTACTGGTCCTTAATTTTCTTTGGTAGTGTCATATTTTCCTAAGTCTTCATAATCTATGCAGCCTTGCCTTGGTATCTGTGTATTTGAAGGAGCAAACAGCTCTTTCAATCTTTACAGACTGATTTTGGCAGGTAAGTACCTTCTCCTGCTGAGATGATAGGCTGATGGGACTGCCTCTGAGAGCATAGTCAAGCAGGGCTGGAGCCAGGTCAAAATATGGGATGCCTTTATTCCAGTGGTATAGATGAGTGTGACTTCATCTAGGTCCTTGGGGGATGAAGTAGAGGGATGCTGGAGTTTGGTCACAGGACTGCTTCATGGTCCACAGTCAGGTCTGAGGTGAATGGGCCTGCTACTGTGGGTGCTAATGAGTATGGCTGCCTATAAGTCCCTGGGTGGGCAGAACTGCCCCACAGACTGCAGCAGAGCAGGATTACAAACAAATCATAGGGCTGCTCAGGGTCTACAGCCAGGTACAAGGTTGGCAGGCCTGTTAGGGAGGTTATTGATGGACATGGCTCTTACCAGATCCCTGGGTGAGCAAGACTGCCTCCAGACCATGGTAGGGTGAGGCCGGAGCTGAGTTAGAGGGCAGCTTCAGGGTTCACAGCCAGGACAGAGGTTGTCAGACCCACCTTGCTGGCATCACTTTCAAGATAACAACATTCTTGAACTGGGGTTTTGCTCCACATTTACTCTAAAGCTCCAATGTCCTATTGTATGCACCAGGAAAACAGTAGGTAGTGATTAAAAGCATGAACTCTCAGTCAGGTAGACTGGGTTCAAATTTAGGCTCTCCCCTTTACTAGCTATGTGGTCCCAGGCAAGTTGCTTTAATTTCACTAAACCTTGGTTTTATCATTTATAAAATGGACATAATAGCACACAACACATAAAACTATGAGGACTGAATATTAAAATCCATGAAAAGTGCTTAGTCAGAAAGTAGAATGGTGATTACCAGGGGCTAGGGTATGGGGTGGCATATTAGTCCATTCTCACATTGCTATAAAGAACTATCTGAGACTGGGTAATTTATAAAGAAAAGGGGTTTAATTGACTCACATTCTGCAGGCTGAACAGGAAGCACATCTGGGGAGGCCTCAGGAAACTTACAATCATGGCAGAAGGTGAAGGGGAAGCAGGCACATCTCACATGACCAGAGGAGGAGTAAGAGAGAGCAGGATGAAGGTGCCACACACTTTTAAACAACCAGATCTTGTGAGGACTCACAAACCATCACAAGAACAACAAGGGGGAAATCCACCCCCATGATCCAATCACCTCCCACCAGGCCCCTCCTCCAACACTGGAGATTACAATTCAACATGATACTTGAGCAGGGGACACAAATCCAAACCATACCAACTGGGGATTTGGGAAATATTGGTCAAAGGATACAAAATTTTTGTTGGAAGGGAGAAATAAATTCAGAAGTTATATTTAATAACAATACATTATATATATAAAAATTGCTAAGGGAGACTTTACATGTCTTCACCACAAAATAAGAATGTGAAATAATGGATATGTTAATTGGCTTGATTTAGTGATTACACAATGTACGCATATATCAAAACCTCATGTTGTATGACATGAATATATAACTCATTTTATTTTATTTTACTTTATTTTATAGACAGAGTCTCGCTCTGTTGCCCAGGCTGGAGTGTGGTGGTGCGATCTCGGCTCACTGCAAGCTCCACCTCCTGGGTTCACACCATTCTCCTGTCTCAGCCTCCCAAGTAGCTGGGACTACAGGCGTCCACCACCATGCCCGGCTAATTTTTGTATTTTTAGTAGAGACGGGGTTTCACCGTGTTAGCCAGGATGGTCATAACATTTTTATTTGTCAGTTAAAAAATTAAAACTAAAAAACATGCTTAGCACATTGCCTAATGTATATTAGTCTTAAGGAACTGGCTGTTATTTTATAGCATCAGGTTTGTTAGTTTCTCAGGGCTGCCATAGCAAAGCACCAAACAATGGATGGGTTAAAACAATAGAAGTCTATTGTCTCACAGTTCTGGGAGTTACAAGTCTGAAATAAAGGGGTTGGCAAAGCCATGCTCTCTCTGACAGTTCTAGGGGGGAGAATCCTTCTTTGCCTCATCTAGCTTCTAGTGTTTGATAGTAACCTTGGCTTTCCATGTCTATCTTCTCCCTGTTCATCTTCACATCATCTTCCTTCCATCCAGGTCTGTTTCTGTATCCAAATTTCCCTTTTTTATAATGATCCTAGTCATATGAATTAGAGCCCATTCTGATGTCATCTTAAACTGGTTACCTCTTTAAAGACCCTATTTCCAAATAAGGTCACATTCAGAGGTAACCGGAGTTAGGATTTCAATATATACATATTTGGGAAGACACAATTCAACCTGCAACACCAAGAATTTACTTTTAATACTGCTGCTCAGAAGAGCCATGTAACTTCAAATCACCCACCCCAAAAAAGCAATGTGAAAAGCACTTAAACTGATTATTTCTTTAAAGACTCCATTTCCAAATTAAGGTCATATTCAGAGGCACCAGGAGTTAGGGATTCCTATATACATATTTGGGAGGACACAATTCAACCTGTAACACCAAACATCTACTAAAAATACTGCTGCTTAGGGGAGCCATGTAACTTCAAATCACCCAACCCAAAAAAGCTATGTGAAAAGCACTTTTCTGAGAACTGTCCCTTGTGTGTCCTACTTTTCTTCTCAGCCAGCTCCTGACAGCCTCAATTGAGAGTTGCCTCTTGGGTCTGGTTTAGCTGTCACTCCTAGTCTAATTAGGGGAGTCACTGGCTGACCTACAGCCTCTGTCCCCAGTAGGGCCCCAGTTCTGCTTTTCTTGTTTTAGTACCTGCCTCTCTAGTGACATGACTGCCTCCCTTGGAGGCTGACCTTGTCCTCATTTTACCTTCACTAATTCTCTATTGCATAAATGATAGTAGTAAGAGCTCATATTTATGGAAAGTTCTTATGAGTTATACCAAATGCTAACACTCTATAGGCATTGCCTTATTTAATTCTTACAACAGTCCTATATGGTAAATTGACCATTTCACAGATGAGAAAACTGAGGTTCAAAGAGCTTAAGTTGTCCCAAATTGCACAGCTAGGAACAGACAACACCAGAATGTAAACCTAAGTATATTTAATATCAAAGTTTGCTTCTTAGCTATACAGTAAAAGGCAAAAGATTTATACGATCTGAGGAGAAACCAGAGTATAAAGATTGCTTCTTAACTATATAGGCTCTGCTCCAAGAGGGTGCATTGCTTATGGGGAAATAAGTCTATAAACACAACAACAAAGTAAAATGATTAGGATAAGAAGTAAACATAGAAAACTATGTGAACACCCAAAAAAAGGGTCCTAATCCTAATGGGAATTATCAGGAAAGGCTTTCAAAAGATTATGATTTATCATGCATATGTGAAAGTGTGTGCCATGGACAGAGACAGATGACCAGAGGGATCAGGAAGAGCCTTTATAGGATACAAAAGTTTGAAATCTTAAAGACAATAGAGGAACGGAAATTTACAAAGAGAAGATCATATTAACAATTCTTATTTAAGCAAGGAAATGACAAAATCTGTTCATATTTTGGAAAGTTCACTCTGAAAGCCATACGGAGAGGAGATTAGAGGGATACAAATCAAGAGCTAGGGCATTTATCAGAGGCTATTGCCTGAAATAGGCAAGAAATGATGAGGCTTGAGTTAAGCTCATGGCAGAGGGAATGAAGAGGAGGGAGAAGATTCCAAAGAGAAAGAAGTTATAATTATTGCACTTGGGACTGATTTAATGTTAGCATAAAAAAGAGGGAAAACAATGAAATAATGTCCAAGATTCCAGTATGATTTCTGGATACACAGTGATGCTACTTACTGCAATAGGTAACAAGAAGAAAAACCAGGTGTGGAGAAGGTGGGAGGCAACTATGGATTTAACTCTGAATATGTTAAGGTTGAGGTACTTTAAGTCATGAAAGTGGAGACATCTGTTAGGCAGGCAGATGTATGGACCCAGAGGGCAGGGAATCATTATAATTGCCTCCTAAATGATCTTGTTTCTGTCTCTGCTCCTCACATCCCTCTGCAACCTGTTCCCCCTACACAGTAAGTTAGATGTTGTCCCTTCCCTATTTCCTAACAATAGCTTCCCATCTCATTCAAAGTGAAAAGCCAAGTCTTGACTATGACCTACAAGGCCAGATATAATCTGCTGCTTTCTGGCTATTTCTGATCTTATCTCTTAGTACTTTCCCTCTTACATACTCCACTCTAGCCACACAGGTGCCTTTATTCTTTTTGAAGCCACGAAAGTTCCTACTTCAGCCAGGCAAGTTCTTTGTTATTTTTCAAGTGAGGCAAGTTCCCACTGCTACACTTGAGGTTTCTTCTTCCTGGAACATTCTTCCTTACAGGTAAACCTGTGGTGGGTTCTTTCACTTCCTATAGATCTTTACTCAAAAGCCACCTTCTTTCTCACTGGGACCATTGTATCTAAAATTGTGTAATTGTATCTAAAATTTCAATTCTTATTTGGCATTTCATCTCTTCATTCTCAGCTTTATTTTTCTCTCCTTTGGACTCATCACTATTTAACCTACACTACGTTGTACTTACACGTCTTGTTTTTTTGCTCAAATGCAAGCTCCCTGGGGCACAAAGATTTTATCTGCTTTGCTTGCTGCTCTATTCACAGTGTCTAGATGAGTGCCTGGCACAAAGTAGGCATGCAATAAACACTTGTAAATAAACGAATGAATGGGAACATCTGCTCATTCATTCATTCAGTAATTATTTCTTGAATATTGTTTCAAGCATTGTTCTAGATTCTGAGAAATAACAAAATAGATCACTTATCTGCCATCATAGAGTTTATTTCCTACTTGAGGAGGGCAAAAATGCCAGATGGTGACAAGCACTATGGAGAGAAACAAAGGAAGCTAAGGAAGCTGGATTTCAGATTCATAAACATAAGATGCTGGAGTCCCACGTGAAAATGAGGGACAATATATAATTTCTGATGTAAGGAAATGCCAACATTTAAGGGATTAATGGAGGAAGGGAAGTCCATGAAGAAATCTGAGAAATGGAAGAAAAGCCAGGACAGGGCAGCCTCAGGGAAGTCAAGGAAGTGAAGAATCTTGAGAAGGAAGGAGTAATTCATAATGTCAAACTTCTAACTCATAGAGGTCAAGTACTATAAAGACAATAATGTGTTTTAAAAAATTGGGCATTTAGGTGAATTTACAAAGATCAGTTTCAATGGACCAGTGAGATCAGAAGCCATATTACCATGAACTAAAATGAGAACGAGATACAAGGAATTCAATTTGGTAGATATGATCCACTCTTCTCAAAAAGTGCTGCTTAAAAAAAAAAAAACAAAGGAAAAAACTAGATATTAAAGGAATAAATGAATTAAGAAGACAGCTAGGGGAACACTTGAAAACTTCATTACAACTGTTTTGAATACAGTCACGAAATTGAAGGCAGTTCTCTCATTCTCTCTTTCTCTCTCTCTCTCACACACACACACACACACTCACACACACTTTGCCCTCAGGAAGCTTGCATTTGAGCACAAAAGACCCATTATAATCTTAATTTTCAAAGGATGGCATTCTCATAAGCTTACATGAAGTTCCTAGAAGCATACAAACTTTATGAAAGCTGGGGCTTGTTTAGTGGTCAGCAAACTGCAGTTTAGCTTTACCCACAGGTTTAATGCAAACATAGGTGAGTCACAAAATGTATATTAACAATAAGAACAATATTATCAGCAACTGAAATAGAATGAGAGCAATAATTTTAGCACTAGCTAAAATAGAATGAATATCTAAACACTATGCTCCACACTGTAAATTTATTTTAGTTCATTTTTGAGATGTGGAAACTGAAGCTCACAGATGTAAATAACTTGTCCAGGGTTACAGGGCTTATAAAAGTAGAGCTGGGAATCAAACCCAGATCTGTTTAATTTCCTTTATGATTCCACTGTACCAGGCTGCCTCAGCTATATAATGCTTTAGTGTCTTACGCTATTGCAACTTGTAGATAAATTCCAAATGGGTGAAAGGCCAGAATGTAATAAATAAAGACATACAAAAACTAGAATGGATACATTAGTACTGGGAAAACTTGCTTGTTTTCAAAATTGAGAAAAATAGAGAAAAGATTTAAAAACATGAGTACATAAAAATGAAATAATTTCAAACTGGGAATATACTTATATTACATGCAGTAACATAATAGCCCTAACATATAAAGAGCCTTGAAAAATAGAAAAGTACCAGCAACTTTATAAAAAACTGAGCTAAACATATGAGCAAGAAAAGAATGCAGTATATTAGTAATCTATTGTCCAGTAGCAAAGTATCCCCAAATTTGGCAGCTAAAAACAATAAATATTTATTATTTTACAGTTTCTATAGGTCACTGATTCAGGCACAGCTTAACTGTGGCTCAGGGTCTCTCACAAGGCTACCATCAAAATGCTGTCATCTTGAGGTCGGACCAAAGAAGAATTTGCTTCCAAATTATATTGTAAATAGTCTATATATCTATAACATATTTTGAAGAAAAAATATAATCCCTAAAACTTAAAAGAAAAATGAAACAAATGAACTTTACTATTTATGAAGTTGATGACATAAGTACATAGGGAGGAATTATTTAAAATAACTTTAATGGCCAGTAATGTCGAGCATTTTTTCATGTGTCTTTTGGCTGCATAAATGTCTTCTTTTGAGAAGTGTCTCTTCATATCCTTCGCCCACTTTTTGATGGGGTTGTTTTTTTTTTGTAAATTTGTTGGAGTTCATTGTAGATTCTGGATATTAGCCCTTTGTCAGATGAGTAGATTGCAAAAATTTTCTCCCATTCTGTAGGTTGCCTGTTCATTCTGATGGTAGTTTCTTTTGCTGTGCAGAAGCTCTTTAGTTTAATTAATCCCATTTGTCAATTTTGGCTTTTGTTGCCATTGCTTTTGGTGTTTTAGACATGAAGTCCTTGCCCATGCCAATGTCCTGAATGATATTGCCTAGGTTTTCTTCTAGGGTTTTTATGGTTTTAGGTCTAACATTATGCAAATCAAAACCACAATGAGATACCATCTCACACCAGTTAGAATGGCAATCATTAAAAAGTTAGGAAACAACAGGTGCTGGAGAGGATGTGGAGAAATAGGAACACTTTTACACTGTTGGTGGGACTGTACACTAGTTCAACCCTTGTGGAAGTCAGTGTGGCGATTCCTCAGGGATCTAGAACTAGAAATACCATTTGACCCAGCCATCCCATTACTGGGTATATATCCAAAGGATTATAAATCATGCTGCTATAAAGACACGTGCACATGTATGTTTATTGTGGCACTATTCACAATAGCAAAGACTTGGAACCAAGCCAAATGTCTGACAATGATAGACTGGATTAAGAAAATGTGGCACATATACACCATGGAATACTATGCAGCCATAAAAAAGGATGAGTTCATGTCCTTTTTGGGATATGGATGAAGCTGGAAACCATCATTCTCAGCAAACTATCACAAGGACAAAAAACCAAACACCGCATGTTCTCACTCATAGGTGGGAATTGAACAATGAGAACACATGGACACAGGAAAGGGAACATCACACACCAGGGCCTGTTGTGGCGTGGGGGGAGGGGGGAGGGGGGAGGGATAGCATTTGGAGATCTACCTAATGTTAAATGAAGAGTTACTGGGTGCAGTACACCAACATGGCACATGTACACATATGTAACTAACCTGCACCTTGTGCACATGTACCCTAAAACTTAAAGTATAATTAAAAAAAAAAAAAAAGAAAATGCCTAAAATTCTCATTACTTATTTAATTGAACAAGTTTTCTCAGGGCTTAAGTCTAAAAAAATTAAAAAGAAGAATAGAATTAAAAAAATAAAATAACTTTAAAACACAGAAATTTATTTGTCTCTGTATTTCTAGTGAAAAATGGCTTAAAACCAACCAAGCAGACAAAACTGCCCCACATCATGGGAAAAAGCACAACAAAGACATTTAACTCTTTTCAATGATTATATTATTTGTGGTAATGTTGATGTTGTTGGTCTGTTATTTGTATGATGTGTGATAAACAGATGCATAATTATGTTGATATCCTTGTGAAGCAGGATTTCCAGCATGATAAAGTACAGATGTAAGATTAAAGAGATTAAGCACAAATCCTGTATTCTTGACTGTGAATTGGAATGTCAGTATAAACTCATGGCATATTTTCTCTGAAAGAAAAAAAATCTAGTTCTTTCTACTGAGAAGAACTGGAAACAATGGCCAGCCAATAGGTAACAACTGGCAACTCTATTGACCAGATTTCAGCCGCTACATAAATACCATTTCCCCCTAAAAGGAACCAAAGCACCTCGGAAAAATAGCTAGTTCTAGTTCTGAGACAAAACATATATAAGATAACTGCTACATCTTATACCAGAAGGAAGCTAATGATGATACTGTGATTACAGTTCTGTGTAAAGGATACAGGAAGCCAATTGAAGAGGCTTCTAGTGGCCAAAAAGTGAATAATTGGAGTATCAAGAATAACAACATAATGAATTGAAATATATCAAATGCCTCTAAGTTCATAGATTTATAACTATAAAATAAATTATATATTAATAATATATAATTAACTATATAATTGATAAGTAATGTAAAATATATTAAATACTAATAATATATTAATTATATTAATATTATATATAACATGCAATATAGTAAAATTTATATATAATGAAATTTATATACAAATATTATATAAAATATATTAATATCCAGATTGTTTACCTTTGCAGGATGCTAGAAACTAACTCACTTTTTATACTACAAGGGAGCTAAAGAAAAATTTATCCTGTTTTTCTACATAAACTCTACTACTGACTAACTAAATAGTTGATTAGGTGAAGTTTCTCCTTATATAGGTACTATAGTTAATAAATGAGGAATGAATGATAAAAATAAAATTTCAACATTTTTCAACCCCTAAAAGAAAAAAACAGATCTAGGAGATAATCATTGATGATGGATAATATCAGTAATAGAGAAAAAAAAAAAAAACCATGTTATTTATTTCCTAATGAAAGTACATACCAATGCCTATGAGGTATTTTTGCAAAAAAAAAAAAAATACAAAAACGCTAGATTAATCTTCTAATACACAGAAATGCAGGGGACCACAGAATATGTCAATCAACCCTATTAGGTTGCAATTATCAAAATCTAGCCTATGGGGACTCTATGGCTCATTTTTAATTTTTTTAAATTTTTATTTCTTTCTGTGACAGGATCTTTCTCTGTTGCCTAGGCCGGAATGTAAATGGCATGATCACAGCTCACTGCAGCCTTAACCTCCCAGACTCAATCAATCCTCCCACCTCAACCTCCCAAGTAGCTGGGACTACAGGCATATGCCACCACACCTGGCCAATTTTTGTATTTATTTTTTATTTTTTTTGTAGAGATGGGGTTTCACCATGTTGCCCCATCTGGTCTTAAAGCCCCTGGGCTCAGGTCATCCACCTGCCTTGGCCCTGCAAAGTGCTGAGATTACAGGCAACTCTATGGTTTAAATGATTAATGTTTAAAATAAATTGCAAGGGAAAAACATATAGGAAGAGGAACCTATAAATTAATATAGAAATTGCAAAATCTGAACCTTATTTGGTTCCTTATTTGAAGAACGTATTAAGAAAAGAGACAATGTGGAAATGTGAATACCGACTGGATATTGAATATTTAATAGTTAACAATCATTATTTTATTTTTATTTTTAAAAAGCATATGTATACATACATATATGCTTACATTGCATATATACTGAATTATTTGTGGATTAATTAATATATACTAAACTATTTGTGGATGAAATGACAGGTTGGGGATTTGCTTCCAAATAATCTGTGGGAAACGGAGAGTGAGAGTAAAGATAAAGCAAGATTGATTACAACATGATGATTATCAAAGGTGGGCAATAAGAACAGGAGAGCTTATTATACGATTCTCTAATTAGATACATTTTTGAAATTTTCCGTGATTTTTTAAGGAGGGTTGTTAAAAATACCGTATCAGTCTATTTCTGAGTTGCTATAAAGAGATACCTGAGCGGGGGTAATGTATAAGGAAAAAAGGCTTATTTTGGCTCACAGTTCTACAGGCTGTACAGGAAGCATGGTGTCAACATCTGCTTCTGGTGAGAGGCTTAGGAAGCTTATTATTATGATGGAAGGCAAAGGGGCACCAGCATATCACACGGCAAAAGAAGGAGCAAGAATATGATGGAGGGAAGTCCTAGACTCTTTTAAACAATCAGATCTTCCATGAATTAACTGAAGGAGAACTCACTTATCACCAAGGGGAAGGTGCTAAACCATTAACGAAGGAGCTGCCCCCATGATCCAATCTCCTCCCACAAGGTCCTACCTCCAATATTGGCAGTCACATTGCAATATGAGATTTGGAAGGGATAAACATCTGAACTAACATCACTTAGTTATGGGATGTCACTGGGATTCTTTTAAAACATTATTTCTGTATTTTTCTAAATGTTCGAAATGTTTTCTAATAATAGTACAAAAAATATGTTGATTAGTACAGTACTTCTCACTTAAGAGACATATAAGTTATAGCTCTTATTATCACGTCCTGAAAGTAACCAGCACCCCTCTATGACTGTTTATTCATTATTTTATGGATTTCAGTCTTTTTATGAATTTTAAGAAACTCATTTTCAATTGAGACTAACTCACTGATTCAGGGGAAATTGTTGAATTATCTTACTCCTTTAATAACTCCATTTTCCTACTTTTAAAAATAAAAACAAATGAAAGTTCATTGTTAATAGAGTTTAGTTTTCTGTGCTTCAAATTACTTGAAGAAAATCATTATTCAATATAAAGATTTTGTATGTAACCAATACGTAACTTACTCTATGATCTAAAAGAAAGATTTTGATAACAGAGCTAAATTATAAAGAGGAAATAGTGTTTGTTTTCAGATAAAGTTACATATAACTTTATCATTAATAAATAAAATGTTTTTATATGTAACTAATCTTGTCAATGATTACATTGCTTTTGCCTTTTGTTTACCGCATATTTCAAACATTTTAACATTTTCTCACCAAAAAAAAAAAGGTAGGGCGCATAACACATTTTTGATTTTCCCTGACAAGTGCTAGACCACATGAAAAACCTTGTGAAATTAATTTTCTCCTTTGTCTTTCTCCTATGCTATGCTGATTTGATGTGCCCCATGACTTAGTTCAGTCTCAAAACACGGCATTGGATCAATCGGTGAAGTTGGCATAACTTTAGTTGCTCTGATATAAGATTCTTTTAAAAGGAGTCACATTCATAAGATATTTTAGCCGCTAAAAAATAAAAATAAAAGTGTGTGTATTCTTGCTATTTTTTCCAAAGGAAAAGGGAATAAAAGGGGTGGTATGGGGAGTAGACGAAGACAAGGGAGTGCAGGACATGTGTCCTGGAGGTGGAACACTTTAGGCCTGTCTTTCATCTTCAGGCATGAGTTACAGGCATGCACCACTATGCCCAATTAATTTTTCAAAAATACTTTTTGTAGAGACAGGGTCTCGTTGTGTTACCCAGACTGGTCTTGAACTCTTGGCCTCAAGAAATCCTCCCACTAGGGCCTCCCAAAGTGCTGGGATTTTAAGCATGAGCCACTGTACCAGGCCTACTGAATAATTTTAAACTAATTACAAAATTAGACATAGCAGATCAGCAAAGGTATAGTAACTATTTCTTTTAGATCGGTGACTAAACAGGAATGTTAATATCGTCTGCCTCCCTACTTAGTCCAAGCTCTGAGATTGAAAGAAACTACTCAAGGAAACAAAATAGATCCGTGGGGCAGACATATATACCCAGAATTGCTGCCTCCCCACAAAAAGAGGGGACATATCTCCGGATCTTTCATCTTTTAAGTAGATAAGATTTGTCTAGTGGAACAAACGTGAACCAATGTATGTCACTGTCCCTCCCAGTTAGGTAAGTCATTGCTCCCACTTGGGCAGAAATGAGGAAGACACACCATGAGTATTACTCTAGTAGAGGTCTCTCCACAAGGAAATATGAAGCTATGTATACATTCACAGTGTAGGATATTCTCCATTTTTATTGTTTTGACCCTCATCTTTATGTAAATACTTTCCAAGTCCATATCTCTAAGTCATTATGTGTGTCTAAACTTTCCAACATTGAAACTGCCTACTCTCTTTCTCTCCATCCCCTGCCCCATGCTCCCCTCTGTTTTGGTCAGCGGCACTATGACTCTCCAGTAATCATTTGCATCATCTTTTATTCATCACTCTTCTTTGTTCTATTGGTTCTTCTTTTAAAACATCTCTCATGTTCCTCCTTTCTCTCCAATTTGTACTTCTGTCATCCTATGCCACTTTTTATTTGTCATGCATTCCTTTAACAGCTATTGATTAAGGACATACCAAATGTCAGAACATTTTTTAGGCAGTGGAGATACAAAAGAAAGGTACATCAATTCATCCTTCATGGGGCTTAGAAAAATGAATGAAGAGTTATCAAATAGTAGCCCAAACAAATGGATAGACTCAACATAGACAACTGCAATGCCTCAAAGACACTTAGTGCTATGTGAGCCTATAATCAGAAGCTTAGGGAGGTGGGAAATGACTTATCTGGGAAGTGACACTCAAGTTGAAATGTAAAGTATGAGTAGGAGTTAATTAGACAAAGAAAGCAGAGAGGAACACTCTAGGTCACACTCCACATGTGCAGATGCCTTATAATTGGAGGTAGCATGGTGAAGAGAGGTTACAAGAAGCTAAGTGCTGATTTGGGAGAACACGGTACAGAGTCAGAAAGCTGGAGAGGTAGGGAGAGGCCATGTAGAGCCTTGTATAACATGTTAAGAAATATTTTCTTTATTTTGAGATAAAAGAAAGTTATCGACATGATTAAACAAAGGGGTAACCTGATCAGATTGAATTTTCAAAAGATCACTTTTGCATTTTTGGATCACTGCCTTTGCTTCCCAATTGATTGTATGTGTGCCTCCTATCCCTTCACCTTGTGAATTATTATACATACCAATGTCCACATAATTGTCACAGGGTGCTGTTTTAATCTTATCTGTTTCCTGATCAAATAGTTTAGATGGCTTCCCATTATTCTTAGGACACAGTCCAAACTATTAGATCTGTTCTACTGAAGCTTGCTAGCATCTGGGTTCAGTCTCCTTGTCGAAAATAATTTCCCACTTCTTCCCAACACTGATTGGTTTGGCTAAGTCAATCTTCCACTTGCCTTGCAAACACATCTATCTCACTTCTGCCTTTCATTTTTTTGTTCAAAGTTTTGAGGTTTTGAAACTCCTGCCAAAATCTTTCCTCTTACTAAAATTCAAACACATTCATGATTCCGCTCAAATCCTCCCTTCTCTGTGAAATGTCCCCTAACCAATCCAGATCATTGTGTGAGGGCACTGCCCCTAAACCCCAACAGTACTTGTATAATTGTCACAAAGCTAAACAAGACTGGGCTTTTCACAGGCATAGTTCTCTTGCGAAATGCAATTTATTTCCTATTTTAGGCACCATCATCTTGGCTTCATATGTCAATTTAGACCTATATTATGACCTTCTTAGCAATATCATTTTGTTATGTTTTTCCACTCTGAATGTGATTTTTTTTCTAAAGAAAGCTTTGGAAAATAGAGAAAAAGTAAAAGAGAATAAAAGTCTAATTCTAATTCTTATAAAGGATTTTCATTCAGTGTTCTTAAAAGTTTTTTGGTAATATTTTTAGTTGCTTCATGATATACTATTCAGTTGCTATTCCACAATTTATTCAACCATGCTCTGTTTCTGGGCATTAAAATTTTTCCATTTCATTATGATGTAAATAATGTGGTTAAACCATAATTTCTTTTCATAGGTCCCAATTATTTTCTTAGGACAGATTTAAAAATATAGACTTACTGGGTCAAGGAGCCAGTTTTTGTCACTTACCACCTAATAGCTTTCCAACAAGGCTGTACTACAAATAGTACATGAAAAATATTCATCTCAGCACATTCTCACTCACATGGGCTTTTATCATTGCATATATCTTTAGTAATCCAATATTTTAAAAGTAATGTAGTGGTAATATTTTGAGTTGAATATCTGTATGTAATGAGGTTTAACATTTGTATATAAATTATCTGAGAGAGTGAATGTTGGGGAAATTACAGCAAGAATGGGTGCAGGACTAGAAGGCTGCAATAGCTAGAAGGCTTTTTATCCTGAGGCTAGATTCTTTGATTTATTCTGCAAATACAAGTGCTGTGCTGGCTCTGTCAGGCACTATACTCTATATCAGATTGGCCATAAAGCAGTGGTTCCCAAATTTCGCTACATATTGAAATCACCTGGGGATTATTAAAAACTGTGACTACCTAGCTCCCACCCACAGACATTCTGATTTAATTGGTATAGGGTGTGACCTGGGCAGCAAGAGTTTTAAGTTTCCCCAGGCAATTTCAATGAGCTGCGAAGTTTGAGAGCCCTGTCAGGG
The DNA here is from genome assembly GCF_000001405.40 of Homo sapiens. Taxonomy (NCBI): domain Eukaryota; kingdom Metazoa; phylum Chordata; class Mammalia; order Primates; family Hominidae; genus Homo; species Homo sapiens. Next base: position 99,018,702 of record NC_000001.11, on the reverse strand, counting down.
TTAAAAAAGGTGAAGTCACAGAACACAACAAGACAACAACAACCAGTGTTTTGAGAGTCTGTCAGACTTCCTCTCCAGTGGGTTATCTCAGACAGTGACTTTAAACAGTACTGCTTGGATGACTTCAAAATGATAAGACTATGCATTCAGCAAAACGAGACACTGATCATGACCAAATAGCTGTTTACTATCTCAGCCTAAATCTTAGCTTTCATTTGAGAAGCCTGGTAGCCACAGATACATCAAAGGTGACCTCCTCAGTGTCCCTTGTGAATCAGTTGAATGGAGCAGAGCTTTGCCTGAGAGAGTCATTGTTAAAACAGAACTCAGGCGTTTACACAATATGCCTGGTAAAAAATATTGGCATATTGTAAATACGCTTAGTATTTTGATATATGTGATTATGTTAGTCAAAAACAATATATATTTTTTATTTCCTCTGTAAATTACTTATTACAGGGTATATCTCTCCTAGCATAAATATAAAAAGTGTGTGCAAAGATTTATCTATCTTGATTTTTTTGTCAGAACATACATCTCTGGATTTAACACTTGTGAATCAGTTAGGTGGAGAAGGGCTTTGCCTGAAAAGGTCATTGTTAAAACAGAACTCAGGCCTTTACCCAGTATGCCTTGTAAAAATATTAGCATAATGCTGTAAATACACTTAATATTTTGATATATGTGAATTGTGTTTATTAAAAATAATATACACTTTTTAATTTTCCCCGTGAATTACTTATTATAGAGTATATCTCTCCTAGCAAATATGTATAAAGTGTGTGCCAAGATTTTTTATCCATCTCCTTTTGATTTAGTTGTCAGAACATATAACATCTGGTACAGCTAAAGCCCATAGTCTTAGACATTTTTCTTTCATTGCACTCTCAGTCTGCACATCATTAGTACAATTCAGATGGAAATTTCATAGAGATGCAATATTGCTAAAAGATTGTACGTCCCCAGAAAATTTGACCCCCCCAAATTTGATTTATTTAATATATTTGCATTTTAATGGTTTCTCTGAAAGGGCAATCTTCTAATCAAGACGGGCTGCTGTGGTTTTACTGAGTAATTCACAATTTTCAACTCATTTGTATGTGTTTGTTAATATGCGGTATGAATATTTACACAATGTATAAGCACATATGGATTATGTTTACCTGAAATGCATGTTTAAAAATTTGAAAGACTGAGCATTTGGTATTTTGGTTACCTTACAGATGTTAGTCCTTTAGTTAATTATATTCCACTGAGTCAGTCTCCCAATTTCAAGGTTAATAATAACTAACTCCTGTGTGGTACCCTAATGTTTATAGTACTCTTCACATACATGAACTCATTTAATAGCATTCCTGAACCTTTGGGAAGGTTCAATAATCCTAAGAAGCTACAAGTAAACCACTTTAAAGAGCCAGCTCTTCCCCGCAAGCCTCTATCATTAACCTTCAAAGATGCAAGTTCCTAAGCTATTTCTGAATAAGCTGTTAGATTTAGGTAGTGGACATGGTCAGTGGATGTGGTCAGAGGGTGACCTACTATCTGATATGGCCAGATTGAATTCTGGCACTCTCCCCTCTCACCAGCCCCAGCCTCCTGCCAAACTCCACTTTCTAGGTTCGATTGACACAAATGTGTTTTGTTCCCCTCCAATGCCTCTTTCGTAGTCCCCTAGTTCTCCACAGGAATTGGTACAGTCTCCCTAATCACTGAGACAGGGTGCCTATTTGTGCCACCCACTGGCTACCCTGCAAAGGAACTATTGGATTTAAGGACTAAGTTCTCTCCAGCTACTGGATGGGATCTGCTCTTAATGCATTGATTTGTTGTCTGTGGTGTCCACCATACTTCTTAGGATAAACACCATACATACCAATTTCAAAACACTGTTACATGTCAGTCTCCATTATTCGTAAGCATCATGTTTATCATCTGCCAAATGCAGATACCTCAGAATATGTATCTGTCCATATGGGACTAAAGACTCTCACAAAACATGTCACCTTCTGTGTAAAAATAAAACTATAAAAATATTAGAAGCTTAGTATATTGTCACCCTTTCTTCTTTTTCCATGTTTCAGATATTTTTCCTTGATGTTTCTGGTATACAGGTCTATGAATTATAATACACATATAGTTCAGATCATCACCATAACAACCAAGATGCAAGACAGTTCCATCAGTCCAAAGAACTTCCTCGTGATATTCTTTCATGGTCACACCAAAGCCCTGGGAACCACTGATTTGCTCTCTGCCACTACAGATGTGTCTTTTTAAGAATGATATAAAAACAGAACAGTACAGTATATAACCTTTTGAGACTGGCTTCCTTCCTGAAGTATAATGTCTTTGAGATTCATCCAAATTATGGAGTTTTTTTTCTTTTATTGTTCATTAGTATTCTATTATATGGATATATCACAGCTTGTTTACTCAAATATATTGTTGAATACATATAATGGTTTTTTGGAATTGGTATAACATATTAAAAATTGTCAGTATGATGCAATAGAAATACCTTGGGAACTAGCCAGATCTAGATTCAAACATCAATTCTGCTGCTTATGAATTGTGGGCAAGTAGGAAAGTACTCTGACACTCAAAATTTGCAAATCAGGGAGTAATGATATTAATTTCATAGGGTTTTCAAAATAATTAAATAAAATTAAAGCATGTAAAGTGTCTGTCACATAGCAAATAGCCAAACATGTCTATTTTCCCACCCATCTGTCATAAAGTTGAGGTAGCCTGGTATATATGTTTAGAAATTGTTATCATCCTGATTCATAGGTGTGGAAATTCTTAATACTGACTTTTTTATGAATGATTTTGTTAACAGACCAGAGATAATCTATTGTACTATGCATAATAGAGATCTTTGCATATCATAAATTCTTAACAAGTAAGTTTCTTTACAAGTGCAAAACACTAGGTTGCATGACTTTCTAGTACAAGGTTGTCTTATGGAGTGAGTTCCTAGAAGCCAGGAATTTGGTAAATCTGTTTGAAATATAACCAGCAGAACTGGTGACACCATGTAATCTGATGCTGATAAGTGATTGATGCAAATTTTATGTGTTCCTTTTCAGGCAGTCATATCCAACTGGAAAGAGGGAAGCAAAACTTAAGGCAAAAAAGGCTTGGGTGGTCCAGACAGCATTAGGAAAGTCTTCCGATGAAGCTGATTTCTAAGCATCCTTATCTTAGTTGATACTGGACCCCATCGCTTGTCAGTAATTGACTTGTTGCAATTCCTGAAGCATAGCATATGACTTTATCAGTATGAGCAAGAAGATGCAATTAAATTTCTAATCCAAAGTTAAAAAATATGAGTGTGCTTATTCCAAACTCCTCATATTTTGCCATTTCCTACTTCTGGCTATAAGTAAGAGTGACCTTCATTATCAATATTTATAGTATGAAAATCACATTGAAGGGGGTTTTAGTGGAGTTGTTTTGCCAAATAAATCATTAGAGTTATGTGCCATTAATTCAGTTTTAACTTGTGCTTTTTGACTTTTATAATGAGGTAATAAAAATTAACTTTGTCTCACACTTAACTTTAAAGAGTTCAAATCTGTCAGATTGGGAGGCATGATATCATTAAAAGTGAGTACATATGATATATTTCTCAATGTTATAATTTATGAGATCACCTAGATAGTTCAGCAATAAAGCATACCTACATGACCTTGTATAGACTGATGCAATTAAAGTTGTCAGTGAGCAAGTCTTTTTCACCTAAAGAAATGGCAACTTCACATAGTTCAACCTAATAAAACATCCCAAGATGTTGACTTAGGAGAGCTGTGGGTTCTTCTAAGTAGAATTTAGTGTGTAACACCCTCCCAAGTAGAGTCTAAGCTACTCCGGGAGCTGTTATAACCTAAATTGTATCCCCCTAAATTCATGTGTTGAAGACATAAGTTGCAATGTAATGGTATTTGGAGACAGGGTTTTTAAGGAGGTAATTAAGGTTAAATGAGGTAGTAAGGGTGGGGCCCTAATCAGGTTCGACTTGTGTCCTTATGAGAAGCAACACCAGAAATCAATGTCTCTTTGTGCACACACCAGGGGAAGGCCATGTGAGGACAGGGCAAGACGGCAGCCATCCACAAGCCAGCAAGAGAGGCCTCACCAGAAACCAATCCTGATGGGTGTCTTTGTCTTAGACGCCCAGTGTTCACAAATATGAGAGAATAAATTTATATGGTTTACAGTCTGTTGTTATTTTGTTATGGCAGCTCAAGGAGACCCTGATACAGGTGTCTACACCCAATTCTCCTCTAATCTCCTGGTTAGGTAACCAAGACAGATTATCAAATATTAAAGGGATATAGGGGCACCTACTCTTCAAACCTACAGCCTCATCTGCAGGTCCACTGAACACCAAAATGAAAACTCTGTGTCACTCAAGAGCAACTTCCATTTCTATTTCCAAAAGAGTAATTTTATGCTTCTGTAGAATTACAATTATGTTAGGTTTAAAAGTCTGCAGACTCAAGCTTGAAATTTCTTGAGGTCTCTGTACTGCCTGCTGTAACAGCACACGGAAGTCCTGTGCTTATCATGTATTTTGTCCACTTTGTCCCAAATTCACTTTGCCACATCCCTGACATGCCACCATTAGTGACTTATATCCTAAAAGTTAACAGGGCTTAAAAGTGAAACTGCAAATACACCTGTGGCAGATCCCTTTGTAACACAAGTTACAAAGTATATTTGTATATGCTGTCTCATTTATTTCTCTCAACCAAAAACACACATTGTTGTTAGGCCCATTACGCAAACTGAAATTTCCCACATAAACTTTTATTCCTTAACATTTATATTAATCAGGTAGATACATAAAGAAGCTTTTTTTTTTTTTTTCTTTTTTTTTTTTGAGACAGTATCTCACTCTGTCACCCAGGCTGGAATACAGTGGCACGATCATGGCTCACTGCATTCAACCTCCTGGGGCTCAAGGGATTCTCCCGCCTCAGCCTCCAGAGTATCTGAGACTATAGACACACACTTCCATGCTCAGCTAGTTTTTTTTTTTTTTTCTGTAGAAATGAGGTCATGCTATGTTGCCCAGGATGGTATCAAACTCCTGGGCTGAAGTGATCCTTCTTCCTCTGCCTCCCAAAGTGCTGGGACTTCAGGTGTGAGGCACCTCACCTGGCCAAGAAGCAACATTTTACAGTAGAACAACACCTGGACTAAGATTCAGAGAACCTACATATGGGACATGCTTGGAATCCTTTCTCATAAAAAGTCATTTAGATAGAGTTAAATATAATAGATACAGATACACTCAGTCCAAAGAACTAAGCTACTTGATAATGATAAAAACATGACTTTGTCTTGCTGAAAATAGTAATAGTAATAAAGTAAACTGGAAATTAGAAAACCAAGAGGTTCTCTTCCTTGCTCTGTAGTTACATGACCTCAGACAATTAGTTAATTACTTTGGGACTGGTTTCTTTGTTTAAGATGAATGGGATTCAAATTGTAGCCCAATCCAAGGTTCACTTCTGGCTCTTCTTGTCTTTGAGAATGATAACAGATTTAGGAAAAACAGACCTTCCTTCATGCTCTGTCTAGTTTCCTAATCATCTGCTTTGAATGAGGTATTTTGTCATGAAGAATGAAAAGGTGGACGAACTGCAATTGTCTCAAGGGCGTTTTTCCATAAAAATTTCAGATGATTTTCAGAATGCTATTTTGGTGATGGTGAAAACCCTGCCCTAAATTTCATCACACTTGCATGGATTACCAAATTATGAGGCTATATTCTCCCCAAGAGTTTACAACTATAAGCAAGGAATATAATTTTCATTAAGGAAAGAAAATAATTGTCGAATTGGAAGATACTAAGTCATGGAAAATTTTAACTTTAAAAATATAATTATTGGCCGGGTGCAGTGGCTCATGCCTGTAATCCCAGCACTTAAGGAGGCCGAGGTGGGTGGATCACCTGAGATCAGGAGTTCAAGACCAGCCCGGCCAACCTGGTGAAACCCATCTCTAATAAAGAATACAAAAAAAAAAAAAAATTAGCCAGGCATGGTGGTGTGTGCCTGTAATCCCAGGTACTCAGGAGGCTGAGGCAGGAGAATCACTTGAACCCGGGAGGTGGGGGTTGCAGTCAGCCAAGATCACGCCACTGCACTCCATCCTGGGCGATAAGAGCAAAACTCCATCTCAAAAGAAAATATATAGATATAATTATTTAGGCCAGGTGCAGTGGCTCACACTTGTAATCCTAGCACTTTGTGAGGCCAAGGCAGGAGGATAGCTTGAACTCAGGAGCTCAAGAACAGCCTAGGCAACATAGTGAGATGTCCTCTCTACAAAAAAGTCAAAAAATAAGCCAGGCATAGTGGTGCACACCTGCTACTAGCTACTTAGGAGGCAGAAGTAGGAAGATGGCTTGGGCCCAGGAGGTCAAGTCTGCAGTGAGCCATGATCACACCACTGCACTCCAGCCTAGGTTACAGAGTAAGACTTTGTCCCAAAATAATAATAATTAATAATAGGTATTTATATACTGTACCACTATGAAATTAAACAAAGTCATTTTGAAAGAAAGTTGGGGAAAATATTTGGAAGAGAAGCATATCACTGTGAATATTGTTTTGTTTACTTTTCTGAGTATCACTGTTATTGTATCAGTATTTCTAAAGACATTTCATTATATCAATCAACCATTATAACCAATGCCTTAATGTGTAATGATGCCGTACATGTTCAATTAATGGAGAAGTACAAAATATTTCCACTTGTTTAGTCACTGATGACTTGCTTTAATACATCTTTAGGCTAATATAGATCTCTAATAAAGATAGAAGAACATGAATAGTGAAAACTCAGTTAACTTCATAAAAGAGGGTATCCTGGGGAACTACAGCTTTTATTAATAGAAACCCTCTTTTTTTGTCAGAACTCTTAAATTAGTAATCAAAACATGCTGAATATACTGCATTTATCTTTGATGATCTGACACAGGGGTCATTATTTTAATGTTCAGTTCTTACTGTTCATTACTGTAGCAGAACAAGATGTAGAAGATTGAATTTTTTAAGTGCTGATGGCAGGGTAAACTCTGGACATTTTGTAAAAAAGTGCCTGAAATATGTTTGTTTGGTTTTTTTTGAAACAACAACAAGACTATTTATTTAGTGACTACTATACGTCAGAAAGGGGGGGGTGCCATTTTACTCACAGATTTCTGATCCTCACAACTATCTCCACTTTACTGAAGAGGTGTAACAGCATTAGTTTTGGTTTACTTCTCTTTCAAAAAGTGGTGTGCAGAATACTATTATGTTCTCCATTTAATTGAGGCTTCCAGTGTGGCAGGGGGTCCAGTTATGAATAAATCAGGTTTTCGTTAATCAAGATTATGAACCTTGATTTGTTCATCTGCTCTTGATCCCAATTTTTAAAGATGAAAATTAATAGTTGATTATGGTCCAAGTATTAACATAAAGAATGATTTTGAGTGCCTAGTTTCTGTCATATTTTTATTTCAGTCATTTACCTAGTACAGGACACTGAAGGACAACCAGGCAAATGCTGATTAGCATTCATAGTCTGTAGCTTTGACAAAGAACCTGCAGCTGTCATCAGCTTAGTTGCCCCATGTGTTCTGTATCAGTGCTAAAGAACCTTTGTTTCTCAAAGTATTAACAGGACTTGTGATTTAGTTTAGAGTGGTCCTCATTTATCATAACACAAATAATGACTTTCAAGTGTCTTTAAGAAACATGAAGTTACAAAAACACTTCTGTAGGAATGCTGCCACAATTCCAAATGGATCAATGAAAGTTTTGCTGATTCAGCAGTGGCAGAATTATACCAGTGTAGGTGATGAATAACAATCACAGTAATGATCGTGGCTATCATGAATGGCCTAGGCTCTGTAAGGCACTTCGGTGAAGTAGGAAACATTATCCTCATTTTAGGATACTGTAGACACTGAGAAACTGAAATGACCTGGTCAAGCCCCACCATCATGATTCTACAGTGCAAAGATACAAACTCTGATCTGTTGAATCCCCAATCCTTGCATTTAACCACCATATTTCACAGACACACTCTTATGTACTTTTCTTAGTAATTGTTATAGTTATTCTCAGGGAATTTGAATATTTTGAAACGTCCTCTGATTTTATAGACTCATGGATTTATACTTAACAATGTGTATTTTTATGATTAACACATATAGTAAACAATCCAATATTCACAGATGTGAAAACAGACCAGGCAGTGATGAATCTGAGTTTTTGTGAGTTGGAACCCAGTGATGGGAAGAAAACCCGGGACCTACTTAGATTAGTCATTCTCTTTTCCTGATCACATATTTTCTAATGCAGATTTTCCCAATGCTTTACTATTTATGAAGCATTTTATAAATATAAGCCTTTTCAACATCTTTGCATAGTTAAGATTCATTCACCCAATTTTAGAGATGAGCAAACTGAGACTCAGAGAGACTAAGTAATTGCCAGGTTTACACAGTAAACATTATCAGCATGTTCCAATTAACTTTTGCTAACTTAATAATTTAAAAATGTTATGTTCACATAAGAGTGTCCCCTTACATATTAGTTAAGTATTTCATTTCTTTCCCAGCCTTAATATTTTATTTTATTTTAGCTCTTTTCACCTGGTCCATTAATTTCACATCTGTACCTTCGGTGAAATATAACTAGATTCTCTAATAAAATATACGTTCTGTTTGTGATAACTGTGTTAAAAGTGAAAACTTAAAATACTGGAAATGTAGAACAGAATAAGCTATAATACAGTCGCAGAGTAAGGCATTTTAAAGACATCTCAGCGGTCCCAAGATAAATACGACTTGTCCAGGTCAGATGCATCTGGCCTTTGAGATAAATATCCCATAACAACTGGAAACTCAAAGACAGACACTCCAATTACTACCCTAGCTGTTTTTCTTCCTGTTTGCTTAAGAAAGCAGCTACAACCTAAATTAAGCACTGGAAATCATTTTGTGAGGATATAGTACCGTATGATGTCAATATGAAGAGGTCAAGGGTGTAATCCCAAATGTTCCTACCTTTTCAAATTTGCCTTTCAGAATTTTGTATCTTTGAATTTATGTGAATGTCTTTAAGCACACATTTCTTGAGTTAACCAGATTCTACATCTTATTTCTCTTATTCAAGCTTCAGGGGCATTCCTCACATCAAGTAGTCTGGGAGTTAGTAGACTAGTGTATTTGTTCATTCTCCAGATTCAGTCCAGTAAAAAGCTGCTAGATACTGCCTTTTGTAGGCTTTTAAATAATTTTAGAATAAAATACCAGATACTCTTACTTATTCTGAAAGCAGTTACCTGGTCTATTAAAAATATCTCTTTCCAAATTTTCCCCTATGAGATCTTCCACCAATCTATATGTTAATATTTGAAGTTCCTCATTAGTTCATACTCATCTAACTTTGTGCACCCTTGAATCTCCTTAACTATCTCTAGCTCAGGTTTGACATTATGAATACAGGTTTTGTTGCTGTTGTTGTTGTTGTTTAAAGGAGAAATCTATTCTTTTGGAGATGCTTCCCGTTTGTCTTATGTAAAACTGTCTCAATCCTTCATATTACACCATCTCAGCTAAAATTTTTTTCTCTGTTTTTGCATATGGAATGAGAACATTTCAGGAAAATGGCTTGGCTTATGTACTATTTACCCGAAACACATGGAAATCAACATTTAACATTCTGTATTTTTTTTTTGGAAATGCTCAGGTATGTCTTTGCCAACAACATTATGTCTATAAACCAATGAAGGTCAAATCCTTGGCCCTTAGAGGAAAATCTCAATCTAGCTCTCTCAACAATAAAAGATTTGTTGTATAGAACCAAACTGATAATAATCTTGAGGAGCCAGGTACAGATGTACTGTACTTTTCTAGCAGACACCTTAGGTTTTCGAAGTTAAATAGGAAGAATACACTCACTTATCTAAGCCATCCACAAATATTCAATGCTCGCCCATTCAAGGACTATCCTCTATCCTACGAAGATAGAGGTCTCCTCCACCTTGACTTTTTGTACATCCATCTTCTGTCTGTGAAAGAAGAATTATAAACCTTATGGATGAGGACTATATCTTCCCATGCTAGTTGAGCACCTTACTAGTTTTTTTTTTTTTTTTTAGTTGCTGTTCATCAGTTTATTATCTATATCTGAAAAATCATCATAGAAAATTGTTTGGTTTGGCTCTCAGCAGCCCGCTCCTAAGCTCTGAGGAAGCTTGCCTTCTTTTGAGCTACCCAATCCTTCTTCTGAGCAAGGGACATTTTGGAACGGTTCCACCTCTTCTTTTTAACTTCTTTCTTGGGCTTCTTTTCATAGACCGGATTCTCTGGTACAGCAGCATGAGCTTTCTTATACATCTCCTCCATCATGTCTGGAGTTACACTGTTCTTTATGTATTGAGAGAACTGTTTCTTGTAAGCATCTTCATCTTCTTCCAAGAGCATACAGTATTGGGGTGGAGAGAGGTATTGGAATTGATAAATGTTTCTCCCAAGATTTGTCTTAACATTTACCATGGTTCATGTTTTATGGCGGAGAAACAAAGTGGGAGTGGGAGTGGTTAAGTCATGCACATCTAACTATAATATGAATGATGAGAAATTGGAAAATAAAAGTTATGAATTCCACATTTTTAATCTAGATTATTCACGTTGGTAGCAGCTGAGATAGGGACAGTTTGAAGGACAAGACAGTGTTTTGCTAAGACTGACAGCTATAATACATTTGAAAGCACAATGATGTGCCTAAGAATGAAATTAAGGATTCAGGCAGGATTGTAAAGGATTAAATATCAGTAGTGCTGTTTTTCATCTAGAAAGAGCCAGAAACTTAAGTAAAAATTGAGGCAGGATTCCAAGGGATTCTTTGCAGTTGGAAAGATATATTTTGGAAAAGAATTAGCTTAAGTGACTTAATAGAAAATAAAGTGAAGAAACATCTAAATAAGTGCCTACTTTGGACCAGGTAGCTCACATATTCTCATTTAATTGCCAAAATAAACCCAAACGTTAAAAAAATTACTTCATTTTGCCCCCGAAGCAGCTCAGGCTTAGGAAGGTAAAGGAATTAGCCCAAGGGCACATAACTCATGCTCTTTCATCCACCCTGAACCACTTCTATGAATACCTAGTCTGCTCAAATATTCATGGAAGGTGAATTTAATACTGGTATCCTTATAACATGTGTTAAGATTCAATATTAACTTTGAATTTCAGCACTGGATTGTTATCCAACCATGAATCAGTCAACGACATTCTTTCACCATCTAAAACAGACAAATAATGGGGGATATTAGAATTCTGAAGGAATATAATATCTTATTCCTGAGATGGATAGCATTTAAAGGAGAAGACAGAAGGTGCACAAATCTATAAAAATATTTGCACACTTACAAAAATATGGGTTCAACCAGAATCATTCTGTAAGCAATAAAATGAGAAGAAAGTGACTGGTGATGGCTGTTGAAATGCCCTGAGTTACTTAAGGTAGGTTAGATACATTTATGTAGAAATTAAATTTTACAAAATGTGCCAGACATAATAAGCTTAGCATCATTTAATCATTATAGCCACCTTGTAAATTAGGTACTAGTATTATCTCAATTTTACTGGTGATGAAACTAAGGCAGAAAGAGTTCGGACATCATGCCCAGGCTTCCAGAGGTGGTAAGTGGCAGAGCTAGCATTTGCACTGAGGCAATACCAGAGTCACTGCTCTTATGCTGAACTTACACCTTTTACTTCAGTGTGACCATGTAAGTATGTGGGCTGTGTTTATCCGGATTCTGACTCCTTAACCCTTGACAAATTTTGTACGTGAAAACAGTTTCCCATTGTACTTAGAGGAGTCAGTTCGTTTATTTACTCGACAAATTTTTCTTAAGTAACCATAATGTGCAATACAGTGCAGTGCTCATGCTGGGGACACAGCAGTGAACAGGTCAGACAAGGACTCTGCTGTGTTGCATGTACTGTGCTGGGCACTCCATACACATTAACAACGCAATACAATGAGTCTTAATTGTGAAAATAATGCTCACTTTCATTAGACTGAAGAAATGAGTTGCCCTTAAAAATTAACATCATTCTTCCAAAAATTGGAAAAATGTCTATAAACAAGACTTCAGGGGCATTCCTCAGCGAATGAGATAGTTTGGGGGGATTCCTACTTAGAACCAGAGTACCAGTTTAAATACCCTTACAGTCTCAGAATGATTTTCTTAATGAAGCCTTAAAACATGTATCTTTGTAGTAGTTATATTTTCATAATATAAGCTGCTCATGTCCATTTTGGAACAGCTTACTCCCACTGCCCAAAACTGCTTGTTATACACATTGCTTAGTGTTGTCTATCTTGTAGCTCTAAGTAATTAGTTGTGGAATTATGTTTACGACAATGCGGAGGGTGAGGTATGTATGATACTACATTAAAGAAACTCACACTGCCTTTACTATCCCATCCCAAAACTACCAATCATTTGCCAAATTTCAACAGATTTTTAAGCCAACAGTGTTTTGTTTTGTTTTTCCTGATGATAAAGGCCCACCTCTAAAATTCATCAAGCTACAGCCTATTACAATGAACCAACATTCTAGAACCCTGCTAAGGTGATTCCAGGTTTTAATGAGCAGGGCAGGGCTCTAAAAATATTTTCCTCCTCTTGCTTGTATTCATGCTTCCTCACCTGCTCACTGGAGTAGAGGAGTGTCAGCCTGAGGCTCAAAGAAAGACCCCTTGAGAGTCTGCTGACTAAGCTTGCAGCAGGGACCCACATGGCATGACAGAACGGGCTCCTTGCACATATGCAGTTCCATAGTTAGTTACATACCCACGCATAGGCGTGGATAGCCATGGACGGATGAATTTTTGTATGCATGTGCTGTGAGCCAGCATTGGTCTCCCTCTCCTTTATCCCGACCCCTGAGGAATCCCTGCAGTTCCCTGGAATTCAGGGAATAAAGAACGAGATGAGGCAAATAGTCCTTTTTCCTACCCTGGTGGCTGGGACCGCTCAGTGCCTGGAATCTGCAATGCCTCCTCTCACAAGCAGCTAATAAAGACAGACTGAAAAGATGAGCAAGAGAATGCATGGATCCAGGAAGGGGCCGCTGTACAAGAGATGATGCTTCGGGAGCTACTGGGCTATGATTTCTATTATTATTTGTATATACATATATATATACACAAAGCCCTAGGAAGCTGCAGAGGAGGCAAAGAAACCTCGCTGAGATTTTTCTAACAGCGCCTAGAAACCACCGCCAGGCTCCAGCCCCGGGCTGGGTCAAGGAATTCGAGGGATGCAGGCTGAACGCACCGGTTGAAACTCTGGGCGCCGCATCGGCACTTTGCGCCTTGGTGGGCTTTGCGCTCGGAAGACGCGTCCACGCACCATTTTCCCAGGCGTTGTGCGGGTTTCTTAAACCTCTCAGCTGGTGCCTCGGAAGAGTTTCTGGAAGCTCCATCTCTACTGCCTCCCCTCCCCCCCTTTTGATTTTACCCCCGCCAGGAGCTTCTCCAGCCCCACAGCGTCCGCCCTGTGAGGGGTACAGGTGCCGCTGTCCCGCCGGCTGCCGCCCCGTCCGCCCACGCAGCGCCTCCTCCGGGCTAGCCTGGGGGATTGACCCAGCGCCGCTGCTTCTCGAATGGTCTCGTGCAGGGGCGCAGCGGCCGCTGCCCGTCGCCCGGGACTCCCCGCCCTCCCTCGCGACCCCGCGCCGGGGCGGGCGGCGCTTGCGGCGGGCAGGGGGCGGGCAGGGGAGAGGGGGCTCGTCCGGGGGTAGCCGCCTCCTCTGCAGCCTGCCGGCGCCTCGAAGCCCGGACCTGCCTCCGCCTCTTCCTCCAGCGGCTCCATCCCGCCTCCCGTGCCTCGTCCTCCCGCCGCCTCCGCCGCCGCGCCCCCGGTGGCTGCCTCGGCGGACCGGGGAGGGGGCCCACCGCGTCGACCGCCCGCTCGGCTCGGCTCGGCCCGGCCCGGGAGGCGTGCATGCCCCTGCTGCCCGCGGCGCTCACCAGCAGCATGCTCTATTTCCAGATGGTGATCATGGCAGGGACGGTGATGCTGGCGTACTACTTCGAGTATACGGACACGTTCACCGTGAACGTGCAGGGCTTCTTCTGCCACGACAGCGCCTACCGCAAACCCTACCCGGGCCCGGAGGACAGCAGCGCCGTGCCCCCCGTGCTCCTCTACTCGCTGGCCGCCGGGGTCCCCGTGCTCGTGGTAAGCCCGGGGGCGCTCGCCCTCGTCGCCGAGTCCCTGATCTCGCCCCTCGCCTTCGGGGTTGAGGCCCCTCTAAGGGTTGGGGCGCAGTAGGTTTTGCCTTCTAAGTTCCTCCAAGTTATGGGCAGCCCCTTCCCCAGAGGACATTCTAGGGCGCGTGAGGGTGGGTGCGAAGGAAGCCCCCAGCTCTTCCCACACGTCACCCCCCCACACCCCGCGGTGGCTTCAGCGTTGGGTGACTGGGCGGGGATGGAAGGGAAGAGGGGCCGTAGGTGGTGAGGAGTGGGGATCCGGGTTGCAAAGGAGGTGAGCTTTGGGGGTGAACCTTGATTCCATCCACTCTGTGGCCTTGACTCGCTCACTGCCTCCTCTTCGATTGTGCCTGGAAGAAGAGCAGCGGCGGGCGGGCCGGCGAGGAGAGAGGGGATCAATTGCTGGGGTGTGAAAGGGACTCCCACTTCCCGAGTCGGGGCACGTATTTCTATTTCGCCACCTCCCTCCTTTTCAGGTGAAAGTGCCAATGGGACTAAGCTGACCAGGGAACAAATATCTGAAAAAAGAATTTGAGAATTTCTAAATGAAGAGGCCTCAGCACCAGTGCTTTGCTGAAAAGCAGGAGCTGTACCTCAATTACAAGAGCACTTCAGATTTATTTAAAGGCTGCTCCGCTCCCTGGGCAATTTAAGTCCTTTTCTCTTAGAACCTCACAGAGCATGCCTTTTGGATTTATTGAGTGTATGTGTGTGTGAGAGAAAGAATGACTATACAGATACACTCACGTGTATACACACACCTCACATATATACATATGAAATTATTGGGGATAAATTACACATAATAATATTAATTTTATTATAGTAATTTACATATGTGAATATGCTACATATTTATTCTTAGGAGAATTGTTGGTGTTTCTTTAGAAAACCTGATATTTTATGGTTCCTTTAATATTGACAAAGTATTGGAGGTTCCCTTCCTGTGATGCGCGCTCTCTCTCTCCCTCAACAGATAACAAACGGGAAATAAGAAAATGAAGGGGAAAGGAAGAATGAAGTTTTATTTTCAGTAGCTAAATGTGTAAATTGAATGTTAAGAATGTCTGTTGAATCCATTAAGTTTGGATGTTCATCTTTTTTTTTAATTTTAGGAGCAATGACTTACTAATTTGTAAAATAATGAAAAGTTCCTAACACATAAGATAGAAATCAGTGAACAAATCAAGTAATTTCTTGATAACCTTAAAGTAACTTTATCACATGTCCTGTGATAGTTGACTTCAAATTGCCTCTGTCATAATGGTTTGAAATGTGTTAGACCTTGCCCCAGATAATGTTTTACATATATATATATATATATATATATATATATATATATATATGTAAAATAAGTTGCTAAAATGTGTTAGAAGCCCCAAATCCAGCCTTCATGTTTGTGTTCTCTTTTCTCCATTTGACAAGCTGGCAGAGAAAAAAAAAAAGGTCGATTTTTGGGGGCCCTTTTTACTTTCTGGAGATCGGGGTTTCCCATGTACAGTTTTCCAGGAGACTAAATAGCTCAGATATTTTTCAAGGATTGTTTTAAAGAAAAAGGAAGAGCCTGTCACTTTCAGCTCATTGGTTTGGTCATAGCTATAATCAATAATGTCTGTAACTCATCCTTTAATTCCCATTCTATGTCTTATTTAAATAAGATAGCACTTTTCAGTCCTAACCATCCAATCATGGTGGCAGGTGCTAGTTAGAGACGAGAGCACACTCACCCAATGATTTGGATGATTCTCCACTTAGGAGGAATGTAGGACGGAGAAAAAGAATGAATTAGTCACTATTTAGTGCCTACTCTATTTTGGGTACCGAATAGTCATAGTCACGTATATTTCTCAGAGCAGCTCTTTCAGGAGATATTATCTCCAATTAATATTTGAAGAAAGTGAGGTTCAGATAATAAGGAATATCTGAAAACAAAAAAAAAGGTGGGTATGGCATTTGTATGCCTATAGGACGGATGCCTGAATGCCATGCGACTTACATTGCTTCCAAAGAGCTTGTTCTCTGAAAGAAGGTGGAAGCTGGCTGGTCAGGCAGGCATTGAGAATATAAGTGGATAGATTTTTCTGAAGTCAGAATCCAACTTGATTTCGATGTTTTGGCTTTTAGTTCTTTTAGGTACAAGAGAATGGGTTTGGGAATCAGTTTAGAAGAGAAGGAAGTGGTAGGTTTGGGAGGATGGCTGTGCTGCTGGCATTTGTTTTCCCTTCTGCTTCTAGGAATAGTGCACTCTGTCACCATGTGAGGAGCTGGGAGCAGTAAGGGCAGCTCTGCCTCTCCACTCTTCTCAAGAACGCTGGGTTAGCATGCTCACTTGGGCATCAAAATAATAATAATAATATTAACAGTACCCATCATTTGTTGAGTTACTACTTTCTTCCATATACTCTAATAAACTTTCTACATACCTTATATCCTTCTAATATTTGCATTATCTCTGAAAGCAATAATTATTATTCTTATCTAACATTTGGGAACATGATGGCTTAGAAAGATTAAGTATCTTCTCCAAGGACCAAGGCTAAGAATGTTACACCCAGAATTCTCCCCCTACTCTGTCATACTCTCAAGTGTGGTTTTTCTATTACAGGATGAAAATTCAATTCGCTCATGAATCGTTCTTCTAAATAAATGCCTCAAATAGTCTCTTTTACATTTTTTGTCCTGTAGTAATAAAGCTTCATATATATATATATATATATATATATATATATATCTTTAACTTTCAAACTCATTTCTAGTTCTTGAGAGTAATTTTGAAAAGTCGTTCTCCTCACTACCACAGTCTACAGATTTGTTTCATACTTGCTAAATTCATTTATGTAAAAATTAAAAACAATATATATTTTGAATTTTATCACTTTTATATAATGCTGACTAGGGCTCAGGTTCCGAGTCTAGTAAATTTGGATTTAAATCCAAAGCACACTCTGCTGCATTGTTAAGAGTTGGGGGTCGGTTGCGGTGACTCACGCCTGTAATCTGAGCACTTTGGGAGGCTGAGGCGGGTGGATCACAAGGTCAGGAGATCAAGACCATCCTGGCTAATATGGTGAAACCCCGTCTCTACTAAAAAGTACAAAAAATTAGCCCAGCATGGTGGCGGGCGCCTGTAGTCCCAGCTACTGAGGAGGCTGAGGCAGGAGAATGGCGTGAACCCAGGAGGTGGAGCTTGCAGTGAGCAGAGATCATGCCACTGCACTCCAGCCTGGGTGACAGTGCAAGACTCTGTCTCAAAAAAAAAAAAAAAAAAAGAGTTGGGAACTCTACTTGCTGTGTAATCTTGAACAATCTATTTAAGCTCTTTAAGCCTCAATTCCCTTATTGACAAGGTTTTGAATATCAAATTAGTTACAATATGTAAATGTCATCTTTGGCCCATAGTTGATACTCCATAAGAGTTCACTACATCATTAACATTATTGTTATTAAGAAAATAATAATTCAGTAAAAATTTATTGAATTCATGTGTTCCAAGCATTATATCTGGCTGAGTAGAGGTTATAAAGGCAACTTCAGAAGTAAACCATAGTAACTGATCCTAAGGCATTTACAGTCTAATTTGTGAAATTAGATAAACATACCGCAGATCATAATATAAGTAATTATGACAGAAGTTATACATATGTATGTATATATGCATATCCATGCATCTGTATATACCACAAAGACCTCTAGTGGTTCAGAAGAGGAGGAGATAGATCACTTTTGTTTGGAGACATGAGGAAAGGCTTCATGGAGAAGATGGTGGTATTTAAGGTGTGTCTTGAAGGAGAGACTGAAATGGAATTTGAGTTAGGACATCACTCCGTGAACAACCCCTTGGAGGCAGCAAATGGAGACTGCACTCTTGAAACAGCAGTTGGTTTGTTTGTTTCTAAGAGTGGTGTGTGGGGAAAATGGCGTATACATCTGAAGGTGAAGGCTGGGGTCACATTGATAAGACCTGAAATGCCATGCCAGGCTGAGAGATTTTCTCAGTTTGGTAGGAATTTAGCAGAGATAAAGTTTGATGGGTGGTGGTTTAGGACATTTTTTTAGGTAGCAGTGTATAGTACTCTAATGTTATCAAAGTACATAATTTCAAACTCTTCATCTCCAAGTTTATTTTGCATTGTCTAATATTACTTCAATTGCATTTTCAGAAAACGCCTGTAATTTGGGCTTATTTACAGAGATGATATAGTTTATATACTCTTTGAAAATAGGTACTGTTCAGTTTGTTCTGTATAGCATTTGCCAGAGCACTGGACATTGCTTGTACAGATACAGGTTTAGTTAGTGATCCTTGGTGTTCATTGATGAAAAGAACTGGTGATGACAGTGGTTTCTGCTCCCCAAATTTGGATACAGTGGCCGCTAGCAGCTATTGTTCCTTAGATCTCTGAGCAACATAGATGATTTAAAGGAAATGAAGCTAGATCACCATCTTCACAAAGCTAGAATAAAGATAAAGAAAACCAGCACCAACCAAGGCAGCCCTGGACACTGAGCACGGCAGGTTTGAACATTAAGGTACATCTCAGATTATTTATATCTGCCACTCCAGGAAGCTCCCTCTGGACCCGGAGACTCAGATTTGAGAAATGTAGCTACTGCTGCTATCCCAAGGGTGCTGGCGTCATTGTATGTGGTACAGATAGATGATAGAAAGTCATCTCATACCTAGAGCTCCCCATTGGATCAACCTGCCTAAAGCTTTCCCATAGACCTCTTTTCCCCCAAACCCTGCCTTGGGCATCACTGCCCATCCCCATTCCTGGAACATTCCCGTGGTGTGGTGTAGGAGAAAAAGCACAGACATGGGTTTCAGATGTGTCTGGATTCTTATCCTGGTTTCTCCCACTTACTAGCCATGTAACCTCAGTCAAAATGTTCTCATTCATAAACTGAACATAAAAACACCCACCTCTTGGAGACTCAGTACATGCACAGGTTAAGATCACAGACTCTGGAGCCTTCTTGGGTTTGAAGGCCAGATCTGCTACTTTCCAGCTGTGAGAATTTGAGCCAGTTAGCCTCTCCATGCCTCCGTTTTCTCTATTGTAAAATTGAGGTAAATATAAGTACTGGCCTCACAGGATTACTGAGTATGAAATGGGTTAACATGTGTAAGTATCAGAGCAGTGCCCAGCTGTATACGTGTTAGCTCCTATTAGGCTTTCCAAGGCTGTGTTGATTAATCAGGAAACCTCTTTAAAGCACCTAGCAAACTACTTTTGTTTGTTAGTGGATTCCAAGGCTGGTAAGAAATTAAATGTGGATAGAAACCACCTAGTTTAGTCTACTGACCCTCACAAATTGGGAGTCTGAATAGGAAGAAAAGCAAAACTTAAGCAGAATTCAGTTCTTAGAATGAAATTAATGATTCCTATCTTTGGTGACTCCTCTGTTTGTCCAAGTGGGCTAACATTAGCTAAAATTGGTCATGCATTTCTTATACACCAGCCACTGTGTTAGGTGCATTTAACCCATTGCTCCATTTAATACTCCCCAGGATAGTACTTTCCTTAATCATATTGGGGACTAACATTAAATATATTTATTTTATAAATGAGAAATAGAAGTTTAGTGAGATTACTGTATGTCAGACTCTAATTATTTAAATTCATTAATGTAATCAATTTTCACAACAAATTTATGAAAGAGATTTGGAAGAGGTTAGATGACCAATCTGGAGTCCCGTGATGGCAATGGCAGAATCACCAAAGGCTGTGCATTTCATTTTTTGTTATATACTTTTATCCTAACATGTTAATTAGTCTTTAAAGATTTTACTCATAGTGATTCAGTACCAGGAGTCAAAATTTTCTCAAACCTTTTATCCTCGATTTCAATGTTCCTGCTTCGATGGAAAACTTCGTGTTCTATCGTAGATGATGATTTCAATGGGTGGTGTAGGAAATCGTTTGTTTCCTATTAAGCTTGGAAATGTTGTAGAGGAGTAGGTGGCAGCAGAAGGGATTCAAAGATATTTCTATTGTTTTGATTTAAAGGCATGTGTCTCATCTCAGTAACACACACTACTACAGTGCTATAAGCACCACCTTTATGTGGAACCACCCTCTGGTTCTAGATCTGCAAACCGTGGTATATGGAGAGGTGGAGGTACTTCTGTTTCTAAGGCATGCTTTTTAAAATGAGACCTGGCACTAGATTTGGGGGTGCAGTGACTCCTTCTTGTGCCTCTTAGGATTTTGGTTCACTTAGATACTTTCACTCATACTGATTTTTCTCCCTTCTTTCCTGTTTCCCTCCCTTTCTTTTTCCCTTTCTCTCTTCATTCCTCTTTGTCTCTTTTTCCACTTATTTTCTCTCCTTTGCATACTGCTAAGGAGATGGTGATGCTGAGGGAAAAGCAAAGAACCATAACACCAGTTAGTGTTTTTTTCTCCCTTCACCTCTTCCACCCTTCTCTCTCTTTCCTGTTCCTGTCTCTCCCTCTGTCTTTCATTGCTCACTATCCATGTGGCTTCTCTTGCCAGTTCCTTATCTGAAAAATATTGACTTATTTCTTCCTACTTTTCAGTGCTGTTGTGAGAATGAAATGGTTGAGAAAACACTGTGGAGACAATAAACCACTTCATACATATAAGGAAAATATAATGTGAGCAGGTTACATGGGTTATGTAGCTACCTGGTCATTGGAGATGGTTAGCACTGCTTGCAGCACTACTTTGCCAGCCTTAGTCTGTGGTGTGGAAAAATGAGTAAGATTTTTATACTTTTTTTCCTGATTTTCCTATAGAAAGAATAGCAAAGATTAAAAAAATGTAAAATGGTCTCCTAACTAATTATTAATGCAATACCCAAGGCTGTTTTCAAAATATTTCAATAAGCTCTGAGTATTGTCAACATGATTAGAAAGAATCATCTCGTTCATTTTGTACTTTGAAATAAATAATGTTTCTAGGGAGCATAGCTGATACCATGTATTAAGTATGTCGTGTATCATATTAATTTTTAAATTGGTACTGTGCCACAAACACATTATTTGCAAAAGTTTTGAAAGACGACAATGTATCTACTATGTAATAGGTATAGTGCTATTGCCTGGGCTTCTAAAGTAAGTAAGGCATATCTCTGCCCTTCGGAAGTTCAGACACAAATACTTAAAATTACATATCCAAGCCTCAGTTTTTTTAATCTGTAAAATTGAAATAATACTTAACCTGATACCTGATAAGAGTTAAATGTTTACATGCACTAAGTGCTTGATAAGTGATAGCTAGTTTGTTTTACATAAATGCTAATAATTTTTATTGATAATGCAGAGCAAATGACATTATGTGTACTTAATCATTTTTGTTGAATGAATGAGGTAAACCATTTACTCTTTAATCCTTTCAGATAGCATATGTAGGAACATATGCAGGGAGCTTTAGTAATTTGCTCCAGTTGGTAAATGACATATCTAGGATCTGAACCTATTACTTCAGGTCCAATGCTCTGTTGGCTGCAGTTGCCCACTGATTTGATTTATAGCATAAATGATGGCATTCCTAGCAGGCAAGGGAGAGTTAAAACATATTGAGTATACATCAATATGTTCTTACAATATCCACATGCTTGTTAATATATAAGTTTAGTTACAACCAAACATAAAAAGAAGAAAATAATCTATGTTTAAAGATAAAAGTTTATTGATTCCTAAGACCAGTGGAATAGCCAGTAGAACTAAATTTTCCCAGCTCATCATTCCCATTTATACAGGTTGAGAAGGTAAGTTCTGAGGTCAGAGTTAGGATCTTAACCTATAGTTAGCAGCACCCTTATAACAGACTTTGGAAAATCCTAAGGAGTATCATTATTATGAAAGATATTTTAACATATGTGAAGTGGAGTTCTATATTCAGTACTATTTAAACTTTTTGTGAGAATGCCAGTTTTCACTCAGCAGGCTGGTTACTTTTTTAGTCTTATTATGACAGATGTAGTTTAAGAATCACTGTCAGTAAAATCACCATTTTTTTTTGGTGGCAAAAACAGGACTCTAGAGTTTTATTCTCCAGGCCAGGTACATTTGAAACTCTGTAGATAATTTATTATGGGATTTTCTCACTGATACAACATGTAAGAGTTAAGCATGTGTATGTATGTGTGGGTGGGGGTAGTGTATGTGTGTGTATAATACATTTGTAGTTTCTTGTATGAATTCATTTTTATGTTCCTTTCTTCTCACCTCTATTATGCTTCCCTCACCCCCACAAAACCAAAAAACAACTTCCTGGAATATTCTGATATATTCTTCCAAGCTAGCACCAATGCCTTTATGTAGGTCTCTTGGACTCTGTCAGTTGAATAACTGCATTCTCTTCTATGATCCTTTCATCATTTAAACAAGTTGTGAAACTCAAATAACTTTATATTATACTTTATATTGTATTTTATTTACATTTCCATAACTAGACTTGAGCATCTCAAAGTCATGTGGTGTTATCTGATTCAAGCCAATTTGGTCATGCCCAGCTTTTAGGTTATTTTTACTAGATAAGGTATCCAGACACCAACTGAAGTTCATGGTGATGATGTTATAATGAATTAAATTCAAGTGTCAGAACAAATTCTGCTGTGCATAGTTATTTAATAACAACTTATTAAGCAACAGTTTACATATTCCATTCTCTAAGTTCTCTAAGTTCAGTGAATTCCCATCTCTCCGTCCTTGAGAAGTTTTTAGTTCATGAAATCCTGTATGAAAGTGTGGGCACAGCCACAGTGGGATTCTGGGTCCCCAAGTTGACATGCTCCAAGCAGAAACTGTTTTAAACCAAGGGCTGGACTCTAAATCCATTAAGAATAAGCCACTGGGGGAGAGGGTGCAGGCCTTACTAGAGTCCTGTACCCTACTCATTCAAGAGTGGGAAGTATCTCCAAGCTATTTTAGTTAACCCACATAGCTTGAAAGTCTCTTTTTAAACTTTTATTCTAGGTTCAGGAGGTACATATGCAGGTTTGTTATAAGTAAATCGCATGTCACAGTGGTTTGGTGTACAGATTATTTCATCACCCAGGTAATAAGAATAATATCCCATAGGTAGTTTTTTGATCGTGACCCTCCTCTCACCCTTCACCTTTAAGTAGGCCCCAGTGTCTATTGTTTCCTTCTTTGTGTCCATATATACTCAGTGTTTAAGTTGATTCCGTTTCTTTGCTATTGTGAATAGTGCTGGGATGAACATACATGTGCATATGTCTTTATGATAGAGTGATTTATATTCTTTTGGGTGTATATCCAACAATGGGATTGCTGGGTCAAATGACAATTCTGTTTTAAGTTCTTGGAGAAATCACCAAAATGCTTTCCACAATGGTTAAACTAATTTACATTCTAACTAGCAGAATATAAGCATTCCCTTTTTTCTGCAACCTTGCCAGCATCTGTTATTTTTTGACTTTTTAATAATAGCCATTCTGACTGATGTGAGATGGTATCTCATTGTGGTTTTCATTTGGATTTCTCTAATGATTAGTGATGTTGAGCTTTTTTTCATATTGTTGGCTGCAAGTATATCTTCTTTTGAAAATCTTTGATTTTACCAATGAGTTCATCTTTAGCATTCATCATGCGAATTCAGTCATTACTTTCATCAATGAAAAATTCTTTTTTACATCCACAATGCTAATTAAATCATTGGTAATTAACATGCAGATAGCAAAAAGACTTTGGAGTGGGACCTTTCTGATAAAATGCTGGTGACTATGTAGGACTTGGCATTTTGATAGCATTTTAGCTGACTACTCCTTAAATCAGAATATAAACAAACTGGTACATACATATCAGACAGATTATGATGAAGTGTTTTAAAGTAAATTACAGACTTCATAACTTAGGAACGAGGTCTTCTTTGTCCTCATTATTTCTAGAATAGACATACAAAATTTGTTAGCTAATGGGTAACTTAATAATTGTGGAAGTGATTGAATTTTATTTGCCATATTGCCACAATTACATTTGCTAGTCTATTGAATTTTTCAAGTTTTCATTAATTTGTTGATGACCTGTTTTGTGTTTGGCATGGCATGGAAATATCTAAAACACTTGGAATTGAAACAGTGTGGAAAGAATGGAAGTACAAAAAGAGGAGAGTAAAGGAGGGAACTTTTTCTGCTTCCATTCTTGCTGCCCTCTCCCCTCCCTCCTTCCATTTTTTTCCTTCTCTCCCTTCATTTCCCCCTTCTTTCCTTTCTCCCTCCCTCTCTCATCCTTCCTTTCTCCAGACAAATATTTGGTGAGCACCTTCTATGTGCACCATACCTTGAGATTAAGGCTTAAAGAGGTTAAGTGACTTGTTCCAAATCCTAAAACTAGGATAAAGCCCAGCCCCCACCACTCCTTCAAATCTTTCAAAGAAATATGTGGAAATAAAATACTTATGAAATTATAGAGCAGTTATGTACAAATGTACCCCTGACATATCTGCATAACACTAAAATAACGTGGCATTTCCTCTCTAAGGAAAATTGAATTTGTGTTGATATGACCAGAACCTCTGTGCTGAGTAAATTGTGTTCTAGTGCAGTGATCCCTTTTATAAAGGGTGCTTTTGATAGTACCAGCAGAAACTGTACTTTCTAATATCCATTTCATATTTAGCATTTTCTCACATTGGGGTTCATAGAAGCACTTTTTACACTCCGAAACATCTTGTATTTCCAGATATCTCATCAAAGCAGAACACTATGTTCTCACACACACCAAAATTGAGCAGTCCTGGATAGAGATAATGCACTTGGGGATTCATCTTGTAATTTAAAATGAACCCCTAAAATTTCCAATTAAAAAAATACTAGACAGTATTTTTGGGTTGGTGACAATGTCCTCTTCCTTCACATGTGTCTTCACAGTGTTGGGCTTGCTCAGTTACTAAATTGAATGAAGAGACTTAGTCAAAACTATATGACAATCTTTTTGGTCTTTCACAAAGAGATCTTTATTTCCTCTTCTCTCTGGCTCCTTATCACATGAATACTTGGGGTTCCCTTTTTATTTTTCCTGGGCTAAATCTAGAATACAGATATGAGAATCCAGTAGACACTTTTTTCAAGCCACACTATCAGGCTCTTTCTGTCATCCCATTTTTGGAAAAGATTCGTGAATCCAGTGTGAAAGAGAACATGCTTCTTCATAACTGGAACTTTTTAGTCGTGAAGAAGGGCTTAGAGATTATATAGTTTTATCTCATAATTGTCAAATCAATGCCTAGAGAGACTAAATGACTTGGCCAAGGTTATGCAACTAATGAGTTAACACAAATACACAAGTAGCTGACGTATATAGAGCACTTACTGTGTAGCAGACATTGTTCAACTACTTTATACATATTAACTAACATAGTGCTTACATCAGCATTATGAGACCCTATTGTTATTTCAGCTTACAGATGAGGACACTGAGGCACAGAAAGATTAAGTGGCTAACCTATGACCCCACATAAAGGAAGTGACATACCTCGACAGAATGGTTCCATATGTGCTTTTAATACAGGGATGGCCCTTCTCACTAATACTGTTATTTTTTGCCATTTCCTACAGATGTTAAGGCCATCTGCAATGAATCTTTCTTTATGGCAGTATTAATTGGAAGATAGATGAAGAGTATGTGACTACTATGAGAGTTTTTTTCTGAGTGACTATACTGTTGTCCCAAAAGATTTTACTGAATATTGTATTTATAGTTAAATACTGTGATAGTGAAGAGGTAGCAAAAGACAGGGAAAAAGAGCATTTAACACCCATGTCATTTGGCTTGATATGATGCTTTTTTGTTTCTAACATCAAATCTTTTCAGACAAAAAGTAACACTACATTTGAAACTTGCTACAAGTGGATATAACCAAAATCTACCCATTTTTGATGCACAGATTTTGAATTCTTACAGTGTGATTTTCACATAGCATAATATAACAGTATAAGTAACATATAGAATATCTATTGCACCTGAGACATAGTCATTAGTTTGGCAACTGCTTAGAGGCAGAAGAGATATTCAGTGGTATAAATTTAAGAGAAAAGCATAGACATTTATATATTTATATTTTGAACTCATATTTATTTTTGAAGGGACACAATCTGTTCTTAGGAGTACTCTCAAAATAATAGCAAACATAATAGCAGGACTGGTTCAGTCCTGGTACCATTTCCTGGGAAGCACCAGTGACTTGAGAAAGTAGTTCTATGAGCTACTGTACTTGATGTTGTTTTCTGTGTTCTTAATTTGGATTTATTTAAACACTTTCCATCCTTTAATTTAGACAGCTCCAATACTATCTCTTTCATAACTCTTTCCTTAATGCTTCTACTCAACAGTAATCCATCTTTTCTATAAACTCCTGTATTTTTCCCTTATCTTATATATTCTGCATAAGATAAAAGGGTACCTGTGGGTATGGGATGGATTGCTGGAGAGAAAGCAAGACAAATGAAATGAACAGTGACTCACTGGCCTGACAGGCAGGCAAGTACGTGTTCCTCCTTGCTCTGCTGCTTACTAGCTATAAGCCCTTGAGAAAGTCTAGTCCTTTTTTTTGGGCCTCTGTATCATTAGCTATCTGGTTAGCAAAGGTTTGAACTCCAACTGGGACAGGATACTGACTCATTGCTTCCCCAGGCAGCTGTTTCTATGTAAAAATCAAGTCTGACTATTGGGATGCTCCGCCTTCCAGTGAAATAAAGTCTGTCTTTCTGAATCTCCTCACTGACCTCAACTCAACCTTTTGAAGTTATTTGGAACAACTTAGGTGGTTTCATAGTGTTTGAAGTTACTTTTCAGTTCTCTGACTGTTCTTTTCTTGAACTGAGAATCTTTAACTTCATATAACATGGACATGAGCCCTTTCTACTATTCTGGCTGCCCATATCTGACTGTACACAAGATGTCTTATGTTCTTAACTGTTGTCACCACTACTGAATGATGTATTTTGAGTGTACCTTGCAAATGGAGTAGAAAGTGTACTTATTTTGCAAATGGAGTAGAAAATGGAGTAGAAAGTGTACCTATTTTGCATGCTATTTTTTTTTCTCAATGCATTAGACTTGGGGCGGGTGTAACGACACCTTGTGGTCAATTTGTTTCATCCTTAGAGTAGATTCATCTTTTTTTTTTTTCAAATAGGCAAAACACAGTATGGTGACACTGTCCTGCTTCATGAACACAGTAAATGTTGCTGAGAGATCATGGCATTTTCTCTCCTGCTGAGACTAAGCTGGGCTTCTAAACCTTAAGAGAACACTCCAGGAAACTTCATCTAATTGGGTTTACTGTCTTGGAATCAGATGATTATTAAAATGCTTCCAATTGTATGTAGTATATATGATGTAGTATACTACATGGTTGTGCATTATAGTTAATTACATACACACATATTTTGGCTGTCAAAAGATTATAAATTCCTATAGACTAGCATATTTGTCTTGCGTATTTTTGCTTCTTGCTCACCACATCCTGACTACCATAATGCCTTTAAAATGGTAGATATAAATAACGCTAATATTTGTGTATTTAAAAAAATAAAATTAATAGAAATTAAAATTAGTTTAGACACTCTTGTTTCTTTAAGACTGTTAATAATTTCCTGGGCACTTGAATGAAAGAAAATTTTTATGAGAAAATATATTTAGGCGTACTGCCCATCCATAGAGGCCTAGGTTATAAAGTCCAAATTATTTTTCCAAAACTCAAGTCTTTAGTTTTACTTTATTTCCTAATCATCACTGATTTCTAATATTTTCTTCATGTATATTCATTTCATTTTTTGTTTAATCAAAGCTGTATAAGACAGTCCAAAATAAATCTCACTTACTTCAAATGGAGAATATTTCACACACTCATCATTTTGTTTTAAAAATCTTTAACATAGTCACATTTTGCCTCTGTAATTACTATTTCACATTCCTATATCTTTAATAGTACATAGCACATATATTCATAACTTTAAATTTTCACTACTTAAGCATTTATATAGTATGGTATGTGCTTTTTCTTTTTTTGTTTTTTGTTTTGTTTTGTTTTATTTTGGGATGAGCCTCCTTACTCTGTCACCCAGGGGGAAGTATAGTGGCGCGATCTCAGCTCACTGTAACCTCCACCTCTTGGGTTCAAGCGATTCTCCTGCCTCAGCCTCCTGAGAAGCTGGGATTACTGGCGTGCACCACCATGCCTGGCTAATTTTTGTATTTTTAGTAGAGATGGGGTTTCACCATGTTGGCCAGGCTGGTCTCAAACTCCTGATCTCAGGTAATCCACCCACCTTGGCCTCCCAAAGTGCTGGTGTGAGCTACCATGCCTGGCCTGCTCTTTCTTTATCAAGGGTGATATTTTATATACTTTGTACACTTTTTAACAATTTTTTTCTGAAATTAATCAGATGACTTAAGATCATCTTTCTTTCACTTTTATAAATCAAACCACTGTCAAAAAATTACAACAAATTTGGTTTAAATATCTTAATTGGCTTTTATTTGTGATTCTAGAATTGGATAACACTTCATTCTATAAAACAGAGTGAGTTCCAATGAGCTGAGCAGAGGAGTCTGGTTATATAGACATAAAAGGGCTGAGGAAAGAAGAAACAGAAAACAAAAAGCAGATTGGTTATTTCACAGTCACTTCTCTTACACAGGTCAAAGCAGAGTGGACTTCCTTATCATGCCAGCCAGAACTGGCTTGTTTGGGGTTTTGGCTATTGTCTCTTATTCTGATTTCTTGGAAGGGCAGATAAATAACTTAGTTTTGGCTTGGTGACATGGAACTTTAGCATGGATGATTACATTTAGTTTGGTTCCTTAGGCCTAGTGCAGGAGCTCAGTCCAAGCCCGTGTTCTGTACATTTTATTTAACAGTTCTCCTCTTTTGATCACACTCTTACTTTTGGTAGATTGGAGCATTACCACAACTCTGTTACTGTTATTCTGAGTTTCTAGTGTTAACACACCATTTGTGGGTTACAGTGTCCTCATGATTAAGCATTTCTTTGAGTTCTTTTTCTATTCCAGCCAAAGAGACCATTTGACATTCCATGAATAGTTGAAAGCAAACATTTAAAACTTGAGATAATACAGTATACCAAGGAGAGTACTATTATGATTATTAGGAGAATAATTCCAAGAGTTTGGAATATGTTTCTTAGCCAGGGTCCCCATGAACCAAACCAACTAAAATTGAACAGATCAAAGAATGAGCATATGATGATTCTGCCCATTTTAACCAAATAGGCTGTTTATTAACTTTTTGCAACTGAGTTCCTACAGTGCTTCATGTGTTTATTCATGTGCAACGAGAAGTGTCAGCAACTGCACAGACTCCTCCCTGTTCAGTTAGTAGGTAATCTGACAACCCATGACTCTGTTAAATTAAAGAGGAGTGAGAACAAGCAGATCTAGAAGTCTTACTCTATAAAAGGGATCACTGGTACAACTTGAACAGCAGTTGTGTTAGGGATGTTGCTAAAGTTACGTGCTGGGTGGACTAAAGGATTCCTTAGTTCATATAATGATCTGAGTTTGGCATGTCAAATCCAATATTTCATCAAGTTACCCACAGAAGGCACCGATTGAGAAATTACAACTATAGCATGATCCTGCCAAGGGAAAAATAGAGGCATAAGCAAGGAAAACTTAAGAGAAGCAAGAATCTTATTATGATATGTCCAAATATCTTGAGAAAAGTAGTATACTACATGAAGTCATCAACTTCTTGTCCTAATTTATAGTGTCAATATCTGTGGTTATGGTATTGGGTGTTTGGTGAGCTCTCAGTATGGCCCACACATCAGGCATGAGATTTGTTCCTTGAAATTTAAATTGAGTTGTCCAGTTTTAGCTTACAGGGCTTCAGGAACAAAGCAGATCTTGTTCTTAGAGAGTTGTAGCCCAATATTGGAGGAAACTAGATAATTCAGGATATAGTCTAGCCTACAAGTTGATAATAAATCTTAAAAACAATGAATAGGGCTACAACCTAATAACAGGTATAGTATATTTTTTCTTCATAAACATAAGCTTTTTCTCTACAGTTATCCCATTTATAATAAAGATAATTAGAGTAAGACCAATTTGTTTACAACATAGGTCTAATCTCATTAAACTTGGCCTGAATACATAAATGAAACAATAGAGATTGACCACATAGGCTCTTTGCAAGTTTGCTTTGCTGCAACTTTTGACAAAGAATTTCAGATTTGACTTTTTAAAACCTCTCAAGGCTGGGAAGTCAAATCAAAGTGGACTTTAGACTTGACCTGCAGTACATACAGATTCATTCTAGGTCTTTTCTCAGATACCACATTCCAGTCAAAGTTTTGGTAATATAACCAATATTTCTGACTCTATACTGTTATAAGCAGAACATACTCTTACTGCACTTGTGCAAATAACTTTATTTCCATAAAAATAAGAATGCCCATGAATAGTTTCCAAATTCTGGAGAGATCGGTTATGGAGAAAAAGTAAATATTTCAATTTTTGTTCATGAAAGTATACTATACCAAATTGCTATAAATTTTCGGTAGCTTAAGAGAAAAAACATATTTTCTTAAACCTAGAAAAACAAATCAAAAGAATCAGCAATGTTAAAAAAAAGTGTAAAATGCATAATTCTTTATTAGTTTATTTCATCTAATTAATTTTTATTCTGCTTGCCTTTGGTTAACAGTTTCATGAACCCACTGGTTTCTTCATTAGAGTGATAGAAATTCTTACCCAGTCCCATGGTGTGATCTAAAGTTATCAGAAAACAGTATTTGTCAGAGTCTTTTCCATGAATTTATTTGAATGCATCACACATTAGGATTACAGTTGCTTGCAAAAGGCTTTCAGAAAAGCATTAGAATAAAGCAATTAACTGTGGACAAAAGGACTTAAAATGACCATAGTTAAAGATCTGATTTGAGTTCACTATGATAATGGCACAACTCATAGGGAAATATGGTATTTCTGTTGTGTACCATGTTTTAAAATAAAAACCAAAATTATGACTAATAACAGATCAGATTTTTAGGAATTTCATACAGTATTTTAGGACACTCATTAGTAATATACCCATAAATATCACTTAAAGAAAAATCACTTAATATTTGAAAGTGCTTCCCATATAATTTAACATATCAAATAAGCCTAATTATTTTAATACCTCTCTTATACTACATAAGAGACATATCCTTAGAAGTTTTTCCGGGGCTTAAGTGGAAAAATCCCAAAGTTAACTTGAGATCAGGAAGACTTAATTTAGCATTTGATTTTGGGAAGTTTGTCAGTATCAAAGTAGTTAAAACACTTGATCAAAACAATATTACATATCACTGTAAAGTAATAGTCATTTATTTATCCAGAGTGATAATTGAAAGACTTTAAGAGGCAAATACAGGAAGTTATATAGATGTCGGAAAACCTTAGCTCTTTCAGTATGGAGAAGAATCAATTTTCTTAAGTAATCAAAGAACTAATAAAGAAAATTTGAAGCATAGGGAATCATCTTGATAGCAGAGAATCCCTGTTTCCTAGGCCAATTACCTAAAAGGTTAAAAAAAACACCCATTTCACTATTTTCTATTAAGAGCAGATCAACTCTCCAAGAAAACCTTGTCATTGTAACAGAGGACCAAATTTTAATTTTGCATCAGTGTACTTTTGATGTGTAATGTTCCCTATTTAGAAAAACATAAAGAGTTACCTTCTAATTTTAGCCAGCTTTATCACGCATAAAATTCTTTTCACAAGATTCGTCTTCCACAAATATTCTACAGTTTTCTTATCCATTCAGTTTTTGGCCTATACTTTTCCTATTTTCTCATTTTGGAATAACCACTCTACTTTGGAACAAAGATTATTCCCTTATTCCTTTAACAAAAATATATCCTTATACTTTACAACTTCTTTTATTAAAAAAAGCCTTACTTTTCTCACATCCAGAGTTGTTCCCCTTATTATTTCTACTTTTAGTTACCATATGTTAATTAGAATTTTAAATTCCTAGTAACCTTAAGTTTTAGTGAAAACCTGGGAATTAAGCAATTTTGAACTCCGTGTCTTATACTAACATTTTATGAATGTTAGTACATTTTATAATTTTTAAAATTATGTGTTTCCTCTAGAACAATTTTTTCATGTTTACTAACATACCTAAATATATTTAGCTTCTCCATACCATATAAAAATAAGATGCCAAAGTATATATACTTTAAACATATGTTCAGCAATTAATGTTTTAGTATTATAGCTAACTTAGAAATGACTCAGATGTTTCATAAATATCCATTACTTAATTTAATATAATGTGACTTTAAGATTTCAAGTTACTGAAAAAATATTTTTGAAACGGTGACAAGTGCATTTGTAAACTTTTATCCCATTAACATTCTCCAAATTTACTCATTCTTAACAATTATACTTCAGTTGTTCCTTAAACAAACTAGCCATTGAAGGAATTCAGGAAATGCCACCTCAAAATATGTTGCATTGTATACAGTCATATGTCCCTTAACAACAGGGATACTTTCTGACAAATGTATTGTTAGGTGATTTTGTCATTGTGCAAACATCATGAAGTGTACTTACACAAACCTAAATGGCATAATGTGTATACAATGAGGCTATATGGAATAATCTGTTGTTCCTAGGCTATGTACCAATGTGTACAGCTTGTTACTATACTCAAAACTGTGACAGTTGTAACGCAGTGGTATTTGTGTATATAAACATATTTAAACAGAGGAGGTACAGTAAAAATATGGTATAATAGATTAAAAAATGGTACACCTGTATAGGGCAATTATCATGAAAGGGGTTTGCAGGACTGGAAATTGCTCTGGTGATTCAGAGAGTGAGACGAGTGAATGTGAAGGCCTAGGACATTACTGTACACTATTGTAGACTTCATAAACACTGTACATTTAGGCTACACTAAATTTATTTTAAAAAATAAAGTAGTTGTGCTACAATGTTATGATGGTATAATATCACTAAGGAATTTTTCAGCTCCACCAAAAAGGTTTTGAAACCGCAGTCATCTGTGTAGTCAATCAATGACCACAATGTTATTATGCAGCACGTGACTCTGTTGATTAGTTTGAGGGCACCTGAAAAACAGCATAATGCAAGGTGGAGCTTTCTGAATTCCCCTTATCTGCCTAAAGACAGATCATCCCAGAGGAACTCAGTTATTATCAATCCTCTCCCTAGGATGTTCCAGCAATCAGGGACAATTAACTTTTATTAAAGGAGAGGAGACTTCACCAAACCTAGACAGCCGTCATCTATTGTTCTAAGAGCTCCTTCATCCCAAACAAGAAAAGGTGTAGGTAGGAAGCCAAGTTAAGACAAAATGGTCAAAGGTCAGGCTTGTTGAGACCAATGAGCTTTTCTGTTGTAAGGATTTTGAGTGGTTTTTCTTATAGATACAAATTTTTATGAAGAGTTTTTACATAGCCAGCTCAATACAAGAAAGATATATTTTGGAGACAAATTTAGTTAGCTAGGTAGTTTTTTTTCAACTTAGCTTGTTTCCTTACTAGATTACCAACTTCAGGGTGGAACCTATTAACAAATAGATCAAAGAAAGTATTTTCTTTGCCTGGACTCAGCATGGATACCTCTGAAAAAGAAGGAAACCTGCTCTACCTGAGGTCCTAACCTTTATAAACATCTTAGATTTCTTTTCACTTTTGGGATAGGATAGTAACTAAGGGAAAAGGTTAATAGATTCAAATTTTCTTATCAATTAGTCACTTAAGATTTTTATTCACCTTTGCAAAAGAATATTTTTAAAGAGTCAATAAAATGTTTTGAAATCTTTTTAGAAGCTTCTGCACAAGATAGGTGTTCCTGAGTGGGCTTAATTTGAGAGTCCTCAATTTTAGATGCACTCTGTAAAGTTCTGTGTTGTTCACCTGGAACATTCTACATAATGGCCACTTTAATTCTAAATTACCTTTGGTAAGATTTCACCATTTTTGTAAGCGTTTGAAGCTTCCAGGGACAAATACTTATACATGTAAAAGGCAAGCATAGCTGGAAGGGGGTGTACTCAGTTCTTTAGAAATTAAGGATCCCATTTTTACATTGAATCTTGGTTCCCTTAGAACAAATATAAGATCCTAGGAGGGAAAGACTGCAGGGTTGGGTCATGTAATGCTTTGGCAGGGTATCTCATTGCATAGACACTCTCTTGATGCTGGCGGGCACTGCCCTGTTCCATGTCCAGCTTATCCTAACATAATAGTCTTATTTTCTGTTGCCAGGCTGCTTTAGTAGTTCTTAAGTTCCTGAACTGAGCCCACCAGTCAAGTTGTGGCTTTGGCTTTGAGATACACTTGAGCAGCTTAGCTAGTGATATTCCAGTTTCTGTCTGACTCAGGAACCTGAGGCCTCCCTTACCTAAGTGCACAAGAAAAAGAAATTAAGAGAATAGAATTCAAATTACATGTGAATTTCAAAAAAAAAAAAAGAAAAAAACAACCCATCAAAAAGTGGGCGAAGGACATGAACAGACACTTCTCAAAAGAAGACATTTATGCAACCAAAAAATCACATGAAAAAATGTTCATCATCACTGGCCATCAGGGAAATGCAAATCAAAACCACAATGAGATTATCCCATCTCACACCAGTTAGAATGGTAATCATTAAAAAGTCAGGAAACAACAGGTGCTGGAGAGGATGTGGAGAAATAGGAACACTTTTACACTGTTGGTGGGACTGTAAACTAGTTCAACCATTGTGGAAGTCAGTGTGGCGATTCCTCAGGGATCTAGAACTACAAATACCATTTGACCCAGCCATCCCATTACTGGGTATATACCCAAAGGACTATAAATCATGCTGCTATAAAGACACATGCACACATATGTTTATTGCAGCATTATTCACAATAGCAAAGACTTGGAACCAACCCAAATGTCCAACAATGATAGACTGGATTAAGAAAATGTGGCACATATACACCATGGAATACTATGCAGCCATAAAAAATGATGAGTTCATGTCCTTTGTAGGGACATGGATGAAATTGGAAATCATCATTCTCAGTAAACTATCGCAAGAACAAAAAACCAAACACCGCATATTCTCACTCATAGGTGGGAATTGAACAATGAGATCACATGGACACAGGAAGGGGAATATCACACTCTGGGGACTGTTGTGGGGTGGGGGGAGGGGGGAGGGATAGCATTGGGAGATATACCTAATGCTAGATGACGAGTTAGTGGGTGCAGCGCACCAGCATGGCACATGTTGACATATGTAACTAACCTGCACAATGTGCACATGTACCCTAAAACTTAAAGTATAATAAAAAAAAAAATGGAGTTTATGCCCTCTGCAGTAATAAGCACTTACTGCAACAGCTATCAGTTAGCTTTAAAACTGCAGCTCTTACCAGTGACTCCTCAGCCACCCCAAACCCAAAGGTTATGCGCTCTCTCGCAGCACAAACTAACTCTTGGTACCTAATCCAAGGTCAAATGTCTTCTCACAGAACAAACTAAGTCTGGCTTCAAAAGCCCATAAAAACAGCGGGTTGATGCAAAAAGATCAGAGTCCTACCTAAGAGGAACTTACAACCCTTGGGGCTCCATGAGGAAGACAGGGGACCTCAAAAGGGTCAGCAGTGCCTCTCCTGCTTTCCTCAAGAGATCTCTGGAGTTGTCAGCAGTGATATTCAGGTCCCTTAGGTTGCAAGAACTGTCAAAAGACAAAATTACAACACATTTAATTCAAAGATCTTAATTGGCTTTTACTTGTGATTCTGGAATCTGGCAACACTTTATTCTATAAAATAGAATGAGTGTTCCAACGAGCTAGGCAGAGGAGGTTGGTTTTATGGAAAGAAAAGGGCCGAAGAAAGCAGAAATAGAAAACAAAAAGCAGATTGGTTGTTTCAAAGCTACTTTCTGTATAAAGGTTAAAGCAGAAGGGACTTCCTTATCCTGCCAGCTAAAACTGGCTTGTTTGAGGAATTGGCCATTAACTCTTCTGGCTATTAATTGGCTATTAACTTCTGATTTCTTGGAAGGTCAGATAAACAACTTAGTTTCTGTTTGATGACATGGAATGTTAGTATGAGTGACTCCATTTTGGTTTGGTTCACTGGGCCTAGTGCAGGAGCTCAGTCCAAACCATTGGCATCCTATAAATTTTACCTAACACCGCCAGTAAAATTTACATCTGAAAACGTGTATATATGATAAAATTAGAACACTTTTTTGGATGTTGTTCTCATGGTGCATTCAGATAGCTGGCAGAGTTTCTAAATGAGATGAGTCATGATTTTATTGTCACTCAGGATCTCTGAATCATACTCTGTACATTTTCATCAGTAATCATAGAGTAAGAGTTGAAACATTTGACTCAATACATGGAACTATTTTTGAGAAAAGTTTCTTTCCTTGGAGAGTGATAAAAATTAGTGGTACTTTAGAGATTGACATTAATGAGTAAAGGAAGATTCGGTGCTGCTTGGGCAGGCAATCACTTACAACTTCAATTAACTTCAGGCAGAACAGATAAAATAATATTAGGATTTTGTTGTTTATAGATACTGTTCATTGAAATTCAGGATTTCCTAATTTGTGAAATATCAAACAAGTGCAAATTAGCTTCTCCCCTTATCATATGGGTTCAAAATGAAATGGCCTATTAGCAATCGTGTTAAAGCACAATGACTTAAGCATGCTTAAGTTAGTATTCAGTAATTCATTCCTTCATATAGTTATTAAAAACATTTACCAAGTGTTTCTTGGACAAGTCTGTCTGTGTGTAATGGGTTCTAGATAGTCAGAGATAGAAGAAAGGATCCCTGTATTAGTATATTTTTAACTAATCCTGATGGAGGTATGCATAACTGGAAGTGGAATGAGGTGGAGTGGAGTGAGAAAAATGGAAGAGGCAATCATGAAAGAGAAGGTTTCTGAGAGGAGGTGATGTTGCTAGTCACGGAAGTGAAGGACGAGTGTTCTCAGCAAACAGCATGCAAAGTTGTTTAGGCTGAAGAAAGCTTGGTAGGTTGAAGGAACTACAACAATGCCTAGACTGGGAAGGTGTATAGCACAGAGGTAGCTAGGTTCAGAACATAAAGCTGTTGAGTCAAAAATGTATTACAATGATACTGAGAGGTTGAAGTCAAGATTCCTTTACCAGCTTGAAGAGGTAAACCTGTAATACACAATTTAACATCTTACCCTCACTTTCTTTATCTGCAAAATGGGGCCTCTAAATCTACCTCTCTCGCACAAGTAATTCTATTTCTGTGACCAATTTTAGTTTAGTAAACTAAAGAGAAAAAATATAATATTGGTTTAGAGTTTTAAGGAATCTAGGGCAATATTTAGCACATGGATCTCAGCTGCTAAGTGTGTTGCAGAATTCTTGGGTTTTTCTCACTTTGAAATAAAAATTAATACTGTGAAATGCATTTTTGATTAGATGGTTACTAAGAAGTTAACTTTTGTCACAAACATGCTACCTGATGTTAAACTGTTATTTGCATCATGGACAATGCTAAAAGATAAATATTTGTGCAATTATGAAAGTTTGTGTTGGAAATATAGAATTAAAATTCAACTTGGCAAGTTTATTTTTATTTCTCTTTCTATGTTTTGCTTCTATAATTAATTCACCTTGACTTGTATTTTCTAAATTGCATAACAGGTGTGTTCACCTGTATAATACATGTCTTCAATCTTCTCACTATAAATTGAAAATTAAAGTGTAACATATACACCTATATATTGCTCTATAAATTTGAGGATATGATACTGCAGTTCTTTCAGAAAAACACTGATTGTAATTAATGTGAAGTCGAACAGTACTATTCCTGGTAGGTAAAACTCAGGTTTTTCCAGTTTATACTATTAAGGATTAAATGTGCTTGGTTTTCTTGCAAGATGCACTATCCTTCTAAATTTAGTCATCTAATTAAGATTTCCATTCATGGGAAATGACTTCAAAGAGCACATAAGACAGGCTTTTACACAAATAAGTTTTGATTGGATTAATTGGATTTGCATAAGTTTTATGATATGAGTGTACTAGAGTCTTGACTTCTTTCGCTTATGAGAGAGAACTTAAAGGAGTTTGAAAGAGAAAACACATAAAAGTTTGCAAAGGAAGCAGGTAAAAGCAGTCATGTTAATGGCATGGCAAGAACACACTATGAGGAACAAAAGTAGTAAAAGCTTTGGCAGTATATAGGCAGGTCAAGCCACAAAACCTGGGCATAGGAAGAAGGAAACTGAAGATTCAGACAGATCACAATATTTTGTTGCTTCTTTCAGGAGAAAAAGGGTCTAGAGCATCCCTGATGCCTGAGGTGGGTTTGGTTATAGAGACTGCCACAGAAACCAGTAGTGCATTTAGGACCAGGAAAACCAAGATAAAGATGGCTTCTTGGATTATGGGCAGGCAGTCAGGCATCAGAAAGATAGCTCTAATAGAGGGTCACTTAGACATGAGAGAGCAGTGCTGAGCCAGAGTTACGGATATGAGGGCAGCCTGGAACCAGGATGCTGAGAGGCAAGGCAGAGCATGGCAGTCTGGAAGAAGCAAAGATGTGGTGAATTTGAGAAAAGATACCTTAGTAAGATGAGGCAGGCTGGTCAGATTCAAAGTCAAGAGAGGGAAAAGTATAGAACATGGTGGTGAGATGAGATCCCAGGCACACGATCTGGGTTGCAGAGCTTGGCAGCCCCACATCAGATTACCAGCAGTTGGAGGCCAGAAATCCATCGCAGGAGGCAGAAATCTGCAACCTGGGACCAGAAATTGATTCTAAGGAGAGTCTGAGCAACAGATGTGAGGTAATATAATTATGAAAGCCTTGATATGGAACCAAACAATCTGACCTTACATTTGCTAATACAGAAGCTAAGTGCAGAACATTCATCCTAGCATTCATATATTAAATAATAATGTGATGTCTATAATAGCAACAACATAGCCCCTTACGTTTGTATAGGCTCTATCACTTAGAGAATAGCTCACAATAATCAAATGGCATGGATATTGCAGTCATTTAGAGATGATAAAACTGAGGCTTAAAAAATTAGACTTGCTCACAGTCATGCAACCAAAACAGTAGCAGAGCTTAAATTAGAACATAACCCTGGCATTTTTAAACCTTTGTTAAGTACTTTGCAGTGAGTAAAGAACAAGAAAACTGCTCTGAAGAAATTAGAAGGGCTCTTCTGACCTCAGGAAGTTTACAGTCAACATAAAAATCATACAGAAATAACCTAAATGAGAAGCTAAACTTTCAAAAATTCACTCCAGTACCTAGAAGAATGCCTGGGACCTGGGAGGTACTCAGTCACTGTTTTACGTATAAATGAGTATCAGGTGAAATGCTGGGTAGCCCAGTGAAGAAAATAATCAATTTGAACTCAGGATATAGAGAAGCCTTCTCTGAGAACATGCGTTTTAGCAACTCAATGACAGGATGTTTTCATGTCATCCTGTCAGGTGTATTTGGATTTGGTTGGGAAGGAAAGATAACTAATAATTCATTGAGAGAGATTTAGAATCAGACATGCCTGTGTTTGAGTCTTGGTTCTACTAATTCTTGTAATATGGAATGAATTATTTGACCTCATTGATTCTCAGTTTCCTTATGATATGTGTTCATTGTATAGAAGCTAATGCTTTTGAACATCTTAATTTTTCTGGTGGGGGGAGCTGATTTAATTTTCACAACAGATCTGTCATTTTGCATTATCATTACCCTTTTGCAGAAGAAGAAACAGATTAAAAAACCATCATGTAATCTGCATAAAGTTAAGTAATTTGAAACCAGTTTTGCCTGGCTTCAAAATTCATTCTCTTTCTCTCACTCTCCAGTAATGGCAAAAGATGTGTTCCAGGGGTCCATGGGGAGTTTTGAAGACAAGGAGCATGTTTCTTCTACTTAGTCTGTTTTATAGTATTGAGGAATTTGTAGAAAGAGAAAGAGAGTTATGAACACGTGAAGAGAGCAATAATTTACATGTAGCTGAAACAAATCCCAATGCAACATCGAACCATCATTAATGGAGAAGAAGATTGAAGATGGGATAAAAATTCTATGTGAAAATCAAAGACTGCGAGACCAATTGAAAATGTAGCATTATTTGAACAATTGAAATATACAATTGAAAATGTAGCACCCCTCCCTCCCTGTCTTCCTTCATTCCTTCTTTCCTTCTTTAGCAATCATTAGTTGATTTTCTTCTCTATGTGAGGAACTGGGCAGAGGTCTAGTGATACAAAGATAGAGTCAAGAATTCATTGTCAAATGTAATCATTGTCGATGCCAGAGGAATTAAAAATCATTTCTACTTTTCTCCTCTTGCATTTGACAGACAAAATTTGGAGCAAGTAAAAGATTTTACGACTTTTATCTAAAGTCACATTCATGATTATTTCATAGCTATACCACCAGAGGTAGTTTGATTTGATTATGCATGGACATTTTGAAAAAGTTAGCATTCTTGATATTCTACCATGCCATTATTATTTGTTTTCTTTGGTTACTGGTTTGTAAGACTGATTGAAAACCTTCTTTTCTAAAGCGCCATTTACTATAGTATATGTATTTACTATAGATGATGTGAATGCTCCTTAAGAGCCTTCTCTGGGTCAGAGGCTAGTTCTCTACCAGAAGATAAACCTTTCTTCCAAGCAAATGTTAGGTTCACCATGTATAGAGAAATTAACCTGAATAAAAACATACCAGGAAGAAGGTATGTTCAAATGTCAGCATGAGGAACCAGATAAGGTTCAATACATTCACAGGGAAGAATGTATTGAACTTGCTGCCTTCAAATAACTTGTGTCAATAAAAACATGATGGTCTTTTTTGCTTATTATCTAAGCATCATAGCATCCTAGATCAAAAGCAAATAGTCATAATAAGAAAAACAGGTTAGAAATTCTAGATATATTAGCATACATTCATAGAACCAATGAGAACATTGCTTTGGGGCAGGAAGATGGGAGAAAAAAATAAGGAACAAATTTTGTGAGTTGACTCCATTGTGATCTGTTTGTTTTAGTTATTACAGAATATATGGGAATAATGGATCATGAATTGTTACAGATTAGACCTCAGATGTGATTGACATGTTTAAGCTGCATCTAATTCAGGAACATGAAAAATATTAGGACAATTGATTAAAATGCCCATCGAATACACTAGAGTTTCACATGTATTTATTTAATCCATCCACAAATGTATGCCCAGTTGCCTGGTGGAGTCTCCATCATATGGCATTTTATCTTTTAAAGACCAAGTCACTGGAATAAAGAAACAAGATGAAATTTATCTAAAAGTTCTGCTCATATTTATATTTCAACTAGAATATCAATCAGATGTGCCTGCCAAAAGAGGCCTCAAAAATCTATATCCATGATACCTATGCAGCTGTCTCCTCCACTCTGGCTCTTTTTAAACCTGGGACCTATTGAGCAATTATTATTGTGGAGCAATTATCTGCTGCTATGATGGGCCAGGGGACATGAGAAGAGAATCTGGACACACGATACTCAATAGAAATACAATGTGAACCATATTTTAAATTTTCTAGTAGCCACATTTTAAAAAAGAAATAGGTGAAATTAATTTTGATAATTTATTTTACTAACTCTATATATGCAAAATATTCTAACATGTAATCAATATACACACTTATTAATAAGTTATTTTTTATTTTTATTAATAAGTTATCGTTTTTGTACTAAGTCTTCGAAATCTAGTCTGAATTTTGCACTTACAGCACACCTCAATCTGGATTAGCCACCTTTCTGGTGCTCAGTCACCAAGTGTTCAAGGCAATTGGCAGTTTCATCAGACAGGGCAGATCTAGATTTTTTTTCTGGCTAATTAAAGAAACTTGGTGGTTTCCTAGTCTACTTTTTCTGTGGGTTTAGGAAATACCATTGAATTGATATGCACTATTTTGATCTGTACTTTAGAAGATATATCTGAATAGATTTTTAAAGCCATTTTCTCAAATGCTTGGTTTACAGTACCTGTTTCAAACATGATTTTTACATCACCTTTTTGTAAAAACACTTTTTCATCAATGTTAGGACATAGAGAAGGATGTGAAAATATTAGAACATTTTTGAAGCTTAAACTTGAATCAAGACATATTACAGATTTCCCTTTCATGTATCTCACTGTGAGAGGAAAAGATTCATTACTATGTGTGGATTCTCTCCCCAACTCCTCTTCCTTTTGTTAGCTCATTTTATATGTTAAAAAAAAAGTTGTTTGAGAAAGGTTATTCATGGCATCATTTAGGCTTTTTTTTTTTTTTTTTTTTTTACTTTTTAGTAGGATGATCTCATCTTCAGCACGTGCCTTACAGATTGCAGGGCCTGTCTATTCCCTGGAACCACAACTGCCTTGACTCTATCACAGTCCATTTAACATATGTATTCATTAATAAACTCTTAGTATATATATATTACATGCCAGGCAGCTTGCTAGGCGTGGGATCCAATAATGAAAAGGAAGTCCTCAACGATCTCACATTAGTGGGAAAATTGTGCAAGA
The DNA here is from genome assembly GCF_000001405.40 of Homo sapiens. Taxonomy (NCBI): domain Eukaryota; kingdom Metazoa; phylum Chordata; class Mammalia; order Primates; family Hominidae; genus Homo; species Homo sapiens. The sequence continues at coordinate 98,975,861 of NC_000001.11, read as the reverse complement.
AGATTACAAATATTAACATATGTTGTTCACCACTACCCTCAACAGGACATATTATTTATTCCTTGTTGGTTCGGTAGAGCTTGGGTCGAGATATCCCGATTTGCTGGAAATCGGGAAGTGTCCCCCTCTTCCTTGACTTTTCTTAAAGGTACAAAGTATGTTCATGTGTATGGGTCCCAGCCGACCCTTTTTCCAGGTAAATACTCCTATCAGGGGAAGCTTATGTCTGTATTTATGCATAATTGTCAGAGGCATCAGATCAGGTAGGATAGATATTGAAAGAAGTCAGTGCTTTGCAATCTCCAAATAACATGTAGGTTATATTTGTACTTCTGTTGACAACTTTATTTGTACTGCAAATATTGGCAACAAATATTCCGCTGAAACCTCAAAAGGCTTCATCTGTATGCATGGATCAGTGCTTCTCCCTGCTTCCTGTACATCTCCAAGGACATGAATCACATGCCGTGATTTCTGTCAATGGAAGAGAACAATGCAAAATCTGTTTTCCTCTGGTTCCAATTTACAAGTGTTACCACATGCCTGAATACTTTATGCAAAGAAGGGATTGGACACAAAAACCTATTATGCATCAGGACAGGGTGAGGCAGAGTCCTACTCTATAAACCAATGAGATGAATTAAGTCAGCAAGAACTAGGGTGTGGAAACATTTGAGGCACGGACGCAGTCAAGGCATAGAAGGGTAGACTCTCCTGACGATTCTCTGGGCATCTGGTCCTGCAACAGAACATGATCTCTGAAAGGAATAGTTACAAAAGAGGCTGCATCAGGGAGGTCTTGTGGGGAGCAGTGACATGTCCTCGTAGGTGGGTAGAACATAGCTCCCAGGAATCTAGGAGCAGATGGGTGTTAAGAAAACCTGTTGCTAAGTAAGAGAACAGTGCCTTAGCCACCATATAGGGTTTAGCAGCAAAACTTCACTGCCTGTAAGACAGACAGGAATCACAGTCCCAGACAGTCCCAGCCTTAGAGCAACTGAGGTGCAAAGTAAGTGATCAAAGCGAAAACTCAGGAATAGGGATCTGCTAATGGAATTCAGGTACAAAGTAGAAATTGCATTTCAGGAATAATGCATACATCTTGTTATCAAATATAGGCCAGAATATACAACCTGAATTAGCAGAGGAGACTTGATACTGAATCACAGCTTGGATTATAGCTCTATAACTTTCTCCTGCCTCAGTTCAGAGTTTTCAGAGATCAGAGAGAGTTTAGGGAGCAAGGGAAAAGAAATATATTTAAGCACCTATGACTTCGTGAAGAGAGTGGGGATGGTGGGACAGAGCTAAGAATGAAACAGGATGAAGGACCTGTGATCCATTTCAGAGTTTCTTCTATTTTCTACTCCTCACCTAATTGATTTCATCATTTAAGTCAAACCCATTGCCAGGTCATATAATGTCAGATTTGCTGTGTGTGTGGAGAATTCTTCCATTGACTTAACTAACAAAGTTTTCTGAAAGGCAAAGGCAATGTGAAAAAGTTTTGTGCTTTCATTACTGTCAAGCTTTTTCTCAGAGGTCACCAATGACAACCTCCTTGCTTGAACATTTACTTCTCTTACTTCTTTGTGACACTGAATGTGGCTGATCGAGGACCCCTGTCTTGAAAGTCTGTCCCCTCTGGTTTTCATGGCATGATAATTTTCTTCTCTACTTGCTGACACTTCTGCCCAGTGTCCTTTGTTTGCTTCTCTTTATTGCCCACTCCCCAAGTGTAAGTGATCTAAAAATGGACTTTGGAGCCTTCCTTTCCCTTTGCTCTTTTCTCCTCATTATTTGCATGTGCCCTTTTGCTTTCCCGCGGCTTTAAGCATGGTTCACTACCCGGAAAGGATTTACTACACCAGACGCTTCCTGGGCTTTCTACCTCCTCTCTCCAGTCTCCGCTGCCTTTTTCGGGATTGATTTTCCTGCAGCATAGGTCTGACCCCACCCCTCCCCTGCCCAGAAATTTTATGGCCTCCCACTGTGAACAAAATTAAGTACCGGCACCTCACTTGGATCTTAAACCATTTACATCATGGTCCCAGGATAATGTCCCATTAGGCCCCTGTATCTAGTCTGCATGCCAGCCAAGTGGGCCCACTTGCTGTTCTTCAAGTACATTCTATACTTCCCCTCCTCTGAGACTCCATTTATATTCTTCTTTGCACTATAATTGTGTCAACCCTATGTCCTGGTTTCCCTGGGTCAGTTCTGGATTATTTCTTTTGTCTTGGTATTAATATTATTAATCCTCCCATTTCACATTCAAAAATAGTAGTTTGAATGATAAATTACATGATGGCCCTACCTGTAAAGCTCTTCCACTTGTTGCTTCTCTGAGTCTTATTCCCAGTGTCCACTCTGTTTAGCTTTGCTTGTGATCAACATAACCCTGTCCTTTCAAGCCATGTGCCATGTGAAAACATCAACTTTTGTAAGACTTTCTTCCTCTCTCCCCATCCTACTGTCCCTAATTTAAGGTATTCTCTTCCTACTGTCAATCCCTACATTTACGGTATTCTCTTCCTACTGTCAATCCCTACATTTACCAACATGGCATTGCAATTATTTGTATTTATAGATAGTTATTTGTATATTTTAAATTTTATCTTCTATGGTACTTCACAGGTTCAGGGTCTTTGTAACGATTAAATTGCTTTCATCTGCAAATAACAGAAAACTCGGACTTAGATATTTAAACAATTAGGAAAATTTATTCTGTCACATAACAAGCAGTGTTAAGTTAGGATGGCTCAGAAATGACTAATTCAATATCTGAACAATAGGTCAAAGATCCAGGTGTCTCTTCTCTGTCCACTCTGCTACAGTATGTGTCTGTTCTACCCTGGGCTGACTCCCCTCGTGATTGCACAACGATTGCCCTTTTTCTAAACTTCACATCCAAACATAAGGATGTCTAGCTTTAAAAAAAGTATTCTGTGAGTCCCTTTAAAAGAAATAAACTCCTATTTCAGAAGCATCCATCCCTACCAGAAGTCTCTTCATGCTTCATTGGGCAGAATCTCACGCCATGCCCAGGCCTACACTAGCCCCAGATCAGGGCCATCAGGACCTGACAAATCATTCATCACTTGAGGCAAAAGATGGCCCTGACTCCCCTGAAGATCATAGCCATTCAGTAAGGTTGGTAACTGAACAAAATTAAGGCTGTTTGAGAAGGAAAGATAATTAACATTGATTAGGCCAACAACATTGCTACTTATAAGTTTAAGTTCAATTAATAATTATTAAATAGAGCTTTAGTTTGACTTCAGAATGTAAAGGATTTTGATTTACCTCAATATTCTAATGGTATCATAAATTATAAAAACTGATGTTAAATAGGCTTTAAACAGTATCAGTACTGCACATAACAGGTTCACTTTCATATTGTTTTACTTAAGTTCATACGGGGAGATTATAATTAAGATTTTGAAAGAAAACTTGATTGAGATTTTAATAGCCATCTAAAACTGCTGGCCAGCAAACTGTGTTCAGAATTGCTCATTAAGTAGAATTGTTTTCTGTTGCTTTTTGAGGCAATGTCTAAGTATTTGTTCATAGAATTTCAAATATATATTGCAAATTCACCATTTGGTATTGGATTGCAGAATTCTCAGATATCTGCCAGCTGTGAAATGTGACAAACAATTGGTTAAAAAATTGTGATTTTGAAATGTCTTATAGTACCAAGGGGAGCTTGGGAAGAGAGGCTGCTAAATGAGGATCCCTGCCTCTCACACCCTTTATGAATTCTTTCTTCTCATTGAGGGTTCGTTTGGGCCCAACACCACTCATGATCCTCCATAGTTAAGTCAGAGGTGGCAGCTGGAGAATGTAGCACAGAAGTTAGTATGTATTCTGCAAATGGGGGCTCATTCAAGCCTCTGAATTGTTGTCACCAGTCAGAAACACAGATGGTCCCAGTGGTGAGACCATGGGGGGAGCCTTGCCTGTTCTGTGTCAACATGAGAACTCTTAACATGAAAATATTCATCACAATGAAGGGGTCAGAAAGACTAATTCTGTTTTTGAATGAAATGGAAAGAACAGAACAGAGAGAGTCTGCTTCTAAAAATTTCACTGGGCATTGCTGCTCAGAGTTGTAGACCTTGGTGCCAGGGGGCTTGCAGCTGGCATTTTATGTTCTCAGCAACACTCATGCTAACTGCTGGGATGTGATGACTCTCAATATTTTAGCAGCCCACAATAGGACTCAGTAGAAAAGCAGAATCTAAGATTGTGCATGATTTGGACATTTGGACAAATATTCACAAGGATGAAGGGGCTGGATAGGATAGATTGCCTTACAAGTATAAAAGTCAAGGATTCCTATCTCAGAGTTCAAAAAAAATGGAAATGCTAATCTGAATCTTGAAGGGAGGGGAAATCAGATAAAAACTGAGTAAGTTATATGTGAAAGAGATAGTGTAGTCATACTTTTTTTTTTCCTTAACATTTATAATCAATAGGAAAGCTTACATACCACTTCTATGGGCTTCTGCTATGCTGTGCAACATCTGCAAATAAATATATAATCATTATTGCTTTGAGATGTAATATGAATATGTAACTCTTCTCCAAAGTTTATTTTTCATAAATGAACTTCCTGTTAATATTATCTGAAATCATGTTATTTTCTTCACCTCTCACCAAACTGCCCCATCACCAATATTTCAAAAGACATTTTGGAGTAGCAGGCTGCTTCTAAAAATAAGATGTAGTAGTCTGGGAAAACACTGCAGAAATGAACATTCCAGGCCTCATCACACTGCCCACCAATACACACTTTGTTCTCTACTCCTCGTTTGAATAAATGTCACTGTTTATTAGAGCATCTTATTGGTTTATCAAGCATTTTTTACGCTTTATGCAGAAAAGCTTATTGGAAGAAATTATACTGATAAGTGCAGAAGTTCAGATAAAAAGTTTTAACTTTTCTTCCTAAAATAAAACAAAATAATAAAATATTATAATGTCAAGTTTGACATTGAGTGATAAAGTAGGTTAATATGTATCTCATAAAGTGCTTTGACTCCATTCCTACAAAAATCTCTTATGATGAATATAATATTAAAATTGAAGTCAGACTGTCAGATCTGTCATTTACTAGCTGTGAGACCTTGGGAAAATTACTTAACCTCTTTGTGCCTCAGTTTCCTTACCTGTAAAATGAGGTAATAATATCAACCTCATAGGGGAGTTGTGAGGACCAAGTCAAGTTAATATATGTAAGATGTTTACAACAGTACTTGGCCTAGGGTAAATGCTGTTTGTCACTTTTTAAAATGACAAGGAAAGGGAATATATTTATGAATTTATATAATAAATATACATATATATTATAAACTGAAATTAAAGGCATTTGGAATAATAATCTGATTTCTAAATATATTTCCCATTGTGTATTAGAAACCCTTAAATTGGCTTGCATAATAAATTCAACCCATTCCAAGCTGTTAGAGTTTCACATTTAAATTATAATTGCACCTTTTCCTAGTACATGTGAGCAGTAAGCTGGAAAGCTGCATTTATCCCAAGCACAAATGAGACCAGACTGCAAAATGAGTTTATGTTCCAAGACTCATTCATTTATTTTTGGGTTTCAATCATGCTTTTCTTTGTGTATTCTCATCAAACATTTTTAATGGCTTGGTAAAATATAAGGATTTCCTATGTAATCAACATTTACTCTTCCTGTGAAAGTGTTTTAAAAATAAAGTCCTTCAAATGTCTAGTTCTTTTTCAGTAAAAATGAGTGGCCTTAAAAGACATTTGTTCTGGCAGTCTGTTTAAAGATGGGAGAGATGAAAGCCAAGAAACCCAGAAGAAGATGGCCTCAAGGGAATGATCTGTATGATGAATTTGAAATTGCAAGGAATACTGTTTCTGCTTTCTTAGGCAGAGCTGTCACCTCAAAAGCCTATTTTCTTGAAAAGGAGAGTGTTACTCAGAGTATCACGGTTTAGTCAATTGAATATATATTCCCTGAATGCAGTGGCAGGGCACTTACAGGTGACCACTGTACAACAGAAACATGTACTTTGGAACTGAAGACATCTCAACCATATGACAACATAGATTTTTTCTGAACTAGCAAAAAGAAAGAAAGGAAGGAAGGAAGGAGAAAAAGAGGTAGAATTTACTGTTTGCTACCAGACATTGGCAAAGAGCCACCCCACTGATTCAGGTCCCTGATAATTCTCCCCAGATACAGTTGTCAGAGACAATCTAAGGAAGTCCAGTGAGGAAAAGTATAGGTCTTCCATACTGTAAGAAAAAGAATGTCATTCTTTCTAAGCCATAGATCCAAAAGGTCAGGTAAATCCTTATATCCTCCCCTAGCCACTTCTGCTGCGCATAAATCTCAAAACTCTACTTAAATGCCTTTTTAGTTTCCTACCTGGGTTACCTTTTAGAATCATATTTTTTCTCTCCCATTGTGTGAATTAATATTTGCTCTCTTTTATTTTAAACTTCCCTCTCTTCTTTTTCTAATAACCAGGGAAGTGGTGAATGAGTTTTTCACTTTCTAAAGACAGCATTTCTCAGCTTTACTTTTGCCTTCTGAAGACCTCTAATTCTTTTCTCTGTCATATAATAGCTACACTAGACTATCTTTCCTAAATTTAAGTTTCTGTCCTCTAGAAAGGAAGACTTTTACTTTTGCGTGTTCCCTGTAGTGTTTCTGAGATGCTAGCTCTACCAGATATTTAGGATTGTCCCTGGAATATATATTTCTAAGCTCAAATAAGTTTGGAAAACACTGGACAATAAAGTTAACAATTTTCTTTAACAGATTGTCATGCTTTTGGTTCATACAGGGAAAGTAGTTGGGAGGAAACTATACTCATAAATTCAGAATTTCATACGAGAAAGCTTAAGCTACTCGGCCTTTCTTCCTAAAATGAAGCAAAATAATCAAATATTATAATGTCAAGTTGAACTCCAAAACTAGACTGCATGGGATTGGGTCTGGCTTTGTATCTTAGTAGCTAATGACCTTACACAAGTCATATAATCTCTCTGTGCCATTGTGTCCTTATCTATATGCTGAATACAATAAAATGATGCCATCATGGGGCTGCTGGAAATTATGAATCTTTTTACATTTTTTAAATTTTTTTTTCACTTTTATGGGTACATAGTAGATTTATATATTTATGGGGTACATGAAGTATTTTGATACAGGCATACAGTGCCAAGTAATATAATTTATAAATGTTGATGAACAAGTAAGGTTTTAGCTGATGTTTTTTCACCAGAATTTTTTTTCCTAGAAAATATCACTTAACATCCTGCTACATAAATATTATTTGAGAAACATTGACCTAGGGACAGTTAAATTTTGCTTGTGCTTAAAAGGTTTATTTCTAAAATCTCCATCATCTTTAAGTCCCAGAGAGTATTTAAATTTTATCATATTGCTTTTTTGTTGTTGATAAAGAAGAGGGGAAAATGATTCTAATGGGTATTTTAGAAAAACTGGAAAGCTTACTAATAACCCACATACTAATTTTTTATTAATTATAAGCTCGCTCTTTTGAGGAATGATAGGTACATTATAACAGTACTGGCCAACAGTAGATCTGTGAACATGGAGACATTGACTTTATATATTAAAATTAAAAACAAACTATAAGTATATAACATGAGTGTATTCATTTTCCTTAGAGCTTATGTTTGCTACCTTTATGTGAGTGGTTTGGCAAAGCATAAACATCATGTAAAGTTTAATCAGCAGCATTTGTTTTTGCTAGGGAAGTGTTTGTTAATGGTTTCACCAGCTTTTTGTCATTTAAAAAGAATGCTCGTAGCTTGTGAATCTTGGTGTTCTTGTTCAGCAAACTGAATCTCCTTTTTCTGTATCTTCCCACTGACCCTCATCTACATGTGCAGTGAAAGATTAGTGTCAGGACTTTTACTTTATCCCAAATGATCAAACAACTCTATTACCCTATTCTAGGCATCCCAGACTCCTTTACTCCCTTACCAAAAACACTAATCCATCGCAGATACGACTTAGAAAGAGCCTTCAGGGCTACCTAATAATGACTAAAATTTACGTAGTGCTTACTCTGTGCCAGCCCCTTTACTATGAATGTTATAACAATAACCTCATTTCTATGAATGTTATAACAATAACCTCACAACAGCCCCATGATGGCATTATTTCTATTGTTTCCATTTTGTATGATAACATTGAGGTGAAGGGAAGTTATATGACTTAATTAATTAATTAATTAAGATCATTCAGCTAATAAGAGGCTGAAAAAGATTGGATAACTTTCTGCCAGATTGTTTCAAAAAGGGGCACTGAGTTTCTTTTTGTGCAAGTTTTGGTGAGTTGCACACTCAGTTGTCAGTTATCACTTACCCCTAATCTCATCCCTTCTTCATTTATTTACTAGTATTTTTACATGTGTCTGTACTGGCACATGCATGCATAAATAAGTGCAAGCTAAGTTGTAAGTTTCTTTGATGGCCTCCCCATTTTAAACATAGTGAGCCATGCAGTAGACTCGCAGAGGATGTGAGTGGCCTTCCTGGGTGCTGAGCATTGGTTAAGTGAGCCATCCTTCTCAGGACAGTTCATCTCTTCATATTTCACTTAAAATATCTAGAAAGTGAGAGTGTTGGATTTGTTTTTACTTTAGGATTTATTTAACCTCTCTTTCTATAGTCCCATCCTTTTATTGCAATACCTAGAATAGCTCTTTGCACAGTACAAGTACATAATAATTATTTGTTTGAATCAGTATCTAAAAATCCCTTTTAACATAATCTTGACAAATTTACAATGTAATAAAAAGGAGTTTTAGACACCTTGAAATATCTTATAGAGCTTAGAGAACTTGTTGAAACACAGATGGCCAGACCCCCACCCCCAGAGTTCTTGAGTCAGTAGGGGTGGGGCCCGAGAATGTGCATTTCTGTCAAGTTCCCAGATTGCTGATACTGTTGGTTCAGGGACCACATTTGAGAGCTACTGTCTGTAGAGCTCTCAAAATAGACATATATCTTTCCCAGTTGAAAAGTGAGTTAATAAGCTCATCCCACCCAGTGGGTGGGATGGCAGCTTCATGTGTTTCTTATCCTCTGGTATCTGCATTTTAACAGGGGTCTCCTAAAGACTGCGAATCTTAACTCAAAGGTTCAGATCCGCAACTCAAAGGATCAAATCCAATTCTTGACCTCATATCCTTCCATCAAAGCGGCCTTTGTCCCTCCACTTCCCTTAACTGTCCTCTCCCCAGAATATTAGGGCTTCCTGGTTGCCACATCCCCACAATTATAACCACGGCTAGTAACATATATAGGTTACTTTATTCTTTATTTTCTTCTTCTGTAACTGGATTTTAATAATAGCATCTACCTCATCAGATTGCTTTGAAAATTAAATTGGCCAATATTTGGAAAGCACTTAGAACAGTGCCTAAAACCTAAGCCCTATTTACATGAACAGTGTAAATGAGCTTTTATTATATGTTAAATGTTTCCCAAATTTTCCTCTCAGGACATCACCTTCATGACTTAAATCATAGCTGCATACCAACTCAGCTAGCATTCATTTTTTCTTGAAATCAGTTCACTTTACTAACAAATTATTATAAAAGAATACATTCTATTATTACTACAAATGGAAAACCAGTATCACTTGGTAAGTAGAAGGGAACCATAAAATAAATACAAAAAAGCCTACATTGTTTTAAAAATTCTAGCCAGGCATTGTTTTCTGGAAAAGACCCTGAGACTGATACTTGCTCTCTCTCTTTTTAAAAACAGGGAAATTAGCAAGTTCCAGTTTCTGTAACAAATAAAACCCCACATTTCACTGGATTCACACATTCAGAGTTTAAAGTTTAGGTGTGTCCCATGACTGTACTTCTGTGGATTCATTTTGCTTTTTGGATATTATTTCACACATCTCTGAAGGATGTGAAACACATGCCAAATACTATCACACTGATTACATAACTTCTGTTTCACTGCATTACATCTGAAATGGTTTTCTTGTACCAATTTCAAATCAATGATGCATGGATATCTTTGAGTTACCACCAGTTAGAGGGGAGAGGAATTTCTAATTGTGTGCTTATAAATGAAAACATAGAGCTATTTGGAGTTTGACATTTGATGAAAATCTACAGCGATTTTCTCTTCCTAGTAAAACTTCAGTATTTTGTCATCAAGGACTGTAGATCACAAAGTTGGACTATGCATAACAAAGGTTGAGGTATGAGAACAAAGTGATGTGCACATCCTGGAGACATTTATGATTCACACCTGCATTCTTGTAGGTTGCTATTCATCAGCAGAATGGGGCTTTTTACTCATTACCAAAGACGGTAATTGATTAAAATAAAAAAAAGGGCTAGATACCAGACCTGTCCTCAAAGACATGATGGAGACTTAGTTGCGTCATTAGGAAGGAGCAGACAGTGTGTAGATCCAGCTTGTTAGGCAGGGCAAGATTCGAGGAGCTTCATAGTGTTCAACACTGGGATTAATAAAGCATAATGTAATGTCCAGCAAGGGGATGAGGTGTAATAAGGAATGTGATACTCAAGTTTGAGAAGGTCTGTCAGTGGGGTGCAAGGCTTCTATCAGGTTGGGGTTCAGGAGCAGATCTCTTCCTCCCAATGAGGTAAACTGTCAGATTGCAATAGGGAGGGGACTGTGACTAAGAAACACCACAATTGCTCAGACCCAGCTCTGAGTGCATAGATAAAGTAGTGAGGCCAGGTGCAGTGGTTCATGCCTGTAATCCCAGCACTTTGGGAGGCTGAGGCGGGCGGACTGCATAAGCCCAAGAATTCAAGACCAGCCTGGGCAACATGATGAAATCCCATCTCTACCAAAAAAAAAAAAAAAAAAATCAAAAATTAACTGGGCATGGTTGCACATGCCTGTAGTCTCATCTACTCAGGAGGCTGAGGCAGGAGGATTGAGTCCAGGAGGTCGAGGCTGCAGTGAGCTGTGATTGCACCATGGCACTCCACCCTGGGCAACAGAACAAGATCCTGCTTCCAAAATAAATAAATAAAGCAGTGAAAGCCCTTCAGTATTAGTTTCTGAGCCCTTGGTGGGCATCTCATCACATTCTATATCAGATTGATAAGGACTATGAACAGTCACTAATCTTCCTTGGAGGTTGTTTGAGGGCTTCCTGTACAACTGGGAACAGACAGGTGCTTTGCCTCTCTTGGCAGAGTAGGAGTAGGGATGGGTTGAGTTTAGTGAGCCCAGATGAGGGGAGCTGGAAGGCAGATGTAAGAGAAACGAGGTAAGGGTTGACAGCTCTGCACTTACTGTGCCAGCCTGCCCTCTGTCTACCAGCAGAGTCCTTTTTTCCCTCCTTTTTCTTTCATGTCCCAAGCAATGGAGAGTTTTTGCTGAGGTGGGGGAGGAGTACCTCCGTGAAAGGCTGATCCATGGGAGGCCCGTTGATCCTTCCCACTGGGACCACAGGTGTCCTTCCCAAGGTTCTGCTTCTTTCTCCTCCTCTATAGACAGCTGGTGCCTGTGGGAGGCAGGAGGGGCCCTGCTGCTTCTCAGTCGATCTCAGTTAACACTGTTCATCATCTCAACTCTGTCTAGAAACAGCTTTCATTGGTTGGTTCACAGAAGAAAGGAAGTTTTATCAAAGAAAACTGTGAAGTGACAAAGCTTTTAGCATCTCCATCTCTGGCTTCTGTGACCTGGAAATCTCATATTTTCCACTCCCAGCGGGGAAAGCAAACCAGTTATGCTCGTTGCCCCAGGGATGCTTTGGGAATCTAGTGAAAATGGTAGCGCGTGATTCCAGAATTAAGAACCCCTTCTTGATAAAGGTGAGAAAACGACCAAAACACCAGATCCTCAATGGCACCTAAGAACCAAGGATATGCAAAGAAGACATGAAGACATTTCAGTGAAAAGAGTGTCTCAAAAAATTGCAATGGAGTTAGAAAGGGTGATGTGAATGTTTTTGGTATTTGTTGGAAGACTGGCTTGTGTGTTAATAGGATCAGGAAAATCTTTTTTTCTATACTCGGCTTTCTTATACCTGGACAGCAGAGGAGTCCAGAGGTCCTTATGAGGTGCTTTGTGCCCTATCTCCTATCTTTTGAAACTGTAGAGATGCTAGGAATGTGGTAGGACTCCAGGGTGTGACCTGTAAGTGGGCAGCAGGGACTGACCTATCTTAACTTGGAAAAGCTGGAGGAGAGGCTCACAAGTTCCCAGGCAGAGGCTGTGGTCAAAATAAAACTCTGAACTTGGATTCAGACTCTGGCTGTGCCGGTTACCATGTGACTCAGGCATGTTCAATCTCTCTCTCTCTCTGTCTCTCTCTGGAGGTTTCCTTATCTATGGAGATGGGAAGATTGAACTGCATTCTCTTCATTCATACAGTATTCATATTTATTGTCAGTCACTGTGCTATAATAGTAGAAGTTTAAAGATAAATGTTATGCAATCCTTACCTCAGAGAGGCTCTCAACTGAGTGGAAGACACAGATGTTACTGATACTTATAAACGCATATGCAAATTATCATAATAAATGTACAACGTGCCATTGGAACACAGAGAAGGGAATGATGAACTGCACCAGGAATAGAATAAAGTTGCAATAGAATAGGCAATATGTAAATCATGTCTCAAGCACAGAACCATGCACTGCCTACCAAGATATACTAAGCCATGGACCAAGCATAAAAACCTGGATGTATGGAAATACTGGATATGTTGGAGAATGAAAATGCTTAGCTGTGACTAGAGCACAGAGTGTCTGAAGGCTATGTAGGAATTGCTGAAGCTGTAAAAGATAGGTTTAGGCTCAGCAGTAAATGATCTCTTATGAAATTTTAGTTAATCCACAAGCTATGAGGACACACTGAAAATTGTAAATAGAAAATGTGGGGCTGGGTGTGGTGGCTCATGCCTGTAATCCCAGTGCTTTGGGAGGGTCGCTTCAGGCCAGGAGTTCAAGACCGGCAACATAGCAAGACCTGATCTCTCTACAAAAACTAAAAATAAAAAATAAAAGAAATTAATTGGGCATGGTGGCACATGCCTCTAGTAGTTAGTCTTAGCTACCCAGGAGGCTGAGGTGGGAGGATGGCTTGAGTCCAGGAATTTAAGGTTGCAGTGAGCCATAACTGCACCCCTGCACTCCAGCCTGGGTGACAGAGGGAGACCCTGTCTCCAGAAAAAGAAAAGAAAATTTGGATTATACAAAATTTGCTTTCAATAAACCAATCTGACAGTAACAGTTTGAAGAGCAGAGAAAATGGAAGCACAAAGGCAAGTTCTGAGTATGCTTTAATGCAGGAAAAAAGTGAAGAGGGACTGGATTTTAAAATGGAGGTAGTGATAAAAGTGGTCTTATTTGAAATAGAATTAAGATATATAATCAACAGGATTTAGCAATTGATGGAGATTCAGTTAGAAGGAATAAGATCTCTTGTGCAACATGGTGACTATAGTTAATAAGAATGTAGTGTATACTTAAAAATTGTTAACAGAGTAGATTCTAAGTGTTTTCACCACAAAAAATGCTAATTATGTGAGGTAATGCATATGTTAAATAGCTTGATTTAACCATTACATAATTCACATATTTCACAACATTATGTTGCACACCATAAATATATATAATTTTGTGTCAATTAAAAATAATATAAATAAAAGCAATTGATGAAAAGAGACAAATGAAGGAACTGGAGGTGTCAGCATGATATGTAAATGTATGAGAGTTTTAGCTTGAGTCCAAGTAGAAATTGAATGGATTAATTGAGATGGTGACACAGAAGAGCAGGAGGAACACATGGATTTTATTTTGGATGTAAAGGCTGTGTGGCCTTCCAATAGGTAGATATGAGCATGTTGAGATGTCACTGTTTAATAGGTGGATGGAGACCTGCATCTGGGGTTTAGGGGAAATATGCAGATTTAGGATTCCTTAGTGGAGCAGGGGATGGTAAAGTCTTAGGAGGAATGAAGTCCACCAGGGAGAGCTTCTGTCAGGAAAAGAGAGCCAAAATAAAATGCCAGATAATATAGAACTTAGGTCTGTAACTCACTGACGAGAGCCTCTGATTCAAAATCAAGAGGAAAAAGAGAAATATATACCTTAGAGTCAATATGACCTGGTATTAAATTAGCCATAAGGACAGACATATAGGGCAGTAGAAAATGAAAATTCCCTACTTTGTGCCTAGTACTGTGCTAAGCTTAGGAAGAAAGAATAGATATGAATATCAATTATTAATGGAAATATAAACTGCATACAATTACATATATATTAGACTGTTTACTAATGCCATTGGCTTTAATAGCGACATTGCTATTGTTAATGATGCTCTTGTTGCCAATAATTTTTTCAACAGTTATGACAGTGGTTAACATTTACCAAGTGCTACCTACTGTGCCTCTGCCTTCAAGGCAAACTCAATCTACTTTAGCCTCTGTTGAGGTCAAGCTGAGAGCTAATAGGAAAAAGGTTACCTCCTCCTCTCCAAATGCGTTCTAGTTGGAGTTGTTTTTGAATTCTGTATATTTATCTAATAACAAGCTTTAAGTGTAGTAAGGATTGCACCCTATCTTTGATGCTGTGTATGTTTATATTCTCCTAGAAGCAATTATCAAGTGAGATTAGAAGTACAAGAGTTGTTAGAAAAAACATCTGTGAAAAACAGAAGTTGAGGGGTAAGCCAGAGACAGCAAGGAGAGCCTTCAGACTGTGATGGAGGTCTGTCCCCTGTGCGTGAGAGGGAGAAAGAAGGAAGACTGGGTGGGAAACACTTCAGACTAGGTTAGGTAGTCTCATTGGGGTAGTGGGATTGTATAGGAAACATGGCTCCAACAAGGATTTGGTCAGGCTCATGGAGAATCTTTGAACCAAAATTGCAAATTGGAGGTATCCCATGTTTCAGAAGATTAGGTTCACTCCCACCATGCTTAGTCATTGGCTAGGAGGAGCCTGTAGAAGTGTGGCCTCAGCATGGATACAGTATTGGATCCAGAGGAGCGCAGCAGCCGGGGCCATCTGTGTGTAAACATCTCTGCAGTGGGAGATTTGAGTGATGTGTTTCATTGCCACCACAGATTCTCTCAGTGACTCAGTGACACTTCTTCCTAAGTGTTCTCCTAGCATGTATTGTCCAAACCAGTCAAATAAAGCTCAGCCTATGCAACCTTGTAGCATTATTAATCAATTTGCTTGTGTCTACCCTGTTAGATTATAAACCTTTCTTCAAACATTAGTGTCTAGCACTGTGCCCTTAACTCAGAAGGCATTTACATAAATACATTCATCATAATTATAATTATTTTATTTTCATTATTTGAATTTATCTGAGAGCAGGCTGGGCACGGTAGCTCGTGCCTGTAATCCTAGCACGTCGGGAGGCAGACGCGGGTGGATCACCTGAGGTGAGGAATTCGAGACCAGCCTGGCCAACATGGTGAAACCCCATCTCTACTAAAAATACAAAAATTAACCTGGTGTGGTGGCATGTGCCTATAGTCCCACCTACTTGGGAGGCTGAGACAGGAGAATTGCTTGAACCTGGAAGGAGGAGGTTGCAGTGAGCCAAGAGTGCGCCACTGCACTCCAGCCTGGGTGACAGAGTGAGACTTCATCTCAAAATAATAATAATAATTATTATTATTATCTGAGAGCAGTAAACAATTGGAGTTTTAACTCAGGAAGTTGGGTGGGGGAAGTTAAGAGAGAATATGGTTTTGATGAGGGGTTCCATGGATATCACAGTGAGCTGTGGGGGAAACAGAACTAGGGTGTGTGAATTAGACATACCCTTGGAGGAAAGCAGACACCTAGGCATATGCATTTGATGAGATGAAGTCCAAGTAGGTGGACAGAATACAGTATCCAGAGAACATGCTGGAAAGAGCTAGTCTAGACCAAGAACTGGCCGGAGGGTCCAGCAAGATGTGATGGACAGGCATTTGACATCGGCGTCTAATGACAGCAACTCTCTGTTTGAAAACTACCTTCTCTACCCACAGTGACATTTTCATGTACCATAACATACCTTCTTAACCTTGGCTCATCGGACTGAGGGAGATGCCTTATCTCAACCTAAACCTCCTGGGAATTTGGAATTGAGGTTTGGAAAATCTTATCAGTTGAACTGTTTCCTTGGACCGAGCTGACAAATTCAAGATAAGCTTCTTGAAGACAACTGGGGAAATCATGTATGCTCGGAATCAGGAGCACTGGCTGGCAGAAAGGCATACAAAGAGAAACTGAGATGAAAGACAGTATGACTCCAGGGAAAGAGGGAGAATGAAATGGTGACAGCTGTTGCCTGGATTCCTGAGGACTTTCCATTCATGGGCCTAATCCCCAAGCTCCCTGCCCTTCAATTCTGAGGAAACTAACTGTAGAATAAACTTACTATTTTAGTTAACATAGTTCAAGTGGGTTTCTTATAGTAGCAGCCAAATGACAGTGACTGAGAAACTGTTCTGGCAGAAATGCTCAGGACACAAATCGGAAATTCCGCAAGGTGAAATGTGCTGAGATGCAGGCAAGCAAGAGGTCAGCATTAGAAAGCCACTGGGAAGAGAGCCCCGGGAAAAGTGGCCCCAGCAAGGCAGTTCTTGGTCTGTTAAGACCCTGGTAACTAAAAAGAATTATCAAGTCAGGGACTTCATATACAGGCTCCAGTTTTAGGAACTAGGTACAGGATAGATCCTTCATCATAGGAACAAGCCAGAAGTTGGTTTTTAGAAGTCAGGCAAAAGATTAATAGCAGACTAGGACATTCTGATCTATTGAAGCTGACGGTTTTTTGAAAATGTGATTCCTTTATGCATTAAATAAGAATTATTGGGTACCTACTACATTCTAGGGAGTTTAGCATGGTAGCCTGAGTTGGGGTGCAGTGTACCATGGGTTGGGGCCTGCCAGGGGATGGAGACCCCGTGGAAGCTGCAGTGGAGAAGAGGAGGCTGAGAGGGCAGCCATCATGTGCAGAGCCGGTCAGCTCATGAAGTGGAGTGGATGATGCATTGTTAGAATTTGAAACATTCTGTGGTAAAACAGACCCAGAAGAAGTTGAATCTGAAAACCCAGAAAGCATCATCATGGTAATCTCTTTCAAGGTGCACTGAAGAGGAGGTAGGACATGAGAAAAACGTTATTCAGAAAGAGAGATAAGGTATCAAACACACAGTTCATCTACTTATCAGATTCTCCAGATACTCATGAAAAATAATTCTTGTGCATCCTTTGGCTGGATGAACTGTTTCATCACACATCCGCTCTACTTCACCAATGCCAGAGTTAAAATTCAGGAGGAAGTTGGAAGTTCTTATCTCTCCCAACTCAATCCACTCTCACCAAATAGGCAAGACTAGTCTCTTTTAATTTAGTTCCACTCAATGTCTTCTGATTTAACATTGAACCCTGGCTTACTTGAAAAAAAAGTATAGTTAAAAAAAGAAAGAGGAAAAGGGGGTAGAAAGAAGGATGAAAGTGAAGAGGTATCTCATAATCTTTTATTCACACTGGGGTAAAAGTAGGTCAAACACCTAATCTCCTGTAACCTCCTTCTCTACCTCACACTTTCTATTTTGAATATCTTGTAATCATAGATACTACTTTTCATAGAGATCCCAAAAGCATTTCCCCAGGGAATGTCAGGGACTCCCTGTATAGCATGTTAATTAAGCTTGACAAGACATAATAAAAGCAAACTTCACAATGACAAATTAGTAGACACACTGTTAGCTCCAGTTTCTTTTAATCTTATTTCTCATGCTGTTGTTCATAGTATTAGAGAGAAATTTCTTCTTGGCTTCTGACTGGCCTTAAAAAGAACACATTATTTAACTTCCCTAAATCTCCATTTCCTCATTTGTAAAATGGAATATTAATACTTCCTGTAATACCTTACTAGGTGATTTTGAGGACCATGTATAAAAATCACTACCAATGGTACAAATATGGTTGTAAGATAGCCAGGTCCTTTAATAAGTCAACAGAGTAGAGCAAAGCATCTGTAACAGAACCTTGTTCTTGGGCAACTCACTTGTGTTCCAAGTCTTGGTGTTTCTTTACTTGTAAAAGGGTAGGATGCTATTCCTAGTTTCATATGGTTTTAATGAAGATCAAAATAACATTTATACTAAAGTATAAGTAGTATATTATGACAATTCCTAGTAATGTCTCAGAACAGGAGGCTCTCAAAGTCAAAGGTGTGCAGATTTATTTTTTCTTATTTATAAAAGTATTAATATGATTTTAAATTAGTATGTGTGTATCAGATGCCTTAAAAATATTTGCATGGAGAATCTGTTGTGAATTCTGTAGCAGAGTCAAAATTAAATAAGACACAGTAACTTAAAAAAATAAAACATGGAATTTAATTACACATAAAAATAAATGAGTGCTTCCTTACATATCTTTTGTATATTTTATTTTTTTAATTAAGACTTTTAGGAAACAAAAATGTTGTCTATTTTTGTTCATAATTTTTCTTTTTATTTATTTATTTATTATTATTATACTTTAAGTTTTAGGGCACATGTGCACAATGTGCAGGTTAGTTACATATGTATACATGTGCCATGCTGGTGCGCTGCTCCCACTAACTCGTCATCTAGCATTAGGTATATCTCCCAATGCTATCCCTCCCCCCTCCCCCAACCCCACAACAGTCCCCAGAGTGTGATGTTCCCCTTCCTGTGTCCATGTGTTCTCATTGTTCACTTCCCACCTATGAGTGAGAATATGTGGTGTTTGGTTTTTTGTTCTTGCGATAGTTTACTGAGAATGATGATTTCCAATTTCATCCATGTCCCTACAAAGGACATGAACTCATCATTTTTTATGGCTGCATAGTATTCCATGGTGTATATGTGCCACATTTTCTTAATCCAGTCTATCATTGTTGGACATTTGGGTTGAGAAAAATATGGTTTACATACATACGGACAAGGCTATAATCAAAGGATCTAGGAAATCGATTATGGCTCTGTTTTACATTGAGATTATTACCATTCAAAGGGGCTCCATTTTACATTTTTAAAATAAAAATATTTTACATTTATACTGGTTAAATTCTAATATTCCTTAATCTTTTATTTTCTTTCAAGATAATAGTTGGAGAAACTGCTGTCTTTTGCCTACAACTAGCCACAAGGGATTTTGAAAACCAGGAAAAAACTATTTTAACTGGAGACTGTTGCTATATAAACCCGCTGGTGCGCCGAACTGTCCGATTTCTTGGTATGTGTTCATTAAATTATTTTTAATATTTCTGAAACAGTGTCTATGTGTAAGCTAAACCTTAAAATAACCCACATGTTAACTGTTTGCAAATATTAGGGGTTTTTTTCTTTGAAATGTTTCAATTTGCTTTTAAAAATAAACATTACACACTGCTTGGGTGATGGTTGTATCAAAATCGCAGACATCACCACTAAAGAACTTACTCATGTAACCAAACACCACCTGTTCCCCTAAAATCTACTGAAATAAAAAATAAATTAAAAAATTTAAAAATAAACATTACATACTACCTTCTCTTTAATATAGCAAGATCCCACTTTAGGATGTCATTTCCACATTCTTTTAAGGAAAAAAGAACACCACCTTTGGATGTTTAATATTCTTTAAGAGCCAAAAATTACGTGATTACTGTGTTTATGAAAATCTTTGAACGGTACTTAGTGGGAGGGTGGTGATAATCCAGGTAGGTTGTCGAACATCACGAAGGATAAGAAAAACAACTTGGAAAATAGAAGAAATGTAGCACTCCATGCACTACTTCTAAGTTGATTTTTATATAAACAAAAAAGTATTGGGGATTTTATTAGAGGACAAGATTCACTAATAATTTAACTTTCAATCTCAAATACTAGCAATAATAAATATATGCATGAATGAATTATTGAAAATCATTTTAATTCAGGACTTAGCCTAGACCCATTTTTTAACTGACGCAATACAATTTAATATAAATAATTGTTTCCTGGATTTATCAGATAAAAATAAGTGTATATGCTAAATGCCATTTAAGATAAATTTTTATTAGTATTAAGAGATGCACTAAAGATAATGTAACTCTTCAACATAGTTCTCATATTGAAGGGAACTCTTCCACATATTTCTCATATTGAAGGATTCAGGATGAAGACTTTGAAGATATTATGCATAGATCACCTAATCTATCTATAAACCCATTAAAGACTAGCCAAATGTTATCAGGCTTTTGGATCTCTCTGAAGACGAAAGGCCTTCATATCCAAGATTGTTATTTTTACTGACATCAAGTTATGTATCTCCAAAGCCCTCATTTATCCTGTTGAAGGGACAACTTTTATATGAAACCTTAAAAGTTATTTTTTCACATGTATCAATACTGTGTTCTTGACTAATTTCTTTTTGTATAAGTCATTTAATAAAAAAAGCAATATGCAACAATATGCTTAGAATTAAAACTATTTAAAGAAATTGATGCTTTCCTAAATACTGTTAAGCAAATTACATTGTACCTATTTAAGTAAAATATTTTTCTGCATTTGCACACATATTTCTAAAGAATATTTGGCTCAAAGTACAGTATGCTTTTAAGTCTCTGCATGCTTCTTCTTATATGATTTTATAAAATATGAAAGCCCATTTGTTTCTTGTTCCCTTATGGTTTGGATGTTTCTAGCTGTAATAAGTGGAAGCATGTAAGCGAAGCATCACTGTATAATAGTACATCATTCTGTATAGTGACTTTATTCTTTAGGTCAGTGCTTACTTTAGGTAAGCACTTTAGGTAAGTGTAGATACACTTACAGGATCTCACTTTAATAATTTTCTTTGTAGTCAACTACAGTATTAGCCTTGGGCTGATGCACTGACATTTTAATTCCAAACACATTTGGGAACTTTAAAGTGTCAAGAGACATTTCCACATTCTTATCAAATATTTCTCTCTGTTATAAACAGGAAAACCCGTTACACCAAACAGCCTAGATTTCAAAGGTGTACAAATGAAGAAGACTTGTGATTTAGGTTCCCATGCTTGGCCAGGAGATTTTGGAAGAAGTTTTATTGAGCTCAGTTCTCTTTAATTTCTCTTCCTCTTTCAAATTTCTGATTTTGATAACCTTTACTTTGTATGATTCAAACAATGCTGGTGAGATGTTAAGAAAGGGCTTCTTACTGTTTGCTTTTTAGATAAAGAGTGAACTAATATCTTTGTTTCATTCCCATTTGTGTACACATAGAGTTTTGCTGTGTGGGGGTTTTTGTATGTAAACTTTTTGTAATCTTATATAATATTTCAAAAATTTAAAAGAACAGCTATGCATCTAATACTGGAAAATTATTTGATCTGGTACAACTTTTATGGTGATATACTATACAACAGCCAATAATGATGAAAAGGCTTGGGAAACAAATAATCCAGAAATATATGACTAAAAAGAAAAACATCTAACTATTGTAACCTAAGTATATGACATTTTAATAAATCAGTACTTTTAGAAGTATTACTTTGGGATAGTTTTAAAAGGTCCTGTTGGATTTTATTCCCAAAATTATAAAAGGATGAATTTCCTTTCATTGGTACCACATCCTTGAAGATTGTAGCTCTAAGTTTAATTGAAATTAATGCCAAAAATTATTTTGCCCGTATAATAGAAAAATAAGTTTTAACAATAATAACCAATGACTTTGAATTTAGAAAATGTTTTTGGTATTCAAGTAAATTGGCAAGTTCCTTAGCAAAGGAGGAAAAAATATCTACACACTTAGTTCTATACCTTCAGGTAACCAAAGCAAATAAATTTTAAAACTGTAAAAATCATTAATAACCTATAATTTTGATTGCCTTGTTTACTAAATAGCCCACATTGGATCAATTGGAAGCCAGTCCATATAAGATAAGGTGGAAATAAATTACTAGCTGTTCTATGACTTTAAAAAAAATGTGTTTCTGAAGGCAATGTAGAGATTACTCTGAAAGCATTCTGGTTTACTTAAGATTTTCCATATTTAAATGAAAACTGATGGTACTGGATTTACTGCTAATTGGCACCTCCAGCAGCGTTAACATCAGTCTGAATGGGAGTAACAGCATAATCAAAGAGAGACAACTGCTTTGCTTCGTTAGTGAGATAAAAAAATTTTCAAAAAATGGGGGAAAAAAGGAAATTGCTAACATTAGTAGAGCATGATAGACTATACCCTCTCAAGGAACACATGACTCCATGAACAATTGCATTACCCGGAGTCTGAGAATACATGTTCTTATTTTATCTTATGTCTTATAAACCTGCCATGCCCAAAAACCAGTAGTAGACAGAGCAATATTTACCACTTTCACCACTCCAGAAAGCCAAGGAAAGAACTGGAGAGGGATGAAATAAAAGGAACTATGTATATGCATGGAATATTTTATAGTTTCTAAAATATTTCCATTTTGGTTTATTGTAAACTGAAATTCACACACACACACACACACACACACACACACACACACACAAGCAAGAAGTTAAAATTATTTGTTTTCTTCCCCAGGAATTTATACATTTGGACTGTTTGCTACAGATATCTTTGTAAATGCTGGACAAGTAGTCACAGGAAATCTGGCCCCACATTTCCTTGCCCTGTGTAAGCCCAATTATACAGCACTTGGATGTCAGCAGTATACACAATTCATCAGTGGGGAAGAGGCCTGTACTGGCAACCCAGATCTCATCATGAGAGCCCGAAAAACCTTTCCATCCAAAGAAGCAGCTCTCAGTGTCTATGCAGCTATGTATCTGACCGTAAGTAAGGATTATAAATTTGTTGTCTTAGTCTGTATTATTGTTAATTTTTCCAATGTAGAAATTCTTTTTCTCTGCCATAATGAAAGTCACTTAAAGCACATTCATATCTTTCTGTAGGCCATTTAATCTATTTTTAATAATAGCTGTTTGTACTCTGAACAAAATTAAGTCAGTTGACTCTCATGAGATTATGTGTGGGTAGTTGGTTGTATTAAAAAATGTAGCCATTAGCATTTCTATTTGAGAATATGTTTGTCTTTATATTAAACAGGACTTAGTGGAAACAAATTTGTTGTAGCATTCCCCATGAACTTGTAATAGCACGATGAAGAGAACTACCTAGGCCTCTTAGCTGCCTACCCAAGCTCTCATAGTCCCTGCTGGGGATGAAAGGGACACTCTTTTTTTCTAGAAAGCACTATTATTACAGGCAACTATATCTTCATCATATCTCAATTAGCGTTTAACGTTTTCTCATAGAACTAACCAAAGTGTCCTTAGAAATTCTATTTTTTCCTTTAGTCTTGAGAGTATTGGCCACCATCTTAGTGGCAAGAGCCAGGCCCCCAGGCAGCTATCCTAGGACCTTTAGTTGGAAGTGAGTGAGTGCATTACCCATATGCAGAAGGAAAAAGAAGGGCAGCTTTGGCAGGCAGCTCTTGTCCCCAACAATGGTACCATCAGCCTCTCCCTCCTCACAAGGATGTACCTTGCAGCTCAGGAGGTGGACTCCTAACGCGTTCCCTGTAGGCTTTTCCACAAACCCCAATAAGGTCAGAGATTTTTTTTTTTTTTTTTTTTTCTGAGACGGAGTCTCGCTCTGTCACCCAGGCTGGAGTGCAGTGGCGCAATCTCAGCTCACTGCAAGCTCCGCCTCCCAGGTTCACCCCATTCTCCTGCCTCAGCCTTCCGAGTAGCTGGGACTACAGGTGTGTGCCACCACACCCGACTGATTTTTGTATTTTTAGTAGAGATGGGGTTTCACCATGTTGGCCAGGCTGGCCTCAAACTTCAGACCTCAAGTGATCTGCCCACCTTGGCCTCCCAAAGTGCTGGCATTACAGGCGTGAGCTGCTGCACCCGGCCAGATCAGAGAATTAAATGTCTTCTGGGGTTCTCCTTCCCAGTGGTGCCAAATCTACTTCCTTCCAATTTCAGCTCATTAACAAGAGATCTGTAAAATCTCAGGACCAATTCGAAACCAAATTTGATTATTTCTAATGACTTGGAAAAACTTGGAATTATTTTTTTACCCTCAGAGAGCTATTTGATAATGGAAATGTTTTCAATACAATCATGTTATTTCTAAAAGCAGAAAGAATATATGGAATACCTTGTGACATCTCTACTTGAGATTCAAATAAAGATTACTGAATAAAAGGACAATTTAGGAAGGAAATACAGCATTACACGTAACATTTACAATGGCAGGATAATTTTAGAACCATAGAGTATGCATTTTAACATTTTTTAAAGTTTTTAAGCCAAGTTAATTCTATCCCTCACTGCCTGGACATTTTAAAAATCCCATCCAGAAACTTTTTATGGAGTCAAGGATTCTTTCCTTTATCCTATCTTATTTATTTTCTCTTTCACTGCTTCCTAACTTTTCTGAAGTTTGTCTGTTACAACTCTCTCCTTGCCATCTCACTGTGTCCCCAAACTCTATTCTTCTAATTTCCCCTGTTTTCTTTAGCCCATCAGCATTGCTTTTTCTTGCACATTCTAAGGTACCTTTGGGCCTGATATGAGGTATGGTAGCCCATGCATATTCTTTCCTATTCAAGAAATCTCTTGGCTACATGTTTCACCTCTACTAGAATATGAAGCACTCAGCCTTAAAACAGGGATTGAAACTTGAGTGAATCAGAAGTCACAAAGTACTTTTCACTCATTGCCATCACGTCTAAATTTGATGTTCATATTTGTATCTGGGTATGAATTGCAAATATATCTGCATATAAATACGTGACCTAGCCAATGATGGGAGACAAATTCCAGAATGCTCTCTGACCCCAAATATTCTTATACAAATATTTTAATACTAATAGACATTAGATTCAGATGGGGCGTGGTGGCTCATGCCTGTAATACTAGAACCTTGGGAGACCAAAAAGCAGAAAGATCACTTTGGAGTTTGAGACCAGCCTAGGCAACCTAGGAGATCCCATCTTTACAAAAAAGAGAGAGAGAAAGAAAAAAAAATAAGCAAAACCTCAGCCAGGTGTGGTGCTGCATGCCTGTAGTCCCAGCTACATGAGAGGCCAAGACGGGAGAATCTCTTGAGTCCAGGAGTTTGAGGTTACAGTGAGCTATGATCACTCAACTACACTTCACTCTGGGTAACAGAGCAAGACCCTGTCTCTAAATAAATAAGCAAATAAAAATTTAAAACACAGTACATGTTAGATTTTGCTGTGTAACCAATGTTTGCCAGTGGTGTTGATTGTGCTGCTATAATAATATACTTGGCCTTTTTATTCTGGCAAAATAGTGTTTCAAAGGCATTGCTACAGGAGACAGTATTATTGTTTATGCACTAGAAGAATCTCAACATCTTGTCTTGCTCCAGTCTACTGGCCACTGGCATGTATTTGTTTTATAAACTTCTGAATTATAAATCATACTGTTCTATAATAAAAATTGGGACATATTAATGATAATAATTATAACAAACATTTGTTGAACATTTACCATGTGTCAGGCACCAATTGCTTCACTTTTACTAACTTAGTTAATACTTTACTAGTTCCTTTGTATTTTTAAAGTTATTTATCATTATTATTTATTTAATAATTGATAATTTGTGATAATTTATTGAATCCTCGTAGCATTTTCTTAAAGTACGTGATATTATTTTACCCATTTATAAATGAGGAGACTCAAAAAGTAAAGTAACTTTCTCAGATCCATAGAACCACAAATTTTTCTGGTGGCGATGTTTCTGAATGTTCCAGAGAAGGAAACATTAGATTATTTTAGCCCTAGTGTGTGCATCTGCTGCTGAATTCTTTCCTGCATAATACCAGCATCCAGTAAACTGTAAAGCCAAGGGTGCAGATGGTAGATTCATTTAGAGCAAAATCCCTTAATAGACACTCCAGCACTGGGAAGTGTTGTACTGTTAAACATTGGTTCAGACTACAAACTAGGATTCCTGCTTGTAATTACATTGATGGGTACTTCTGTCTTTTTAACAATAGATTCTGTTCTCTGCTGTTTCTCTGTCTTACCCCACCACCCCTTTGTGTGTGTGTGTGAGTGTGGGTGGCTGCTATGGCAACTCTGAATATAACTCCTGCTGCAAATGTAAGCCTTATAGGCAGGCTTTGCTGTTATATTTGAACTTACATACAAATATATTTTTTCCCACTTTCACTAGAGACACCTTGGGAAAAGTTGATAATAGGAATGTTGGGGTGTTTCAAACTAATGCAGTCTCATGAAATGCTTGCCAGAATTTTGATGGGTAGTAAATAGAAAACAGCCATATATTCAATATCCTCTGTGGAAATGGTCTTATGGCTGTATTTAGTTAAAGGCATATTGATTTAATTTAGTGTTGGTGTTATAAACATACATAAATGCATAAATAAAAATCAATGAGCCCTGTTATGGAGTACGTAAATAATAACTGAGAAATATGTTTCTGATGCCTCTTTGTGTGGATTAGGAAATAAAACTGAGGAATTTGAACTCTCCCTTAACATCTGACTTTAATTAAGGCTTTGGTGCTAAGTTGATCATGGAGGTTTATTTTGCTTTACTGAAAATTTTCAGGAATAATAAAAAAAAAAAGCTCTATTCCTATTTTTGTAAGTACCATTGGTTCTCCGGGAAAAAAAAAATTGTGAGAGTTATTTAACTCTCAGTCATCAAATTTATAATTCAGTGTTCAGTGACATTAGAATGTTTAAATTTACCTTTGTGGTATTTCTTTTCATATAAATGGGTAAAGTTTTTTTCAATTAAAAGCAAATGAACTTCAAGGTTGAGAATGAATAATTATGTTTGGTGAATTTCCAGTTAACCTCATATAAATTGTTGAAACAGACAGACATGAAATGACCTCCTCGGGTCACTTCCAATTCTGACCTTAGATTTTTGAAAATGTCAAGGAAAAAGGGTCAGTTACATTTATTGGCCTCTGTTTCCGCTACGTGTTGCTGCATTATAAACCACCCTAGACCTTAAAACAACAACAATCTGTTACTGTCAGGATACGTAGGGTTGACTTGCAGTTTTCCTGCTAGTCAATCCTTGCTTCTTTCACATGACACATTCAGCTAATTCAGAGATCTGGGGTTTGGGCTCAGCCGAGACAGCACAAATAGCTGGGCCTCTCTCCTTCTCAACAGGTCTTTCTCACAAGGGTCATCTTCCCTGATGGCATCTCAGAGCCGCCTTCCAATAGGGTAATGACCCAAGCTGCAGGGTATCTTAAGACTTAGGTTCCTAAGCTTGTTACACATCTCTGTCACTGTATTTTATTGTCCAGAGAAATCACAAGGCCAGCCCAGATTGTTGGGGGTAGAGAAATAGATTCCACCTAGAGATGGGAGGTGCAGCGAAGTCACACTGTAATGAGGAGAATTTACTGGGATGGGAAGAATTTGTGGCATTAAACGATTTATCCCAGTCTTTTCCCAGAATACTGGTGGAAACTCTAAAATATCATTCCCTCTCTCCCCTTCCTCATTGGTGGCCAATCGTTGGCATTATCCCACTCTCACTTCCCACACAGCCATCTTTTATAATAAGCTCACAAAGTCCCATGCACAACAATCACTGCTCACAGGCTGCTGAGACAAGGGTTAAATAAACACAACCCACTAGTGTCTGTTTGCCCCTCTCTTCTTTTGAGACTTATTACCTAATTCTGTACAGGAGCATGAGCTAGCCCTCACTTGGAGGTATAAGGATTCAGGGAGTGCATGTCCGTTTACTTGTAGCAGGTGATTTCATGAGACTGGTCAGGGATTGTGTCTGGAGTAGAAACAATAGGGTGAGCCAAATGAAAAGCTCCAGGCTGCCATCATGTACTTCTTTTCACTGGCAAATGAGATATAGCTGCCATCAGAAGGCCATTCCTCTAAAGCTCCCTGCTTAGGCGTAATGTAATGCTGAAACGTATAAGGTCCCTGTGCTCTAAATGTCAAACAAGCAAATTTGATGAAGCATCTGCTATGTAATACATCAAAAATATTTACTGAGCATGCACTCATACTGTGACTGCTATACTATTATTATGACAACTGGTGCCATGACCACTATTATTAGTCGATTGATGTTTCACCTATTAGCCTTCAGCTAAGTGTTATTGATGTAGTTGGGGGAGAGTACAAAAGACATTTGTGAGGTATCTACTGGGTTCCAATATTTTCACTACCATGGACCCCTTTCATTATTAACCCTGTCTCCCTTTCCCCACACTACTCCATGAACTGCGTGTTTTAAAATCTTTAAAACACTTTTTAAATCTTTAAAATACTTTCCCATTGTATCTTAGGCCCAGATATTAAATAATTGCTCATAATCATAAAATATAATAATGCTGTTTTGCAGTTACACACATACAGCTATTAAAATGGCTTGGATGATAATAAACAGTTAAGTAAATGACTAAAGACCTAGAGATACTCTGCATCCTTACCTTAATTTTACTTGGCTTCTGTAAAAGACACTTACATTTGGGTATTCTGTGATTGACATGTGGCTTTATAATGGTTTTCTGGTTCTTCAGTCACATCACAGAAATTCCCATGTCTTCAACAACCACTAAGCAGCATGAGATCACCAGTGTTGCCAAATGACTTAGTGTACTCCCAGCCAAAAGCAAAGAACATTGACGTTTTGGTTAATGCATGTGGGCTTATGATGGATAAATATACTATTTGATTAGGCTGTTTGAAATATTGAAAAATATGTCAGAATTATATTTATGTGTCTGGGGTTTCTTATGTTAGCAAACGTCGGCTTGGGGACTGCTGATAGCCTCTTGAACATTCTAATTAAGAAAAGAGGACTTTCTATTCTAGGACATTATAAGATAGGGCTGTATTATGACTTCCATGGACCCTAGGTACTTTTGCCTTCATGGGCCCCTTCCACCATAAATAAAATTAAAAATGATATTTTACAAGTGTAGTTCTATAAAAATAATATATAAATGTTATACATTAAACATTTTCTTTTCACCTAAAAATTCACATTTACCTTCCGCTTCTAAAAAAAAGTTATGATATTTTCACGCGTCCTTCAAAGTGTCATGGGCCCTAGGTACTGTGCTTACTGTAATGCTGGATTAGTCTGCCCTGAGTAGGGGGTCTAATAAAGTTCTCTATGGAATATGATTGTAAGAGTATCTGGTAATGATGAGTCCCACCCAATGTCCAGGAGGGATGAGGTCCTGCTGGCAAGCATCACGGGAAGTGCTTCAGAGGTGAGTGGTACTTGGGGTGAGTCTTGGAGATGGACATGATTTGAACAGGGGGAGAAGAAGTGTCCCAGGGAAGGGCAATAGCAGAAGCAAAGGCAAAGAACAAGAAACACTGAAACAATCAGAAACAGGTAAGGGGGAACCTCAGCACGAGGGTGTACATTTGGAACTGTGGGATTTAAGGATTAGCAAGGGTGAATAAATCAGGAAGACTTTGTAAACCAACCTGAGGCTTTATGACTTGAATTAAAAAGCAATGTGGAACTGAGAAATGACATTACAGAAGCAGTGCTTCAGAATGGCTGTGTTTGATTCAATTCCATAAATATATATTGAATACCTAGAATGCATAAAGTCTCTACATACTGTTATAAACTCCTTTGGCAGCTTAAAAATGGTCTGGTAGAGAGTAAAGAGAGAATTAAAATTGAAAGAAACTAAAGGCGAGGGAAAGCTTTTAAGAAGATCAACACAGAATCTTGGGCATAAAATCAAAATCCCTAGACAGAGTCTCAGGATTTGGATTTGGATTTGGATTTAGCTGGTTTCCTTAAGATTGAGAGCCCTTATACTGATGTGACCAAGACCAGATGAAATGAAATGAAAGTCATAGTTTCTGAGGAATGGAGTAAGCTGGGACTCTGAGCTGCCAAGCCTGAGCCATGGCAGGGTGAGTACAGATTGGAGCTGCTAGGGAATCTCTAAGCACTTTCTCCTAAAGCACAGGAATAGGCAAGTCAGATCTAGACCTAGAGCCAGTACTGCATTGTCCACCTCAGAGTTTCTAAACCATCACCAGCTTACTTACACTATGGCTAAATGTGGCCGAGTTCATGGTCCAATTGTTCTGCTGTTTTATTTCAAACCTATGTCCCAGTTACCATTTACTGAAAAGTGACTATTGGCCTACTATCGTACTAGTTACTTTACCTTACCTCTTTATATGGCTAATTCTTTAGAGTGGCTGAAATGAAAGTATGGCTGTATTTATTTCACAGGTAACAAAATTGAGACTATGAGAAGCTAGTTGACTTGTCCAGGGTTATTCAGCTAGTCTGTTTTACAGCCAGGAATGTGACCCAGGCCACTGTGACTCCAAAGTCGATATTTGGTCTTTTACATCACACTACCTCCTGGAAGGTACCCCCATTGAAAAGAAGGCAGCCAAATTTTGAGTTATCCCCAGAGTGCAGTGCCTCACACACAGTAAGTGAAGGAAACTTGTTAGTTGATTTTAATTAAATGATGCATAATATGAATTAGGAAGATAGTTGAAAACGTGTGTGCTCCAGAAATTCCTGTCTTATGTCCTATTTTCCAGGTGACCAGGTAGCTCAAGCACTAAAAGCCATATAGATAGTCTTGATTATTGGATTTTAATTGTTCTTTAATTTTAAGTGAATGCATATTTTATAATTTTTATATGTTCTGCTCTACATATCATCTAAGGTGTTAAAGAGCTTTGCTTTTTAAAGTGACAACTTCTAAGTATTTTTAACTTCTTTTCCATATGCAACAATTGACTGCCTAACAACAAAACTAACACTGGCAGTGCTTATAGCTGGGTAGAACTCCATGGTAGGTAATATCACTTTGACAAGGTGGAACAGAAAAACAACAACAACTTATAATGAGCAGCTCTGAATACATGGTCATTTGATGTCAGGCCCAGTAACATGCTCGAGTCTGCTTTTCAAACGACACAATTATCTGCTGCAGGTGACATGGCCTTACTCCTGGACCCCTGGGGCATACATTGCGATGCTCCCACTGGAGCCTGCCATAAGCTCCAGACTCTATGTTTTCCCACCACTGACACATCAATCCCTAGAATGTCTGCTGGATCCATGGCCCAGGTACCAGAGCTGCTTTCCCCACAGCCTGTACCTGCTGCTGCAGAGCCCTTTCTTGCTTCAGGTTCTATTCAAAGTTGGCAGCTTTGTATGCCACCCAGTATCTTAGTCCATTCAGATAGCTCTAACAAAATATCACAAACTGGGTATAGCATATAAACAAAAGAAATTCATTTCTCACAGCTTTGGAGACTAGAAAGTCCAAGATCAAGGCTCTGGTAATTTAGTGTCTGGCAAGGGCCTGCTTTCTGGTTCATACATGGTGTCTAGTCATTGTGCCCTCACATGGTGGAAAGTATGAGCTAGCTCTATGGGCTCTGACCTCAAAACCTAAGCACTCCACCTCTTAATACCATCACTTTGCGAGTTAGGATCTCAACATATAAATTTGTGAGGGGGATACACACATTCAGATAATAGTATTTAGTATATGGGGCAGAGCAATACTTACTGATATGGGAGGTATTTTTCCCAAAACCCAAAGTGATCTACAAAGTATTGTGCGTCCTTCTTTGTGGTAGGGGTACGAGATGCAGTAATTGTCTTTTACTTTGGAGGGAATGTCTAGCATGCCACTGACCACTGGATCCCTAAAATCTTTATTGATGTCATTAGGCCCTGAGTATTGTAGGATTTATCTCCCCAAATCTGGAATGCATGTGTCTTACCAAGGCCTACAGTGTGCTAGCCAACTCTTGTTTATCTTGTCAGCATGATGTCTTGTATATAAGTGATCAATGACTAAACTGGGGGACATCCAAACTATCTCTATCTCCTTAGTCTAAGTTATGGCAGAGAGTGGGAGGGTTAATATAGCACTGACATCAACTGTGATGTAAGGAATTGCCTGTACCAGGTGAATGTGAACTGTTCCTCATCCTCTTTTTGGAATGGAATTGGAAACAACCCATTAAACAAATCAATGGCCAATATTAGTTGGTTGAAGATTCAGTGGTCTACACTTATCCTTCAGGATCTGAACAGTCTTGTGAATTACATGGAAATAGAAGAACCAGCACTCCTGCATTATTGAGATCTTGAGAGGTGACATTAAATCTTCACTATCCTCCCTTCAATAATGTAGTAGTATTTTTTATTTATTATCTTGGAGTTTCCGAATATTTCAATTAAATTCCCCTAATAAGTAGTTACTCCTCTTGTCAAGTATTGTGCATCCCCATTTATGCACTCATGGACTGAGGAAATGACCCCTGCATATGCTCAGAGACTTAATAGATCCACTTTCAGCCAGACTTTGGCCTGGACTTATTTATTACCTAGGCTCATATGTCCCTACTCTAACAGGGGACCGTGATGACACTAATTCAGGTCTCCATGTATCATTGTCTACACAGACCCTGTGTCCAGTCATCCTCAAAATATCTGGATATTTTTTTTTCTCCAGTGTATGGAAACCTGAGTAAATGACTGTGGGTCTTTTTGAAGAAGGACTGGGGAAATCATTACAATGTATACCTCCTACAGAGTTTCAGGGTCCTTCCCTCTGGGGACCTGATGCCTCTTCAGGCAATGAAGTCATTCAGTGTTGTAACTGTGCAAAGGGTTGAAGATTTTCCCTGGGGCACCCACCCTCATGTCATACATTCCCATTTTCTTGGGATGATATATATTAGGTAGTCTCGTGGCTCCCCGTCTATTTTGCCCCTAAGGGATGCTATGTTCTATAAACCACCTCTATAACTTTCTGTGTATTAAGTCCCTTTGGCTGTCACTCTGGCTTTGTGCATTGTTATGACAATTGGGACCCACTGGCTTGTGGTGGTTAAGCCCAGCACCTGGCTTCTCTTTCTTCAGGGATGCTGTAATCCCCATGGATATTAAGACACCCAGCTTTGTGACAGCTTCCCCTACCATCAGCCCTGACCTGCAGAGGAAAGGTATCACTGAACTTCTGGGTGATGCTGGTGTCCCTCTCACCAGTACACTCTGATGCCTCAGTGAATGAGGTGTCCACCCCTCAAGGCTAATATCATCTGGTGGGCCTTCAGTTCTCACATGATGTGTACATTCCAGCAATGCCCACTTCCTGGAGCCTTTTAATTCCTTCTACCCATTTGCCAAGACAATTCAGGAAATTCACCCTCATTCAGATAGAGCTATCACTTTCTCCATGCTTGTAGGGGCCAGCCCAGCAGGGAGTTTTTACCATCCAGTGCACTAGAGGTGGAAACTCAGCTCACTGGTCTCCTTACAGCACAATGACACAGTATTTCTTGAAATAGAGATTAGAGAAATTTACCTCTGTGGCTGCCACACTGCTTTCACCTAGTTCTAATGCAGACAGGATCTAACAAGCTAATGCACAGCCAGAGATTAATAGCGTGATATAGTATCTTCTCTGATCCTCCCTGTGTCAAATATATTTACATTTTAAGTGCCTTAACATATAGGAAAAAATATATAGCACTGTAGTCCGGGTGCAGTGGCTCATGCCTGTAATCCCAGAGCTTTGGGAGGCCAAGGCGGGCAGATCACTTGAGGGTGAAACTCCATCTCTACTAAAAATACAAAAAAATATTAACCAGGCAGTGGTGCATGTCTGTAATTCTAGCTATTCGGGAGGCTGAGGCCGGAGAATCGCTTGAATTCAGGAGGCAGAGGTTGCAGTGAGCCGAGATTGCGCCACTGCACTCCAGCCTGGGCGACAGAGCGAGACTTCCTCTCTCTCTCTCTCTCTTTCTTCCTCTCTCTCTCTATCTCTCATATATACGTATATGTGTATATATATATGTATACGTATATGTGTATATATATATATATATACGTATACATATATGTATCTGTAATTGCAGTTATCAAACTCCTTCTAAATTGAGGATGCATTTAAATCGAGGAGATTTCTTGGTACTTCTTCTGTTGTATTACAAGAAAGGTTACCTTCTTCTTATAAGCACAGTCTGCTTTGAGCTATTTGTTTGTTTATGGCATTTAAAGAAACTCTTGGAAGGAGAACAAAAGTCTCCAAAGAACAAATAGAAATCTCTCTATAATAATACAGCAATTTGAGGTATAAAAATAATTATTGAGTTCTTACTGTGCTAAATACTTTATGTACAGTGTATTTACTGCTTTGTTCTGTCAAATACATTAATCAGGCATCTTTCTATTATAGAGACTTATGCTATTAACTTCTATACATTATAGGGAAATATTTTCTCCTTGGACATTCTAAAACTTCCACTATCAAAAAAAAAAAAATCCCACAACCACACAAATAAATTCCGTTAATTCAAGCTACCGTCGCATCTTTGAAAGAAATTTCTAGAAAGACTATTTTACACTTTCTCACCTTATAAACCGGTTACATGGGGTTTGCCCCTTCCACCTCCACAACACACACACAAACACACATATGCACACTCACTCTCCTGAAACCACTCCTCAGACCTCATCCCCCAGATCTTATCAAGAGCCTCTTCAGATCCTTGTCTTGCTGGCCTTCTCAGTAGCATAGATACTCTTAATTATTCCCTCTATTTGAGCTTTTCTCTTTTTAATATGTTGGAAACATTATATTCTTCAAATTTGCTTTTCTTCTCATTAAGTGCTTCATTGCAATGTCAGAAAACTGTTACCAGCAATTACCGAGTTTCTGTTCTAGATCTTTTCTTCCCTCTGTTATCCCTTCCAACAGTGATCCCATCTATTCCCACCTCCACGCCTTTCAAGTGAACCCCACAACTCCTTCATTGGCCTTAACCTCTCTCTTCAGCTCCAGACTTTACGCCTAACTTGAACATATCTCTGGAGTGTCTCATCAGCACCTTACTTGCAGAATTTCAAAAACCGAAACCATGATCTTGCCACTGCTCCCAGCCATCTCCTGCTTTTGTGTCTTCTGATTTGATTATTGACATTCCTACCCTCGTTACCCAAGCCTGAAATCTCTGAGTCATTCTCAGCTCCTCCCTCTTCCACACCCCCGCATCCAGATGTCTGATTAATTCTGTTGGTTCCACATTTGAAATACCTCTGAAATCCAGACTCTTCATATATGTTATTCTACTGGTTGAATTTACCTTCTTTGTGTTGTTTGCCTTGACTATTGCAGGATCATCTCCAATAAGCTTCCTAACATAATTCTTTTCTCATCCTTGTCCATTCTGCACTTTGCCACTGGAGTAACACCCCTAAAGCATGAGTTATAAGCGCTTATCCCTTTGCATAAAAGCTCTCCATAGCCTGCCCTCCCAGTGAAAGCCCTTTCAAGCGTTACACTCCTACGTGTGCTATACAAGGCCCTCTTAGCCCTGGCTAAAAGCTGTCTTCCCTCCAGTTATGGACTAAATTTTTTCCTCCCTTGATTCATATGTTGAAGCCCTAACCCCTAAGTGATAATATTTGGAGATGAAGCCTTTGGGAACTGATTAGGGTTAGATGAGATCATGAAGGGGTAAGGCCCTCATGATGGGATTGTGTCCTTATAAGAAGAGACAGCAGAGAGCTTGCTTCCTAGCTCTCTCCACCATGTGAGGACACAGCAAGAGGGCAGCATCTGCAAGCCACATAGAGCCCACACCAGTACTCAAGTATGCCAGCACCCTCATCTTGGACTTCCAGTCTCTAGATCTATGAGAAAATTAAATTCTGTCTTTTATGCCACTCGGCCTATGGCATTTTGTCCTGGTGCCCAACCTGAACCCCCTCCCTTACTGCATAATGCCCTCTCTCACTTCATGTGAACCCAGTCCATATTAGACTACATTTGATCACTCTATTCCACTCGTTTACACTAGACTATTTCTGCTATTCTCTCAGCCTACATTTCCAGTGCCTCCAACCTCCATAATCACCCGTCAAAATTATATTCACCTTTTTGTGTGTCCATTAGCGTTCTCTACGATAAATAATAGAAAATGAGTCAAGTTGATTTAAGCAAAATGAGGTGAAAGGAGAGGCTCGAAAATGAGGCTCAGGGAATGAGCAGGAACTGATAGAACCTAAGCAGCCAGAACCACAGCCAAGACCAGACAACAGGAAGGGTACGCTGAGGATACACACGGCTGTGACTGCAGGACCCAGGTATCGCTGGCACCACCACTTCTCCATGCCTCCACCTGCACTGCCACCACTGTGGCTGCCAGTGGTGGGGATGTTTCACTTCACCCACTTCTTTGCATCATTTGCAGAGCATCTGGTTGAGTGTGGATCACGTGCCAGTGGCCTGCCTGCCAAGGCTTTGAGGAAGGCCACACTCAGATTTTTGTTTAGTTTTGGTGGTGGCATAGAATATATGCTTCCCACACAGGAGACAATACATGTGGAGAATTTCCCAATCACAAGAAAGGGGTTAGATGCTAAGTAGTGGGAAAAAAATTCTTTTTACCTTAGCAACCTGGATTAAGGCTGGTCCCCTTTTTAAGGCTTTATCTCATCTTTTTATTTAAAATTAATCTGCACATCTTCAGTGGTGCACCTAGCATATTTGACACAAAAGCAAATCACTTTTAGCATCCCTTCCTCTATATGGAAAAATTATTTTCAGTAATAACTATGTGATAATAATCATTATTTTATTGATTTATTTTTTATTTTTAAGATAAGAATAGGTAAAGTATATTTTTAAAATATACTATATATGCATGGTTAAATTTAAAAAATTTAATATATATTTAATTTTTTAATTTTATTTTAATTTCAGGGGTTCATGTGCAGGTTTACTATATAGGTAAACATGTGTCATGGGGTTTGTTGTCTAAATTATTTCATCACCCAAGTGTTAAGCCTAGGACCCATTAGTTGTTTTTCCTGATCTTCTCTCTCCTCCCACCCTCCACTCTCCAATAGGCCCCAGTGTGTGTTGTTCCTCTGTATGTGTTCTCATCACTTAGGTCCCACTTGTAAGTGAGAACATGTGGTATTTGGTTTTGGTTTTCTGTTCCTGCATGAGTTTGCTAAGGATAATGACCACCAGCTCCATCCATGTTCCTTTAGAGGACATGATCTCATTTATTTTTACAGCTGCATAGTATTCCATGGTATATATGTGCTACATATTCTTTATCCAGTCTACCATTGATGGGAATTTAGACTTCAAGCACCAGTGTTCCAGTGAACCGGGCAGAACTTCATCTTCTTTTATGAGCCCATAGTTGATTCCATGTGTTTGCTATTGTGAGTAGTGGTACAGTGAATATACATGTGTCTTTGTGATAGAATGATATATATTACTTTGAATATATAATAAGTAATTTAAATAAATATATTTATATTTATATAAATATATAAATGTATTTTAATTTTAAAGCTATAAATATTCAATATGCTATTTTATGTATCGACTAAAATTTGCACTTACCCAGTAAAAATACTATACTTTTTTTTTTTTTTTTTGAGACGATCTTGCCCTGTTTCTCAGGCTGCTTAATTATTTGTACATTCCTCACTGCAGCCCTGAACTCCTGGGCTCAGGCAGTTCTCCCACTTCAGCCTCCCAAATAAAATACTATACTTTGCATTCACACTAGTTTATTATTTTAAGTTTTAGACATGAATAAAAACTCCAGGTGGTCACATAGATTGGAAGAATTGAAATAGCTCAAGTTCTCTTTCTTCATTTTTACAATTACTATGCTATCATGTCTTTTTTTTTCCTTTTTCTTTTTGCTTTTTTTCAAAACTACT
This sequence comes from Homo sapiens, assembly GCF_000001405.40. Lineage (NCBI taxonomy): Eukaryota > Metazoa > Chordata > Mammalia > Primates > Hominidae > Homo > Homo sapiens. The sequence goes on along the minus strand of NC_000001.11, from coordinate 98,938,129 downwards.
GTTTAAATGCATCACCACAGGGGCTGGAGACACTAAATGGAGCAAAAGCCACAAATGATTCCCACCCTCTATGAGCTTACTCTCCAGATGAATATGAGTAGATGAGTCCACATGTCTGCTAGGGGGCAAATGTATATAGGTGGGCATTCTTTGAATTAATTTCCATGTGTAATGCAGTATTTATTACAGATTATGTAACAAAAGTATGCTTATTTAAAGCTTACATACATATTTTTAATATTCAACAATAACTGCAACAGTTATTTCAACTTATATCAATGTTCTGTTTACTATTGCTCCTTAACAAGCCACCCCAAACTTAGCATAAAACAACCATTTTACTATGCTCACAGACTCTGTAGGTCAGATATGTGAAAAAGGCAAAATGTGGCTATCTTTTCTCTTCTCCATGGTGTTTCCAACCTTAACTGGGAAGATTCAAAGGCTGACTTCAAAGGTGACTTGATAGCCAGGACATGCAGTTATCCAAAGGATTGTTCATTCACCTTACTGCACCTGGGCTAGGAGAAGGTGAAGACCACAACAGCCTACCCATAATCTTCTCACATGCCTTGGCTTCCACACAGTGAGGCAGCTCCAGGGAGTGCAGCTTCCTACAGAACTCCAAGCACCAGTGTTCCAGTGAACCAGGCAGAAATGTGTCTTATGAGCTCAATCTTATGAGCTCATAGTGTCACATCTACTGCATTTTCTTGATACAAGCAAATTGCTAAGGCTGCTCAGATTCAGAGGGAGGGGAATTGGACTCTACCTCTTGATAGGGAAGATTCAAGAATGCAAGGGGTTAGAGACTGTTATAGCCATCTTTGGAGAATACAGTGTGCCACAATCAACAAGAGATTTAGAAGGCAGGAGTATGTTATCACTGACACTGCTTAGAATTGCTAGAGCATGGCAACAATAAAGAGCAGATAGACATTTAGTAGGTTTTACTGTTGCATCCCCTCACTGCCTGCACCTGGGCAGACTGCTGCTATGCCCACCCTTAGTTTGCCACTGCCCATGTTCTGATCTCTGCAGGCCTTGGTAATGTGGCTCTTAAAAAGGTTAGAGATTACCCTTGTCCAGTTATCATGTGTGTATTCCTACCTCATGTAGCCTATAACATCTCTGAGGCTACAGACTGTTTCTCTATAGCTGTCACAATGCCAGCCGGGGCATAAATACAACCCAGACTTAGAAAAATAGGTTGATTGGTTCAAACAACAACAGCCATATATTCAGTGCTCATTATTTGGAAGTAAGACTTTCTAATAGATGACTTGCCCTTGTCCTCTAATAAATCTATTGTCTCAATGTATTCTGATGCAGGAAAAATACCCAAGACTTAGAGGCTGTGCCTACACAAAGCATAGGATCGATTGTTCTGAATAAATAGGTCTAATTCCTTAAATAAAGTAACCATTTGCATTTTCTCTGGCAATTCTGTTAAAACCAACAGAGACTGTCTGATACACCTTGGCATTTATAGAAGACCCCACACGTCCTCCTACTAAGTAGCCTCTTCACCACTCCAGTCTCAACTGGGAAAACTTTTAAGCAATCCCATAGTTGGAGATACTGCCTGAAGGGGATCCATGCACATCCTGAGGATCAGGAAATTTTGTTACACACCAGTAAACAATTCTGAGTACTTCTAACATGCCTGTAGATGTGGAAACAACTGGGTTGGGTTTGGAGATGCTGGCTGGAGGACTCCTTGTCTCTAGCTGAGTCTATGGCTGCTTATGGCCGTGTCAGCATCTGCACAGCACAGGACCCTTCAGCAGCCCACTTCAGAATGCTCTTTACACACTCTAAAAAGCCCTAAAACTTAGGACCTTTTAACTCTTATTTTTTCACAGAAGGGTACACTGTATTTGTGTGAATAATAAGTAATGTCCTTCTATTATTTATGCCAGTACTGTGCTAAGTGCTTTACATAGATTATCTCATTTAATCCTTATAGTCAAATTCCATAGGTACTATTATAATTCTCAAATTAAAGATGAGAAAACTGAGGCTCAAAGAAATTCATTAACTTGCCCACAGTCACACAGCTGGTATATGCTGGAGACAGGATCTGAATCCAGAACGTCCCCCGTGTCTGTTCTCAGAACTACTTCATTCCATTGCCTCCCCCTTGCAGCCAGTAAACCCAGGTGCACGTTGAGGTGGCTGACCATGCAGAATTCCAGGTCCCTTACCCTGGGCACTTCGTTCTGGGTGGCGAATGTCTCTGTAGTTTTTTGGAAGAGAGTGGGATTTTGATTTCCAGCATGGTTCTTTGCTACTCACATGGCCATGGCATAAAGCAGTGTTCTGGCACTGCTGGCTTCTCAGTAAAGAGTGAGCAAGTAATCAACATGCACCTGCCAGATAAGGAACACGAAAGGAACCACTGCACATAAAGCAAGCATATTTCTTATATTTAACTGTTCTTAATGGCCCTTGTGTTCTCATATTCCTTGCTTTTAAGTTTAACTTACTTACAGTGACACCCACTAATTCAGTGGGGCTATTTTTAACATAGAATCATAGGGACGTTTGACTTGTTCTTATAATTGGTTTTTCTTATCCCATTAAAGTTTTCTTATTGGGTACTTTCTATTGCATGAAGCTCTATGGTGTTGATATCATAAATTGGGGGTTATTACAAATATAATGAAGAAAATTAAATAGTAAAGGTGAACAGTCGTATTACCTAGGATGATAAAACTGCTCTCCTCTCCCACTTGTACAGACTTAGTTCAGGCCCTCATTATGGCTTACCTGGATTGCTAATAAAAATTTCCTAATAGCCCCTACTCTTGCTGGTTGAAATTATTCATTCTTTATATAATTGCCTACACAACTTTCTAAAATGGAGATTATGATGTGCGGACCTGGCTTCAAGGATGTGTGACCTGATTCAGGTCCTGTCTCCAGCACTTGGCTTAATGCTCTGCTGTCACTATCTTGTAATTTGTAATGATTTTTGAAAAACAGGTCTGTCATTCATTTTCATTTTGCACTGGACCCTACAAATTATATACCCAGTCCTATAACATGCAATCATGTAATCCACCCCCAACTCCATAGAGGCTCCAGAAGCCCCTCTGTGAATTACCTAAGAATTCATGAATGTGGTTTAGAAGCCCCTGGATTTTCTGTAAACTTCCTTCCACTTTATTTTTTTTTAATTCTATGAACCATAAAGTGTTTCACAGATGGAGGGATGTCACAGACTTAATGTTTATACAAACACCTCAAAAATGATCCTCACTCTTCTTCTCCTGTTCCCTCATTTTTAAATCTCTCATAAAAATGGCCCCTACAGGAAGTTTTGCCTAACACTCCCCTCACGTCCGGGTTGGTGGTTGCTTCCATTTTGCTTGAGGGAAAGAGTCTTTTTATACTTGAGACTTAGAAGAAACTGTTGATCAACGTGACTTCTATTTCCTGTGAATTATTTCTGTGATTTGTGCTCTTCAACATACACCTCAGTTATTCTTACTTGTCTTTTATATGTCTCTCCTTTCTCTTGGACTAAGAGCTCCTTGAGGTCAGCAGCAACAGACTTCCCTATCTCTATATTGCTAGCCCAAGCTCATTATCCAGGACATGGGAAAGACACCATAAATAGTATTTGAAACTGGATAAATGAGTGTGGGAATGAATGAATGTATTCTGTACACTCTTTCTTTCTCATGAAGCCTCAAGCTGTTTTTAAACTTTTAATTAATAGCTTTTTCTATATACTATATGTTCAGTGGTATTCTAGGAAATCTTTTCTTATCTGCCATAAACACACAGTCTGCATCCACTCTTCCTTTCTGTGTTTTGCCCAGGGATGACAAGCTTGCATCCATTGGCTCCTACCTATCAGCAAGCACATGCCTGCTCTGCTCCCTCACTATATGTCCTATTGCCACCCAAGCTCCAGTTCCCAGAAAAGCAAGAGTTGGGAGAAAAAGCCTGTGAAATAATTTATCCTCTGTCCCACATTCCCATGGACATTTATCCCAGAAGCATAGCTAAACTTCTCTGCCTTCTGGTTCCAACTTCTATGTCTCCTGATGCTGCCAATGAGAGCCTAGGATCCCTGTGTTGTCTTCCTCCCCTGGTGCCCATGCTGCACCACCTGCCAGAAACATCTTCCTCTAGCCCCTCAAGCACCTAGGACACTACCCCCTCTCCTTTTGCGTAAGTAACAAATTCCTTCACCCAGCTTTCAAGGCCAAGCTAGTTTTCCCACCATGATTCTCCAGCTTTAGCCAGATACATCTGCTCACGTTGCCCAAATCTTGCCTGACTTCATGCCCCGTGGTGCCTTTCCTCACATCACTACATGCATCAGAGACAACCCCATCCCTGGCAGCCCCTTTACCAGGAAATGCCTTCCCAAATCAACCAACATTCTCTGGCTATTTGAATGGTCAGTATGTTTTCAGTAGTTTCTCAGGTTTCGGAGCTAGATGTAAATGCCTTCCTGCCACCATAATTGGAGCTGCCAAGTAGTTACAGCACCAGCTTTGGTTATGCAAAGCTCAGCTTTTCATCTCTGCACTTGGTTCTTTAGTGTCATTATCTCATCTGGTCCTCAGAACAGCTCAGTTTCATAATCCTTTATTCTTAATTCTGAAATCCTTTTTTTTTTTTTTTTTTGAGACGGAGTCTCACTCTGTCGCCCAGGCTGGAGTGCAGTGGCACGATCTCAACTCACTGCAAGCTCCGCCTCCCGGGTTCACACCATTCTCCTGCCTCAGCCTCCTGAGTAGCTGGGACTACAGGCACGCGCCACCACGCCTGGCTTATTTTTTGTATTTTTAGTAGAGATGGGGTTTCACCGTGTTAGCCAGGATGGTCTCGATCTCCTGACTGTGATCCACCCACCTCAGCCTCCCAAAGTGCTGGGATTACAGGCATGAGCCACTGAAACCTTTTTTTTTTTTTTAAAAAGCCCTCTCTATGCAAGGCAAGACAAATTTTTGTTTTGTTTGTCCCTGGATGAAAAACTTTATCTGACCTGAATTTATTGGGGTTCTTTACTTATTCTGCTTACTGTGAGTAGCCATCTGTTTTGAGGTAGAAATGTGAATGTGTTTTATTATAGGGTGCAGCCCGGACCACACTGGAGGTATCAATGGGCGGTACATAGATCATATTACCCCAAATCTGAAAATGTTCTGAATGCTGAAATACTTCTCTACTTGAGGGCTCAGATAAAGGAGTGTGGAGCTGTAGTAAAGCAGACCTTGCTGCTTTCCAGATTTGACCAATGAGGAGACTCAATGAGGATAAGTCATCACCCACCTAACATCATAGCCCTAATGTACTGAAGGATCAAGACTGGAACTCAGATCCTCTGATGCTATCTGGGCCTTTATCCACTCATTATAACCAACTAATGTGCATGCTTACTGCAGGCTAGAGGGGAAGTAGAGATTCTTTTACCATAGCCTGTTAAGTACATTAGATTTTAGAAAAATCAATAGATTCCTGGAAAATAATACAGTTTCTTAGAGGTCATTTCCAAAATATAGTAACTACTACACACCTAAAAAATAGCTAAAGTAATGCATAAGGCTGAAAGGTCACATAGATTATTCATTGTGAGAGTTGCTGTACATTTTGTATATATTTTTGTTCTAATTATATATAAGCAGTGTGATATACACAAGCCCAGCTCTCCAAAGCAGTACGTTCATTTATTCACCCATTGAGTGACCCTGTGCCAGGGCTGAGTATTGAGTAAGCGGCAAAACAAACATAACCCCTGTCTCCACGGAGGCCTAGATGGTGTTTTAACTCAGTTGTTTGAAACTGTGACCTGATGGAAATCATGTCATACACAGAGTTTAGGTATCTAACTCAGCCTTCAAAAGCCTATTTAACCCATGTTGTACTTAAAATATATTATTAATCGTGGACTACCATGAGGTACAGTGTTTCCACGAGAAAGCAGGTGGAACATCTTGATTCTTGTCATATGTCTGGATATAATTGTACTTCCAAGTGGAACTATAGATTTCCTGCCTAGAAACTTCTGTTGGCCACTGAGGCCTGAGACTTGTTATGTTTTATTCCTCCCTCACCGCACTTTCACCTTCCACCCATGACCTCACCCAGTTCAAACTCATGGGTGCACATAAGCACGCATCCAATTAACCAACAGTTCTGGCCAGTTTAACATCCTAAATATTCCAGTCTGTTCATAACTGCAGCTATGACTCTAGTTCAAGATGTGATGATCCAGCACTGGCAACTGATTCTCCCAAAGTGATATTTTAAAATTCAAGTGTACTCCTGTCACATTCTCATATCCCCTTTATGGCCTCCCATTTTCCTTTTAATACGAATCCTTCACTTGGCACACAAAGCTTTTTGAACCTGGCCCCCGTTAACCTCTCTGGCCTAATTCCTGCTACTTCCCTCTGTACTCACCCCCGTCCCGACCCACACAACCTCCAGACTGACACACTGAGTCATTTTCAGCTCCTCCTTCAGGCATGCTCTTGAAGGTAAGTAGTCTTACCTCTGCTTGAAGACTACTCCAGCCCCGCCTTCCTCCCCAAGGCTGAGGGAGAAAGGATCCTTGACTCCTGTACTGCATGTATTAATAGCATCTTTGTTAGAGCATGGGCTCTGTAACTGAACTGCTTGAGTTTGAATCCCAGCTTCATCACCTTTTAGCCTTAAGTCCATCGATAAGTTACTTAACCTTTCTGTGTCTCAGTTACCTCTGTTGTTGAGTACCAATGTCATGGAATTGTTTGGATTACCTGATTGAGTGCATGTAAAGCACCGAGCACAGTTCTTGACACATAGTAAGCATTCATGAAATTTTATTATGATTAGCTGTTACTGAGAGTGAGCCAAGAACCATACCAGGCGCTGAGGTTACAAAGAGAAAAGGATATTCCTATCCCATATAAGCTAGCATGGGAGAAAAAGATAAATATTTTTATTTAAAAATAACTCTTTTTATAATAATTATGAACAGAATACTGGGTAGCAAAGTGAGAAAGAGTCATCCTGCTCCTCCAACAGCTGAGACTAAGGCTGAGGATGTGATTTGAGGTGCAAGCAGACACTAAGCAAAGAGATGTGTTTTGACACCTTTGATAACTTAACATGCCTTAAACGAAGTTTTTGTTGTGAATGGTAGAATCTGGTAGGCGTGGGAGAAGAGAGGTCACAGAGGTTCATCCCCATCACCTTCCTCCTTCTTGAAAGGGTGTAAAGTGAGAGTTGGAAGCTGGGTGGGGACTCAGTGGGAATGGATGTAGGAAGCTTTTGGTTGAATGAAAATTAAAGGAGTTGGGGAGGGTAATCGCAAGCCTTGAGAGGGGGAAAGAAGAGCACTTCCTGAGGACCCAACCTGGAAAATTTCTCCCCTGCCCTTTACTTACTCACTAATGAGGGTTAGAAATGAGGTCAGAAATACGTTATAAGCACACTCTTAAATTTTAGGACATCCTTTGAAATGTCACACTGTCATTAATATTAGTTATATGTATTGAAATTAGTGTGGAGCTGATAAAGTATTTTGTTGCTGATCACAAACCTATAATGTGCTGCAATATTATCTTTCTAAGGTATGATGAGTCTTTTTCTGTTATTATATAATTTAAGATAGTATTTCAACAGTATCTCATAATCTAGAATCTAATTGTGACTTAATATTTAAAATTTTCTGGTTCTAGATGATATATGTATATTATGTACATAGTAGATCATACAAAGATCAGACATATAGATTATCACATTATCATTAATTATAGTTTCTCTCCTTATCTGAAGAAATCCTGAGAAATATTTTGAGTCCTAAAGATTTAAGTACTTCAGACAGCTTTAAGGACTATTCAGAGATACTTGAAATATGCTTTTATTGTTATACTATTAATTTCTTGTCCCTGACAGTAAACTTAAATTTTTTATTTATGTATTTTAAGTTTTGCAGGTTCTACTTCATTTTTGTTTAAGGTATACCAAATCTAACCCTTCAATTCACCCAAATGTCTTGTGCATATTTTTGTAGTATTTAAAATTTCCAGATTTGTCTTTTACATATTGATTTTAGTTCCTTACTTGCTAGTCAGGGAATTTTAAATCTTGGAGATGATGGGATAGAATTATAGCAATCAAATATATTTTGCTTGCAGATAATTCTTCAGATGTTACACAGCTTATTTATTTATTTATTTTTGCTCGTATCACAAGCTATCTTTATGTAAATATCATCTCACTTTCTATCTGGTGTATGGAAAACAAATGTTAAGTGGTGAATATGTGTGGTTCTTGATTTCATAGATGATAATGTCAAGCAAAAGTGTATTTGTTCTTCTAGCTGATGGATGAAGTGCCATATGTGCAGTATATTTATTGGGTCAGGGGGGAGTCATACTGGAGATAAATAGTCTCCATGTAATATCAGCCATGGCTGCACTTTAGGGATTAGGTAAATGTGTCTGTGATGAAGGAGCTGTTATTCATAACCAAACCATCAATCGGCCTTTGTGCTGAGGGCAGCAGAGTTACTGAGCATATTCAGATCTTAACTTCATGTACCAGCTGGTCCTGAACACTGAGGTTGTTGTTACTTACATCACATTTGTGACTCCTTAGTGTTTTTCATTCAAGGACATCAGCTACAGGATAAATTCTGTGTTCATAATGACATAATCTTTTGTTAGGTACCCATTAAGGATATTGTAAAGAAAGTGGATGTTTACTCTTGATTTTCAAATACAATAAGGAGCTTTATCCCCATGCCCATAAGTTAGAATACATTATTTCTCCTAACACATGTATAGTTTTAATCCAAATATATTGTTTTAATCCATTTAATTTATTCTAATCACAAAGCAAACAAAAATTCTCATGGTGCCATGTGACGGCAATGAAACTTACACTTCTTATGTGATTGCCATTCTAAATCCTACAGATTATCATAGTTATTTTCATTTTACAAGTGATATAACTAAGAGTCAGAGAAGTTCAGTAATTTATGTAAGGTCACAGAGCTAATTGGTGGTAGACTGAACTTTTAACCCTGACTGTTAAATTCCTAAAGCTGAACTTTTCCTCAAAGCTTACACTGACTAAATACGGAATCTCCTAAGTCTCTAAAGGTATCAATAAAATACAAAACAACTGGTTAACTTTGATGAAGTAACATATTTAAAAAGTAGCCATTATGATAATTAGAATCTGAAAAAATAGGCTATATATATATTAGTTTAACTTAGAAAACCCTAAATAATTCCATGATATTATCATTTTATTGCACTGTTTACCATTTGACATGGTAATATATTAACAAATATTTAAAAATAAATGTAGATAAAAATATGCAGGTAAATGTTGCCTAACGCAGCTCAGGCAGCCTGGAAAATGGTTTTAGGATCAGTGCCCAACTCGAAGCAATATAATAAATAAAAATAATAAAGTAGCAGTAACTGCTGAAGCGGGTATAATCTTTTTTGGAATATTCACTGATCATTTTGCGTACCCTTTAAATTATGATGCTCTTGTCTAGGTCAGCATTGTTCAATAGAAATAGAAAGTGAACCATATATATATATATATATATATATGATTTAAAACTTTCTAATAGTTTTTTAAAAGTAAAAAAGGTGATATTAATATTTAATATTTTGTTTAACCCAGTGTATCCAAACTATTACCATTTCAACGTGTATCAATATAAGTTAGTAATAAGATAGTTTGCATTTTTCTTTTTCAAAATTTTCTAAATCCAGTGTATGTTTGACACTTGCAAAATACATTTCAGTTCAGACACTAAATTTTCATCTGAAATCCTTATTCTGTATTTAGATATAAAATTTACAGTGTAAAAAGTAGATGTGAAGCCCAATTTGTTTCAAACATATATTAACATTTTCTAATAATCTAGTTGAGTACCATTTTTGAAATCCTTTTCATTAAAACCAAGTAAATTGAAAATTTAGTACTATAGTTGGCCTCATCATATTTCAAGTGCTAATGGCTACAGTAGCTACTGGCTACCACATTGGTTCAGTGCCTCAGAGAAAGACCTCAAGATAAGAAGAAAAAGAAGTGTTTAGCTTCAGTAGTTAAATGAGGCTATCTTTGTCAAGAGAGAACAGGAATTTCCAAATACCACAGCTTTACATATCAAAAGCAAAATTTGAATATCTGAATATTTTATTATGAGCATAAAATATAATTATAATTATATATAATGAAAGTCTTATTATTATATTTTATTATCTGAGTATTTTATAGAGAAAACACAAATTATAAAGGGTGATACCACCAACCTAGGGGAAGGGAAGGAAGTACTTCCTGTCCTAAGAAGTGGAGGGTTGGAGGAGAGGGAAGGGCTGAATGGCAAATGTGTCCATGTAGGTGAGCACCCTTACGTCAGAAACCCAAAGAAGGCAGTTGATCACTGGATAACAGAAACTCCAGAGAGGTTGTGGAGATAACAGAAAGTAGAAGGGCTTGTACTTCATTTCTGGCTTGAAACTGGGAGAACAATTTCTCTTAGTACACCTGCAGCAGGTAAGTCAGGCTGCAGAGAAGACAGTGGGAGCCCAGGGACCTTGCAGCAGAGCTTGGGAGGGCAGGCAGCCCACCTGGGGCTATAAGGAAGGTGTGCTGGAGACAAAAGGATCTTTACTTCCTGTGAGCCTAGATGGACCAAGTCAGTATGGGGCCACAAGGACGTTAGCAGTGGTTGTCAGTAGGGCACCAATGAAGCAGTGGGATACACACCTGGCAGTGGAGGCCAGTGAAGGCTGGTGGGTTGCCTCCCCACCTTGACCTTGAGGTCTTGCAGGCCTCCAACTAGACCCCACTGTTGTTTTTCCAGAAGAGAGAATGGTGAGAAACTGAGAACAACTAAGCATTTATTCAGAATTCCTCCCATCCCATTTCTATTCAGTGAAAGATGGGTGCTTATGATGAAGTTTTGATCAGTTATGGAAACTAGAGTTACTGCATGTTTTATACAATCTAGATTATAACACCGTATAGAAAATTTATGACTTCAATATCCCACTGCTTATTGTACCACCATTACCAACCCTGGCCCCCATCACAGGTCTGAATTAAGTGAACACAGGTCTGTCTGGCAAAGTCCATGGTCTTTCCACCATTGCATCACAATTTTGTTACACACCCCATCAGACACCTTTACATTGCTCTTTGGCAAATTTATCAGTGAATCAAGAATATCAAGTCTAGGTACATAAATAAAACTTTCAGGACATTACACGGTTGGCTTAACAAACGAATGCCCCATTTTTTAAATAAAAATTTTATACGAAAAATGTCAGTAGCAGTTTGTAAACAGATCTCGGGCAAAGTGCCATGAGGCTCTGTCCTTGATGCTGTCTTGTTATTAGTGATCTGTGTGTAGCTAACTAGAATCTGGGAGAAAGATAACTAATATAATATGATAGATGCCAGCATAAAAGTTCAAAATGGTGTTGACAGGGTAAAATATTTTTTGAAAACAATAATAAATTTGACTTTTTGAACAATTTCAGGAGCCCAGGGTAAGGGGAACTTGATAAGGCATCAGTTCATGTGAAGAAGTCATGGAAGATTCAGTGGACCACAAACACAGTTTGACCAATAATGCTATGAAGTTATTAAAACACACACACACACACACACACACACACACACACACACACACACACACACTAATCAAACCTAGTGCCCTGTTAGATTGCATTAATCAAAGTCATCAAAATCTGGAAATCGGTTTAAAGATAATCCAATCCTAACTTGACTATGAGATACAAATCAATGAGTTAAGACTATAGGGTGCAATCTGGAAAAATCTCAACTGCACTCTGGGCTGGTCAGTTGTAGTGGGCACCGGTTTGCTTAATTTTGGGCTGTACTCTTTGAGGGAAGTACTAACAGATGTCAAAAGCACTAGAGTGTGCAGAGTGCTGAGGGATCTGGCCACTGAGTTATTCCCATACTGAGGGGAATTGAGGCTGTTTGATCTGTAGAAAAGAGGCGAACAGTAAAAGAATACGTATAATCATCTGCAAATAAACAATTAGTGGATGTCTTTAGGGCTAAATAGCATAAGAAAAGGGTGAAAGAAGCATGAAAACAAGAGAAAGAAAAAGGTTCTCCAAAAGCTAGGCCACAATGAATAGCCTAGACTTGGCTTCTATGTCCTCACTCTAGTGAAGGAAACAATGAAAATAAATTATAACCATACATTGTGGCCAGGGTTCTCAGATGAGGAACAAGGTGCTTTGAGAACACACAGAAGGATTGTGTATGTTGTCTAGGACACCTTTCCCCCACCATTTCCCTTTTGCCTGGAACTCTCATGCTCATTCTTCAGGATCTAACCATAGATGCCTCCTCTTTGAAGAAACCTAGCACAGCCTCTGATGCATAGTAGGTGCTTAATAAATATTTGTGTTTTTTTATTTCCATTTATTTTTGTAATAGCATTGTTTTATTATTAATAATAGTTCAGTGTTTTCTCAATTTACACAAAAAAGGATGTATATTATAACAAGTGAGTCAATGCATATTACAGACTAATAGGACATTATGATTATATTTTAGTAAAAGCAAACAAGTAAGCAAAACCTTTTTATATGTGTGTTAATTATTGTATATATTTGTATAAGCAAAGAGAAAAAGTGTAGAAGAATATACACCAGGCTCTTAACAGGGAGCAAATGATCAGCTTTGGCTTTCTGCATCTTAGTGCTAATGGATATTTGTGGAATGGGTGAATAAGCTCTGCTAATAATGATTAAATGGATTGGCCTGCGAGATAGTGAGCATCTACTGACCCTAGAGGACTGAGTGAATACCATCCTGCTCAAATCACACACCCTGCTGTTTGTATTTTATTTTAGCTACATTTTGACATCTGGTTAACCTAGATGGTTTCATAAGTGAATTAAAAACCAAGAGAGCATAAATAATCAATTCCTGTTCTGTATCCAACATGCTTAATAGATTATTATGCCATAATTTCCTTTTCTGCAAATTAAGAATAATAGACTTTATGTAAGGATAACACAATTAGACTGGCTAAAAAGGCACTTATGTTCATAAAGTACTGAAGAGTTGCTGAGTACAAGTGAAAGCTCTCTTATTTTTTCTTTTGTAACATCCATGCCAACTGATTATTCTGCAGAAAAATTTGTGCATTATAAAGCACTGCTATGATCTACTTTAAAGTTAAATATATAACCCTTGAAATTCACATAACCCTTGAAATTCAGCCACTGTCCACTCTCCACTCTGATGGAGGGAAAAGCCAAATACCAGGCTATTCCTAAAATAGAAGCTTTTTCATGAGTTTGCATTGTGGCTAGACTGTCTATGGGCTCCTTATGAACCTTGCTTGAGTCATTAGGGCAATTTAACGATCAACTCGACATTCAAGAGAAACTTCACAGGGATGTAGCCCAAGCCCACATTTTACTATGGTCTCATACAACTTGGACAAGTAAGGGCTGGACTGTATCTGAGATGGCCTTCGGGGGTGAGGGAAAGGCAAATTTTTTCTGAAGCCGTATAGATTCTGTAGGGTATTTTGCACAAGGACCACACACTATTTCCCACTTCCCCCTAATAGCAGAGCATAGATGTAGCCTTACTCCTATGATTCTGTGGTGGCCTCCTTTCTCCTGTCTTTAGTTTCTGACTGTCTTGCATTCACTGGTACTCAACTTATGCTCATTGGCCATTTCCTCCAGGCAAGAAATCAATGAAAAAGAAAGGAAGATTAGGAGATACCTAAGTGCCTTCCCTCTACTTTCCATTTACGCCTGTCTTTTCTCGACAGTGCCACCACAATCATCAAATTGTGTACTCTTCATAATAAGCTTTATCTTGATTCAGTTTTTAACCTATAAAATGGAGGTAACAGTGATACCTAACTTCAATGATTGTTTTGAAGATTGAATAAGTAATTTGTTAATAAAATGCTTAGAACATTGCCGTGAAGAGCAATCACTCATTAAATGGTAGCTATAATTGATACTAGCAGTATTAGTATTATTCAATTATCATCCCACATTTATTTTGTCTCAATGAGGACAGAATATCTTGAGTGTTAACAGATGTAAAGAAATGCAAAAGTAAGAAATAATTAACCAGCCTTATAGCTGTGTTAAAGAAAACCTCACAAGAAGCCTGAATTTCCCTGTCTATTCATACGCACTCGTCATACAAGGAGTTACTCAATTAGCTGCATCACTGAAACCTGAAGTGATGTGATAGCCTGGCCTTGTTATTCATGTGGGCAGAACTCTTTAACACATTCTCTCAGAATGGCAAAAGCATCGTTTTCTCTTTCTCATCTCTTCCTGTTCCCCTCTCATGTATACTTACCCTCCATAACTGAAATTATCAAGCTTTTCCAAGCACAGTCTTAGACACACAGACCCAGCTCCGAAGGTCACAGGCCAAGATGGAGACAGTTCAGCTCCCCCTGCCCCAGAGTATTGAGACCTGGGATGGATTGTAAAAGGCTAGAACTTGGCTAGAGAGATGCCTTGTATCACTTGGACTGCTTACATATTTATACAGCCCCTTTTGGCAGCTACAAGGGCTGCAAACTGCCCAGAAAAAAAAAAATAGAGAAGATAATTACTGGATTTCATAGTGTTCTAAAATGGCAGGTATGAACTAAAAACTTAAATTTTCATTTTGGTTTACTCTCTTAGGCAGATGTATTGTTTATTTAACCAGGGACAATAGTTAATGGTATATATGCATTTCTAAGAATTTTTCTGAGTATATTATCAATACCAGATACTTATTGACGTTTATACCATAAAATCTGATTATATTATCAAAGTCATTTCTTTTACAATTGCTCTACTCATGACTTGAAATAATAATTGAATACAGTCAACAAATTTGCTTATAAAATAATACATAAACTTATGAGCAGTTGAGCTATAGAATACATTAGATGGGGGAAGGACCAAATTATTCTTGAGCGTAGTGGCTCATGACATTTCATTTGCTGCAATCAATTGACACCATATGTTCATTAGCATAAGTCCAGATGCCAGAAATGTAGGTACCTATTCACTGTTTTGTTTTGTTTTTAGTTGACACATTTCCCTTATCGTACTTATGGTTTTTTTTTGTTGTTGTTGTTGTTTTTGAGACAGAGTCTCGCTCTGTCACCCAGGCTGGAGTGCAGTGGCACGATCTCAGCTCACTGCAAGCTCCGCCTTCTGGGTTCATGCCATTCTCCTGCCTCAGCCTCCCTAGTAGCTGGGCCTACAGGTGCCCGCCACCACGCCCAGCTGATTTTTTGTATTCTTAGTAGAGATGGGGTTTCACCATGTTAGCCAGGATGGTCTCGATCTCCTGACCTCATTATCTGCCCGCCTCGGCCTCCCAAAGTGCTGGGATTACAGGAGTGAGCCACCGCGCCCGGCCTACTTAAGTGTTTTATTGTCCTAATTCTGGCTGATAAAATGTAGTTAAACAAAGTAATTTCACAATTTCATTTAACAACATGAAAGCAACCTCGGCATTGCATTGAATCTTAAAGTCTTCCTTCAAAGTAACATCTGTTTGGTAGAAATCTATTCCACTTTATTTTTTCTAGCTGTATTCATAATGCTGGTTTTTATCAAGTATGTGTCCTCTAAATATGGCATACACAAATGGAAACATTAAAAACACTTAAACACTTCAACAGCTTCCCCCTGCTAATAATATTGTTGAGGTTGATCTAAAATGAAAATTCAGATAAAACAAGAATGGATACAGTAAGAATAAAAAGAAAAAAAGACAGTTGGACTATCTGTGCTTGGTGTTTCTAGATGATTAAGAATGTTATGCTAAGAATTGGCCATTTGTAAGAGATTGCCATACGAGGTAAGTAAAACAAAATAATTGCTACTCTTGAATTCTGCTTTTAAGAAACTGATTTCAAAAACTTCATAAACTCCAGTTAATGATTTGAATCATACAGGCGTATATATGTCTATAAATATATGTTTGTACATACACATAATATGCTATGCTAATAAAGGAAATACCTTCATGAAAAGTCATTTTTTTTATTGAATGTTTCAGATGTACATCACCAACACAATCAAAGCCAAGGGAACCAGACTTGCTAAGCCAGTTCTATGCTTGGGCTTAATGTGTTTGGCATTTCTTACTGGACTCAACAGAGTAGCAGAATATCGAAATCATTGGTCAGATGTTATAGCAGGCTTTCTGGTTGGAATATCTATAGCAGTATTTCTGGTAAGTACAAATTTATTTATATATCATTGGGTTTTTAATTAACTTGCATAATCACCATGAGAAAATACAAGTGTGAATCACTGGGTTTGTCTAAATGTAGTATATCAAACAAATCATTCATTTAAGTATATAAAACAAATCATTTAAGTCATTCATTTCTTCCTCCTCCCCCATTTGTTCTGCCACAAGTCAGGTTTGGGGATGAAAAAAATACAAATCCTATGCTTAAAGTTGAACAATATATTTTCATATAAAATAGAGCTGGCCTAAAAACATACTGTCCCTCCCAAATAGTTTTTAAGACTGGGTAAAAACTGCCTATAATATTTTTTAAGGATTTATAACAAACTTTATATAAATCCTTAAAAAATGTTATAGGCGAGTTTCAGGACTGGTTTGGATATTTTTTAAAGATTCCTCAGGGAAGTTGGCATGCTGGGGTATTGAGAGAATCCCAAAGTCCCCTAGTGAGTCCCTGCTGTACTCTCCCTGAGCCTCCATGTCCCAGTGCTAGCAGGTCAGCCTCACCTGTGAGATGAGGCATTTTACATCAGTAACTAAAAACTCATGAATAGTTTCTAAGACCATACCATGTCAAATCATATTTCACCGCATAGTAAAGAGCATACACAGTGACTTCTAATGAAGTAAGCATTCCATTTATACTCTTATTATAAAATCTTCTAGGACTATTTCCATAGGTTTTGGTTGTTGGAAAATGTATTTTAGTCTGACTTTAGAATTCATTATTATTTATTTAACCAGAGGCAATAGTCAAGGGTTTGTATGCATTTCTAAGTATTTTTCTGACTTATTATCAGTACCAAATACTTACTGATGTTTATACCATAAAATCTGATTATACTCTTAAAGTATAGTATAAGTTGTGAGTGTATAACATTTTATAAGTATGAGTATATAATAAACAGCCTGAACTTCCCTCTATTCATGTGCACTAATCATTATGAGTATATCACATTTTACCCAAATGAAACAATGTGTAGACTATGAATCAAAACATATTTTTGCATTGACACATTATAATTTAAAAAATACTTTATGTCCATTTTGATTACATTTAAATTGCCCTTACATGTAACTTAACTTTATTAGCCTCATTTTACTAGTTAATAATCAGTAAGCAAACACTTCAGTGAATCTTTCCAGCTACCAAATGTTGAAACATAATTTATGTACTGGGCATTTTAAATAAGTTATTTCCTCTAGAATCTCCTGCGGTAAAGTAGTCACCATGACCTCATCCTGTGCTGCTTTTTTTTTTTTTTTTGGTGATACCACTCTCTGTGATTCCCAAGGTCCCTGGGAGACTTAGACTCAACCTTCTGTCTTTCCTGGAGATATCCTGTAGCCTCGTGAGAACTGGGGCCCTGGCTTGAACCAAAAACTTTTTTTTTTTTTTTTTTTGCATTGACTCACCACAGTTGAAACTGGTTAACATTCAAAAAGCAAAACCAACAACAAACTTTACATAAATCCTTAAAAAATAGTATAGGCAAAGCCAAGAGCATACAAGTAGCCAAAATTTCAAAGCACTGGTGTCAGATGCAACTGTATTTCAGCTCTGCGGGTCCATAACATCTTCACTGGCATCTCATCAGCCTTCTTGTTTATCTGTCGCTATTGCCACCTTCCCTATACTTCCAGTGAACACCTTACCTTACAAGGCCAACCTCAGAATGCTGGTGCCTTCCAAGTCACTTCCCTGTCTGGTGAATGTTGAGCTGAGCTCTGGATCCCCCTTGAGCTCAAGACCCTCCAATTGCACAGGTTGAGAACGTTTCATGATAGCCCTTTGAACATTCCCATACTCTCAGGAAAATGACTTCATGAAAGGATTATATGTAAAAACTGACTATATAATAACTAAAAATGCATTTATGCATTCATTCACAGCCATTTATGAATGTGAATGCCTATAGGTGTGTTATTTAAATGTGGCTAAATAACAGCCTCCCTAAAGGATCATTATAAGGCTCTATAAAGGTTAAACAAAATAGTGCATGTTCAGCGAATTTGTGACATGAATGACTGGAAAAAGTTCCATAAACTATAGTTTGCTTCCTCTCAGTTCCTTTTACCCTACGTAAGATTTGTGTTTTGAAAATGTATTTGCAGGACAATAAGACAAAGTTGAGGATAGAAGAGATGGGTTATGCAGAACCAGGGAAACAGGATGGTGCAAATTGGCCCTCAGTGGCACAAAGAGGGAGGATATCCATCATGTCCTCCAGGATATTTAGGAGGTGGAATGGTTTGGAGCCTGGTGGAACATGGAAGGTGATGTGGACGAGGCACAGGGAGCCTTCTATGATGATTCCCAGTTTTCTCATTTGGGAAACTCAACACATTTATTCTGAGCAGTAACTCCAGCTCTGGCCTGTAATATGTTGTAATATCCTAGGGTGTTTCTAATTATCTTGCAGTGTGTGCAGAATTCTAAAGTGATTCCAAAATAAAATTAATGCTAATCTACTCCAGGTCTCTATGTCTCAGTTAAAGGAACCCAGACCACCCAGTCACCCAGACTCAATGCCTAACATTTGCCTTTGGCTCATTCTCCTGTTTCATTCCACACACCAGTGATTCATTTAGGCCAGGTTAATTTCCACTATAAAAATATTTCTTCCATGTCTTGTATCTTTGCTCTCTGACCATAACTTTTGAATTGTAGACATTATTGCTTCTTACTAAAATAGTGAGGCCTTCTCTGAACCATGTTTAAAATGACTTCTCCTCCTTGAGGATTCCTTTCCTTATTCCTTACTTTACTTTTCTACAAAGGATATTCCAACTTTTAATATGTAATATTAACTAATGTGTAATAAATTACTGTGCAGTATACCATATGGAGCATTTTTGGTTTTGCTTTGCTATCAATCCCACTAGAATGTAAGCTCCCTGTGAAGTCTTTTTCTTTGTTTTGTTCACAGCATATCCCCAATAACTAGAACAAGGTCTGGTACAGAGGAAGTACTGAATAAATATATGACGAATGAATTAATACATGAAGGAATGATTAAAGAATTTTTTATTTACTTCCCAGAGTTCTTTTAAGGATTAAGTGAAATCACACATGTAAGAAGTGAAGCCTAGTGCAGACAAGACACTGAATACCACGGTCTTCACGTTTGATGACTATATTCAAACCCTTTACACATTTGAGATTTGGCTCAGACAAGATCCAATTTCCCCAGGAAGTTTCCCTGATTGGCTGATTTTTCCATTTTTTCCTGAATTTCTACCACTCTTTCAGTCTGTCCTCTTATAATTTAATAAGGAATTATGTGCTGTGTTAATTGTATTACTCTTATCTCATGGGCATTTTGTTTCAGGTTAGAGCGCAGAATCACCATACTTAGCAAAATACAAGGCAAATACTATTTGAACACTATTTTTAGATTGATTATGATATTTATGACAGTGTCAGGCAGAAGAGCTCAAGTTTATTGAGCCACAAAAATAGTTTGTCATGTTATCATATACAACAATAATAGTTATTGTGCTCTTTACTACATTAATGCAATTAACCCTCAGAACAGCTCAGTGAAATGTTTTTATTGTCTTCATTTTGCAGGTTTAAAAAAATTGAAGCCTGATTATATAAAGTAACTTGCCCATGTTTACAAAGTTAGTAACTGAGAGATCCAGGATTATGATCCAGACCAGTTTGACCCCAAAGCCCATGCACTTAACCCCATGCAATAATGATGTTTCATTTGCCAACAAAGAGTGAAAATGAACAAGAATGGATCAGATTAAGTTATCATCATGACAGGAAAAAGAAAATATATATGCAGTGATGATTTACTCATATCATCTTGGTAGGAGAGAATAGAATTACAAGAATTATACATGCGGAAGTCACTAATGTAAAACCAGAACGTCTGAAAGCAAAGTAACATTAAATTATATAAGCACATCAGAAAATTTGAGAATTTCTGTCCTAGATGCTTGCTCATTCATTAATCTGATCCCTCACTGTGACAGTGTGAACACAGCAGTGAGCAAAAAAGAGCATCTTTGCATTTGTGGAACTTGGAAGAGACACATCAATCAAAGTATTACTTTAAATGATGTTTAATTTCATACTAAGTGCTCTGATAAAAATAATCACAGCTCCATGTAAGCAAAAAGCAAACAAACAAAAACAAAATAAACCATCCCAGCTAGGAGTTCAAGGAAGGCATCCACGAGGAAGTGAAGCTGAGACGAGATATCATGGCTGAGTTAGGTATGGCATCCAAAGACAGTGGAGGTGAGGAGTATCTAAACAGCAGGAAGTGAAAGGTAACAGAAAGTGTTTTGAAAACAGAGAAGGAAGGCTGCAAAAGTGGGGCTGGGCCAGAGTTTACACATTAAGAAAAACGGAAAGCCAAGCCATGAATGGCTTTAAGGGGGTAACATAATCCAGTTTGCATTTGGAAAGATCATTCTCACATTATGGTGGAAATAGAGGGGCCAAGATTAGATTTAGAGAGATAGTTTAGAAAGCTGTGTAGGAATCCAGGCAACAGGTGGTAGTTGCTTCGTTTTTGGAGTTGGTGGAGGAGATAAAATGAAGCAAATATAAGAAATCAAGATATTTAGGTACCAAGATATTTGGAAAGTAACATTGAGCAGATTCAGTAACTGGTCAAGTATAAGAGGTGTAAAGGATTAATTCAAGTTTTTAGCCTTGTGAATCTGCACTGGGGCGGAGGTGGGTGTTGGGGAGTGGGGTGGCATGTTGCCTTTCCTTGAACGTGTCCAGAGAAGAGATCAAGTTTGGAGTGGGTGCTGGAGGGGGCAGATCTTGAGTTTAGTTTTGAGTAGTTGTTGAATTGTCATACCTTTGCCAGCCAAAGAAATGACGTTAACTTAGTGATCTATTGCAACCTCTTCGTTTTCTAATTGATAAAACTGAGACTCGGAGAACTGTCTGATAATGTATAGACTCAGGCATGTTCAGGATCAAAAACCATGTCCCTCACTTTTTCTTATCACCATTTTTACAAACAAGACCTCTGTTCCACATCGTAAATGTTAGCAGACAAGACTTATTAAATATTGGAATATAACTCTACAGAGGATTAGGTAATTTCTTTCCTAATAATTAAAATACTAAGAGTAAGAAGAATAATCATCGTTGTTATTGTTGGCCAAAATTCTTGATTATATCCTTTGTATTTTAGAGCAGTGGTCAGTCAGCCAACTGCAGCCCACAGACCAAATTTGATCTGCTGCCTATCTTTGTAAAGAAAGTTATATTTGAATACTGACACTCCCATTTGTTTATAAACTGTCCGTGGCTATTTTTGCACCAAAAAGGTGGAGTTGAATAGTTGCTGCAAAGGTTGTAAGGCTGCAAAGCCAAAAATATTTACTGTCTTCCTTTTACAGACAAAATTTGCTTACCTTATCTCTAGAACAGTCAGTATCTGTCAGACCTTTGTGGGGTCATGAAGCTGGTAACATCATGAGGTAGTAGCTTTATCAAGTATCCATCTCCAAGCCCTTACTGTCCCTTACTTTAAAGATCTTTAAAGTGGCAACTACAAAGTTGAGGTATCAAATTATCAGGCTTTGATCTATATCTCTAATCTGTAGTTCTTCTGGGAAGTGGAAGGATAAGAAATCTATAATAATTTGCAAAGGAGTATTTTTCTGACGTAAAATCTCAGTAGGTGTTCTTATTTTGTAGATTTGTAAATTTTATTTAAAAACTGGAAAGCAACCAAGATCTAATTGATCTAATTGGCCTTTGAAGATATTCAGTAATGAACTCTATGAAAGAAAAGGCTTTTCAGTGTAGCATTTGTGAAAATATGAAATGTAAATGTATAATTATATATTAGGTACTTTACAAAATGAATGTTAGGTTATAGCTGCAAATGAGGCCTGTATTTTGATTTGTAATAGAATATGAAACACAGAAAATAAAACTCAAGAATACCTTTACCAAGAATACCTTGTTTATTGTGTAAGCAAACAGTAGCAAATAATCTTCCTGGTATGTTTAATTCATTATTTCTTAAATATGATTCACCTGCATTAGAAGCTTCTCGAATGCATTTTTGAAGTGCCAACTCCTAGGCCCCATTCTTCATTTACTAAATCAGAATCTTTAGGGGAGGGCTTAGGAATATGTATTTTTAACAATGCCAAAAATGTATTTTTATGCACATTAAGGATGAGAACCTCTGGTTTAGTTCAAATTCTGTCACCAGTGAGATATAATCCATTGAAACAAGGGTCAATTTTCTTTTCTTTTTTTTTAGAACATCAGGCTTTTTATTTTTATTTTTTATTTTTAAAATTTTATTATTATTGTACTTTAAGTTTTAGGGTACATGTGCACAACGTGCAGGTTACATATGTATACATGTTTTATGCGGAGGGTTTTCTATTTCAGTGGTAGCCCCAGTAAGCTATTGTTGGATTGCCAAGTGTATATGGGACACAATAATAGACGATAAGCTAGGTTAATTAAGGGATGCTGCTAAGTTAGAGAGTACCAATTGTAGAAGGTTTATTATGAATATAATGATACTGAAGCAATGAAAAACAATTAGCATTTAAATTAAGTTGTAGAATAGCCATATTAGGAAAAGGTTAGCTTGCTATGAATTTTTATAAGGTTATGGTGTTATGATTGATTTGAGCATTGACTATACTTCGATGTAATGAAAATTTTCGAATAATAAAATTGTCATAATTAAGTGAGCTACATATTAACCGATGAGTTTTCTTAAACATATCTGCATTGGAGTAGCTATTAAAATTTATACAATAAACTTTACAATAAATGAATACAATAAATCTGGATATAAATTCATATACGTGTAACATTTAAGTAATTTTAATACTTTCTTACATGCTTAGCTTTATTAAGCTCCTCAAAAGGCTGAAAGTCACAGTGAGCACAGTTTGCTTTAACTGTAATTGTCTTCTGAAATTTTAGGTTGTGTGCGTGGTGAATAATTTCAAAGGGAGACAAGCAGAAAATGAGCATATACACATGGATAATCTGGCACAGATGCCAATGATCAGCATTCCTCGAGTAGAAAGTCCTTTGGAAAAGGTAACATCTGTACAGGTGACTCACAATTTAAATTCTAAATTATAATAACTAGAGCAAATGAATCATTATTCCTGTATGTATATCTGGAGCATGTCCACACAGTTTATGTTGATTTACTTAGTGTAATGTGATATTTAGCAAGAATTTAGCCACTAAAGAGATAATCATAGAAAAATATATATCACATTTAAAAAATCTGTTTGTAGGCCGGTCACAATGGCTTACACCTGGCCTGTAATCAATCCCAGCTCTTTGGGAGGCCAAGGCAGGCAGATCACTTGAAACCAGGAGTTCAAGACCAGCCTGGCCAACATGGAGAAACCTCATCTTTACCAAAAAAATACAAAAATTAGCTGGACGTGGTGGCATGCACCTGTAGTCCCAGCTACTTGGGAGGCTGAGGCACCAGAATCACTTGAACCTGGAGGAAAAGGTTGCAATGAGCCAAGATCATGCCACTGCAGTCCAGCTTACGCAACAGAGTGAGACTCCGTATCAAAAAATAAAATATCTGTTTGTCTTCCTCATGCTAAAAGCTGAGGAGTACCTGTGTGTGAAATCCATTTAGTACTTTGCTGTAGTTTCTAAATAAGGAACATTGTGTACTGGTCTCACACATAGGAAAAATAAAATAGTTTTACTTGAGGATATATGCATTTTTTACAAAATATATTCCACATCTTCCATGCTCCATTTATATGAGAAAGTACTCAGCACAATGCCTGGCACACATTCACAGTTCAATAAATATTTGTTGAATCTCAGTGCACAAAGGTCTGATATCAGGAAAACACCAGTCGTGCTCTCCTAATCAGGGAGATTCTGAGACTCCATTGGGCTGAATGCAGCCAGAGGGTAGCACTTGGACTGGTAGGCCAAGGCCTCATTAGGCATGGCAGTGAGCACAGAAACCAGGTAAATACTTTTCTTGAGACTTTTGTGAACCACATAGGATAATATTTCCTAAATGCTGGTGCAGTTATGTGCATTTGTAACTAGTTAAATGGTTGCTCTGAGGGCTACTACTGGCTTCTCTTCGGTCCTGTTCAGTTCCACATTTGGTCAATATCTTAGCTGAGGAGTCAGTTACACACTAATCAGGTGTTCTGATTGTGTAAATCTGTGAGAGATAATTAACATATTCAATGAAGGAATAAAAATTCTTCAGTGACTGCAATAAGATACAATTCATAATTAACTAGAAATAAAGGAAACATTTTGTATTTGGATTTTTTAAAAACTTCACGTGTAAAGTAGGGTACATCCAGGTTAATTGCACAAATGAAAAAGGCTTGGGGTGTAATAGGCACCAAGTCAACACGTGTCAACAGCATGATAAGGCTGCCAAAAGAGTTAAATGATCTTAAGGCCCACTTGGGGAAAATGATACCCTGAATGAGGGGATTGATGGTGTGCATTGCTAGGCTCTGGTCAGACCAACTCTGAATATTATGTACTGATCTTGACAACACAGTTTTAAAGTGGGCATTGATAAAATAGTTGATACTCAATAAATATTTGTTAAATGAGTGAATTAATGTTTTTGGGATGTACTCAACATCATGGATTATGAGGGACTGTTGCAGGAACAAAAACGTGCTTAAAGAAAACTCATGAAAGAAGCAATAGCTTCCCATAAGAATCTGAAGGGCTCTTGTATGACAGAGGGATGAGATTTGTTCTGGAGGGTGTCTGAGATAACAGTTAGGACAAAACAAAGAAAAGTGAGTGTAAGAAGATAAATAATGGCTAGAAAGAAGAAAAAACTCTGAAAATGAAATGGCTGCCATAAGAGAGATAAAATTTCCTTTTACTATAGGAATTCCAGAATAGCTAAATAATTACTTGTCCATGGTACTTTGGAGAGAATTCAAGCATTCAGGTAAGGATAGAAGTACTTAATAATAATAATATACTAACACTAATAATGACTACCATTTAATGATCATCAGTATGTGTCAAGTCCTGTGCTGATGGTTTATATAAATTCCACAAAATACTTCTGTGCTCTACAAATACAATTTCAGTCCTCACAGCAATTTTTAAACATGATCCTCATTATAATGGTAAAAACTGCTAATATTTAGTATTCCTTCTCACCTTCTTCCTTTTAGTAATTGAATTCCCTAATTTTAGCTATATTCATGACTGCCCAGCTACAATCTATATTTCCCAGCTTCCCTTGCAGTTAGGTGTAACCATGAGACCAAGTTTAGACAAATGGAATGTCAGCAGAAGGGATAAGTTCAACCTCTGATTTATCTCTTTGAAGACTCTTGCCCTGGACATTCCCTACCCCTTCTCACCAAATGAAAAAGGTAATGACTGGAGCAACCTTGGAAATCACTTTGTAAGATGACCAATCTATCCTGTAGTCTGGGTCCCTGGATGAGCTTACGGAGCAGATTTCACCCAGCCTAGATGGTTCTGAGAAAGAAGTGAACTACTTTCTCCTCTAAGCCATTGAATTGTTCTAATTTCTTTTCTATAGTGACTTAGCTAATATCCTATTATAATGCATATTCCCATTTTACAGTTAAGAAAACTGAACTTCCAAATGGTTAAGAAATTTGCAAAAGTCCAGATCATTGATAAGCAGCTGAGAAAAATTATACAATGTAATGTTTTGAGACACATACCTATGTAAGAAAATACATTTAAAAGCTGAATGATCTGTACAAAATTAGGTCTTGTTTAACTTACTAAATAAAGTTTAAAAATAGTAGAATTTAGCCCAGGGATAGTGGTTCATGCTTGTAATCCCAGCGCTTTGGGAGGCTAAGGTGGAAGGATCGCTTGAGGTCAGGATTTCGAGACCACCCTGGGCTGTAACAATAGTGAGACTCCATTTCTACAAAAAATACAAAATAAAAATTAGCCAGGTGCGGTGGCATGTGCCTGTAGTACTAGAGACTCAGGAGGCTGAGATAGGAGGATTGCTTGAGCCCAGGAGTTCAAGGCTGCAGTGCACTATGATCACACCACTGTACTCCAGCCTGGGCAACAGATGGAGAACCCATCCCTGACCCCATCTCTAAAAAAAAAAAGGGTTGTGAAATATAGGAAGAGATCTTAGACATATTTTGAATAATATGGTCAGGGTAACTATTACAACCTTTTCATTTTGTATACCTCTGAAATTAACTTCAATAATAATCACTGCCATCTACTTTTTAACATTTATTTGCATGAGTGTTTTTTGGTAGCTTTCTAGTATTGCCAAATATTCATATATATCATTACATCATTGTATCTATTAAATTATTTAAAAGGTTCTTGTTGATGTTATGCTAGTTCATTTTTATTTATAGTGAGCTTTGAAATATTAGACAGTAAAAGCAAAAAAATTCTATTCATCTATAAATTGTTACAGATGAGTATTCATTAATATATGTATTCATGTACATATTAGGTTAAGTGGCATGTTTCTTTTATTAATTTTTAGGTTCATAACAAATTTATGTGCTCTGTTTTCACTCCGGTAGCTAGGAAATAAAAATGGTTTGAATCTGATTTGGTTTCCCCCTTACTCACTATAGTGCATTGGCACCACACCCTGCTGAGCTCCAGCTTTACTCTCCCATCTTTTTATTCCTGTTCCCAGGCAGAATGCTGTCTGCACAGTGCAAGTTCTGTCCCCTGCACTCACACAGAGCATGGGATGACCACAAGGCCAGGTGCTGAGAATACATCTCAGGCTTGCCTTTGTAACTGTGCTGCTGAGAGGACATGTATTTGTGTTCATCAGGCAGAAAGGGAGGAAGGCTACCACTTAAGGAAAGCCTACAATAGCTTTCTCTTTGTGTGTGTGATAAGGAGCATTTGGGATAAATACACAGCAGGTCTTTGAATTACATCGTTTCATTCAATATCATTTCTTTCTAACACCGATGAGAAAAAAAAAAAAAAAAACACTCTCTGGCTAGGGCTGCTGTCTGTGTGGAGTTTGCACATTCTCCCCATATCTGCATGGCTTTTCTACCCTGTTTTCCTCCCACCTCCCTAAGATGTACCTATTAGGTGAAGTGGCATGTTTAAATGGTCCCAGTGTGGGTGAGTGTGATGTGCGCGTGTTAGTGCACCTGCTGTGGGATGGCATCCTGTCCGGGGCTGGTTACTGCCTTGTGCCCTGAGTGGCTATGCTAGGATCTGGCCATCTGCTACCCTGAACTGAAATAATTGGGCAGATAATTATCATGCTTGTTTTTATTAATCTTTCTTAAATGTATGTATAATCACATTTATTCCAATGTTTTATACTAGAAACATTTTGGTCTTTATTTAGAAGTTTGGTGATGTCTTTATGACCAGAAATATGCCATAGAAACTTAATTCCTGTTTATATCAATTAGCCTGTGGTCAAATTGGTTTCATTATACTTCATTCTACTTAAACTTCATTTCCAAGAGGCCTGTCAACATCACTGAGTACTCACCTTATTGGATTCATTATGGCTCATACTAGTAAACAAGTAAATGCAAAATTCTTCCCAGTACTTTGATCTTAATAACTGATAGTTGGAGAGTGACATTAGACGTTAAAGCTGGCCCTCTGAAAAAAGTAAGGGAGTCTGGTGTGAAAGTTTGGTCTGCAAGTATGGCCAAGAGTTAGCATTATTATGCCAAGCTGTCATTTTCTGGTTGTCACTTTTGTATGGAGAAGGCAAAGGGTTTCGTTTAGAAGTTATGTACTTATATAACCTTTTATGTTCAAAGTACATGTTTGATAAACTGTAAGCTGCAGTGTAATTATAGTATAGCATACAAGTATTCGTTATTTTTATGCCAGCAATTTATCCCTTAATTATAGGAGTTTTTCATATAGTTAATTACCATAGTTTATGAGGAAAAGTCCTGATTTTTCTGGAAGACAAGTATATCTATCTGAACATTCATTACATTTGGTTTGTGAAAAGAATTAATCATCTGTGGAAACTGGCCCGTTGCATCCCAACGTCCACTAAATATTCAGGTTACTAGTAACTTTTTTATGACTGCTTGTCATATTAAAATATATAAGCTAAAATATATATGAGCAGTGAATTATTAAATCAATGGGATCCAGTGCATTGTAGTGTAGTGCTTCTGCTCGTAGGTTCTGGATGCAAACTAGCTGAGAATTTTGGATAATTTTGACCTTAGGCAACTCACTTAAATGCTTGGTGATTTGGTTTTCTCTTTCATAAACTGATCATCATATGAGTTCAATAAGTTAATGGTAAAAGCACTTAAACTGTGTCTGGTACCAGTGAAACCCTTAATAATCATAACTATAATTATTATTTAACAGCTAAGATGGATGAGGTAAATCAAAACATGGAAAGTTTTCCAATATATATCAGAAAGTTTTTTTAAAAAAGACTTTATATGTATATTAAATGTATATATAATAAAATCAATTATGCGAAATACCATCTATTTTTCTTTAGTAGTATAGAAAGGAACATGTGGATGAGAGAAACAAAGAAAAGAAAAGAATAAAGAACAGAAAGAAGGAAGGGAAGGGAGGGGAGGCGGGGAAGGGAGGGGAAGGGAGGGAGGGGGAAGGGAGGGGAAGGGAGGGAAAGGGAAGGGAAGGGAGGGGAGGGGGAAACAGACACCAGTCAGAGCAATGCTTAAACTTAAGGAGGCAACTGAGGTTAGTGGACCATGACCTTATCCACATTCCTGACCCTTCCTTCCTCCCTCTGTCCCTCCTTCCCTTCCTTCCTTTCTTCTTTCCTTTCTTCCTTCCTTCTTTTCCTTCTTTCTACAATGAAATACTATATTATTCCTGAATAATTTTATGACTGAAAATCATTATCTTTTAAAAATTTTTTCAATTATTTAAGCTGCTCTCTAAGGAGGTTCCAGTGCTTCCTCATTGGATTGACTGCTGATATGTTCAGATTGACAAAAGGCCCTCAGAAAAACTCCCCCAGGGTAATTTAAAACCCTGTACTTCCTTAGGGCTCACACAACCTTTCTGAAAGTGTTTGGTTTTTCTGTGCCAAATTGTGCATGGAAATCTTGGCGATAGCTCTCACACCTTCATGCCCAGGGTTCAGCTTCCTGTGGCACCTGCAGCCATCCCCATTTTAGGTACCATTAGCCCTGGGGCCTTTCATATGAGCTGTGTGCAGGTGCTTGTCATTTACAGGATCCACAAACCCCCCATCCACCCAAGGACCCAGGGATCCAAATCTCCTCATGGGTCACACCATCCCTTTCTCTCAAATTCATGCTTTTCTGGCTCTAGTCTTCAATGGCCCACATATCTCAAATAAAGCACTGGTGTTGCTGGCTTCAGGATATCTCCAAGACACAAAAACTATATTAATTATCCTTAGGAGTCCAAGAAACAAATTTCTGACTCTTTCTAGGAAATAGAGATGGAGACGTTTACATTTCATTACTTTTACACTCCTATATTATCAAAAATAATGTAGGAATTAATATCTTTATAGCTGTGTCACCAAGAGTGAAAACTACAGTAAATTTTTTTTGGCATTTTGACTAGATATGGTATAAATAAATCCAGTTTTAGGAAATCCCACAAAGGACAATTCCATTTTTCCTTTGCTCCTAAAGAACTACAGTGCTGTACAGGTAGCTAAAATTCTGTGCAGCCTCAATAATGTCCCAAAATTCCAGAGTGAGAATGGCAGCTAGGAGCAATCTCTAACAGAATAAGGAGTCCGTTTCATTTACAGAACGTCTCAACACCTTGGATCAACACCATTTTGAGACAGAGTTAGCAAATAAGCAACTACCCAAAGAAAGCTCTCAGACAAGAAGCTGTCCTTGGATTAGGCTTCTCACTATTAGGGGTTCATGCCAGATGAAGGAAACCTTTTGTGAACTGGATAGGTACCCCACACCTGGATGGGAAGTTACCTTTGGCCAAAACCAAAAGCTGCCTCCAAGGATTGCACATACTCCTGGAATAGAAGTTAGACTGAACTAATCAGTAGTCTTCCTGGTTTCAACAAACAACAAAAAATTGTATAGAAACAAAGTGACCTTCCTGAAAATGCTCATGGTCTTAGCTTCTCACAATCCATTCAGACTGATGACATAAAACTACATCCTCCAGCTCTTCTGCTCAGGATCTAAGTGGAGGATTCCCTAGCAATTCATGGTTATCATTAAGAGATAACTGATGAATCTTTTCCCATTCATTTTAGGAAAATCAACTGAGCTAAATCTGTCCTATTTCAAGCATGAATAATCAGGACAAGAACTTAAATCCTTTAAAATGACACAGAATAGAGAGAAAGAGATATTTTAATAGAGCATTAAGAAAAAGAAAAAGATTACAAGAAATTTGGCTGGGTGCGGTGGCTCACACTTGTAATCCCAGCACTTTGGGAGGCCAAGGCAGGTGGATCACCTGAGGTCAGGAGTTCGAGGGCCGACATGACAAAACCCCGCCTCTACTAAAAATACAAAAATCAGCTGGGCATGGTGGCATGTGCCTGTAGTCCCAGCTACTTGGGAAGCTGAAGCAGGAGAATCGCTTGAACCTGGGGGGCAGAGGTTGCAGCAAGCCAAGATCGTGGCACTGCACTCCAGCCTGGACAACAGAGTGAGACTTCATCAGAAAAAAAAAAAAAAAAGGATTACAATAAATACAATTAAATTTATTTTAGATAGCATCTTCTTTCCACAGTCAAGGAAATTAAAGAAAACATATGAAATGAATGTCAGATGAAAGATAGCTGACACATCAGAAATGTAATATAAGAAAACAAATAATGCCGTGGTGGGATTAAAACTGTACTAGAAACCATAAAGAACAAAGTCCACACTGGAAAATGTTGACGGTTATATTACTGACAGGTTTTATAATAAAAAATGAGAATTAAATTGATATCTGAGAAAAGATCATAGATATGGAGGACATACCACAGAAACCTAACATATGAATCATTGTATCTGAAGAAGATGATAAATGGGGCAATAGCAATATTCAGAAATATACTTTAAAGGAAATTTTCTTCCAAATAAATACCTGAATCTTTAAGATGGAAGGGTTAAACAGATACAAAACAACTATTGAAATATATATATTGGAATTAGATGTTTCTCAGTGAAATTTTTGAATTTCAGTACTGGAGAAAGAACCCTATAAATTCCGTGATAGGTAGTAGTATTGTTCCCAGTTGTTAGCTATTTCCTTCCTTAGGCAGAGTGTTCTTCCTACTCCAGTTACTTTGGACTTGGTCAAGAACATGTGAATAGACCTGATATAAATTTCATTAATCAGAAACATGTAGAGCTGTCACGAGTTTCTGCCGGTATTCTTGCTTCTGCCTTCTTGCAGGAAAAGATCATTTTCCAGACAAGTACTGCTGCCTCAGCCTGGGCTGTAAAATGGAAAGACAGGAGAAGCCAACCTGCCCCCAACCTGTGGCCTAGAGCAGATCCATAGAACCTGGCCAACAACATGTAGTATGAGGATGAAATAAATATTATTGTTGGAAGCCACTGAGCCTTTTGGGTTGTTATACAGTATATATATACATATATATGTATATATATAGTACTAGGTAATACTATATACCTAGTATATATACACACACACACTGTGTATATACACACACTGTATATATACACACACACTATATATATATATACACACACACTATATATATATACACACACTGTGTATATACTAGGTATATAGTATTACACACACTGTATATATACATACACTGTATATATACTAGGTATATAGCATTACCTAGTGAAAACTAACACAACCACAATGACAGAAAGAGTTGTTTACCTACCCAAGGCTGATAGCATGCTGGTCTCAGACTTGTGTCTGCATAACATTGGATGCAAGCTCTATCCTACTCTATCTATTCTAGATGGAGTAATGTCTTCAGAATTTTCAAGGAATTAGTTTGTGACATAATCCTATTTCCACCCAAAAGGTCATTTAAGTATTAAAATAACCATAAAATATCAGCTATGCAAGAATTTAGGAATTAAACTAATCACAAAAAAAGTACAGAAAATGTTTAGCAATTAACTGAGTAATATACCAGTAACTAGAGATCAAATTAGGATATGAATGAATTGGCAGAAAGAATAGAAACCATTTAAATATAAAACTTAATTAGATTTAACTGTGGTAAAATAAAGTAACAGAAACTGTACAAAACTATAAAATTTAAGTAGAAGATATATAAGAAAAGAAAATTATCTAAGATGACAAAATGAGACAAATTCTAGATAATACCAGCAAAAATGTTAAAGTACAAGACTCTCCAGATTTCATAAAGGTGGGACTCATTATCACTGCTTCATTCTTAGCATTGCTAACTAGGAAAAATGTTCAAGCATTTTAAAAAATAAGTTACCAAGAGTAGTTTAAAATGATTTATAAAAGGCCAATTACAAAGTATAAAATGTAAACAACACACATGTCAAAAAGTTGATGTCTATAATATAGAAAACATCCTAATTGGTAAAGTTCATGAATAGACAAATCATTAGAGAGCAAATACAATTAGGAAATAAATACATGGAAAAGTGTTCTGTGTGACCTTGTATGAATGTTATGAAGGATCTTTTATGCAACATTAAGAAGTTGATTCTTATCCTGTAAGCAATTGAGTACCTTCCAAAAAGGACTTCCTTAAAGTCCTTCCATAAAGGGACTTTAAGAAAGTGAGTAGTTTAATTCCTAAATGGCTTGTTCAGAGAGGAGAATAAGAGAGCAGCATGGAAGAACAAAAGAATCGGAAAGGCTATCGTAAGAATCCAGTTGAATGCTGCAGATGATGCTTACTAAATCTTAGTAAAGCCCAGCATGTTATGCCATTTTGACTGATGAGATGTCATTTGGCAAAGTCTGCTGTTAGGTGCTGATTTAGAGGACTTATCTCACCTCATGATTTACAGTAGAAAAGGGCTCCCAGCCAGAGTGTCACTAAGAAAACCATCCCTCTCCCCTACCCATAGTATATGCTGATCCTTCATCTATGGCCTTTCCCTGTTCTTTCTTCACGGATACCTCTCCTTTGTAATTAACAGATAAGGTGTGCATTGGCAGTCCTTCCAGATGATCCTCATAGGTCAGACTGCAGTCACCCCAACAGCAAAGCACTGAGCTCTGTCGTCCTTCTCTCTCTCCTGCCTGTGCTTATTCTCACTCCAAGGGCCAGTGCTGGGTCTATGAGACTGGCATAGGTCAGCACATGGAGATAATATATGAATTATCCATTTTAACTGATGCCATATAGAAAATATAGAGAAAAAGGCTTTATCTGGTAAAAGAACAAAAATATTTAAAAATAAATATAAGGATGAATAGGATTTGATAGAAAATGGGATATTTCCAGTAGATCTAAGGGAAATTAATATCCATATAGTTTTATTAAGGCAGGTACAGCAGGCCACAATAACCACTCCTGGCTAATTTGAAAATGCTTTTTGAGGAAATGATTTTTTCCATCTAAACCCAGGCATTATTTTTTCTTAGGTTGATGTGCTCCTAATCAATTGAACCAAAGGGAATTCTCTCTTGCCAAAAAAAAAAAAAAAAAAAGGGAAAGTAATGATAGGAATAGTTTACAAGATTCAGTTTTATACTTAGGATAAGGGGCTTTTCACCAACCTATACTACCCAATGAAGCTCATCATGTAAAAGCACACCCCTTTTAACAGAAACATCAGCTGAGTGAAAGTGATAAGAAGTGACGATAGCTCCAAAATCTAGAAATATTATAATGAGGATGTACTATTACAGATGAAAATTACCATGTTTAATTCCCATGGCAACTGCCAAAAAAATTATATGGATAGGAATGTTCTGAAAGAGCTCATGGTGACCCAAGGAATTGAACTTTACATTGATTGACTCTTTTGTAGATTTTATAAGATTACAGTGGTCATGGTGAAATGTGAACTGGAATGTAGTCAGAGTGATGGGTGGACAGAGAGCTTGGATTTTGCAGCTAGGTTTGAAGCCTGGTTCAGCTGCATAATAATGAAGTGGAGTTAGACAAATCACTTCTCTCCTTATCTGAAGAATTGATACAATGATGGTTTCCCTGTAGGATAATTGTTGGAATTAACACATCACAGATAAACTTCTCGGCACATAGTAGGTGCTTCACACAAGTTAGTTCCCTCCCGCAACAATCATTTCTTTAATGGGATTTTTTTTTTTAATTTCACACTAGGATACTCCCATACAAAGACTTCATGGATTTAAAAGTTTATACAGATATTGTCTATTTCATACATCGCACAAATGCAGGAAATACTGTAGTATAAAATGTTGCATATATTAGTGTCATAGCAATAGCAAAACAATCCTGTGGTTTCTTGCCAAGACAAATATGATTATACATTACTGTGTTCCCTGTGATAAATTCCTTTGAGGTTTCAGAATGCTGTGCGTGAGTAACTCTGGCAATCTATTTAAGATTCAGTTGATTTTCTATAATGCAAATCTTTGTTTTACAGAGCTGCTGAACTGTAATATAAATGTTATATAGGACCTTGTCAAAACAATCTTATTAGTGATTAGATATTGGAATAGTTAGTGGAACTAAATATGTTCATATTTAGGCATTTTTCTTAATCTAGGCTTTGAGCATTTATTAAAAATATTTGAAGTAAGTCAATATTTACATGCTATACTGTGTTCTCATTTGTAAAATTTAATTTTGTTTAAAAAAAGGAAATTGAAAGTGGAAGCTTAAAAATTTCCAACAGGCATCAACATTTTAGGTTGAAAATACTGGCACATTCTGTTATTATTTTGCCATATGTCATTTTCCTATTTGTACTCCAGTATACTCAGAATCAATTTTTCCACACTATTTATGAATTATTACATACTACATGAAAAATAAAAGACAGCTTTTCCCTTCAGTTATCTAACAGGCCTTTTATAAAAGCATCTTTCATTAAATTACTTTGGAATATAGACTAGAAGCTTTCTCATCTGATTTATGTGAATAAATATAGAATTGATGACTGTATCTTTAAATTATATGATTCATTCAGTCATTAGTTAAGGAGAGAATAATCAATGATAGATTTAAAAATCATTTCCAGTGCACACATAATTAGTTACACATGGATGGGAACCTGATCCCAGCCGTTCATCTCCCTCTTTTTTCAGGTCTATTTCCTTATTGGAGACCATCCTGGAGACACTATGGAGGGCCTTCAAAATCAATCAGAGGATCGCAGTTCTGTGAAAACATTTTGTTGAAAAAATATTAAATTTTATTTGACTAAAACTAGGTAAATAAGCAATGACTCAATTCACAGTTTTATGAAACAAGCAGTTTATTTTTCATAGTTTTGATTAAAGAAGAAATCAGTAAATAATTTGCATATATTTATGATCTGAAAATCTGAATAAGCAAAACAAAAAACGAATAGGAAGTATCTATGGGGTCATCACAATAATCACAGGAAACATTCTTAAAATAACCTTCAAGACCCAATGAACGTGTGTATGAGTTTGTGTTGAACACAGAATTTCCCTGTATATTTTATTGCCTTTATTCACATAACAATGCATCATAGATATGATTTCAGATCCATAAATATAACAGTCATATCAGGCATACTATTAAAAGCTAATCTTCAATTATAGCTTAATATGTGCTTGGAATTATGCAGAGAACTTCACATATAAAATATGTGAAGTCATTTGAGTGTGTCTTATTTCCATTTTAAGGAGAAAGGGACATAGGTTAAGTAATACATCCAAGGTCATACAACTGGTCTGTGTTCTGAAACAAGAATATGAATCCTTAATTTCCATTTTCAAAGAAATATGTTCCATATTTGTCACTTTAGAGCTCCAAATCATAATCACTGTGCTGCATGATATTATAAGATTATATTATTAAAAGTTATAATCCATATAAATTCTCTAACCATTATATTTGTTAGACATAGATTATTGCTTCCACTTCCAATTTTCCACAATTATAAGTAATACTAAGGTAAATGTTCCTTAAATATATATTTTTGTAAGCTCAATTAATAATTTAAGATAAATTCATAGACATAGAAGTGCAGAAACAGAGCATGAACACTTTTAAGGCTTTTGGTTGAATTCATATCTGTATGTTCTCTGCAACAATGGAGAACATTGTTCTTCATAACTTTTACAATCTTATAGGCAAAAAATAAATAAAGTTCTCATTTCAATTTATATTTTTGAATATTTTTCAATAAACTTATTTTGTATTTTTCTTTCGTACTGAAACAACCAGATGATAAAACAATAATTCAATAACTGACACACCAAATTTTAGACATGTCTTGGCCTTTAGACTTCATGTTATGTCTGGTGGGCCTAATTTTTTTTAATTTGGATTTATTAAAGCATAATTTGCATCCTGATACATCCTTCCTTGGCGTATAGCTTTATGAGTTTTGATGAATGCATACTTTCATGAAATTATCACCATAATCAAGTCAGAGAATGTTTCTGTGAGTCCCAAATGTTTCAGCCTTCCCCTTTGTAGTCATCCCTCCTTCAATCTCCAACTTCGAGAAACCACTGATTTGTCTTGGTTCCTCGCGTTTTGCCATTCTCAGGATATTATATAAGTGGACTCATGCATTTTGAGTTTTTGAGTCTGACTTATTTGTTACATGCATCTGTAGTCTGTGTTTTTCCCATTTAATTGCTGAGTAGTATCCTGTTGTATGGATGCACCACAGTTTGTTTATCCATTTGCCAATTGAAGGTTGGGTTATTTCCATTTTTTGGCAATTATGAATAAAGCTGATACAAACATTCATATACAGTTTTTTGGGAGTACACATATTTTATTTCTTTTAGATAAATACCTAGCAGTGAGATTGCCAGGTTGTATGGTAAACATATATTTACCTTTATAAAACATTTTTCAAGTTATCTGTGTCATTTCTAATGGCCCTTATGATTTTGAATGGTTCTGAAATGAATCTTGATGTAGCTCATTCAGATTTTTATCAGTGGTGCCTCTTTGTGAAAATAAGCAAGTTTTTAAATGAGGAGTTTTAATCAACTCCTGGTTCTACAAGAATTTATCATGCACTTGGTCCATTATCCACATCCTCCGATTCTTCTCTGTCAAGTAGTGTTAGGTTGCTTATTTAGTAAATCTAAAGCATTTTAAAAAGTTAAAGGAAAATGAAATAACTAAGAAGAAGCCAATTTTATAGGTTAAAGTATTAGTATATAAAACAAGGCATGGATACAATTTACTGTTGAGTTACCTTATCATCAGCTGTTATGATAGTGAAATTTTATTTATAATCAGATTCGTAATATATGAAATGTAACAAATATTAAATACAGAGCACTATGATATGTCTCGTGGGGAGAGAGAGAATTTTGTAACCATATACAGAAGATGATGATGGCTATACTGGAGGAACACATAAAGGGAGACCTGTCTGAACTTAGCAATGCTTGAAACGTCATCTTAGGGGAGATCTTCAGGACCATGAGCCAAGTGAGGACAAGAGAGAAGAATGGTCCAGCTGGAGAATCCAGCTCACGCAACGGTTTTGTTTAGCAGGCAAGATAAGGGCACGAGGGCAAGAAACTTGAGGATGCTGTTAAAGATTGATCTTATGATCAACTGTAGGGTCCAGAAGGAGTGAAAAAGAAGCGGAATTCATAAGGAGCATGATAGACTGGAACAGATGGATAAATTAGTAGTCAGGAAATTTCCTCATGGCCAAAGAAACCTTGTTGTGTGAGGGAGGTAAGACAGGAGTTAAGTTGGGATTTTACATTTCAAACATGATTACTGGTTGAGAATATAGCTATGAATAAGGGATAAAAGTGTGGTAGAGAGGAAGGTTATTATAGTTGAGGAGGTTAACAAACTTAGAAGACAAAGTGCATGGATACCCATATCCACCAAATACCATAAACACATTAGTATTCATAGACTTCCATGAAATTTCATGTCAATACGTTTGGGAAACATTGAGTTAAAGTGAAACAAACAATTAGCTGGGTGTGGTGGTGTGTACCTGTAACGCCAGTTACTCAGGAGGCTGAGGCAGGAGAATTGCTTGAACCCGGGAGGCGGAGGTTACAGTGATCTGAAATCTCACTACCGCACTACAGCCTGGGCGACAGAGCAAGATTCCGTCTCAAAAAAAAAAAAAAAAAACAAGTGAAATAAACAGGTATTTTCTGAAGGTCTTCTTAACACTTTTATGCATTGTGTAACTCTAAGCATGACATATAATGTGCAGTTAATGTCAAAAGGCTTGAATTCAAAGATTTATTTTTTGGAATTATTCCAGTTAACTGATTTTTTAAGCAATACTCTTTTGCCAGTGAAAGGACAGCATCTTAAAGAAGGAATTGATTTTACATCCCTGATAATGCTTACTTCATTAATCACTTTCTTCACCTTTAGGCAGTGGTACTCAGACTGGCATAAAAGACAATCCATTGCTTGTGGCACTTGCAAAAAGAGAAGATATCTGGGTTTCACACCAAGACATTCTGATCCAGAAGGCCTGGGCTTGGGCCCCAGGACTTGTACTACATCAGTCATATCAGGTGATCCGGATGTGGAGTCAGCACTTGATCTGGATACAGCTGGGCCTGCAGAACCTCTGACACAGTGGTTCTCAATATTGGCTCTACATTACAATCATCCAGAGAGCCTTCAAAAATTCCAGTAACCAGGCCATGCCTCATACCAATTAAATCCTGGTCTCTGGGGTTGCATCAGTATTTTCTTAAAGATCCTGGGTGATTCCAGCATGAAGCCACAGTAGAGAATCAGTGCCTCTAAAGATCTGGTGTGAAAAGCCTTAAGCTTCTTTGGCTTCTCAGGACTTGGAAAGACTTCATAAGATCTGTAGCTAATGCTCTCGTAAAAACTGGGCCTGCCTCTGGTTTAATTATCAGAGAAAGCTGCCTAGAGATTCTTTTAGAAGGTAGCTGTTAGCTCCTTTCTCTGAATAGTAAAAAAAAGGGAAACTTCTGAATGGAAACAAAACTCTGAACCAATATAAAACTCTGAACTGAAACAGAACCACTGTACAGAAAGGTTAATAGTCCCCCAAAAAAGTCACCTTTCCCAAGAAAACTTTGGTTCTGTCACATGATAGCTTTTATGTCTCCAACTTCTTAAAACAACAAGAAATTGCTCAACATACATTTTAGAATCAGTTTTACAGCTTCAAATCTGAGTTTAACTAATTTCTTCTTAAATAGTTCTAACATTGTTTCTCTTTACTAAAATACCAACTTCACAACCTACCAGAAGGAAAACAATGTGACAAAGTAGAACCTTCGAACACATACTCCATGTACTTTGCTTTTTGCCTCTCTTCTGCTCACCTTCCCCTCCTCAAAGGACACAGTGAATGAAGCAAGTGAATGCGTTAAAGAAGCAAATCGCAAAATAAACAGGGACAATATTCGAGATTATGACATCCACCT
Organism: Homo sapiens; assembly: GCF_000001405.40. Taxonomy (NCBI): domain Eukaryota; kingdom Metazoa; phylum Chordata; class Mammalia; order Primates; family Hominidae; genus Homo; species Homo sapiens. The sequence goes on along the minus strand of NC_000001.11, from coordinate 98,898,369 downwards.
ATCTTTTCCTGATGCAATGTAGGCTATGTCAGAATTGTTGGTTAATTTATTGGACCATGATTCCTTCTCCAGAATCCTTAGTGTCAGATGTTTTTACAGAATTCAAAATATTTTATATTTTAGGAATATGTATATTTGGTTACACAAGCAGCATCTGGAGCAACAATTGTAATCACAGATGAGTATTTCTGCAGCAAAACATGGAGTATAAATTGCCTCACAACAGATCAGGTTTTGCCACCAAATGAGTTTGCATCAATCTTAAAAGAAACATTTTGTTGGGTTTTAAACTTTGTTTGGATATGAGCATTGAAGATCGGTAGAATAGTGTATTTTATATTCAAATAGTGAGCTTTATTTGTAAAATTCTAACCAATTACTTAAAAATTATTTATTTTACTTTTTCTTTTTTTAACTTTCCTTTTTAGCTGTTTCTGTGGCTTTTATAAGTAACTATAAATAAATGATGAATAAGTTTGAGTAGGGACAGGGACCTTTGTGTATATAATCCCATTTAATGTTAATAAAAATCCATTCAAAAAGTATGTATTCTTATCTCTATTTCACAGATGAGAAAGCTGGGTCTGTGAAAGGTTAAATTGCTTGCTAAAATTTCACTTGTGATGGAGACCACATTTAAACACTTGACATTCAGATGACTTGACTGCAAAGACCACTGTACCACACAGCTTCCGCAGCAACAGAGTCAGAGACATAAATCATTGCATGAAAGACAGGTGCACAGATCCCATTTTATGTTTAGGTTAAAACCCTATGCTGATTGTTGATAGCTTCTCCTATTCAAACACAAAAGCTTTTTATCATCAATCATCTTGAAAGAATGAAACTGGAATAATATTTAATCTCAGCATTTGGTCTAACGATGTAAGAACATGGAACTTTAAATAAACCAGTACTTTGAATAAATTAAGACAATGTTTAAATAAACATTTAAGTAATATGTAAAACACATTTTGTAGGTGTGCCAAAATCAACCTGTTGAGAATGGTCAAGAAGAAAATTCACAGGAAAGGTCCTTTAAAGACTGTCTTGCCAGGCTCTTCAGCTGGATAATGGGAATAAGCCACTGTGAACACCTTCAATTAAGGCAATAAACGTATGTGCGCTGGAGCGCACTGGTGTTGGAATTGGGTTGCAAAGCTAAGACAAATACAGAAAAATGTGTCCTTCTGTGCAGGTTTTCCTTACAACCAAAAGCAATATAGGAACTAGAGCTTTTGGTTGCTGTTGTTGTTGTTATAATTATTAATCTTTCAAATACATTTTATTTTTCAATCATTAATATGAATTTAGCATTCCTTAACTAAGAAGCCATTAATAATGGCATTTTACTTGTTTTCCTATAGCTGTAATTCCAAAGACTTCCCTGGAGTGCCCTTTTTGCATTTTCTCATACTTTTCCCCTTATTTGTTGATTGAGTGACAGGTCTTGCCAGATGGCAAGTCATCACCAAAGTTTCGTGCCACGAATCGTGACAGTTTTGTCTTAATTAACATTTTTTTTTTAAATTACAGACTGTATTTTCTATGTGGAGGTGTAGAATAAATAGTAAAATAGAGATTTTCATGCAGAACTTAGAGCTTTTAAAATGGACATGCTATAGAGACTTTAAAATTTATTAAATTTAAGTATCCAGTACAACTTCCCAGAAACGTGTTTGCTTTCTCTTGTGACCCCTGCACTCAAGGACCAGACTCAGTATTTTGCTCAGTGGTTTGCTGTGCACCTGAGTGAACACTTTCTAATGGATGCTTCATGTAGCATATTCTAATCTACAACTATTTGGGGTCAAGCTTTGTCATCTCCATGGTAAGCCTCTGTTAATGTAATTGCAGAAGGTACCAGGAATTGTGACAAAAAATTATATGACCAGTTTCTTCTCATGATTCTGAATAGAACTTTTAAGCATGAGCTTTTGGTTTGCCTACTGCTTTTTTGCACTATCATCTACTAAAAAGATTTAGTATTGCATATTCAGAATTTAGCCATATTGAAAAAGAGAAACACTTGGTCAACTACTTTGCCTCACAGGCAGTCCATTTCTCAAGACAGCAATCTGAAAATATTAAACACAATTCTGGTTTTCCATGTTAATGGGAAAAATACTGCTGGGAAGTGAATAGACAATAACTTCCTGCACAGGAATTAGGCCATCTGTATATTTCAAATTATGCATGTACATACCTTGGTAATGTAAGTTGTATAATGTACCATCATATGATAGATTCTTATAAAAGGACCTCAAGTAATTATCTTGGCGCTTCTTTAGATTGCTTCAGGGAAAATCACCCCTGTGCCAGAAGTGAATTAAACTTAAAAAAAAAAAACTACTGAGATAAATAATCCATCTCTTTCATTTATGATATAGGTTCATTAGCTCTTAAACAGTAAAGTAAATGAACAGAAGCTCTCTGATCTGTCTGTACACTCCTTTCATGTACTATGATTAAATTTCCCCTTAATTTTCTCTTCCCTAGGCATAGTCACTTCAGTGTTTTATTTTCCTCTGTTTATCTGTCTGCTAACTACAACTACCTTAAAATGATGAGCCCCAAGCAGGATACTTCTAATCCCAGTCAAATAGAAAAAAATGAAAGCACCTCAGAAGTTAAAACTTAAGTGATGTGAAATGGAAAGATGCTAATTTGGGGGAGGGGGCAAGAGTTTTCCCTAGAATCCTAGGATCTAAAAATATAGTCAATCTAGAAATCAACTGTTGTCCTTGTAGTTTAACTTGGTGATATTTTTGCATAGGAAAAGAGTATTATGGCTTAAAATGTATGGGCAGTTAAAGGGAGATCTAGTGATCACTGAAGCATGTGATTTTAAATGCCAAGACTGAATTCCAGTATTTTCTAGATCTCAATAGCTCACCTACAATTATACATCCATGCCTCATTATTAAGGTTTCTTAGTCTGTTTTGTGCTGCTATAACAGAATACCACAATCTGGGTAATTTATGAGGAGCAGAAATTTATTGGCTCAGGATTCTGGAGGCTGGGAAGTCCAAGGTCAAGGTGCTCACATCTGGTAAGGGCCTTCTTGCTGCACCATAACATAATGGAAGCACAAAAAGAGGGAACGAGAGAGAAGGGGACTAAACTTGCTTTTTTATAACAAACACTGACCTATGATAAGGACATTAATTCATTCATGAGGGCAACACTCTAGTGGTCTAATCACCTCCCATTAGGCCTCACCTATCAACACTGTTGCCTTAGAAATTAAGTTTCCAACATGTGCATTTTAGTGGACACATTAAACCACAGTATAGGGTGACTTTATATTACTATTTGGGACAATCCTCATTTAAGCCTGTTGTCCTTGTGTTGTATTAGCACCCTTTTCCCCCTTCCACATGTCCATATTTAGATGATAAATTATATGGTCACCCTACAGTTATTACAGTTTCTTTGTTACACTGTCCAGCTTGCACTTGTGCACTTGGTTTTTCCTCTATTTCTGTCAAGCTCTGCATTGATCATCAGTGGTTTGCTTCTGGTTATTTCTCTGTTTATTAAAGTCCTTTAATGTGTATTTAATTCTCCCTTCCAGGTTAGTGGTTGTCCTCTTAAGATCATCTTCAGCAAATTTAATGAGTCTTGTGAACCCTCCCTTCATTATCTGGGTCAACAATGGGAACCCTGAGGCCTAGGCCAGTGGCCTTTGGGACACCATCCATGTTATTTCTTACCTCCTTTCTTTTCTCTCTACTGCCCCTTATTGACCCTTTTCCTACCCACCAGTTGTCACTGACTGATTAATCTTTAATTTCTATCTTAACATCTTTCCAGAAATTATGTTGTTCTAGATCCTATTAAGAAGTGTGATGTTCATGACGGTTTTGTGCTGAAACACTCTATATCGAATTGCATTTTCTCAGTTCACTGGTTTCAAGTACCCGTGGGGCCACTGGAAATAAAACTGTGATGTATTATTTCCACAGTTCTTATTGTTTTAATTCAATCATAGTGCATTATATAACTCTGACAAGTCATCTTTACCCTGAAGTCATGCCTGAGCTTTTGTAAGGAAAACTCAAGAAAACTTACAGATGAGCTACTGAATTTCCAGACATTTTCATGATGCATTTTTAAATGGGAAATTAAAGTTTCTAAAATGTTACCAGGAGTTAGTGGAAAAACTCAGCATGCTCTGCTCACTCCTGATTCGTACTAATTTTGTTTTTTTCTAGTATTAAGTGGGTCAAGCCTAGAAGATAATGCCCCAAATTGTAGTCAATGAGATTCCTTTTGTGTGGTTTAATATGCCTAAATTCAATGAAAATGAATTTTAATTTCTTTACACACATTTTAAATATGTTTTGATGAATTAAAATACTTAAACTTGAAAAAAGCTATATGTATGTTGAGAACATTTTATGGCATACATTCATCATATGAAATTCTGTTTATGATATCATTTGTTATAAAAATCCAATGCAAATGCCATACAAAAACTATACAAAACACATTTAAAATGGGTAGTATGATGGTAGAACCCTTTTGTAATGCTGATGTTATTTGTTGGGGTTGTCAGTCATATTAGATCTTGACATAAGCCCATATGTAGCATGATTAATTATGTAATAGTAGTTTTTCATTGCAGTATTTCAGCAGGCATGACATGGCCTGTTGCATGCCTGAATCTATTTAAATGTTAGGCATTCCACAGAGTTTCTTTGTACATAATTCTGTTGATTTCCCAAAAAAAAAAAAAAAAAAAAAAGGCGCTGTGAAGAATTCTGTGGTAGAGGTAAACAACAGAGACTACAGTCTGGAGTCAGGATTCATGCATCAAAAATGAAGTGTTTAAGTAGATTTTTGTCAACTAGCAAATGCCATTTTAGTCTGAGCATTTCACTATCTCATTCTACACCATCTGTCTCTCAGGGAGCAATTAATCTGAAACTCCAACATGCAGCATTAAAATTCCATTAACACTGAACAGAATATTAACGTGTCTGGCATTGCCATTTTTATCTTTTCAAATTTCAGAGTTAATTTTGAATAAAGCAGGTATAACATTTTAATCTATTTGTATAATTAAGATTATTGAATAAAATATGTAATTAGCAGCAAAAATTGTGTAATAATACATAAAACTTAGTTTAATAATGCTGGATGTTTTGCAACTTCAACATTCAGCATATAAGCTAATGATTATTTGTAAAGGTACTACATATTTTACAAAGCTAATGTTCCCAAGCCTCTCACTTTGTCATTCCTTTTTCTTTTTGCAGAACCACATCACTGCCTTCGCAGAAGTCACATGATATCGAAGCAGATGGTTTTTCACTGCATTGGACATCATCCCTTTTTACCATCCATTCATAACACCCAAAGTTTGTTTGATTGCAAGTGAAGTTTATAAAGTTGTTTAATAATTTTTATAATTTTAAAATCAATGTCAACCTATCTGTTTCCCCCACTAGACTGTGAGCTCCTCGAGGGCAGGATTGTCTTTTTTTTTCTGTGTCCCCAGCACTTACAACAAAGCCTAGCACAAAGTAGGTGTTCAACAAAAATGTGATGACCAAATGAACAAAATTCTTAAATAAAACATTCACTTTAGTTTCTCACAGAATCATTGCAATTATGTTAAAAGAAATCTCTACATAAATCGTATTTGTGTATGAAAACCTTCTATTTTGGGCTAGTTATTTTTTTAATCTTCATATATCTATTCAGCAGTATGCCATATTTAATTTGAAGTGGACTTTGAAAGTCATGGGGGTTTTTATTTTGTTATTCAGCATGACATTATTTCCATTCTAACATTTCAGTGTGTGAAATTACTTTATTTTTAGAAAGTATGTTCTATAGTAAAATAATGTTTCCACATTATATTATGTTATATTTCACTTAAAATACTATTCATACTATACATTCTAAGACTGGTGCTTCTGCTTTTGAAGGGGAAAATGCCAATTTTTACTGTAATAAGTAATGTATCATAATTAAAAATTATTTATTTGGACTTCTTCTCCTGACAATTGTGGCTTAATTCATGACTTGTTTTTGAATGCAGGCAGTATTTAGGGTAGTTTAAATGAGTAAATTCAGCACTGGTACCTTATTATTGAGTAATTTCCCATGGGTAGCAGTGTCTCAAGAGTGGTCAAAAGCTCCACTCTTAGGCTTTTTTACTACTAAAGATTCCACATAATTTAAATGGGAAAGAACTATACCCTGACACATAATTTAAATTATATAAATGCTAGAAATATGGTTAATGTATTTTACTTTGCATTTGTGTAGTACTTTATAGTTTACAAAGCATATTTACACCAATTATTTTATGTAATCCTCATAATAACCTGGTATAAACATGAAGGGTATGGCTTTATTTTTATAGATAAGAAAAATGAAGCCAAGACAGGGTAAATAACATGCCAAATCACAAACTAGTAAGAGACATAGTTGAAGCTTAAATTCAAGTTTTCTGGCCCTGAACTCATATTCCTTTCTAATATAGCACAGCTGTCATCTCATTTTGGACACTGAGGCCTTTCAGAGCTCAGTAGAATCCTGGGCAACTACCTATGGTTCAAAAAATAAAGAAATGCCAGAATACAAATATGAAAGCTCTGCTGTATTTTAAATGTTTATGTTTTAAGAATGAACACTTTTCAAATATAAAACTATATAATAATTATAATCCAGTTTTAAGATAATATCAAGAGTCTAGATGTGAGGCTTTTTGTGAAAGAGAAGCCTAAATTCAGCATCTCCCCTTCCACCCTCACCCCCAGGTCCCAGCCTCCCACTCAGCAGAGTGCCCAAGGGACATACCTTACATTTAGCATGTAGAATTCCAGATTACAATCGCCATAATATAAGGAAGGTGAGCTCCTCAACAATAACTTTGCAATAATTAAAACTACCCTAAGTAACTTTGGCTTATATGGCAAAGTAACTTTGGCAGTAATTGACTGAAATGAATCTTTCTAAACTTTACAGTACTAAAGAAAGCAAACTTTTAATTTCCTCTGTAATTTCAACAGAGATCAGCAAATAAATATAACCAAAGATTGTCCATTACTCCCCAAATAGATGTTATTTGCCCATTTCTATCACTGTGGAAGCTAAAACACTTCTACTAGGGCCAAAAAGAGAAAAGAAAAGAAAATTTCTACTAATTTCAGACCTCTAGAGCAATTCAGTCCTGTTGGAAATTTAGAACATGAAGAAACTTTGAATGTCTTGACCCTTTTTAAAGATTTTTTAGGCAATAACAGTAATAGGGAATTCACTTATTGAGAATGAAAGTGAAGGGGATGATCCTAATGTCTTAGAAAGCTAGATTACTAGTAAGGCTTCCAGACTTCTATCAGTTCTATTGATTCTACATCAGACTTCCAAGCAGCCAAGCAGGAATGTTTTTCCTGTTGGAAGCCTTAGCCATATATTCTTATGTCAAGGTTGCTTCTTTGCACCTTGCTAAACCTGATACGAATGCAGGAGTTTTAAATTCTTCAAAAACTCAGATTTAACCCAGAACCAGAGTAAAGTCACCTCTACTATTTACACATCATAGGCTCAAGATTGTACAGTGAGTGATGCTGTCATGAAGAAAATTCAGATGAAAAAGGCAAGATACATGTGAATAAGGCAAAAGCCAGAAAATAGCCCTTATTCATGATGCTGTTACTGAGAATAATGAAAATCATATTTCAGAAAATATTACCATGTAAATATGTACATATGTAGTCTAGTAAAAGCAGGCAAACACATATCTTTCTGATAAAAACATCTCCTTTTTATTCTACTTACTTGGGGCCCAGGTCAGTATAATTTAGTCAACTTGAAAATTTCGGTAGTCTCTGTTTGCATGGCAGAAATTCTGCACATGTTTTATCTGATTCCTGTGATAACTTAAAAGGCTCTTTTATGTTAAAAGAGAGGTGAATCTTCTTTGACAGACTTTGTATTTTCCACTTCTAACTGGGCCTCTCTTTTCTCAGGATCTATCCTAGCCAAATATCTCAGTTACATTTACCATACAGTTTCCTTTGTGAAAGAACAGTAGGGGAGGAAATAATTCTCTGCTGTGTATTGTATTTTTCAAATAAAAATTTAAAAATTCAATTGAAAACTGAATTTTGACTTTGTAATATATTGGTCTTGATAGGGGGTAGAGGAATAAGGAATGCTTATTAATGTGCATGAAAGAATTCTCAGAGTGACTGAAGAATGTTTGGAAATGGATCACAATGGATCAGATTAGACCAGTTCCTTGGACGGCTCAATTACCCTCTGCATCTCGTGGACCATCCTGGGATCTTACTAACATCCTTATTTCCAAATCTCAACTCCCTAGAAACTATTTGAGATACTGAGCAGGTATATGATCCACTATATAGGCTGACTTCTATGTTGAGCAAAGCATTTAAGATTGGATGTAAATTAGCATATTCCTGCCTTCTAAGGCACTATTTATTACATTTTGATTGCATGCTCTAACAAGTTGCACTGGAAATATACCAAATGGTTCTATTTATGCTTTGAAAATATTGATCTCAAAATTTGCCAGGCATGGGCTTTCTAATGAATTTTCCAAATTACAGTTCTTTTAGAATATCAATTAAGGGAACTTCCTCCAGACTTTAAGTGAATGAATCTCTTTTAAGAAAAACGAGAGTATTCAAATTCCTCTTTCCTGTCCACCTTAGATTATAGTCTGATCTTAGCCTAATAGAGCCTCAGGACATGGCCAACACTGAATAAAATAAGTCTGGTCTCTTTACCCCAAGTCTTATGAGCCATGAATGGATCATAGCATCTAAATTCTAAACTCAGATTGCTATCTTTCAAATCTGTGGCCTTGCTCACAAAGGAGCTTCAGATAAGAAAATATAGATGAGTGGATACAACCGCCTTTAGCATTCACATGAAAACTCAAAGCCATGTCTCAAAGGCCTCATTCTTTAGATGAGTGATATGGACAGGTGCCATCCTCTGGCATGATTATCTTCATATTATTTCATTTATAAATATGTTCTCATTTTTGCATGGGAACTCTACTGCTTGTAGACACAATTATTTTTTCTTCTCAGGAGGAGCAAAAATGAAATTTTAATTGAATTTTGTTATAAGGAAAACCTTTTCAAAATGGTGAGATGTTTTGAGCATTAATCAAGTATCCCTAGATGTATTGCTCCTTGTCAAGAAGCACTTTCAGCCTTCATTCATTTGGCATATTTATTGAATGATCTTGTGAAGCAGATAATTTGCAATGTGCTGACTAAACAGTGCATAGAAAGATCTGGCCTCTGCCCTTCCAGATTGTATGCTTCAGCAGCTCTGATGATGGAGCTGTAAAAGATCTGTTTTAAGTTCAAGTAGGAGAACTGGCTTGGAGTTAATCTGCTGCTGAGGACTAAAGAAAGGGCATTTTTATAGATTACAACAGCAGCTAGGTTAATTTAAGAAAACAAAAAGCAGTGCCCCCATAAACAGTATTGTATTATTCAACTATTGGTAATTTTTAAAACCCTAAAATTCTATATAATAAACATTTACTATCCTTCACAAGTCTGTGGTTCAGCCGAGTCCCTTTTCTGGTCTGAGCTGAAATTTTCATGCAGCCGTGATCGCGTTGGGAGTCTCTGGCTGATCTTCACTGAGCTGTCTCATATATGAGAGTCATCTGGCTGTATGCTGGTCTAGGATGGCTTCTCTTGGGACAACTTAATTTTTCTCTATGTGGTCTCTCAAACTCCATCAGGCTAGGTAGGCTCTTTGGCAGAATGGGCTGAGAGAGTAGAGGCATGTAAGGCAGTAATACATTGTCACTTGGCCATCTCAGTCAATTGGCCAAGGCAAGTCCCAAGGCCAGCCAGATTCAAGAAGTGAGGGAGGAGCTACAAAGTCACATTACAAAGAGGCGAACACAGAGATGGGTGGAGAACAAGGGCCATTTTTGCATTCAATATATCATAAACTTTTACTGCTGCTAAACTTGTTCAAGCAGTACTCCCCAGAGTTGAGTTCCTAACTTGTCAAGTACCGATTTATTCTGATAAACATGAGAAACCCACAAATGACAATAGAAAGCAAGTTTGTTGTAACTGAAAAAGAATGGCCATGCCACCAGTCACTGAGTACATTCCAAAATGCCTTTGTGATGGCTGTCTAGAGAACTGTCTGCCCAGCACCTGACAGCAACAGGGAGCTTGCTGAAGTTTTGTTTACAGCAAATTTCCTAGGTCTTCTCCAATAGGCAATAATGAAGGAAGAGAACATAATTTTACAAGCAGAAATAAAATAAAGGAGAAAAACCACCTAGGTGGAAAGAATAGGAAAGTAACTAAAATATAAGATCAGGTTACGACACATTGATTCTATATATGTATGTGTGATGTGTGTGTGTATATGTATGCATGTGCTTGCTTTGTATAATTCTGATTTTTAGAAATTTCAGTTACTATGACTTAGATAACACTACTCCCCCCAAAACAGCATTCAAATTTTAGTTACAGTATAATAACTGAGAGTAACGATTAAATGTACAAACTTTGCTGCCAGTTCTTCAGTCCAAAAATCACTATAAAAATAACACATGCACATATGATTAGTGACCAGTCATCTCACTTCCTTCAAAGTCTTCCAGTGATCTGTCACTGAATATTTGCTATTCTGTTCATGCACAGACAGCAAAGCATGTATGTGTTGACTCCTTGTCTCTCTGTAATAAATCCACATGACATCTTACAGAAGAATGCATAATTTAACCAGGATCTGGTCAACAAAAATGGAACTACAGCAAAGACAAAAAGGTGGCAATACTGAAAGTGAAATTTGAATATTGAACATAAATACACTTATAAAAGACATAGCATAGCCAACCTTGGAAATGCTGAAACTACCACCACCATCTGAGAGACTCTAGAAATGCATCCAGAGAAACAGTGAAAGTGAGCTTATTGATATAAATGGGAGAAAAGTTTGTGATGAAGATGATATTGTAGAGGAAATAATTCTGATTCAAAAAAATTCACATTAAAGGAATTCTTGGAGATATTTCACAACACTGAAAATACAAAGGATAAAAAATTAATTAGTAATGGATCCAAATGTAGAAAAGGATATGGCAATTAGCGTAGACACAGAGAAGATGCTTGCCCCATATCCTAAGTTACATGACAAGAAGGTGATGGTAAACGCTGTTCAAACTTGTCTTAGCTTGGGATGTAGTGACAAACTACCATAGACTGAGTGGCTAAAATACAGTCATGCATCACTTAAGGACAGGGACGTACTGAGAAACACATCATTAGGCTATTTTGCCATGTGAACATCATGGAGTGTACTGACACAAATCTAGATGCTAGAGCCTACTGTATACCTAGACTATAAGATATATAACCTATTGCTCCTAGGCTTCAAACCTGTACAGTATGTTACTGGACTGGTGATACTCCAGGCAGTTGTAACACAATGGTAAGTATTTGTGCATCTAATGTATCTAAACATAGAAAAGTTATGGTAAAAATATGGTATTATAATCTTATGGGACCAGCGTTATAGGTGTCGTCTCTCACTGATTGAAACATCATCAGTATGTGGCACTTGACTATAACAGACATTTATTTCTCACAGTTCTGGAGGCTAGGAAATCTAAAATCAGAGTGCCAGCTACAATGGTCAGGTTCTGGGGAGGGCTCTCTTGCTGGCTTGCAGAGAGATGCCTTCTCCCTGTGCCTTCTACCTGTCTCACATGGTGAGAGAGAGTGAGCTCTGGTTTCTTCTTCCTTTTGTAAAGATACTAATCCCATCATGAAGGCCCCACACTCAGGACCTAATCTAAACCTAATTTCCTCCCAAAGGCCCCACCTCCAAATACCATCACATTGGAGATTAGAGCATCAACATTCGAATTTATGGGAAACACAAACATTCGGTCTGTAACAAAACTACTCGATAAAATTTTTACAAAGAAATAAGACATTTAATTCTCAACATTTCGGTTTTAGATAACAGAGTATGGAATAAATATCAGCTATTTTTTATTTTTCTCTGTATTTAAAGCTGTCAGTAAGAGAGTTTTAAATACTTTAACAAAATGTTTAAAGGTAACATTAATTATAATTTTTTTCCATTGCTTATTAAGACACTTTGCATGGTTTCAGCTTGCATGGTCTTTTTCTGGTCTCACACTGCTGTACAAAGTAAGGACTGCCTGTCTATATTTATATATAGGGATACATAGATGTGTGTGTGTATATGACTGCCTGTCTATATTTATATATAGGAATATATATACAAACCCACACACCCACATATATATCCCTATATGTAAATATAAACAGGCAGTCCTGTCTATACATATATATGGGGCTGTGTATGTATATATATGTGTTTGATACATATATGTTTTAATACATACAGATATACACCTATTTTTAATACATATATATATACACACCTATATACACATATATAAAACCCCATATAAATGAATAAAATCCCATATATATATGCCTTCTTTTTAAAATAAATATTGTCCCTACTTCATATTAATACACAGCAAAGAACTTTGTAGCCTCCTAACTGTTAATTATTAGATTTATTTCTCTTGGTCACTTATTTTCCTATGGCCATATTTAAAAATACTGTTCTGATCAGTGGATAGAAAAGTATTTGTATTAGTGTATCACTTCAGCTATTCAGAGAAAGAAGGATGAGGAAAAGTGATTTTTTTCAAAGTTATTTGTATTTGATTTTTTTTTTTTTTTTTGAGACAGAGTCTCATTCTGTTGCCCAAGCTGGAGTGCAGTGGCACAATCTCACCTCACTGCAACCTCTGCCTCCCAGGTTCAAGCGATTCTCCTGTCTCAGCCCCTTGAGTAGTTGGGATTACAGGCGTTCGCCACCATGCCTGGCTGACTTTTTGTATTTTTAGTAGAGACAGGTTTCGCCATGTGGGCCAGGCTGGTCTCAAACTCCTGACCTCAGGTGATCTACCCGCCTCAGCCTCCCAAAGTGCTGGGATTACAGGCGTGAGCCACCGCTCCTGGCCTGTATTTAATATTTTAACCATCTTTTAAAATTATATTGCTCACATTCTGGCTTGGTACACATACACACATAATTTAACCCACCACACCTTTTGAACATGAATCATTTGTTGGTACTCTAATGAAGTTCTTGAAAGTTATAAAGAGCTATATAGGGGAGTTGAGTCCTTTGATCTAAAGCATCTCAGAAACTATGATTGTTTATTTTTTTTCTGTTCACCTTTTTTTATGGCTTTATCTGCCCTCTGCTGTTAATTCTCATTATTTCTTGTCTTGAAAACTATCTTAGAAACTTGCTCACCTACTTCCAGTCTGCTATTGTATTTGTCAACTCAGGCTGCTATAAAAGAATATCACAGGCTGAGTGACTTAAACAACAGAAATTTATTTTCTCACAGTTCTGAAGATTGGAAGTCCAAGATCAAGGTGCCAGCAGGATTGGTGTCTTGTGAGAGCTCTCTCCATGGGTTGCAGACGACTGCCTTCTCCATACACACATGGAGAGAGAGATCTATGGTGTCTCTTTTTATAAAGACACCAGTTATATAGGATTTGGGCTCCATCCTTATGACCTGATTGAACCTTAATTGCCTCCCTAAAGGCCCAATTTCCAAACAAAGTTACATTAGGGATTGGGACTTCAACATACGAATTTGGGGGGTGAAACACAATTCAATCCATAACAGCTATCCACTGTCTTGAAATTTCATCTCTTATAGTTATGCCCTGCAGAAGAATTAAAGGATGCCAATGTAACACAGATAACCATGGTGTGATTGTATGTAAAATTAAGTCAATTAGGCAGAAATGGACTCTACTTCTGTCATATAAAATAAAATGTCTGGGATTTGTGATGGATGTTTTCATTGCTGCTATTCTGACTTATTTGCTGTACTTCTGATTTCAGATGGCCCTTTATTTATGGCTCAAATTAAAGTCATCTGATCATCAAAAGTGGTACTATGATTATGGATAAGTATATCTATGATCGTGGATAAGTATATCTTTAAGTCGAATATTTTTTTCTCACTACTAAAAGTAAAAAAGTGAAACTTGAGGTTCATAGATGTCATGATAAAGAATAATCTTCAAGTGCCCAAACAGATCTCAGATAATAATATTTGCTCTCTTAGAGAATGATTCTAGCATATGGTTTGATGTTAAAACAGTTTTATTACAAATGAAATTTAAACCTCTGGGATCCTAAATTGCAGTGATTGAATGTGAAGCTTCAATGCTATAAAAATTTCATGCAATCTTAGCTAGCTTGCTTTATTTATGATTCATTGTTTTGTGTTATAGGAGAACAACTTGTATATTATACTAGATAAGTCAAATGATATAGACTTTGTATTTTTAAATGGGAATTTCATAAGACATATGGTGACAGTATCTGGGATCAGATCCATACATTTTCAGATGCCTTTATATTTATTCTGAGTACTTAGTACTAATCTTGAAATACTGAAGACATATAGACGTAACAGCTGGGCCACCATCAATTGAAACTCTAACACTGTTCACTTTAACAACATATATTTTGAAAAATAACAATGCTGCTTTTCAACTCTTTTTTTTTCATTATTGCTTTTTATTTCTAATTCACCAAATTCCCAGGAACACTGGAAGGATAACAGAAGCAATAGTAAGCTAAATTCTCTTACATCCAGGTTAATCCAGATGTTGTCAGAGAATTGTTTATACTGTGTATATCCTGATATAAACTCATGGCAATTATTTTTAAATTTTGGTGTGTGTGTGTGCGTGTGTGTGTGTGTGTATTCCAGCATCAAAAATGAAAGACTCAAAATAAATTTTGTAACAATTCAGTTATAACACACAGAAAAGATTAAAATGCCTAATTCTGGCAAGAATGTAATATTTCTGATGCAAATATATATTTCTGCTGGCAGTGTAAATCCCTTTGGAAAGCACTTTGGCATTACATTTCATGAGCCACTAAAATGCGAATAACCTTGACCCAGTAATTTCATTCCTGTGAATCTGTCTCCAAAAGTAATATAATTTAATAATCACAAAGATGATTGTAGCAGTATTATTTGTGATAGCAAAAACCTAAATACATAGCAATAGGAGAACTGTTAAATGAATTATGGTTTACCAATTACATAGAATATTATGTAGGCATTAAATGATAATTATGCACATTCTGTAGCAACAGGAAAAATGTTTATGATATAATTTTATGTTTAAAAAGATATAAATTATACCCTACAATTACTGTTATGTAAAAATCATAAATGTAAATGTGTAAGATTAAAAGCGAATGTGGAAAAGTGAAATCTGGAATGTGCAAATTTGCTGTCATTTAAAAAAATACTTCAGTCATTTCTTTATCTATGTCAAATGCTTAACAAGTAATTCTACAGTACTGTTTATGTAATTAATTCAAAAATATAATTAAAATGACCACAGAGAACAGTGCCTTCCCTTTCAATTGATTTGATCTTGACTGAAATCCTAATATCTATATCCTGTAATCTGACTGAACCTTATTCTATACTAATTTATAATCATAATATCAGCACTTTTGTGATTTCTACTTTAAATTACTGTTGTAAATGGTGCCCTATTTCTTAAACAAATACATTTGCAATTTAGTGAATGATATAATAAACTATAACATATGTATTAGTCCATTTTCACACTGCTATAAAGATGCTACCCAAGACTGGGTAATTAATAAAGAAAATAGGTTTAATTGACTCACAGTTCCATATGGCTGGGGAGGCTGCAGGGGGCTTGCAATTGTGGTGTAAGGCAAAGGGGAAGCAAGGCATGTCTTCCATGGGAGCAGAAGAGAGCAGTGGAAACTGCCATTTTTAAGCCATCAGATCTCCTGAAAACTCTCTCATTATCATGACAATGGCATGGGGAAAACTGTCCTCATGATCCAATCACCTCCCACCAAGACCCTCCCTCAACTCCTGGGCATTACAATTCAAGGTGAGATTTGGGTAGGGGACACAAAGAGAACTCATATCAACATATTTCTAATACATTATTTTAAAATGTAGATTAAAAATTTTTAGATATTTGATATCCACATTACTGAAGTTTGGAGGCAAGGCATCTCTGCCTTCATTGCTTAAAAGTGGATTATGTACTAAAGCTAGTAGTTCTCTAAAGAGAGCAAGTTTGTTCCCCAGGGGACATTTGGCAATGTCTTGAGACATTTTTGCTGTCACAACTCGGGGAGGGGAAGTTTGCTCCTGGCATTCAGTGGGTAGAGTCCAGCGATGCTGCTAAACATCCTACAATGTACGGTACAGCTGCAGGACAACTCCCACAACAAAGAATGATCTGGCCTAAAATGTCAGTAGTACCAAGGTTGAGAAACCCTGGAGTAGGCAGTGAAAAAAATAGCTAGAATAGAGAAACCTAGCTTTTCGCTTTATTTCCACTGCAAAAAGAATGGGCTTGTGCTAGCTGCTTACATTCTGTCCCTAAATTTCCTTATTTGTAAACTGAAAGTAAATAAGATTTATTTTATCTCACAGGATGGTTCTGAGAGTAAAATGAGAAACAAAGTGATAGTACTTTGAGAGGCTAAAATGTACCATACTGGGTTCTGTTCCAAGATGGCCGAATAGGAACAGCTCCAGTCTGCAACTCCCAGCGTGATCCATGCAGAAGACGGGTGATTTCCGGATTTCCAACTGAGGTACCTGGTTCATCTCATTGAGACTGGTCGGAAAGTGGGTGCAGCTCACAGAGAGCGAGCTGAAGCAGGGCTGGGCATCGCCTCACCTGGGAAGTGCAAGGGGTCAGGGGATTTCCCTTTCCTAGCCAACGGAAGCCATAACAGACTGTACCGGGAAAATCAGGACACTGCCACCTAAACACTGTGCTTTTCCAGCGGTCTTAGCAAATGGCACTCCAGGAGATTATATCCCATGCCTTGCTCAGCGGGTCCCACATCTACGGAGCCTTGCTTACTGCTAGTCCGAGATGGAACTGCAAGGCAGCAAGCCTGGCTGGGGGAGGGGTGTCCGCCATTGCTGAGGCTTGAGTAGGTAAACAAAGTGGTCTGGAAGCTCGAACTGGGTGGAACCCACTGCAGCTCAAAGAGGCCCGCCTGCCTCTGTAGACCACCTCTGGGGGCAGGGCATAGCTGAAAAAAAGGCAGCAGAAACTTCTGCAGACTTAAACGTCCCTGTCTGACAGCTCTGAAGAAAGCAGTGGTTCTCCCAGCATGGTGTTTGAGCTCTGAGAACGGACAGACTGCCTCCTCAAGTGGGTGCCTGACCCCTGTGTAGCCTAACTTGGAGACACCTCCCAGTAGGGGCCGACTGACACCTCATACAGCTGGGTGCCCCCCTGAGACGAAGCTTCCAGAGGAAGGATCAGGCAGCAATATTTGGTGTTCTGCAGCCTCCACTGGTGATATTCAGGCAAACAGGGTCTGGAGTGGACCTCCAGCAAACTCCAACAGACCTGCAGCTAAGGGATCTGACTGTTAGAAGGAAAACTAACAAACAGAAAGGAATAGCATCAACATCAACAAAAAGGACATTCACACCAAAACCCCATCTGTAGGTCACAATCATCAAAGACCAAAGGTAGATAAAACCACAAAGATGGGGAAAAATCAGAGCAGAAAATCTGAAAATTCTAAAAACCAGAGCTCCCCTTCTCCTCCAAAGGATCACAGCTCCTTGCCAGCAATGGAACAAAGCAGGACAGAGAATGACTTTGACGAGTTGACAGAAGTAGGCATCAGAAAGTCGTTAATAACAAACTTCTCCGAGCTAAAGGAGGATGTTCGAACCCATCACAAGGAAGCTAAAAACCTTGAAAAAAGATTAGATGAATGGCTAACCAGAATAAACAGTGTAGAGAAGACCTTAAATGACCTGCTGGAGCTGAAAACCATGGCACGAGAACTATGTGACGCATGCACAAGCTTCAGTAGCTGATTTGATCAGGTGGAAGAAAGGGTGTCAGTGACTGAAGATCAAATTAATGAAATGAAATGAGAAAAGAACTTCAGAGAAAAAAGAGTAGAAAGAAATGAACAAAGCCTCCAAGAAATATGGGACTATGTGAAAAGACCAAATCAATGTTTGATTGGTGTACCTGAAAGTGATGGGGAGAATGGAACCAAGTTGGAAAACACTCTTCAGGATATTATCCAGGAGAACTTCCCCAACCTAGTAAGGCAGGCCAACATTCAAATCAGGAAATACAGAGAACAACACAAAGATACTCCTCGAGAAGAGCAACTCCAAGACACATAATTGTCAGATTCACCAAGGTTGAAATGAAGGAAAAAATGCTAAGGCAGCCAGAGGGAAAGATTGGGTTACCCACAAAGGGAAGCCCCTCAGACTAACAGCAGATCTCTCAGCAGAAACCCTACAAGCCGGAAGAGAGTGGGGGCCAATATTCAACATTCTTAATGAAAAGAAATTTCAACCCAGAGTTTCATATCCAGCCAAACTCAGCTTCATAAGTGAAGGAGAAATAAAATCCTTTACAGACAAGCAATGCTCGGTGATTTTGTCACCACCAAGCCTGCCTTACAAGAGCTCCTGAGGGAAGCACTAAAGATGGAAAGGAACAACTGGTACCAGCCACTGCAAAACCATGCCAAATTATAAAGACCACCGATGCCAGGAAGAAGCTGTATCAACTAACTTGTGAAATAACCAGCTAACATCATAATGACAGGATCAAATTCACACATAACAATATTAACCTTAAATGTAAATGGGCTAAATGCCCCAATTAGAAGACTGGAAAAGACTGGCAAATTGGATAAAGAATCAAGACCCATCAGTGTGCTGTATTCAGGAGACCCATCTCACATCCAGAGACACACATAGGCTTAAAATAAAGGGATGGAGGAAGATCTACCAAGCAAATGTAAAGCAATAAAAAAGCAGGGGTTGCAATCATAGTCTCTGATAAAACAGACTTTAAGCCAACAAAGATCAAAAGAGACAAAGAAGGCCATTACATAATGGTAAAGGGATCAATTCAACAAGAAGAGCTAACTATCCTAAATATATATACACCCAATACAGGAGTGCTCAGATTCACAAAGCAAGTCCTGAGAGACCTAAAAAGAGATGTAGACTTCCACACAATAATAATGGGAGACTTTAACACCCCACTGTCAATGTTAGACAGATCAATGAGACGGAAGTTTATCAAGGATATCCAGGACTTGAACTCAGCTCTGCACCAAGCAGATCTAACAGACATCTACAGAACTCTCCACCCAAAATCAACAGACTATACATTCTTCTCAGCATCACATTGCACTTATTCCAAAATTGACCACACAGTTGGAAGTAAAGCACTCCTCAGCAAATGTAAAAGAACAGAAATCACAACAAACTGTCAGACCACAGTGCAACCAAATTAGAACTCAGGATTAAGAAACTCACTCAAAACTACACAATTACATGGAAACTGACCAACCTGCTCCTGAATGACTACTGGGTAAATAATGAAATGAAGGTAGAAATAAAGATGTTCTTTGAAACCAATGAGAACAAAGACACATAATACCAAAATCTCTGGGACACGTTTAAAGCAGTGTGTAGAGGGTAATTTATAGCACTAAATGCCCACAAGAGAAAGCAGGAAAGATCTAAAATCGACACCCTAACATCACAATTAAAAGAACTAGAGAAGCAAGAGCAAACAAATTCAAAAGCTAGCAGAAGGCAAGAAATAACTAAGATCAGAGCAGAACTGAAGGAGGTAGAGAGACAAAAAACTCTTCAAAAAAATCAATGAATCCAGGAGGTGGTTTTTTGAGAAGATCAACAAAATTGATAGACCACTAGCAAGACTAATAAAGAAGAAAAGAGAGAAGAATCAAATAGACACAATAAAAAATGATAAAGGGGATATCACCATTGATCCCACAGAAATACAAACTACCATCAGAGAATACTATAAACACCTCTACGCAAATAAACTAGAAAATCTATAAGAAATGGATAAGTTCCTGGAAACATACACCCTCCCAAGACTAAACCAGGAAGAAGTTGAATTGCTGAATAGACCAATAACAGGCTCTGAAATTGAGGCAATAATTAATAACCTACCAACAAAAAAAGTCCAGGACCAGATGGATTCACAGCCGAATTCTACCAGATGTACAAAGAGGAGCTGGTACCATTCCTTCTGAAACTATTCTAATCAATAGGAAAAGAGGGAATCCTCCCTAACTCATTTTATGAGGCCAGTATCATCCTGGCACCAAAGCCTGGCAGAGACACAACAAAAAAAGAGAATTTTAGACCAATATCCCTGATGAACATCGGTGCAAAAATCCTCAATAGAATACTGGCAAACCGAATCCAGCAGCACATCAAAAAGCTTATCCACCAAGATCAAGTTTGCTTCATCCCTGGGATGCAAGCCTGGTTCAACATACGCAAATCAATAAACGTAATCCATCACATAAACAGAAGCAAAGATAAAAATCACATGATTATCTCAATAGATGCATAAAAGGAGTCTGACAAAATTCAACAGCTCTTCATGCTAAAAACTCTCAATAAACTAGGTATTGATGGAACATATTTCAAAATAATAAGAGCTATCTATGACAAACCCACAGCCAGTATCATACTGAATGGGCAAAAACTGGAAGCATTCCCTTTGAAAACTGGTACAAGACAGGGATGCTCTCTCTCACCACTCCTATTCAACATAGTGTTGGAAGTTCTGGCCAGGGCAATCAGGCAGGAGAAAGAAATAAAGGGTATTCAATTAGGAAAAGAGGAAGTCAAATTGTCCCTGTTTGCAGATGACGTGATTGTATATTTAGAAAACCCCATCATCTCAGCCCAAAATCTCCTTAAGCTGATAAGCAACTTCAGCAAAGTCTCAGGATATAAAGTGAATGTGCAAAAATCACAAGCATTCTTATACACCAATAACAGACAGAGAGCCAAATCATGAGTGAACTCCCATTCACAATTGCTACAAAGACAATAAAATACCTAGGAGTCCAACTTATAAGGGATGTGAAGGACCTCTTCAAGGAGAACTACAAACCACTGCTCAATGAAATTAAAGAGGAAACAAACAAATGGAAGAACATTCCATGCTCATGGATAGGAAGAATCAATATCACGAAAATGGCCATACTGCCCAAGGTAATTTATAGATTCAGTGCCATCCCCATTAAGCTACCAATGACTTTCTTCACAGAATTGGAAAAAACTACTTTAAAGTTCATATGGAACCAAAAAAGAGCCCGCATCACCAAGTCAATCCTAAGCCAAAAGAACAAAGCTGGAGGCATCAACACTACCTGACTTCAGACTATACTACAAGGCTACAGTAACCAAAACAGCATACTACTGTTACCAAAACAGAGATACAGACCAATGGAACAGAACAGAGGCCTCAGAAATAATACCACACATCTACAACCATCTGATCTTTGACAAACCTGACAAAAACAAGAAATGGGGAAAGGATTCCCTATTTAATAAATGGTGCTGGGAAAACTGGCTAGCCATATGTAGAAAGCTGAAACAGGATCCCTTCATTATACCTTATACAAAAATTAATTCAAGATGGATTAAAGATTTAAATGTTAGACCTAAAATCATAAAAACCCTAGAAGAAAACCTAGGCAATACCATTCAGGACATAGGCATGGGCAAGGACTTTATGACTAAAACACCAAAAGCAATGGCAACAAATGTCAAAAGAGACAAACGGGATCTAATTAAACTAAAGAGCTTCTGCACAGCAAAAGAAACTACCATCAGAGGGAAGAGGCAACCTACAGAATGGGAGAAAATTTTTGCAATCTGACAAAGGGCTAATATCTAGAATCTGCAAAGAACTTAAACAAATTTACAAGAAAAAAATCAAACAACCCCATCAGAAAGTGGACAAAGGATATGAACAGACACTTTTCAAAAGAAGACATTTATGCAGCCAACAGACACATGAAAAAATGATCATCATCACTGGCCATCAGAGAAATGCAAATCAAAACCACAATGAGATAGCATCTCACATCAGTTAGAATGGCGATCATTAAAAAGTCAGGAAACAACAGGTGCTGGAGAGGATGTGGAGAAATAGGAACGCTTTTATACTGTTGGTGGGAGTGCAAACTAGTTCAACCATTGTGGAAGAGAGTGTGGCAATTCCTTAAGGATCTAGAACTAGAAATACCATTTGACCCAGTGATCCCATTACTGGGTATTTACCCAAAGGATTATAAATCATGCTACTATATGCACACATATGTTTGTTGTGGCACTATTCACAATAGCAAAGACTTGGAACCAACCCAAATGCCCAAGAAAATGTGGCACATATACACAATGAAATACTAAACACCCATAAAAAAGGATGAGTTCATGTCCTTTGTAGGATATGGATGAAGCTGGAAGCCATCATTCTGAGCAAACTATCTCAAGGACAGAAAACCAAACACTGCATGTTCCCACTTACAGGTGGGAATTGAACAATGAGAACACCTGGACCCAGGGCAGGGAACATCACACACCAGGGCTTGTTGTGGGGTGGGGGGATGGGGGTGGGATAGCATTAGGAGAAATACCTAATGTAAATGATGAGTTAATGGGTGCAGCAAACCAACACGGCACATGTATGCATATGTAACAAACCTGCACATTGTGCCCATGTACTCTAGAACTTAAAGTATAAAAAAAAGTACCATATAAATATCATCCCTACACATACTTGAAAATCTCCTGAAGTTTCTTACCAATAAAAGGAAAGTAGAGACAATTATCAGATAGCTTATGCATAATTGCTTGACATTTTTAATTTGTCATGTTTCCCTAAAGAATATTAATGAAAACCGTAACAACATAATTCCACTTTGCTTATGTTTTCCAGATAAAATAATCTAGCTTTCTTACTTGTCTGCCCTGTCCTGTGTCTTGAATTTCTCCATTGTCACTTAATTTTTGCTTCAGATACAAACATGCCCAGGATCACTTTGTGACCACCCAGGCTTGATCTCAAGCTCTCACTTCTTCTGTCCCATTTTCTACTTGTTACTGTGAATTTCTCACTTCCCATTCACTCCACTGTCCAGTGGCATGTTATTCTTCCATTTCTCCTACAACTGCTGAGATTAATCTCAATCTCCCTCTTGGTTTCCCAGGGGTTAAAGGGAATGGCATAGAAGCAATTATACCTCAGTAGCAGTGAGCACACCCAGTGCCTTTATCTTGGTTTTAATACCATTCTCCAATAAAAGTATTTACCTTTTAGGTAGGGCTCCTTGAAGAAATGCTGATTCTAGGACTGGGGCAGAAAATATACAAGATGAGCCTGGAGCAGTAAAGAAGTCACACATACACACACACACATACACACACACACACACACATAGGGAAGGAAAAGTAATATCTTCTCCTCACCTGTTGTAAGGTTTATGCTGGGGCGCCTATAACAAAAGACAGATTAACAAGAGAAAAGCACGTAAGTTAACTTTTTGTACATGACTAGAGAAGGACCCTTCAGAAATGAAGACCCAAAGAAACAGGGAAATTTGTATATTTTTATGCTTAGGTTTAAAGAGTGGAAACTTGTGCAGAAGTATAATTAAACAAGGGGGCAGGATGATCTTATGGTAATAAATTGGAGTGAATTTAGCAAGGCCTAAGTTCAGATTCTTCTTAGTGTCTCTGTGTCTTCAAGGACAGGATGTTTCTGGACCTCAGGACCAGAACCTCAGGACCTCAACCTCAGGACCAGGCTTAAGGAGATACCTCTGGATGAAGCTTTTATGATCTGCTTCAGAAGAGAAGAAAGACGGGAAGATGAGAGTGATCCTCCTACTTCTGCTTGTTTCTCAAATGCCAAGGTCATATTTTGGGGTAATGTGTCCTGAACCCCATGATATGTGATGGGCAGATGTTAAAGTGACATAGGGCTCAACCAAATGATCTCCCAGTGGCCAGTGTTGAAACAATTTGAGCAAGAAAATAAATAATATAATATTGTACAGATTATATAACATACATTAAAAGAAAAACAAAGATTCCATACTGATGTAAATAAATGATTGAATTAATACATTAATAAATGAGGGAAGAATAAACACATCTACTCAGCATAATTGTGAATAGGTGGATACTCCAGTCTCAGAAAGGTGAAATATAGCTCCCCACTCCTTAAGTGTGTCCTACATATAGTGACTCCTATACAGAAAGGATTATATGAAAAAGAGTGTTGATAAAAAGGGTAAAACTCTGCGAAATATTTGAATAGATTTAGTCTGAGCCAAATATGAGTGACCAATGGCCCACAACACAGCTCTCAGGAAATCCTGAGAACATGTGCCTAAGGTAATCAGGCCACAACTTGGTTTTATACATGTTAGGGAGACATAAGACATCAATCATTGCATGTAAGATGTACATTGGTTTGGTCCAAAAAGGTGGGACAACTGGAAGTGGGGGCTTCCAGGTCATGGGTAGATTCAGTGATTTTCTGACTGGCAATTGGCTGAGAGTTAAGTTATTGTCTAAAGACTTAAAATCAGTAGAAAGGAATGTCTAGGTTAAGATAAGGGGTTGTAGAGAACAAGGTTCTAACATGCAGGTGAACACTCCAGGTTGCAGGCTTCAGAGAATAGATTGTAAACGTTTCTTATCAGACTTAAAGAGTCTGTTTTATCAGTCTTAAGGTCTGTGTTGATGCTAATGCCAGTCAGCTGGGCCTGAATTCCAAAAGGGAGGTGGGCATAATGAGGCATGTCCAACTCCGCCTTTCCATCATGGCCTGAGCTAGATTTTCAGGCTAAATTTGGAATGCTCTAGGCCAAGAGAAAGGGTCCATACAGATGTTCAGAGGGGATCAGCATTTTATTTTTGATTTATAAGAGTAACTTTACAATGCAGAAACATGACAAATACTACCTCAACCAGATGATCAAAAATAATATTAATAGCCATAAATCATGTTTATAGTATGTACCCTTCATGTGAAGCACTGAGAATGGCACTTTACCTCTGTAGTCTTCTCAAAACCATAAACCCAATCTAATCATGAGAAAAATATCAATCACATCTCCATTAAGAGACATTCTACAAAATACCTGGTTAGTACCCCTCAAAGTGGTCCAGATCATCAAAAACAATGAAAGCCTGGAACACTGTCATGGCCAAGAAGAGTAAGAAATAAGACAAGCAAACGTAATATGGTATCCTAGATAGGATCCTGGAGCAGAACAAGGACATTAGGTAAAAACTAAGGAAATCAGAAATAAGTATGGACTTTAATTAATAATGTATCACTGAGTTCATTAACTATGAAACACTTGCCAGGTTAATGTAGAATATCCAAAATAAGGTAAACTGGGTTTACTAGGGTATATGGGAATTCTCTTATATCACATTCACAAATTTTTGTATGAATTTTGTGAACCTATTCTAAAATAAAGTTTACTTAAAAATAATGCTTATTATATTAAAATTTTTAAAAACTGTTTTTAAAGATTAGTCAGTGCATCTTCTTCTTGCTGAACTGCCTGAATGTCACAGAAGACTTCCTTTACTATCCAGACTTCAACATCATCTATTGTTTGTTATCAGTTACTCATAAAAATGCCTAAAATCTACTTGGCAGCCTCTCTATGAATATTCATTTACATATTAAGAACTAGACATTGTTGGCCGGGCGCAGTAGCTCACGCCTGTAATCCCAGCACTTTGGGATGCCGAGATGGGAAGATCACGAGGTCAGGAGTTCAAGATCATCCTGGCTAACACGGTGAAACCCCGTCTCTACTAAAAATACAAAAAATTAGCCAGGCGTGGTGGCGGGCGCCTGTAGTCCCAGCTACTGGGGAGGCTGAGGCAGCAGAATGGCGTGAACCCGAGAGGCGGAGCTTACAGTGAGCCGAGTGCACCACTGCACTCCAGCCTGGGCGACAGAGAGAGACTCAGTCTCAAATAAATAAATAAATAAATAAAATTAAAAACTAGACATTGTTGAGAGAGTTGATGAAAAATTAAGAATAATAAAGGGAAACAAGGCTCATGTCTCCCTTAAAGGAACAGGGCTTGCTGCCAGGCTGCAATTCATTTCTAGCACAGCCCTAAATAGGATGCTATTTGTGTGATTTCCATCTCCCTACACTGAAAACAATGGATGAGTTAATTAACCCTCTACACACCCTGAAAACTTGTTCTTTCAAGCATGGATTTTTGACTTCCGACAGGTTTGGAGTGAGACAAATTTGAGTACAGGGCCCTTCCCGTCCCAGGGCAGCCAATTCTCAGTCCTATTTGTTTTTCAACATGAAAGGCTTATTCCAAGATCTACCAAGTATCCTGGGAAATTGGTCTGGGAACCTGCTTAGCTCTACTATTCCTGCCTTATACATAAGTCAAGAAGCTCCAAAGGGTAGCATTTTGATAAATCATTCTTAGTTCATTTTGCCACAACTCTATGTCCCAAGCCCTCGTGGTTTTGTTTTTATTTCTGATTTTATGGCAGACATTGTTAATCTATCACTGAATCCATTCTCACTGAGTAGGCCAGATAGGCAGACAGGCTCATTTCCTGTTTTCATGTGGTTTAGAGAAAAGATCAAAAGCCCTTTACTCAAACTGTAGCTTACCTAACTTCCAGCCAATCAGCAACAAAAAACCCAAGAAGCTATTAACCACAAGTTCCTGCTTTAGGGGGATAGGGACTTCCCTTCGGCTCCACATGTGCAGGTAGCCTTAAACTTTAACTTATAATTGCCCCTCCCCCTCATTTTAATACTAAAAGTCACACAGCCAGTAGTGGAGATTTAAAACGGTAATATTACATGTGGTGTATGAAGAAACATGTAGAGCCATTGCACAAGTGCTAGAAAAAACCCTCCTATACATGCCCTGATGAAATCCTTCCCTATAGAAAGTCCGCATAAAACAAATCCACATACTACCCTCCAGGAGCAGCCTGCCCTTTTCCTTTTGTGGTGCCGACTTCCTTGTGCACAAGCTAAAATAATGCTTTCTCTTTCTCTATGCTGCTATATCTAGTGATCTCTCTTGATTTCTATTGTCATCTTTCTTGAGACATTACAAGAACAAAGGGCACTGATAACACCTGTATGCAGCTTCAGAATCAGGCTTAACTCAGCAACTCAGTGGATAGGGAAGGCACGATTGGCTCAGGCTGGAATCAGGTGGACCTATCTTCCTTATCAGCAGATGAGCAATTATATGAGAAGTCATGATTTACTCTAATGACATTATGTCTTCTCTGGAAGGAAAAAAATTAATCCTAGAGACAGAGCGCCTCAAAGCCAGGATATCGTAAGTGTATTGACAGCTGAACTCAGACAAAATTATGGACGAGACTAAATTAAGTTTCAAGTCTCCTCCCACATGCCCACCTCTTAGTTTCTCCATAATTAAGCCTGCTTGGAGTGATTACCATACTTCATTCCCTTCCAAAATATATTTTTTCTTCTATTTCCTCCACCACAAAACTTAGTAATTTATAGACTCATTGCTTTAAAAATAACCTTTCGGCCTTAGCACACCTTAGACATTTAAGAAAATGCTGGCTTATCTGATAAGTGGGGAAAAAAGTGTCAAGAAAAAAATGCTCATTAGATGCAAGGAGTGCTTCCAATTAGGTAGTTAAATATGCTGAATCCTGTAAATCTTTGTATAGCAACACATGGCAGATTATAACTGCTGGGATGACCCTTACATATAGTGAATATGAAATAGTCAAACAGTAAAGTCCTAGCTAGGTGGCTGGGTGGCACTCCGTTTTAAGTAATTTTTAAAACCAACCACAATATCCCCACTGGGAAATTTGCTACACAGAAAGTGGCCACTGTTTACAGCCATTGGTCACTCTCCAACCCAACAACTCATTTATTCTTCATAACTCTTATCAATATGCAGAAATATTTACTTGTATTATTATTATTTATTACATATGTTCCCTTACTAGAATTTAAGCTTCAAGAAAAAAAGAACCTTGACCATGACTAGATCCTTAGGAACTAAATAAATATTTGTTGAAAGAATAAATGAATCTAAAACCCAAGCCTTTGACAGTACCCCATAATTAAAGCCAGAGATAATTATAGAATCCCATTCTTCTTAGCTACTGAGAAAATTTTAGAAGATACTTTATCAATGTATATGTATAATACATATATTATATACAAATATATGCACATTTTACATAAAGACCAGAAAATATGATGGTATAACTTAATGTTGAAGAGAAAGAAAGGGGCAAAGGGAAAGGCGGCTTTTTAGACACTAAGTAAAATTTGGCCACTTGGTAATTTTCCCTTAGGTAGGACCTCATCAGAAAGCCTACTTAATTTAATGCAGTTGAGATTTTTCCAGGTGTCAGCCTTCATGCTGATGATATTTCTCAAAACTTCTTATTATATCTTTCAAAATAAGCAATTCCAACTTCTTTACTCATCCTTTAGGAGTCCTGTTGTTTCTTCTCTATTGGATCCAGCTATGAATTACTCTGGCACTTGAGATTTCACTTGCACCTTATATCAGAGACTGTGAAAGCAAATGCT
The DNA here is from genome assembly GCF_000001405.40 of Homo sapiens. Classification (NCBI taxonomy): domain Eukaryota; kingdom Metazoa; phylum Chordata; class Mammalia; order Primates; family Hominidae; genus Homo; species Homo sapiens. Next base: position 98,869,775 of record NC_000001.11, on the reverse strand, counting down.
TACAAGACCAGGAAGATAACAATAATGAGTGATACCTTGGTCTTTTTGTGAAAATGTTTTTCATTGTATGAATGAGGGGTATGTACCCACACAGAGTGGTGGAGGTTGCTATGTGTAGCTCCTGTCAATTGTTGTGATACCAGAATTAAGACCCTCCACCACCGGATCATCTAATATTTCAAGAGAATCCAGAAATCTGGATTGTATGAGAAAATTATAGTCTTCAGTTGGATTGATTTTTATAAACCACTTGAGGATACACAAGTTAGGTCTATGTATCCAGTGCAACATGCTATCAGTTGTTTTTCAATTCTAAAATAATGATACTCTGGTTACTTTTCTCAAGACATATGCAGACTTTGGCTCTCTAAGACCTTTGACTAGCTGTGTTAGGACACATTAGTCTACCAGACTGTGTGGGGCAAGCAACATATCATGCAGCACCCTCGTTTAATAGTGATTACAGCAGTTTCACCCAGCTCATGTAAATGCCTAAGACAGTCCTGGCTATTGGCAATACTGTAGAATATTAGAATGACCTTGCCTTTCGTCTGGGTCATACACTGATTTTATATACATATATGAGTTTTCTGTGTTGGTTCCTTATTACAGACCTTCTTGCCTTCTTTTCAGCTTGTTGGCATTTGAGCCAATGCTATGGCCCAGCCATGTTATAAAATCATAATGATTCCCAATTACCTAATATGTGAAGTGTTGGGTACTTTTTCCCTTCAGGGTTTTTCATAGCTAGTAATGTAATAAACTATGTTCAATTTGGCCCATTCATTGTACTTGAAGAGGATGATATATATTCCATACCTGAACTATTGATTATTCATTAAAATTCAGCCCTTCCTTTTCCCCTGATTAATTCCTGTCAGTTTAATTTCTCTTCTTCTATTACAATAAGCTTTCAATTGTTTCCTGACCACAAGTCTCATGCTCATTTTGCCAGTCATTCAAACATATGCCCAAATAACTATTTAAAATCTATGTTTCTATCATAATCAGATAATATTCATAGTTACTTATCTGTAGGATAACATCTATGTATCAAAGCATGTGATATTATAAGAACAAAATATTTAAAATGGTGCTTTTTGCCACTTTCTCAAACAATCTAATATTTAGTCCCAATTCTGCAGAGACCACTTGCTTTCACACCTCTCTGGCTTTACCATGTTTACACTATTCTTTTCAGCTATCCATACCCATTGTATCTTTTGAACACTGACCAAACAGCAATTCTATTTGACCATTTCCTCAACAATTCCAGATAGTATTGTTTTCCTTACCTGTGCTATTTACTTTTATGATAGCATTCAACATATCTTTTTAGATTTTTTATTTTTCCTTATATTTGCTTGGGATCTTAAAGTAGATGGGGACCATGTGTTCATTTATATAGAACCACTACTCTAGTGCTGAAACTACAAAATAGGAGGCATTTATTAAAATATTTTCATATAAATAAATAATTTCATGACTCTTTAGTAATAAAGCATAAGGACTAAGAGGTAGGATTTGGAAAACAAAAAGAATTGAGTTCAAATTCCATATCTGATATTTTTAGCTGGGAAATTTTAAGCAAGTCAAATTACCTGCCTTGGCCTTAGTTTCTTCTTTGAAATATACTATTAAGAAAATGAAGAGGAAATCCAGAGCCTGCAAGAAAATATTTGGAACACATATGCAGATGCTCCTCGATTTATGATGGGGTTACAGCTCAATAAATTCATAGTAAGTTAAAAATATTGAAGTCAAAAATGCACTTTAGTACACTCAACCCACCCAACATTATAGCTTGGCCTAGCCTACCCTAAATGAGCTCAGAACATTAGCCTCTTGTTGGGCAAAATCATCTAACACAAAGCCTATTTTATAATAGTGACTATCTCATATAATTTATTGAATACTATAAATACATGGTTTGATATATGCAAATCAATTTATGTGACTCATGGCATAAAAAAATTAAGGACAAAAATTATGTGACATGGTTTGGCTGTGTCCCCACCCAAATCTCATCTTGATTTGTAGCTCCCATAATTCCTACATGTTGTGGGAGGCACCCAGTGGGAGATAATTAAATCATGGGGCAGTTTTCCCCATACTGTTCTCATGGCAGTGAATAAGTATCATAAGATCTGATGGTTTTATAAAGGGCTTCCCCTTTTGCTTGGCTCTCATTCTGTCTTGCTTGCTGCCATGTAAAATGTGCCTTTTGCCTCCCACCATGATTATGAGACCTCCCCAGTCACATGGAACTGTGAGTCCATTAAACCTCTTTTTCTTTATAAATTGCCCAGTCTCAGGTATGTCTTTATCAGCAGCATGAAAACAGACTAATAGAATAGAGTGGGGCACTGCTGTAAAGATATCCAAAAATATGGAAATGACTTTGGAACTGGCAAACAGGAAGAGGTTGGAACAGTTTGGAGGGCTCAGAAGAAGAGAGGAAAATGTGGGAAAGTTTGGAACTTCCTAGAGATTTGTTCAACGGCTTTGACCAAAATGTTGATAATGATATGGACAATGAAATCCAGGCTGATATGGTCTCAGATGGAGATGAGAAACTAGTCAGGAACTGGAGTAAAGGTGACTGTTGCTATGTTTTAGCAAAGGGACTAGCAGAATTTTGTCCCTGACCTACAGATTTGTTGAGCTTTGAACTTGAGGGAGATGACTTACAGTATCTAGCAGAAGAAATTTCTAAGCAGCAAAACATTCAAGAGGTGATGGGTGCTGTTAAAAGCATTCAGTTTTAAAAGAGAAACAGAGCATAAAATTTCAGAAAATTTACAGGCTGACAACCTGATAGGAAAAAAAAAACATTTTCTGAGGAGAAATTAAGCAGGCTGCAGAAACTTGCATAAGTAAAGAGGAGCCAAATGTTAATCACCAAGACAATGGAGCAAATGTCTCTGGGCATGCCAGAGGTCTGCATGGCAGCCCCTCCCATCACAGGCCTGGAGGCCTAAGGAGAACAAATGGTTGCATGGGCTGGGGCCAGGGCCTGTTGCTCTGTGCAGCCTAGGGACTTGGTACCTTGCATCCCAGCCGCAATAGCCTTGGCTAAAAGGGGCCAAGGTACAGCTCAGACAATGGCTTCAGAGAGTGCAAGCCCCAAACCTTGGCAGCTTATACATGGTGTTGAGCCTGTGAGTGCAGAAGTAAAGAATTGAGGTTTGGGAACCTCCACCTAGATTTCAAAGGATGTATGGAAATGACTGGATGTCCAGAAAGAAGTTTTCTGCAGGGGCAATACCCTCATGGAGAACTCTGCTAGGGCAGTGCAGAAGGGAAATGTGGGGTTGGAGCCCCCACACAGAGTTCCTACTGGGGCACTACCTCGTGGAGCTGTGAGATGAAGGCCTCCATCCTCCACAGCCCAGAATGGTAGATCTACCAACAGCTTGCATTGTGCACCTGGAAAAGCCACAGATACTCAATGCCAGCCCATGAAAGTAGCCAGAAAGGAGGCTGTACCTTGCATAGCCACTGGGGCAGAGCTGCCCAAAACCATGGGAACCCACCTCTTGCATCAGTGTGATTTGGATGTGACACATTGAGTCAAAGGAGATAATTTTGGAACCTTAGGATTTAATGGCTGCTCTATTGGATTTTAGGCTTCCATGGGGCCTGTAGCCCTTTTGTTTTGGGCAATTTCTCCCATTTGGAATGGGTGTATTTACCCTATGCCTGTACTCCAATTGTATCTAGAAAGTAACTAAATTGCTTTTGGTTTTACAGGCTTATAGTCAGAAGGGACTTGCCTTGTCTCAGATAAGACTTTGGACTGTGAACTTTTGAGTAAATGCTGGAATGAGTCAAGACTTTAGGGGACTATTGGAAAGGCATGATTCATTTTGAAATGTGAGGACATAAGATTCACGGGGGTGCCAGGGGTGGAATGATATGGTTTGGCTGTGTTCCTACCCAAATCTTATCTTGAATTGTAGGTCCCATAATTCCTATGTGAGTGGGAGGGACCCGGTGGGAGAGAATTAAATCATGGGGTAGTTTTCCCCATACTGTTCTTTTAGTAATGAATAAATCTCACAAGATCTGATGATTTTATAAGGAGTTTCCCATTTTGCTTAGTTCTCATTCTCTCTTGCTTGCTGCCATGTAAGATGTGCTTTCGCCTTTCCACTATGATTGTGAGGCTTCCCCAGCCATGTGGAACTGTGAGCCCATTAAACCTCTTTTTCTTTGTAAATTACCCAGTCTCAGATATGTCTTTATCAGCAGCACGAAAACAGACTAATATACTGTATGATCAGCTCAATAGATGCAGAAAAAGCTTTTGATAGAATTGTGCATCTCTTCATGTTAAAAAATCCCTGAAAAAACAGCAGAAAAAACATACCTCAAAATAATAAATGTCATATACAATGAACACACAGCTAATATTATCCTGAATGGGGAAAAGTTGTAAGCAGTCCCATAAGAAATGGAACAAGACAAGGATGCCCACTTTTACCACTTCTATTTAACATAGTAGTGAAAGTCCTAGGCAGAGCAATCAGGCAAGAGAAAGAAATAAAAGGCATCCAAATTGGAAAAAAGGAATTTAAATTATCTCTCTTTTCAGATGATATGATATTACACCAAAATCCCTTAAGATTCCTCCAAAACTCTAGATTTGACGAATGTATTCACTAAAGTTTCAGGACAAAACATCCATGTGCAAAAATTATTAGCATTTCTACCCACCAATAACAATCAAGCTGAGAAGCAATTTAAGGAGGCAATCCCACTTAAATAGCTACACACACACACACACACACACACACCCCTAGGGATATATTTACCGAAGGAGGTGAAAGATTTCTACAAGGGAAACTATAAAGCATGGATAAAAGAAACTGTAGATAAGACAAACACATAAAAAATATTTTGTGCTAACTGGTCAGAAGAATTAATATCACTAAAATAATCATACTGCCCAAAGCAAACTACAGATTCAATCCAACCCCTTTCAAAATACCAATGCCATTTTAATGGAATTAGAAAAAAAATCTTAAAATTCATATGGAACCAAAATGGAGCCTGAATAGCCAAAGCAATTCTAAACAAAAAGAACAAAGTTGGAGACATAGCATCACCTGACTTCAAATTATACTAGAAGGCTATAGTAATCCAAACAGCATAGTACTAGTATAAAAATAGAGACATAAACCAATGAAACAGAATAGAAAACTCAGAAATAAAGCCACATATCTATAGCCAACTGTTCTTTGACAAAGGTGACAAAAACATATGCTGGGGAAAATATACCCTTTTTAATAAACGGTCCTGGAAAATTGGATTGCCACATTCAGAGGAATGAAACTGGACCCCTATCTCTCACCATATACAAAAATCAACTCAAGATGGATTAAAGTCTTAAATGTAAGAACTGAAACCATAAAAATACTAGAAGAAATCCTAGAGAAAACTGCTGGATATTGGTCTAGGCAAAGAATTTATGACAAAGATCTGAAAAGCACCACCACCACCAACAACAAAAATAGACAAATAGAAATTAATTAAAGTAAAAAGCTTCTGCATGGCAAAAGAAATAATCAACAAAGTGAACAGATAATCTGCAGAATGGGAGAAAATATCTGCAGACTATGCAACCAATAGAAAATTGATATCCAGAATCTACAAGTAATTCAAACAACTCAACAATTGAAATAAACAAATAACCCCATTAAAAGGTGAGTGAAGGATATGAATAGATATTTTTCAAAAGAAGACATACAAATGGCCAGTAAGCATATGAAAAAGTGCTTAATATCATTTGTCATCAGAGAAATGCAAAAAGAAATTACAATAATCTATCCTCTTAGACCAGTCTGAATAGTTATTATTAAAAAGGGAAAAAGTAACAGATATCGGCAAGGATGTGGAGAAAAGGGGAACACTTATACACTGTTGGTGGAATATAAACTAGTACAACTGCTATGGAAAACAGTATGGAGATTTCTCAAATAAATACAAATAGAACCACCATTTAATCTGGCAATCTCACTACTGGGTATCTACCCAAAGGAAAATAAATCATGACATCAAAAATATACCTGCACTTTATGTTTATCACAGCACTATTTACAGTTGCAAACATAAGGAATCAACCTAAGTGTCCATTAATGGAAGAATGCATAAAGATAATGTAAAATGGAATGCTACTCAGCCATAAAAAAAAGAATGCTTTTTGCAACAACATGAATGGAACTAGAGACCATTATCTTAAGTGAAACAATTCAGAAACAGAAAGCCAAATATCATATGTTCTCACTTATAAGTGGGAGTTAAATAATATATATTTTAATGCATGGACATAGAGTGTGGAATGATAGATATTGGAGACTCAGAAGGGTGGGAGAGTGGGAGGAAGGCAAGGGATGAGAAATTACTTACTGGGTACAATGTACACTATTCGGGTGGTGGTTATACCAAGAGCCCAGACTTCACCACTACACAATACATTCATGTAACAAAACTGCTATTGTACCCCTTATATTTATATAAATAAAAAACCCTTAAAACTCACAACCTAATAAAAAATGGGCAAATGATGACTTGAGAGGCTGAGGCAGGAAGATCACCTGAGCTCAGAATTTCTAGGCTGCAGTGTGCCATGATAGTGCAGCTGCACTTCAACCTGGGCAACAGAGTGAAATCCCACCTCTAAAAAAAATGGTCTAAGGATTTGAACAGATACGTTTACAAAATAATATATGTGAATGGCAAATAAGTACAGGAAGAAATGTTTCACATATTTAGGCAGCATGAAAATGCAAACTAAAGCTATAATGAGCTACCACTACATATAGGTTAGAATAGCTACATTTAAAAAATAATAGAGAGTCTGGCCATATCATATGTTGTTGAACATGTAGGGTAAGTGGAGATGTTATTCACGATTTTTGAGAATATAGAATGGCATCACAATTTTGGCTAACAGTATAGCCAAAACTATTAGTTTCCTAAAAAGTTAAATATGCATTCACCATACACACAGACATTCCATTCTCAGATATTTACTCAAAAGAAATAAAAACATATGTCCACTCAAAGATTTGTACATGAACATTCATAGAATTTTTATTTGTAATAAACAAAAGCCAGAAAAATCCAAATGCCCATCAATAGTTAAATGAGAAAAACAAATTGTGGTAGGTCTATACAATGGACAATTACCCAGCAAAAAAAAGAGGAAGGAATTATTGACACACATAACACAGATTAATATGAAAATTATTATGCTGAGTGAAAGAAGTAAATTAAAATAGTATGTACTTTATATTTCATTTATATACAATTCTAGAAAATGTAAACTAATTTATAGTGATAGAAAGCAAATCAGTAGTTTCATGGAAATGGGAGTGGAGGAGGAATGGATTACAAAGAGACATGAGGAAATTTGGGGGGATGATGTATGTATTCACTTTCTTTATTGTGGTGGCAATTTCACAAGAGTATGCATGTATCAAAACAAATTAAGTTATATACATTCTACATGTGTGCTTGTTTTATACTTTAATTTTATCTTAGCCATTTATGCCTAGTGTTCCACTATTGGAATGCTAAGCATGTGGGAGCTATTTATATGCTACTGCTCATGGTCATCGCCAAGCTTTGATTGCAAAAATTCAAAAAAATTGCAACCTCAGGCATAAATGGGTTAATAAAATTATAGTTATATAAAAACTATACCTATCATTAGATGATAAAAAGAAGATAAATTTGACAAATTTAAAAGAATTGGCAGAAAAAAATATTTTCAATTTTTTTCTAATTTTTTAATTATCCTCCTCTCCAATTACTCAAGACAAACTGGAATTTGATGGTCATCAGTGCTGACCAGAATTAATGATTCAAGGGACAAAATAGCAAAGAGACTGTCCTGACATCCTCCATACCTGAAAACTGGTAGCATGGCACTTGCACTGAATTATTATTATAGTCATCATGGGTTTTCTACTGATCTTATATAAAACCACCTGAATATAATTATGAATGTCAGAATGATATCTGTGGCCAGGCAACCAGGGAAAAGAAACTCATCAGCCTGTAGAATAACAGGTCCCAAACCTGTAGCTCTATGCTATAACCAATTCATCTACACAGGTCTCTGGCTATGCCCACTACTGGAGACTAGTCTACATATTTAATTTGTGAAAAATGCCACTAGCCCTGTACTCAAGTGAGGGGGATGTGAGGGCAGAGAGAGAGAGAGAGAAAGAAGAGAGAATAAAATTCACGTATGAAAAATGGGTGGAGGAGAGAGAGAATAAAATTCACTACTAAATAGGAAAAAAAATAGAAGAAAAACAAGTCTATCATCTTACTAAAGAGTGCATCCCCCAAGGAGAGTATAAGATAGGAAATATAAATCTAATGTTTCCTCCGTAGGCATCAATCTCCCAAATTTCTCTCCTACTATAAGCACTTTGTGATCTAAGGCTTGTGGATAAAAGAACTTTTTTAATAACATGGGCCATAAACACTAGCTAACTTCGTCATCTGATACTCAAAGAAGCAGAGCAACTATCTGTTGGACTTCCCAAGAGACAACGTGAATCTCTACTGAGGGATTTTCTATAACAATTATGAGCACATATAACTTTTGTCTTATATTCCAACTTTAGAATTTACCCTAGACACACATACATACCCCATCACCATCTCTACCACAACCACCATCATAAGCACTTAAAATGTGATCTCATTATGTTAATTACTCAGAATTTCTACAGCATATTTTCCTAGGACTGAAAAAATTGTCATTTAAAGATTTTTTTTTCTAGGGGAAAACTTAAAACTGTTGAAAATGATTAAAAATAACAAATCATGATTCAGTTCACAATCAAGTAACTAATATTGTACTTACCCTCACATAATAAAGAATTATAAAATTGAAAAAACTATTATTTTAAAAAACTGTTTTCAGATATTGAGCAATGGACAGCACAAGACTGTGATCCTTGAAAGAAGGGAGCCTCATGGAGTCAATTTCATTCACGCATTCTGGCTTTCTCTCTGGGGGAGATTTCCAAATTATTTTTCAGAAAATTGAATAAGCAAAAAACCTCTACATAACTGGATAGAGAAAAAGGTAAGTGGGTTAAAAAGATGGATATTAGAGTTGGAGGATTTAATGTCATCTTGGAGTTGTTAGGGCAGGGCTCTGAAGAGAGAAAACTACATCAAGAAAGTCTGAGAAATTTGCATAGAAGTTTCCTGCCAAGTCATTGATCAAATTCTAAGTTGTACATGTGTGGGGCATGATTCTGTGAAGATAAGCAAAAACAGCTGCTGGGGAACTGAAAGGTGAATAGAGACTTCAAAGGTCTCACGGTGCTGGGGAAACATTGGCATTCCCATCCATCCAGTTGGAGGCACCTTTTTTTTTTTTTTAATACTTTAAGTTCTAGGGTACATGTGCACAACGTGCAGGTTTGTTACATATGTATACTTGTGCCATGTTGGTGTGCTGCACCCATTAACTCGTCATTTACATTAGGTATATCTCCTAATGCTATCCCTCCCTGCTCCCTCCACCTCACAACAGGCCCCAGTGTGTGATGTTCCCCTTCCTGTGTCTAAGTGTTCTCATTGTTCAATTCCCACCTATGAGTGAGAACATGCGGTGTTTAGTTTTTTCTCCTTGCGATAGTTTGCTAAGAATGATGGTTTCCAGCTTCATCCATGTCCCTACAAAGGACATGAATTCACCCTTTTTTATGGCTGCATAGTATTCCATGGTGTATATGTGCCACATTTTCTTAATCCAGTCTATCACTGATGGACATTTGGGTTGGTTCCAAGTCTTTGCTATTGTGAATAGTGCCGCAATAAACATACGTGTGCATGTGTCTTTATAGCAGCAATGGCAACAAAAGCCAAAATTGACAAATGGGATCTAATTAAACTAAAGAACTTCTGCACAGCAAAAGAAACTACCATCAGAGTGAACAGGCAACCTACAGAATGGGAGAAAATTTTTGCAATCTACTCATTCGACAAAGGGCTAATATCCAGAATCTACAATGAACTCAAACAAATTTACAAGAAAAAAACAAACAACCCCATCAAAAAGTGGGCAAAGGATATGAACAGACACTTCGCAAAAGAAGACATTTATGCAGCCAAAAGACACATGAAAAAATGCTCATCATCACTGGCCATCAGAGAAATGCAAATCAAAACCACAATGAGATACCATCTCATGCCAGTTAGAATGGCGATCATTAAGATGTCAGGAAACAACAGGTGCTGGAGAGGATGTGGAGAAATAGGAACACTTTTATACTGTTGGTGGGACTGTAAACTAGTTCAGCCATTGTGGAAGAGAGTGTGGTGATTCCTCAAGGATCTAGAACTAGAAATACCATTTGACCCAGCCATCCCATTAATGGGTATATACCCAAAGGATTATGAAGGCACCTTTTTGAACAACCTGAGCATTCAACTGAGAACCTAGGAAGCCCATGCCTCAGGGGTTAGGACCACAGCCTAAGAGTAAAGACCACATGCCAGGACTCAGAGCAAATTAAATCAAAGTATCTGCCACAAATTTGACTGTTGGTCAGCACAATGCTCTCTCTGGAGCTGGAAATGACATAATCCAGAAGTTCTATCATATATAATTTGCAACATTCAGCATACAATAAAATTACTAAATATGCAAGAAGCAAGACACTGAAATCCATCAACAAAAAAAAATGGCTTATAAAAGACCCACACATAATCCAAATTTTGGAGTTAGCAGTAAAGGATTTAAAAGGGCTATTATAAGTATGTTAAAAACTTTAGTGAACAATACAGATAGGTACAAACAGATGGAGAATTTCAGCAAAAAGCTGAAAGACTAGAAAGGAACTAAAGGGAAAATTTTAAACTAAAAATAAAATCTCTCTATGGCAAAGAATTTATTGAATTGCTTAACAGCTGACTTGAAAAAGCAGAAAAAAATTTAGTAATCTCAAAGTCAGGTCAGTAGAAATTATCTAATCTCACATACAGAGAATAAAAATAAAAGAATGAAAAATGCAGGCTAAAGTTTCCATATCATGTGAGATAATGTCACTTTAACATACATGCAGCTAGAATCCAGAAAGACAGAGAGAAAATGGAGGACAAAATGTATTGGAAAAGATAATGGCCAAAACATTTTTAAATTTTATTAAAAATATCAACCCACAAGTCCGGCAAATTTCAGGAGACTTAATAAATATAAAGGCCACATGGGGCACATCAAACTGAAACAGAAGCATACGAAAAAGGAAAAAAGAAGAGGGAGAGAAAATCTTAAAACCAGCAAAGGGCAGACAACATTATATTCAGGGATACAACCATAAGAATGATAGCTGTCTTCTTATTATAAATAAATAGAAGCCAAAAGATAATAGGATAACATCTTTAATATTTTGAAAGGAAAAGTCTACTAGCCTAGAATGAATATATACACATATCCAGGAAACATGTCTATCCACAAGAAATATCTACCCAAAATGAAGGCAAAATAAAGGTATTTTGGACAAATAAATGCATAGTAAGTTCAATATCAGCAGACACACACTACACAAATACAAAGGAAGTTCTCAGGTCAAAGAGAAATGTTCCCAGATAAAAATGTGAACCTACCAGAAGTAATGAAGAGTACTGAAGATGGGAAACATGAAGGTAAATATGAAAGGTTATTTTTAAAATGTTCTAATAACACATTGATTAGAATAACAGTAGAACAAAGGAAACATGGACATATAGAAAACAAGGAACAAGATGGTGGGCTTAAACTCCGCCACATCAGTAATTTCAATAAATCTAAATAGACTAAACCACTCTATTTAAAAGACAATGATTGTCCACTAGAAAAAAGACCAACTAAATGCTGTTTACAGGGCTAGGATCTATTTTAGCATTTAGGATCCATTTTAGCATTTAGGTTCTATTTTAAGTATAAGGACATAGATATGTTGAAAGTAAAAGGATAGAAAATTATATACCATGCAAACACCAATTTAAAAATTCTATGGCTGTATTAATATCAGACAAAGGAGACTTTAAAGACAAAGAGGATTAATAGAGATAAGAAAGAGAATTCATAATGATAAAAGTGTCAATTCATCAGGTAGCTATAACAACCCTAAATACATTTAGCTGAATAATACAGTTTCAAAGTATTTGAAAAAAATGAAAAGAGGAAATGAAAATAATAGGAAAATCCACAATACACTTGACAATTTTAACACTTTTCTCTCAGTAGTTGATAGATTTAACTGACAAAAAGTTCAATAAAGATATGGAAAATTGGAAGAATACTATTACCTAACTTGATCTGATTGGAATTTATGGAGTACTACACCCAATAACTGCCGAAAATATACTACTTTTCAGTATACTTGGAACATTTGTCAAAATAGATCATAAGCTAGCTCATAAAATTGAGTCTTAATAAATTTAAAAGACTGTAATCACAAAAAGTATGTTCCTTAACTATAATAAAATTAAATCTAGAAATCAATTTTAAAGTCCCCTAAGATATGAAAATTGAATAACACACTTCTAAATAAATGTGTCAAAGAATAAATTGTCATAAATATTAGAAAATATGTTTAATCACTCTGACTGCTATGTAAGAATAGGCAAGAAAGAGAAGCAAGAAGAGAGATAAGGATACCAGTTAGGTGGTTATTACATTTATCCAGGTGAGAGATGATGTTGGCATGGATGCGGATACTAACAGAGTATAAGGATTGGTCAGATTATGAATACGTTGTAAAACCATAGACAATAGGATTTGCTGATAGATAAATATGAGGTTTGAGAGAACAAGAGAAGTCAAGGATTAATCTGAGATTTTGGCTTGAGTATGCAAAAAGATGAAGCCACCATTAACTGAAATGAGGGAGATTAAAAAAGAACCAGGTTTTGAGCAGAAATAGTATGAGCTGAGTTTTGATCACAACTACTAGTTTAAGATGCTTGTGCTGGGCACAGTGGCTTACGCCTGTAATCCCAGCACTTTGGGAGGCTGAGGCGGGCGTATCACCTGAGGTCAGGAGTTTGAGACAAGGCTGGCCAACGTGGCGAAACCCCGTCTCTACTAAAAATACAAAAACTAGCTGGGCGTGGTGGCGGGCACCTGTAATCCCAGCTACTCAGGGGGCTGAGGAGAGATAATCACATGAACCCGGGAGGCAATATGTTGCAGTGAGCAGAGATTCCGCCATTGCACTCCAGCCTGGGCAGCAAGAGCAAAACTCCTTCCCTCTCTCCCTCTCCCTCTCTCTCTCTCTCTCTCTCTCTCTCTCTCTCTCTCTCTCTCACACACACACACACACACACACACAAGATGCTTGTTATCCACTTAAGAGATGTTCAGTAGACAGTTGGGTTTGAGTCCATTATTCAGGGGAGAGTTTGAAACTAGAGACATAAACTTTTAGAGAGAAAGAGAGAGGGATAGATAGATATAGTCAGATATATATACACACATATATATAATTTACAACCAAAATAAATTAAATACTATACACTTACATACTGAGATCACTAATAGAGTAAGTGAGACTTATCCCTTAAGCACCCCAATGTTACCTAGCCAGGGGAAAGAATCAGAGACTGAGGTAGTAGGAAAAACAGGTGTGAAGCTGTGGAAGCCAAGGGATAGTGTTTCAAGGAGGAGAAAATAAGCAAATTTGTGAACTTCCACTTGTAGCTCAAGTTAAGATGAAAACTGTGAACTGACCTTTGATTTAGAATAGTCATGAGTTTGAGACCAGACTGGCCAACATGGTGAAACCCTGTCTCTACTAAAGTGTTTCAAGGAGGGATAGTGCTTCAAGTAGGAGAAAATAAGAAAATTTGTGAACTTCCACTTGTAGGTCAAGTTAAGGTGAAAACTGTGAACTGACTTTTGATTTAGAACCCATCAATTTGTGACCTGAAAAAACGCTTGTGGTGAAACAGTAGGAGTGTGAGCCTGACTATAGTGAATGTAAGAGAAAATGGATACAAAAGAAGCCAGTGTGTGGAGATAGCTGTTTTGAGCATAGCTTTTCTAAAAGAAGAGAAATAATGGGAAAGTTGGGTTAAGAGAATTTTTTAAGATATAAGAAATAATAGCATTTTTCTATACCAATAACGACAATCTAATAGAAAATAACTACCAATTCAGATATAAAAAAAAGAGAGTTGAAGCGATATTTTTAATTGGGCAAAAGGTGATGAGATTTAGAACCAAAGGGAAAGAGAGGTTGGTGTTAAAACAGAGGACAGGCAGTTCTATTATAATAGGAGAGAACACGGATTGTACAGACATAATAGAAACTTGGGAAATTCTGATTGCTTTATCAGCTGAGAATAAGGATGGTGAAGAGGAGGTGGAAGTTAGAAGTTTCAGGAGAGAAGAGGAAGTATAAAGTATTCATTTAGGAAAACGTAAAGATGAATGGAGTGGGAAATAGAGTACTACTGCTGAGCAGCATTTACAGGCACAATTAAAGTAATCAATTGTGAATTTAAGTGAGACCAGTAATACTGGTTGTTTGTTTTTCTCCATGCATTTTCATCTAAGCAGGTACAGGTGCAAGATAGGCAGAGATTTCGATTTAACCAGGATTGAGGCAAAGCCTCAATCAAGCACATGAAAGGTAAATGTGTATTTGAGGAAATGATTATGAAGATTAACCATGGAATTTAAGGAAAGAAGGAGGACATAAGGATAAGTAAAAAGCTGGTAGAATCAATGGATTTAATTCTTGAAGGGGGTTGAAACACTAAGTAAAAACAATAGTAGGAATGACCAGAAAAGATAACAGAAACTTTTAGAGATTAGGATGCTTACATTTAAGATTATGGGGTGATTTCAGTCATTGGAATGAATGTCAGAGATGGTTTAGAGGAAAAAAAAATCATTTAAGGAGAACAGTTAAGGAAATGGAAACATTGGGGTTTAGAAAAATAGCCTATATGAATACTGAAATCACACAGTTACGATAGGAGTACTGTGGAAGAGATGGACACTAAGCCAGGATTTAACATCTTCAAGGAAAAAGGTGACTTTAGTTAGCAGATAGATTGGTAGATGGGCTGTATCTGAGTGTAATTTGTTGACACGAGATTAACACTCGAAGGGTAGGGCTTGGAAAGGAAATAAAATGTTCTGGAAGGGATAATAGGAGCAAAAGGGATTCCTGCACCACCTCTAGGCCCTGGTGTATTACAAGAGCAGGAGGGGAAAAGCCACCCCAAAAGAGATTCACAGGAGAGCTTCAAAGATGTTCACAGAGATTCAAAAGAGAGCCTGGTTTCAAACTTACTTTTGATGACAACAATCGTGGTCTCTATAAATAGCCCAGGAAAGAATGGCTGCAGTAAATCTGCTTTTCTGGCTGCTGAAGTGTCTGGTCTGTCTTGACACTTCCTATGGTGCCATAAGGAAGTGTTTCTGCTGCATCTCTGGCAGTCTCAACCAACCCCCGAACCACTAACAACTTTGAAGATTTCACACCTATTGATAACAAAATCAGTTTCCATGTGACGAGACGGAGGTTCTTTCTTTTTCTCTTTTTCTTTGGCTCCCTCACTTCTTCCCTCCTTCCCTCTCTCTTCTTACCACCCTTTCTATCATTTAGAGAGGGAAGACAAATGAAGAGATGATGAGATATTCAAAACACTTTTGGCTCCTGTTAGAACCAGAAAATAAGAAAAATATACTATGAGAAAACACTACATATAAAACTGAAGTATGCAATTTGTCAGTATTCTCTAGCACATTAAGTAGAATGTGATGAATTCTGAAAGCAACAAGAGAGAATTCTGAAAAATGAGACTCCCAGGCCAGGAAAATGAGAATTATATTAAAGAAGAAAAATCACTGATGACCAAATGTCTATTTCCTTTTTGACTTTGCTACATTTCTTCACTTTAAGTTGATTCCTCAGCAGAGGGAAAATGTTCTTGGGGATTAATTTACTAGATTATTAGACTACAGTTAGAAATCAATTTCTCTCATTTGTTTGATGAAATTATGTGAAATAACTTGCAGTGGACCATTCACTAAATTTTCCTTGCTAACATGTCTTGCATTAGAGATAACTGAATTTCAAATCAGGGTATTGGAATTCCAACCCTGATTCTGCTGTAGGACCATCCTCTTACTCATCCTACTAATCTTACTTTCAGTATCTCTTTCTCCATGACAATTTTCCCCCTAAGTATACTACTTATTCTGATAATAGTCTGCTATTGCACCTTGAAATTCTCTTTTGCATTCTACTGGAAATGTATACTTTTTTTATTTATTTGATTAATGTATGTCTTTCCTATAGAATTGCAAGCTCTATGAAGCCAGAGAGCTCATATTACCAGTATCTACATAGAAGATAATCAATAAATGCTTATTGTCTGCCTGTCTGGCTTGGACAAATAACATACTGAACTTCAGTTTCTTCAGATCCAGTCTGTCAACTTCATGGAACCATGGAGTCCAATATACATAAGGGCACTTCAAAACCTTTAAAGTATTTATCAAATAGGAAGGATTTCTTAATGCATCAAACAGTTTCCTGATACAATAGTATTATCAGCATATATTATTGGCAGAGAATACGTTCCAAGACATCTAGTAGCTAATACCAAAATGTATATATATTATGTTTCTTCCTATTCATTACATATCTATAATAATCTAATTTATAAACTGGGCACAGTAAGAGATTAACAACAATAAATAATAAAATAAAACAATTATAACAATACGACAGCACCACTATTCTTCTGCTGTGGGGCCATTATTAAGTAAAATAAGGCTTACTTGAACACAAGAAAGGCGATAACATGACAATTGATCTGGTAATGTAAACAGCTACTAAGTGACTACCAGGCAGGTAACATTTACAGCCTAGATACACTAGACAAAGAGGTGATTAACATCCCAGGTGGGATGGAGCAGGCTGGCACAAGACTTCATCACACTACTGAGAATGGCATGCAATTTTAAGTGTATGAATTGTTTACTTCTGGAATTTTTCATTTAATATTTTCAGACCATTGTTGACCATGAGTAACTGAAACCTTGGACAGTGAAACCATGCATAAGTATATTCGTGATTAATTCACCATTAAGTTTTACTACTTCTCCTAGTAACAAGTGTTTATTTTCCATAGGATTTGTTAACCACTTTTTAATAGTGGGCTTCAAGAAACCAAAAAAGCCCCAGGAATTTGAGAACCTATTTTAAATT
Source organism: Homo sapiens (assembly GCF_000001405.40). Lineage (NCBI taxonomy): Eukaryota > Metazoa > Chordata > Mammalia > Primates > Hominidae > Homo > Homo sapiens. The sequence goes on along the minus strand of NC_000001.11, from coordinate 98,852,526 downwards.
TTACTAGATTTATAAATGTCCCCTGAAAACTTTAGATTACAGAATTCTGAGACAAAACGTTACCTCATGGTTTTTGGAGATGCCTTACTGTCTTCTTTAAGTATTATAACAAATGGATTACCTCGCTAGGTTATTTTGTTGTGAGTGACACTTATCATCATAACCCCACTGAATACGAGGTCAGATAAGGTGCATCCTCAATGTTAATCACAAGCTGGTAATTTTACAGGTTGATTCAGGCTTTCTAACTGGTGGACTTAGTACCTTAGCCGTTCATTTTTACATACTACTGACCATCTGCTCATTCAACAGATACTTAGTGAGCAAGTACTTTGTGTTTAGGATACAAAGAAATGCAGAGAGGGCATTACGAGCCATAGCTTCAGTCTTATAATATTATGATCATACATGTTATAAGTATTATAACAATTATGCCGTGACACATAAGAGAGATACATAACTCAGAATGGCAGGCTCAAGAAGTACTTTTCAGATAAGGAGCCACCGGAGCTGAGACCTAAAGAATCAGTAAGAAATCAGTGGGGAAAAATGATAGGCATATTATTTCAGGAAGAGGCATGAGCGTACAAAGTCATGGAGGTGATACAGTTATTGGTGAATTTAAAAAAATGTTGATCATTTAATACTGTTAGATAAAATAATATGTATCCTGGGAGGGAGGGCTGGAGAGGTCAGGGAGATGAACCGGGGGAGGACTGCGGACACCCAGTCATGAAAGTCTGCATATGTTTAGACTTTATCTTAAATGTGAATGGAAGCTATAACCTGGATGTTTGTCTGTAGAAACAATTTATTCTATTTCTCCAGGTTAATAGTCTAAAAAAAGTAGAACTGGAAAATGGCAATTGTGTGTAGATCCCATAATATATCATCTGAAGAGGATTTGCCAAGTGCCTTCTACCTGCAGGGCAATGTTGCAGAAGCCTTCATTTATTCAAAGAAATCTAGACAATCTATCAACAAAGACTAATGAGAAATTATTACCTAGGAGCCCTCTCTTTAATTTGTAAAACCAGCCATTCCAGAGTCAATAGGAAGTAACACATCATGGGTCGCATGTCACCTGACCACTCACCATTTTAGCTGTAAGTAGTGCCTTAAACAACTGTTATTATTTATATGACAAATATGTATTCTAATTTTTCTGGAATAGTCATAATGTCATGAAATAGTTAAACTTTGGTAAGTTTCATTTGTTCAATACATAGCTTAAAAATTGATTAAATGTAATTTAAATTGGACTTATTCATAGTTTAAGAAATAAATATAAAAATTTAAAAATTCTCTTCAGGAGTATGTAAAGAATTTTTGTTCCTCAAATTTGCTTCCTATGCCTCCACATCAACATTTATAAAAACTATTAATTGTAATGTTCCCAACACAAAGAAAACCTAAGTGTTTGACATGATGGATACCTGTACACATTATGTAAAGGTATCTAAATATCACATGTACCCTTAAAATATGTACAAATATTATATGTCAATTTAAAAAAAGAATAATATAGAGCACTTCCTCAGTTAGAAAAGAGGAATATATCTGATTTATTTTTTAGATCAATCGCATAGCATGAAGATAGCTGATAATTGAATTTGTAAATTTCAGTATCACTAAAAGTATAATTGTAATATTCTCATCACAAACAAATGTTAAAAAAATTAACAAACATAAAAAAACACAAACAAGGGCATTACATAATGGTAAAGGGCTCAATTAAACAAGAAGATATAATTATCCTAAACATGTATGCACCCAATACAGAAGCACCCAGATGCATAAAGTAAGTTCGTAGAGACCTACAAAGAAACTTAGATAACTACCCTCTAATAGTGGGAGACTTCAGCATGCCACTGACAGTATTAGACACATCATCAATGCAGAAAACTAACAGAGGTATTTAGAACCTGAACTCAACACTTGACCAAATAGACCTAATAGACATCTATAGAAATCTCCACCCAAAAACAACAGAACATACATTGTTCTCATCTGCACATGGAACATACTCTCAAAGCAACCATATAATTGGACACAAAACAATCATTAACAAATTTAAGAAACTGAAATCACACCAACCACACTCTTGGACCACAGTGCAATGAAAATAGAAATCAATACTAAGAAAATTGCTCAGAACCATACAATTACATGGAAATTAAACAACCAGCTCCTAAAGGACTTTTGGGTGAATAATTAAATTAATGCAAACATCAAGAAGTTGCTTGAAACTAATGAAAACTAAGACACAACACATCAGAATCTCTGCAACACAGCTAAGGCAGTGTTAAGAGGGCAGGTTATAGCACTAAATGCCCACATCAAAAAGTTAGAAAGATCTCAAATTACCAATCTAACACCGTAACTAGAGGAAATAGAGACATGAGAGCAAACCAACCTCAAAGCTAGCATAAGACAAGAAATAAGCAAAATCAGAGCTGAACTGAAGGAAATTGAGATGGGAAAAACCATACAAAAGAGCAATGAATCCAGGAGTTTGTTGCTTGGATGAATTAGTAAGATAGACCACTAGCTTGACTAATACATAAAAAAAGAGAGAAGATCCACTGAACACAATTTGAAATGACAAAGGGGACTTTACCACTGACCTCACAGAAAACAAAACAAAACAAAACAAAAAAACAACAAAAAAAAACACCCTCAGAAACTACTATGAACACCTCTATGCACACAAGCTAGAAGATCTAGAAGAGAGGGATAAACTGGATAAATCCCTAGAAACATACAACATCTGAAGACTGAACCAGGAAGAAATTTAATCCCTGAATAGACCAATAATAAGTCCCAAAATTAAATCAGTAATAAAAAGACTGCCAATCAAAAAAAGCCCAGGACAAGTTAGATTTGCAGCCAAATTCTACCAGATGTATAAAGAACTGTTATCATTTCTACTAAAAGTATCACACAGAATTGAGGAGGAAGGACTCCTCCCTAACTCATCATATGAGGCCAAAACCTGGCAGAGACACAACAAAAAATAAAACTTGGCCAGGCACAGTGGCTCATGCCTGTAATCCCAGCACTTTGGGCGGCCGAGACGGGCAGATGACGAGGTCAGAAGTTTGAGACCAGCCTGGCCTCATGGTGAAACCCCATCTCTACTAAAAATAGAAAAATTAGCTGAGCATGGTGGTGTGTGCCTGAAATCTAAGCTACTTGGGAGGCTGAGGCAGAATTGCATGAACCTGGGAGGTGGAGGTAGCAGTGAGCTGAGATTGCAACACTGCACTGCAGCCTGGGCAACAGCGCAAGACTCTGTCTTGGAAAATAAATAAATAAATAATAAATAAGTAAAACTTGAGGCCAATATTTTTGATGACCATAGATGAAAAAATTCTCAACAAAACACTAGTAAACTGAGTCCAGCAGCACTTCAAAAAGCTAACCCACCACGACGAAGTAAATTCTCTCCCTGGGATGCAAGGTTGGTTTAACTTATGCAAATCAATGAATGTGATTCATTACATAAACAGAATTGAAAACAAAAAATACGTGATCACTTTAATAGATGCAGAAAAGGCTTTCAATAAAATTCAACACCCCTTCATGTTAAAAACCTTCAACAAAGTAGGCACTGAAAGAACATACTTCAAAATAATAAGAGCCATCTATGACAAAACCACAGCCAACATCAGACTGAATGGGCAAATGCTGGAAGCATTCCTTTCGAAAAGCAGAACAAGACAAGGATGGCCTTTCTCACCACTCCTATTCAACATAATCCTGAAAGTCCTGGCCAGAGCAATCAGGCAAGAGAAAAAATAAAAGACATCCAAATAGGAAGAGAGAAAGTCAAACTATCCCTGTTTGCAGATGATATGATTCTCTACCTAGAACTCCCCACAGTCTCTGCCCAAAAGCTCCTTGAGCTAATAAACAACTTCAGCAAAATTTCAGAATACAAAATTAGCGTACATAAATTACTAGCATTCTTATACACCGATGCTATCCAAGCTGAGAGCCAAGTCAAGAATGCAATGCCACTTACAATAGCCGCAAAAAAGAATAAAATGCCTACGAATATAGCTAACCAGGGAGGTGAAAGATCTCTACAATGAGAATTACAAAACACTGCTCAAAGAAATCAGAGAAGACATAAATAAATGGAAAAACATTCCATGCTCATGGATAGGAAAATCAGTATCATTAAAATGGCCATACTGCCCAAAGCAGCTTATAGATTCAATGCCATTACTATCAGACCACCAATGACATTCTTCACAGAACTAGAAAAAAACTGTAAAAATTTAAATGGAACCAAAAAAGAGCCTGAATAGCCACGGCTATCCTAAGCAAAAAGAAAAAAGCTGAAGGCATCACATTACCCAGCTTCAAACTGTATTATAAGGCTACAGGCCAGTTGTGGTGTCTCACGCCTATAATCCCAGCACTTTGGGAGGCCGAGGCAGGTGGATCACGAGGTCAGGAGATCGAGACCATCCTGGCTAACATGGTGAAACCCCGTCTCTACTAAAAATACAAAAGAATTAGCCGGTCGTGGTGGCGGGTGCCTGTAGTCCCAGCTACTCGGGAGGCTGAGGCAGGAGAATGGCATCAACCCGGGAGGCGGAGCTTACAGTGAGCCAAGATGGCGCCATTGCACTCCAGCCTGGGTGACAGAGGGAGACTCTGTCTCAAAAAAAAAAAAAAAAAAAAAAGGCTACAGTAACCAATACAGCATGGTACTGCTACAAAAGCAGACACATAGACCAATGGAACAGAATAGCAAGCCCAGAAATAATGCTGCACACCTACAAGCATCTAATCTTCAATAAAGTCAACAAAAACAAGCAATGGGCCGGGGCGGGGGGACAGGACTCCCTATTCAATAAATGGTGCTGGATTAAATATCTAGTCATATGCAGAAGATTGAAACTGGAACCCTTCCTTGCACCATATACAAAAAATCAACTCAAGATATATTAAATATTTAAATGTAAAACCTAAAACTAAAGAAACCCTGGAAGATAAACTAGGAAATACCTTTCTGAACACAGGCCCTGGCAAGGATTTCATGACAAAAACTCCAAAAGCAATTGCAAAAAAACCCCAAAATTAACAAGAGGGACCTAATTAAACTAAAGAGCTTCTACACACCAAAAGAAACTATTAACAAAGTAAACAGACAACCTTCAGGATGGGCAAAAATACTTGCAAACTATGTATCTGACAGAGTCCTACTATCCAGAATCTATAAGGAGCTTAAACAAATTAACAAGCAAAAAATCAACAACTCCATTAAAAAGTGGGCAAAGGACATGAACAGACACTTATTAAAAGAAGACATACACATGACCAACAAGTATATGAAAAAATGACCAACATCACTGATCATTAGAGAAATGCAAATCAAAACCACAATGAGGCCAGGCATGATGGCTCACTCCTGAAATCCCAACACTTTGGGAGGCTGAGGTGGGTGGATCACTTGAGGTCAGGAATTTGAGACCAGCCTGGCCAACCTGGTGAAACCCCGTCTCTACTAAAAATACAAAAATTAGCCAGGAGTGGTGGCAGGGACCTGTAATTCCAGCTACTGGGGAGGCTGAGGCAGGAGAATTGCTTGAACCTGGTAGGAGGACATTGCAGTGAGCTGAGATAGTGCCACTGCACTCCAGCCTGGGCAACAGAGAGAGTCTTCATCTCAAAAACAAACAAACAAACAAACACAATGAGATATCATCTAACAGCAGTCAGAATGGCTATGATTAAAAAGTTAAAAAATAACAGATGTTGGTGAGGTTGCAGAGAAAAAGAAATGCTTATACACTGACGCTGAGAATGTAAATTAGTTCAGCCACTGTGGAAAAACACTTTGGCGATTTTTCAAAGAACTCAGCAGAATTACCATTTGACCCAGCAATCCCATTATTGGGGATATTTCCAAAGGAATATGCATCATTCTTCCTTAAAGACACAAGCATGTGCATGTTCATCACAGCACTATTCACAATAGCAAAAACATGGAATCAACCTAGATGCCCATCAATGGTAGACTGAATAAAGGAAAAGTGCTAAATATACACCATGGAGTACTATGCAGTCATAAAAAACAATGAGGTCACATCCTCTGCAACAACATGAATGAGCTGGAGGCCGTTATCCTAAGCAAACTAACACAGGAGCCAAATACCACATGTTCTCAGTCATAAGTGGGAGCTAAACATTGAGTACCTATGGACACAAAGAAGGGAACCACAGACACCAGGGCCTGCTTGGGAGTGCAAGGAGGGAGGAGGGTGAGGATTGAAAAACTTCCCACAGAGTACTATGCTTATTGCCTGAATGGTGAAATAATCTGTACACCAAATGGCCATGACACAAAATTTACCTATATAACAAACCCACACATGTACTCCTAAACCTAAAATAAAAGTATTTTAAAAAGTTAGAAATTTGAGGTGATGGATATGTTAACTATCTTAATGTAATCTTTTCATATTATATTTTAAAAGCATAATATCACTTTGTAACCAATAAATATATACAACTATAATTTGTCAACATAAAAGACTATACATGTGACTGGATATATTAGGAAATAAAGTTCTGTCTGAGAAAAAGTTCATATTTTCCTTTTGTCATGTATTAAGACCAATTAAAGAGCTGTGTCTCCTTTAATCTCAAATGTATTTACCACTCAAGCACACCAAAAGGCACACTAATTTGTATAAACCTATGTGTACAACCAAGCTCAAAAATGGCCCCCAAAGACTTTTCCCTCCTGGTATTCATGATGTTGTATAGTCCTCTATGCCCTGACTCATGGCTTGCCTGGGTGGTCAATTGGATACTGTGGAACTGATAGTGATGACTTCTAAGGGTAGATCAAAAAACACTGTGGTTTTCACTTTGGCATTTCTTGGATTATTCTCTCCAGAGGAACTCAGCTGCCGTGTAATGAGGATTCTTAGGAGGCCTATGCAGAGGTCCATTTGGTGAAGAACTGAAGCCTCCAGTAATAGCCAGCATAAACTTGCTATATATGTGAGTGTGTCATTTTGGAATCAGATCTTGCAACCCAGTGAGACCTTCGGATGACTGCAGCCCTGAGGACATCTTGACTGAAACTTCATGAGAGAATGTGGGCCAGAACCACCCAGCTAAGCCACTACAGAATCCCTTACCCACAGAGACTATGTGAGATAATCAGTGTCTGCTGTTATTTCAAGCCACAAAGTTTTAATTTGTTACATAGCAACTAAAGCTATGTAATACAATCGAATTCAGATACCTAATGCAACCCAAAAGGGATTATTTATAATCACAGATGATAGTGAATCTGGTGCTTTTAGAAGCAATAGTCCAAAAAGAACAAAAGGTTTTGAGCATTGAAGTAGACAGAATTATGGTCTCCCAAAGATTTCATTAGGATTCAAGGAGGTCTAAATCTCTAGAACCTGTGAATATGATACCTTACATTACAAAAGGGAGTGTAGTTGTGATTAAATTAAAAATTTTGAGATGGGGAGATTATCCTGGCTTAGACAGGTAGGTCCAAGGTATTCACAAGTGTCCTTATGAGGAGAATGCAAGAGGGTCATGAGATGTGACAATGGAAGCAAGACGTACAAATGGTACAAAAAAAAGAGATGATGATCCAAGGAATGCAGGCAGCCTCTAGAAACAGAAATAGGCAAGAGAACTGATTCCTCAGTGAAGCCCCCAGAAGTTACACAGTACTGCCAACATTTTAATTTTAGGTGAACTCCAGATTTGTAAGAGAAAAAAAATGGGTACTTTCAAGCCGTTAATTGTGTGGTAATTGATTACAGCAGTAATAGGAAACTAAAACAGTAAACTGATATTGTGCCACAAGGAAAAGATAATAAAAAGAGTCAAAAAGAGTGGTAGGTTTCATTACTTTATCTCACGAAAATTTCTCTGAGCTTAGTGAGAAAACAACAACAACATTAAGATTCTATTCTGAACAAATGTCTTCCAAAGGCTGCAATCTAGAAAGTGAAAAGGGTCAGATGACTTATCATTTAATTGAAAAATGCATTTGACAATACCAAGCCTCCTGTGCTTTCACCCAAAATGCAAATGTTTTTGATGCAAGGAAAGAAATTTTATTTCCAGTATGAGTTCAGTAAATATTTGTTGATGATGATATAGAGGATAATTTACCAAAAGCACTTTTAGCAAAAAAACGAATTTGGGGATCTTTGCATACTTACTTTTGAAAGTGGATTTCATGCCTCCTGATGTGTGACCTTTTTTTTAAGTGATAAGAACAAACCTAATACTTATATAGCCTATCACAAACATTTTCACATACATGTCTCAAGTAATCTTCAACATGTGAAGTAAGACTATTATTGTAATTTATATCTTATTCATGAAGAGCCTAAGTCTCAGCAAGTTTGACTTCTCAAAACTCACCCAACTATGAATGATAGAACAGCAAGAGTGAATGAAAATCCCTATTCGTTTAGTTACGACTTCACTCTACACTGTGCCTTTCTAGTGTTAAGTTAAATATAACAAGGTTATTAGAAAAATAATTGGATACAGTGTTTATCATTGTAACTTTTTCTTTTGACAAGTTAACACTGAGAAATTCTATGTTCCAGCCACCAGGTTTACAACAGTGAAACAAATGCGATTTCTATCTTGAAGTTCATTGTGTAGTAGAAGAGACAAATGAGTGGGTTGATATTTACCCTGAAGGCTAGTGGAGACTGTGACAGGGCTAAGTAGCACTGTGTCAGGGGATCAAATAGCAGGGGACATTAATCTATAATTGAGGACTTAGGGAGAACTTCTCAAAGGTAGTAACTCAAATTTGTCAACTGAAGCTAAGAAGATCAGCTAGGCAAATAGAAGATAAGTGTGGGTAAGGCAAGTTGTTCTAGGAAGAAGAAACAAAAAAGTCTGGGAGTGGGCTGGGAGCGGTAGCTTATGCCTGTAATCCCAGCACTTTGGAAGGCAGAGGCGAGTGGATCACAGGAGGTCAGGAGTTCTAGACCAGCCTGGCCAACATGGTGAAACCCCATCTCTACTAAAAACACAAAAATTAGCTGAGCATGGTGGCCTGTGCTTGTAGTCTCAGCTACTCGGGAGGCTGAGGCAGGAGAATCACTTGAACCCAGGAGGTTGCAGTGAGCCGAGATTGTACCATTGCACAAGTGAAACTCTGACTCAAAAAAAAAAAAAAAGTCTGGGAATGGGTTTCTAAGAATGTTTTCATCGAACTGTCCTATATTCAGATGGAGGAACACTCTTACTATTCAACAGATGTCACCTTGATGCCAACAATAGTGAGTGCTGAGCCTTACTGGTCCAAGAGGATATCTGAGGAGAATCTATTTTTTATTTTTCTTTTCTCAAGAAATTGGCAGACTTTTATAGTATCAAGTGTTAATTTTTTCACTTTATATCATAAAGGCCCATTTCTGGATTCCTTCTAGGAGAAGCTCTAAAATACACATCTTTTCGGAATAACTCCTGTTAGCCATTGTCCATGAGAATCTCCTTCTTTTGAACCCTGCTGAACCTTTTCCCAATATTCCTTTCCTTTATCTTGTATTCACTTGGAGCTTAATATTATTTTCTATATACTAGGCTCTTGCACTTGACAAAGAGCAGATGTGGCAATAACTTTTTGAAAGGTCATTAGTATATCATTTTGCAAATTGCTTAACACCAGAAGTATCAGGCCTGGAGTGTTTAAAGCATTTTAATAATTTAGAAATGCAAGATTAATGCAAAGCAATGTTACATTAAATAAGAGTTCATTGCTTACCTTGTTGTATGCTATGTCATTTGATGAACAGCCAAAATTAATTCACTAAGTGTCATGCTGGGGCCCAAAAGAAAAAAAAACCGCTTTGCAAACTTTACTACTAGATAGAATGAATTTATTTATTAAATATAGCTGATTTATTTATCTTCCAGGTTTTGAAAGGGCAGATTGTATCTTCTTCTAGCTATTTGAAATATGAGATTAAATTGTTATAATAATGTGAAGAGATAATTCATAAGGAGTCCAGAGGGGTACAGTGGACAGCACCTTAGACTAGACAGGCACTAATGACACAACATGTCCTTAGGGCAGGAACCTTATCCGTTTTGTTCACTGCTGACTTTCCCAGCATCTAAAACAGTGCCTTGCATCCAGCAGGTATTTCGTGGTTATGTGTTTAATAAGTAAATGAGTAACTATCTGTTATGTTTGAATTGTGTCTCCTCCACACACACACACACACATGCACAGACACACACACACACACAAATCATATGATGAAGCCCCAATCTCAGGTACCTCAGAATGTGACCTTATTTGGAGATAGGATCTTACAAAGGTCATCAAATTAAAATGAGGTTATTAGAATATGCATTAATTAAGTCCTTGTGCAGTCCTTACGAAAAGGAGAAATTAGGAGATAGACATGCACACAGAGAGAATGCCATGTGAAGATGAAGGCAGAGATTGGGGTAATGCTTCTACAAGCCAAGGAATGTGAAAGATTATCAGCAAACCACCAGAAAGTGGGCAAGAAGCATGGCACAATAGATTCTCTCTCACAACCCTCAGAAAAATCAACCCTTCCAACGAATTTATCTTAGATTTATAGTCTCCAGAACCATGAGACAATAAATTTCTGTTGTTTGAGCCACCTAGTTTCTGGTACTTTGTTGTGGAAGCCCTCAAATTAATGTAATATCTTTCTAGTTAAGTCTTGCACATCCAAGTTACAGGCTATCTTGCTTTTAATGTTCTATTATGACTTAAGTTCTCCAGTTGCGTTTAGTGTTTGGCTACCTAACCACTCTCTAAAAGAGAAAATAAATCTATTTTCTTTGGATTTCACATATCATTAAGCTGTACGTAGTGCAAGTGGTCAAAAAATGCTTAATTGTATACACTGTATAAAATAGTCTTGTCTCTTCTGTGATTGAGTACCTTCTGCATATGCTTGTTTGATGATTAAATGAGACGACTTGTGAAAACAAAAAGCTAGCCTAGAGAAATCTCTCCATAAGTGAAATTTGCAAAGACACAGTTGAGTTTAGTGCAAAAGAAATATGAAATTAGACAACATGGGTTTAAACTCTTATTAATTATAACCTTGAGCAATGTACACAATCTCTCTGTGTTCATGGAGAGATTATATTTCTTCAAGTTTCCTTGTAATGATTTTGTGACATGTTTTAAAGATTATTGTGTAATATAAGAAAATCTATTAGCATAGTGATTACCACATAACTAGTATTCAATAAGGAACAGTTTTATTTTTACCCATTTAGTATGAAAATACTATGCTAGATACTGAGTGGGAATTGAGCATGTAAGAAGTTTCAAAAATGAATCACTTTTACTTCTTGGAAAACACATAAAAGCATATGAAACTATTATAGTTAGGAAATGCTAGCTGCTGTAACAAATAAACCACCAAATGTCCATGCCCAAACCCAATAGATGTGTATTTCTCATGCAAAACTCTAAGGTGATAGTCCCTATTTGACAGGCTTTCCTTGATAGAGTCATTCAGAGAAACAGGCTCCTGTCTTGTGGCACTGGATTGCCTTAAAATTCTGTGTCTTCTGCTCCAACCAGCAGAAGAGAAAAGGGAGAGAGTGGGAGAGACATTCGAGAAGACATAACTAACTTTTAGGAACCCTGGTCCAAAAGTGACCATCCCATTCATGTTCCGTTGATGAAAATTATTTAACCTGGATGCATAAGGTTCAGGACATGTAGTTCCTAACTCAGTAGAACTTCCAGCAACAACTTCATTCTATGAAAGGAGGAGATGTAGCTTAGCCATATCTGCTACTGTCACAGAGCTAAACCTATATATAGCAACAAAATGAAGTAAGCTCCAAATGGGGAAGAAGTACAGAGTATAGTCTGGGTGTAAAACCAGCCATTCTCAAAGCTCCAAGTTGGTTCTCTGGGGTTCTGGGCTACTCTAAAATCCACTGTCTGTTATGTAATCAAGAATAGAAAATCCTACTTGGTGGTAGAGGAAGGAGAGAAATAAGCAGGGGAAATGCTACTAAACCGTATTTCAGGAATGTGGTTACTACTATAGTACTCCAGAGTGATATTCTAAAGAAAGAATTTAGACATGGGTGAAGAGTTTTCACATGGTTCTACTTACACTTATCCCTGATAGTTTAAGGCTACAAATCAGATTGGACATAATTACTTGGCACAGCCAGTCTTTAATAATATATGTGGACTCTGTGTGTGATGGGTCTGACCTTATGAGGTATGACCGAGTTTTCTGGGTTTTTGTTGTTGTTGTTGTTGTTATTTTGCTCAATAGAAGATCATTAAAACAAAGTTAGTATTTGGTAGCAGCACTTGGCTTTAGAGAAGACCTTTTCCTCAAATTAGCTAGGTCAGCAGCACGACTGTACAATTTGTTAATGCACAATAAGAAACTCTAAATTTCAGTGCTGAGAAAGTCACTCATTGAGATGCAATGCATGGCATGCAGTTATGCAAAAAATCTGCCAGGTTGTGAAAGCATTTTCTAAGAGCTAATAAACACAACCAAATAACTTATAGCTGGTCCCAGATCAAGGCAGGGGGAACTATCCAAAGGGAAATATGTGATAGCTAGCATTAATTTATCTATGAGCTAAATGTTCTGTATTAAAGTAAGTCAATAGAAAATGCTTTGCTAGAGGACTTAGATTTGGGTTCAATATGAAAATAACTCACTGTATTACCATATTAATTTTTATTTAAAATTATATTATCCTAACAGAAGAGCAGAGTTTATGTTATTTCCTGGGTAACTTTTAAAATTATATAATCTGCCAGGTGTGGTGTCTCATGCCTGTATTCGCAGCACTTTGGGAGGCTGAGGCAGGAGGACTGCTGGAGCCCAGGTGTTTGAGACCAGTATAGGCAACATAGGGAGACCTCCTGTCTACAAAATTTTTCAAAGTTTAGTTGGGCATGCTGGTGTGCACCTGTAGTCCCAACTACTCAGGAGGCTGAGGAGGGAGGATTGCTTGAGCCCAGGAGATTGAGGCTATAGTGAGCTACGATCATGCCACTGCATGATCTAGCCTGGGTGTCTCAAATATACATATATATATTTTTCTTTTTTAATATCCTTCATAAGTGATGAAATCACAGAGTGGCACACACATTTTTTATGGCTGAATAGTTTCCTCAGTCATGTTCCTTCAAAGGCTATTTTTTGTAAGTAATGATAAAAAAGTTGTTACGTCTGTAATTTTATCTGCAAATATTATTAAGCCTGGGGGACAAATGATACTCAAAGAAAACATGAAGTTTCTATGTGCTACTTTTATTTATTTAATAGTAGAGCCTTCTTAAAAATGCAGTATTGATTTAAGTTCAAAATCTATTTTAAAATTCCATTAAAGTTCATCAAAGAAAAGCACTAGCACTATAATTTAGTACAAAAAGTAACTAGTAATAGATGAGAATTGGTATACCAGAAATAATAATAGTGTGAGACAATTGCTTATTGAAGTTTTAGAAGTTGCATCCAATGGCTAGCCATTCTGTTTGCTAAATCAGATGAAATGAGTCCAATTTGTTTAATCCTGTTTGTTATACAATCAAAGACTTATGTATTTAGGAAGAAATAGGTTCTGGCAGTAAAACAGGAGCCTATCTAAGTGGTTCTAAGCATTTAGTGAAAGGCCACCATTTCCACGGCAGGGAAAGGAAGACCTTTTACCAATACAGAAAAAGTACATGATAGTTTACAAATTCCAAGGCAGAAAACATAAGGTTTAGGAATGAATTGCCTAACCAATGGTAAGAGGGGAAACAAAATAAACCGTAGGCATATTCATAAGAGCTATAACCAGTAGCTTATCCCAAGAGCTCCAGATATTAGAATTAATAATTAAGGCCCAGAAACTAGCAGTGCAGAGGTAAGCATAATAATTTCATGGTTATCACATTTTATATAACTGACTTTCCAAATTGCTCTAATTTTTAAATAAAAGAAAGTTTCTTTTATTTAAAAGAATGGAAAGTGATGAAATCACAGAGTGGCACACCCATTTTTTGTGGCTGAAGAGTTTCCTCACTCATGTTCCTTCAAAGGCTATTTTTTGTAAGTAATGATAAAAAATTGGTACATCTGTAATTTTATCTGCAAATATTATTAAGCCTGGGGGACAAATGATACTCAAAGAAAACATAAAGTTTCTATGTACTACTTTTATTTATTTAATAGTAGAGCCTATGGAAAGGGTATTGGTTGCTAAGTCTGGAGACATACAATGTATGACTTTGGGGAAGCCATTTACACACTGTGGACCTCTGTTACCTGAGATATAAAAGAAAGGATTAGGTTGGATGAGTCTATCTTCTCTTTGCTGTATTATTTTAGGTCTCTATTTCATTATTCTAGTGCTAGGGCTCCCAGTTCAGTCATATGAAGAGGGAAGTGGTACCTCCTTCAAACTAGAGTTGAACAAGCAATCTGAGTTTTCCCAAAGATCCTGCAGTTATTTTCCAGAAATGAAAAAGAAGAAACCTCAGCTGGTGGCAACATTGTCACTGAAACAAGGCCTTTTAAAAATATGTTGTAGCCCAAAATCAACTTCAAAAGCAGTCAGAGTAGCAAGGTGACATTATTATAAGTGGCTGCTAATCTCACATATCATCTATAGCTTGAATTCAAGAGACACTTTTTAATCACAGCAAGAAAAATTAACCAAATGTTAAGAGGAAACCATTCATTACAGAAGACAGACAATCCTTTACACAGCTGATTGATTTTATGACATCTCATTTACTTTTGCACACAATCAAAAAGTAACAGTTTTCCTACACATTGCCAATGTATAGGATATCAGTTTCCAACAAAACCAGGACACTTGTTTGAAAAATGAGTCTGAAAAGACTGATTTGAGGTTATATTAATTTCTCTTGCACAATAAAGCAATATGACTTCATATGTACCAAATGCATTGTCATGTCAAAGCCAAGAAAATGAAACAAATAGTTATTCCACTCTAAAATTCATTTTTAATGATGGAATCCAGGTGGTCATAAATAAGCATTTTCCAGGTCTCATTCCAAAATCAATAGTGGAGTTCAAGATAAAGTCTCTGCTTGTAGATTTTCCCTTTCCACTGCCCCTTCCACAATTCAGCATGTTTCAAGAGGCTGAAGCAAATAGATTGAATGAACACTACACATCCATAGCATTCATTGTCTCTGTTTGCCTTCAGCCCATGCTCTGTTCTGAGATGAAAGAATCTGCAGAGTCCAGAGAAAATAGGCAAAAGTGTCAGAGAGCTCAGCATTTTCCTTAGGCATGACAGGTAGGCACTAAATCACTGGACCCTTTGTCCAGTCACCGGCATCATTCGTGACAGCCAGCCAGCCCTCCAAGCTTCAAAGCTGATGTGTGTGTGAGTGTGTGTGAGCGTGTGTGTGTGTGTGTGTGTGTGTGTGTGTGTGTGTTTTGGTTTGATTTTCTTCTTTTTCTTTTTTCTTTTCTTTTTTCTTTTTTGAGATGAAGTTTCACTCTTGTTGCCTAGGCTGGAGTGCAATGGCGCAATCTCGGCTCACTGCAAATTCAGCCTCCCAGGTTCAAGTGATTCTCTTGCCTCAGTCTCCCGAGTAGCTGGAATTACAGGTGCCTACTACCATGTCAAGCTAATTTTTTTTTCCTACATAAGGGCTTTGATATAAAATAGAACTAGAATCTGGGTATTCTAATTTAAGCAACTTCCTGTTGCTTCCTAGAGAAAGGAGTGAAAAATGACTGATGAATGAACTCATCATGAGTGTATATATGAATAAATTAAAAAAGAAACTCTTAAATCATCTGAACCTAAGAAATTTAGATCTGTTCTATGTTTTTACCTAACACTGCTCCTATATAGATGAACTAAGAGGTCATTTACAGCACCATCCCTGAGAAGTGTCTAAACCAAAAAGGATAGATAGATAGTCTCCAACTTAGGATTTTTTGACTTTATGCTGGTGTGAAAGCAATATGCATTCAGTAGAAACCATGCTTCAAGTGCCCATACAGCCATTCTGTTTTTCACTTTCCATATACTATTCTTTATGCCATCTCTTCTTTCTTGGATTTAATCTTCATATAATATTTAGAAAGCAGAGTGAAAATATTTTATCACTGAATATCAAGAGTTCTTATATGCTTACTAGCATGTATTTAACATTTTATTTATGTACAAAAATTTGTAGATATTTAGTTTGAAGACAAATTTATAAAAATATATTCTTTTAAGTTAAATTATGATATTTATAATCAATCTTTAAATTGAGGAAAAATCTATATATAGTGATTTCAAGTAAAAAGTTTCATGAGATATGACAAATGGGATACCAGTATCACAATCAGACAATGCAGATATGGAATATTTCTATCACTCCTGAAATTTACCTGTGCCTCCACCCCCTGTAGGCAACCACTTTTTAAAATAATTGCTATCATTATAGGATTAATTTTGCTCATTCTAGAATTTCTATACATGGAATTGAACTGTCCTTATGACTGCAACTCTGCAGTACATGGGTACTTAATAGGGTGATATTCTTAATAGGGTGATATTGGCCTCAAGGGGATGAAAGTTGATTATTGGTAATAAGTGAAAAAAGCTTGAATATTACAATGATGTGTGGCACTCCAAAACTCAACCTTATCTGACACGTATTATGTAAGACTTAATTTCTCTCATTAGAAAGACAATTGAGACTTAATTTACCTTATTAGGGAGAATTTAAATTTAATTTTTCTCAGGGCAGGGGATAATAATTTTTAAAATGTTGAGATGCAATAGAAAAGATACGGTATTGTGCAATTGTTTGCCATAATATTTTATTAAGCAGATGGGGTCAAGTTGGTTGATAGTGTTACTTATGTCTTTTGTATCCTTATTGAATTTTTAGTCTACTTGTTCTATTAGTTATTTTTAGGAGAGAGCTAAGTCTCCATTTATAATTGTGAATTTGTCTATTTCCCCCTTCAGTTTGATCAGTTTTTGTTTCATGTATTTTGAGGCTCTATTATTAAGTACTCTGAAATTCCAGTTCTTCAGATCAAAAATGAAGAGTCATTCTGGGATATCTCTATCTTATTCCACACATCCAAATTGTTTTTATTTTGTTTGCTCTAACTTTAAAATATATCCAGGATCTAATTATTTTTTACCACCTTCACTGTTACAACTATGTCTAAATTACCATTATGTCTCACTTGCATTGCTGCAAAACCTCCTATTGGGCCCTCGATTTCTATCTTGGCAAGGTAGAAATGTTTAAGCTTAGTGAAGAAGGCATATTGAAAGTTGAGAAGGGCCAAAGCTAGGCTTCTTGCACCAGTTAGCCAAATTATGATTATAAAAGAAAATGTATTGAATACAATTAAAATGCTACTCCAGTGAACATATAATAATACAAAAGCAAAACAGCTCTATGGCCAATATGGAGAAAGTTTGAGTGATGTGGATAGAAAATCAAACTAGCCACAACACTTTCTTAAGGCAAAGCTTAAACCAGAGCAAAGCCATAACTCTCTTCAATTCTATGAATGTTCCAGAGAAGTGAGGAAACCGCAGAAGAAATTTTTGGAGCTAGGAGTTGGTTCATGGGGTTTAAGGAAAGAAGTCGTCTCCATAATATAAAAGTGCAAGGTGAAGCAGCAAGTGATGATGTAGAAGCTGTAACCAGTTATCCAGAAGATCTAGCTAAGATCATTCATGAGGCTGGCTGCACTAAACAACAGATTTTCAATGTAGACAAAACAGCCTTCTATTGGAAGAAGATGCCATCTAGGACATTCGCAGCTCAAGAGAAGATGTCAATGCTTGGCTTCAAAGCTTCAAAGGACAGGCTGACTCTCTTGTTAGGGGTTAATGCAACTGGCAACTTTAAGTTGAAGCTAATGTTCATTTACCATTTCAAACATTCTAGGGCCCTTAAAGATTATGCTAAATCTCCTCTGCCTGTTTCTATAAATGGAACAACAAAGCCTAGATGACAACATATCCGTTTACAGTATGGTTTACTGGATATTTTAAGCCCACTCTTGAGATCTACTACTCAAAAAAGATTCCTTTCAAAATATTACTGCTCACTGACAATGCACCTAGTTAGCCAAGATCTTTGATGAAGATGTATAAGGTTAATGTTTTTTCAGCTAACACAGCATCCATAATCTATGGGTCAAAGATTAATTTTGACTTCCAACTCTTATTCTTTAAAATAATACATCAAGTAAGGCTGTGACTGCCTAGTGATTCCTCTGATGAAACTGGGGAAACTAATTAAAATCCTCTGAAAAGAATTCATCATTCTAGATACCATTAAGAACATTTATGGCAGGTCAAAATATCAATATTAATGGGAATTTGGATGAAGTTGATTCTAATCATTATGGATAACTTCAAATAATTCTAGAGCTCTATAGAGGAAGTAACTTCAGATGTAATGGAAACAGCAAGAGAATTAGAAGTGGAGCCTGAAGAGGTGACTGAACTGCTGAAATTTCATAAAACATAAACAGATGAGGAGTTACTTCTTGTGGATGGGCAAAGAAAATTGTTTCTTGAGAAGAAATCTACTCCTGGTGAAGATGTCACAAACGTTGAAATGATAACAAAGGTTTAGAATCTTTCATAAAATTAGTTAATTAAGCAGTGGCACAATTTGAAAGGACTGAGTCCAATTTTGAAAGAAGTTGTACTATGGGTAAAATGCCATGAAACAGCATCCCATCGTAGAGAAATCTTTGGTGAAAGGAAGTCAAAGATACAGCAAACTTCCTTGTTCTCTTATTTTTAGAAATTGCCACAGCCACCCCAATATTCAGCAACGAGCATCCTGACCAATCAGAAGCCAGCAACATCGATGCAAGACCCTCCACCAGCAAAAATATTATGATTCCCTGAGACTCAGATGATCATTAGCATTTTCAGCAATAAAGTATTTTAAATTAAAGTTATGCACATTTTTTGACATAATGCTATTGCTCACTTAATAGACTGTAGTATAGGGTAAACATAACTTTTAAATGCACTGAGAAAACAAAAAACTTTATTACTCACTTTATGGTGATATTCCCTTTATTGTGGTGGTCTGGAACTGAACCCACAATATTTCTGAGGTATGCCTGTACTGGTAAGAATCTGCCAGTTGTTTATAATAAAGTTATACAGTACTTTATTTCAATAACAAATTAGGCATTTCACTCTCATTGCAGAAATACCACACTGGGTAAAAAAATTAGAGAAAAAAGACAGTTAAAGAAAGGAACAAGGTCCTCAGTTACAAACCTCCAGGTTGGTATGCATAGTATTATTACAATACTAAGTACTAGTCAATAATGTTTAGAGACTGTTCAGAATAAGTTGCAGTGATCTGCTGCTCTCCTGAAGTCAAGTAAAAATATACTCTTCTTGCTCACAAATTACACCAAATACTTGTTTTGCCAGATCGGATTCATTCACAGTCAGCATGAAGAAGGAGATCCAATTAGAAGCTGAATAACATTTGCTTTCATTGATTTCCAAGTCCAAAAATCCCAGGCGAAACACAATTTTGATTAGTATAGATCAAAAATTTTGAATACTAGTTGCTGTCAACAGAATGCATCCCTTGCCATTACCTCATTCTCTGAGTAAAAGTGTCAGATAGTACCTCTGCTAATGGACTTTTCACCTAGGATCAGGACACATCCTTTTTTATAAACTGCTGGGCTTCATGATTCTCAGTTAAAAAATAAACTTTACATTGTTATGCATATTTTTACTTTGCAACATGCTCTCATTTATTTTCTCTTTGATCTTGGAGGATATATTAATGATACTTTTTCATAATTAGGTATTTTAGTTTCCACCTTACCAAACTCAAAATTCTGGTTGATCGTATCTACATCTTCAAAATATATTATTAATAATACACACTTGTATTTTTAATCCTCCTATTTCTTTCTCCTTTTTTCTGGTCTTCACTCTTTCTTACTTATAAGCATTCACATTTATGATTTTCCAGTCAAGCTTTTGCACAAGAGGAATGAGTTTAATAAATATTCTTCCTAGGTCCTTAAAATCTAATAAATTTTTAGTTGGTAATAAAAATAAATGAATTTCAATTTTAGAAAAATTTGAGGACACAGATGTATAGCAAAAAAAGTAAACAAATAATTAAACAATTCCAAAGAGATTAACACAAAACTGTGTTGCAAATTTCAAGCCTTTCTTTAATAAAAAATGTTTATTTTTAACATGTACAGTTTTGATTCTTCCTTTTTTTAGATTAAATGAAAAAAATAATTTTATGTCCAAGTTTGCTGAGTTTTACTCAACAGATATACTGCAAGCAGATGTAGAATATTTCCATCATCACAGAAAGTATCTTCCTGCTCCTCCTTTCCAATAAATCTACTCTCATTTCTCAAGGAAATCACTGCTCTAATATCTATCACCATAAGTATAGATTTGCCTATTGTAAAAGTCACATGCATAGAATCTTTTAGTGTGTGTCTAAATTATTTAGTTATTTAGTATGGACTGGATGACTGGCCAAATCATTTGCTTCTCTAGGTCCTTGTTTTTTCATTAGAAAAAAGAATAATTGGGCGGGCACAGTGGCTCACACCTGGAATCCCAGCACTTGGAAGGCCAAGGTGGGTGGATCACTTGAGGCTAGGAGTTGGAGGCCAGCTTGGGCAGCATGGTGAAACCCTAACTCTACTAAAAATACAAAAATTAGCCCAGTGTGGTGGTACATGCCTGCAATCCCAGCTACTCAGGAGGCTGAGGCAGCAGAATCACTTGAACCCAGGAGGCAGAAATTCAAGCAAATAAGAATGAGAAGGAGGAGAAGAAGGAGGAAGCAGAGGAGGAGGGAGGAGTAGGGGTAGGAGAAGGAGATTGGATTTGATCTATCAGGTTCCTTTCAGTTAAGAGAGTGTGATTCTACAATACACCAGTTGAATGTTGTAGCATTATATTCTTACTTGCCTCAGTTTAGTTGTTAAAACCGCTTTTAGAATTTTCTGACACACACCTGTAGAGTCTTTTTGTATCTGCATTAATTCAATCAACATTATGTACATATAATGTTGATTGAAATTATATATGTAATGTTGGTTGGATTTACAACATTGTGGAAGTTGTAGAGATTTTGCTTTTACATTTGGGTCCATGATACATCTTGAATTAATCTTGTGTATGGTGTGAGGTATGGGTAAAGCTTAATTTTTTTTAATTGTATATCTTCTTATTCTAGTAACATTTGTTGAAAAAAACTATCCATCCTCAATTGAATTACCTTGGCACCTATGTAAGTGGTTATATACATTTGGGTCTATTTCTGAAATCTCTATGTGTCACATTTATTATTTACCTGTTTATTTACTTGTTCAGTTAAATGTATGCTTATTTATTTGTTTATTTTATTTTAAATACCACAGTGTGTATATTACTAACTCTTTAAAGAAAGTCTTACTTAAGTATATATTTTCCAAATTCATTCTTGTGACAGATTTGGCTAATTTACTTTCTTTGTATTTTGATACAAACTTTAGTGTCAGACAATTTTTTCTAAAACAGAAATCCTGCAGATATTTTGATTTAGCACTGAATCTATAGATCAATATGAGAATAATTAACAACAATTGACAACAATATAAAATTTTTGAATCCATGAATATAATAGATATAGTATTCCATTTATTTAAATCTTTTTAAATTTCTATGGGTAATTTTCATTGTGGAAATATTGAAGATTTTTATTAAATGCATTCATAATACTTTATAATTTTGATAGTATTGAAAATAATATTGTTTCATTTTATTTTATATTCCACTTGTACTAAATATAGGAATTTAATTGTTTTTTATACTGACTCATGTTCTTCAACTTTGAAAGATTCACTTACTGTTTTGTAAATAGTTAATTTACTTTAAATGTAAGAAAAAACAATGTAAGAAATAATGTAAAAAATAAAAACATTTACGTAATGTAAGCAAAAAAGATAATAAAAACAATGTAAGAAAAAATAAAATTAGTCTTTGATATTTACCATTTTTAGTTCTCTACACTCATTCCTGTTGACCCATATTTCCATCTGGTGTCACTTGTTTCAGCCCAAAGAGTTTCCTTTAGCATTTGTTGTATTGCTTGTCTGCTGGTGACATATTCTTATAGCTTTGTTGTTTTCCCTTTAGTTTTGAAATACATTTTCACTGGATATAGAATTCTAAGTTGACAGGCTGTTTTTCCTGACATCTATTTAATGGTGTAGTCACATTGCCTCTGGCCTCTGTTGTTTCTGATGAGTCAGCAATTACTTATATTCTTTTTCTTTTGTGTGTAATATGTCTTTTTCCCTCTGGCTGCTTTTACAATTTTCTCTTTATGATTGCTTCTTAGAAGTTTGATGCTGAAGTGACTAAATATGGCTTTCTTTTCATTTTTATCTTTCTTGGGGTTTGCTTAGCTTCCTGGTTTTCTAGTTTGCTTTTTATAATCCAATTTGAATTTTTTTTGCCTAATATTTTCTGCTTCAACTGTTTTTCTGATACATCACTCTATCCATGTCTTCTGGACTACAAGTTCATTATATAGCTTGATGCTGTCCCACAGATTACTGAGGCTCCTTTCATTTTTCAATATTTTTGTTTTGACCTGAATAATTTCTATTGATCTATCTACAAATCCACTTATACATTTTTCTGTTTTTATCCAGTCCATTGTTAATTCCATCCAATGGATGTTTTATTTCAGATATTGCATTTTGCAGTTCTAAGAATTTCATTTGATTCCTTTTTGTAGCTCTGGATATCTCCTGAAATTTCTCAGGACTTCAATAATTATATTACTTTTTCATGTACAAAACGTACATGATAAGTACATGATAAGATATTTGCCATAGTTATTTTAAAGTTCTTGCTTACTTATCTGTTTTTTCCATCTTCACAATTTCTTTAAAATTTTAGACTACAAACTTTAGATAATAGTTGTGGAGCATGTCAATTCTGTTATATACCTCTGAAGAGTATTGATATTTGTCTGTAAATTATTACCTGATTACTTTGAACTAGTGAAGGCCATTCACTGTGTGCTTTGTTAGGAAGGAGCTATTTTAGTTTTGCCCTTAATCTTATCATTATTCCTTTAGTTCTGGTCATGTTCTTTTTCTAATCCCCATAGTCCCTCTGGACTTTCAATAAAAACACTGAAGTGTTTAACAAGCCTGTCAGAAATCCAAGCACAGCTTAACAGTTACAACTCACTCAAAATCTTTGATTAAGGTGGCTGTCAGCCAGGGCAGTGGTCTTATCTGAAGTTTCAGCTGGGTGGTTATATGAGAAGGTATAATCTATTTCATAACCATTACATGCTTACTGTCAGACCTTTTGTTCCCTTGTTGCATGGGCCTCTGAAAAGGGCCACATAACATGGCAGCTGGCTTTTCCTGGGGTAAGAAATCCAAGGGAGAGTGGGAGAGAAAGAACCCCAATTCAGAAGTCACAGTCTTTATTACTTGATTTTGGAAATGACATACCATCACTTCTGCTATATTCTTTCTTTACAACTGAGTAAATAAATCCAGGCCATACTTAATCAGAAGGCAATTATACAAGAGAGTGAATACAAGAGGTGGGACTTTTAGGGGTCATCTTAAAAGTTGCTTACCACACCATGTAAGCTTTTATAAGTAATAAAACATATAGTGACATATTGTCATTGTGTTAGTCCATTCTTGCATCACTATGAATAAATACTTGAAGCTGAGTAATTTATAAGAAAAAAAGGTTTATTTTGGCTCATGGTTGTGCAGGCTGTACAGGAAGCATGGTTCCAGCATCTGCATGTAGTGAAAGCCTCAGGAAGCTTACAATCATGGTGGAAAGAGAAGGGGAACCAGCATGTCCCATGACAAGAGAAGGAGCAAGAGAGAGAAGAGGATGAAGTTCTGAACTCTTTTAAATAACCAGATCTCACTTGAACTAACTGAGAAGTCACTTATTACCAAGGGGATAGTGCTAAACCATTCATGAGGGATTCATCCCATGATCCAACCACCTCCCATCAAGCCCCATCTCCAACATTGGGAATCACGTTTCAACATAAAATTCGGAGGGAACAAGCATCCAAACAATATCATTCCACCCCTGTCCTCTGCAAATCTCATGTCCTTCTCACATTTCAAAATATAATCATGAATTTGCAATAGTCCCCCAAAGTCTTAACTTGTTCCAGCCTTAACTAAACAATCCCAAGTCCCAAGTCCAAAGTCTTATCTGGAGATGAATTCCTTCCACCTACGAACCTGTGAGGTCAAAGAATAAAATGTTACTTATTCCCAAGATACAATAGTGGTATAAATACTTTTCCATTCCAAAAGGGATAAATTTGCCAAAGGAACAGAGCAATAGGCCTCAGGCAAGTCTGAAACTTAGCAGGGAAGCCATTAAATATTAAAGCTCCAAAAGAATATTCTTTGGTTCCATGTCTCACAACCACAGCACACTAGTGCAAGGCTTTGGGCAGCTCCACCCCAGTGGCTTTGCAGGATGCCACCCTCACGGCTGCTCTCATGGTTTGGGGCTGAATGCCTATGGTTTTTCCGTGCTGAGGCGGCAAGCTGCTGGTAAATCTTCTATTTTGGGGTCTAGAGGACTGTGGTCCCCTTCCCACAGCTCCACTAGGCAGTGCCCTGGTGGGGATTCTATGTGGGGTCTCCAATTCCACATTTCCCCTAGGCACTGCCCTAGTAGACTTTCTCTATGGGGGTCTGCCCCTGCAGCAGGCTGCCTAGGTGCCCAGGTTTTCCCACGTATCCTCTGGAATTTAGGTGAGAGATGCTAAGCTTCCTTTACTTTTGCATTCTGGGCACCTGTACGCTTAATACCACATGGAAGCTGCCAAGGCTTATAGCATTTTGTGCTCTTCAAAGTGGAGCCCAAGCTGTATCTGGGGCCGTTTGAGTGACGGTGAGTGGCTGGGATGCAGGGATCAGTGTGCTATGGCTCTGTAGGGCAGCAGTGCTTTGTGTCTAGCCCCTAAAATCACTTATTCCTCCCAGGCCTCTGGGCCTGTGATGAGAGGCACTGCCTTAAAGATTTCTGAAATTTTTTTGAGACTTTTCTCTCATTGTCTTGGATATTAGCACCTGGCTCCTTTTTAGTCATGAAAATCTCTCTAGGAAGTGGTTGCTCCACAGACTGATTGGATTCTTTCTCAACCACAGGGACAAGCTGCAAATTTTCCAAATGTTTATGCTCTACTGGTCTTTTAAATAAGAATTCAGACTTTAAGGTGTTTCTTTGCTTCTGTATCTAATGATAGGCTGTTGGAAGCAGCTATGCCACTTCTTGAATGCTTTACTGCTTAGAAATTTCTTCTACCAGATGCCACAGATCATCACTCTTAAGTTCAAACTTCTGTTAGAGCCCTAGGCCATGGACACAATGCAGCCAAGCTCTTTGATAGACATAACATGAGTGATCTTTACTCCAGTTTCCAATAACTTCCTCATTTCTGAGACCTCATTAGCCTGGCCTTCACTGTCCGTGTCTCTATCAGCATTTTGGTCACAACTATTTAACCAGTTATCTAAAAAGCTGAAATCTTTCCATCATCTTCCTATCTTCTCAGAGCCCTCCAAATTCTTCCAAACTCTGCCTGTTACCCAGTTCCATAGCTGCCTCCTCATCTTCAAGTATCTTTATAGCAGTACCCCATTCTCAGTACCAATTTTCTATGGTAATGCATTCTTGAATTGCTATAAAGAAATACCTGAGGCTGGGTAATTTATAAGGAAAAAAAGTTTATTTTAGCTCATAATTCCACAGGCTGTACAGAAAGCATGGTGCCAGCATCTATTTCCAGTGAGGGCCTCAGGAAACTTGCAATCACGGTGAAAGGTAGAGGAAAACCAGCATTTTACATGTTGAGAC
The DNA here is from genome assembly GCF_000001405.40 of Homo sapiens. Lineage (NCBI taxonomy): Eukaryota > Metazoa > Chordata > Mammalia > Primates > Hominidae > Homo > Homo sapiens. The sequence goes on along the minus strand of NC_000001.11, from coordinate 98,826,588 downwards.
AGGGAGCAAGAGAGAGAGCAAGAGGAGGTCTCAGACTCTTTTAAACAATCAGATCTTGCATGAACTATTAGAGAGAACTCACTTAACACCAAGGGGATATTATTAAACCACTCATGAACAATCCACCACCATGATCCAATTACCTCCCAGGCCCCACCTCGAATATTGGGAGTCACATTTCAGTATGAGATTTGAAGGAGACAAACATCTAAACCATATCACACTGAGCACTCACTTTTAGTTTCCTAATCTCAGACATCCTTATGCTAATAATAATCCTATAAGTTTGGAAAAATTAGTTTCAGAGTAGAGACAATCAAGACACAGAATTTAAGTGACTTGCCAGCTGAAATCACAATTTTGATCTTCTAAGTTCTTTATTGCATAATCAAAGGCTGACACATTAATAAGGCAATTCCCACCCCTTTATTTATTTTTTTTAACAGATAGGGTCTTCATCTGTCATCTGGTTTGGAGGTTGGAGTGCAGTGGCATGATTATGGATCACTGCATCTGGAACTTCTGGGCTCAAGTAATTTTCCCGCCTCAGCCTCCCAAGTAGCTAGGGCTTACAGGCATGCACCATCATGCCCAGATAACTTTTTTTTTTATTTTTATTTTTTGTACAGATGGGGTCTTGCTTTGTTGCCCAGGTTGGTCTCAAACCATGGCATCAAGTGATCCTCCTGCCTCAGCCTCCCATATCGTACTCTTTTTATGGTCTCAGTTTAATCATCATTTTTTCCAGAAAAATTCTTGAATTCTCCAAGACTAAACTTGGTATACATTTATAGGACTACTTTGATCTCTATTGTTGCCTTACTACAGCACTTAGTACCCTATATTTGTCATATAATAACTATAATACAAGCTTTTTGAGGGTAGATATGGTGCCTTACTCATGATGCATTTCCATTTATTTCTATAATAGCAATCTAGAGAGATAGCCTTATCAGAGTCATAAATACTGATTTCTGAATACCCTAGAGGGCAGTCTGTCTTTTTTTCATATATAAAGGTTAAAAACAATATTGATGTTTGATTTTAAAAAAGAAACAAAATGGCCAATAAGAGGTTAAAAAAGAGAAGAAAAATATGGAAAAAAGAAAGCTCTCTTCTTTGTAACATTCCCATTCCCAAATTTCCTCACTCAGTGACCTAGGGATTGGATTATTTTATCTTAAAATATATGTCCAAAATGAAGCGGCAATAAGAATTTTAAGAACAGGTTGCACATTAGCAGGACAGTGAATGAAAGCACTGTGACCTCTTCTTAGTTATTGAGCATTACTGCTAGGCTAATTTGAGAAGCCACGACAGAATTGTTTGATGCTTCTTGAAGGTCATCTTTGACAGTTAGTAGTTAATTTTCTGACTTATGGCACTTTTTTCTTTTCTAAATTTGGAAATTATGATTCTTTTGTGTACTTTGGCTTTTCACTCATTACATTCTATAGGATTGCCAGAGAGGACCGTAGAAAGTCTTTTGAGTGACAACATTTCAGCAGGTTTTTTTTTTGAGCATTGAGAAATATTGTCACTGGGGCTTTTGGAGGATGGATTATTTTCTTGGCAGGTAGCGTGGCCTCCACAGGGCTCATTAGGCTTTCTGTTGGGAAGATCTAAAGTGCGCAGTTGAATACTGTCATAAAAAGGGGAAGTGGTTTGGGCCTAATTCCTGATGGAGCTGCAAAGACTACAGCTCCTTTTTGATCTCTGAATTCCAAATAGTCCTTTTATAGTTGTCATATTATTGACTGTTCATTCCAGAGCCATGATTCCTTTTCTTTCTAAATCTTTTATGCTCAGAATGTTATTCAGATGCTTAGTATTACATGAGCAGATTGGCACCCTAGTGTATTTAATAATATCAATATTTCCTTCTAACTGGCTGTGGTGTGTGTGTGTGTTTCATAAAAGAGTTCTTCTTTGCAGGACCTGGTTTCTCCAGGTTAAGCAGTCATACATCAAACTCAGTTGTCATTTTCTATTTGTTCCTTGTGTAACCTCTTACAATATTCCTCAACTGATCATTGACAGAAATTTTAATGCATGATGTTATTTGGTGGTGTGAGGTAGAGAAAACAATTTCTTATTTTTCATATAAAAGTGATTTGCAAATTTTCTTGAGAATGATGACAGGACTACCGTATTGACTAAAATTAAAGATCTCTGTCTGGATAAGAAAGCAGAAAAATATGACAAGGTAATTCTACATGTAAAACTTGCATTTTTTCCCCATGAATAACTATTTCATATTGTTTTAAAGAAATATAACTTTAAGAAAAAGAAGGGTGACAGGCGCGGTGGCTCACACCTGTAATCCCAGCACTTTGGGAGGCCGAGATGGGCGGATCACGAGGTCAGGAGATCGAGACCATCCTGGCTAACACGGTGAAACCCCATCTCTACTAAAAATACAAAAAAAAAAAAAAAAAAAAAATTAGCTGGGCGCGGCGGCAGGCGCCTGTAGTCCCAGCTACTCGGGAGGCTGGGGCAGGAGAATGAACCTGGGAGGCGGAGTTTGCGGTGAGCTGAGGTTGCGCCACTGCACTCCGGCCTGGGCGACAGAGAGACTCCGCCTCAAAAAAAAAAAAAAAAAAAAAAATTAGCCAGGCAAGGTGGCACGCACCTGTAAGTCCCAGCTACTCGGGAGGCTGAGGCAGGAGAATTGCTTGAACCTGGGAGGAGGAGGTTTTTCAGTGAGCCAAGATCACCACGCCACTGCACTCCAGCCTGGCAACAGAGTGAGATTCCGTCTCAAAAAAAAAAAGAAAAGAAAAGAAAAAGAAGTTTTATTCCACCTTATGAAATAAATCACATACCACTTATTCATCTTTTCTCTGTTGCAAATACAAAAGGCATGAGTTTAAGGTTTATTATCACGAAACATTATTGTTTATATCTGTCATGAACTGGCAACTGTTCCATGAGTAATAACATGTTAATGTGTAAGATTTAGAAATAAAAAATGATTAAGAATTTTTTAATAATTTCAAAACGTAATTCAGTGTTTACTCAGATTAATAGTTGATATGAGTATGACCATTTTGTTTTCCTTTTCATTAATGATTGTTTTTATTTTAGTCCTTTCTAATCTTCTAATTTATCTGGATACTTACTACCCATAGTTTATTTTTTGCTTAGGATTATTATCAATTAAACTTGCCAGGACTTAGTAGTTTAGTTACAACATGAATGAAGAAGATTTGGTTTTGGACAAGTGGGCAAAGGTAGTATGAACTAAAGGCCTGTATTAGAAACACAGAATACTGTAACAATTCTAAAGGCATCATATCCATTTTTACAAAGAAATCCCAGACTGTTTGTTGATGTTTCTAGAATAATCTTTTGTGTTATAATGGCACCAGATTGTTCTGCTGTATCATTTTAAAAATAAAAAAGATAGTGCTCCAACAGTATTGAATATAATTTTGTAAAAGGAAAAATAGTTACCTATAACCCTAAACCTCAACTAGGTATTTTAATTTTTGCATGTTAGCTTCCAATCCTTGTGTATTTGCATCTATATTTTTAATAAAATTTATTCCACTTAATATTTACACCCTACAGACTTCACGTTTTTAGTAATCTTTATAATTATTATTTTCACAATAAGTATAGCTTTTCAAAGAGACTGGCTTACTTTCATAGCTAATAGATTTGAGTCTCCTATTCTTATACTTACAGCAAAAAAAGGTACAAAGTTACGCTAATTTGCTACTAAATCACTGGTGCAGAGCTGCTAGCACGATGAAGATTTAGGCAGACAGAATTTTAAATGTTCGGTTGGCAGTGCTGAACTGGGAACTTTCTTCAATCAGAACCTGTAACCACACATGCCACATTCCTGTCCTCTTGGGTCCCTAAAAGTAAATATTACAATGCACACCCAGACCTTGTGAAAATCAAAGAAGAATCTATTACCTAAAGTCTCTTTTTAATCTTAAGAAACCGATGGAATTGTTCTATCTATGGAAATGAATTCTTATAATGATGATAGGGATTATTATTTTGTCAATAGCCAATGTACAAATCAGTAAAAGAAAAAAGGAGTAACATTTCCTTGAACATGTTTCCTTAAAATATCAAGTGAAGATATTTTGAATGATTTAGCACCATTAAATATTTATCGATGCGAAAAGTATAGATTTTTTATAACTGACATTAACATTTCAAAATTAAAACAATTATGTCTTGTACTTAATTATAAGACATAGTGTTGGCTTTATAAACCTAATCTTAACTAGAATAAGAGCATCATAAAATTAACTATTTAGTGTTAGAGTTATCTAGGAACAAAATATAAAATAGGATCCATGTAAACCATTCATTCATATATTCACTTTATGAATATTTACTGAACACTTTCCTTGTATGTGGTAAGAATATAACAAACACTAATAGATCCTTCTCTTCAAGAAGCTTAAATATTTGAAATGAAATACTTTGGAAATTGAAGCCTGTTAGGAATATTAGTGGCCACATTGTTCTTTCTGTTATTTACTATACGATTTAGGTAGGAAAAATAAAAGAAAGCAATAAATATTTAGTTTGCTTGTTTTCTTATATAAAGACAGTTCTTATTAAGACCTGTCTGGAAAATTAAGAGCTTGAGGTATAAATATGTAAATTATTTTTCTCCTCAGTGAGATTGGATAATCTTAATTTAACAAGAATCTCAACTGTGTGGTGGTGCTCAGCTCCCACTGAGATGTTCATTTCTTTGCCAAAACAGAGTGATCAGCTTCCACTATGCAAGCACATGTTGGCTTCTTTTTAGGCAAATGGTGAACACAACTCACTTGCAGATATGTGTGTAAAGAGGCTGCCTCATATATGCCACACACATGCTTTGCAAATTTAACAAATATTTTCTTACATGTGTTTCACCATTGATATTTTATGACCAAGGAAGCTCCATATTTGTGGTAAAAGTGTGGTTAACAATACCTCTCTTAGATGTTGGCACTTTATTCCTTGAGGTCTGGGATCAAGTAAATATTTGTCCTCTTTTCTGGTTCACGTCAAAAAGACACTGTACTATTTGCAGTGTTTCCTATGACAAATGTGTTTCATTTACTTTTAAAGATGTGTACTTCTAATCCATTTTCAAAGAATGAAATAGCTTAATTATTTTGAATATTTTTTCCTTGCCAGATTAGTAGTTTAAAGAGATAATCACATGCAAAGCTTCCTCTAAGCTAAATCACTCCTGAGGGGGGCTCCTTCAACAACTTAACCCATATTTTGGTTACTTTTCTTCCTGCTGGTAAATAAAGACATTCAACTGTAAATATATTCCAGAGCAGCATTGCAAGGTCAGTGAATTATTGGATAAATAAATAATTATTAGATAATCTCTGATTACTTGACAGAGAAAGACATTATTATTTATTATTACAACTACATGTATGTGAGCATTATCATAATAATGTACATTACATCATTGTACATGTGCTTTATAATAATATATATTATAATAATATTCACATGTACAAGTGCATTATAATAATAATGATTTCAAATTGGTTTTGTTTTATATGTTATGCCATATTTGTGTTTTAAATTAGCATTAATTAAACTATAATAAACCTACAACTGCAAATAGAAATAAAATGAGGTATAAAATGTGATCCCCAAATAAGCTCAAATTTTACCTGAAAGAGGGATAAATACACATCTATACAGGTGTCCTATTTAAACTCAAACTAAAAGTGTGGCTATTTACATCAGTGGGTTAGAAACACCTAATTTGATGTGGTTCCTTTGAGTCAGAAACCCGAGTGGATTTCGGTTCTGGATGGAGCAGGTTGAAGATATCTTGGAAACCTGCTGTCTAAACTCCTCATTATCTTTTTTTTTTTTAAATCCTCTTACAGAATACTGTACATTCCCATTGAGATTGTTATGAATGTCACCTAACTGATCTTTCTACCTTTAAATTTAGCCCATTCTAGTCTGAATCTGATCTGATCATTGAAGCCAAAAAAATCTTTCTAAAATATGTCTGACCTTTCCATCTCCCTGCTTAAAAGCTTCAATGAATCCCATTGCTTTTATTATAAAGTAAAAACCATAAGTATATTTTCCAGCTTCTGAATGATTGGGCCAGTGCTTAAATCTGAGTTCATCCCTGCCCAATCCCCATTCACATTACATCCTCCAGTAGAAATGAAGTTCCGATAGTTCTTTGAATGCATTATGTTCACTGTGCACTTGGGCCTTGGATTTCATGCATGCCCTTCCCTTTGCCCTGACGCTGGCAGCCTCAGTTTTCCTCCTTCCTGGCTGACTCCAATTAATTTCTTAGATTTCAGATTAGATCTCTTCATTCAGGCAAGGTTGAGGTTAGGTATTTTTTGTGTGTGTGGCTATGACCTCTGTACTTACATCATCAATATACTTCTTACATCCTACTTGAATTTCCTATTTGCTTGTCCCAGTAGTCTTTAAGCTACGTGAGGGAAAGTGCTTGGATACAATGTAACTGTGTTACAGTTTTATCCATTAAAAACTGTACTAAAGTACAGTTAAAAACTATATAGAAGATGTTAGAGGTTTTGGGGAATTAGGTTACTTGAGATTCTGTCCTATAAGAAATAATTGAAAGAGAAAATAAAATGTTTCATCAAAGGTTCTGAGAAATCTAGCCAGTTGAAAAAAAAAAAAAAAAAAAAACTCTGGGAGTATTACATAGCAGACAACACATTTAGTGTTGTCTAAACATCCAAGTGCTCTCCTACATTTCCCAGAGTTGGGTTATGGTCACAAGACGAGTTCTGGCCAGTGGGCAGAGAGATACATCACTTCGAGGACATGGCAATGAACAGTTACTCTGCTACTTCCATCTCTCTTTTCCTCTGGAAAAGTAATCCTGAAGGCCACATGTTCCAGAAAGCATAGTACAGGATTCAGAAAGGCATCCTGGCCCACACGAGAAAGAAATAAGCCTTTATTTTTCTAAGACCCTAAGATTTCAGGGTTTGTCTGATATGGTCAATAATTACCCAAACCAGTACAGGGAATAATGACTGTCTTCAAGTATTTTAAGAAGCCAGTCATATATAAGAGTAACAAGATATGATCTATCAGTTCCTAACGAATAGAATTAAAACCAAAAGATAAATTTTATTTTATTTTTTTAACAATCAGAACTATACCAAGATGGTTTGGGGTCTTAAAAAAATGAGCACTACTGGTATTTGGTCACTATGAGAACATTGTAGAAGGCATTGGAGTGCTTCATAGGTGATTAGGCCAGGACATCAACAGAGAGCCTGGAGGAAGTGGTAGTTTTTAAGAAGAGGAACGACCTACAGCAAGGCTGCTTGGAAGGTGTGTGTTATTGACTCAAATGGCAGCAAGAATATACATATTAGCCTATTAGCCACCTCTTGTGACCAAACAGTTTAACCCTCACCTTGCCTCACCACCACCTTTGGTGAACTGGCAAATTTCCTTAGCTTCCCAAATATCCTTCCAATGATACCTTCACCGGTGCCCACAGCTTTTGACCCTGGCTTTTCTAGCTAGCATTTTTTCTCTTTCAACAGTTTTGCTTTCATATCTACATCACTACCTTCTGGGGATCTTTACCTATTATTGTGTGAAACTTGGCCTTAAACAATGTGCCTCCCAGCCACAAATTCAGATTAACGTAGGTGCAAGCTGTTAGAAAAATACATGTATTTTAACTAGAAATAGTGTATTATTTCTAATTTGTTCATTTTTAAACTCCTTATATGCTACATTGATTTAAAAAAACTGTTCTGAGGCAAATTTGCAGTGACCCTTCCAAGTGATATATTTTTACAAAGGTAGGCATAGTTGTTGCCCATTTTATTGATTCCTAACACAACACACTTTGAGGTGGATGAGATCAACAGGCAGCAGGATGACATTCACTTAATTATTCAAGATTTGTTTATTGAACACCTACTATGTACCAGGTATGCTGGATGTTTATCTGCACAGAAGAAATTCAGAGTCCCTGTCTTCTTAGAACTTGCCTTCTAATGGGACTATTAAAAAATAAACAAGCGGGGTAAATATATATTAAGCAAGTATCATTTAGTAATGTGAAGGGGGTATGTACAGTGCTATACTAGAATCTGATGGAAGTGAGTAATTTATTCCAGGTAGGTTACTAATATCCCAGGTTAGGCTATTTGATTTATACAGATAAATTTAAAAATTAAACTCTTGTTTTCTCCCACGATCTAGCTCACAGGATTTCATATTTCATCAGATAATTACCACCAAATCCCAAAACATAACATTGTATAATGCTGGTTCACAACCAACAAATACAGCAGTCTAGAAGGAAAGAGAAGATACAGCATTCTCTTGAAAGAGGAAAGCAGAACTTTTGCCAATGTAATAGCAAAGATACAAAATTCAAGAAATCATCAGAAAAAGAAGGACAAACAGAGCTGTTCAACCATAACATCTTATTCCAGGCAGAGAAAGGGCACAGATGGACAAGGGATTACTGCCATGTGCAGCCCAGTGCCACCACCAGGCTAGGGCTCAGCAGTGCTGGGAGCCAGTGTGCAGAAGAACACCCGAACACCACACGCCATAGGCAGCCATGTGCAAGCCCCGCTGAAAGGCCGGTTGGTTGCTCTGCACTTTTTAAAGCTGGCATTTAAAATCACTCTGGCAGATGGAAGAAAAGTATGGAATAAAAGTTGACATTTAATTTTACTCTGTATGTTAAGTTAATTCTAGTATCATTTACAGGGAGATCTTCACTGAATGGTTATCAAACTGTGGCAGCTTGCAGCTAATGTAAACAGTATACAGTTTCTAGGGGTCAAATAAATACTAAAAGATTGGCAACAATTAATCATAAGAATGTTATTATCTTAAGAGGTCCTTTATAAATTAAAGGTAAAGTTATAGAAGGTTAAATCTATCTTTGTATACATTTTTCAACAACATTCTCTTTGATTTGCACATTCCCAAAAAGAAAGAAAGAAGAAAGGGAGGGAGGGAAAGGGAAGGATGAATTTTTTTCATTTTGTGTTTTCATTTTGTGAGTCATATCTCTCTGTAGTAAATCATCATTCTCTTTTCTAATACTTTTTCTATTTCATTCAAAAAGACAGCTTTTAAGTAGATAACTCAGGTAAAGTCATTACTTTTGACTTAGAAATATACCCATTCACACATTCATCTCAGATAATATAAAACTTTTTTGAAGCTCTTTATTTGACCCCCAAAGTTATAGTAAAAGTATTTGATTTTACATAATTCTTAGAAGTTATAGGAGAATTAATCTTTCCTCCACAAATGGATTTCCTTTTTTCCTTGCTCCATTTCTGTTATTTCATCTTTATAGATGTTATTTCCTTTTTCACTTTATCCAATATATCACTGCAATAAATGCGGCCAGAGCCCTGCCCATATACCTGTGTCTGCCACAGAGGTCACCTGTGGCTTCATAAGCAGTTCCTGTCCATGCCCATGACTTCTTATCTCAAGCACTTGCATTTATGGAAGGGTAGAAGTACCAATAGGTTAATGATCCCAGGAATAACACAACCAGTGAGGGGCTACATCTGATGGTCTGGTACTCCAGCTTTCTCATCACTAGATGCAATTATTCCGAGTTCTTTTTTTTTTTTTAACTTTATAAAGAGCCCCAGTAGACACAGTCCCTCTTGTCCACATGGGCAGCCCAGTGTAACATCATCCTCTCTTCCCTGTCTCCTCTTCCCACTACCTCACTCTGCTTGTTGGAATACCTTCCCAAATAAACTACTTAGACCCACCTCCTTCTCCCAGTGAATGCTTTTGGGAGATTCGTTTGGGGAGAACTGAAACTAAGATCAACGCTGATGAAAGAGAACTTGGAAGGAAGCTGGCCATTAAACAAACACTTACTAGGTGCTAGGCACTGTCTAATTTTCGCACATAAGAAATATATTTTATTACTTACTCTTGGAAATACTTCCCTTTAACGTCCTCCCAGAATGATATTGTTTCCCCACCCCAAAGCAAGTATAATGTTCTCATTTTAACTTATGAATTATTTATTTTCAAATATGTAATAAGAGCCCTATGGAATTGAATATTCCTATAAATTTTAGCCACAGCGCAATTCAAGCATGTGTGCTGGGGATGCCTATCCCAGTGTATCCCCGTTAAGAAGCCACTGGAATCCACATTAAAAGAAATGTCCTCAGGAAAAAAAAATATATTGGCCACACATATGATAGACCAGGTTAATATATTCTGAATATACAAAGCATGTATACAAATCAATAAAAATTCAAAAATGAAGATTTTACAATGGGCAATGGGTATGAATAGGTAGTTCAGGAATGGCCCATAAACAGGACCTTTCTCAATAGTACTCATTGTAGCAGGCAGTTTTTTTTCCAAACATGGCAGTACAATTATCTCCATTCCACATATTCTTCTAACAATATGACCTTGAAACTTCTCAACCAATAGATTTCAGCTGAAATGACGTTATGCGTCTTCTGAGTCAGGATTACAAAAATGTCACATACTTCCCCTTTGTTTTCTTGGAATTCTCAGCCTTGGAACCCAGCTGGGAGGAAGACCCAGCACCACATGGGGAGACCTATGTGGAGAGCAACCAAGGTCCCTGACCGACAACCCTGGTTGAGCTTGCAGGCAGTAGCCTCCAGTGAGTAAACCCTCATGAAAATGGCTGTCACGTTTGATACTGCATGGAGCAAAAAGGAGTTACATCTGCCCAAATTATAGAATTGTTAACCAAATAAATGATTTTTGTTGTTTTAAGCCTTTATGATTTGGAGTGATTTGTTATGTAACAATGAGCAGCTAATACATAACTTGATACCTGTAAATGGATACTGTCATGACAAAAACCTAAAGCACCTGGTATTGGTTTGAGGGTGCGGTGGTGAACGGAAACTGGAAGGAACTTGAGAAGATTGTTAGTGATGTGTGAAATGGCTTTGAGGAGAGTTTTAATGTATACTTAGAAGGTCTCAAGCCCAGAAGCTTATTAAGTGAAGGCTTAAATGGAAAAAAAAACAAAAACAAAAACAGAAACAACAAAAAAACTACTGCAAATACAGGAATGTGTCCCTTGTTACATAATGATGGAGAGTTTATCAACACCATTGCCCTCTGTAATGTGAAAAAAAAAATAGAATATGTACCTCATGTGCTTCTTGAATATAATGATATAGCTAAGGAGATTTCTAGCATAATATTACAATTGTCACCTGGCTTCCTTTCTAAGCCTTTGATAAAATATGAAAGGAATAAGTTGAGGAATAAGAAAAAAACTGTTAATAAATATCAAGGACTAAGGACGTGTTGGGCTTGAAAATAAGACTATTTTTCATTTCCAGTGTTTCCAGGTTGGAAATGATTTTCAAATTAAGAAAGGACCACACCAAAGGTCAAACTCTGGATGGGACTATAAGCTATTTTGTTAAAACTTCAGAAAGTTCTAATATAGTGCCTCATAAAAGCTTTCAGACAAACAAAAAGCACTTTCAAGTGCTTAAGAGAATGTCTTGCAGATTCTCTGCACCAAAATATGAAGCTTGTGTTTTGGTGGGTAGCTGCCCTGAGTGATTCCAAGATAGACAAGGGCCAGTCTTAAAGATACTTCTACTTGTGACTTTTTAAAATTGGGATGAACCGTAATAAGATTCATAAAACAGTCACAACATTTAAAAAAAATGTTTTGGCACAAGCACTGAGATCACACATGGAAAAGAGCAGAAACAGTACCAGATGAGAAGAAACCTTTGTACTCACAATATTCTACAGGCAGAGAGCAGGCTGAAAAGGCTCCTCAAATGAAACCAAAGACCTGTTCTTGTGGAAAAGGAGAAACTCAGAAGACACAACTGAGAAATATTGAGAACAACTCCCAAGGAATAGGACTGATCAAAGAATTGGCAAAATATGTCCCATTGCATATTAGAGCTGCTATGAACCAGTGAATACTGTCTATCATATCCCCCGGTTTTGAGTAGTTATCTTATTCCTGTCCCAGAATTATATGTTGGGGCAGTGAGGAGAAAGGTAGAGAACAGATAATTTGTCTCTTTTAGTTCAAAAGTGTTTAGACTGAGAGGAACTGAATTCCTTCCAGTACTGAAGAAGCTGTACTTGAGGAACTGCATTTAAGGAACATAGACCTGAGCTAAATAATGAAATACTGGGCTTTGAGCAGATGCTGTAATGAATTACAGTTTGGAAATCTTGGGGCAGGGGTGGATGCATTTTACCTCTAAGAGTAACGTGAATTGTTGTGACCAGAGCCTGGATTGTGGCAAACTATACTTGCAAAGATGCCCATCATCAGCATCTCTCATTATGTGATCTTACAATGTGATCTTGAGTCTCCTGTGATTTTGTGGTGGCATCTATGTCCCCTTCTAGTGAACATGGGTAGGGCTTTGTGACTGCCTCTACTCACTGAGTACTGTGGAAGTTACACCATGTGACTTCCAAATCTGGGTGACAAAAATCTTCATAAAGAAGAAATGTGTTAAGAAAAGTGGAAACAATCTTTATGAGTCATAGAAAAATGAAAAGCAGAGAATGAGTTTGGCAGTAGTTCTTCAACACTTGCTAAAGAAAACAGACATGAAATCTTACAAACACATTTCTTACTCACTAGAGAAGTGGAACCAGTTGTGCAGCAGGGAAGATGTGAAGAGCCTCACCATGGACGAGTAAAACCTATCTCAAACTTTCTGTTTCTCTTTCTCTGATTCTGTGCCTATCAATGAACATCCTAATAGCCAATTCAACAACCCCAGACTCTATAACTGGGTAGGAATTTACTTGGGTAGAAGAAGGATATCTTAATGGCTGGAAATGAAAATCCCTTATTGTGAACTGATGAAATAAAAATCAGTTTACTTAAATTTGGTTAGTATGAGTTAGTCTTTATGACCAATGAACTATGATCATGTCATTGTGTTACTGGGTCTACAAATGTGAGAAAGACAGCACAATGAGAAAAAAAAAAAACACTTGGGAAACCCAATTTAGAAGGCTCTTTGTTTTCCCTTTTCATCATATTATTTGAACACTATTCCATTTCTAAATTCCATGCAATGGATTTAGAAAAAAAATGTGATGTTAATAGAACAGGCTGAGTTGAGATGACAGGCAGGGTTAGATATAGGTCAATTTAAAAGACATTTGTGATATTAGAGATCTTAAATAGTGGATCAAATATTTTTTTCCAAAGGCTTTTGCAATAACAATAAGCATCTAAGTATGTAAATTGTATTTGTAATCTGAATAAATTCATCAACAAAAACCTGCCACAGATTTTTCACTCCAGCCTCCTTTTGGTTGGACATTTCCCACAGCTTTTTTGCAAGTAGAAATTGTCTATGAATATCTGTTTGGGAAAAAAAAACCCATATGATATGAAACCCCATTAGAAATTTTAAGATTTAGAGAATAGCACTTAGAGCTAATAAATATATTCTTATAATTTTTATTTTATCATTTTGTGATTGTATTCTCTCCTTTCTACCTTCCTTATATTTTTATATAGCCATACCTTAGAAAATGGCCATTAAATATCTTCGAAAACTTCCAAAATTCAAATCTCAGATACAGATAGGCAGTAAAGACATTTGAGAGAAGAAAGCCATGCATTTTCCATATCAGCAAATGAGAGATATATCTCTAGCATCATCTATACCTCCAACCTGTGCTTCATAGTGGACAACTTGTGCTCACAAAGCACACCATGCTGATTGCCTCCTCTGTGCTTGGGAATATCCTCCTACTTCACAGTCTACCTGATAAATGTCCGCAGCAGATGGCTTAGTATGACATGCACTACTTTTTAAAAGGAGATAAGCTTAAACATACTTTGTTTTCAATTTCTGTTTTCATATTTTGTTTTCAATTTCATATTTTTCAATGTTTTGTTATCATATTTTGTTTTCATTTTTTTAAGTTCTCATTTACAGGTTAACACCTGATTTTCTTTTCTTTATCCTCTAAAGTGACACAATCATAAACTTTAAGAAATATCTAAAGAATAACTATTCATATTTTAAGACTTTTTTAAAGTGCTACAAACTTTACAAAGATATCATGATGCCATGTTACAAATTTCAAGATGAAAACAATCTCATTTTTGCTGTACAAGTATTGTACCTACCATAACCTCTTAATCAGAGGATTTATAATATTTCATTAAGCTATTAATTCCCACTATAATTTGAATACTGAAAGATCCTTGAAGGTAGGTACCTACCTCTGTTCCCATGGCCCACAACATTGTTGACATCATTAATTTTTTGTGAAAGAATGGGAATGAAGAGGAGAGAGAATACGAATATAGAGAGATAGTGGAAAATGAATTATTTTATTCTGTATCCTATATTCTGGCCACGTATGAGCAGAGTTGGCCTAGAATCACATCAGCCTTGAGTGAATATGGAAGACTGCATCTGTCAGAATATCCCAGAAAAAAATGGCATGATGAATACTGGATGGTTTCTAGGGTCACTAAGAATTGTGCTCAGTCTGGGTTAGTTTATGGTTTATTTTCAACTTGGATTACTGTGCCTTGTCTGAACACCTTCCAGTGACAGAAATTTCCAAATAAATGTCTTATTTCAGGTAAACTCTTAAGGAAAAAAGTTATCTTATTCACTTAATAAATAACAATTGAGTACCTACTATGCGTGAGACACTGTGGTAGAAGCTAGACATAACAAAAGTAAATGAGTCCAAGATCCCTCAAACTGTTAGGTGTGGCCTAAAATTGTTTGTTTGATAAGCATATTGAGAAAGTAAGGAAAGAGCCATCATTTCATACTCCCTGTGAGCTTAGCCTCAAGAGCTCCTCTGTAGAAAACTGATGCACTTAGCCAGACAGCTGACCTACCAGAAAGCGTGGGGTATTTAGAAATGGTGTTCAGCATCAGTGATTTCTCAAAAAAAAAGACACAATTATTTTGTATCTTGAAGCTTTACAGAAGTTGTTTATCAGTTCCAAGAGCCTTTTCGAGGAGTCTTCAGAGTTTCTAGGTAGGTAGGTATGGAATCATATTGTCTGCAAAGAGAGATGGTTTGACTTCTTTTCCTATTTGGATGCCTTTTATTGCTTTCTTTTGTCTGATTGTTCTAACCAGGAATTCTAGTACTGTGTTGAATAGGAGTGGGCATCCTTGTCTTGTTCCAGTTCTCAAGGGGAATGCTTCTAGTTTTTTCCAATTCAGTATAATATTGGCTGTGGATTTGTCATAGATGGTTCTTACTGTCTTGAAGTATGTTCCTTTGATGCCTAGATTCTTCAGGGCTTTTATCATGAAGGGATGTTGGATTTATCAAAAGCTTTTTACATGAATATTGAGATGATTACGTGGTTTTTGCTTTTAATTCTGTTTATGTGGTGAATCACATTTAATGATTTGTGTATGTTAAACCAACCTTGTATCCCAGGAGTGAAGCCTACCTGATCATGGTGAATGAGCTTTTAGATATGCTGTTAGATTTGGTTTTCTAGTATTTTGCTGAAGATTTTATGTGTATATGTTCATCAATGATATTGGCTTGTAGTTTTCTTTTTTATTTGTGTCTTTGCTAGGTTTTAGTATCAGGGTGATGCTGGCTTCATAGAATGAGTTTGGGAGGAGTCCCTCCTCCTTAATTTTTTGGAATAGTTTTAGTAGAGTTTGGAATAGTTTTAGTAGAGTTTAGTACCAGTTGTTCTTTGTATATCTGGTAGAATTTATGACTCCATCTGGTCCAGGGCTTTTTTTGGTTAGTAGATTTTTAATTTCCGACTCAATTTCAGAACTCAATATTGGTCTGTTCAGGGTTTCAATTCCTTCCTGATTCAATCTGGGGAGATTGTGTGTTTCCAGGAATTTTCCATTTCCTCTAGATTTTCTAGTTTGTGTGCATAGAGGTGTTCATAATAGTCTCTGAGGATCTTTTATATTTCTGTGAGATTAGTTGTAGTGTCACCTATATGCTTTGGCTGTGTTCTCACCAAAATCTCATCTTGAACTGTAGTTTCCATAATCCCCATGTGTCATGGGAGGGACCCAGTGGGAGGTAATTTAATCATGAGGGTGGTTACCTCCATGCTGTTCCTGTGATAGTAAGTGAGTTCTAACAAGATCTGATGGTTTTATAAAAGGCTTTCCCCTTCCTCTTTGCTGTCACCATGGGAAGGGCCATGTTTTCTTCCCCTTCCACCATGATTATAAGTTTCCTGAGGCCTCCCCAGCCTTGCAGAACTGTAAGTCAATTAAACCTCTTTCCTTTATAAATTACCCTGTTTTGGGCATGTCCTTATTAGCAGTGTGAAAATGGAATAATACAGTAAACTGGGGTGTTGCTATAAGTATACCCAAAATACCAGTAGAGTGGGGTGTTGCTATAAGTATGCCCAAAAATGTGGAAGAGACTTTGGAACTGGTAACAAGCAGAGGTTGGCAGAGGTTGGAACAGTTTGGAGGGCTCAGGAAAAGAGAGGAAAATGTGAGAAAGTTTGGAACTTCCTAGAGAATTGTTGAATGGCTTTGACCAAAATGCTGATAGTAAAGTGGACAATAAAGTTCAGCCTGAGGTTGTCTCAAATGGAGATGAGGAACTTGTTGGGAACTGAAGCAAAAGTGACTCTTATTACGCTTAACAAAGAGATTGGCAGCATTTTGCCCCTGCCCTGGCGATCTGTGGAGCTTTGAACTTGAAAGAGATGATTTAGGATATCTGGAAGAAGAAATTTCTAAGTGGCAAAGGATTCAAGAGGAAGCAGAGAATAAAAGTTTGGAAAATTTGCCATCTGATGATGCAATAGAAAAGAAAAACCCATTTTCTGGTGAGAAATTGAAGCCTGCTGCAGAAATTTGCATAAGTAACAAGGAGCTGAATGTTAATCACCAAGACAATGGGGAAAATGTCTCCAGGACATGTCAGAGAGCTTTGCAGCAGCCCCACTCATCACAGGCCTGGATGTCTATGAGGAAAAAATGGTTTCCTGGGCTAGGCCCAGGGCCCCACTTCTCTCTGAAGCCTAGGAACTTGGTGCCCTGTATCCCAGCTGCTCCAGCCATGGCTAAAAGAGGCCAAGGTAAAGCTCAGGTCATGGCTTCAGAGGGTACAAGCCCCAAACCTTGGCAACTTCCATGTGGTGTTGAGCCTGCAGGTACAGAGAAGTCAATAATTGAGATTTGGGAACTTCCACCTAGATTTCAGAGGATGTATGGAAATGCCTGGATGTCCAGGCAGAAGTTTGCTGCAGTGGAAGAGCCCTCATGGAGAACCTCTGCTAGGGCAGTGTGGAAGGAAAATGTGGGGTTGGAGCCCCCATACAGCAACCCCACTGGGGCACTGCCTAGTGGAGCTTTAAGAAGAGGGCCACAGGCCTCCAGACCCCAGAATGGTAGATCCACTGACAGCTTGCACTGTGAGCCTGGAAAAGCCACAGACACTCAATGCCAGCTCATAAAACCAGCTAAGAGTTGGGGGTTTTACCCTGCAAAGCCACAGGGGAGGAGCTGCCCAAGGCCATGGGAAACTACCTCTTGCATCAGTATGAACTGGATGTGAGACATGGAGTCAAAGGAGATCATTTTGGAACTTTAAGGTTTAATGGCTGCCATATTGGATTTTGGACTTGCACAGAGCCTGTAGCCCCTTCGGTTTGGCCAATTTCTCCCATTTGGAATGGATGTATTTATCCAATGCCTTTACCCCCATTGTATCTAGGAAGTAAGTAACTTGTTTTTTATTTTACAGGCACATAGGTGGAAGGGACTTGCCTTGTCTTAGATGAGACTTTGGACTTTTGGGTTAATGCTGAAATGAGTTAAGACTTTGGTGGATGGTTGGAAGGGCATGATTGTGTTTTAATTGTGAGGACATGAGATTTGGGAGGGGCCAGGGGTGGACTTATATGATTTGGCTGTGTCCCCACCCAAATCTCATCTTGAACTGTAGTTTCCATAATCCCCATGGGTCATGGGATGAACCTGGTGGTAGGTGATTAAATCATGGAGCAGTTACCTCCATGCTGTTCTCATGATAATGAGTGAGTTCTCACAAGATCTGATCGTTTTATAAGGGGCTTTTCCCCTCCTTTGCTCTGCATTTCTCCTTGCTGCCTCCATGTGAAGAGGGAAATGTTTGCTTCCCCTTCCACCATGAGTGTAACTTTCCTGAGTCCTCCCCAGCCCTGAGGAACTGTGAGTCAATAAACTTCTTTCCTTTATAAATTACCCAGTCTCAAGTATGTCTTTATTAGCAGCATGAGAACAGACTATGCAGTCACCTTTATCATTTCTGATTGTGCTTGTTTGGAACCGCTTTCTTTTCTTTTTTTTCTTCTTTGTTAATCTAGCTAGCAGTCTATTGATCTTGTTTATCTTTTCCAAAGACTAACTTTTGGTTTCATTGATTCTTTGTATGAAATATTGGATCTCAATTTTGTTCAGTTCTGTTCTGATTTTCATTATTTCCTTTCTTCTGCTAGCTTTGGCATTAGTTTGTTCTTGTTTTTCTAGTTCTTCTAGGTGTTATGCTAAATCATTAACTTGAGATCTTTCTAACTTTTTGAGGTAGGCGTTTAGCATTATAATCCTTTCTCTTATCACTGCATTTGCTGCATTCCAGGGATTTTGGTATGACATATCTCTGTTTTCATTTATTTAAAATAATTTTTTTATTTCTGCCTTCATTTCATTCTTTACCCAAAAGTCATTCAGTAGCAAGTTGTTTAATTTCCATATAATTTCCCATATAATTGTGTGGTTTTGAGAGATATTGTTGGTATTGATTTCTAGTTTTATTCCAACGTGGCCCAACAGTATGCTTGGTATAATTTCAATTTTCTGAATTTATTGAGACTTGCTTTATGGCCACATTTCTGAGCATGAGGGCAATCTCGGAGTATGTGTTGTGTGCAGATGAGAATGTATATTCTGTGGTTGATGAGTGGAGTAATCTATTGTCTGTTACTTGTTTAGTAATCTAAATGTCTATTAGGTTCAATTGGTCAAGTGTTGAGTGTGAGCCCAAAACTTTTCTGTTATTTTTCTCTCTTGATGGTCTGTCTAATGTTGTCAGTGGGGTCTTTAAGTCCCCCACTATTACTGTGTGGCTGTATAAGTCTTTTTGTATATCTATAAGTACTGGTTTTATGAATCTGGGTGCTTCAGTGTTGGGTGCATATGTATTTAGGTTACGTATTCTTGTTGAATTGAACCCTTTATCATTATGTAATGCCCTATTTGTCATTTTTATTTTACTATTTTTATTTAAATCCTGTTTTACCTAAGAACAGTAACTCCTGCTCTTTTTTGTTTTCCACTTGCATGGTAGATCTTTCTCCAACCCTTTACTTTGAGCCTATGGGTGTTTTTATTTGTAATATGGGTCTCTTGAAGACAGTGGACAGATGGACCTTGTTTTCCTTTATTCAACTTGCCACTCTATGCCTTGTAAGGAGAGAATTTAGACAATTTACATTCAACAATAATACTGATATATAAAATTTTGATCCGATATCGAATATTAACTTGTTGCTTTGTAGTTTCTATTGTGCAGTTGCTTGATAGGGCCTGTAGGCTATGTACTTAAGTGTGTTTTTGTGGTAGGATTTCAGTGCACCAACAATATTCAAGCTGAGAGACAAATCAAGAATGCAATCCCATTTATGATAACCACAAATAAATCTAGGAATACATCTAGCTAAGGAGGTGAAAGAACTCTACAAGTGTCAGGCCTCTGAGCCCAAGCTAAGCCATCATATCCCCTGTGACCTGCACTATACATCCAGATGGCCTGAAGTAACTGAAGAATCACAAAAGAAGTGATATTTAAATGGCCTGTTCCTGCCTTAACTGATGACATTCCACCAAAAAATAAGTGAAAATGGCCAGTCTTTGCCTTAACTGATGACATTACCTTGTGAAATTCCTTCTCCTGGCTCATAATGGCTCAAAAAGCTCCCCCACTGAGCACCTTGTGACCCCCATTCCTGCCTGCCAGAGAACAACCCCCCTTTTTCCTTCACCTACCCAAATCTTATAAAATGGCCCCACCCTTATCTCCCTTTGCTGACTCTCTTTTTGGACTCAGCCCGCCTGCACCCAGGAGATTAAAAGCTTTATTGCTCACACAAAGCCTGTTTGGTGGTCTCTTCACACAGACGCAAGTGAAATTTGGTGCCGTGACTCAGATCAGGGGACCTCCCTTGGGAGATCAATCCCCTCTCCTCCTGCTCTTTGCTCCATGAGAAAGATCCACCTACGACCTCAGGTCCTCAGATCGACCAGCCCAAGGAACATCACACCAATTTTAAATCAGGTAAGCGGCCTCTTTTTACTCTCTTCTCCAACTTCTCTCACTATCCCTCAACCTCTTTCTCCTTTCAATCTTGGCGCCACACTTCAATTTCTCCCTTCTCTTAATTTCAGTTCCTTTCCTTTTCTGGTAGAGACAAAGGAGACGCATTTTATCCATGAACCCAAAACTCCGGCCCTCACGGACTCAGGAAGACAGACTTCCCTTGGTGTTTAATCACCGCGGGGATGCCTGCCTGATTATTCACCCACATTTCAGAGGTGTCTGACCACGTGGGGATGCCTGCCTTGCTCCTTCACCCTTAGTGGCAAGTACTGCTTTTCTGGGGGGCAAGAACCCCCGACCCCCTCTCTCTGTGTCTCTACCCCTTTTCCACTTTTCTGGAGGGCAAGAACCCCTCCACCCCTTCTCTCCATGTCTCTACCCTTTCTCCACTTTCCTGGGGGGCAAGCACCCCCCACCCCTTCTCTCTGTGTCTCTACTCTCTCTTTTTTCTGGGCTTGCCTCCTTCACTATGGGCAGACTTCCACCCTCCATTCCTCCTTCTTCTCCCTTAGCCTGTGCTGTCAAGAACTTAAAACCTCTTCAACTCACACCTGACCTAAACCTAAATGCCTTATTTTCTTCTGCAATGCTGCTTGACCCCAATACAAACTCAACAGTGGTTCCAAATAGCTAGAAAATGGCACTTTTGATTTTTCCATCCTATAAGATCTAAATAATTCTTGTCATAAAATAGGCAAACAGTCTGAGGTGCCTGACATCCAGGCATTCTTTTACACATTGTTCCCTCCCTAGTCTGTTCCCAATGCAACTCCTCCCAAATCATCCTTCTTTCCCTCTTGCCTGTCCCCTCAGTCCCAACCCCAAGCTTCACTGAGTCTTTCTAATCTTCCTTTTCTACAGACCCATCTGACCTCTCCCCTCCTCCCCAGACTGCTCCTTACCAGGACGAGCTAGGTCCCAATTCTTCCTCAGCCTCCGCTCCTCCACCCTATAATCTTTTTATTGTCTCCCCTCCTCACACCCGGTCTGGCTTACAGTTTCATTCCACCACTAGCCCTCCCCCACCTGCCCAGCAATTTCCTCTTAAAAAGGTGGCTGGAGCTAAAGGCATAGTCAAGGTTAATGCTCCTTTTTCTTTATCTGTCCTCTCCCAAATCAGTTAGCATTTAGGCTCTTTCATCAAATATAAAAACCTAGCCCAGTTCATGGCTCGTTTGGCAGCAACCCTGAGACACTTTACAGCCCTAGACCCTGAAAAGTCAGAAGGCCATCTTATTCTCAATATGCATTTTATTTTACTGCCCAATCCACTCCCGACGTTAAATAAAGCTCCAAAAATTAAATTCTGTCCCTCAAACCCCAAAACAGGACTTAATTAACCTCGCCTTCAAGGTGTACAATAATAGAGTAGAGGCAGCCAAGTAGCAATATATTTCTGAGTTGCAATTCCTTGCCTCCACTGTGAGACAAACCCCAGCCACATCTCCAGCACATAAGAACTCCACACGCCTGAACCACAGTTGCCAGGGGTTCATCCAGAACCTCCTCCCCAAGGAGCTTGTTACAAGTGCCAGAAATCTGGCCACTGGGCTAAGGAATGCCCACAGCCAGGAATTCCTCCTAAGCTGTGTCCCATCTGTGCAGGACCCCACTGAAAAATCGGACTGTTCAACTCACCTTGCAGCCACTCCCAGAGCCCCTGGAACTCTGGCCCAAGGCTCTCTGACCCCTTTCCAGAGCTTCTCAGCTTAGCAGCTGCAGACTGACACTGCCCGATTGCCTTGGAAGCCTACAGAACCATCACAGATGCTCTGAGTAACTCTCACAGTGGAGGGTAAGTCCGTCCCCTTCTTAATCAACACGGAGGCTACCTACTCCACATTACTTTCTTTTCAAGGGCCTGTTTCCCTTGCCTCCATAACTGTTGTGGGTATTGACGGCCAGGCTTCTAAACCTCTTAAAACTCCCCAACTCTGGTGCCAACTTAGACAATACTCTTTTAAGCACTCCTTTTAGTTATCCCCACCTGCCCAGTTCCCTTATTAGGCCGAGACACTTTAAATTATCTGCTTCCCTGACTATTCCTGGGCTATAGCCACACCTCATTGCTGCCTTTTCCTCCAGTTCAAAGCCTCCTTCACATCCTCCTGTTGTATCTCCCCACCTTAGCCCACAAGTATAAGATACCTCTACTACCTCCTTGGTGACCAATCATGCACCCCTTACTATCTCATTAAAACCTAATCACCCTTACCTTGCTCCACGCCAATATCCCATCCCGCAGCATGCTTTAAAAAGATTAAAGCCTGTTATCACTCGCCTGCTGCAGCATGGCCTTTTAAAGCCTATAAACTCTCCTTACAATTCCCCCATTTTACCTGTTCTAAAACCAGACAAGCCTTACAGGTTAGTTCAGGATCTGCACCTTATCAACCAATTGTTTTGCCTATCCACCCTGTGGTGCCAAACCTATATACTCTCCTATCCTCAATACCTCCCTCTACAACCCATTATTCTGTTCTAGATCTCAAACATGCTTTCTTTACTATTCCTTTGCACCCTTCATCCCAGCCTCTCTTCACTTTCACTTAGACTGCCCCTGACACCCATCAAGCTCAGCAAATTACCTGGGATGTACTGCTGCAAGGCCTTGCGGACAGCCCCCATTACTTCAGTCAAGCCCAAATTTCTTCCTCATCTGTTATCTATCTCAGCGTAATTCTCATAAAAACACACGTGCTCTCCCTGCTGATCGTGTCCGACTGATCTCTCAAACCCCAACACCTACAAAACAACAACTCCTTTCCTTCCTAGGCATGGTTAGATACTTTCGACTTTAGATACCTGGTTTTGCCATCCTAACAAAACCATTATATAAACTCACAAGAGGAAACCTAGCTGACCCCATAGACCCTAAATCCTTTCCCCACTCCTCTTTCCGTTCCTTGAAGACAGCTTTAGAGACCGCACCCACCGTAACTCTCCCTGACTCATCCCAACCCTTTTCATTACCCACAGCTGAAATGCAGGGCTGTGCAGTTGGAATTCTTACACAAGAACCGGGACTGTGCCCTGTAGTCTTTTTATCCAAACAACTTGACCTTACTGTTTTGCCTAGCCCTCAAGTCTGCATGTGGCGGCCGCTGCTGCCCTAATATTTTAGAAGCCCTTAAAATCACAAACTATGTTCAACTCACTCTCTACAGTTCTCGTAACTTCCAAAATCTATTTTCTTCCTCACACCTGACACATAGACTGTCTCCTGGCTCCTTCAGCTGTACTCACTCTTTGTTGAGTCTCCCACAATTACCATTGTTCCTGGCCTGGACTTCAATCCGGCCTCCCACATTATTCCTGATACCACACCTGACCGGCATGACTGTATCTCTCTGATCGACCTGACATTCACCCCATTTCCCCATATTTCCTTCTTTCCTGTTCCTTACCCTGATCACACTTGGTTTACTGATAGCAGTTCCACCAGGCCTAATTGCGACACACCAGCAAAGGTGGGCTATGCTATAGTACAAGCACTAGCCTGCCTCTTAGAACCTCTCATTTCCTTTCCATCGTGGAAATCTGTCCTCAAAGAAATAACTACTCAGTGTTCCATCTGCTATTCTACTACCCCTCAGGGATTATTCAGGCCCCTTCCCTTCCCTACACATCAAGCTCAGGGGTTTGCCCCTGCCCAGGACTGGCAAATTGACTTTACTCAACATGCCCTGAGTCAGGAAACTAAAATACCTCTTGGTCTAGGTAGACACTTTCACTGGATAGGTAGAGGTCTTTCCCACAGGGTCTAAGAAGGCCACCACAGTCATTTCTTCCCTTCTGTCAGACATAATTCCTCAGTTTGGCCTTCCCACCTCTATACAGTCCTATAACAGACTGGCCTTTATTAGTCAAATTACCCAAGCAGTTTCTCAGGCTCTTAGTATTCAGTGAACTAATGGTCTTTTAAAAACACACCTCACCAAGCTCAGCCACCAACTTAAAAAGGACTGGACAATACTTTTACCACTTGCCCTTCTCAGAACTCAGGCCTGTCCTCGGAATGCTACAAGGTACAGCCCATTTGAGCTCCTGTATAGATGCTCCTTTTTATTAGGCCCCAGTCTCATTCCAGACACCAGATCAGCTTGGACTGCACCCTCCTACCCCACCACCAAAAAAAAAAAAAACAAAAAACTTGTCATCCCTACTATCTGCTGTCTAGACATACTCCTATTTATCGTTCTCAACTACTCATTAATGCCCTGCTCTTGTTTACACTGCTGGTTTACACTGTTTCTCCAAGCCATCAGAGCTGATATCTCTTGGTGCTAACCCCAAACTGCTACTCTTAAATCCCTCTTAAAGTAAATAAATAATCTTTGCTGGCAGGGCTATGCTGAACCTCCTTAGGCACTCTCTAGTTGGATATCCTGGGTCCTCCCAATTCTTAGTCCTTTAATACCTGTTTTTCTCCTTGTCTTATTCCGTTCTTTTTTCAATTCATACAAAACCGTATCCAGGCCATCACCAAGAATTCTATACGACAAATGTTTCTTCTAACAACCCCACAATATCACCCCTTACCACAAAATCTTCCTGCAGCTTAATCTCTCCCACTCTAGGTTCCCACGCCACCCCTAATCCCACTCGAAGCAGCCCTGAGAAACATCGCCCATTATCTCTCCATACCACCCCCAAAAATTTTTGCCACCCCAACACTTCAACACTATTATGTTTTATTTTTCTTATTAATATAAGAAGACAGGAATGTCAGGCCTCTGAGCCCAAGCTAAGCCATCATATCCCCTGTGACCTGCACTATACATCCAGATGGCCTGAAGTAACTGAAGAATCACAAAAGAAGTGATATTTAAATAGCCTGTTCCTGCCTTAACTGATGATATTCCACCACAAAAGAAGTGAAAATGGCCAGTCCTTGCCTTAACTGATGACATTACCTTGTGAAATTCCTTCTCCTGGCTCTTCCTGGCTCTAAAAGCTCCCCCACTGAGCACCTTGTGACCCCCACTCCTGCCTGCCAGAGAACAACCCCCCTTTTTCCTTCACCTACCCAAATCTTATAAAATGGCCCCACCCCTATCTCCCTTTGCTGACTCTCTCTTCGGACTCAGCCCGCCTGCACCCAGGAGATTAAAAGCTTTATGGCTCATGCAAAGCCTGTTTGGTGGTCTCTTCACATGGACATGAGTGAAAACAAGGAGAACTACAAAACACTGCTAACAGAAATCACAGATAACACAAACAAATGGAAAAACATTCCATGCTTATGAATTGAAAGAATCAATATTATTAAAGTGGCCATACTGCCCAAAGCAATCTACAGATTCAATATACTTCCCATCAAACTACCAATGTCATTTTTCACAGAACTAGAAAAAACTTTTCAAAAATTCATGTGGAACCACAAAAGAGCCTGAATAGCTGAAGCAATGCTAAGAAAACAAACAAACAAACAAACAAAAAAAACAAGAGGCATCACATTACCCAACTTCAAACTATACTACAAGGCTACAGTAACCAAAATAGCATGGTACTGGTACAAAAGCAGACCCATAGACCAGCAGAACAGAATAGAGAACCCAGAGATAAAGCTGAACACCTAAAGCCATCTGATCTTGATAAAGTTGACAAAAACAAGTAATGGGGAAAGGACACTATTGAATAAATGGCATAGCTGACTGTCCATATGCAGAAGAATGAAACTGAACCCTTGCCTTTAACCACATACAAAAATTAACTCAAGATGGATTAAAAATTTAAATGTAAGCCATCAAACTGTAAGAATCCTAGAAAGAAACCTAGGAAACACCATTCTGGACACCAACTTTGAGAAAGAAATTAAGACCAAGTCCTCAAAAACAATTACAATATAAACAAAAACTGACAAGTCAGACCTAATGAAACTAAAGAGCTTCTGCACAGCAAAAGAAACTCTCAACAGAGTAAAAGACAATCTAGAGAATGGTAGAAGATATTCACAGGCTGCACATCTGGCAAAGGTCTAGTACCCAGAATCTATACGGAATTTAATTGAATAAGTAGAAAACAAATAACCCCATTAAAAAAATGAGCAAAATACTTGTGGAACCATGTATTTTGTCGAAACAAGACATACAAGCAGCCAGCAAACTTATGAAAATGTGCTCAACATCACTAATCATCAGAGTAATGCAAATCAAAACCATAATGAGATACCATCTCACACCAATCAGAACAGCTATTATTAAAAAGTCAAAAAATAACAGATGCTGGTAAGATTGCAGAGAACAGGGGACACTTATACACTGCTGGTGAGAATGTAAATTAGTTCAACCACTGTGGAAAGCAGTTTGGGGATTTCTTAATGAACTTAAAACAGAACTATCATTTGACCCAGCAATGCCATTACTAGGGGTATATCAAAAAGAAAAAAAAAATCATTCTACCAAAAAGACACATGCACTCACATGTTCACCACAATACTATTCACAATAGCAAAAACAGGAGATCAACCTAGGTGCCCATCAATGGTGGACTGGATAAAGAAAATGTGGTACATGTATACCATGGAATACTATGAAGCCATAAAAAGGATGAAATCATGTCTTTTGCAGCAAAATGGATGGAGCTGGAGGCCATTATCCTAAGTGAATTAATGCAGCAACAGAAAACCAAATACTACATGTTCTCACTTACAAGAGGGAACTCAACATTGGGTACTCATGGCCATAGAGATGGCAACAATAGAAACTGGGGACTACCAGAGGGAGGAAGAAGGGGAGCAAGGTTTGAAAAAGTAACTATTAGGTGCTATGCTCAGAACCTGGGTGATGTGAACATTTGTAACACAAACCTCAGCATCTGTCAGTAACCCAGGTAACAAACCTGCACATGCACCCCCTGAATATAAAATAAAAGTTCAAAAAAAAAGGAGATGGTCAACCAGTATCTTGGGGAAAAAAAAAAAAAAAAAGCTCAACACCGCTAATCATCAGGGAAATGCAATCTATAATAAAGCGTTATCTCACCCCAGTTAGGATGGCTACTATCAAAAAGACAAAAAATAAATGCTGGTGAGGATGGAGAGAAAGAGGAATGCTTGTACACTGCTGGTGAGACTGTAAATTAGTACACCCATTAAGGAAAACAGTACGGAGTTTCCTCAAAAATCTAAAAATAAAATTACCATATGCTCCAGCAATCCCACTACTGGATATGTATCCAAAAGAAAGGAAGTTAGTTTGGGGAGGCCGAGGCGGGCAGATCATGAGGTCAGGAGATCAAGACCACCCTGGCCAACATGATGAAGCCCCATCTCTACTAAGAAAACAAAATTAGCTGGGTGTGGTGGCACGCACCTGTAATCCCAGCTATTTGGGAGGCTGAGGCAGGAGAATCGCTTGAATCTGGGAGGCAGGGTTGCAGTGAGTCGAGATCACGCCACTGCACTCCAGCCTAGACTCTGTCAAAAAAAAAAAAGGAAGTTAGTACATCAACAAGATATCTACACTCACATGGCTCTTACACCACAATTCACAACAGCTAAAATATGGAGTCAACCTATGTGTACAACAACAGATGAATGAATACAGAAAAGTATTCTACAATGGAATATTATTCAGCCATACAAATAATGAAATCCTGTCATTTGTAACAACATGGATGCCACTAGAGGTGGCACATTAAGTGAAATAAGCCAGGCACAGAAAGACAAGAGAACATTTCATGTTCTTGCTTATATGTGGGGACTAAAAAAAAATGGATCTCACGGAAGGAGAGAGTAGAATGGTGGTCCCCAGAGTCTGGGAAGGGAAGAGGGAAGGGATAAAAAGAAGTTGGTTAAGGGTACAAAAATTCAGTTAGATTGAAGGAATACATTCTAGTATTTGACAGAACAACAGGGATATTGCAGTTAACAATAATTTATTGAATATTTCAAAATAGCTGGAGGAGAAGAATTATAATGCTTCCAACATAAAGAAAAGATAAATGTTTGAGGTAACAGATATCCCAATTATTCTGATTTGATGACTACATGTTTTGTACATGTATCAAAATATCACATGTACCCCCAAAATATGTACAACTATGGTAAATCAATAAAAATACAAAAAAGGAAAGATTGGTCATCACAGAAAAGGAAAGACAATTAACTTTGAATATGTTTCATTTATGTTCAATGTTATCTAGTTATCCCCTCTCCAAAGAAACAGAAAGGGAGCTCAGGTCATTTAAACAAGGGCAAGACTCATGTATTTGTAACTCAATACATCAATACTCAATACATTTGATACTCAATACATCAAAAGTAGTTTATTTGAAAGCTCTGCTTACTGTTAATCTAAGCAACAAAAGTTACCCTTCAGCCTTCAATTAACATAAAAAATAAATCTGTGTTTGAATGCCTTTGAATGGATTATAAATCATGCTATATTTTCTCATTAAATACGGTTTTTGGGGCATTACGTACCAGAAAGCAAAAAGCCCCATATTATCATATGCCACTAGGAAAAAAGTTCCCCAATTCACAAAACCTCTTCTAAGACAAAGTCTATATTCAGGAAACCACAAAGAACTTAAAAGTCAGTGCTTTCATTTTTCATCCTTCAGAGTAGCATAGGATTTTCTTCTGAGTGGTGAAGGACTTGCCTATTCCCTAGTTGATATGCTTAGAGAACAATAAAACAGACACACACAAAAATAAGAAAAATATATGTGACAGAATTTAATATTTCAAAAAGTATTACAGTAGTTATCAACACATTGATGGACTTTGCCACGTGTATTTTAACAATGACTACCATTCTCACTTTGAATTACCTTGAATTACCTTTTAATTGCCTGAAGGCTCAGAGCCTTCAGATCGCACTCAGATCCTAAACAGTGAGGAAAACAGAGCCTCATTTCCTCATTTGTAAAGGGAATGTATTTTTGACACACTTGGGGTTGGGTGCGCAGCCTACCACATCTTCTCAACCCCTCTCCTTCCCCTACCCATGAGTTACCCTTAAAGAACTTTAACTCATGGCCCCATGCCTTGTTCAACCTGATCCACACAGGGCATTTTACTTTCTCTGCTCTCCACTCCCGTCCCATTTATTCCCAGAAACTTTTAATTGGAATACAGAGATTCCAGTAACTAGCTGTAGATGCTAGAAGTAGCAAATACATAAAATAAAATTTCTGTCTGTGATCACATCCCTTAAAAACAGATAAAAGGATCTTCACCAACTTTAGAGGATATGTTAGAGATGATGAGTCAACACTTATGGAATGTGACATAGCAAAACGAACCTTGTCGAGTTCAGTGTTGCTAACATTTTCACTTAATTTCCCCTTCATTTGTTATCCAGGATTAACTCTCAGCATCTCTATCACTAGACATATTAGTAGCCTATTTCTTATCAAAGCAGAGACAGCTCATCTAACTTCATAACAGAATATCTTGTACTCCATACCAGAGTCACATCTAGACATATGGATAAATTGGACTAGCTAGTAATTCCATGCACATCTAAACCACTATCTCCAAAATATCCATCCAACAATTATTTATTAAAATAGAGAGAAAGTGTCTTTTTATACTTCTTTCATTGTATTTAAGATAACTAAGATAGTCACATGCACTGCATTTAATGTAATATTCTAACTTAATTTGGAATATTCTTTTCTTTTGTAGTTTTCTTTATTCATAGTTTATATGCATGAATATAGAAGTACCTTATAAGAATATATTACAAAGTTCTGTTCAAAGTACCATTGAAAGCTCTTTTCTAGTGTCTTTTATGTCAGCAAAATGTTTTTACCTTCTCGGTAGTTCTTTCTCTCTTTTTAGTTTCTTTTGCAATATTCTAAATCAGAAAACATCTTGGCAGGTATATTAGAGCATTTAAAGTTTAGGGGTAAAATTTCCAGTTCTCACTAAACAGCACTATCACATGCATTTTTCAATTTCAGCTCTAACTGCTGACTTCAGGCAGCTGTCAACTGGCTGTTCTCAGAGTGATTGTCACCTGTTGGAAAAATTCTCAACAGAGATCCATCACAGGTGGCAAGGAATGCTTTGTTTTGTTTTAATTTTCACTCCAAAGTGCACTTCAATTTGGCAGAAGCCAAACTATGAAAGAGGCCAGCTACAAAAGGAATTACATGTAGAAACCTGAATTAAATGGCACCATGTCTTCAAGGGCTGTAGTTGTTTTAGAGTCCCTTATACGTTGATACACCAAATGTCTTCCTACTTGGCCCTGACCATCGGCTCCTTGCCCTTTTCCAACCATAATGGTCCACGGATTTCCATCCTAGCCTGACAGCCCCCTAATGTTTGACTTTCTTGAGAATCTAAACAATGTATTCAGTTCTTGTTTACTGTTCCCATCAGCAATGAAAATACCAAAGCATCAGTGATCAATACAACTGGCACCAGCTTATATTTCCTTACTTAATGGCTGGTAGATTTTGAGGTTGGATCTAGTGGCATGGAAAGTAATGGAAATAAAAATGGACAAAGGAGAAAACATCTATCCCAAAGGAAGGAAGAGAAAGGATTAAATTAAGAAGCCAGGTGAAAATTTATGTGAACCCCTTGGCCCCTCAACCCCCATCTTCCTCAGCAATCTGGCTCATTTTTTGAGTGCCTACCATGTGCCAGGCACTGTGCTTTACCCAAATAAGAGTATTTTAAAATGCAATGCTATAAATTAGATATTATTAGTCCCTTTTTAAGGATGAGGAAACTAATGTTGAGAGGTTCTTTCTCACAATATCACATTTAACAGGTCTTCAAATCCAGGCATGTTAGCTAAAATGTGAGACATCTAAGAATAAGAAAATGAACACTGTATATTCTGATCCAACAGTCTGTAATCTTAAAGTGACCGAGGTAGAGATGATCAGAATCAAAGTTGTAATTAGTTCAGGGGAAATGGGAAGACCTACTTGTCTTATAAAAAAATTTTCTATAGCCAATGATGTCTGAAATTTTGAAGTAAAGTATAATAGAGAGAACAGAAGATTTTTTTTAAGTAAATAAAGTATTGGGAGTAAGGAATAATAATACTAGAAAACATTTATTGAGTACTACCATGCACGAGATACTATTGAAAACATAGTTCCAAGAGTCATTTCATTGTAATCCTAACAACTACGTAACTAAGTTATTATTGTTTTATTCATATAAAGATTACGAAAACTGAGATCTAACAAGATTAAATAACCTTCCCAAGGTCACAGAGTTACTAAGTGTCCAAACCAGGACTCCAACTCAGAACTGTATGCCTCTAGAATCTGTGCTTCAAAGTACTAGGCTAAACTACATCTGTAAGGGAACTGATGATCCTAGCATAGGTGATCAAGTCATCATCTACCTTAGCTGGAATCCAAGCTCTACAGAAGAGGATTCCCCAAGATAAAGTGAACACCTAAGCATCAGATCACTATATATATATATAAATTTAATGAGGCAGTACTAACAGTGTAGCTAAGTTCTTTACCTGGATTATCTTATTTCTTGCTCACAACAACCTAAGGGATAGGTACTAATACTAACTTTGTTTCAAAGTTGAGGAAACTGAGACTTAGGAAAATTTGCTATTTTGCAGGACTTGAAACCTAGACCCTAGGAACCATCACTCTTAACCACTATATGCTCCTTCAAGTCATATCTTTATGGGCTGAGATCTAAATCCATCTTTTATAGTACTGACTCCGTAGTACCCTACTACAGTAAAATCTTTTGCTCTTACATCTGGACCAGTCTTGCCTGTTGAGTAGTGGATGGAGTAGCCTCCAGCTCCTCCTAGTGGCTAGAATGGCCACTAACATTTACTAAAGAGTTGAGTACTGTGAATCATTGCAAACCAGGAACCACCAGCTTACGGGTTTGTCCAAAGGCCTGACAGCCATTAAACACCTGCAATCAAATTTATCCCAAACCTCGGAGGCCTCATTAAATGTCTGACATCTGGTATGCACCAGGGTACTTTAGCAACTGGGGAAGAGCAACATGCAGATTAAAATGATAAAATTACCCCCAAATTAGTTCAGCAGATGTGGAGTGGAGACACCAGGAGTTTTGTTTTTCAGTTTCTTCCTTGCATTCCACAACAATAAATATCAATGCTTGTTATCTCAGCTAATTACACAGTTTTTCAGCAGTAAAGAAACTCCATTTTCCTTTCCTTTCTGACACATAGCATTTAGATGCATCCTCTCTAATGACCCGCTTCCTTGTCTTTTAAGAATGGAGTACTACTGCATCCAGCTAGTAATTCAAAACTGAAAGTTGCTCCATCCTTCAACACTTATTCTTTTTAGGGTTAATTTTTAAATCATACCCTAATTTACAGGAATTTACAGTCTTTAAAAAAGTAGCTATTTTCAGACCTGTTTACTAGACCACAATCTGAAACATCAGTCAAAAACAGCTTGAACTGACTGCATCCTTCTCTGGAACAGAACATCTAGCAGCAGAACATCCTATTGTAGCTGGCCCATCTACCCCATAATTAAGGTTGCATTGCAGCCCTGCTCCAAACTTATTTCTGCAGGAGAACAGCTAAGATCCGTTAGATAAGATGTCAGAATATGTGCTACTGGAATTGCATCCAATCTGTTGGTTAACATTACCAGAGCCAATTTAGTGTTGAATTTAAATCACGGAAATGTTGGTGATATGGCAACATATATTCACAAAAGCTTTAGTAAAGTCAATAATGACTGCCTTGCTCTCTGAGGCTCCACTTGAGAATCCTCTTCATAAGACCCGGTCAAAGCTCAGTGAGGGAAATATATTGCTGTTAAATTAAAAAAAAGACTTATGATGTTCATCAACTCAATATTGCACACTTAAAAGTCATAAAAACCAGCTTTTTGAATCACAGGGGATTTTTAACCATAAGTTCATTTTTTTGCAATTATTCATACAAACAGATGATGTAATGTGCATTTTAAAAACAAGAAATCAACTTTAGGAATTAAGTGGGTCAAGGATAAGAACAGTGTGACTCAAAGAACTCAATGCCTCCTTTCAGATTAAAGTGAGAAACTCTAAAAACGAGAACAATATCGGGGAAAATCTTGATTTTTTTTCTTTCTAAAGCAAGTTTCATGGAAACAAAAAAACAGCAAGTGTTTTCAGAGGCTGCTATGTTTATATTATATAACCATATCTTGCTAATATATCTTTATGTGTTTATCCTTCAAAAGTAAACGAATTAAACAGACCCAAGGAATTCCTCAAATCTAAAACCAAAGAATACAATAGGAGACTAACAAAGATTTGCAGAGAACCTACTATATGCAAAGCACTGTTTTGCTGTGAGCTGCATAGTGATATAGAAAATTTGGCACAAACTGTTTGTCCCCAATGTCTACTTTATAAAAAATTCTTTCCTCTAAAACGTGATCCCTTCTACTGTCCCTTAGCTGACAGCCTCATGCCATCACAAAGCCTTCCAGCCTTAAGATCTAGAGTCCATTTTTGAAGCAGCACAGTGCTACCAAGGAGAGGCAGATAAAACGGATGGACCCCATCTCAGCATGCTAGGCACACAACTCCCCCCTCCCCAGATTTTATGAAATCACCTCAGAAACCCTCACATATAATACTCAGATAAGTTAGTCTTTCCTTTTAGCTCCCTGTCTTGAGAAATGTTTTAAGAATCCAGCCCCATCCAAATGCTCTTTGTTTTCTCCCAAACACAGAACCTGTGAATGAGTGTGATTTTAAGTCAATAGAGACATACATAATTTATAAGAGGGTTTTTTTGAAAAAAATCATGCATTTCCAAACACAGTTGTTAAGGCTATAGCAAGTAATAAAAATGCAGAGAGCATCTTGCAGGAGAGACAGGCTTTGGGAACCCCCTACTGGCTTAGCCAGAGGAAAACGACCCCATTGGTTCACTTAGCAACAGCTGTGGGATCCAGATTACAAATTCCTCCCAAGGCAGTATGAATATGAGCTTGAAATATTCATCTCTCTTCCCAATACAAACTTGCTGATGCATTGCTGCCTCAATATTTCTATAAACCAAAACACCCCACCCTCAGAGCAGAGCTAGTTGAATCCTAAATTCTTAGGACATAAAGTATGCAATGCTCAGAAGGCACATATGAAAAGATTTTCCTTTGGAATCTCAAAATCAGTTGGCAGTTGGTAGCAAGACCAAACACAGAGATAAAGTCAAAGATCCTATCACTATTTTTGGTTTTTGAATCTCAAAAAGTAAACATATTTGTGGTGGGATTAATAGTTTTCAGTGGGGAGCCATCTCCAGTAAAATGCAGGCACATTATTACACAATTTAGAGAATATCTTATGTGTGTGTGTGTGTGTGTGTGTGTTTAAATAAACAGCACCATCGAATTGGATGAAAACACACAGACTATATAACAGCCAAATTCACAGTGACTGGAAAATGTCAAATATGGGTGAAGGTAAAACTCTTAACTGAAGCAGGAAATCTCCGTGACCCCTTTGTGGGCAGGAACTGGAGTACACGGGCGCTGGACCTAGCTGGGTGCTTCAGTGGCAGCAGGGACAAACTCCACTCACATGAACTCACTGCATTCTACCCCTCACAAGAGGGGGCGCACAGGTGAGCAGGTGCAGGATCCAGGGCAAGCACTTTTGGGTGCCAGCAGGAATGAATTCCGTATTGCCCCCACAGCAGCGTCTAGGGGGATGCCTGGGACTCTTGAAGCCCCAGAAGGAGTGTTACAGAAGGAGTGTTACACTCAGTGCTTGTTTAGCTTGCCATCTGCAGTTGGCTTAAGTGTTAACAGCTCAGTGGAGGGTCAGTGTGACAGCCTTTTGCACCTGCACTGGAGTTCTTGTCCAGTGTCCAAGAGGAATGATGTTGCAGGAACAAATTGGAGATGGAAATGGGGGGGGGCGATGGTTTATTGCCAATCAAAGTGGCTCTCAGCAGGAAGAGGAGATGAAAAGGGGATGCAGTGGGGAGGTAATCTTCTCCTGGAGTCCAGCCCTACTCAGAGGGACTACTTTCCAAAGCTACACCATCAAGCTATCCCTCTGAAGTCAAGCCTCTTCTCTCTGACATCCAACCACAGTCTCTGACATTCAATTGCTTCCCCTCTCCTCCTCTTTCTGCTGGAGAGCCCGGGGTTTTTAATGGGCACAGGATAGGGGACAGGGCGGGCCACGGGTGGTTTTGGAAAAGGCATTATTGAAGCAGGAAAGCAGGAATGTATGTTCTCATTTTGGGCCGCGGTTCCAGGCTTGAGGGTGGGGCCCTCACTGGGGACCCACTCTCTTCTGCCAAGAATTTCCCTGCCTCCTGTTCCTATCAGAACTACTGGCCTCACCTGAGATTATGATGAAAGTGAAGTGTGAGTTTGATAACAGTCCATATTTTTATTCTAATTTCAGTTCAAGTATTGGTTATGATCCATTTTCCTGATATTACATTGAGTGTCAGAAATACAAGGATGAAAGACAAATGTCCTGCCCTCAGGACATAGTCCAATGGGAGACTCCCATAGTCTGATGGGAGAGACATATTAGGTTGGTGCAAAAGTATTGCAAAAAGTAAAACCAATTACTTTTGCACCAACTTAACACATGTAAATATGCAACCACCCAAAGCATAATTTATGCCATAACGGTATCTTGGTATGTTGCATTGTAAGTGCTCAGTAGATAATAATGAATTCTTATGCTAGAAAGAGACATTTTTAGGTTACAGATATGCTTAAGAAAATAATTCCAACTCAGAGAAACTTTCCCAAGAAAGCAGCTTTATTCAAAAGATGAATACTGCAATATTATTTATAATAGTGGAACATTTAAAACTATGTAAACATACAGCAACAGGAGATTGGTAATAAATTATGGTATGTCTAAATGATTGAATTTATAATGGCTATTAAAATCAATATTTAGTACAAAAATTTCTTCTTTAATATCAAGTGAAAAAAGCAAGATACACAGTTTTACATAGTATTATTATAACATGTACTTACGTACAAAAATGTAGGTAAGTTATGGCAAATATTAATAATAGTTATAACTATATAATAGACCTATAAATATTTTTTCTTTTTCAGTATTTTTTTTAAATTTTACTTTAAGTTCCAGGATACATGTGCAGAACTTGCAGGTTTGTTACATAGGTATATGTGTGCCATGGTGGTTTGCTACACCTATTGACCTGTCCTCTATGTTCCCTTTCTTCACCCTCCACCCACCAACAGGCCCTGGTGTGTGTTGTTCCCCACCCTGTGTCCACATGTTATCACTGTTCATCTCCCACTTATGAGTGAGAACATGCAGTATTTGGTTTTCTGTTCCTGTGTTAGTTTGTTGAGGATGATGGCTTCCAGCTTCATCCAAGTCCCTGCAAAGGACATGATCTCATTCCTTCTTATGGCTGCACAGTATTCCGTAATGTTTATGTACCACATTTTCTTTATCCAGTCTGTCATTGATGGGCATTTGGGTTGGTTCCATGTCTTTGCTATTTGAATAGTGCTGCAATAAACACATGTGTGCATGTGTCTTCATAGTAGAATGAATTATATTCCTTTGGGTATATACTCAGTAATGGGATTGCTGGGTCAAATGATATTTTTGGTTCTAGATCCTTGATCTAGAACCAAAACCATACCATCTTCCACAATGGTTGAACTAATTTACATTCCCACCAACAGTGTAAAAGCGCTCCTATTTATCCAAGCCTCACCAGCATCTATTGTTTCTTGACTTTTTAATAATCACCATCTGACTGGCAAGAGATGGTATCTCATTGTGGTTTTGATTTGCATTTCTCTAATAATCAGAGATGTTGAGTTTTTTTTCATATGTTTCTTGGCCACATAAATGTCTTATTTTGAGAAGTGTCTGTTTGTATCCTTTGTCCACTTTTTCATGGTTTTTTTTTTTTTTTTTGTAAATTTGTTTAAGTTCCTTGTAAGTACTGGATATTCAACATTTGTCAGATGGGTAGATTGCAAAAATTTTCTTCCATTATGTAGGTTGCCTGTTCACTATGATAATATTTTCTTTTGCTATACAGAAGCTTTTTAGTTTAATTAGATCTCATTTGTCAATTTCAGCTTTTGTCGCAATTGCTTTTGGCGTTTTCGTCATGAAATTTTGTCCATGCCTATGTCCTGAATGGTATTGCCTAGATTTTCTTCTAGGGTTTTTATGGTTTTGGGTTTTACATTTAAGTCTTTAATTCATCTTGAGTTAATTTTTGTATAAGGCATAAAGAAGAGGTCCAGTTGCAGTTTTCTGCATATGGCTAGCGAGTTTTCCCAGCACCATTTACTGAATAGGAAATCCTTTCCCCATTGCTTGTTTTTGTCAGGTTTGTCGAGGATCAGATGGTAGTAGATGTGTGGTGTTATTTCTGAGGTCTCTATTCTGTTCCCTTGGTCTGTATGTCTGTTTTGGTACCAGTAGTAAGCTGTTTGGGTTACTGTAGACTTAGTATAGTTTGAAGTCAGGTAGTGTGATGCCTCCAGCTTTGTCTTTTTGCTTAGGATTTTCTTGGCTATACGAGGTTTTCTTTCATTCCCTATGAAATTTAAAGTAGATTTCTAATTCTGTGAAGAAAGTCATTGGTAGCTTGATGGGAATAGCATTGAATCCATAAGTTACTTTGGTCAGTATGGCCATTTTCATGATATTGATTCTTCTTATCCATGAGGATGAAATATTTTTCCATTTGCTTGTGTCCTCTCTTATTTCCTTGAGCAGTGGTTTGTATTTCTCCTTGAAGAGGTCATTCACATCTCTAGTTAGCTGTATTCCAAGGTATTTTATTCTCTTTGTAGCAATTGTGAATGGGAGTTCATTCATGATTTCACTCTCTGCTTGTCTATTGTTGGCATAAAGGAATGCTTGTGATTTTTGCACATTCATTTTGTATCCTGAGACTTTGCTGAAGTTGCT
This sequence comes from Homo sapiens, assembly GCF_000001405.40. Classification (NCBI taxonomy): domain Eukaryota; kingdom Metazoa; phylum Chordata; class Mammalia; order Primates; family Hominidae; genus Homo; species Homo sapiens. Next base: position 98,788,343 of record NC_000001.11, on the reverse strand, counting down.
TATCAGTTGAAGGAATTTTTGGGCTGAGATCATGGGGTTTTCTAAATATACAATCATGTCGTCTGCAAACAGAGACAATTTGACTTCCTCTCTTCCTATTTGAATATGTTTATTTCTTTCTCTTGCCTGATAGCCCTGGCCAGAACTTCCAATACTATGTTGAATAGGAGTGGTGAGAGGAGGCATCCTTTTCTTGTACCAGTTTTCAAAGGGAATGCTTTCAGCTTTTGCCCATTCAGTATGATATTGGCTGTGGGTTTGTCATAAATAGCTCTTATTATTTTGAGATATGTTCCATCAGTACCTAGTTTATTGAGAGTTTTTACCGTGCAAGGATGTGGAACTTTATCAAAGGCCTTTTCTCCATCTATGAGATAGTCATGTAATTTTTGCCTAGTTCTGTTTATGTGATGGATTACATTTAATGATTTGCATATGTTGAGCCAGCCTTGCCTCCCAGGGATGAAGCTGCCTTGATCGTGGTGGATAAGTTTTTTGATGTTCTGCTGGATATGGTTTGCCAGTATTTTTTTTTAGGATTTTCACACTGATGTTCATCAGGGATATTGGTCTGAAGTTTTCTTTTTTGTGTGTGTCTCTTTCCAGTTTTGGTATCAGGATGATGCAGCTCTCATAAAATTAGTTAGGGAGGAGTCCCTTCTTTTCAATTGTTTGGAATATTTTCTGAAGGAATGATACCAGCTCTTCTTTATATTTCTGGTAGAATTCAGCTGTGAATCCTTCTGGTCCTGGGGTTTTTATGGTTGGTAGGCTATTAATTGCAGCCCCAATTTAAGAACTTGTTATTGGTCTACTCAGGGATTCGACTTCTTCCTGGTTTAGTCTTGGGAGAGTGTATGTTTCCAGGAATTTATCCATTTCTTCTAGATTTTCTAGTTTATTTGCACAGAGGTGTTTATGGTATTCTCTGATGGTAGTTTGTATTTCTGTGGGGTCCGTGGTGATACCTCATTTATTATTTTTTGTTGTGTCTATCTGATTCTTCCCTCTTTTCTTCTTTATTAGTCTAGCTAGTGGTCTATTTTGTTAATTTTTTTCAAAAAACCAGCCCCTGAATTCATTGATTTTTTAAAGAGTTTTTCATGGCTCTATCTCCTTCAATTCTTCTCTGACCTTAATTATTTCTTATCTTCTCCTAGCTTTTAGATTAGTTTGTTCTTGCCTTTCTAGCTCTTTTAATTGTGACCTTAGGGTGTCAATTTGAGATCTTTCAAGCTTTCTGATGTGGGCACTTAGTGCTATAAATTTCCCTCTTAACACTGCTTTAGCTGTGTCCCAGAGATTCTGGTACATTGTCTCTTTGTTCTCGTTGGTGTCAAAGAACTTCTTGATTTCTGCCCTAATTTCATTATTTACCCAGGTGTCATTCAGGAGCAGGTTGTTCAATTTCCATGTAATTGTGTGGTTTTTAGTTAGTTTCTTAATCCTGAGTTCTAATTTGAGCACACTGTGGCCTGAGAGGCTGTTATGATTTCAGTTCTTTTGGATTTGCTGAGGAGTGTTTTACTTCCACTTACGTGGTCAATTTTAGAATAAGTGCCATGTGGCACTGAGAAGAATGTATAGTCTGTTGATTTGGAGTAGAGAGTTCTGTAGACGTCTACTAGGTCCACTTGATCCAGAGCTGAGTCCAAGTCCTGAATATCCTTGTTAATTTTCGGTCTCATTGATCTGACAGTGGGGTGTTAAAGTCTAGGTATGGGTGTCTAGGTCTCTTTGTAGGTCTCTAAGAACTTGTTTTGTGAATCTGGGTGCTCCTGTACTGGGTGCATATATATTTCAAATAGTTAGCTCTACTTGTTGAACTGTTCCCTTCACTATCATGTAATGCACTTCTTTGTCTATTTTGATCTTTGTTGGTTTAAAGTCTGTTTTGTCAAAGACTAGGATTGCAACCCCTGCTTTTTTTTTCTTTTTTTTTTGCTTTCCATTTGCTTGGCAAATTTTCCTCCATCCCTTTATTTTGAGTCTTTTTGTGTCTTTGCACATAAGGTGGGTCTCCTGAATACAGGACACCAGTGGGTCTTGACTCCTTATCCAGTTTGCCAGTCGGTGTCTTTTAATTGGGGCATTTAGCCCATTTACCTTTTTAGTATTGTTATGTGTGAATTTGATCCTGTCATCATGATGCTATTTGGTTATTTTGCACGCTAGTTGATGCAGTTTCTTCATAGTGTCATTGGTCTTTATATGTTGGTGTGTTTTTGCAGTGGCTGATGCCAGTTTTTCCTTTCCATATTTAGTCTTTTCTTTTCTGTTCTTTTCTTTTTTCTTCTTTTCTTTTCTTTGGAGACAGAATTTTCACTCTTGTCACCCAAGCCAGAATGCAATGGTGCGATCTCAGCTCACTGCAACCTCTGCCTCCCGGGTTCAAGTGATTCTCCTGCCTCAACCTCCCGAGTAGCTGGGATTACAGGGGCCCGCCACCACACCCAGCTAATTTTCATATTTTTAGTGGAGACAAAGTATCACCATTTTGGCCAGGCTGATCTTGAACTCCTTACCTCAGGTGATGCACCCGCCTTGGCCTCCCAAAGTGCTGAGATTACAGGTGTGAGCCACCACACCTGGCTTTAGTGCTTCTTTCAGGAGTTCTTGCAGGGCAGGCCTGGTGGTAATGAAATCCTTCAGCATTTGCTTTTCTGGAAAAGATTTTATTTCTCCTTCACTTGTGAAGCTTAGTTTGGCTGGATATAAAAATTCTGGGTTGAAAATTCTTTTCTTTAAGAATGTTGAATATTGGCTCCCAATCTCTTTTGGCTTGTAGAGTTTCTGCTGAGAGGTCCGCTGTTAGTCTGAAAGGCTTCCCTTTGTAGGTGACGTGGCCTATCTCTCTTGCTGCTCTTAATAGTTTTTCCTTCATTTTGACCTTGGAGAATCTGATGATTATGTGCCTTGGGGTTCATCTTCTCATGGAGTATCTTAGTGGTGTTCACTGTATTTCCTGAATTTGCATGTTGGTCTATCTTGCTAGGTTGGGGAAGTTCTCCTGGATAATATCCTGAAGTGTGTTTTCCAGCTTGTTTCCAGTCTCCCCATCTCCTTCTGGTACTCCAATCAATCATAGGTTCGGTCTTTTTATGAAGTCCCATATTTCTTAGAAGCTTTGTTTATTCCTTTTCATTCTTTTTTCTCTAGTAAGGTCTGCATGCCTTATTTCAGCAAGATGGTCTTCAAACTCTGATATCCTTTCTTCCACTTGGTCAATTCAGCTATTGATACTTGTGTATGCCTCGCAAAGTTCTCGTGCTGTGTTTTTTCAGCTCCATCAGGTCATTTATATTCCTCTCTAAACTGGTTATTCTAGTTAGTAATTCCTCTAATCTTTTATCAAGGTTCATAGCTTCTTTGCATTGGGTTAGAACATGCTCCTTTAGCTCAGCATAGTTTTTTATTACTCATCTTCTGAAGCCTACTGCTGTCAGTTCATCCATCTGATCCTCCGTCCAGTTCTGTACCCTTGATGGAAAGACATTGTGATCATTTGGAGAAGGGGCACTCTGGCCTTTTGGGTTTTCAGCATTTTTTCGTTGATCCTTTCTCATCTTCGTGAGTTTGTCTAGTTTCGGTCTTTGAGGCTGCTGACCCTTGGATGGGGTTTTTGTGGGGGATTTGTTGTTGTTGATGATGATGATGATGATGATGATGCTGTTGTTGCTTTCTGCTCATTTGTTTTTCTTTCAATGATCAGGTCCCTCTTCTGTAGGGCTGCTGCAGTTTTCTGGGGGTTCACTTCAGGCCGTATTCATCTGATTCACTCCAGAGCCTGGAGATGTCACCCAAGGAAGCTGGAGAACAGCAAAGATGGGTGCCTCCTCTTTGTTCTGGGACCTCTGACCTTAACGGGCACCAACCTGATGCCAGTAGGATGGCTTCTGGTGTGTTCCTCGCTGAGGGAAAACCCACTCATCTGGGCTGCCCAGATTCCTCAGAACTACCAGGAGGAAAGGCTAAGTCTGCTGGTCCGCAGAGACTGCAGCCACCGCTCCCACTAGGGGCTAATGCCCAGGGGGATCCAGGTTCTGTCCCTGAGCCTCTGGCTGGAGTTATTGGAGTTCCTGCAGGGAAGCCCCATCCAACGAGGAAGGATGGGTCAGGGTCAGGCCCGAAGAGGCACTCTGGCCACAGACTGCCACAACTGGTGTGTTAGGCTGTGGGGGACAAGTCTTAGGACCAAGCCATCCAGCCTCCCTGGCTCCAGCAGGCGAAAATCACAGTCTGGGACTATAGAGATGGTTGCTGCCCTTCCCCCGCCCAGGGAGCTTAGGCAGTTGCAAGTCCCAGTGCTGGTGGCTGCCCCTCCCCCAAGGAGCTCAAATGGCTTAGATGGCAGGCAGCCACAGTCCAGTGATGCTGGTTGCCCCTCTCCCTGAGAGTTTAGTAGGCTTGAGCAAATTCCAGCTGAGAGGCTAAGAGTCTGCGCGTTCCAGGGTTGGGATGCCAGGCCCCGGTGGTGTGGGTTTGTGAGTGGGATCTTTCAATCCATGGGTTGCAAAGTTCCATGGAAAAAGTACGGTTTCCCTGCCTGGGTAGCATGCTCACTCACCACTTCCCTTGACTGTGGAGAGGGGCTCCCCGATCCCATGTGGCTCTCAGGTGGGCCACTGCACCACACTGTTCTTCCTTCTCTTCATGGGTCACGTCAGCCTCCTAGTCAGTTCTGATGAGAGAATCTGGATTCTTTGGTTGCTGGTGAAGGATTCACATGCTTATTATGGTTTTTTTTTTATGGTTGCCTCTGAACACAACTGTTTCTAGTAGACCATCTTGGCTCCACCCCCAATTATACTATTTTCTATTCTCACTAGCAGTATATGAGGGTTCAGTTCCTCCATTTTTTTGTCAGCACTTGATATGTTCTGTCTTTAGTTTAATCCATTGTAATAGGTATGCGGTGTTATTTAATTGTGGTTTTAATTTGCATTTTTAAATAACTAACAGAATTGTTTATTATTTCATTTCTTATTTGCCATAAAGGTATATTTTATTTGGTGAAGTATCTATTCAAATCTTTTGACTATATTTAATAAGCAAATTGTTTCTCTTTTATTGAGTTTGGGGAGGATATAAATTAATGATATATTTTTAAATTTTCTGTTTATCATTGGTTTTTACAATTGGATTATAGGCTTGGTTTGGTGGATGACACCTGGAATTTCAGTGCTTTGGGAGGCTGAGGAGGCAGGATCACCTGGGGCCAGGAGTTCAAGATCAGTCTGGACAACACAGTGAGACTGGGTTTATACAAAAAAATTTTAAAATTAGCCAGGTGTGGTAGCATATCTATGTAGTCCTAGCTACTTAGTAGGCTGAAGTGGGAGAATTACTTGAGCCCAGGAGTTTGAGGCAGCAGTGAGCTATGGTTGTGCCACTGAACTTTAGCCTGGGTGACAGAGAGAAAAAAAAAAAAGGGTGACTCAAAAAAAAAATTTTTAATTAAAAAACCCAATTAATTGGATTATGATGAACTGTGTTTGTTATAATTGTCTTCATGTTTCTTGAATTTGGGGTTCATTGTGATTCTTGGATCTGTGAGTTTACTGTTTTCATCAAATTTGAAAATTTTCAAACTTACTTTCTTCAATATTTTTTCTGTCTCTCTCCTTGCTTTGGCCACTTACTTACAAGCATGTTAGACCACTTGAAATTGTCTCATATCTATATAGTCCATTCATTTTTTTAAAAAATATTATCCTTTATTTTTGTGTTTTATCTTGATGGTTTTTATTTTCATGTCAACATGTTTACCAATATTTACATCTGCAATGTTGCATTTGTCATTAATCCCATCCAATATATCATTCCCCTCACACATTTTAGTTTTCCTTTCTAGAAATTCCATTTTTGTCTTTCTTATAAATTCCATTTCTATACTTAATATTTGAACATATATAATAGTTATATAACTGTTTTATGTCTTTATTTGCTAATTGTAATGTCTAAGTCAGTTGTGGTTTTCAGTTGATATTTCCTCTCATTATAAATCATATTTTTGTACTATCTTGCCAGTTTATAATATTTTATTGAATTCCTGACATTGCAAACTTTACTTTGTTGGATGTTAAATGTTTTTGGATTCCTATAGATATTCTTGAGCTTTGTTCTTGATACATGAGTAATTTATTTGGATACTGTTGGAGCTTCCTTTTAAGGTTTGTTATGCGTGACTGGAAAGGTGTTTTAGCTTAATTATTTCCTACTATTGAAGACAGGTCAGTGTGCTTTACCCAGTGTTCCATGAAACATGAGATTTTTCCAGTTTGGCCGGTGGGAATGGGTGATATGTCCAGCCTTGAGTCACTTCTAGGCAATGTCACTTTTAGTCTATTTAGTCAGTTTTTTCCTCTGTCCTTGGGTGGTCTCCTCATACATGGGCACTCAGTAGCACTCTGCTAAAGACATGGAGGGGCTTGCTGTTGACCTCTGGAGTTCTCTCTCTGTGAAGCCCTCTCTTCTCCAGCAGACTATCCCACATACTCTCAGCTCTGTCTCTTCAACTCAGAGAATTGGCCCGGCTCTGCCTAGATTCTGCATCCCTATACTATGTCCTGAAACACTCTTGAAGGCAATAAGATAGGGAAATAACAGGGCTCACATCATTTTCCCCTGTCTCTCAGAGATCATTGTCCTACATTGCTTGATGCTAGTGTTTTGATAACTTTTGTTTCATATATTTTGTCAATTTGTTTATTTTTCAGGTTGGGTGAAGTGTATGTCCCTAAGTGCATTCATTTTTCTTCTAAATGATAACTTCGTAAGTCTCAGAATTCTAAATAATGAATAAAATATTCCCATAGCAACTGTTACGTCTAACCAACCATGTAGACCCAAATCTTCCTTTGTAAAATACTTCACATAAGAAAACCTCAAAACAAAAACAAAACAAAAAAAATGATGGCTTCAACCAGAATTGTTTTTTGTTGTTGTTGTTAAGGAGCATTGCTTTGAATAAATATTTCTCACTTTATCTTTTGAAAAATTGCCTTTTAAAATTAATATTTTAATACTATTCTTGAGTAGCTATGTTTATTAAAGCACTAGATATTAATTTTGATTTTTCATTGCCAACTTAAAGCTGTTCTCAATAGACTATAGAGATAAATTCAGAAACTATTGGTTTTACATTTTATTCTTTTTTGAAATTTAGGATACTTCTCTGCAAACTTAATTTTAGAAAAATATTTGAATATTTTTTAAAAGCACAGTAAAGCAATGGCAATATTTTCTAATAACACATAATTTTTGTGTGGAGAAAACTTACTAACTTATAAACCTTCAAATCAGTTGCTTAGACTATACCTGCAGGTAAAATGAGCTATTTGGCCTGAATTGACTGCTTGGTTGTTCAAAATCCCTGAAAATTCAGTTAAATTGGTTGGATCATTACATAGTATGAAACTGGCAGATTGCTTATTCAAAAATGGTTGAATTGGCTGTATGTGGAGCTATAACATGAATCTGGAATAGTAGTCTCATGCTGGGTGCTAAGGGTACTAGAAAGAACTAAGAAAACATTTGTGAATATTTTTTATCCCATAATTATGCTGTTTTTCATCAAAGGACTTTGAAGTTACAATAGTATTAATCTCCTTAAATCTAAGGTGTGTATGTCATTAGAGAAATGATGCTGGGTACTTGCAAATTGTCCATGGCATGTATTATAGACATAATAGTAAATGAGAGGAAATCACAGCGAGAACTTAGAATTATCCCATTTACACAATAAATAGAACACCTGTTATAACTAAATTAAACACACACCAGCAAGAAACTGGCCCAATCTTTACCCAAGGACCACTGAAAAGCTTAAACAGAAACCTCAAATGGCATTCAATAAATAGATTAGTATATTCATGCTAGATTTACAAGGTATACCTCAGCACTTCTTGTCACTGAAAAGTCAGTAAGCGTTACAGTTACCAATAGACCTGCTTAAAACTTCTTCCTAAAAGTAAGAACGGAGGTTTTTGCTTAGGATGTTATTTGGGGGATTAAGAGATTTAGACAAAGCTTAACTGGGAAGAATAGTATAGTTTCTTTGAAATCTTGTAGTTTAAAGCTGAGTTGACAATTGCACATTCACTAGTTTAGTTTCTTTCCTAACTCTGAATGATTTTGCTAAGAAAGAAGAATGCAGGCCGGACTGAGCATTAGAAAAGAAATATCATGATATAAAATGAGGGCTGAGGTAAAGGTGAGGGTAAATGACTATCCAAATGTGATATCTCATAGATCCAATTAACTTTAGAGTTAGAAAATAGTGAAACAGCCAGCTCATATTCCCTAATTTTGCAGATATTCTAGGAAGTGAAGCGACTTCACATGAACACAGGATAAAAGTCCACCCAAACAGACTGATTGTTAGCAGTTCTCAAAGACTTACCAGGTAGATCACCAAATTTGTGGACACTGATAGTTCCCCTTCCCTGAGGTTCAACAGGGTTTCTAAAGGTGAGGGAGGCTGGCTGTCGCTGGCAGCACGCAGTGCTTCTTTCTGCCTCTACATAGTGTGGCTGGCACTCTTTCTATCTTCCAAGGGACTTCGCTGAGAAAGCTCCACTGCTTCCCATCACTGTAGATCTAATGTTTCAGAGAAACATAAAGTGACTGATGCTTCCAAAATAAATTCTTGATTTCTTAGACTGGGGAAGGGAACTTAGGGGCATGGTTGAGAGCACTGACTTAGGTGTGAATCACACTGATTGTTTTGTGAAATTGTATGAGCTATTTCACTTCTCCAAGGCTTACTTTCCTTATGTGAATAAATACAATAATTGTTCCAGTTTCATAATACTGAGAAGGAATAATCACATGTAAGATGCTTAACCCAGTATCTGTCAAAAAATATTATCCGTTGTCACAATAAAATAGCATTGCTCATCTCCTATGTTTCTTTACCTGGAAGAGCATTGTTGTCTGGTAGACCCTTATTTTACTCTAGATTCACAATGGGGGGAAATGACATTTTTATAGATTACAAAGTTATTGAGGCAGCCGTGGAAAAAATTGTCACACATCAAGTGTGAAGTATTGTAAACACATCATAATGAAATCAACACCATATTATTACAAACTTCTCTTTCATATTTATCTGGGGTCACAGGTTTCTCAAAGGACTGTGGGCTTGAAAATATAGTGTCAATGGAGCTTCAATGCCAGTCTAATGGTGATGGCAATGACCCATAAGATTCTGGAGTTGGGACTGGGTGTGGTGGCTCATGCCTGTAATACCAGCACTTTGAGAGGCCAAGCTAGGCGGGAGTTTGAGACCTGAGGTCAGGAGTTCGAGACCAGCCTGGCCAACATGCTGATACCCCATATCTACTAAAAATACAAAAATTAGCCAGGCGTGGTGGCTCGCACCTGTAATCCCAGCTACTTGGGAGGCTGAGGTAGGAGAATCGTTTGAACCCAGGAGGCGGAGGTTGCTGTGAGCTGAGATCGTGCCACTGCATTCCAGCCTGGGCTACAAGAGCAAAATTCCATTTCAAAAAAAAAAAAATGTGGAATTGGGAAAAATGTCTTTCTGCACTTCTTTACCCTCTTCACATCCTCTTTTTCCTCAAACAAGCTGGATTCAAAGAAGGGCTGGGAGCCGTGTGGCTTGTTGGTAACAGCTCCTGAAAACTCAATGTAGCAGTGTAATAGGAGAGAATGAAATGGTAAAAGAGAAAAGTGAGAATCACTGAATTAATTCAGTCAAGTGTCTCTTTGCTTCCTGTACTAGAACTAGAGTCAATGTATGTTGGAATAGTAATCACTTATATAAATTATGTTTCTCTTATTTCTGTTTAAAGAACTTTGAGTGAATGAATTATTAAATTATTGAATGAAGGTGAGCATGATATAAACAAATTTATTCTTCTCCATAAGATTTGTTTGGACATGGTGCAAAATGAATGGCTCTCAGCTTTCAGAAAGAGTGTTCCCTGCACAGTGTGCCTCCCTTTTTCTGCTGAGCCACATGTGACAAGAAAACACAATTAAATTTTCAGTTGGGTTTTGCATTTTTCTGATCTTCTAACAACTGGGTGTCAGATATCTCAATGCATAACCACCCACTCACAACAAGATTATACATTAGACTCTTTGTTATCTACTTTTATGAAGGATTTCTGAATGCTAAAAGGAATAAATTAACTGTGCCAAATCTGTAATAAAGTTGTTCTCTCTATCTGATTGTTAATATTTCCACGATTGTACAGTAATCCTCATCAAGGACAAGAGTATTTACATCATCCTAAAAGAAGGACACAGAAAGGAATATAAAATGCATTTGATTCTTGGAACTATATATCCATATTTGCTCTAGACTAAATATCACAATAGTATCTAATAGCCAGGTGTAAAATAACTATTAGAATAAATCTTTCCAAATATAATGAGAATACAAACCAGGAATGCAAAATCAAATAAAACCATTTTATTTAAATTTCTCAGATTTTAATAATCTGATACCTAGGTTTTCTTCTAAGTGCTATTATAGTGTTAATATCCCTGTGCCCACACTTGGTAGAAAGGTACTTGCTGGTGACTGCCTGTGAGCAGAGAGGTTCATCTTTTCCAACATTAACTCCATCACCAATGAGAGTGACTGGCACACATACTCAAAACATACTGTTTATTATTGAATCAAATAGTACATAAATCATAAACTGTGAATTATGGAGATTAATATACATTTTAAATAAAAATAATAGCTACAATGTTTGGAATAGTCTCAATGGGTAGGCTGCTTCCATGTATATCATATCTTTTCAAAGTCATAAATACACGATAATATGTTAGCATGATCACTTTGAAGATTTGAACATAAGCAAACTTTTAAAATTTTCAATTTAAAAATGATTTAACATAATTTGTGCAGAAAGGCAGAGGATATATCACACGATCTGTTACCTGTGACCACTCTGATATCATCCCCAGCACTCTTCCCCTCCCTCATTCACATTGCTCCAATCATCCTGGCTTCCCTGTTGTTCTTGAAGACACCAAGTTTAATGTTGGCTTAGGGTATTGGTATTTACTGTTCCCTCTCCTGAGATATTCCTTCCTCTGTACCCGCAAGACTGGCTTCATCACTACTTCATATATATCATTGTCTTCTCAAAGAGACAGTCACTGACTACCCTGTGTCATATAGCTGCCCCACTCTCTAACCCCTTGCCTTGATACAGTTTTCTTCACTGTACTTGTTGCCATCATATTAAATACTTGCCCGTTTGTTTACTCTAGATCTCTTTCCACTAGAATATAAGCTCCAAGAGAGCAGACTTTGTCATTTTCTTCACCACTGGCTCCTCCCAGTGTATAATAGTGCCTGGCACATAGTATCATTCAATAAGTACATAAGTATTTCTTAAATAAATGACTCAATTGGTTGCTCTTATTTACTTAAAAATATATTTTACATGTGTTACGAATAAATTCATTTGGACTTTCTTAGTTCATTATAGATTAGAAACAAAACTCCAAAACAATGGTCTAATTCTGACTTTCTTGAGACATATTTTGAGAATATTTTGCAAAAATGATCACCAGTACTCATCACTGCTATGGATTTGCCTAAGGAGAAAAGGGATACCTCAATTTACTATGTTAACTTAACCCAGGAAATGTTGAGATATACAGAGCCCCACAATTCCAACACTCATTAGCCACGCAAATTAAGTTTTTCATAAAAATTTTAGTGAACGCAAAAGGTTATTGTGGAAAAAAAATTCTAGTGATTGTATTTCTGTTGCTGTGTGCCAGGCATTGTATTTAGTACTTGACATGTATTAACGTATTTAATTCTCACTTCAGAGCTCTCTGAGGCACTATTATCACGCTATTTGTTATGGGCTGAATTACATCCCCCTCAAAATTCATATGTTGAATTTCCAACCTCAGTACCTCAGAATGTGACTGTATTTGGAGTTGGGTCTTTAAAAAAATGAGTTAGGTAAAATGAACTCATATAGGTGATCTCTAATCCAATATGACCAACATGCTTATAAGAAGAGGAGATTAGGACTCAGACAACACACAGACTATGAGGCATTGTAGTAGTTAAGAGTTCTCCAGAGAAACAGAACCAATGGGATTTTATATACAGATGGTGCCTGGCTTACAATGGTTTGATTTAGGGTTTTTCAACTTTATGATGGTGTAAAAGCAATAGGTATTCATTAGAAACCATACTTCGTGCAGCCATGCACTATTCTGTTTTTCACTTTCAGTACAATATTCAATAATTTATATGAGCTATTTAATATTATATTATATAATAGGCTTTATGTTAGATGACTTTGCCTAACTGTGGGCTGAGGTAAGTGTTCTCAGAGCATTTAAGGTACGCTAGACTAAGATATCTCTTCAGTAGGTTAGGTGTAATAAATACATTTTTGACATAGGATATTTCAACTTATGATGGGCTTATCAGGATATAACCCCATTGTAAGTCAAGGAGATTTATTTGAAGGCTCTCAAGATTATGAAGGCTGCCAAAAAAAAAAAAAAATCTGCAGGGTGGGCCAGCAGGCTTGAGACCTAGGAAAGAGGCAATGTTGCAGATGAAGGTCCAAGGCAGTCTGCTGGCAGAATTTCCTCTTGCCCAGGTCAAGTCAGTCTTTTGTCCTATCCAGGCCTGCATCACCAAAAACAATATATTTTATTCAAAGGTCATGCACTTAAATGTAAATGCCATCCAAAAACATTCTGAATAACATTTGACCAACTCTCTGGGCACCATAGCTCAGCCAAGTAGACACATAAAATTAATCATCACAAGTCCACTCCATGTGAACTTGGTGCCCACACACATCTTTAACCATACAGTAATCCCCCCAGACTCATTGTTTTGATTTCCTTGGTTTCAGCTACTCAAGTCAACCATGGTCCTAAAATATCAAATTAAAATTACAGAAATAATCAATTCATAAGTTTTAAATTGAACACTGTTCCGAGTAGTGTGCTGAAATCTCACACCATCCCACTCTGACCCCGAGACGTGAATCCTCCCTTTGTCCAGCATGTCCACTGTCTATTCTCTCTGCCCATTAGCCACTTAGTAGCTAACTTGGTTATCAAATAGACTGTCATGGTTTACAGTGCTTGTGTTCAAGTAACCCTTATTTTACTTAATAGTGGTCCCAAGGCGCAAAAGTAGTGATACTCGCAATTTGGGTATGCCAAAGAGAAGTTATAAAGTACTTCCTTTAAGTGAAAAAGTAGAAGTTCTTGACTTAATAAGGAAAGAAAAAAAACATATGCTGAGGTTGTTAAGATCTACAGTGAAAATGCATGTTCTATCTGTGAAATTGTGAAGAAGTGAAAAGAAATTCATGCATACTATTTATAGGTTTGGGATTATCCTCAGTTTCAGGCATCCACTGGGGGTGCTGGAACGTATCTGCCACAGATAAGGGGGCTACTGTACTTTAATCTCCAATAAAGACAATAACAAGGTCATACTTCCATCTAGCATAACACAACTGTCCTGTGTACAACTGAAAATGCACTAACTCTTTTCCCAGAAAAGGATGTGAAGTCCTTACATGATGTTTACTCTTCTTGATATCTTGTAATTTAAATATTATGATATGAAGTCAACAATACTTAATACTATGACATGAAGTCAATACATCTTATATCACATAATAAGGGGAAAAAAGGGAAGAAAACAAAGATACTATATATTATATATATAAATACATACATATGTATGTGCATATATACAAACAAACATATTGATAACAAAATAAGGAAGAAATACTCATGACAATTACAGTACATAGTTCTGTAACTGGTCACATGGTCATAGCTGAGATCTATAATTACCTTATTTCACTGCCCATTCTGCATTCTAGCACCTCAGCTGGTCATAGTTCCTTCCCTGGCGGGGTGACCCAAACCTTCATTCCTGAAGGGTCTGGGCCATTAGCAGTTCTATCTGGATTGGGTTATTTTTCCATTGATCTTAATCAATGTATAGTAATATATTGATTAAGGTATAGTAATACTAGGAGAAACCCTAAGGGATCTCTTGTATTGGACGGACTCTTACTTAGTGTCAGTCCAATTTCTCCTTGGTATAATAGTTAGGATCAATCACCCCAGCTAACACAGTAACTCCTGTATTTGCCTATTGATTCAGAGGCATGAGTAGCCTAAAGTGGTTGGGTGGTAGTCTTAACTGCTGGTTCAATGGGATCATTGTTATCTGTCCTGGTGGAAGCATTCCCCCATTTGGAACTGAGACCTCTAGGCAAGCAGAGCACAAGGTTACAGGAACAGAAAGCATATATTTTGCTAGTTGGTTATAAATGGTGCTGCTCCCATTTCTACCCCTTGATTCCTGGACATTTGAGTGTCTGCTGTGGAAGAAACAACATGATATATTGCACACTAATTTAGAGTATGTACAGCCTCTTGCAGAATATTGACCCAGCCGGGCAAGGTACCACCCCTCAGATGTTGCTGAAACTGAGTCTTCAAAAGGCCATTCCACTATTCTATCAAGCCAGCTGCTTCAGGATGGTGGGGAACAGTTCACCATGTGTGGACACAGTGAAAAAGTGGCAATCCTTAAAAACAAAAACAAGAAGATAGGACTCAGAAGAAACCAAACCTGCTGACACCTTGATCTTGGACTTCTAGTCTCCAGAATTATGGTCTATTGTTATAGCAGCCCTAGCAAACCAATGCACTATTTTGATAGATAGATAGATAGATAGATAGATAGATAGATAGATAGATAGACAGATACATAGATGCATAGATACATAGATAGATACACAGATAGATAAAAACCCTGAGACTCAGAAAAACTGATAAATTTGCCTAAAGTAACACAGATAATAAATGATTAATTCGTAACCTCAGAGCCCTCATTCTTGACCATTAGTTAAGAGAGCACCCGGTTGCCTTATCTGCATAACTAATGTCAAGTACTTCTGTGGTTTTGATTATGCTCGGCACATTAGGTGGTCAACAATTAATAATTGGTGATAAATTTGTTCACCAGTCTTTTCAAGGATTGTCAAGCAAATTAATATCTAGGAGGCATGAAGCTGTAAAGAAAAATACTTGTTCTACGTGTAAGAGGGAAGAGAATATGGGGCATTCATTTCTTGAGTGACATAAAATTTAGAGAACATTTTTGAGAAAATTTTTACTTTATGAAGAAAATTTTGAAAACTTCCAATGACTTAGCGGCCCAAGCTGGCCCATGTGCTGAGGCTGAGGTGTATCCACCAGTCAACAGTGCAAAAAGCAAACACAAAATCTCCAGGTGCTTCTGAATTATTTCAGGAGCAAGGTGCCTCAGATTCTTAGCTGAGGTCAGGGCAGCTTCACACATTTGTTCCCTCTGAGAAAAGAGTTCTTTTTAAAAGATTTGGCAAATGTTTACTTGGAAAACTCTTCAGCTTAGTAATAGTTGGGGCTGTAATTTACTCAAAATGGACAGAGAACAGCCAAAGAAGAAGAGAAGCATCTTCATTCAGAATGTAAAATGTAAAAAACAATCGATACCAAGTGGGAAGGAGGAAAGATTTATATCTGAAAAGAGTAATTAGGTATTATCCCTCCCTAAACCATTATATAACATATAATCTATAATACATAAAGCTATAAATACACTATATATACACATATATATCTTTCCCAGATATTGAATATCTTTCATGTATTATTGACTATTATTTCCCCACCCATCTTGTATATGTAGAGCAATGCTTTAAAAATATAAAAAAATTAACTTTTAGTTTTCTAAAAAATAAACTTTCCTATTTACTGTCAGACTAGCAATATATATATATATTTTTAAGATACAGAGTTTCACTCTGTCACCCAGGCTGGAGTGCAGTGGCACAATCATAGCTCACTGCAGCCTCAACCTCCTAAGATCAAGCAATCCTCCTGCCTCAGCCTCCTGAGTAGCTGGGACTGTGGTGTATACCACCACACCCAGATAATTTTTGTATTTTTTTGTAGAGACAGGGTCTTGTTATGTTGTTCAGACTTATCTTCAACTGGTCTCAAGTGATCCTCCCACCTCGGCTTCACAAAGCACTGGGATCACAGGTGTAAGCCAGCATGCCCAACCTGATCCTTAATTTTAAAAGCTTTTTGTGGATGTGTACTTTGCACTGAGCTTGCGCTGATGATGAACGACAACCAAAGGGGTTGGCTCCTATATAGAGCAAGGAAATGCCTCCTATATAGAGCAAGGAAACTGTAAATAAAGCATCTCCCTTTCCACCTCTTTGCCATTTACTTGATGTAATTAAGAAAGATGGCATTAGATGCTTGTATACTATCCGGAGTAAGGCAGCCAGACACTGAATATTAGGAGGAAAGTTATTTTAAGGAGTAAGGAGATTCACTTGAAACCATGTTTGGCTATGGAAGTGAGAGTACGAAGAGAGGGGATGAACAGTTCTAATTCTGACTCTGTTTTCAAATAACTGGAACCAGGGCCCACTGTATAATGTGTGGATGAAATACTGCAATATGAAAACACTGGGCCTTTTTTTCAAGAATTACTAACATTTCCAAGACTGTGGCAGCAGAGCATTAAACCAAGTGTCGGGCCCTGGTAAGCCTAGGAACCTGCATAACGAAACAGGTCACATACTGTGTCCAAAGACCTGGATTCACAATTTATTTGTGAATTCAGGAACTGATTTGCTAAGTTAGCTTGTCTCCATGGTCCCATCCAGAATTTAGAATTCCACATCATGACAGTATAACATCTTATGTTTCTTATATGGAAAAGGTTATAACCTTCACTTGCTGTAACAGAATTTGATGATGTTTTTCTCTAAAAGTGAATTACTCACCAAAATATCTTCCAGTATTTATAGCATCCTTGCCTTAAAGAAAAAAAAACAATAATCTCATAAACGAAATTTTTGATTTCTATCACATATTTCTAAAGAAACACGAAGTAATCTTGTCTGTTAGAATTTGCATAAGTCCTTCTAGAAGGAAAAAAAATGCAGCTATTACGTATTTTGAATCTTAAAATTTAAAGTTTAGAAGCAGATGTTATAGTTCTTTGGTTGTATTTAAGCCTTCATTAAAGGATACAAATTATGACATCAAGCCACTTTGAGTTTTTTATGTTTTTGTAATATGATAATTAAATTAAAGGGTTTTCTCTCCAGGAAAGTATTGATTTTAGCACAATTCTCTCTCTCTTGAAATATTAGAATCTGAATTCCTTTAAAGGGGGATGTGTTACATTATGACAGAAATATACAGGAGCATGAAATACCAAGAGAAAGAATGATTATAAGAAATGAATAAAGGGGAAAGAGGAATGGAGAAAGGAAGGGAAAAAGGTAAGTTACTGTGATGCTATTCTAAGGAGTGTTTATATTTTATATTAAAGAATATTCAAA
Source organism: Homo sapiens (assembly GCF_000001405.40). Taxonomy (NCBI): domain Eukaryota; kingdom Metazoa; phylum Chordata; class Mammalia; order Primates; family Hominidae; genus Homo; species Homo sapiens. Next base: position 98,770,932 of record NC_000001.11, on the reverse strand, counting down.
AGTAAAATTATGAGACTGCAATGGTGATTCAGAAGAAATAGTGGGGAAAGAATCTATAAGACCTTTGAGAGGAGCTCTGGGCAATCATGAAGTTTGGGATCAGGCTTGCAGACATTTCCTAAGACTCAGTCTTCAGGTCGGCAATTCACTGCAGCAGACTGACAGCAGTGAGAAATGGGATTTCTGTACTGTCCACTGGAGGTTGTGATGTATTACAGATACTGCTGGTTATCCACCCTATACCTAGACTTCCATTTTACCCTAGTAATGGAGCTCTAATTTTATTCTGTGGAAGCTGTGTGTAAAAATAAATACTAAATTATCCAGTATCCCTTAAAGGTAGGTGTGCTGTGTGACTGGCCATTGAATTTGTGGTGAAATCTGGCCACTGAATTATAAACAAAACTATTCATTATAGTTAGCATGTAATTCCTAATTGCTTAGTTCAGTAGGTCCATTTCCTATAAGTTCTCTTTGGAGCAATTCACTTTATGTTTTTATGTATCCTGAAACTCTGTCCTTCCTTAGCTTTCAAAATAAAAAATTCTGATTTTTTTCCTCTAATGTTTTAGACACTCTTTTCAAATATCTATTACCGCAAGTTTGGTTAAGATCACAGTAATCTCTAATGGGGACTACAGCAATAAATTCTAAATTACCATCTCAGCCTTTGGTTCAAATATAGCTCTTCAGTTTGTTATGCACTGAACATTTTCATATTTTTCTCTAATGGCATAGAACTAGTACAGTTTGCAGCTGAGAATATGACACAGAGAATTAGAGAAAAATTATTATTCCTGTGACTGTATTTTTCCCAGAATGATCTAAGCAGGTAGACTTCAAGAACAGTGGCACATGTTACAATAAATAAACGTAGCTATAAAGTGCCACAGGAGGATGCAGGGAAGAGTGATTCTTGGAGATAATAGGAAAATTCATCAACGACTGGATGATATTAAGGTGGGTCTTAAATGAGTAGGAGTTTGAAAGGCAGGAAGGAAGAACTCATCAATACAAGGAAAAACATGAGCACAATTACAGAAAAATGAAAGTGCAACTGTGTTTGGAGAATGCTAAGTCAGTCTACGTGATTGGACTTTAGAGGAGGTGAAAAGTATGGAAGGTCATTCAGACCAGTAGTCTTCAAACTAGCCTGGGGCTACAGAAGAAAATTTCCAGAAAGTACTCTGGTATGGGTAGTGTTTTTGGTTATCAGTTTCTAGATACTAAATTCCTAAATCTATTCTTTTCTAAAACTGTCCGCTTGAGAATATTCCTCCTTTCTAGAAGTCATACCTAATTTTCTTTCTTTCCGTTTTACAGTAGATGCTCTCTCACTTTAAAAAAGAGAGGCATAGCTCTTACACATCTGGAATTTTACTATGGCTAATTGCCTAAGAGTGCAAATCCACTAGTCGCTAAACAAAGAGAAAATTAAAATGTTTCTCATATATATATATGGGGTGTGTGTTTGTGCTGTGTAATTACAAATGCTGCATTCTTGTCAATGTTGCAATGTTCAGAATAATTTTGGGTGAGGTAGGGTTTATTTCATTTTCATTTAGTGACCTCAATCTCATCTGCCTCTGGAAGATCATCAAAGAATGCTTTGCTCCAGTGACCGTGTCTCATGAGAGCAAAGCAATAAGTCTGTTAAGAAATGCGGAAAGTTGTGATGCTTTATTTTATGCAAATGACAAGCTAGTAGCAAGGGTGAACTATCTATTTACCTATCTGTGCACCCATCCTCCCAGCTATCACCTATCTGTCCATGTAATGATCTTAAAATTCAGAAGGGAGATGATTCTCATGAAAATATGAATTTGTATGTTTATTTAAACTGAAATATAATGACTGACTTCACAATGAGGGCTGGTTTGATCAATTAGGTTATATGGCTGACATTTTCTATAAATTTCATGAGCTAAGTCTGTAACTCCAAAGTTTTGACAAAAAAACTTACAATACGTAAGAATAAAGCACTTTATCAAAAATTGTTGTCATAGCAAAGGTTTATTAAAATTAGCAATATTTAAATTTCCCTAACCTTTTCTATTAAACAAGGTGCCTCTAAAGTGAAAGAGTAAAAGATGAGTCATTGTCATTCAATAAGTTTTGGTAAAATCTGTGCTATTTTCCAGAAACTAAAAAGAGAAGAAAAACTCTGTGTGACAGTCACTTAGACAGCAGCTAAGTCTGTAGCTTAGCTCTTCTTCCAGGAGAGACCCTGTCATGAGAAGTGTAGTTAGCAGGCAGCCCCCGACTGCCACATCTTCAGATCCACTGCGATTTCCATGCAAACATCCTACTTTCCCCCAGACTGCTCTCAGCCAGTGACAGCCTGGCAGAGGTACCAGAGCTGGGGGTCACTTCTGCCAGGCCAGGATCCATAACAGAAAAGTTTTGCTCTGGGAATCTCTTTGGCCTAAGACTTTTTGAGAATTGTGCTGTATTCTGAGGCCCTCTGAACCAACTTTCTTCTCCTTTCACCTCTCCCCTCATAGATCCAGACTTGCATGGCAGTCTGAAGCCTTTCTCTGGCCCTGTCTTCTTTATCTCTTATACCCATAGTTTCTATCAATCTTTGACATTTCTAATTTTGTCTTGGAGTCTGCCTCCCAGTCTGAGACACTCTAATACCAGGGCATCAAATCCTTTTCTGATTATTTACTTTCAACAAAATTGAGAGAGAATCTAAGCAAAAGATCCTTTGCTAAACAGTAATTTTAAAAACTGGTAATACATCCAGGAGTAGGTTAAATAGAGTAAAAGTAATCTCATTCCCCTAGTTTGGAATTAGCTTAGAAACTCAGGCCTAGGCCAACTGTGTGACAAAATAGTCACAGGGATTTGTTCAGGATAGGCATAAATTTCAATTTGGAGAAATGAGACACAAGGAGAATGTTGGGTATTCTGGAAAAGAGTTTTCCTATTCTTAAAAAAGTAACCATTGGAAAAGATAACTTCCTGCTTCCTTTCTATACCATGTATATGGATACAAAATTAAAAGCCACCAAGTCACTTTCATACTGTAAGGAAAGGAAGCCAATAAGCAACATGCTCACAGACCAGGGAACTGCAGAGAAACAGGGGTGGAGCAATCAGATCAAGCTGATCTTAAAGCCCACTCTACTCAGTGACTTCCTAGTTAAATGAGGATACATTTTCTCTCCATTTTAACCTGCTAGAGTCAGTTCCCTATCACGGCCAAATGCATCCCACTTATTTGAGAGTGTTAGCCTTCCATGCCTCCACTTACATTGGAACCTGCCTGGAATCCACCTTGCCCCAGCTCCCTCCCATGTGCAGTGGATCCTGTCCTTTATGTCTCAGCTGCTTTCCTGGAATGGGGATGCAGTTGTTTATCTGGACATTGGGCTTTGCCTCTGCCTCAGCCTCCCACTTCTTATATTTTCTCTGTGGAAAGGGACCAATTTGGAAGTGAATACCAGCCTGAATCAAAGTCTACCTGGTCGTTTATTGGATTTTCTGCTTCTTTGTTTACCCAGCTACATTTCTGTCTCTAGCCCCTACAACTACCCTGTCAGTTAACGCTTTTGCGTCTCCGTGGATCGTTAAGATTTCAGAGACTATGGGCATATAAAGACAGACATATAAAATAATTAACTTTTAAGCTTATTCTGCTAATTTTCACTAATACATGCAAGTGTGCAAACATATTTGCATATATATTTTTGCACACATGCACATGTATATGGACATAGAGACATATCTATATATAGAGAAAAATGCCTTTCTATATATTTATGTCTGAATATCACGTTTGAAAGTTCTTATTATGATATATCCAGTGTATCATGGGTGAACTAATCTAAAGAACTAATCCGAATAAAGAGCTAATGCAGGGGTCTCCTAGGCCCCTACTGTCTCATGAGACATTTTCATTTCTGAAACTTGGGGACAATCTGTCTGGGGACAGTTCTAGAACACGAGTCAGTGGGGTGATTGGAGGCCTATGCCAGCAGCTATTTAGCAATTATTATCAAAGTATTTAAATGATTTGTTTTTCCTACTGGCATATGTCTCTGGATAGCATCAAATAGTTAAATAACAAGTATGGCTGTACTAGTACAAACCTCCCTGAATATGAACACTACTTATGACAATTTGAAGCCTGGTATCTTGAATTTCTATTAGTTCTACTGATGTTCTTATTTATGCTTTAGGTTTCCTAATTCTTCCGCTGTTCCTAGCTTCGTATGTTCTCCAATATCCCCACCTTTGTCACTCACTATAAAGGAGGTAATAAAAACCATATTGATTGAGTCCCTTAGAAGTTCACGCTATCCCCAACCAAGTTCTGGTAATCACTCACAATTCCTAAAAAAAAAACAAAAAAATAAACCAACAACAACAAATTCCGGTAAGTTTCAACAACTCATCTTGGAACTTCTTCTTTCTTGCTCACTACAGCCCAGACACCCTGGTTTTCTTTCACTTCCTCCTATGCATTAAGCTTTTTCCCATCTCTGGGCCCTTGCATGCATTGTTTCACTCAGCCACAATCTACTCCCCTTTGCCTGGTTTGTTCTTATTTTCTCGGTCTTAAGTCGTGCTTCACTGTCTACTCAATTTAAAATAGATGCTCCACATTATTACCTCTCTTACATCACAGCACTTCACACAATATGCAATTATGCATTGTTATGGGTTGAATTGTGTCTCCTTTCCAAAAAAACATATGTTGAAGTCCTAACCCTCAATACCTCAGAATGTGACCTTATTTCACTATGGGGTCTTTATAGAGGCAATCAAATTAAAATGATGTCATTAAGGTGGGCCCTAATCCAGTAAGACATGTGTCCTTGTGCCAAAGGGAAATTTGGACACAGGGACACAGAGGGAAGACAATGTGAGGACACACAGGGAGAAGATGTCCGTGCGATTGGAGTGATGCCTTTACAAGCCGAGGAATGCTGAGGATTGCTCGCAAACACCAGAAGCTAGAAGTGGCAAAGAAGGATTCACCCCTAGAACCATCAGGGAGAGCACAGTCCTGCAGACACATTGATTTCCCACTTCTAGCCTTGAGAACTGTGAGACAAGTGTCTATTGTTGTAAGCCACCCAGTTCTTGATACTTTTATAAGGCATCCCTAGGAAATAATATATGCATTAATCGAGATTTATTTATTATTTATTGTATGATGTCTGTCTCATTAGACTTTTAGCTTTATGAGAGTAGGGTATGTTTACTTATCATAATTATTTACAGCAACACAGAGGATGGTGTCTGGCACCTATTAGTAGTGGAGTATTTGTGGAATTAGTGAATTACTGAATAAGTGGATGCATGGATAATATTTTAATGCAAGGTCCTTCAAAAGAATTTAGAATCTCAGATTGTTCAAATAAACCACTTAAAAGCAACACTAATTTAATCTTAAAATCAGTAATCATAATGCTTCAAGTAGGAAAAGAAAATTTCTGATGCCTAATTATCAAACACTTCATTTAACCAGCTCTGATTAGTTATTAAATTGCATGTTGTGGGATGATTCCCCTTAAAATGGGAAAGCATTGTTCTTCTGATCTTACCAAAAGATTACCCTGTCATGTTTTAAGATAAAAAGCACAAACAATCTCTTCAATCTTCACGATTTACATTAAGAGAAATATAAACAGGAATTGCAGAAGTACAAATTGAACGTATGTAATTATAGCCTTAAAGAATTACACAAGCAAAAGTGATGGCAAACACATTTAAATAGCTGTCCCATTTTAAGGGATCTCACTGCACAATAACCTTATGAACAGGCACATAAATACATAATCAAACCTAGGTGAACTGTAACACATGAAGACTGGGAGATAAGTAACAGCAGGCATGCAGTTGGCTTCCTGCTCCATTGATTTTTATTCCCGTCTTTCCACTGATCACTATATACATTCACACACCACACATGTATACAAACACGCCACATAACACATATATATCATGTATATAAATATGAGCTTAAATATGTATCTATATCTATTTCTATTGACACATATGCATGACATTCTGAACATATCTTACTATGACATGCCTTGGTAAATATGACTATTGTTTGCTTTATCTCAGGATTCACCTATGAAGGGATTCGGAGTTTCAAAGATTTAATAGGTAACAAGGGGAAGCTGAGGCAGAACTTAACTTTTTAAATTCAAAGTAAGTAGTCAAAGTCAGCTGTTTCTAATTTATTCTTACACTTTCCAGCAATGTAGATCTGGCAGATTAATTCCCCTTTTCCACAGATGGGAAATTGGGGCCTAGAATAGTTAACTCACAAACTCAGAATTTTAAATGCTAAAATGACTTTTTTTTTTTACAGTATGTTCAGAATTTAATTCTAGTTCTAACAACTCATGTGTTTCAATGGAATCTTAATTCAGTATTTCCACATAAGAATATTTCTTACATATTGAACTCCTTATTCAATCAATTCTAACGTAAAGGTTGATTTTTTAATACAGATGAATGCACTAACAACTCTAATTTCACAGTCTTGTGCTATTTTTTAGCTAACACAATTATGATTGACTTCCTACGTAATTATATGTGCTGGACTAATGGTTTATTCACACTTGTAATCTTGAATAGATATTCTTCGAAGAGCTATTTTTACATGAGTCCTTGCTTGTTGAAGAATTTTAGGCGTAAGAAGTGTTAATTATATAAATATATAGAACTAATATAATTTTAGATAGATAAAAATGTATGTTCATTTAAAATTATCGTGTGGACATGTATTACTCTATCTTCCCCAGTACTTTTCTTTCTTCTGGATAAAGCAGCCCCTTCCTTTAGATGGTGAACACATAAGGTGGTTGAATGAAAACTGCCATCTCCCTTTGGTCATAACTTTTCTGCCTACTGTAATTTGTGTAAAAAAGTAGGAACCGACCTTGGCTATGATAATAATAGCACACTGGCTCCTAGCCACAAAGACTGACCTCAGACCTGGGGGTGGGGATAAGAAGGGGTTTGCCTGTATCCCAAGCCAGTTCTTCTCTCAAGAGTTTTAACTGAATTGAAGGTGGAAGGGAATAGCTCTCTCCCTCCTAGTAGCAAAGCTGGGCACTGGAGAGCCAGGAGCTACTAGCAGACATTAATCTAGCCCAGGATTTCTCAGCCTCAGCAATGACATTTGGGGTTAAAAATTTATTTGTAGTTGGAAGCTCTACTGTGCATTCTTACCTCTATCCACTAGATACCAGTAGCACCCTCCTCCCCAAGTGTGACAACAAAAAATAGCTCTAGGCTCTGCTAATTGTCACTTGGGGATCACATTGCGCCAGCTGAGAACCACAGAATTAGCTTCACGTAAAGGCAGCAATAGAAGAAAGTGAGGCCAACCATTCAAGAGAAGTAGGGAATAGACAGAAAGAAAAAGATATCTGTTTAGGACCAGTCATGCCCAAATATATCCTTTTCTTTTTGATTATGTAAACTAGTCAATTCCACATATATATATATATATATATATTTTTTTTTTTTAAAGTAGTTTGATTTGTTCTTTTGTCAAGTGCAATAATAAGAATCCTGAAACAAAGCATGGTCTCTTAACAAGTAATGCAGGGACAACTGGATACCTACATGCAAAAGAATAAAATTGGGCTTTTTCTTCGCACCATATACAAACTTTAAATCAAAATGGACTAAAGCCCTAAAACTCTCAGAAGAAAACAGGAATTAATCTTCATAACCTCATACTTGGCAATGAATATGATACCAAAAGCATGAGCAACATAAGAAAAAATAGATACTTTGGACTTCATCAAAATGAAAAACTTCTGTGCTTTAAATGGCATAATCAAGAAAATGAAATTCATAATTCGAGAGATTTGTACATTAAATACATAAAGAACTCTTACAACTCAATAATAAAAGCACACAAAACCTGAATTTAAAAGTGGGAAAAATATGTGAATAGACACTTGTCCAAAAATATGTATACAAATGGCCATTAAGCACATGAAAAGATGCATCAGGGAAATTCAAATAAAAAACAATGAGATGCCACTTCATACCCACTAGGGCGGTTATAATAAAAAAATCAGATAGTAACAAGTATTGGTGAGGATGTGGAGAAATTAGGACCTTTATCCACTGCTGGAGGGAATGTAAAATGGTGCAGCCACTTTGGAAAACAATCTGGCAGCTCCTCAAATGGCTAAACAGAGTTATAATATAACCCAGCAATCCCACTTTCAGGTATAGGCCAGAGAAAAGTGAAAACATATGTCCCCCCAAAATCCTGTATATCAATATTCATAGCAGCATTATTCATAATAGCCAAAGTTGGAAACAACCTAAATGTCCATCAGTGAAAGGATAAACATAATAGATGAACAAAATGTGGTATAACCACATAATGGAGCATTTTCAGCCATAAAAATAACGAAGTATTGACAAATACTACAACATTGATGAACCTAAGTGAAGGAAGCCAGTCACAAAAGATCACATATGATTATATTAATATGAAATATCCAGAATAGGCAAATCTATAGAGACAGAAAGAAGATTCCTTAGGCCTTGGGAGATGGGGGTTGAGGACTAAGACAGTGACAGTTAAAAGGGATGGGGATTCTTTTTGCAGTGATGAAAAAGTGAAAGCGAAGTAAATAATTATAAACAAGAAAATGGCTGCATAAATTGCTGTAGATTCATTTACTGCATGATATACTGTGCAGTCATATATACTGTGCAGTCATGTAAAGAGTAGAGCTATTTTTGACTTTGAAGGCTTTCCAGAAGATATTGTTGAGGAAAGAAGCAAAATAGCATGTATAGTATGATGTCATTTTTAGATCAAAGATAAAAGCTATGTGTGTATAAGTATGTACAGTATATTATGAGAATGGAAAAGTGTAAGGGTACATGCTAGTTAACATGGGTTACCTGTGCGGCTATGCATGGTATGTATTTGGGATAGCAGTCACGTGGATGGAAAAGGAGGAGAGGGATGAGGAAAGGCATACAGTGCACTAAAGAGTGGGGGAAAAGGTATTGCACTTAAAAACAAAGCACATTTCATTTATCCCATTGAATCATTTAATGATCTGATTAACTATCATTTCTCTGCCAGGTTTTCTAAGTTTACTGTATCATTTAACAACCTGTGGGTTAGAGATTATTATCTCCATTACCTCCAGATGGGGAAACTGAAGTTCAGAAGGCTTAAAGAGCTTGCAAAACAATACTGTTGGGGCAATTTTGATAAACAGGAAGGACTCCCACCTAAAATTTGTTTTGGATGTCAAGACTCATGATGCCACAAACACACCAAGAGGATATGACAAGGTTTATCGCTTACATCATGAGGCTTTCTGGGGAGAGCAAGGCTGGCCTCTTGGACTGATTCAAAAATGGTTTGAGACATTTGGAAAAGCAGACCAGCTAAGGTTTTTATGGTGGTTAGCAGGTAGATTCCCATCTGTCGGGAGGGGCTTGCACAGTTTGAACTTTATTCCAGTCAGTGCCAAAGGAGGGAGCACTTGGGCTCTCCAAGCAGCTTGCCCAGAAGATGTGGGGCAGAAGAGGAAGACAGAGGCGTGGGACTTATAAGCTGTCAGCAGCCAAAGGTCAAAAAATGGAGGAAGATTTTTTTATTACAAATGGTTTAAAAATTATATTTGCCAATATTTAAGAAAAGTGTTTCATTTTATATTTATAGCTGTGTGTGTATAAGTGAATCTCGTGTCTCAGTTAAAACAATTTAAATGTCTAGTTTTGTGACACTTGATAATACCCAAAATATGAAGTCACATGTGTAAGACAGCAAGCATGACCAAACTCCTCAAATTTCAGTCCTGAGAAATATCTATTTCTGAAAATCAGCAAAAATTAAATAATCAACACATTTAGCTTTTTTATATGGTTATAAAATTAATAGAAAAAATCTGTATGATCAGTATTACTAGAATGTAAGCTCTGAAAGTATCTTTTTCATCACTACAGAACATAAGCACCTACAACTGTGCCTTGCATGGAGTAGACAATAAATGAATGGGAAAATAAACTGGATAAACACTGTATATCTTAACAAATAAAAGCTAGGTATGAATTGTAAAGAATATGCACAAATTTTACAAAGCCCAAATATATCTACTAGTGGGAATATAATTATATAAGGATTTCTAACTAATAACTCAAATAACAATTTAAATCTTGGAAACTTTTTAATTGTGGAAAACAATTACTTAACTTTTAACAAATTAATTTTTGAACAGTTATCAATTTTAATAATGTCAATTTTTAGATATTACTTTGAGTTCCTAATATTAAACTGAATAGTATTTCAGAGGAAATGATAATGAAATAAAAATGAATACGCAGTATACTTGTTAACACATGCTGAACTCATTTTAGAATGTTTAAGAGGCTTGAGCTACTAGGAGGAAAAGAATACACTGCAGCCAACCACTTCATACTAAACTTTTTATTAAAACAGTCCTTACAACATATTTAAAATGGCATGTTCCACAGTCAAATATTTAAGAAAAAAAATCTATATGCAATTATTGGCACACAAATTTAAGAACATAATTAAAACCAAGCCAGATATCTCTCTGTATTTATATATCTATATACATATAGATATATATCCATACAGATAGATATATCTTCAAATTCATGTCAGTGACCTGGAATACCTGAGATTTCAAGTTGTTGGTTTTCCAGATGGGTACAAAACATTTTTCATCCACTTTATAAGGACACGGCAGATCCAGAAAGAATAACTTTGGTTAATAAATGCTGTCTCCCAAAGATCAAACAGAAGTCCTCAATGGGATTAAGGTTTATCTTCAGAGGCTTCTTCCAAGTGAAGGTTGGTCTGTGATGTAAGGAATGACTCCCACGTAGCAAGGCACTGAATAATGGAAACACACCATGAGGCAATCAACAATAGTTTACTTTCAGTGTTAAAGGATTAATAAATTCTAACACATCTGTTCCTACTGCAATCTGCTCTATTCTTCTCTCCCATCAGCTTGTCAGAATCCTTGTCATTTTCTACATATTTTAATTCTTAATGAGGGATGCTACTGCTAAGTAAGGGGAAAACATATTAAAGGTTAAAAAGATTAGCAAGGATTAGTTTGCTGAAATAATCTACTATTACCCCATATTAAGAGAAAAATAAGAGCTTCACGTTATAGAGGCAAAGATGGACCCAGCTGGAGCTGAGGAGGAGTGATGATACAAACATACTTCAGTTCGATTTGAATCCCATTACGTCAATTGTGAGTTTGAGAAAGTTGATTAATCTTTATTGGAGTTTCTTCAGCTATAACTTAGGTTAATAATAGTACTTACCACTAGCACAACTGTGAGAATTAAATGTATATAATCTGTATAAGTCTCTATGCAGAATGCCTAGCATAAAGTGAATGCTCCAAAAGTTAGCAACTGTTATGATGGTCTGTTGGGACTGGGTGGAAAGACTTAGTTATTAATGTGCCACAGGAAATGAAACAGGATTGTAAGGGTCTGAAGGCGCTGGGAACACATAAACATAAATGTGGCCTATTTGATTTTGCCTGGGGATGATCCTCCTAATAGACTAGTCTCAAGTATCTGTATGAAGTTTATCTACAGCATAATTTTAATAGTCTGTACACATTTAGGATTCTTGTAAATCATAACTACTCTAATATATATTCAGCCTGAGCTATAATGAATTTGGAAAGAAATTATGTTTTTTTTTTTCAAATGTGGATAGACTGCCATAGACATGTATGTTTCTACATAAACACTCCAAAGCTGGACTGATTAACACTGGTCCACCTGGCTCAACTACCTCCATGTCACTTCTTCTGCCTCTAATGCTTTCACAGCTTTAAAGTGTCTATATCGGACAACCAGCACTAATAACAGACTAGAGATTTCTCAAACACTGTAAAAACTCAAATGTTTAAAGCTCTCAAATTATAAGTGTGTTGCATTTCAAAAAGTATGTATGTATATACTTATGTGTGTGTGTGTGTGTGTATGCACAAACACATTTTTTTCAAACTGAAGATTTAGAATATGGGAAATACTATGTCAAATCTGATTTTCATAAAGATTACATACTGTGATTTAATTCTGAGATAGGCTCTAATAACTTAGGAAGCTAATAATAAAGCTAAAAGATTCGTATAATTACATGAGAACAGTAAAACACTGAAAGACCTAATTGTCAAATAAAAAGATACTGGGTAAAATTTACCCAATAAATTACTGGATTAAATAGTGGGTATTTATTTTGTCATATATTTTGAAGGCCAGGCTTGGGGTAATGTAGGCCTCATTAGAATAATCAAGTTTATCAAGACTTTAAGGGATACTTTTTGCTTTAAATAGCTTTAGAAGGTACTGAAAGCCAAGTACAATCCAAGAAGCACAGTCACTGTAATGAATTGATTCTGGGATTTGCTTTTATCCTCCAGTAAGTTACTAACTTTATGATATTGTAGCTCCTCAGATATATAATAATAATAGCCTCTCTCATAGGGATGGAGAAATAACAAAATAAAATAGGAAGAGGAGGGGAGGGGAGTAGAGGAGTCAGGGTCAGGTAGTTACTACAGGAGCCAACTAGTAAGAATGGCCTCCTCTTAGACGGTACAGGAGAAGAATTTAGATATCTTTAAGTGTATCCAAATGTCTATACTCATGAAAAGGCATAAAAGATGAATACTTCACATTTAGTATATTTTTCAAATTTTGGACTGTAATTTATAATTGTCCAAACTATGCATGATTTGGGGGGCATGGAGGGTAGACATACAAAAATCTCTTCACTCAACAAATATTTTGGAGTTCTTACTATATGCCAGGCACTGTGATGATGCTAGCACACAGCCCACAAACTAATAGAAATTATGATTTAGCATGAAACCTAAGTAAGCAAATATAATCAAGTATAGGGTCTGTGATGTTACAGGACATGATGGGAGTAACAGTAATAGGATCTAAGTCACATTGGAGTGTCCTAATGTTTCCTAGTGGAAGTAATCACTGAATGCAGACTAAAAGATGAGCAAAAGGTAGATCCCATAAATCTCTGCATGTTTGTGAAAGGTCAATGTGAGGAAGTATAGTGTAGTGATCAAGAACTCAGGCTCAGGACTTCTGTTGCTGACCCAGAGGGTATAACAGGGACTGGAAAGGCTCTTTTGCCTCAATCAATCAATCAATCAATCAATCAATCAGGTAGATACTATATATATAAAGCAATGGTTTTCAACACCCTGGAAATCAGGCAACAAAGGATAGTGGTCCCTGGGGTGGGGTGGGGAAGAGTAAGCTCCATGATTACCCCAGTGTTATGGACTGAAGCTCTAATTCTAGTACCTCAGAAAGTGACTATATTTGCAGATAAGGCCTTTAAAGAGGTAATTAAGGTAAAATAAGGTCATGTGGGTGAGCCCTAATCCAATATGACTGGTGTCCTTATAAGAAGAGGAAATCTGGCCACAGAGAGGAAACCAGAAATGTGAGCAAGGAGGAAAAATCATCTGAGGACACAGCAGGAAGGTGGGCATCTGCAAGCCAAGGAGAGGGGCCTTAGAAGAAAGCAGCCTGCTGACACCTTGATCTTAGACTTCTAGCCTCTAGAATTGTGAGGAAACAAATTTCTGTTGTTTAAGCCACCTAGTCTTTGGAATTTTGTTATGGCATCTGTATTGGGCTGTTCTTGCATTGCTATAAAGAAATACCTGAGACTGGGTAATTTATAAAGAAAAGAGGTTTAATTGCCTCACAGTTCTGCAGGCTGTATAGGAAGCTGCTGCCAGCATCTTCTCAGATTCTGGGGAGGCCTCATGAAGTTTACAATCATGGCAGAAGGTGAGGTGGTAGCAGGCATGCCGCATGGCGTATGCAGGAGTGGTGGAGGTGGTGCTACACACTTCTAAACAACCAGATCTCCTGTGAACTCAGAGCAAGCACTCACTTATCACCAAAGGGATGGTCCAAGACATACATAAGGGATCCACCACTATGATCCAAATACCTTCCACCAGCCCCAACTCCAACACTGCGGATGACATTTCAACATGAGATTTGGGTGGGGACGAATATCTAAACTATATTAGTATCCCTCTAATATGCCAGCTTATTGCCTTAACAGAATTTCGAGGCCATGGTGAAGGGAGACATTACCTGGCTGACTCACTGAGTTAAAAGGATAGAGCTAAGAGTTCGAGAAAATGCAGCTAGAGTTCATAGACCAGAGTATCAGAGAAGAGAGTGGTGCATGGAAAGCTCTGGAGATATGCGGAGGGTGCCCCACACCAAGCAGAGTACTGACTGGCACATGCATGTGAGAAGACTACCAGAGACAGGGGAAAAAGCCATCGGGAAGGATTAAACAGTATCCAGCATTCTCATAGGGCCTACAATAGTACAGAATCCCATCAGGCAGACTGGAAAATCACTTAATTCATTATCTGCAAAATTTATCACCAGCAGAACACACTACAACCAATATTAAAAAAAAAAAAAAAAAAAAAAAACTCATCTGGCAGAAAAAAAAGAGACCAGATAGAAATATGGATCTATAAACAAATGACATAGTAACGACATGAGTACATATGATACATACTTTTCCTATTATTTAAATGTATTTAAAATCTAATGAATTAAAAATAGCAAAATCTTGCAGGGCTTATAATACATGTATAGGCAAAATGTATGACAAAAACAGCATAAAAGCCAGATGAAAGGGAATGAAAAAACACATTTGTAGGTTCTTATATATGAAGTATAATACTACCTGAAGGTAGACTATGATAAATTTAAGACACATACAGTAACCTAAAAATAACCACTAAAATAATAAAAGTTATACCTAATACAAAAGAGTTACATCTAATACACCACAAAGAGATGTAAAATGAAATCATGTAAAATTGTCTATCAATTCAAAAGAAGGCAAAAGAAGAAAATAGGAACAATGTACAGACAGAACAAATAAAACACAGCAAGATAAAAGACTCAAATATATCAATAATCCTACTCAAATGTCTACATGCTAAACACACCATTAAAAGATGCAGATTGCCAACTGAATAAAAAAACAAGACCTACCTATACTTTGTTTAAATTTCTTATAAATATTTTAAATATAAGGACAAATATAGTTAAAATTAAAAGGATTAAAAAATATATATATGGGCAGGCATGGTGGCTCATGCCTGTAATCCCAGCAGTTTGGGTGGTCGAGGTGGGAGGATCACTTGAGCCCAGGAGTTTGAGATAAGCCTGGGCAACACAGTGAGATCCTGGGTTTATTTTTTTAATTAAAAATACATATATATGTTTTATTGTAACATATGTCAAAAGAAAAGCTAGCATGGCTACATTAGTATTAGAAATGTAGATCTCAGAGCAAAGATCATTATCAGAGATAAAGATGATCATTTCATAATGATAAAAGGGCCATCCATCTAGAGGACATAATTTAAAATGTTTACACACATAAAAGAGTTTCATAAAAACTGACAGAAATACAAGGAGAAAGACAAATCTACAATTATAATTGATTTTGATACCCCTCTCAAGAACTGACAGAATGTGTGGACAGAAAATCAGCACTCATATATAAGATCTGAACCACACTATCAATCAAGTTTGCCTAACTGAGATCTACAGGACAAAAGCAGAATACATATTTTCTTTCACATGCCCATAAAACATTTACCAATATGGATCACATTCTGGGCCATACAATAAGTCTTGATAAATTTTAAAAGATTCAAGTCATATAAAGTATGTTCTCTGAACATAATGGAATTAAATTATAAATCAGTACCAGAAAGATATCTTTAAAATCACCAAATATTTGAAATCTAAACAGGACAATTATAAAAAGCCTCCAGTGTCAAAGGACAAATCAATGGAGAAATCAGAAAGAGTTTTGAACTGAATGAATATGAAAACACAACACATCAAAAATTTTGGTATGCCATTAAAGTAGAACAGAGAGATTTTTTAGCACTAAATGCCTACACATGAAAAGAGGAAAGATTTCAAATCAATGCCTTTAGTCTTTACCTTGAAAACCAAAAAAAGAACAATTAAATGCAGAAGAAAAAAAAACAAAAAACAGAAAAGAGCAAAGTGGGACTCAATGAAAGAAAAAACAAAAACAGTAAAGAAAAATCAATGAAACTGATGTTAGATCCTTGAGAAAATTAATAAAATTATTAAACTTTTTAGCCATGTTGATCATAAAAAAAGAGATGACATAAATTGCCAAGGGTCAGGAATGAGAGAGTTAATGTTAGTTCGGATTCCACTAAAGGAAAAAAGAAAATTATGAAGATCTTTATGCCTATACATTTGACAGTGTAGATGAAATGGACCAATTCCTTGAAAGACATAAACTACCAAAATTCACCACAGAAGAAACCAATAACCCAAATGAATTTGAATTTGTAGTTAAATATCTTCATACACATACACAAATTTCTAGGCCCAGAGTTCTTCACTAGAGAATTATAGCAAACATTTAAGGAAGAAATCATACTAATTCCATATAATCTCTTCCAGAAAATTGAAGACATGGGGATGCTGTCCAAAATACCAGAGCCAAAGACATTCCAAGAAAAGAAAACTACAGACCATTATTCCTCCTAAACATAGATGCAAAACTTCTAAATAAAATTTTGGTAAATCAAAGGCAGTAATTTCTATAAAGAATTATGCATCATAACCAAATGGAGTTTATCCCACGAAGGCAAGACTGGATTAACATTCAAGTATTTATCAAATGATGATATTAAATGCAATATTATCTCAACAGACAAAAAATTTATCAAATTCCAATGTCCATTGCTTATTAAAAAAAATTTCTCAGCAAATTAGGAATAAAGGAGAAGTTCCACAACCCGAGGAACATCTACAAAAAGCTACAATTAACATCATATGCAGATATGCAGTAAATATTAGCTGTTATTAGTATTTTATTGATTTTTCAATACCAAGAAAAAAAAGAAATTAAAACTCAGTTTCATAAACCACTCACAAATCTCCTTCACCAAATGTCAAGTATAAAAAAGAAGGAAATACAAAAATGCCAAAGTATATCTTTAAAAAATCTACCCACAATGTTTATAAAACAGAAAACTATTAACTGGGTTGAAAGGGCTGACAGGAACAGCACCACACTTTACATTTAGAGAAAAGCCCTCAGTTTCCTTTGCAAACCATCTTTCTACTAGACCGCTCTGGTTTGCTCTCTGCAAACCCATACACAATCTTGTATCTGGTACCCCTACAGGGCAGCCCCAAAGCAATTACTACTTTCAGAAGATATATTTTTAATAACTGCAAAACTATCATTTAAATAAACTTCTGAACATTCTCCAGGTAAAATTCAAAATGAAATTCTAAGCAGTCTGCTCTATTTAGAATTCCTGTCAAATAAGTGATTCAAATTGCACCAAAGATGGCATTAGCCCTCAAGTGAACAAACTCCTATCATTTTCATATTCTGCATTAACGATACTAGTTTAATAAAGATCTAAGATATTCAGTAGTCGTCCATGCTAATTAGTGATGTGAATTAACATCTTCCTTTCTAAATTAAGTACTAAAAGGGACAGTAAAACATGGTAAGACAGACAAATTAGCTACTTCACGATTTCCTTATCTTCCATACCAGAGGCAGAAAAAGTATGTGTTTTGAAATACAGAACATTATAGAACAACTGACATAGGATAGCAACAGAAATAACATTAACAACTGCCATATACTGATATGAATACTTGGTCAGGCATTATAATGATTGCTTTATGTATCACCTTCTTTAAGCCTCATAATGATTACTGTGAATCCTATTTTACAGGTGAGAAAGCTGAGGCTCAAATGGTCTAAGTGTGTTTATATGATAAATCTCGTAAATTGTATGCCAGTATTTATCCATTAACAAATGGATAGTCAATGTCCTGAACCATCACCAGGGTACATTTAATAAGTCACTGGGCCAAGAGAATGAGATGCCTTTCTTTCACATAGTAGAAGGATGATTTTGGAAGGAGAAGTAGGTAAGAAACCCTGACTGCAGGGGCATCAGGCTGATCACATTTTAGGAAAGAGTATTTACAAAAGGTGAGGGTATGGAAATTAATTCCCTTTATATATCTTGGAAATTCTGCATATATTTCTAGGAACAGATCTATACTTTGAAGAAGACTGAATTAATACATGCCAGGAATATGGTAAGTGCTCAGAAAATGCAGATGACTCTATAGAGAAGGAATATATTGAACAACTGATGCTAAGATGCTGGCCATCAGAAAACTGCACTTTTCTATTTGAACACTAACCAACTGATATCTTGGTTTCTATTGCTCTCCAAACATGTAAATATTAAGTTTTGCCCTAAGAGCCCGATCCCCATTCATGTTGCTGACCAATATGGTTTTTTTCTAGGCCTGTAAAGCTGAGAATCTGACCTTGAACTATGCAGCTCCTGACGCTACCAGATCACTTTGGGATTCTTGATAGCCGATTTTTAATTAAATAAATGTAATTGCCTGTTTCCACCAATGTTTAATATTCACCTGTGTTACCTGATATCCTGCACATATATCAAATTAATGTACACAAATCTTTATAAACAACAAAAAGATGATCTCTAAGGCTCCTTAAATTTCTTTGCTCTTGAGTACGAAACCTAAGGAAAAACTCAAGAAATATATTGTTTATACCATATAGTTAGGTAATTTATTACAGTGAGTATTTACTGTCCTCAGGATCATAATTGGAGGATATAAAGAATCATTAATACAACCAAAAAAATCTCAAAACCTGGTGTGAGACTTGCTTATAAGTTAGTATTTTTAAAACATGTTTCTATTTGTTATTTGGCTTTGCATTGTCATCAATTTTTTTTCACTTTTAAATCATTACAGTGAGTGAAAAAAGTTAGTATCTGTCAAAATCAGAGTAGTAATAAAAAATATCCAGCATCACTGCTGGCCTGACATTTAATAGTTCTGGTTAGCTCATTCTAGCTTTGGATTCTCATACTATCATGGGAGAACCAAGAACAACAGGAGTTCCACTTCCATTTGAATAAGATGTCATCATTTTCCATACATACTGTTTTATTTCATGCAATAATCTTCTGATGAAATCAGGTAATTTCATTTTACAGTTAAGAAAACTGACTCTCATAGTGCAGTACTGTGTTTTTTCCAGTGCTCTACTACATGAAACCATGGTGAACAGCTCCTTCTCACTGCAGAAAAAATTAAGTTGATAAATATGCTATACATGCAATTAGCCAGGATGTGGGTTGACCAGAAAAAAAGCTTATCACAAATCCTTGTTAATTGAGAATCCAGTACACATTTCCCCCAGGTGGCTGCAGTTGTAGCCAAAGTCAAGTGCAATTTCTCTTTGAGGAGAGAACTCAGAGAAAGAGAGCCACCACAGGAAGGTGAGCCAGAGGTGGGGAAAACAGACCCAACAGGTAAACAAAGCCTTTTTGTTTCTACACACAGGCTGAAAACCTTCCTAAATGCAGTACACACAGATGGAATACATAGAAAATTAAGTTTTAATTCCAAAACTGACTTTCAGTTTTGAAAATAAATCTCTTGCTACTTCAGTAAAGGTGGTGACATTTTGCATTAGAAGAGGTAAATGTCTCTTCGGCTCTCATAAGTGGGTAGTAATCCCACAAGCAGATGTGATCAAGTTTTCTAAAGAGTAAATGGTGACAATAATGGTATTTCTACAGATACGATACAGCTTTCAATGGAAGCTTCCACATTTGAGAATCACTATTTTCTCAAGCTTGTGGGATATGAAGATGTTCTGTCCTACAGTGTGACTTCAGGCAAATTTCTTTATTGCTCTGGGCCTGTTTACCTATTCATAGTAAGGGGTTTGAACTATGTGTGTCCATTAAGCTTCATCCCAGAACTAAAACTGAAGATTTCCAGAGGCTAACTGTGGCTGACAAAAAGTTGGCAAATGAAATCATATGTAATGTATAAATATGCCTCGCTCTGCTTTGCTTGACCCAGCGTGGAATACAGCAAACATAAAATTTTACTTCTCCTCCTAGCATTTGGTATTTATAAGATAACTGTCATTATAATTTCCAAATATAAGATTCATAAATATATGAGAAATATTTTCAGTACCACTACAGCTGCTAGTACTACTAGTAGCCAACATTTACTGAATCCTTATTAGACACTGAGTTAACTGCTTTTCTTTCATTCATTCATTCATTCATTCGTTTAGCAGCTTTGAAACCTATTTTCTATGGTGGCAATTTTGGGCTCAAGTAAAATTAGTGGCTTAAGGCATATGCTGGTTAAGACTCCTGGAAATACCTGATGAGCATAAAATCTTATAAACTATTTTTAGTGACTCACTGGGAATGTTAAACTTTGCTTCTAAGACTTTTCTTTCATCTTTACATATTCCTTTCCATAAATACATATATGTATATGCATGTACATTTATATTTTAACACCCAAACAAATCTATGGCATTTTCATCACTTCATCGATGAGGATACTGAGGCTCACTAAAATAAAAAAAGTCCTCAAGGTCACTCAGCTAAAAGTCAGAAGTCATGCCTGTCCAAAGCCCATCCCCTTAGCCACCATGTGATGCCTACATAACAAGTTGATATCGCCATAGGTAATGACACCACACTGTTGACAGAAACAGCTAATAGAAAATTTACTTTCATTCGAATTATTATATAAGTCAAAATAAAATATAATTATATATTTCTGTGGTAATAAAGTAAAATAACTAGACATTTACCTAATAATAATAATGATACTTATTATTATAGAATATGTAAAAGCCACACCTTCCCATATATTTATTTTAAAACTGGAAATTCCCATATTAAGCCATATAAAGCTGTTGTGCTTCTACTTTTCACCTCTAATCAAAAAGCAACTTTTAGAGAGAGTACCATGATAATTACATCTTTCTCAGTAAGCTACCAATTGGAAATATGACTGAGTTTCTTCTAAGTATTTTAACATTGTCTCAAATGATCCTGGACACAGATGATATCACCTACATTTGAGAAAACGTTGAAGCCCAAATTCGCAATCATTTCTATACTAGGCCAATAGCACCACGAAATTATTTATCATCTATAAAAATTATTAGGTTATGCCTAAAATGAGGGCAATAGGGTGTGTAACATTTTAGTAACTTTTTAAATCTCCTAAACCTAAAATTGAAACACTAATTAAAACTTTCAGGAGCTACATATTTTCAAATTCTGAAATGTAATCAATCTGGAAATTAGAGTTGATATTGCCAGAGAAAAACAACTTCTATTATTTTGCAATAGCTCAAAATTATTCATTATATTTCATTTTTGGAAAAGTCTAAATTCAGCTTCTGAGAATCATCTGCCAACTTATAATTTTAGAAATACCAATAACTTAAAAATAACAGGATTTGCATATTATTTTTCTAAAAATTACTTTTACATATCTCTCAAGAATGTAAGTGATAAGTGTACACTTGTAATTATTGCAAATATTTAAATGACTGCAACACAGATAGTTAATGCAAAAGGACTCATTAGCTACAAACGCCATCTTGTGGTCCATTTTTTTATTATTCTGTAGCATTATTCTGTAGATGTCTAACTCAAGATTGATAAAGACAGATGGAGCCCTAGATAAAATTTATTCCATTTCTCTCATTTTTATACATGGGGAAATTGGGGCTCTGAAAGGTCTAATATATTGGAAATCTTTATAGGAGAAATTAACGTAAGAGCCAAAATTTAAATTCATATCCTTACAAACTCATACTTTTTCTATACCACATCATTGTTGTTTACTTACAGCTAAGCCAATTACATGAAGTTTATCCAGTTTAATGCTAGACACTTCAGACATCAAGCTTATCTGTTTTTGTGTTAGCATACGCTGAAAGTACAACCAACTGTACAGATAAGCACATTTACCTCTGGATTATTAGAAAATTATTAAGGTGCAACTATGATGTTTAAGCACATTATTTTATAGCATGTTATATATGTGTTCCAGTTTTATTCTCCTAAAGACTTGTAAGGGGTGTATGTGAATGGGATATGGGGTGGGGGAAGGGAGGAATACCTCTATTTGGCAGTTTAGCAAACTGGGTATATAGAGAAGACATGATTAGGACTTTATAATTAGCTAATGCAGGCATCATGGTACCCAACTTTAATTTTTTCCATTAGAAGACCCATCTTTCTTATTTGTGATAAAATGCAGTGTGTGTGTGTGTGTGTGTGTGTGTGTGTGTGTGTTTAAATCATTTCTTCCTTTTCTATACAGAAACTATTATATTGGCCCATAGTATGTAGTCTGTCATTTACAAAGCACAATAAGCAGAATGTCCTTGATTCAGAAACTAGACATTTTTAGAAATTATTTCATTATTATGTGTAATCTCCTTCTACGCAAATCCCTGATTAACTACATAAAAACTTATGTAGCCCAAAGGATGGGAAGAAGCACAGACTATGCCATGATATAACTGTCTATTTCATACCTAGGCTCACTTTATTTGCATAGATAATCGAGAACAAATTACATTACAGAATATAGGGGACTGATGAGAATATTTTTCAATTGAAGTTTTTAAGACTGCAGAAACCCAGCTGGGTGCAGTGGCTCACACCTATAATACCAGCACTCTGGGAGGCCAAGGCAGGCAGATCACTTGAGGTCAGGAGTTTGAGACCAGCCTGGCCAACATGGTGAACCCTCGTCTCCACTAAAAATATAAAAAATTAGCCAGGCATGGTGGCAGGTGCCTGTAATCCCAGCTACTTGGTTACTTAGGAGGCTGAGGCAGGAGAATCGCTTGAACCTGGGAGGCAGAGGTTGCAGTGAGCTGAGATTGGAGCACTGCACTCCAGCCTGGGCGACAGAGCAAGACTCCATCTCAAAAAAAAAAAAAAAAGTAAAAACCTGTAAAACAAAAATATTTAAGACTTATACGACACATAATAAAAGGTTCAAAACTAGATGGAAACATGAGCTATAGCTATGGATTTTGAAAATTTAATTCAGAACAGAAATCACACTTAATCAAACAACAAAATAAGTACATAATACTTAAGAATTCTAAAAATGACAACTAGTTGATTCTAAAGTTTCTTTAGAAATAAATAAAAATAAAATCCTGCTGCATTTAAACTTAATTCTACCATTGACTGTGTTTTACATGCTTTATATGATGCTTCAATATTAAATCGACTATAAACTTTTAAATGAGAAAGGACACTATATTAAGTGTAAGAGATCAACAGACTTGTAAAAACCAGAAGGAACTTCAGGCAATGCTTCTTAAACTATCTGTGGTGAAGAACAATTGTTTTGTTTTTTCTTCTTTCAGTCATCTAAGGACCATTAAATGGTCTTACTGGCCATGACTAGTCTGTAATTCATGCCACATGCAAATCACCACAAAAGCTGGACAATATTTGAATTGTTCCATAGAATTCAACAAGTGAAACCTCCTAATCACCTACTTGGTTGTCTTGGCAATGTCTAATTGCTATCGAAGATTCCAACTGATTACTTTCAACTTCTAAATTGAATCTGTAATAACTTATGGAATGAATATCAGTCCACACTTAAAGTAGCATTAGAGATCAACACTATTACCCAAGATTTCCCAAACTATGTTCTGTAGAACACTCATTCTGCAAGAAGAAACACTGATCTAGTCAAGAAAATTATTATGTCTTCAGATTCACAATCACAACCATACAAGCACATAAAGTACTCTGAGAACTTCTTTAGTAAATAAACCTGCTTAACTACTTAATAATTACTTTTTTTAAGTCAGAAGTGTCTTCTAATACAACAGGACCTTAATATGACTCTCATAAAACTTAACTTTTGAAGAAAATTAAGTTTTTTTCAAAATTAATTAAGAGGTCACCAAAACAAATACCCAGAAAATTAAATAAATTGACCTCTAAAAAGCATATTATCATTCTCCATGCTAAAGATTATCTTATTCAAACTAACTTTGGCTTGAATATAAAGATTCCTGCAGAAAGAAACTAGTTAGATTTTAGATTTACCTCCCGGAATGTGAAAGCAGGACCTTATCAATAACATAGAAGATAATATTTACCTTCTTATTTGCTATGGTAGGGGAATATTCATCTATACATCAGTGAAAAGTTGCATCAAATTATGCAAACATAAGTTCAAAGGCAGTTGGCTATAACAGAGCAGTGTTTTAAGCCATGTTGAATTAAAATCTACTCTGTCAAGACCTCATGGTTACCCAAGCTCGTTCAAGTGGTGTTAAAATGAACACTCTAATGAGCATTAGAAATCTTATATCTCTATCATGTGTTTTCCCTGTTTTCTAGAGAACATTTCAGACAATTACTCCATAAATGGCTTCTGTGAGCAAACAAATTCAGTATGTGAGAGGATAAAGAAAGGTGACTAGGTTTCTTTCCTAAGAATTTCTTAGAAACTTAAAACAGGCTAAGATGCATTGCCAACCTTCTCCAACAAAATGAAACAGTATAACCTAAATGGGAGTAATCTGGCTATCAAGTTGCCATCCTCTATCAGTGGAAGTAAAGGATTGTAGGATCATGTATACCACAAATATACAATAATTCGAGACCCAAAGAACTATGCCCAGGGACTTCCTCTGATATTTATAATAGTCAATTTTTAAAAAGTTATTTGTGAAATGTCTTAAATGTAGATTTCCCTGAGTTCAGCTTACAATTCTTGCTTCTTCACTTATCCAAATTTCCTGGTAATAATGTGTCAAACTGAGAAGGCAGTTTCTCGGAGTCTATGGTGGCTTGCCTCCAAAGATGTTCTAGAATCACAGAAGGCTATTCCATTTCTGTATCTTTTGCTCTGATCATTTCTATGTGCCTTCAGATTCTATTTGAAAAAAGAACTGATTGCTCAACAAAAAAGTGACATATTTGGTTAAAAGGACAAGGTTAATCATTAAATAATCAATAACAATGCTGGGCTCTCGAAACACAAGGAGAAAACTCTATTAAATGTGTTGCCATTTAATGGCATTAAAAAGATGAAAAGTTGTTGTTTTCCTTTTGATGATCATCCCTAAATAAATTAGATGATCCACAGAAAAGTAGCAATGATGTAACCTGAATTTCTTAATGCATTCAGGCTTCCAGTGAGTACTTCCCAATGAATAAGACGGTAAGATAATGCAGGTACAAGGATGTAACGAATTGGAAAAGTTAACTGGTATAAAAATGGCTAGACTGAGTAAACTTCTAAGCTTCTTATCCTCTCAAGCTGGTGTGTTTGCTTTGCCAGAAATATAGCCTACATGTAAGTGGAATCTATTCAATTTTAGGGTGTATAATGTAGTTCTGAGATATTCTGCACATAGTTCCAAAGATATAGACTGCTCTTTTCTGAAGGCCCATTTTAGCACCATCAGGGCGTCTGTCTCCTGAGGTCTAGGGTTTAGGTCAGGCTTCAGTAACTATTAGGAGGCATGACTGTAAAAAGAAATGCACCTTGTTATGGATTCAAAATTCCCTGTCCTGGATAACTCCGGATTATTCCAGCTCTAGTCAACTTCTTTGTTTCATAATAAGGAAAGAGAATTTAACTTTAAAGAATGTGCCTCTTGACAGAGGTTCAGCCTAGGAGCCTTTTTTATGGCCAACATAAAAAAAAATGATTCAATACAGACCATCTATTACACCTCTATTGCAACAATTTAAAAGAAAACTCAAACACTACCTGCCATTTCTTAGGCTCAAAACTATGCTGAACAACTCTATCTGGGTAACTCTCCTACCATATCCATCCTTCTCTAAGACAGGCTATTGACAAAGGGTTGAGCAAGTATTAGATGACTGTGCATGGTGTGTATCAGAAATTACAGAGGAGGTTACTTTGGAAACATTGTTCCAGTATTGTTGAAAACCTTCTCTGGGGGTAATTTTAGGATTCACCTAGGAAAGTAACATGGCCTGCATTTCTTCTGGGTAAGTAAAGGTCTGTCAGTCTTCCTTCTATGAGTAAATTTAGAATTAAGGGCTTCAACTGGGGCTTTGTAAGTACTGCTTTCAGGTTGGTAAAGGGTGGGCTTTTGCACCACTCACTGAAAAACAGAAGATACCCAGCCATCTCTTTTTTGCAGCAATGGATAGTTTTTGTTTTATTACCTCTTCAAATGTATTGGATTTTAGTTAACGTTTATTTGTATTTGCCTAATCCTTTCATCTTATACTTTCATTCTCCTTCATGGAGAAAACAGCAGTGAAATAGAAATGAGTTAGTTCTGTTTTCTTAGTTTCCATTACACAGTTTCCACTAGCAATTCATTTTTATTAATATTTTTGGTAACATATTAATTCCTAATTTTCTTGCTTCCAGAGATGCTCCTCATACCTACTCTCATTTGACTCTGGTGCTGTTTGGAAACTCTTCACATTTTTTCCCCCAAAACTCTCTTCTTCCTGACATATGCTTTCACTGACATTGCCTGTTTTTTTCTGTATTCCTTCTTGACTGTATCCTCCTCTATCATCTTTGTTTCCATGATCCATGGTCCACAGGTACAATTGTGTCAGATTCTTCACCTGCTTCATTCTTTTCACTTTTTAGAATTGTCCACTCCTCTCAAGTCATATTCTCATTTAGAGTGTATGATTTTGAGAAAGTATAACTAACTTTTATCTAATTTTTTAAGCTACTTTACTAAATTCTAGGAAATATGACTGAGAATGGCCAAATTTTCCTTCCTTTGCTTTCACCTCCCAGATTCTGGAAATAGTACTGTCTCCTGATGGAACTGTCATGTTAAGATAACAGTTCTTTGTTAATCAGAATTAAGTCTAGGGAGACTATTCCCCTCATTGCTCCTTTCAACTCACAGATGAGCACATATCAATACTTTTTCTGATTTTCAGTTTTGAATAGAATGAAATTTCTGACAGGAATCTAAATGCCATCCATCCAAATCTTGCTTAGGTAGCAGTTTTATCATCATTATCAATATAGTTTAACCTCTTAAGGTCAGAATACTTGGAAATTGTCCTAATTTGGACCAGGATGTTTTCAAGTAAATATTTACAAAATCTACAAAATGTTCCGAAGTATGTAGTGTAGTATTAAGTTTAAAACAAACAACCATGTCACTAGAATTTATTTCACCATTTTCCCAACACAACAAGAAATAAATCCCTAAATAAGTAAAACTACACTTGAAGAACCTTCTGGACACTCAGTGCTTATTCAGACTTAGTTTTTAGAGGACTGCTGTGAGATCTATTTTTACAAAATTTCTGTAATTTTTAAATGAGCCATAAATAACTAGACTTGGATTTTAAGAAAACATTAGTAGTACTGTTCATCTGGCTAGACAGATACCCTTGTAACGATTTTTTTCTTTTCCTCAAAATCTTTCAGAAATTTTCCTTTGCTAGAATTGTTTTTCTGCTTGCTAGATGTCCATATAAATATATTTGTGTTATCTGCTAAGAGTAGAACCTTTTATTCAGTCTATCCATTACAATCAAGCAAAAAAACTAATTTAAATACTTCACCATTAGAAAAAAATAACTTTAGGGCTGTATTAATCAAATAAATGAATAAATATTTTTATATATTATTTTTCCCTAATCAACTTTAGCCTCCTAACAGCAAGACTTAAGTGTGAATTTGGATCACCTCTCCCCATGCCACGCCACCCCTGTGTTTATTAGCACAGGGCTTTGATGATAACAGAATCTCACATAAATGAGTTTACATGAGGGAACTGACATTCCTAAATAAGACTGATAGAATAAGAAATGCAGTAATCATAGATAGACCTGCTTATTTCTTGAAATTCTTACCAAGTTTTCAAAAAGCTAATATTTATAATTATTTTTAATAGTAATGATAGAAGAAAAGAAAAAAAACAAATGTTTAACTATTATTATCTAAGCTAATAAATATACATCAGTATGATGTATCATAAGAAAATTATGACACTATGTGGAAACATATGTAAAATAAATGAAAAATATGGAACTCAAAATACTATTCATTTTAATCATTGTGACACAAAATAAGTAAACATATGTGTTTTTATGCTGACACATTCCAAAGACCCATGCAGAAAATCTAACAATAATTTAATCTTAAAATAGCAAATTATTTTCTATAATTATATTTAAATGAACCACTCCCTAGGAGAAAGGATTATATGGGTATTCTTTATCCTCATCATACATTTGTGTACTGAGCTTTTGTTGCTGTAATTGTTTTCAGTGAGCCTGTATTAATTTTATAACCAGAAAAATAAGATAATAAAACAAGCATTTCCATATATTTACTAATAATTTTAAAATAAACTATTCAAAGGAATGAACTATATTATAAAATAAGCTATGCAAAGGAATAAACTATATTCCTTTATCATATTCACTTAACGACAAACTGCGTAATTTGGCAAAAATTAACATTAGTAGAAACTTGGGCCAGCAAGACTGCAGAGAGGACAGCGCTATCTCCAAGAGTAACAGATACGGTCATGTGAGATGCCACATGTGAGATATAGAGCAGGGCCGGATCACAGCAGGTACTCAGAAATGGTAATTTAGCAGGCACACATTAAGAATCTGCTATGTGCCATAGACACCTTTGAACATAGCTCCCTTTACTAGCCCTACCCTCATCATTGGGAATATTTGTGAATTCCCTACCCTTTCTTACTATCCACCTTGTCCCTGATGTGTTAGAGACAAAGAAAGCAAAGACATTAAATGACCAAAAGGACATCAGAGCTGTCTGTCACCTCCTTAATAACAAAGGTGATTTCACTGGACTGGGTAAATGGTTCCCCATTTTTTGTGCTCATACTGACAAAAGGTAATTGTTCTATTTTATATTAATAGCTGTTGCCAAGTCCAGAGCTATTCTAAAGCAGTTCCTAAATAGCTGCACTTTCCTGCCAGAATTTCCAAATAAGCCCTCAAAGTCTAATTGTAAGAGGACATTGGATAGCCAAGTGAATTCAATGATATTAAAATAAAGCTTTGAGAAGAATGTGCTCTTCCAGTTCATAAGATCAGCCAGGAATCACTTGCTCTCAAGCCTTCATCATTAGCATCATCAGCATTGACAGCAACAAAGCAGATATTCTTTTGCACCTTCAAGAAAAAAGTTAGGAAATATCCATGCCCTGTATCCAGGGCATGGATGTTTTACTGTTTTAGAATCCCTTCACATTAGCAGGAAGTCATTTTCTTTCATTATTTGGGTATCAATATACTTTGAAATCATTCACCCTGCTCAAATGGATTTGTAATTTTATTGTTTCGTTATTCATTTGTTTAAAAAGACTCAACACATTTATCCTTAATTATTGGTCATACAGAACAAAATGGGAACAACATCATTTTACCTAGTAAAAGTTTCATTTGAGACACCTGTTCTGGATTTAGAATCAACTCTCTCCCAATAAATTCATACATCTAAGTACAACATGACATTGATTATTACATGTTCTTAGATGTAATAGATGCCTCTAAATATAACATGACACAATTATTGCACAATATGATAATAACTGGAGTTGGATACAGACCCATACCATGTATTTATAATATAATTTCCCTCTGCCATTTTGATATTTAACTTTTAATTTCTAAACAATCTGTGACCAGAACTTAATACAGGTAAATCCAAAGGCAAATGTATGTATACCCTGTTTCATCCATCACACTAGGAACAGACCGTTTTGGGAATACTGATGAAAAAAGAAGTATTTCCATTAGAATGTGATGAAATTAAACAGGAAATGAATGACCTCTGGAACATTTCACTTCCCTGTATATCTGAGATTTTCTGATATTAATAGTTAGTGACAGATTGTTGCTGTTTAGGCCTTAATCTTTCTGCTAAGAATCCCTGATCATTTAAGGGCTCCAACTTCTTGATTTTGTTTTACTGGACTGATGTGCCAAATCTGTTAAAAGTTTTCCACTCAGGAAAAAATTCAACAAACAATTGGAGCTATAAGGATCTCTGGAAGTTATACAAAAGAGAAACAATGATCCCTCCAAATTTATACATTTAAGATGGAGGACACAATATAATTTTGTAACATTTAGAAATGTAGTACACTTGGGGAAAGAGTTAAAAACATCACACACTGATAGAAACTGCTGTGAAAAACAAAATTTGCAATATGGCACAGCGATGCTCATTTAGCTGTTTCTAAGAAAGGAACATTTTGTATAAACTGAATTCAATCAATGAGACTGAAAAAAAATACATTTTTATGTGAGAAGTACGGTAAAAACCCAAACATTTTAGTTGAAATTCTGTGGAATTGTTATGAACACTTTTAAAAAAATCCAAATTTAGAAAAATTGGCAGATCTTAACATTTAAAGGAAAATAATATTAAGTGCATTTGTCATGTGATTTTTATACCCTAATATACTTAGGTTTTGTAATCATTTATAGAAAACTGCATGCTTTAATTTAAGGCATTTTCTTATAAATTATCTCAATTAAAATTTTGGTTTTATTGTTTTGTTATTCATCACATGTTGACTTTCTTAACAATTCTGTAATGTAAGCGTAGACAAGTTCTACTATAAAGGAGAGGTAAGGTTAGTTCTGTGGATTTAAACAGTTAAATGGTAATAAAGCCTTATGTTGATAAATGTGCTTTATTAAAAAGAAATACTTTATATCATTCAAAATCTGAGATTTATGGGAAATTCATTTTAGATACTTGAATTTACTTAGGGTTGTTACCAGAATAAAAAATTATGGAGAGATAGAAAATGATCTTTCCAGTTCTACCTAGTTAAAAAACAAAACAAAACAAAACAAAACCATGGATCTGTTCCATAATCTCTAGCCCACTAACATGAAACTCCTAGGTCAGTTCACATCTCTGCCTTTCCTGCCTCCTAACTAGTCTCATCATGTCCAGTGTTGCCTAACTCTGACCCATGTACAGTCAGAGCAATCTTTCCAAAAGGCAAGTCTGATCCGGTCAGTTTCCTCCTGAAAACTACTCAATGGCTCCCATTTCCCTTAAAGGTAAAAGAATAAATTTATAATGCACTCTTCAGCCTAATCTTTCAATTCAACACTACCTTCACTCCTTCTTCCTCCAAAATGGAACCTCAGTTATCTGAACATGTTCTCTCTCCCTTCTACACTTTTGTGCATGTGTTTTCTCTGCTCCAACTCCATTTCTCACACTCTTATCTGGCAACTCCTTATTCATCATTCAGGTCTCTGCATAAACATATCCTTATTTTTTCTAGATTAGGTTATATGACCCTGCAATGTCTTTCTATACCGAACCTTATACCATTTTATCATGCTCTCTTTGTGATTGTTTCCTTCATTGGCTGTAACTACATGAGAAACGGATTGTGTTTGTCTTGCATACTGTGGTCTCTCCAGGGCCAGGCACAATGTCTGGTGATAGAAGGGGCTTAATTAACTCTTGGTGAATAAAAACATCAATATCAGTTAATCTTTCAAGATATATAATATTTCAGTTTAAAGTTCTTTTAAACGGATAAGCACTACATACTATAAATTACAGGGGTCCTCAACCCCTGGGCCATGGACTGGTACTGGTCATTGGCCTGTTAGGAACCCAGCCGCACAGCAGGAGGTGAGCGGCGGGTGAGCATTACTGCCTGAGCTCTACTCCCTATCAGATCAGAGGCAGCATTAGATTCTCACAAGAGTGTGAACGCTATTGTGAACTGCGCATGTAAGGGATCTAAGTTGCGTGCTCCTTATGACAATTTAACTAATGGCTGATGATCTGAGGTAGAGCAGTTTCATCCTGAAACTAACCCCGCCCCCCACCTAGGAAAACTTGTCTTCCATGAAACCTGTCCCTGGTACGAAAAAGGTTGGGGACCACTGCTGTAAGACATAATTTTGTTAATGTAATAATTTCATATATTCATTAATTCAGCCAGAGATAAGGTTAAAGATGTTATTTTAAAATATACTTTCTAGAAAAAGTATGTTTACAATAAAAAAAAAACTTCTCTGAGAAAAGTCAGCTGTAAAAAAATTGAAATACAATCATCTGAAAAACAAAATGAACTTAAAAAAAGATGTTGTTACTCTTTTGCTGATGGAATGGTGTGCTCCTTTGTTGATGGTTTCAGAATAGCTACAGAAGACAGGGATAGCAAGGACATAGAGAACAGGCCCTGAAATGATTTTCTGCTCATTCAAGTCTCTGCTCCTTTCCTTCCTTTGCAAACTCTTCATAAATGGAGAAGGGAGAGGAAAGAGGAGTAGTTAGGACAATCATTAGAAAGCATTATCAAATGCTTTTGAAGAATCCAAATCCAAAACAACAAACTGAGGATAAACAAAACCAAATGGTAACTGACAACTTCATCAAAACCAAGCTACCAGAGAGGCATTAGAATGTGACACTTGTTCTTTAATACACTCTTTCAACATTGGACGGACCAAAAGTAAATGAGCATATAACTTTAAAATGAAGCAATATCAAACAACACTAATTACCTGTTCATAATAATG
This sequence comes from Homo sapiens, assembly GCF_000001405.40. Classification (NCBI taxonomy): domain Eukaryota; kingdom Metazoa; phylum Chordata; class Mammalia; order Primates; family Hominidae; genus Homo; species Homo sapiens. The sequence goes on along the minus strand of NC_000001.11, from coordinate 98,738,374 downwards.
GATATTCTCCTCAGCCATATCTGTAAATGCTAACTTGATATCATTTTGCATATTTTGTTTCCATCTCTCCCAATCTGCTTTCAGGGCATTATTAGCACATTCCACTTTATCTTCAAGTTTTCCAATCTCCTCTGGAAGCTGAATTAAGTCACAAAGAGAGATACATTGATCTATGAATTCTTTCCATCAGGTGAATTCATCAAATTTAAGTTGAACAAAATACCAAAACAGCCTAAATATAACTCTTTTTTGTTTTTAATCACCAGTATTTACTCTGTGTACTAATTAAAGTAAAAAGAACAGGGGTTCAGTCAGGTTGAGTCAGGGTTGTAGAGTACAGTTCTATGGTTGGCCACCAATTAGCACCTGGCCTTGGCTAAGTCTCTCAAATCCTGGGCTTCAGTTTCACTATTTATAAAACAAAGGCAACTGAACCAAAAATTAACTCCAAAGTCTTTTGTATTAAGACTCTCCTTACAACTACCATTTCTGGTGATAATATTTATATTAAAAGATATGGTGTCTTTCACTTCAGATTCCCCATTCTGGCCCTCATTTTTTAATGGTTTTTAGCTGAAGCCTCAACTAACTGAGAGGTTATAACATCCATACTCTGTAGTCCCACCTGGAGGCCCAGGGGATTAACCTGCAAACTCTACTCAGATAGCTAGTAACAGAGGCAAGTTTATAATTCAAGATGCCCAAATCCTAGACCATGAGCCACTGGACAGGCTTAGTGTAATATTTACCCTCTTCCCCACCTTATCAACTTTTGAGCATGTAATCCATTGATTTATTCTTTTATATTTGGCATATTCATATATATGTATTTTTATATTTATAGCTATTCATATATTCAGTATATATTTACTAAGTGTCTTGTCTGTAGCAGGCATTCGTCTAAGACCTGGAGATTCAGTAGTGAAGAAAATACACAAAAATCCCTGTTTTTACCACAGCTTATACTGTACTGGGGAGAGACAAACTACAAGCAAGGTAAATAAAAAATGGGAACTGTCAGCTGGTAATAAATGCTAAAGAGAAAAATGAAGCAGAACGGTAGACAGGGAATGTTAGGATGCTGCAATTTTAGATAAGGTGGCCAGAGAAAGCCTAAATAAGTATGACTTGAATAAATATCTGAAGTAGATGTGAGAATGAACCATGGGACTCTCAGTGGAAACACATTCCCAGCAGAGGAAACACCAAGGGCAATGACCTGGAGGTAGAAGCATGCCTAGGTGATTTAAGAACGGAAAGACCAGCATGGTTGCAACAAAAAGAGAAAAAAAAAAGCGAGGGGAAAAGTCCTGGGAAGTGAGGTTAGAGAAGCAGTGAGTGGCCAGATCACACTGAGCCATGTAGTCTATGGTAAGGTTCTTGGATTTTATGGAGATTCAAAGCCAGGAAGATTTGAGCAAAAATGACATCATCTCTCTTATGTTTTAAAAGGGGCCTTATATGTTACTACCATTTCATGACAAAGTATTTGTGAGAGGCCATCTTTTAAAAAGAATTCCCATTTCAAGATGCTAAAATGTAAAAATGTCTTAGAACCAATAAAATGTATTACTTCTGATGCTTGAATTAGCTCCTTTTTAAATATGAAATTTCACTTCTGTTCTTATTTCACAGCAGCCATGTGTGCTTTCATTTCTGAAATAATAGATATTTGGTATTACATAAATCTCTCATGACCAATGTAAGATGTATTTCAGTAGAAAGGCTGACTTTCATGTCTGTGTCTGTGTTTTATTTTTTCACTCTCTTGTTTAGTTTGTAGGGTCAAACTATATCAGCGAGAATACTGTATGGGAATCTGTAGTCTTCTGGGTATTTTGCTGAATCTTAAAGAACATGTCTAATGGGATGTTACTGAATAACTAATAATGATAGGCTGTGGGTGTTTGGAAATAGGCACCCACAGCCATAATAAAATTGTTGAAAGGCCAAACTCAAACAGGATCTGGGTCTGCTAGGAGACCTCAGGGACGTTAGAGAGCCTCCTCTGGATTGTTGGATGGAATCCTGCCATTTGCAGAGCCAGGTGGGGATTATTAACAGAATGCCTCCATCTAGGATCAAGGGGTACGTACATCAATTGTAACCACACTGTTAACTCTCCTCTGCTTAGGCTTTGCAGTTTAAATTGCCATGCAATGGCATAGAATGCCAACAGAGTGGTTCTACTGATATCGGCTTTCAGGAAACACTGTGTCTAAATCACATAGTCTATCTTCCTCTTCTGCCTGATGGAGCTTATAATGGTGTCACTGCCAGAAAGGATTTACTGCAGAGAGTTTTTTCATGTCAATCTGTAAATCTCCCTCATTAAAGCCTTTGAAGTGGTGGTCTGGTTAGTTGGTGGCTCTGCTCTAACCAACAGGTACTGTGTTCCTAGAGAAGAACTTAAGAACTCACTCTCAGAACTTTGCCCTCACTGTCACCTGCAGAAAGAAGGACTGTAGCCTTATCAGTACAGCATTGGGATTAAGAGGACTGACAGTAGGTTAGCCTGGTCTCAGTTTAAGTCCCACTTCTGTCTTTTACAAGTTATGTGACATTGGGTAAGACTATCTGTTGAAGCCCTAGTATTTTTATCTGTAAAATAAAGGTAAAATAATAACATACATTTCATAGGGATTCTTATAAAAACTGCAGCATGAAACAATGACCATTAATTGACTTACACAGGGCCTGAAAATTTGCCTACTAAATGTTCTCACCACCATCATCACCATCATCATCAGTTGGTGAAAATGACATTAATTCACTGTCTTCTTCCAGTATTTTAGTCTCTGGTAATATGTCATTCTTCTACTAGTGTCTAGGTATTAAGTCAATTTCTAGTGCAGTTTCCTCAATCTATTTTCACCAGTGCAGAAAATGACACATATGCCTTAAATATGTATGATCAATTCTTGTCATTTTTTGGTGACTATATCAGAGTTTTCTTCTTTCTTTGACGAGTTATTCATAAGTTTAGTTGGAAAAAAGGAAGGTAAAAAAATTAGGTATTTCCTCACAGTGAATCATCTTTCCATAATTTCAATTCTAAGAAACACTAACATAATAAGCACAAAACACCTAATTCAAATTAAGAATAATCTGCACTATATCTTTCCTAACAACTTACAAAAGCATAATATAATTAGATGTCCTTCCCCTTAGTTGACTTCAATTTTACTACGTTCTTTGGTACAAAGACTATGCATTCTGACTGTGCTGTCCATCCAAGTTCTAAAAGAACAAATATACTCAACAAAAGTTAATCTGAGGGGGAGAATAGCCCACTGGCAGGCTAAAGTCCTTCTGGTATTTTATTGTTCCCTCCAACACCAGATGTCGGGTTTCAATAACTCTAACCATAGGAAATTCAATCCATATACTGCAAAATAGCATGGAAAAGACTGGGCTAGATAGGATTTAAGGCTTGGTATTATTCTTCTTTTCACAAGTACTGACAGCAGTTTAGCCCTCTGTTATTGGAAAAATTGAAGAAGCAAGCAACCCTTGTTGCCAGCAAAACGTTGTAATGCCAAAATAAGTAATAATAAAAGACTGTAAGATAGTGAAAAAATGCTTTATATTTAATCGTAAGACTAATGGGTAATTTCTAGCTTCAGTTATATTCAGCTAGAAATTAGCCACACAAAGTCATTAATTCTAAAAGCTCAAACAAAACAATATGTTTCTACGATGGTGACTACATATCTATAGTAACAGTAACAGCAGTAATCATGACTATTTTTTGCATTCTGTCATTGGCTATATGCTTTCCATACATTATTCCACTTAATCTGCATAAGCATGTTACAAATTTGGTATTATCATCTTCCTATTACAAGCTGGGAAACTAGAAGAAAGAAGAGGCAGAGATTATATAGCTATTTGTGGCATATTAGGGATTCAAACCGATGTCTGCCAGTCAAGACACATGCTCTATTCATACGGACTGAATAGCACCAGCCATTGATTGGACAAGCTTGTCTGTGGCTTTCAAGCTTAAACTGATATAGCTGTTATCTCAAGGATAATCAATTAGATACAGATACACAAAAGTAAAGCAAAAAACCAAAGGCTATAATAAAAAGTAGAATGGGATACATACCATAATGGAAGGAAAAACGTAGAAGTGGTATTTACAGATACAGAATGGAAGATTGATTCTGATTGTGGGGTAGGGGACATTTTGACTTTTAATTCACTAGGCAGTGACTGGGACAATGAAACACCTATCTGAGGGTATGATATGAACACAACCACAGAAATAGTATGCTGCAGAGTGTGACAGAAGAATGGACAAGAGGCTGGTCTGGAGTTGGCAAGGAGAAGCATGGGAAATACAGCTGCAAATGCATATTAGAGACTGACCAGTAAAGGCTGGAAATGATATTGAGCATGAAAAGGATTTTGCAAGAGATGATAATCCACTGAAGGTTTTGATCAAGGCAGAGCTGTACTTCAGACAGACTGAGTCAGAGATATGTGGAAATTGTTAAGAGAGAAACAAAGGAGGAGAAGAAAGGAAACCAGTTCATCTGAAATGGGACTAAGGAATCAACCATAAAAAGCAATAGGGAGGATCTGGTTGGTTCTCACTCATTCACCCAGCAGCTTCCACTCAGCATCCATCTAGTCTGCGTTAGGAACGAAAATGGAGGGGGAAGAAATGGACCTTGCCCTCACAGACTCATGCTAATGGGGAGAAATAAATAAGTAATCAGGAAAAGGAAACTTGAAAGGCATTCATGCAAAGCAAACTGCAGACGTTAGTTCACAGAAGCATGTTTACCTTGGAGTTTCTGAAGAACTACAGATAGTTCTTTAAGGTTGATACCTAGAGTACGAGTAGGTGAAGAGCTAAGGAAAAGGACAGAGAGGCAGGCAATGCCAGGTCCTAAAGGGATTTCTCCTGCAGGTTGTTCGTCTTTTCACAGAGGACAAGTGGAGGCGCTGAAGGAGTTTAAGAAAGAGGACTAGAGACCAGTGGTAAAGATCAGACTCCTGATGCCACAGAAACTGAAAAGCAGCAACTGAAATGCTAGGAGGCAGAGTCAGGAGGGTCTAGCCCTGATCTAGATGGTGGGCACTGAGAGAAAAGTCTGCATTGCTGATAAGGTTAACTGGAAGAACAAATACCGTAGGGTGTGATAGGAGATGATGGCCTGAAGGTTAACAGTGGTAATACATTCACTGTGCCAAATAGTATCGCAAAGTGAGGGACACTGTTATATAAACATTCAAAACCACTCAGTTGCATACAGAGCAAAGAATTTTTGGAGGCTAGCAGGAATCAAGATTAAAGTTAAGCTTTGAAGCTTCCAATAACACTTTGCTACACTAATTTGGGTGGTTTGGGCAGGCTGGGAGGTAATATGGATACACCGATTGACATACCAGTTGCACCGAAGCAGACCTGACATTTTAAATTAAAAGCTACAGGAATATGTCTAAGGAAATAAGTAAAACTGATGTGCAGCTCTGCTCTTTTGGGAGAGACCTCTCTCCATTATCAAGGTTTTTTATTTGATGTTTCAATGATGCTTAAACTGATTTGGAATCTGTTCATTTGGAAACTGTTAAAACATTTGGTCCTCTAAAATGATAATCCTCCTCAAACACGTAAATATATAAATCTGTTTTTATTTATTGACCCTGACCTCTTTGATACCTCTTTGGATACAATCAATTATGGATGCTCTTGACTTACCGATGTGAAAGAAAACAAAAACTCCAATCTGAACCCCAATTCACTATGCTAAAGGAAAAAAATTAAGCTGAAAGCTGAGTCATGCAAGAAGCTGCCTTTCCTTTTGTTCCTAAGCAGATACCTATAGATAAAAAGATTAAATTATCTCCACAGGTCGCTACTCTATGTTCACCTTATCTTATGTAAAGTGCCCATCACTGAGACGGAGAGGAATACATAATTGACTACTCCCCTACCTGCTCCTTTTCTCTTGCAACAAGTGGATAACAGTACCCTCCCTATTTCCCCTCCAGCCCACTTTTCCCCTATAAATACTGAAGCCTTCAAAATCATCTTTGGAGAAAGTTACAGGCCATAGACTGTTTCTGTGATTCCATGTTTATTTCCTCCACGCATGTCCCTAACCTTGGCAAAATAAACTAAATGGATTAAGACACATCTCAGATACTTTTTGGGCTACACCTACCTCCCAATAAGCCCACTGTTAGTTGAAAATATTGTAAGCCAAAAATGTATTTAATGCTGGCAACACAGCAGACGGTCTCCAAATTAAAATCATTCAACTTAGGATTTTTTGACTTTAGGATAGTGAGAAAGCCAACCACATTCAATAGAAACGGTAACCCCATCTTAAAGTTGAATAATCCTAAATGGAACCATCAGAATTCAGGGACCATCTGCATTTTGAAGTGCTAAGCTTTCAGGGCTATCTGAAAACTTACATTTAATTACATAAAAGCTTTAAGTTTGATGTACCCATAGCAGAATCAAGTTAATAAGAAATGCAAACAAATTCAGGAAACTTTGTAGAGTCATGTGCCACATAACAACATTTCAGTCAATGACAATCTGCATATATGACAGTGATTCCATAAGATAATCATATGCTATTTTTACTGTACTTTTTCTATGTCTAGATACACAAATATTTACCACTGTGTTTCAATGGACTAAAATAACATGCTATACAGGTTTTTAACTCAGGAACAACAGGCTACACCACAGAGCCTTGGTGTGCAGCAGAGTATGACATCTCAAGGCTGTGTAAGTATACTCTACAATAGTCACACAATGATGAGAAAGCCTAAAAACAAATTTTTTCAGAACATATCCCAATCATTTAATAACATATGACTGTATAGTAATTGAGTTATGGAAAGTTTGACATGAAAAATAACTGAAAATTTTTCTACTGAAGTCCAAAGACAAAGACGGCAACATGAGGGAATTCTGAAGCAGCTCATGCTCACCAAGAAAACTACTTTGTGAGAATTATGAACTAAAACTATGAAGTTCATTCACTTAGTTAATAAATATTCTTCCTGTCTACTATGGGCCAGTCACATGGTAGATGTTATGAGAGATACAATCCAATAAGCACATAGTTCCTTGAGGCACTTGAAGCTAAATAAAACAGTATTCTTATACTTTTTAAAAAATTTTTATTCTTATAAAAAACAGTATTCCTATACTTTGGAGTTTTCTTTTGTTCATTCTAAAAAAAAAAAAAGGCAGGAATACATTCTGAATTGTTTTTAGTTAAAACTATTTTTCCTGAGAGGGGAATATGTTACACAGGTAAACATGTGCCATGGTGGTTTGCTGCACCTATCAACCCATCACCCAGGTATTAAGCCTAGTATGCATTAGCTAGTTTTCCTGATGTTCTCTTTCCCCACCTCTGCCGCCCTGTGTCCACGTGTTCTCACTGTTCAGCTCCCATTTATAAGTGGGAACATGTGGTGTTTGGTTTTCTGTTCCTGTGTTAGTTTGCTGAGGATAATGGCTTCCAGCTCAATTTAACAGGAATAGCATTGAATCCATAAATTACTTTGGGTAGTACGGCCATTTTCACAATACTGATTCTTTCTACCTATGAGTATGGAATGTTTTTTGCATTTGTTTGTGTCCTCTGATTTCCTTGAGCAATGGTTTGGCATTCTCCTTAAAGAGGTCCTTCACTTCTTTTGTTAGCTGTATTCCTAGGTATTTTATTCTTTTTGTGAAACTGTGAACGGGAATTCATTCATGATTTGTCTCTCTGCTTGTCTACTGTCGGTGAATAGGAATGCTTGTGATTTCCGCACATTTATTTGTATCCTGAGACTTTGCTGAAGTTGTTTATCAGCTTAAGAAGCTTTTCAGCTGAGACAATGAGGTTTTCTAGATATAGGCTCGTGTCATCTGGAAACAAGACAGCTTGATTTCCTCTCTTCCTGAGTATTCTTTATTTCCTTCTCTTGCCTGACTGCCCCGGCCAGAACTTCCAATAGTAAGCTGAATAGGAGTGGTGACAGACAGCATCCTTGTCTTGTGCTGGTTTTCAAGGGTACTGCTTCCAGATTTTGCCCATTCAGTATGATATGGCTGTGGGTTTGTCATAAACGGCTCCTATTATTTTGAGTTATGTTCCATTCATATCTAGTTTATTGAGAGTTTTTAACATGAAGGGATGTTGAATTTTATCGAAGGCCTTTTCTGCATCTATTGAGATAATCATGTGGTTTTTGTCTTTGGTTCTGTTTACGTGATGGATTACATTTATTGATTTGCATATGTTGAACCAGCCTTGCATCCCAGGGATGAAGCCTACTTGATCATGCTGGATAAGCTTTTTGATGTGCTGCTGGATTTGGTTTGCCAGTATGTTACTGAGGATTTTCACACTGATGTTCATCAGGGATACTGGTCTGAAGTTTTCTTTTTTTATTGTATTTCTGCCAGGTTTTGGTATCAGGGTGATGTTGGCCTCATAAAATGAGTTAGGGGGGAGTCCCTCCTTTTCAGTTGTTTAGAATAGTTTCAGTAAAAATGGTAACAGCCTCTCTTTGTTCCCCTTGTAGAATTCAGCTGTAAATCTGTCTGATCCTGGGCTTTTTGGTTGGTAGGCTATTTATTACTCCCTCAATTTCAGAACTTATTATTGGTCTATTCAAGGATTCAACTTCTTCCTGGTTCAGTCTTTAAAGTGTCTAGGTATCCAGGAATTTATCAGTTTCTTCTAGATTTCTTAGTTTATTTGCATAGAGGTGTTTATAGTATTCTCTGATGGTTGTTTATGTTTCTGTGGGGTCAGTGATGATATCCCCTTCATCATTTTTTATTGTGTCTATTTGATTCTTCTCTCTTTTCTTCATTACTAATATTAATTTTTCAAAAAAAAAATCAGCTCCTGGATTCACTGATTTTTTGAAGGGTTTTTTGTGTCTCTATCTCCTTTAGTTCCACTCTGATCTTGGCTATTTCTTGTTTTCTGCTACCTCTGGAGTTTGTTTGCTCTTTGTTCTCTGGTTCTTTTAGTTGAGATGCTACGTTTTTGACTTGAGGTCTTTCTAGCTTTATGAAGTGGGCATTTAGTGCTATAAACTTCCCTCTTAACACTGCTTTAGCTATGTCCTAGAGATTCTGGTGCGTTGTTTCTTTGTTCAAAGAACTTCTTGATTTCTGACTTAATTTCATTATTTATCCAGGAGTCAATCAGAAGCAGGTTGTTCAGTTTCCATATAGTTGTGTGGTTTTGAGTGAGCTTCTTAGTCTTGAGTTCTAATTTGATTGTGCTGTGGTCTGAGAGACTGTTATGATTTCAGTTCTTTTGTATTTGTTGAGGAATGTTTTACTTCCAATTATGTGATCGATTTTAGAGTAAGTGCCATGTGGCACTGGGAAGAATGCATATTCTGTCATTTTGGGGTGGGGAATTCTGCATACATCTATCAGGTCCACTTGATCCCTAGCTGAGTTTAAGTACTGAATATCTTTGTTAATTTTCAGTCTTGATGATCTGTGTAATACTGAAAGTGGTAAGTTAAAGTATCCTACTATTATTATGTGGGAATCTAAGCCTTTTTGTAGGTCTCTAAGATCTTGTTTTATGAGTCTGGATGCTCCCGTATTTGGTGCATATGTATCTAGATTAGTTAGCTCTTCTTGCTGAAATGAACCCTTTACCATTATGTAATACCCTTGTCTTTTTTGATCTTTGTTGGTTTAAAGTCTGTCTGTCAGAAACTAGGATTGCAACCCCTGCTTGTTCCTGCTTTCCATTTGCTTGGTAGATTTTCCTCCATACCTTTATTTTAAGCCTATGTGTGTCTCTGCCTGTGAGATGGGTCTCTTGAATACAACACACTAATGGATCTTGACTCTTTGTCCAGCTTGACATTCCGTGTCTTTTAATTGGAGCATTTAGCCCATTTACATTTAAGGCCAATGTTGCTATGTGTGAATTTGATGCTGTAATCATGATGCTAGCTGGTTATTTTATAGACTTTAGTGCTTCCTTCAGTAGCTCTTGCAAGGCAGGCCTGGTGGTGATGAATTCCCTCAGCATTTGCTTGTCTGAAAAGGATTTTATTTCTCCTTCACTTATGAAGCTTAGTTTGGCCAGATATGAGATTCTGGGTTGGAAATTATTTTCTTTAAGAATGTTGAATATTGGCCACCAAACACTTCTGGCTTGCAGGGTTTCTGCTAAGAGGTCCACTGTTATTCTGATGGGCTTCCTTTGTAGGTGACCTGGCCTTTCTCTCTGGCTGCTCTTAACATTTTTTCCTTCATTTTGACCTTGGAGAATCTGAAGATTATGTGTCTTGGGATTGATCTTCTCATGGAATATCTTACTGGGATTCTCTGGATTTCCTGAATTTGAATGTTGGCCAGTCCTGCTAGGTTAGAGAAGTTCTCCTGGATGATATTCTGAAGTTTCTTTTCCAACATGATTCCATTCTCCCCATCTTTTCCAGGTACCACAAACAGTCATAGGTTTAGTCTTTTTATATAATCTCATAGTTCTCGGAGGTTTTGTTCATTCTTTTTCATTCTTTTTGCTCTAATATTGTCTGCCTGTCTTATTTCAGCAAGATAGTCTTCAATCTCTGGAATCCTTTCCTCCGCTTGGTCTATTCGGTTATTGATACTATGGTTGCATTGTGAAATTCTCATGTGGCATTTTTCAGCTACATCAGGTCATTTATGTTCCTCTCTAAACTGGTTACTCTGTTTAACAGCTCCTGTAATGCCTGTAATGTTTCATCATGGTTCTTACCTTCTTTGTAATGAGTTAGAATATGCTCCTTTAGCTCAGTTGAGTTCGTTATTACCCACCTTCTGAAACGTCTACTTCTGTCAGTTCATCCGTCTCAGCCTCAGCCCAGTTCTGTGGCCTTGCTGGAGAGGTGCTGTGATCATTTGGAGGAGAAGAGGTACACTGGCTTTTTTAGTTTTCAGCGTGTATTTTTTGGTTGATTCTTTCTCATCTTCCTGAGTTTATCTACCTTTAATCTTTGAGGTTGCTGAGCTTTGGATGGGTTTTTGTGGGGACACTTTTATTGATGCTGTTGTTGCTGCTGTTTGTTTTTCTTTTAACAGTCAGGCCTCTCTTCTACAGGGCTGCTGTGGTTTGCAAAATAAATTTGGTAGAAAAGTAAACAATCATTTTTTAAAAACTTTATTTGAGACAGAGTCTCGCTGTGTCACCTAGGCTGGAGTACAGTGGCGCAATCTCAGCTTGCTGCACACTCCACGTCCCGGGTTCACGCCATTCTCCTGCCTTGGCTTGCCAAGTAGCTGAGACTACAGGTGCCCGCCACCATGCCCAGCTAATTTTTTGTATTCTTAGCAGAGACGGGGTTTCACTGTGTTAGCCAGGATGGTCTCGATCTTCTGATCTCATGATCCACCCGCCTCAGCCTCCCAAAGTGCTGGGATTACAGGCATGAGCCACTGCACCCGGCCAAAAAAACTTTATTTTTAAGTGCCTATTATGTGCCAGGCATTGGCCTAGACACAGGACAAAGGGCACAGGATGAATATGAGAGGGAAGGTCCTGCCTCTGGGAGCTTACAGTCTAGCAGGGACTTAAGATTCACATTGCACTGGGCATTCCCTGGCATTCTACCTTAACAGTTGCCTTAGAGTTTCTCAATGAGTTTTCTTTTTAAAATAAAATAAGTACCCTCCAAACTAAATCTTAAGAAATCCAGACAATCTAGATCCAAAAAAAATCCCCTTAAAAAGGAAATATATCTCCATATTCAATGGATATTCCTTACTGGACTAAATATTCACTTGATGAAATTAAGGTACATACTAATATAGATAAGTAAACAATCAGACATAATCAAGCTCAGTTGAATGACATCTTTATTTCCAGGACATTTTTACATGTCCAGTGCTCTGCTACATGTGGTGAGAAAGACATGTACCTGTTATGAAGAGGATGCAACACCTGCCTCAACGATAAGTTTCCTGTCTCCTAATAACAAATGCTTCTGGCTTTAGGTCAAGACTCAGATTATACTGGCCACTCAGGCAGCTCCACTTTGAAGAAATAACATTCCATCTTTCTCAGTTGCCTTAGGGTATTAACAATTTGGTGTTACCTGCTTCTCTTGCTCCTTTCTTACTGAACTTTAAAAATTTACAAAGACACACATTTATCAGTCAGTGATCTAAAGTCTGGGCTCTGAAGTCCTGTGGGTTCGAGTCCTAACTGTGTGAATGCAGACAAGGTCATTTCCTTCAGAGGGTGCAGTTTCCCCCTCTGTAAAATGCGGCACCCTGGTGTGATTATGAGAAGATTTTTCTTAAGGTATCAGAATTGTCCTAAATGAATCTGCCCTCTCACTTATCCTGTGTTAAGGAACTGAGGACCTGTAAGAAAAGAAAACCACAGGAGAAACAAAGAGCTATGTTATTAATAACTCAGTAAGCTCCTCAATAGCCCTGACAAAGCCTGAGAGTGTTGGTGGGTGAACTGAACAATGAAATGTTTCAGGCCAAAAAGTCTTCTATTATAGTAAGACCCTTCTCCAAATCAGATAGTTGAAGCCAAAAAGCCCAGAAATTACCTCTATTTTAGAAACTTAGGTTGCCACGCTACCTCAATAAATTATTCCTCTCAAATCCAAGACATTTTAGTGTCTTGCAAATTATGGAATGTAAATACCCTAAGACAAAAATATGCAAATGGATGTTTTCCCCCTGAATCTGAAAGCACTTTAGAATATACTTCCTGGTAACTAAAAAAAGCTGTCTAGCAATCTAAGAAGAATAAAAGCCAAGACCATCCCTTTCGACTTCCAAACATCTTTTTAGGCCTTTAGTTTTTTATTAGAGATCAGTTTTTTTAAAGTATATTAACTCAACCAACAACTGTTTCTTCAGCACTTACTTCATGCCAAGTACCATACCAGGCACAGTGCCCCCTTGTGAAATGTTTTTCTTCCTTTCTCATTCGTTTTTGGAACACTTCTTTCATAGAGGCAAATATTTGCCTAATATCACAAAGTCCTTCCAATCCGGATATAGTCTCACGATGAGACCACTAAGGAATGCTTTAACATGTTTTTCTCAAATTGGGATTCCTATATCTACATCAACACACAGTGATGGCCTAAGGATCGCCAAAGTCATGAATAAACATGGAATAATTTTCATAGATATTTTACAGAGATTAAACCATTTTTAAATTAACAAATATAAATATATCATGGAGTAGTGATATTCACACAAGATTTAAAACAGGAGAGCTTAAAGAAATTTTGAGTTTGCATTGCCCATGAGGGGGTACCTCTCAGACTTACTGGAGCATATATTCCAACTTTCCTATACCATAGAAAGTAAACTCCTTTGGTAAAAATGTTTGAACCGTACACCATATTAAAATATGTGTTAAAAGAAACTCTGCTTGACTGCTAAACTATACATTTAATAAATAATTAATATACTTTAGCATGATGATTCTAGAGGAGTTAATTTTCATAATCACTAACAGTTTTATCAAAGTATCAATTATAAAAATTATGGATTGAGAAATCAGCTTCCCTACAGTCTGTTTCTCTAGGAATAGCTGCCAGAATGGCAGAAAATATCCAGTCAAAACCTTTTTAAATCACTGCAATTTATTATTGCTAAAAAGCAATCTAGGGAGAAATTTCAGTTCTCTCTCTAAGAAAGAGCCACCCATGTTGACTATTTAATTAATAATCTTCCATCACTTATCCCTGATTTTGTAATCTAGAACTAGAGCAAATAAGCATCCTTTATCCTTATTCCGTGATTGTCTCTATACATACAATAGTAAGGTCATATGTTAGCACAATTAAAATTTAGAGTCTTTCCAATATTATTACTAAGCCCCTAATGTCTAAACATCTTATGAGGTCTGCTCCTAATACATTATGAAAAGAGTTATTTCTTCATTAACAAATAATAACATTCTCATACAAATTAATCTAGTATGTAAAAATTTACGAGGCTAGCATAACTTTGATACAAAAAGCGGCATTTCTGGCAGAAGCAACTATAATTACAAATCATTCTTATTCAGAAATGTGGATACAAAAGTCCTAAAAAAGAAAGTGAGCAAGCCAAACCCAGCAATGGCCAGAGTGGGTTTACCCGGGGCCCCAAGAATGGTTAACATGAGAAAATCTCTAGTGTAAGTTGCCACAAGAAAATAATAAGAAATGTACAATTATCTGAGTAGACACAGAAAATCATTCTGAAAGCTCGATATTAACTTATGAATCAACTCTCATCAAATAGGAGTAAGAACTGCCCCAGCCTGATTAAAAATATATAGGATAAAAAACTATAGCAAACATTATTACTTATGACAAAAATCTTAGAAGCATTTACTTTACAATCAGGAAAAATACAAGAATGTTCTATCACTAAGAACATTATAATTTTTTTTTGCCAGCTAACAATGAAAAAGAAAATATGAAGTCTAATTATTGAATAAATAAGACAAAACTGCCAATATTCACCCGTAATAGAATTTTCTTTCTTTTTTTTTTGAGTCAAAGTCTTGCTCCATCACCCAGGCTGGAGTGCAGTCATGCGATCTCAGTTCAGCGCAACCTCTGCCTCCCGGGATCAATCAAGCAATTCTCCTGCCCCAGCCTCCCAAGCAGCTGGGACTACGGGCATGCACCACTACACCCAGCTGCTTTTTTTTGTATTTTTAGTAGGGATGGGGTTTTGCCATGTTGGCCAGGCTGCTATTGAACTCCTGACCTCAGGTGATCCGCCCACCTAGGCCTCCCAAAACGGGTGTGAGCCACTGCACCCGACCTAGAATTTTCTATGTAGAAAACCCATCTATAAATTATTAAAATTAAAAATAACTTAAATCATTAAATATAGAATAGGTATGCAAAAGTGAATTACTTTTCTCTAATTCTGGCCAAAAAAAAGGCCATAAAATGTTTTAAAATACAAAATTTATGATAAATACAAGCCAAAAAAATAAGGTACTTAGTAATAAATTTAACAAAAAGTATACACAGCCTTTTTGGGGAAAAAAAACCGTTTAAAACTTTATTGAGAGATACTGAAGGAGTTTCAAAGAGTGAAGTATCTAAAACAAATCATCTATTTTAAGTCTTTTTCTGGTTTTCTTTCATCTCAGCTTAAATAATAGTTCCCAGATAATGCTTCCCAAAACATTTATGTACAAAGCAGGGTTGTTGTTCTTTTTGTTTTTTGTCTTTGTTTTTTGCTATTTCCTATCTCAGTCCATTCATTTCCTTAGCATTCATTAGATCTTGCAATTATTTTATTTATTTGTCTTGTACTTTTCTGTTGGGATGTAAGGTCTACCATGAGGGGCCTGGGGTCTATTCATCTTTTCATTGTTATCCCCAGTGTTTACACTAGGTGGGAATCTGGTAAATATGTGTAGATTGAATGGGTGATTTTAGGAAAGTGAAAGGTTAGTAATTAATCCAGGCTTATTTCTCCTACTGGCTTTATGAGTATTATTTCTTTACATAGATGTGTATCTACGTAAAGATATATCACCAACATTTTTGAGCAAAATAATAAAATTTGAGGATGATAGTTATTCTTACTTAAAAATATCATCATTGTTTTCCTTTTTAAATGGAAGCTATATCACCAACATTTTTGAGCAAAATAATAAAATTTGAGGATGATAGTTATTCTTACTTAAAAATATCATCATTGTTTTCCTTTTTAAATGGCTTATCTATTATTTCCTTTTATGGAAAAAAAAATCAACCATTCAATCCATTTATTCAAATGCTAAAAATTTCTCTTCATAATCAGAAAAGCTGGGAAATTATCATTTTGAAAAGTTCTTGAAAATAATATATCTAAATAAAAGGATTAAGATTGCCACTCCATCAGAAGACAATAGAAAATTCTGAAATTCATTTCTAATCTGACAGCTACCTCTTCTTAACAAGTATTAATTAAATTGCAGGGGAAAGATAAGAGGGCTCTTAACAATAAAACTGTATTATTTTCTGATTCGTGAGAGAGGTGAGATGTGTCTAAAGAAATTAGATGCTTGATTATACAATGCTGCTTAAGCATACATGTGATTACTAAGTAGTACCTTTTTTACATACTTTACAATACATACTTTTCTTAAAAAGTGGAAACCTCTCTCTCTGAAACCCACTGCAGATTTTGTTATCCAAACGTAACTTGTTCAGTAAAACACAATGCATTTTCTAAAAATGACAAATTGAGTCATAAAACACCCACAAATGTAGTTAACGCATCACGTTTCAAGCCAGCACCTTCAACACCATTAACATCCCTCAAATCATGATTATAATTTTTTGTGACATTGCAGGAAACAGAAAACCAATTATTTAAAGGGCCACATTTTAGAACAGGTAGAGATCTCCTCAGAATCTTCTATACAACAAAAGCCACTAAATATACATCAGAATATAAAGGATTCACTTCTTTCTAGGTGCTTCTATCAGTCATTAATATATTTCTATTAAAAAGAAATGATGTGGCTCCTTAAAAATAAAACAAAAAAATTCACAGTCCTTTACCTCTTTAGATGTAATTCCCTGTACTTTTCTGCAAAATATAACCTAAGCCTAGAAAAGCAGTATGTTCAATTACCATTAGGCTTTCCAAAGTTAAAAATTATTTCAAAGCCAAAAATCAAAATTTATTTATTTCACAGAACTTCACAGGCCAATTTTCTGTTATTAAATATTTTTATTTTACTCACTACTTAACTAAACAATATCTCATATATTATCTCATTTAGTTCTCAATATACCCTGTAAGGTAAATATTATTTTTCCCAGTTTACTTACAAGAAAAAATAAGGCTTATTGAAGTATAAAAGTGACTTATTTTGAAACTTTGATCTAGAACCTAGGTTCTCTATAGCTTGTGATGCAAACCTTAACATACTACAAAACTCCAAAATTGGGTAGATGAGGTTTAAGGCATATACAAGACAGCTCACAATACTACACAAAGGAACTTCCATTTATATTTAACTGCTATGCATTGTCTTTAATGTCTACTTACGTGCACAGTTTATAACACAAGTAAAACATGAGTATAGTACAGGTTAAGTATCCCTTATCCAAAATGCTTAGGATCAGAAGTGTTTCAGATTTTGGAATATCTGCACTACACCTACCGGTTCAGCATTCCTAATCTGAAAATCCAAAATCCAAAATGCTCCAAAGAGCATTCCTGTGAGCGTCATGTCAGTACTCAAAAAGTACCAGATTTTGGAGCATTTTGGGTTTTGGAGAAATGCATTGGGAACACAAACTTGAGGTGCAAGTAAATAATCTGTAAATTAAAAATGAACATCTATTGGGAGATGTGCTTAAAAAATATTTATTTGATGGAGTATGTGATCAAGAGTCTGATGACTACCATAGTATTTTTGCTCTAGTACTGTGTACACTGTAGTTTTAATCAGGTGAATTCCCCTGATGTTTCTTTCAGACATTCATCTCTTTTCTGTCTGAATCCCTACCAAAGCTAAAACTTCCATGAGAAATGATCTCCCTTCTTTGATTCGATCAACCAAACTACCATATATAAAAAACAGCTCCTAATGCTGCAACATACTGTAAAACAAATCCAGCCAAATAGAACATTCTGTGATGATAGAAATATTCCATTCTGGACCGTCCAAAATGGTACCAATAGCCACATGTGACTACTGAAATTCAGCTAGTGTGACTGAGAAACTGAATTTTTAGTTGTGTTTAATTTTAATTAATTCAAATGTAAGAGTAAACAGCACATGTGGCCAGTGGGTACCATAATGTATAGCATGGCTCTAGAAAGTTGTGATCATGTAACTGGAATAGTGTCATATGTATAGCTCAAGTATAAAAATTAGGGGTTCACTCAAAAAAGTATCCTTTAATAAGGATAAAATTGCTTTCATGTGTTTTCCTAGAAATACTCTAATATTACTGAATATTTTCTCAATCACTTCATTTTGAAAAATGAGGTAATATTTTATAAGAAATATTAGCCTGAGGCAAATTCAATTAATGGTAGTTTTAGATATACATAGTAGTCTACTAACGGAGTTATTTTTTAAAGAAAGGAGACAAAGATTAACAACAGTTATTTCTAGGAAATCTCTCATGATTCAGGTATTTGATTATTATTATAAATATTTTATAGTTTACTTTTAAAAGCTCTGTAAATAGACAAGCAAGAGGAACAAAGAGTGGGGGTAGACAAGTCCTGCCATTTATCAAACATATTACAAAACCTCCATTATTGACACAGTATGGTCTTGGAGCATTAACAGACCAAGAGAACATATAGAAAGTCTTATCATCGTTGCATATGAAAACGAATTAAGTATATTTCGAAGGCAGCATCAAATCACTAGGGAAAACATGATTATTCAATAGATAACGGGTACGACTGGGACAGTTATTAAAATATATACAGTTGAATAATATATATAATATACATAGTTGAAATATATATTATAGTTGATATATACCATTAAAAATATATATTTTATATATATAGTTGACTCAAAAACCTCATATTTATAAGAATCAATTTCAAATGGCTCAAAGATTCTATTGTAAAAAAGGAAACTCAAAAATTAATGGAAGAAACCACGAGACATTTTTTTCTGTCACCTGAAGTAGAACACTCTCTAACTCATCCTTAAAGGTAAAATCTTTAAGAAAAAGATAGATAAACCTGACTTCATAAAAACTAGAAACTTCTGCTAGTAAAAATCAGTACAAAAAATTACAATATAAATAAAAAATAAAGACTAATTTCCCGAATAAGAAGTTCCTATAAATCAGAAAGACAGAGATCAAGAATTAATAGAGAAAATATAATGAACAAAGACCAGACACTGACAGATAAAAGCAATACAAATTTTACTTAAATATATAAAGCAATGCTTAACCCCACTCATCAGATGAGAAATGCCAAATTAAACCTACAAGGGGATACCATTTTTCACTTTTGAGGAGGCAACAATTCAACGGTTTGATATCTCCCCTTAACAAGACTGCGGGTGGAGGGTACAGGAATAAGCCAGCTGGTGAGAATGTAAATAGCTTTTCTGTGGACAGCAGCTGGGTGGTAACAAGAACAGCAGCAGCAGAAGAGCTAACTCTTTTATCCCTTCCTATGGGCCAGGCAATATTCTAAGCACCCTACATGGGTTAACACATTTAGCACTATGAGCTAGGTACTATTATTATCTCTAATCCACGAAGTAATAAACTGAGGCATGGAGAAGTTAGCTAATTTGCTCAAGATCACTCATCTAGCAAAGGGCTATCAAAATTAAATACCCTCCGATTTAGCAATTTCACTTCTAAGTATTCTAAAGATCTACTGGTATACTTACAAATAACGTGTACAAAATTCTTCATTAAAGCATTATTTATAGTCACAAAATATCAGAAATAAATATTTACCAGCAGGGGTCAGGTTAAATAAATTCTGCACAGCCATACAATGGGATATCATGTAGCTGTAAAACATCAATAAATGGAATGATCTCCAAGATATCTTACTACATTAAAAAAGCACAGTGCAGAAATCTTTAGAGTGTATTACCACACGAATTAAAAAGTCAGAATGTATATTGGTATTTATTGCATATGCATAAAGAAAGTGGAAGGCTACAGAAGTAACTAACAATAGGATGTGCTTATACTAATAACATGGGTAGTGGGACTTGGGAGAATAGGATATTGGGATGGGCACACTTTTCACTGGGTGTGTTTTCTAAATTTATGAATTTTGAGCCATGTGAATATATTATCTTTTCAAATAAATCATAATTTGGGGTTATTTTTATAAGCAATGCACTAATTAGTTATGTTAGAGCTGAAGACTATATATCTTACGGGATGAATGAAATGTTGAAGTACCTAATGTTATATAAATGAGTAGTGGTTGTTGGGAAGTAATATTTGTAGGGACACATTACATCTGGATTCAGAAAATAAGGCATAAAAATGGAGACTCTGAGTTCCTTTTTCCTGATGTGTGTATATATTTCCTCTTCCAATAAAAGTGTTAGATGATAAAAGAAGTATTGAAAATGCATGTGAAAGTGGAAAAGGTGTTATTTCTATATTAATGTATTATTTAATATATACTAAAAACCACACATTCATGTGTGATCTTGACCTAAAGTTAATTTAAATATTGTAACTAAAAATTTGACATTGGACAAAAACTATGTTTTTTGGTGAGGGACCTTCTTCAGGAAGTGTGTTAGGGAAGCCTTACATTTGCACTTCTATGTGCAATAAGTAATTCGCACATCTGGCACTTCTCTTACCATCTGACCTATGTGCATGCCCCTTTCATTTCCTCATTTATGGAGTGCCCATTATATGTCTTGCATTTTCCTGGTACAAGGGTCTGCAACAGCTCTTTAAATGCATTAAGGTTTATTTTGAATGCATTTCACGGATATATGTCTTTTTTCTCACTAAGTTTACATTAAAAGCTTCTAAATAAGAAGGTCTCAGAAGCAACAGAATCTGCCCCCTGGGAAGGACACTATCTTTGTAATTTTGTGTATTTTGAAAATGCCTCTTACCCTCTCCCTACCCACACTGCTTATGAGAACCACTGACATACATTAAGGAAAGAAACTGTACCTCCTTATCTCATTTCATACCCTCTTTGTGACTGAGAGATAAACAAGGCAGGTCAATTTAACCTAAAATAAACACTATTAAGACTGCCAGTTCACTGTAATAAAATATTTCAAGTCACCAATGATGTTCTGGCAAAGAGAATTTATCACGTGCAAATTCTGATTGGTATTAATTATTTGAAGCATGTTGGTAAGTATTTTCTGAGGATTGTTCTGGGATTAGATATAGCGGTTTCTGCAACGGGTAAAGCAGTAGTAGGCTATGTACAAGTATCGTCTTGGAATACAGTTTTGAAGTCCTGAAATATAGTTAATAGCACAATTTCTGAAGTTCTGCTTCAAAAATTCCTGCATGTGCAATGTTGTTCAAGTAATTCTATTTCTCTGTTCCTCAACTGTGACATTTATAAAACATATAAAACTTATAAAATGAGGAAAATAATAGTACCTACACCCCATTGTATTGTGTGAGACTGAAGTGAAACAATACACACAGAACATTTAGGACTCTGCCTGGCACATCGTGTGTGCTCAAGAAATGTTAGCTATTATTATTATTATCATCAATTAGTTTTAGTATGACTTGTTGATCTAGTTAACACATAATTCCATATAATAATTCCTTGAAAGAAAAAAAGACTTTCAACTCTCTGAGATAATTATAACTCTATGTATTTCAAAGCATTTCCCAGTGGCAATTTACAATTTATTATGAAATCCAAGTTTTTTTTTTTAAAGAAGATAAAAGAAGAAAACACCAAACTTTTATTCCTTTTTGCTTTGATTTTAGTAGTAGATAATTGTTACTTGCCTTAAAATTTTCTCATCTCCCTATGTATTTCAAAGCATTTCCAAGTTGCAATTTATAATTTATTATGAAATCTAAGTATATTTTTTAAAGAAGATAAAAGAAGAAAACACCAAACTTTTATTCCTTTTTGCTTTGATTTTAGTAGCAGATAATTGTTACTTGCCTTAAAATTTTCTCATCTCCATGGACTTCAGACCCACCCATTGGGAAAAAAAAAATTGTATTTATGATACATCAGGGAGTACAGAGTTAGGTTACAACTCTGGCTCTTCTATTTAACTAGCTGTATAACTGTGAGCAAATCACTTAACTTTCTTATCAAAATCTCCACTACTACCTTCTTTTTTTATGCCATCATCACCCCCTACTCATGGTAGTGGATTCAACACAGCTTTCTGTTTTCCCATGCAGGAAACATAATGAGCATTTGAGAGCAACTATAAACTCTTCCTTTCTCTTTTCCCTTCATGAACAACTCAGCTCTAAAGGTTAATCACTGCAGGTAGAACAAGACTAATGTCCACACTGGTGGAGAAAAGGAGGCAAAGTCATGGTGGCCTAGTACAGATTGTCAAAGCAGCGAGATGAGGAGGTAGTTCCTGCAAACAGTGGCCTAGAGTAGGGAGTAACTGCCCAAGTAGGATGAAGAGGGCACCATATGGGGATAGGAGGCAAACCTACCATGGGGAAACAGAAGTGTGTTAAAGAGGAGGTATGGCCCTTGCAGGGTGTGAAAGCCCAAGTGGAGTGGGAAGTGCCACCAACTTAGGAAAGATGACTTGGGCTATACAGGATTGGTTATATACAGGGGGATTAATCAAATAAGTAGATATAAAAAAGATGAGAGCCTGTCTCTCGCTGTCAGAAAGGGAACTACAAATACGGAAAATAAAAGATATCAAGAATGAATCCCTATAACTAGATTAAAATTGGAGGCACTGGTGTAAATTCATTGTTTTTATATATATGTAAATACAGAAATACATCATAGATATAAAAACGTGTGTGTGTGTGTGTGAATATGATTAAACAGACATACTCCCTAGCTCTGCTCATACAGAAGGTCTTGGATAGTGATACCTCAATAGCAATGAACACATCTAATGCCAAGATATTGTATTCTAAACATAACTTTTTCTACCAAAAGGAACCAGGGCTCATTAGAGAAATAACTGATTCCAGGGCTGAGCCAGGTAAAGCATACGAGAGTCAGAACGTTTTGTTGTATCAGAAGCAAAGAGGTGATCAAAATGATGTGAACATATCAAAAGGGCATAGAAGCCAGCTTGAAGATGGTCCCACTCATCAAATTTGGGTAACTCGTGCATCAAAACAAGTAATGATAATAAAACCCATGTCTTAAAATAAAAACAAATTCATACATGAATAAATTGAAAGTTAAAGTATGATAAGGCATGGGATCATCAGTCTCAAAGACGCTCCCCACAAAACACTTACTAATTACATTGGAAAAAGAGTGACTTTTATAGTGGAGAAGCTGGACGGACATTGCCTTAATCAGTCATCAAACGGTGCAGAATCATTAATGGGACAAATAAACATCATATACTACCTAAAAAGAATCAATGAAAGGATCACAGTAACACTTAAGTGACATTCCCGTCAAAGACTGATAATATAAATCTAAGCTTAAGGAAATATGAAACAAGTTAAAATAGGAGGCATGCTACAAAATAATCTTCAAATGTAGAATGGCCATGAAAGTTAAGGGAAGATGAAAGACTGTTCCAGACTGAAGGAGACATCTAACTAAATACTGTCAAAAAAACATTAGAGAACTGGTGAAACTTGAATGGGTCTGAGCATTTGATAATATAAATATATCAATAACTTATTGATATTGATGGTTGTACTATAGTTATATAGGAAAATATTCTTGTTTGTAAGAAACACACTATTCAAAGGTTATTAGATTTACAACTTATTCTCCAATGGTTCAAAAGAAATGCAGGTCTTTGAAGTGTACTTGCAAATTTTCTGTAAGTTTGTCACTTGGAAATAAATTTAAAAACATGTAACACATCAAATCACAACTCTTCCCCACTTGAAACCCTTCAGGGGCTCTCCATTGCAAACAGAAGAAAACTCAAGGCCTACACATTGTTCGTCCGCTCGCTTTCAGTCCTCATGCCATAGTGCTGCGCCTCTGTCCTTCATATTCTAGCTACTTGCAACCTAACAAACCTCCTGGAACATGTGAATTCATTCTCATTTCAGAGGATCATGGCTTTTCCTCCTTCTTCCAACACTGGTGCTCCAGAATTTGGATCAATGGCCCCTTATGATGATTCAGCTCTCTTCTCAAGGTCATCTCCTCAGAAAGGCCTTCTCTGATCACTCTAGATACTTCCCCTCCTGGTATTCTTTATCATGTTACCCTGTTTTATTCTCTTTATAGCACTAATCACAGTCTAAAATTATCATATTCATTTAATTTTTTTACTTATTTTCAGCATCCTTCCACTAGAGAATAAGCTCCTAGGGAGACGGGCTTTTTCAGTCTTCTTAAGGAGCCAAGAACTATTTGCTGATTGACTCTCTAGGACTCAATTTTCCCGTCCACAAAAATGGGAACAAATTACTACCTATCTCACAGGATTAGACATTGGCTGATATATGTGAATGCTTAGCATAGTGCCTGGCATACAACATGTACTAAATAGATGTTAAATATGCTTATAAAATGAAAACACTAGTTTGGGTCTAGAAATTCTCTGAAAGTTGAATAGCCATGTGACTGGGGCATTGACACCCCTCTAAATTGACTACTGACTAAGATTCACCAGAGAGAAAAGGCTTACTCTCCAAAGTCTACTAATTATACAACTATACCTCATTTTATTGTACTGTGCTTTTCTGTGCTTTGCAGATATTCCATTTTTTTTCTAACAAATTGAAGCTTTGTGACAACCCTGCACTGAGTAAGCCTACCAGCATCATTTTTCCAACATGTGCTTACTTCACGTGTCTGTGTCACATTTTGGTAATTCTTACAACACTTCAAACTTTTTCATTATTATCCTATCTGTGATGGCGATCTGTGATAAGCAGTCTTTGATGTTACCACTGTAATTTGGAAGAGGGGGCAGAATTGTGTCCATATAAAGTAGTGAATCTAATCCATAAATGTGTATGTTCTGACTGTATCACTGACCATTCTCCTGTCTCTGTTCCTCTCCTTCGTATTCCCTGAGAGACAATAATATTGAAATATGACCAATTAATAACCCTACAATGGCTTTTATGTGTTCAAGTGAAAGAAAGAATTGAGCATCTCTTACTTTAAATCAAAAGCTACAAATGATTAAACTTAGTGAGGAAGGCATTTCAAAAGCTGAGACTGGCTGCAAGCTAGGCCTCTTGCACAGAACAGTTAGACAAGTTCTGAATGCAAAGAAAAAGTTCTTGGAAGAAATAAAAATGCTATTCCAATAAGCACATGAATTATAAGAAAGCAAAAAAAAAGCCTTATTGCTGATATGGAGAAAGTTTTAGTGGTCTGAGTAGAAGATCAAACCAGCCATAACATTCCCTTAAGCCAAAGCCTAATCCAGAGCAATGTCCTAACTCTTCAATTTTATGAAGGCTAGGAGAAGTGAGGAAGCTGGAGAGGAAATGTTTGAAGCTAGCAGAGGTTGGTTCACTAGGTTTAAGGAAAGAAGCTGTCTCCGTAAGATAAAAATGCCAGATGAAGCAACAAATGCTGATGTACAAGTTATAACAAGTTATCCAGAAGATCTAACTATGATCATTGATAAGGATGGCTACACTACAAACAACAGATTTTCAATGTAGACAAGTTTTTTTTTTTTTTTTTTCCTGAGACAGAGTTTCGCTCTTGTTGCCCAGGCTGGACTGCAATGGCACGATCTCGGCTCACTGCAACCTCTGCCTCCTAGGTTTAAGCAATTCTCCTGCCTTAGCCTCCCGGGTAGCTGGCATTACAGGCATGTGCCACTATGTCTGGCTAATTTTCTATTTTTAGTAGAGACAGGGTTTCTCCATGTTGGTCAGGCTCATTTCGAACTCCCAACCTCAGGTGATGTGCCCGCCTCAGCCTCCCAAAGTGCTGGGATTACAGGTGTGAGCCACTGTGCCCAGCTGACAAAAGTTTTATATTGGAGGAAGATGCTATCTAAGACTTTCATAGCTAGAGAGGAAAAGTCAATGCCTAGCTTCAAAGGACAGCCTGACTCTCTTGTTAGGAGCTAATGTAGTTGGTGATTTTAAGTTGAAGCCAATGTCCATTTACCATTCTGATAATCCTAGTGCCCTAAAGAATTACTCTAAATCTACTCTGCCTGTGCTCTATACCTGAAATAACAAAGCCTGGATGACAGAGTTATCTGTTTATAGTATGGTTTACTGAATATTTTAAGCCCACTCTTGAGATCTACTGCTCAGGAAAAAAGATTCCTTTCAAAATATTACTGTTTATTGACAATGTACTTGGTCACTGAAAAACTCTGACGGAAATGTACAAGGGGATTAATACTGCCTTCATGTCAGCTAATGTAACTTCCATAGTCCATGAGTCAATGAGTCATTTAGACTTTTGAGTCTTATTATTTAAGAAATACATTTTGTCAGGCTGTAGCTGCCATAGATTGTGATTCCCTTGATGGAACTGAGTAAATTGAAAATCTTCTGGAAAGAATACACCATTCTAGATTCCATGAAAAATATATGGGATTCATGGGAACAGACCAAAATATTAACATTTATAGGAATTTGGAAGAAGTTGATTCTAACTCTTATAGATGACTTTGAGCAAAGGGTTCAAGACTTCAGTGGAGGAAGTAACTGCAGGTGTGGCAGAAATAGTAGAGAACTATAATTAGAAGTAGAGCCTGAAGAGATGACCGAATTGCTACAATCTCATGATAGAATTTGAACAGATGAGACGTTGCTTCTTATGGATGAGCAAAGAAAGTGATTTCTTGAGGCGGGATCTACTGGTGAAGATGCTGTGAGTATTCTTAAAATGACAACAAAGAACTCAGAATATTATGAAAACTTAGTTGATACAGCAGTGGCAAGTTTTGAATGGATTGGCTCCAATTTCAAAAGCAGTTCTGTGGGTAAAATGCTATCAAACAACATTGCATGCTACGGGGAATTCACTGGTGAAAGGAAAATCAATCTCTGCAGCAAACTTCCTTATTCTCATATTTTAAGAAATTGCCATAGCTACCCCAATCTTCATCAACCAACACGTAATCAGTCAGCAGCCATCAACATAAAGGAAAGACACTCTACCAGCAAAAAGATTACAGCTCTCTGAAGGCTCATATGATCATTAGCATTTTTAACAATGACATCTTTTTTAACTAAATTATGTACATTTTTTACACATAATGCTATGGCATATTTAATAGACTACAGTATAGTGCAAACATAACTTTTATATCCACTGGGAAGCCAAAAATTTCTTGTGACTTGCTTTATTGTGGCAGTCTGAAACTGAACACAGTATCTCCAAGGTATGCCTGTAATAAATCAAAATGCATTTAATTTAATATATCCAAATGTGCTAGAGGAAAACTACTGGTTCTCTATTTGGTGGGAATACAATTTTTGATTTTTAGTACTAAACTATTTATACTTTAGGCCAGTCCTGTAATCCCAGCACTTTGGGAGGTCAAGGCAGGCGGATCACTTGAGGTCAGGAGTTCGAGATCCAGCCCGGCCAACATGGCGAAACCCTGTCTCTATTAAAAATACAAAAATTAGCTGGGCGTGGTGGCGTGTACCTGTAATCCCCACTACTTGGGAGGCTGAGGCAGGAGAATCACTTGAACCCGGGAGACAGAGGTTGCAGTGAGCCAAGATCGTGCCATTGCCCTCCAGCCTGGGTGACAGAGCTAGATTCTGTCTCAAAATAATAACTATTTATACTTTAAATAATGTTTTATAACACTATGATGAATTATCTAACATTTTACATATTCATACTATAACTTACCAAAATTTTTACTAACACAAGTCCTAGATATATAAACGTTAATTCATCTTCAAAAAAAATTCTTTAAGCGTAATTTCTGCATGTTAATGGATAAAGAATAATTAATGTCTGATTAAGGTCACAAGTTAAATAAAAGTGAATCAAAGCCTTCTCCTGGCTTCTAATTCCTAGTGTGTTACTGCTCTAAGCATTATGAAATATTTATTAAGTGCCCAGGCAGGGCCAGGAGTGAAAGAGATACGTAAGACAGAACCTTAGGACATATTTCTTATTAACAAAAAGTCTAAATTAAAAAGAAATTGAATCTGGTTTGAGTTTCTATATATGAAAGCTATTTAAACTTTCTATCTACGGCAGGCAAACCCCATAAAACACACCACAAATCCAAAGGACACCGTAAGTAGAATTTCTTAAAACCCTGAGAAGAAATGACTGGAATTTTAAACTACCCCTTTTACTTGTCCATCTGTTACTTTTTCGGTTGCAGTTAAGGCAACAGAAAAAAAAAATCTTCCTAGAGAAAGACACAGAGCTTAGTCTTTCGTTAGAAATTATCTGCAACATTGTTACGCTGCCTCTCTTTTTCCACAGTCTTTGTCTTCTTCCTTCTTCTCCCCTTTCACCCTCACCCACCACAAACCTACACAGGCCTTATTCATCAAGACTGTACATTTTTATGTTCTACTTTCAAATTAGCAAACCTTAATATGCAGTTACTTCCCTAAGCAAATTTCATTGGTAAAATTTTGAAAATAGTACGGTATTTTTCACCTCACCCTCTAATATCTCTTGACAAGTTTTCTGGGTAACGGTTACATGAGTCATTCCGTGTTCAGGTTTGTGTTCATAACAGACATGCTGCTGTTTATGAATTTCAAAAGAAATGACTAAAAACACACTTGGGCAGGGTGGGTCACAGTATGTTGTAAGAAATGTGTGGTCTTTAAAATGATTTGGAATACTTTACCTCTAGTTCTTATTAATTTGTTTCTAATTTATTCCTTATTAGATTCCATATTCCATATAAGAGAGCTTCCACAATTGTACTCTACAAGTTTAAAGACAGAAAGTAAAGACATTAGTGCAATGAGAACATGAGAGTAAGGAAAAAAACAAGGTAAAGCCAAGGGTGAGTTTGACACAAAAAAGACACACTTTCTAGACAGAAGTGGATCAGAATTGGGGCTCTCAATAGTCTAGTAACTACTGTAAAAAGTGAGATAAATGGGATAAGATCAGATATAAAACCCAAGATGTGTACAAGCTGAAAATACACTAGCTACTCAGGAGAAATGAAACCATATTGCTGGTGCTGAGATGTAAATGAAAGCTTTCTCATGAGGTCTCATAAAAGAAAAATATAAAATAGTGCTGTTGATGTTTATCATAAATAGATTTATGGTTCTCCTTAAAATGTCCTTCTGATGCATCAATGGTACAACATCGAGTGAGTTGAGTTAAAATAATTCCGTAGGAGTCCAAAGCACAACCTCTCAATAGTCTGCATAAATTCAGATACAATTTAAAGTATCTATGCAACTGCCTAGAGCGACCAGGTAGGGCAAATGGGAGTGGTCACTACACAGCTAAAGCTAATTGCTGCCTCGCTTTTTCTTTTTTCTTATTTTAACACTGTGGAGGTCTCAGAAGCAGGACTGCAGTTAACACTTTCCAAACTTTGATCTAGAAGAATGAAACTAATATATACTTCAAAGAAAGTTCCTTTAACATCGTTTATAGAAATATTTACAATCTAATCCTGGTTAGGCACTGGGCTAAGGTTTCAATATGCTCATTTAACAACACTCTACGGAAGGCATTACCCACATCTCTCACAGTTGAGTAAACTAAAGTATGGAGAATGTTAAGGAACTTGGCCCAGAACTACAAAGGCAGTAAATGGCCCAGATGCCACAAAATGCTGTGCTTTAAATTACACACAACTCTGCAACTGGGATTAAGACCTTATATTAAATACTTTACAGAGACTGCTCTGTTGGGAAGTGGCCAGGGGCACAAAAATAAATGACAGAGAGAAAAATCCAATATGGTAAAATTCCAACCAGAGATCTCAGGCTCAACAGACTCCTATTCATAAGGTAGATACGGTGATTTTTGCAATTTAATCAAATATTCATTATTATCCTTTACAAGTTTATATAAATAGGAGAACACAGTTTTGCTTTTGTACCTACCACTCAAGCCAATGAAGCCTTGAATGAGACAGGGCTGCCGGAGAAGACAGAAAGGGAGAGGAATTCTAGGTACTCCCTGGTACTTTCTTCTGGGAGGAGCTGGCTGCTGAGGGCCTTCTTGATTACAGCATCACTCATGCACCATTCCAAATTCCCCGCCAGCTGTGTGTGTGCAAACCCACTACCCTGCTGCACTGTCTGTGACCAGCATTTATTAGTGTTTTACCCAGAATCCATCCTCTACTCTCCACGTTACGTTCTGCAAAGGCCCCAGTTTTTTCAGGTATCTGTAACTGGGTGTGTATTGTAGCTGATAAGTAAATTCTGATGGCCACATTCCCACTCCATGTGACTGGTTTGATCCTGACTTTTCACAATTCTGACCAACAAGTTTTGAGGAAATGTCAGCCAGGTGCCTTTTAGGATAAACTGATAAAAGGAAATATGCAAGAAAAAAAGCCTTTTCTCATCCCACTGGACACTGTCATGTTCTTTACTGCTGTGTGTGTGTGTATATGTATACATGTGTGGATGGATATGTATCTGTGCATGAGAGACAGACACATAGCTGTAAACAGACAAAAAGAAGCAGAGTAGAAAACAGATTATATTAGGAAATGAGGCATATAGAAAGGAATAATTTGTAAAAAGTTCAGGAGAGAAGTGAGCCAGAAAATATTTAAGAAAAGGAAGAAGCAACCTTCACCTCTGATCACAAGCAAGGCTTGCTATGTCAAAATTATTTCTTTAAAGCTTCCTAGAATTAGAGAGAGAAGGCAATCTTGCTCTGTGCACCATTTATACACTACCAAGATCATCTGAAAATTAATAACCTCTATTTAAGGATGAGAGTAAAACACCAGCCAAAAATAGCATGTCATACTGAATAAGGACCAGCTTGAATAATCTGGTATCTGTTTCTATCTACTGAATGTGGCTGTGCAAAATTCCAGACTATGATGATCTTATGAAAATGCATTTCTTTGCTCACATAAATATACTGCTAAACAGCTATGGCATTATATCTAGATCCAACTTTCCAATTCTATGCACATATTGCTAAATGTCAAATGTATTCATATTCATTTATATTTGAATGCTGCTTTCAGTGGAAAACTATAAATCATCCATTCAGAAATAAAAATAAAATAGATATGCAGTATTATTTAGCACCACAGATGAACCTTATTTATTTTACAGTTAAGCAGTGAAGTGAATAAGCATTTTCAAACAGAAGCTCTGACTCTGAAAACTTATAACAAAATGGCAAAACCCACAAGTTTCTCCAAATATCTGAGTTTCCTCATAATCTCAGTTATTATTATACCTTTATCATCCCAGTCAAAAATTATGGCTTTCATAGGATGGTATCTATCACATTGAATATCTTCTTTACTGGTGCACATAATGCAACTCAATTACTCTTGAAATATTTTAATTATCATATATCAAATTATTTTTTGAAATGCCTCATAAATGGAGAAATGGTTTAAAAAGTTGGATGACCCTAATCAGATCCGTTTAGTTAATCTTACTGGTGCAATGATCTATCACCAGACAAAGCTACATCAAATTCTTTCCCTTCTCCTCCTCAGCCAAAACTTCTGATTCTTCCATTATCATTAATCTCTTAATGTTGAAATATGCCAAGGCTCTGACAGGATAAAGTAAAGGCTCATACTTTAATGACCTTGACAAATGTTATAGCTTTAAATACCATCTATTTGCTAATAATTTCCAAATACATATCTTCAGCTGAACCTATGAATTTTTACATGTAACTCCCTACTCAATAGCTCCATTGGGTGACTAATAGGCAAATCAAACTTTACCTTTCCAAATCTGAGAAAATTATCTTCCCCATTAAACCTGTTGTTTCCAAAGTCTCCTCATCTCAATTAATGCCAACTATTACCTTCCAGTTGCTCTGTCTAAAACCTCAGAATCATCCTTGCCTCTCCTTATTGGCTCACGATCCACAGCCCACCAAATAGCAAACAGCTCTTCCTGCGAAATATACTCAGCTTCTGACCCCTTAACATCACTTCTGCTCTGGTCCAAGCTATTATGTCTCACTGGAAATACTTTAAGAGCTACTCTCCGGCTCTGGCTTTCCTCCATCCCATGCACATACCACATGCACATCATCTTGTGCTTTCTCCAAGCACAATAATCATCTTGTAACTTAAATATGATTATGTTACTCCTCTGTTCAACTATTTTCCTATCTCACTGAGACCAAAACCTTATAAAGCTCTATATGGTCTAACCCCTGGTTAGACCTGACTTCATTTCCCACAACTCTTTTACTTGCTCACTTCATTTCTGCAACACTGGTCTTCTTGCTTCTTCTGGAATGTACAAGCATACTTTCATTGTGCATGTACTGTCCCCTCTGCCTGAAAGGCTCTTCCCCCAGGTACACATATTACTAAAACATTACCTCCTTGGTGAATATTTTACTGACCCCTAATCCTAAATTGCACTGCTCCTCAACACTCTGTCTCCTCCACGCTTATCACTATATGATAATATATTATAAATTTTAATTATTTACTCTTTTTTTAACCCACTAAAACATAAGCCTCATGAGGACCTGGTTTCTTTCCCCAGTGCTGGGAACAGTGACGTTCATATGGTAAATAGTCAATTAACTTTGCTGAAAAGTTTTTGTTGAATACCTCATCTTAAATATCATCTTATCATTATGTAAAGCTGCACACCTCCAGATTTCTTCTTCACTTTTTATTCTGTAGCTCAGTGTAGAGAGCCACGATCTGCCCTGCTGCAAGTTAGAAATGTTAGTTATTAACAACTTGAAACATTGGCTGCCCTTCATTCTTTAAGTGATGTGGATTCTACCCTCTGCCTACGTCTTTCTCATATTAACTCTTCTCTGCAACTCCACTGCCACCTCTTCAGTTCAGGTTCCCACTGCATCCATACTGAGCAAAGGATAAAGTACATATTTCTCAACCTGACAGATAAGGCCTCCTTCCCACCTGACTACAGTCCATCTTTAAGTCACATCCCCTCTTCCTTACTGTACCCTCCCCTCCACAAACCAATCTGGTTTAATCAATTTAGCATGCTTTTTGAGCTTCTAAAGCTTTTCATAATACCCATTCTACCTGAAATATTCCTTGTGCTTTGCAATGAATAATTCCATAGTCATTTTATAGGACCAATCTCAAACATTACCTCTATACTGTCATCAAAATGACAACAGCTAAAAGCTACTGAGTGCTTACTATGATCCAAGCAATTTATTTGCATTACACAATTTAATCCTTAAACAAGCCTATTAGAAAGGTACTAATAATTTCCTCAACCTATACATGATAAAATGAGGCTGAAAGAAGTTAGAAAACTTGTCCTGGGTCACAAAATTCATAAACAGGTAAGCTAGGATTTGATCTTTGATTTATCAAGTTCCAAAGCTTAGATGACAAAACTCTACATGAACAGCTGAACTGACCTTCAAATGAATATTCCGAATGTCTTTACTGACTTAGGTAATTTTGAAACCATTAATTTTATTGCTGTGAGATAAGAACTACAAACCACAAACTCTAAGAAGGAGCCACTTTGCAACTAACCATGTAATGCATCAAGGACTCACTGTCAGATATTATTTTAGTTTGCAGAAAAACACATACCTTTTGTGGGTATATCTGTGTGGTAAGAAAAAGTAACTGTAATGCCATTATTGTTCAAATGCAGGATTATAGGCAAGGTAAAAAGACCAGAGCCCTTGTATTTGCATGCCACAAAATCCACACAAAGGTCATCTGACATAGTCAAATGTCCTCTGGAATGTTACATAACTGCTGTCTTTCTACCCAATAACTATAACTCCTCTAATCTTTGCTTTTCTTACTAGAGCTTCATTTCACTGACCTTTTCATTATCAGTTGCTTTGCTGGGTTTGCACGTAGCATCCCACCCAAAGGTGACTTTGATGGAGTCTCTGAAGGCTGCCCCAATGTCTCCATAGAAATGGCCCCTGGGTTGTCTCCAAAATGGCCCTGTCTGAGTTGCCATGGTAAACAACCAGGCAGACAGCTATATTCAGTTCTCTGCCAGGGTCGCCATGGTGACTGCAAAGGATGGCTCCTTAGAAGGACCTCACAAGGGCACGTTGCCATGGTGACCCTATCCTGCATATTTCTAAGCAACTTCCTTTCAGTCTTTCTGTGACCAATCAAGGCCGGTTCATTTTTAGAGTAACTCTGGTAGATTTCTCCTGAAGATACCATCATAAGGCACAGGGATTTTAAAAGTGAGAAGGCCTATAAACAAATTAATTATTTGAAAATATAAACAGTTCCATTCACAAATCATTAACTCAGTCCCCATAAACTTTAGGAAAAATTTGTTTTGATGATAAACAAAAAAATACCTGCAATCTCTCTGTTAAATGTGTCTGTTTTGAAACTTAATCAACCAAAAGTATCTTACAGAATATAATGCAGATAATTAAAGTTTCAAATTTTTCCAGTCTTACAATGTAGCAGCTACATGGGTATTAAACACTTTAGAGTAGACATGACACACACACCCAAGTGAAATCATAAATATACACTGATTAAGTTATAACAAAATATCAAAAAAATTTTTATACAGCAGAAGACAAAATATTTGCAAGCCCAGTGGAAAAATAATGTGTTTTTTTTTTTTAACTGAGTTGGGAAATCCCAGCCATATTTGGACCCAGGCTATTTTTTTCCTTGTGCTTTTGTGTTTGGAACAATCCCGATTAATCTTCTTTTCATTTTAAAACATGAATATAGGCCATTCTTAACATATGCTTGGTTTTTCAGCCATGCTATTATTCTCCTGAAACTTTAAAATATTCTACTGTTTCTAGTATTTCATCAAGAGCAAAATTTTGTCTAACCACTAACTTCGATATCCTTACTTAACACCTAAAAACAAATTCTAAAATTCAAAAGATGCAATTACAATTTCTATACACATGTGCAGCCTTTCACAGTCAATTCTAATTGACTCTTAACTCTCTCTCTATATATAGTTAAGAACTATATGTATATATGTATATATATGTTTATACACATATGTATATATATGTTTCTTAACTATATATAGAAAGAGTGTTAGGAGTCAATTGTTTCTTATCAAATAGAAAAGGTTAATCTGGGGTTCTCTCTAAATAATAAAGATGAGTTTTCCCTTGAGCACTAGTTCATCTAGTTCTACATTTTCTGTTATTCCCTCTCACAGATTCCTTTCTCCTACTCTGTCTACAGCAGCCCACCACTCCCCACTCACATTCCACTGGAGAGAACAGAATTTCAGTTAATATACATAGTCAAGAAACGTGAGAGTAATTCATAGTATAATAATTCTAAGTTGCATAGAACTATGCAAGTTAGACTTCGTAGACACAAGGACTCTTTGTATTTGTACTCATCTTTTCTGGTTTTCACAATATTAATTAAATAATGAAATAATTGCACATTCTGATTTTGTAGAGACTTCATGCTTCAAGCCTTCAATATGCTTGCACAAATCAGAGTAGTCCCTGTGGCTTCCACTCATTCCTTCACTACATATTTATTGAGTGACTACCATGTGCCAGGCAGTGCACAAGGGCCTGGGAGCACTCCAGTGAACAAATAAAAAAAATCTGCCCTTAAGGAGTTTCAATTATGGAGAGGGAAAGAGAGAGAAAAATATACAAAGAAAACTAATTAGGAAGTCATATGTTAGGAAGTGATTAAAGTTAGGGAGAAAATTAAAGCAGGGAGGGGGGATGCAGAGTCCTTGGCCAGGTCAGGGCTGAGGAGGCTGCAATATTACAGATTTACAGGGAAGTTTCAAGGACTCCCCCGCTCACCTGATGTAAGTGCACTCAATATTGTATTCAATAACAACCTAAATCCTTAAATTTAAAGAAAAATTTTAAAAATATTTCATAATGCACTCAGTAGAAGTTCGTTAGGTTAAAAGTCCATTTTTCCCACTTCTATACCTGCTTTCTGATAGGCAGCACTGTCTGAGGCAGGCAAGAGACGTCATCACCTCCAATCCTATTCTGCATTTCAAGACCTATATATAAACTTAGGCAAATTACTCTACCTTTCAAGAGTCTTCTCACCTTTAAAGTGAGAATAATTATTCCAACCTGATAGTATTACTCTGAAAATGCAAAGATACTAAAATATAAATATAAAAATACCATGGGTAAAATAATCTATATCTAGAATTTGCTTTAGAATACTTCAGTAAAAATTTAAAAATGAGGAGAGACAATAAAAAAAGTTGAGCCAAATGGTGAGAATTAATGAAGCCCAGTTATGAGTATATGAGAGCTCATTGTATTATTAGATCTCATTTTGTTTGAAAATTTCCATAATAAAATATCTTAAGGGAAAGATTAAACTTGCAAACGCAAAGATATTCCCTTTCATAAAGATTTTAACAACACTTAGAAAAGAAGTATACAGGAACATTAATGTATATAAATATCTCAAAAAACTATAAAAAAGTAGATTTACTTACTGAGTACTTACTAGCCTGGAATAATGCTAGCATTGCCTTTCATACTTTCTTCTAACACATTATTTCCTTTTTACAAAATTATACTTTCTTAATAGTATGAGACATAAGTCAGAAAGGCAGAAAACCGTCATTGTTAAGCTTGTAGACTCACATGGTATCCAATGTATAACAGATTTTAGGAAGAAATTTTACTATAATTTGCTTAATGCTTAGAAACAATCATATAAGAAACAATCATGTAAGGACAATCATGTAAGGACATTGCTAATAAAAATTTTAGACAATGAATTCTATATGATTGTATCAAGAAACTTAAAAACTTACCAGATCAGTATCTGCCTTTTTATAGGTCAAAACTTCAACTTTGGAATCCAGTTCTGCTTGTATTTGGTCTCTTCTTTTCATAACACCCTTTACATTAAAACACACAGATAAAATAGGCTGTACTTAGTTTTAATAATCTTTCCTATAGCAAAAATATATATTTCAGAATATAAATAGCATCTCTTCCCCAAGCCATCAGTCATTTGGGGATATAATACATTTAAAAAGTTGTTTTTTTTTTTTTGTTACTCTCTAAAAACTAAATTGAAAGCAAGTATTTAAGAGGGTTTTTTTTCCTATAAATGTTTTATTAGTTTTCCTAATGCACATTTTACCCATTTAAGCATTGTACATATGTACTACATTTGGTGGAATACGCATGTACAATTCTTCAAAAATAGTAAAGAGCAAAACAAACAAAAAATAGTAGAAGCACTGGAGAAATACACTATGGCATAAACTAGTTATGGGTGGGATGTCACATGGACCATATCTACACTCTGTGGCAACCTTCTTACCTGACTCCAAAGGATCAGATAATCAAACAGGAAATTATGGTAGGAAATCAGAAAATTGAAGTATGCATTCATATCCTAAGCATTTTATTTTAGCTCAAAATATAAAATATTCATCAGTTAGCCAAGCTTTGGATGAGAGATCATAGCCTCCTCTTTGATAGGAGTTTCTTGTTTTCTTGATTTCATGTTTCAGAGTTTTTAAACTTAAAGCACCCATGTGAAGAAATTTGAGTGCAGAATTCAACTACATCTTTCATTTTTGCCGAACTTTTACAATGTCTTTAAGTGATTCACATTTCTTCCGAGACATGTAACTTAGACTTTAAGGATACAAGGACTCTTTTTATTTGTACTCATCTTTTACTGGTTTTCACAATATTAAATAATGAAATTCTAATAAGAAGCACAAATGGCCTGAACAGGTTAAGGAAAAAATAAAACTAAGTTTGGACAAGCAAACAATTCAACCAGCTAGAGAAGTACAGGACATAAAAGAGAAGGGCCTTCTGGTGTTTTAAAGAAGAAGGAAAGAAACTAGACACAAATCAGTTACATGGAGGTCAAACAAGATGGCTCTACACTATTTAAATGATAACCAAAAAGCATTAAGGATTAAGAATCACTTAGTACAGTTTTGCACCTGGTGGAATGACTCTTAAGACATTCAAAGCAGGCCAGGCACAGTAGTTCACACCTATATCACATCTCAGCACTTTGGAAGAAAGAGGTGGGAGGACCACTTGAGCCCAGGAGTTCGAGGCTGTAGTGAGCTATGATTATGCCTCTACACTCCAGCCTGTGCAACAGAGTGAGACCATGTCTCTTAAAAAAAAAAAAAATCAAAGGAAGCTAACATTTTTCCTAGTTGCAAAGAAGTCCATAGAAAATTCAACTGATATCTCAAATTCCTTTATATTTACCTCAATGTTTAAATACCATTAATGTCAAGAAAGCCCTTCCTTTCTTTGACCAAAATGACTCACTCTCTAATTCAGTCCTATTTATTTAAGGTTTGTTTCAAAAAAGATGAAGCACTGGTTTTCATATGCACAAATACATTTTGAGTAAAAGGTTGCTTCAGAGGACAACTGGTGAAAATTACATGAAATTAATCATTTTTATGGAAGGATTATTTTTCATTACTTTAGCTGAAATTGAAGAGAATGTTCCAATATCAAACAGAACAAGAAATGCAATATAAGTACTACTTATTATACCCTAGGCATCTAAAAATTAATTCAATCAAACGAGGACCTATAAAATAATTCTTATTTTTCCATACCCTTAATAATGTAATACTTCAATTACATAATTTCCATCTTGATATAATATAGGAGAAAACACTAATTAATGGAACAGAACATACAAATCTGATCTTCTTGAAGATTGACACAAGGGGGTGACCCCAATAATGAAGTGAAACCAAAGGATGTAGCCAAGGAAATGGATAGAGAGAGGAAAGAGAATCATCAACAGTGAAACATCGAAGGCTTTTGGGAAGCAAGAAGCTTTGTTTACAGGAGGACTCCAATAAAGTTAAGTACAGCCAAAGCCTGAAATGTCTGTGCAATATTTAATGACTCTGTCAAACTAAACCTAAACATGATCAACAAGAGAGAGGCAGATCTCATGCTGAAACACAAAGTGAGCTTTTCAGACCAAAACAAGGAAAAGTTTTTAAAAAAGAAAAAAATTGAAAGAAATCTCTAGAAATCAAGGGTACATGTCCAAAGAAACCATGGTTCCAATTATAAAGAACGGAAAAAAGGAGCTGTATCTGAATGCAAGCTGACTCCTGTCCCCATCACCACCCTAAAACACTGAGGGTGCCAATTTGCCTGTGTAAAGTATTGTAGGCACAGAAAAATACTGGATGAAAAATATTAGCTTTGCAGATAGCATTGCTAAATTCCAAATATCTGGAAACCTTAACTTGAACTGAGGAAGTAAAATGCAAAACTTTGATATAAGAGGAATAAAAGCCTTTTCAAGTAGTGAAAGAAAAACATTTTAACTTGAAAGATTTCTTTTAAAAGCAACCAGAAGGCAGAACATCAAGATCCAACTCAAGTACTTTCTACATAATGGTACTAAATATATTGCTAAATCAAATGTACCTAGAAGCAGGAGAGCAGTTCTTTCAAAATCCCCAAAGCACTAAAAAATTTTAAAGTAAAATTTCACAAGGTTTGGAAAAACTAATCATATTCCCTATGTAAATTTTGATTGAGGATGCTTCAAGTCTACGTATAATCTGATAAATTGTTGGTGTTGCTATTGAGTATTCCTGCTTTTTAACAACGGATTCTTTCCTTCATCTATTTAGACACACAGTGAATAAATATTTATTGAACATCTACATGCAAAACAACCTGCTAGGACAAAAAGATAGTGGTTTTAAAGAAAAGAAATACAGTTGCCTTTATGGAGCTTATAATCAGGTAAGGGACTGAGGTAAAATTAGAATTAGGTGTTCTTACCATTAACATTTCACTATAAAGCACGTACTCATGTACAACAGGAAGCAGGGCCTCTGAGAGTCCAGACATCCGCTTTTCAGTGGCCTTACAGCATCTGTCAATGCAGCTGGCAACATCCTTTAGAGTATCAACCAGATCCTCTTCTGACGCTGACCACAGAATATGAATTGGGCCATATTCTTTCATTTCATCAAAATATTCTAAAAAAAAAAAAAGACTTAATAAGCTCTTCAATAAACAAAAGTTTTCAAAATACCTGTATCCTAGAGAGTAAGAAAGGGCCTTATTTCTCTCACAGTGCACATGTTCTTACACAAGAACATAAGAAAACGGATATCATCCTTCATTAAATCAACCAGCCATCACAGTTTGCCCCAGGTCAGTCTTTGAATGACTACTGTCCAAGTGTAATCAATAATAACATACCTTTTCAGTGTCAAAAATGTCTTGGCTTGAAAAATAAATTATATGACCATCATATCTATTTAGGCTTCTGCCTACCACACAACTATATCTGAGTACCTGACAGGCAACATGCCCTGAAAAAAACTTAGCATCTTCTTTCTCCCCTTCTTCTGACTATATATTCTACTTAGTGGTAATTACTATCCATAAATCTAAGCAAAAAATTGGGAGGTTATCCTAGAATCATACTTACACAGAGCCAGTAAATCACCAATTCCAAAACTTCGAGATCTTAAACTATCCATCTACCTATGTACTTATCTTCACTTCCACCACCATCAGCATCTCTAATCTGTACTGCTTCAAGGGTCTCCTAACTATTCTCCCTCTATTTTTATCAGAGTATAGAAACATTGACTCTTTGTAGCTAAATTAGAATTAGTTAAATTAAATTAGTTAAATTAGTCCTCACCGTCTGCTTCTCCAGGTCCAATGTGAAATTCTCTGCCAAAGATTTTAACTCAAGCCAAATTGCTTGTTCATTCATGAATAACCCATGATTTCTCTTTACAAAAACATTTGCACATGTCCCTCTGCCTTGTCCTCCATTTCTATCACCTGACAAACTACTTCTAATCCTTTAAATTCCAGTTCAAATAAATCTCCTCTGATTCTGTTCCAAAGGATTCATAGATGCTTTGGCCCTCAATGAGCTTATCATAATTTTATACTTCTATTAAAGCATTATCCCACTGTATTATAGATGTCTTATAACTCAAATGCTCTTGGCCACATACTCCTTAAAACAGGGACTGAGTCTTATTATTTTTCTATCTCAAACCCTTATATGTAATGAGTTCAATAAATATTTTCATATCAATGAAAGAATGCATACATGAGTAACCAAAGACCATTCAGTGTTTGATACGCTATGTATTCAAAAATTTTTGGATTTCATTTTAAAATGTGACTGTCTTTACAATTTTACATTCTTACTTTCACACTTAATTTTCAATGATGTATAGCTTTTTGTGGTGGAAAATTTATAAGCAGTGACCGTTTTTTGTTCACTATCCATATAAATACAATCAAATTATCTATATTTAACCATCTTACAACTCATTAGGGTTTGCTGATATCTGTCATATTTCTCTAAACTACTAAAACTTTAAAAGTCTGTATTAAATAAAAAGTTTAAAAATATGAAATTTAAAAACAATGGAGATACTAGTTGTTATGTAATGAACATTTAATCACCTCTGTAGTCCTTCCAAACTCCACCTTCCTGATCCTAGGCCTGTCTTTATGTTAAATAATGACCATACTGAACTAATTTCTGGAAAAGAAAATTTTCCACTTTCTTTTCTCAATTGAGTCAATTGAGAAATCTCAAATTTCTCATTTTCTCAATATATGTCAATGTCAGTCATTAAACCTGAACAATATTTATGTTTATATGCAAAGCTGCCCTAAAATTCTAAACTGTGCTTACATACCACTCAAATCAATCTGTATGCAAACATTTAGTTAGCTGCACTGTAATTTATCTGTTAATATACATATTTCCCAACTAGACTGTGAGCTTAACAGGTACCATCTTAATTACTCTTTGATACTCATTGATAGTTTATAAAGCTCTTAACTACCAATAGTTTCCAGACATCTCTTTGAATTGCCATACCACCTAACTATGCATCCAGAATCTACTTAATAGAACTGGAATCACAGAACCTAGTTAAAATAATTCACTTATTCAGGTTAAAAAAAAAAGACAAATAATAAATGTAAGGGCAAACCAAAGAGGTTTAAAATAAATTATTATACTACATTCAGTCACTACAGTAATCTCATCAGGGGTCAATGCATGAAAAAAAGTTAGAAAAGGGGCAAAGTACATGCAGTTATAATTTTTTTCTATATCTCTTTTTAAAACCAATCAATTCTTAATAAAGCACCTTTTCCTACACCATTCCAAATCTTATGTTCATTCGTGGTTTTTTTTCAATCACTGAACAAATTTTAATTAAGTACTTATTATGTTTAAACACTGCCCGGATACTAGAAATAAGATATTTCCCAGCTTATCCTGACTGGCAGTACAGTTAAGTAGAGGTCAATTAACAAATAAGCCATCAACTTAGGAACTTTTGTTTGTCTTTATGTAGTTCCTCATCTCTAATAACAAATTATA
Source organism: Homo sapiens (assembly GCF_000001405.40). NCBI lineage: Eukaryota > Metazoa > Chordata > Mammalia > Primates > Hominidae > Homo > Homo sapiens. Next base: position 98,696,309 of record NC_000001.11, on the reverse strand, counting down.
TTAGGAAATTATTTGCTGACTCAGTTATCTATTTTTTAATGTAAGTAAATGCAATTAGAAAATTAGGGGAAAAAATCATCACGTGATTAGAATTAGAAAAAAATTCACCAACAATTCTGATTTATAAACTAAAAAAAAAAAAGAAAATAGGAAAAGAGGCAGATTTTCCAATACGTAAATCTCTCTGCCATACTTCGACAGGTTTAATACAGAGTATCTGTTCCCTCCAGAAAAAAATAATTACCAGAAAATATGAAAACCCTATTTCCTGAAACATCACTTCTTTGATTCTGAGCTCTGTTCCATGTTGAATACAAACAACCACATCCACAATCTTTAACTCGGGCTTACTTTACCACTATTATCTATGAATGGGAAGTAGAGCAGCTAGTGATTGATAAAAGTGAAAATGGAGACTGGCCATAACTACCTTCGAAATCATTTAGGAATCAGAAATGTCCATAAGATGGCTAGGAATAAGCCACACTTTGAAGCTGACATTCTAACTGAATGTTGCTATATTACACCAACAAATGTGAAGATTCATCAGAAACTGAACAACTTTGAAATCACATTTCAGTAATTCTACTTACCCCTTTCTTCCTTATAAATTCTCTGAGATATTTTATCTATCAAATTTATTTTCTGGCTAAATAGTTCAATAAAGTTATTCATTTCCATGAACTCCTCTGGGCGGTTTTTAACTCCTCTCATTGAGGACGCAACAGCTCTGACGGTTTGCCCCATCCTGCTTAGCAAGCCAGGACCTTGCTTCTTGTGAGAAGAGAGTTCCTAGAAACAAAAAACCAAGTATTTCTAGTGAAACAAGTCTCAATATTCCGAGACTCAATACAAAAATAAACCTAATTAGGAGAATAAAATCAAGATAAAATGGTTTCATAGGCATCAATCTTTTTTAATGTTAGCTTGAAGCAGATGAGCTTTATTAAGGTACAGTGTTTCCTCTAAGTGGCAGCCTCAATAATATTCCCTTTCACACTACTCATGTAAAACAGGTATATAGTCTTTCCTCAGACCGTAAATCTTTAAAAGAACAGGGTTTAACCGACAGAATAGTGCTCAATGAGATACTAGAGGAGATAAGGATAATATGACATACCATCTATATTTTATAATAGGAATTTAATGGAAAATGATTGAGAGAAGATTTCTCAGGGCCTAAGTTATACTCCAAAAAATAAAATTGGAAAACTTCATTAATTCTTTAGATGTAATAGTAGCTAACATTTATTTAGAGCTTAATACATTCTGGGCACTATACTGACATTTTAATACACGTAATTCACCATAAACCTATGAGGTAGGTTTTATTATTTTCCTCATTTTACAGAAGAAAATAGAGGCACAGGAAAGTTAACTAACTTGCTCAAGATCCCAGAGCAGGCCGGGTGCAGTGGCTCACGTCCGTAATCCCAGTACTTTGGGAGGCCGAGGAGGGCATACATGAGGTCAGGAGATCGAGACTACCCTGGCTAACACGGTGAAACTCCCTCTCTACTAAAAATACAAAAAAATTAGCCTGGCGTGGTGGCAGGTGCCTGTAGTCCCAGCTACTTGGGAGGCTGAGGCAGGAGAATGGCGTGAACCCAGGAGGCAGAGGTTGCAGTGAGCCGAGATCATGCCACTGCACTCCAGCCTGAGCCACAGAGCGAGACTCCATCTCAAAAAAAAAAAAAAAAAAAAAAAAAAAAATCCCAGAGCAATTAAGTGGTAGAGCAAGAACTGGAATCCTGGAAGTCTGATTCCAGAGGCTTCATTATTAAGCACCAACTTGCTCTGCCCGCTTAAAGTCATTAGGATGGTTTGTAAATAGATACTACCTGAACATAGCACTTCAGCCAAATGAAGTGGGTAAACAGTGACACCACCTTCACCAACTGGCTGTCTACAGAGAAAACTTTTTTTTTTTTTTTTTTTTTGAGACGGAGTCTCGCTCTTTCGCCCAGGCTGGACTGCAGTGGCACAATCCTGGCTCACTGCAAGCTCCGCCTCCCGGGTTCATGCCATTCTCCTGCCTCAGCCTCCTGAGTAGCTGGGATTACAGGTGCCCACCACCGCGCCCGGCTAATTTTTTGTATTTTTAGTAGAGACGGGGTTTCACCGTGTTAGCCAAGATGGTCTCGATCTCCTGACCTTGTGATCCGCCCGCCTCGGCCTCCCAAAGTGCTGGGATTACAGGCGTGAGCCACCGCGCCCAGCTGAGAAAACTTGTAATAAGATACGAAACTAGTTATTTCATACTTAACCTAGGAGGGACGACTATAGACTTGCAAAATAGAAAACATCCTATAAAAGAATATACTGCACAGAAACATATCCCTTGAGAAGTATGGCATAAGTTAAAAGAACAAATACAAACAAAAAAGGACAAGGGATTTTAATAATCATTGTGGCCCTTGTTGAGACACAAGCTTGGGATCGAATAAAATATATGATCAAATAAAATACTGCTGACTACCTAATTTACAGATAAAAATATTATATATTATTTACCCAAATATTAAATAACACATTGTCTATCTTCCTTCAGGTTTTCATTCCTGAATATCTTGCAGAATACATACAAAGTAAACTTGTTTATTTCCAATTCTGTGTGATTTCTTTTGTGCCAATAATAACAGATGCCATCCTTGACCAGGCAATACATCCATCCAAGAGTGCTACAGCCTCATTTGATAGAGTAAACATTATCAGAGACAGCTCACGTCACAACTGGCAAGCTGTTACTGAAACTGTTGACTGTAGAAAATATTTCTAACAGCTTCTAAGGTTCTGAAGTCAGGCCGCATATTCATTTCACATAAGTCACAAAGGGCTTCCATAGAGGACTATCTGTCAAGATTGAAATGAACCACTTTTTAGCTTCTACCACTGGCAACAACTGAGAGATATAAAACTCAACATTTGCCAGTAACTGTTTAATATTGACCCTTTGTCCTGTCTGGTATCTTTCTTGCAGAGTTATAGCTTTATAGAATAAAAGAAAAAACAAGTAGAATGGATAAGGTTTCTGTATTAGAAATTAGACACTCCCCCACTTAGATAATTAAAGGAAAAGTAAGGAGATTATATTATCTATCTGTCCGTCCATCCATCCATCCATCCATCCATCCATCTCCATTCATCCATCTACCCATTTAATAAGGACTTTTATCCTAACTTAAAAAGCCCTGATCCATTATTACTCAAAATAAAGTAGACCCTTGAACAACACAGGTGTGAGCTAAGCAGGTCCACACATGTGGACTTTTTTCAATAAATATACTGGAAAATTTTTTGGAGATTTGTGACAACTAAAAAAACCTCACAAACCACATAGTCCAGAAATGTAGAAAAAACTGAGAGAAAGGTATGTCATGAATCCACAAAATGTATGTGGATACTAGTCTATCATTTACTACCCTAAAATGTGTATAAATCTATTATAAAAAGTTAAAATTTATCAAAACGTATGCACATATTTTGACTTACATGCCACCATATGCAGTTGAGAGAAATGTAAACAAACATAAAGATGCAGTATTAAATCAAAACTGCTTAAAATTAACTACACTACACACTGTACTATTGTACTATTTTTGTAGCCCTCCTGTTGCTATTTGTGGTGAGCTCCAGTGTTGTGAATATCTGCTTAAAATGCCATGTGACGCTGATCATCTCCATGTGAGTAGTTCATCTCTCCATTAAATTGGGTGTAGCAGTAAAAAGTGATCTCTTGTGGTTCCCATGTATTTTTTTTATTGTGTTTAGTGCAATACTATAAACCTGAAATAATACCATGGGACCCATATGAAGTGCCACTAGTGATGCTGGAAATGTTCCCAAGAAGCAGAGAAAAGTCATGTCATTACAAAAAAAGTTGAATTGCTTGCTAAGTACCATAGACTGAGGTCTGCCACTGTCATTGCCCTCCATTTCAGACTGACAATTCATCTTGTAAACAGACAACATAAACTTGGTATCAATAAATACAGTAGAATACTGTTGGTATATTTTGTCTTCCTTAGGATTTTCTTAAATAACATTTTCTTTTCTCTAGGTTACTTTATTGCAAAAAATACAGTATATAATACACAAAAGGTATACATATGTGTTAACCAACTGTTTATGTTACAGTTAAGGCTTCCAATCAACAGGAGGCTACTAGTAGTTAAGTTTCTGAGAAATTAAAAGTTACACATGGATTTTCAATTTCATAAGGGGTTGGCTTCCCTAACCGCCATGTTGTTCAAGGGTCAACTACAGTGTCAATGAAAGAAATATATTTATACCTGTTCAGTATTTGCTATTTATGCAAGAAGCACCCTGACATAAAAACATTAGAGAGAGAGAGAGAGAGAGAGAGAGAGAGTGTGTGTGTGTGTGTGTGTGTGTATATATATGGAGAAGATACAAGATTTCTGTAATATTTATATGTAGATTTGACACAGGGTTATATCTGAAGGATAACTCTCCAGTGTTTCTGAAAAATTCCATCTCAATTCAAGTACACCACTGCATGATTTGTAACGGTAAACAAGAGGAACAATACAATCTACTATAGATACAGACACCCAAAGATTATATGAGTATAAATAAAAATCATTTACCCAAGCTTGTGCAGTGAGAAAAATTTTGAAGTCTTCATTAAATGTTAAAGTTGGATGATCAGCAATTCGGTTCAAAAATTTATGTAAAGCCTTCCTGCGTGTCTCAATGAAGTCATCGTTAAAGCGTTCCACCATTCCTTTTACTATAAACTTTTCTGGCAATGGCTAAGGCAAAAAAAATTAAAAAGGTATTCAAGTATTATTAGCCATAGGTTTATAAGCAATTCTACGCTTTCCCTGTTTGGAAGACTAGTTGAACATCTGATCATTTCTTATAAAAATAATTTTTAAAAATTCACAATGTTAGAACCAAAAATGAGAAATCATAACACATTATGAAGAGTTTTTTTTAAAAAAAAAATGTACATTGATTGAAACACTTAGAAATAAATATTATTCCTAAGATAAATGAATTACAGTGAACTTAAGGTCTGAAATTAGGTTTTAGGCATTCAAAAAGACTCACTAGAAAACTGGTAGCTATTCTATGAAAAAAAAAATTTTGCAAACTTACTGGAATAATCAGAGTGGGGTGTGCTTCTTCCAGTTTTCCCTTCAACCAAAGGAAATCTTGATATCGTCTCCTAACTTCAAATTCACTGGAGTCAAATTCCCCACGAGATGTCTGAAGAAAGTAAGAGAAAATAACAGCACATGCAATATAAGATAGAAGGTATTTGCCTAACGTTATTTTAGACATTGTGAAATAAATGGGTCTCTAAGAAAAATTAACACATCCTAATTATTCAGTGTTTGTCAGCCTGTAATTTTTTTCTTTTTTGTCATCTATTCATGTAGCAGATGAAATAAAGCAAACTTTCTGGTATTTCCAGAAAGAAAGCAAATATCATACTTAAATTTAAAATCCAAACTGAAAAATCTGTCTTACAACAACCATCTGCCTTCCACAAGATTTTAACTACTATTATCTTTGGCATGACTTTCTTGCTAACAAGCAAGTGTGTTCTGAATTTAGGTTTCAAATATATTTCTTTTCTCAAGATGATTAGAATTCAGAATTTGAGGAAAGTCCTATTTTTGCAATTTGGAAAATAACCTGAATGTAACTGAGAAAAATGTTTTCTTGGAATTTGCTCAAATGAATTGCTGTGCTAGGATTTGCTTTTAGTATATGAAAATTCTAACATTTTAGAGTGATTTTACCACTGTTTAAAAAGTAATTAATAGACATTTGATGTGAAAAGAAAATCTTCCTGTCATTTCTCAAAGAATTTTATTTTGGGTTATATGCCTAAACTCCTAAAAATTAAGCAAATACATTAAAATATCTGTTCTCAACAAACCAAAAATCCATGCCAACACATATGACAAGAAGAACATGGGTACAATATCAACCTCATTTCTATTGCCTGAGTCCCAAGCCAAAGATAAAAATATGAGTTATCTAATGTACACTCACCTCTCATAGGAAAACAGTCACTCACACCAATACCTTATTTAACTGAATTTTTGCATATTAAAAATTACATGCAGTAATATTTAGGTTGAAATTTTCCTGCAGAAGTAAACATGGAATAACACATTGCATATATATTTCACACTCACCAGAAATATCCATCACCCACACAGATGTACACAATTGTAAATTAAACAGTCCAAGTCATAAGATGCAATCTTCAATGTCATAAAATAAGGTCCATGAAAGCTATACTTTCCAAAGTTTATTCTCTTAAAATGAATGTTCAGAATATCATACAATGTATCTTTGTACAACATTCCCTTTATAATGGGAAAAAGTGGGAGCGAATGAAATGCAGAAATCTAAGAAACTAAATGTTCACAAAACACTACAAAATCTTAACTATTATGCAACATGGTACATGATATGGAAATGGTAAAAACAGGAAAACTATATCAAATACCAGCACAGTTTAATAATATAGACTGGTCAGTGTATGTCCATATGCAAATAGATGCATGCACACATACATATGCACCCAAAACATGGTTTAGAGTAACTCATTAAAAAATATTACTGAGCATCTCCTTGTACCGGGTACATACGTACAGGTCCACTACCAATTTCTAAGAATATAAATTGCCATAACGAACAATGAAGCACTCAAAAGAAAAAAACCAGCAGTTAAAATAAGATTGAGCTGTATACGTCCCTAAGAATATCCAACATTTTAAGTAAGCATAAAACAATCTAGTATAAATTCCAGTAAGAAGATATAAAATCAAGTCAAATAATTGGTTCAGTCTATCCTCATCACTCTGTCACTGACTCAAAAGAATTCTCTAATGTAGTGCAACAGAAGAAGAAAACAGAGGATAAGTGCAAGCAACGAGAAGAATATGTTATTTCTTCCTACTGTAAGATTTCATTCTTCTCTTGAAGGGTTGTAAGAGACACATATGTAGGAATATGATAAGGAAAACAGTCATTATCAGCAGGGTTTGGAACAAGACTAATTTCCCTACAGCAAGTAATAGAATCATTGTCCCTTCTAAAGTGGACAAATTTGATCACTGTAAGATGTCGCAGTGGCTCACGCCTGTAATCCCAGCATTTTGGGAGGCCGAGGCAGGCAGATCACGAGGTCAGGAGTTCGAGACAAGCCTGACCAACATGGTGAAACCCCATCTTTACTAAAAATACAAAAATTAGCCAGACGTAGTGGCACGCACCTGTAATCTCAGCTACTCAGGAGGCTGAGGCAGGAGAATCACTTGAACCCAGGAGGCAGAGGTTGCAGTGAGCTAAGATCACGCCACTGTACTCTACCCTGGGTGACAGAGCGAGACTCTGTCTCGAAAAAAGAAAAAAAGAAAAAAGATGCACAAAAGCTTCCAAACAAAAGCTTCCAAACTGTAGAAATAACTGGGTTTGATAACATATATCCAACTTAGAAATATCATGTATTTCATAAAGTGCATTTGGAGTATAAATAATGCTTCTAACATAGAATACAGTTTTCTATGGAAGCAACATTGAAAATGCTGGCCAATTTTTCATGTTTGACCATAAAAGCTTGGGTATTTGAAGTTTAGTACTAATGAACTTGTGTGATCTCTACCCCCAAAAGCATTTATTCCAAAAATACCAACCTTCAGTCAAGTGTGAACAGTTATTCTAAACTCATTATTTAGAAAACTTTTTTTGAGGGAAAATGAAACTTAATAGTCAGTTCAGCCAATCAAGAATACAGCTTAACTCCTAACTATACAATGACAGGCATTTATAGGTTTGTTTTCACAAAGAGGAAGTGGAAGGAAAGTACCTTGTTAAATCTCTTCATTCTTACTCTTATATGTACTAAGAGAACGTACATCTTTAGATCTCCAAAAGAGAAAATACTTCTCTATAACAGTCACTTAAAATATGCTAACCTAGACAACAAAGGGTAATTTCCCATAAAAAGAACAGATGCCACAAATGTGGTCTTCCCGATACAATCATTCACAGTTGGATCATTCTTAAGTATTCCTAAATAGGTGATTGTCCATGTATGTATGTGTATATTCATTTACCCTTACAATCCTTAGTACCCATGAATATAAATATTTACAAAACTAAGATTTTCCCAGGAAAGCCATCTTTCAACCTCCAAATTAGATGGTGTATCCCATGCTCATAATATCCAATATTTTTCCTTCAAAATATTTATAACTATAAAGAAATTACTTAGTATATGATATGGTTTGGCTGTGTCCCCATCCAAATCTCATCTTGAATTGTAATAATCCCCATGTGTCAAGGGCGGGGCCAGGTGAAGATAATTGAATCATAGGGGCAGTTCCCCCATACTGTTTTCATGGTAGTGAATAAGGCTCATGATATCTGATGGTTTTATAAATGGGGGTTTTCCTGCACAAGCTCTCTCTTGCCTGCTTCCATGTAAGATGTGTCTTGCTTCCCCCTTGCTTTCTGCCATGATTGTGAGCCCCCTACTCCAGCCATGTGGAACTGTGAGTCAATTAAATGTCCCGCCTTTATAAATTACCCAGTACTGGGTATGTCTTTATTACCAACATGAGAACAAACTAACACAGTACAAAATTAATTATTTAATATCATCATATGCAAACACCCCTTCTTCAGAGTGAAAACACCAGGAAAGCAGAAAGTTCCTTTTGTCAGACCTATCCTGATCACTGATATATTCTTAATATATAAGCACAATACTTGGGACAAACGGGGTACTCAATAAAACTTGTGGAATAAGTAAGTAAATGATAATAAGAAAAGACTATTTGATAACATGATCTACATGTACTATTTATATATTTGTATCTGTAATATATATTTCTGTATATATAGATATAGTCTATATACTATGAAATAGTAAAAGTAATTAGAAGTAGAACAATGGAAGTCATTTATAATAGTTAAACTGAAAGTTTACCACATCCATACCTAAATGCACAAAAATATAATAGAAAAAATGTATACTATGAAAGTAAACTGTTTGGATTTAAATCCCAGCTCAGCTAATTACAATGTTGTGTAACCTTTAACAAGCTACTAAGTTTCGGTGTCCTCGTGCATGAAATGGGGGTAAATCATAATATCTACGTTTGAGGATTACTGTGAGCCTAAATGAGTTAACATGTAGAAACTGGTTAGAATATTACCTGGCACAAAGCAGTCACACAGTAAATGTTTGCTAGTTTATATATTTTCATATTATTATTACTACTACTATTACTACTTCTATAAGACCAGTCCATTTAAAGTATGTGTAAATAGAAAAACTCAGAAGAGCAGTATGTCTATGATCAGAATGAAACTCACAAGGTGGCTTTAGAAAGAGTGTCTTTCTGAGAGACGCAAATGATGGAAAAATAATTCAGTTTCACAAATTATTTGCTAGAATGGATAATGACAATAGATAATTATAACAGTAGTAATAGAAGAAATTTGGCTCTACTCTAGCAGTATGCCTGTATTAACATATTCAATCTTCATAAAGACCTTATGAGGTTAGTACTGTTATCCTATTTACAAACAAGAAAACTAATATAGAGAGGTTAATTAAATTGTCCAAGTCACATAGCAAGGAAGGAGAGAAATCAAGATTCAACTCCATGTTGTCTTGCTCTACCACATCTTGATATAGCTAAGATAATTCCTTCACTCATTCATCAACAAAATAAATAGTTTACTTATTATGTCCTAAGATTTGTGTTTGGAATTATGGATAACTTAAAATATAGTTACCTTCCTTGAGAAACTCACAAACTCACTGAGAATAAATACAAATAAACATCTATTCACATACAGGTAGATGGCAATTACTGAACACTTATCGTGTGTTAGGCACTTTACTAAGTGGGGTGTGCATTGATTACTTATTCTACTGCAACCCTACAGAAGTGAGTTCTATTATCTCAGTTTCATTGATTTAAAAAAACAGCTTAGTTGGATTAAATATATGCTTTTGATATTTTGCTATATTGACTCTTATGTTTTACATTCCTTAAGAGTTCAATAGAACAGTATGAGAAAACAGAGGAAGAATAACTATTTCAGCCAGGGGACAGTAACAACTAGAGAAGCTTTCACAGGCATCTAACATTTTGAGTTGTATATTGAAAACTAAGCATGACTTCTTCTGTCTAAGAAGGGGATGGACACAGCAAACAGAAGGAAAACTATATGCAGTTTTGAGAGCAAGAGATCCCCTAAATATTCAGAAAACAGAAGCAGCTCTACCTGAGTGGAAAGCAAGGTACTGAATGTGAGGTGTAACAAATAAGTCTTATATGGTAAGTGGGCACCAGACTGAGAAGCCTCTTTATATGTCATACAAGAAAGTCGGCACTTTGCTCTGCCTGAAATAAGGGGCCAAGAAAGGATTTTAAGAATTCAAGTGAAGAAATAAGATATATATATCTTCAGGAAACATAACTAATAGCAGTGTGGCAGTTTCATTGGAAGAAGTGATTATAGAAACATAGTTCAGAACTTTTTCAGCTAAAAAAAGAGATGTACTTTTTACATTTATGAAATATAAAAGTCTAGGGTGACGCTTCATAAACAAAATATTATAAAGAGAATTATTTTCAAATGCTATTAAATAAAGGACTTAAAATACAGATTATACTAGGTGGTTGCTTAATTGTGTCTGAGGTAAATTGTCTTTGTAGCACTTCGCCCTACGATTAAAGAGATCTGTGTTCTAGATCTACTTTGCTCTTGAATTATTGCACACATAACAGTATCTCATACATGAGACAAAGTGGCCACCTGTCCCACTTTGAAAAACAAATGGTACCATATTTTATAATCTTCCAAAGAAATCTGAATACATAATATTGCGAACTGTTTAAGCATTTTCTTTTTTTATTAACAACTTGAGGCCCATCTTTTCCAAAGGTATTTCTTAATACTTTTTTAAACTAAAAACCTAGATATTCTTATTCTAAGAAGTATAGCTGCTATAAAATGAGTGACTATTTCTCAAGTCAAGTTGAATTTCACTGACTTAATACAGAACAAGTGAAGGGCAGATAAGAAGCAATGTGTTAGCCAAAAGGTTTGAAAAAGTAAAAGTCAATTCAGCTAAGATCTTGGAATGTTCAGAATTATAATGAACAAGAGGTACTTACTTCCAAAGCTTAAAAAAAAGCAGCTATATTCAAGAAAATATTCACCAAATGTTTACCTTAGTAATAATCCTATACGTAATGAAAGTTTCTATTGTAGTAACATGACTTTCAGGTTCATCAACTGTGATGAAGAGATCCTTTAAATCTGGTTCATCCTCAAACTTGATTTGGTTTATCATTGATAAAGGGGATGTTGGCATCATAGGGCTGAAGGAGTTCATGTCCATCAATGAGGCATCCTAAGAAATAAAACATTCAAAAATTAGTATCAATAGAAAAATTAAACTCTTCTATTTCTAGATGCTATCAATATTAATGAAATATATCAAGAACAAAAGGGATTATTGGACTTTTAGTTAAATGTGGTATACTGAACATGTATTTTTATCTGTTTCCTCTTGAAAATCCCACCCAAAAGATGACAGTAAAGAAAGAAACAAACAAATGAAAAGTATAAACCCTCAAGGATTGCTATGGTTTGAATGTTTCTGTTCCCTCCAAATGTCATGTTGAAACTTAATCCCCAATGCAATAGTATTAAGAGGTGGAGCCTTTAAAGGTGAGTAAGTCATAAGGGTAGAGCCCTCATGAATGGTACTAGCCACCTTATAAGAGGGCTGTAGGGAACGAGCTAGTGCCTCTCCTGCCCTTTCACTGTCTGCCATGTGGGGACACAACAAAAAGACACACACCATCTTGAAGCTGAGAGCATCCCTTGCCAGAGGCCAAAACTGCCAGCATATTGATCTTGAACTTCCCAGCCTCCAGAACTGTGAGAAATCAATTTCTATTATTTATAAATTACCCAGTCTCAGATATTTTGTCACAGTAGCACTAATGGACTCAGGCAAGAATAAGAAGAAAAAAACTATGGTAAACGAAATGTGCCAACTGCTTTTTGGAAACTGGAGATCTGATCGTCAAGTGGTAACTAAAATAGCAGTGCAGAGAAAACTGAAAAGTAATCTAGAAGAGAACAGTAAACTAGGAAGAGGCAAGGATATTTATGATGTAGAATGCCAGAAAGGTTCAAGAATTGGAGGCACCAAGAACCTGTGGACATAAAGGTTGTGGCAGAGCAGAAACCAGATGATTGGTTATTAAGAAGATCTAATAAAACAAGAGTTAGAACCTCAGATTCCCTCACCTACCCTAGGCAATCAGGTAACTTTCCCACCCCAATTTGGTAGAACACTGGAAGTCTACTTTCTGAAAGGTCTGAGCTCGAGGGCATCCAGTAGGATAGGGAAGAAGTCCTATGAAAATACAGATATCAAGTGAAAGTCCTGCATACCAGACTAAAAGACATGCAAACCTGTTCATCTGGTCCCAAGAACGTTGGCAGGAAGGTGCAACCCCCACCCCATCATAGTCCATTCAGGCTGTTATTAAAGAAAACTACAATAAACTAGGTAGCTTACAAACAACAGAAATTTATTTCTCACAGTTCTAAACTAGGAAGTCCAAGATCAAGATGTCAGCAGATTCAGCGTCTGGTGAGGGCCCACTTTACAGAACAGCTTCCTTTCACTATAATCTCACATGGTAAAAGGGGGGAGGGTCTCTCTGGGGTCCTTTATAAGGGCACCAATCCTAATCATGAGAGCTCCACGCTCATGATCTAATCACCACCCAAAGGCTCCACCTCCTACTATCATCAGCTTGGCAGTAGCATTTCTATGTATGAATTCTGGGTGGACACAAATATTCATACCACAGCACCCACCATAGTTGGAAGTTTCCTCTCTTAGCTGATCTTGGAGAAAAACTGACAGTTGTAGTCCCCTAATGAATTAGCCAGGTCTCTGCATAACCACCCTACATCAAAGCCCCTACCATGCATGCAGAATGTCTACTCTGCTTTTTATTATTTGGTGTAGGATCTACCAAACATCCAAACACGAGGAAAGGCTCTGACGTGAAATAAAGTCACAAACAAACCAAAACAGAAGATTAGAGGAAGCAGATAGAACAGAGCATAAACACTTTTTAAAAAACCATGAAATCACCAGAAAGATAAGAGAAAATATTAAATCCATGAATGAAAGCATGCTCTTTTTAAAAAGAAAATTCAGAGAACAGCAACACCACCAACCAAAAAAGAGACTCATGAAAATTAAAATATGATAGCAATATAAAAATGCAACAGAAAGTCTGAAAATCAGAGCTCAAGAACTGTCCTACTATGTGAACCAAAAGAACAAGAGATGGAAAATGAGAAGATTTTTTAAATTGAAGGATACAGGCAGGCAGTGCCTGAATAAAAGGAATTCCAGAAAATGAGAAAGAAAAATATCCTTGACATAAAGTTGATAGGGCCTGTGAGGTCTCCCCAAAATGAACAGGACACTGGTTGGGTAGGTAGTACTCCTACAAGCATCCATCACCATGACATTTCATAACACTAGAGATTTTTAAATTCCCTAAAGATTTAAGAAACAATATAAGTAAAATAAAGGAGGAATCTTGGGAATCAGAATGGCATCAGAGTTCTTAAATGGTGATGCTGGAAACTACATGATAATAAACTAATGTCTTCAAAATTTTGAGAGAAAAGTATTTTCAACCTAGAATTATACATATCCAGGCAATTGTCATTCAAATATACAGGTAGAATTAAGCCATTTCAGAAATAGAAGATTTCAAAAACTTACTTCCCATGTACCTATTCTTTGGAAGCTTCTTTACTTCTCCAAAATAAGAGAATATGCCAAGAAAGAAAAAAATAGAATCTAAAAACAAGAGATACAACAGAAGATCAAAGTAAAGGGAATTCCCTGGAAAATAATGTTCTACATTGACAGTTTTGCAGCAAACCTAGAGAACAGCCCATATACACTGGACCAGGAAAATAAATATCCAGGGTATCAAGGAGATGACAAGGAGAAAGAATAAAGGAAGCGAGGGATGAAGGAAAAGGGGATGGTGGAGAACAGAATACGAAAGGGGAATAAGCAGAGGAGGAAAGGAAACAGAGAAGGTGAGAGAGAAAAACAAGGAAGAAAGGGAATTAAAAAAAGGAAGTAAAAGAAGGACAAAAAAAGGAAGAAAAGAAAACTGATAATGACATAAATGTGATAGGAAGCATGCCTATGTTAGATCTGTAGATAAATTATAATTGGTGTAAGAAAGTTAAGGAGAGAGAAAGCAAAAGAGAGAAAAGGAGGGATGAGAAAACTTTTACTTATTGAGAGTAAGCTAGAAACATGTTGCCCCATTATTCCTAAATAGGTCTGTGTGTATTTTCAGAAAACAAGAATACTCTCCTACCTAACCATAGTACCGATCCAGGTATTTGAATCGGGAAATTAGCACTGACGCAATACAACAGTCTAATCCACAGACCCTTTTGAATTTCTCTGTCCCAAAAATATCCTAAAATGTTCTTCCCCTCTAGTACAGAACTAAATCCAGGTTCATCTGTTACATTTAACTGTTATATCTCTGGTCCCCTTCAATCCGGAACCATTTCTCACCTTTCACTTTCTATTATGGTATAGACCTATTCGAAGCTACTTTATAGGCAATGTTTCCTTTCTCTCAAATATATACATACGTTTTTCTCTCTCCCATCATCTTATCACCATTTTAAGGTAGATAGAGGTTTAAGAAAAAAATTATTTTTATTCACAGCCAAGCCATATAGTGAATTATGATTACATTTTCATTCTTCTACTGCTTTAAAAAATATCTTATAGTGATAAGGTCTTGCTATGTTGCCCTGGCTGGTCTCAAACTCCTGGCTTCAAACAATCCTCCTGCCTTGACCTGTGACAAGGTTTGGTTGTGTCCCCACCCAAATCTTATCTTGAATTGTAACTCCCACGATTCCCATGTGTCATGGGAGGAAACTGGTGGGAGATAATTGAATCATGGGGGCGGGTCTTTCCCGTGCTGTTCTCCTGATAGTGAATAAGTCTCATGAGATCTGATGGTTTCAAAAATGGGAGTTTCCCTTCACAAGTTCTTTCGGCCTGCTGCCATCCATGTAAGATGTGACTTACTCCTCCTTGCTTTTCACCATGATTGTGATGCTTCCCCAGCCACGTGGAATTGTAAGTCATTAAACCCTTTTCCTATACAAATGCCCCAGTCTCAGGTATGTCTTTATCAGCAGCATGAAAATGGACTAACACAGTAAATTGGTACTAAGAGTGGGGCACTGCTGAAAAGATACCTGAAAATGTGGAAGCAACTTTGGAATTGGACAACAGGTAGAGGCTGGAACAGTTTGGAGAGCTCAGATGAAGACAGGAAAATGTGGGAAAGTTTGGAACTTCCTAGAGACTTGTTCAATGACTTTGACTAAAATGCTGATAATGACATGGACAATGAAACCCAGGCTGAGGTGATCACAGATGGAGATGAGGAACTTGTTGGGAACTGGAGCAAAGGTGACTCTTGCTATGTTTTAGCAAAGAGACTGGTGGCATTTTGCCCCTGCCCTAGAGATTTGTGGAACTTTAAACTTGAGAGAGATGATTTAGGGTATCTAGTGGATGAAATTTCTGAGCAGCAAAGCATTCAAGAGGTGACTTGGGTGCTGTTTAAGGCGTTTAGTTTTACAAGGGAAGCGGAGCATAAAAGTCCAGAACTTTTGCAGCCTGATAATGTGATAGAAAAGAAAATCCCATTTTCTGAGGAGAAATTCAAGCCAGCTGCAGAAATTTGCATAAGTAACAAGGAACTGAATGTTAATCCCCAAGACAGTGGGGAAAATCTCTCCAGGGCATGCCAGAGGTCTTCATGGCAGCCCCTCTCAGCATAGGCCCACAGGCCTAGGAGGAAAAGGTGGTTTTGTGGGCTGGGCTCAGGGTCCCCATACTGTGTGCCGCCTAGGGACTTGGTGTCCTGTGTCCCAGCCACTCCAGCTGCTTCAGCTATGGCTGAAAGGGGCCAACATAGAGCTCAGGTCATGGTTTCAGAGGGTGCAAGCCTCAAGCCTTGGCAGCTTCCACACAGTGTTGGGACAGACAATGCACCAAAGTCAAGAATTAGGGTTTAGGAACCTCCACCTAGATTTCAGAGGATGTATGGAAATGCCTGTATGTCCAGTCAGAAGTTTGCTATAGGGATGGAGCTCTCATGGAGAACCTCTGCTAGGGCAGTACAAAAGGGAAATGTGGGGTTGGAGCCCCCACACAGAGTCCCTACTGGGGCACCACCTAGTGGAGCTGTGAGAAGAGGGCCATCATCCTCCAGGCCCCAGAATGGTAGATCCACTGACAGCTCGCACTGTGCCTCTGGAAAAGCCACAGACAGACACGCAATGCCAGCCCATGAAAGCAGACAGATGGGAGGCTATACCCTGCAAAGCCACAGGGGCAGAGCTGCCCAAGACCATGGGAACCCACCTCTTGCATCAGTGTGACCTGTATGTGAGACATGGAGTCAAAGGAGATCATTTTGGAGTTTTAAGATTTGACTACCCCACTGGATTTCAGACTTGCATGAGCCTGTAGCCCCTTTGTTTTGGCCAATTTCTCCCATTTGGAATGGGTATATTTACCCAATGTCTGTACCCCCATTGTATCTAGGAAGTGACTAACCTTTTGATATTAGAAGCTCATAGGTGGAAGGGACTTGCCTTGTCTCACGTGAGACTTTGGACTGCAGACTTTTGAGTTAATGCTGAAATGAGATGAAACTTTGGGGACTGTTGGGAGGGCATGATTGTTTTTGATATGTGAGGACATGAGATTTGGGAGGCGCCAGGGGTGGAGTGATATGGTTTGGCTGTGTCCCCACTCAAATCTCATCTTGAATTGTAACTCCCACAATTCTCATGTGTTGTGGGATGAACCTGGTGGAAGGTAATTGAATCATAGAGGCAGGTCTTCACATGCTGTTCTCATGACAATGAATACGTTTCACGAGATTTGATGGTTTTAAAAATGGGAGTTTCCCTGCACAAGCTCTTTTGCCCTGCTGCCATCCATGTAAGATGAGACTTGCTCCTCCTTGCCTTTCACCATGATTGAGGCTCCCCCAGCCATGCAGAATTGTAAGTCCATTAAACCCTTTTTCCTATATAAATTGCCCAGTCTTGGTTATGTCTTTATCAGCAGTGTGAAAACACATTAATAGTGTGAAAACAGATTAATACATCCTGCCAGAGTGCTGGAATTGCAGGTGTGAGCCACTGTGCCAGCCCAGTTTTTGTTTTCCTGAGTGTTCATTATTCATTTATTCATTCCCTCTCACTCCAAACTATATTAGTGTATATATGTATACTGCTATTTTTTATTTTTCAATGTTGATACCATCAATAGGTTTTCCACTAAGGAGACTAAAGAGTATAATATTTTGTTTAAATTAATTATATGACTATAGACTCAAATTAATTATATGACTACAGATTCACAGATTCCTATTTTATTCAGTGGATATAATTCATTAACATCATAATTTATTTTGATGTCTAAACAGTCCCAAGTTTGACAAGTGGGAGCCCCTTAAAGCTGCACCAGTATGTTTTTGCTATGTCTTCATTATTCTTTGAGCACTTTACTTTTTAGAACAAGATGTTTCAAGTTTATAATATTTTGTTATTTCCCTGCCCAAGCTCTGGAATGAGACATTTCTCCGAGGAGCTCTGGTTCCTTTTAGAGAAGATTGGTATTTACAAAACCAAGATATTAATGCTAGGAAATAAATATATGAGACATACACATACATATGTACACTGATATAGTTTGGATGTTTGCCCTCTCCAAATCTCATGTTGAAATGTGACCCCCAATGTTGGCAGTGAGGCCTAGTGGGAGGTGTCTGGATCATTAGGGTGAATCCCTCATGAATGGCTTGGAGCCATCCTCATGTTAATGAGTAAGTTCTCAGTCTATGAGTTCAGGCAATATCTGATTTATTAAAAGACCCTGGATCGTCCTCTTTCTCTTGCTCCCTCTCTGGCCACATGACATGCTGGCCGTCCTTCACCTTTCGCTACAATCGTAAGCTGCCTAAAGCCCTCACTACAGGTAGATGCCAGCACCATGCTTCCTGTACAGCATGCAGAACCATGAGCCAAAATGAACCTCTTTTCTTTATAAATGACCCAGCCTCAGGTATTTCTTTATAGCAATGCAAGAACAGACTAACACACACACACACACACACACACACACACACACGCACACACACACAGACTCATACAGCTCTAGATCTATGGCTAGATACAGATATAAAATACCAAGAGTTCACAAATTAGAATGATATACCTCTATTTCTTTTTTTTTTTTTTTTTGAGACAGCGTCTCGCTCTGTCACCCAGGCTGGAGTGCAGTGGTGCGATCTGGGCTCACTGCAACCTCCACCTCCCGGGTTCAAGCAATTCTCCTGCGTCAGACTCCCGAGTAGCTGGGATTACAGGTGCCTGCCACCACGCCTGGTTAATTTTTGTATTTTTAGTAGAGACGGGGTTTCACCATCTTGGCCAGGCTGGTCTTGAACTCCTGACCTCGTGATCCACCCACCTCGGCCTACCAAAGTGCTGGGATTACAGGCATGAGTCACTGCCCCTGGCCTATATACCTCTATTTCTAATTTGACATGTCATGGCTTGTCTAGCCTTTCCCTTTTCCATATTTATAACTCTTTTAGTCAGCAGTGAGAAACCTGGCTCCTATTATCCCAAATGTTTACTTATTGGCTCAATTCCCCTGTATGTAACCAATCTCCCAACCACACCGGCTTCCTCCTCTGCTCTGACCACGTAGGCCAAGGCAGCCTTATTCTCAACCCCAACCATGCAGGATGCCTCCTCAGCTTCAATTTCAATTGGCAACACTGGTCATCTGCTCAGTCACCTTCAATAGTTTTGTCTAAATAAAAGAAAGAAAAAGATGGGAAAGGAAGGGCTACATGTTATTCTTTATAAATAAAATTAACTGAAACATAAGGATAATTACAGTAAACTTTAAATTCAAATAATGGTTCTTTCACATGCAAAGATAAAACTAACACTCTCAATAGAATATTTGAGTTATCTCTGCAGTGGTAGTAAGAACTTGTTCTCCAACTCTATACTTTTTCTTTTAGATACATTTGTTCCCCTAAAGTAGTGATACAGATGTTGGAATCAAAAGTTTTGTCTGTTGTTATGTGTAAGATTATAAAGTTAACTGATGTATTTGAATATTAAATCTGCAACAAAGCCCATTTTAGCTTAGCAACAAAGTTGGCCAGTACTGAGTAAAAAAAAAATCATAAAGGAGGCCAAAAATGGCTTCTGGTCCTATCTCTGCCATTGACTAAGCAGGCACTGAACCACTAATTCAGCCTTTCTATGTTAAATTACAAAGTTGGACCTGATGATTTCCAAAATATCTCAGATCCAAATGCATTAATATAGTACAATGTAATAAATTCTGATGTTTTAGGAAGAGATACTTTTTTGTGAAACTATGAATAGGAAAAAAAGATGAAATCATAATATGGACTTGTTTTCTCTTCAAACCAAATCAATAAAAATGCTTTTGAAGCATCGATAATACTCAGAGCACTGCTTTAAAGGCTCTTCCCACAAAAAGTTTAGCTCTGTGAACTACAATGCAACATTTAGGTCATCCTTCAATGTAATAATAGAAGAGAGATTATCACAGGATATGCTAACTGAAGAAAGAAGAATAACAATAGTCATAAAGATTACGAAGGTTCAGCCTATTATCACAAAAAGATTTGTGATCATTTAAGCATTACACAAGGAGTAGAAGACAAATTTCAGTTGGATTAATCAGACACAGAAAATTTAGAAGCAATAAATGTCTTGCAAAAAAAATTCAGTGAAATAAATCATTTTATATCTCTATGGGAGGGTATAATGAATTCTATCCATATGATAGAATACAACATAGTGACTTAAAGATGATTTAGAAGAACATACAATAACTTGGAAAAAGTTTCACAGTATGTTATTCAGAAAAAAATGGCAAAATATAAAATTTGTGTAAAACCAGATTCCAATGTGTGTGTATGTGTATGACTGGGGGGATGGGCAGGGAGGGAGAGAGGGAATTTAGCAGCTATTAAAAAAAAAAG
This sequence comes from Homo sapiens, assembly GCF_000001405.40. Lineage (NCBI taxonomy): Eukaryota > Metazoa > Chordata > Mammalia > Primates > Hominidae > Homo > Homo sapiens. The sequence continues at coordinate 98,676,084 of NC_000001.11, read as the reverse complement.
TTAACAGGAATTATTCCAGATGTTGGGATTGCTGTTGGGTTTAATATTTTTCTATGTGATTTTCTTTATTTTCCAAATATTCTAAAACATATGTTATATTTTATAACCAGAAAAACCGTTAAAATTGTTAGAGTCAACATTGTACATGATGTGCTAAGAGACAGTAAGAACCGTAGTGATAAAACAGTTGTTTTGGCAGAATACTTCGGATTATATTTGATTTTTTTCTTAACAAGGTTGCATAGATAAATAATAAGTTATGGGATGCTAACACAATGAAATACTAAGCAGCCATTAAAACCAGAATTTAGAGCTTCCAAATAAATGTGTAATCAGCATGTACAAAAATCTCTCTCAAAAACCACTGTATATAAATAGCAACTTTGTAAGCTGACAAATTTTAATTTGGTGGGCAAACGTACTTTGTATTTTACTGACATTACGTACAAACGTGCTTTGGCATTCTTTTTGCTCATCCTCCCAACTCACCACAGCCTACTTCTTTTACCTACTACATAATTTAGCATTCTATTTCTTCCGCTTGAAATGCATCCTTTTGTGGAGTGGGAAAAATCTGCATGAATTTACAAAAGGCTCACAATTCCAATGAGTACAGTGTGGTGTCATAAAAATATGCTTCGATATCTAGCAAAGGCAGAAAATTACAGGCTGAAATTTAGCAACATCCAAGATTTCAGTAGAAGGATTTAAATTACTATGAATCACTCAAAAGCATTCTTAAAACCTCAATAAAACTGACTATCTAAAGTGTTTTATATTCACTTCAATAAAAGGAAAGAAAATATACTAACAATACTTAAAAGACTTAACATTTGGACATGAATAACTGAAGAAAATAAGTGTTTGGGAAGATCCAAAGTAGCAATTAACCAAAAAGAACTCCATTTAACCTTTTGCGGTTGATGCGTTTCAGGAGAAATGGATCAATAAAATTTGTTCTTTCCAAACAAAGGTCTCACCTCCACAATAATGGATGTGTGTCTCTCTGTCTCTATTTGGATATAAGACCATTATCTTAGGGTCATTTAAATGGTGAAAATATATCTTTTTATTTTTTCCTTCAACAGATTATAGCATAATAAAAATTATCTGTGTGACAAATCTCTACTTCTTAAATCACGTTTACTCCTGTAGCTAGAACAGTGAAAATGCACACACACAAGAAAGTCCTGGGATGGGTTCAGGCTGAGATTTGAGTGAGTTTCATAGAGAAGAAAGCCTGTGTTGCAAGAATTCATGGTCTTTTATCCTTACTCCAAAACAATACATCCACTGTCAGAAAAACCACTTAAATAACTTAACTGAAATAAATGGATTAGATTGGTGTTAGCATGATAATAGAATTTATTGCAAAAATCACAAATTAAGTGTAAGTTTTTCTGTTGTTACTCGGGGTTTATTATAAGCATTTGTTATGGGTTGAATTGTTCCCTCACCCAAATTTATATGCTGAAGCCCAAATCCCCAGTACCGTGGAGTGTGACCTTATTTGGACATGGGGTCCCTACAGATCTGATAAAGTTAAAATGAGGTCATTAGGATAGGCCCTAATCCAATTACGACTGCTATCTTTCTATAAAAAGGGTAAATGTGGACACAGAAACATGGATGGAGGGAATAGGATGTGTGGAGACACTGGGAGAACATGGATCTATAAGCCATGTTGGGAAGTCTGGAACAGATCCCTCTCTCACGGCCCTCAGAAGGAACCAACTCTGCTGACTTCTTGATGTCAGACTTCTGGCCTCCAGAACCGTGAGTCAATACATTTCTGTTATGTAAGACACTCAGTCTGTGGTACTTTGTTACAGCAGCCCTGGCAAACTCACACAGCATTTCTGCACTTAAAATGGTACACAATAAAAATTTGAGGATGGAGGCAAAGCTAAAAGGAAGAAATCATGATTAAAATATTTCAACTTTGCTCCATTCTTTTTAACAGGTTAGTAGTCAACTCCAGGAATTTCTGGGAATGTTTTTTTCCACCCTCCTTTAATGCAATTAGATGATTCCAACATTCTACCACTGAAATAAATAAAACACATAGCTTCCTCAAAGATAGAAACCAGTATATTTCTGTGATCCTCTGAAGATCTCACTACAAATTCAAAGTGGCTGCTTACACAAGTCAAAAACAAAATATTAATCTTATATACCATAATAGCAAATACTGAGAGTTTTCTAAGTGCCAGAGACTATGTGCCTTAGCAACACATACATGCATTATTTCATTTAATCCTCTCCACAATCTGATGGAAGTATAATTATCATTGTCCATATTTTACAGGTGAATAAATTTGTGGTATAGGGATGATAAGCATTCTCCCCAAATCACTTATCTCTTAATTGATAGCAAGACTCAACCACCCTCACCATCCATGTGCACATGAAAAGCACTCAGTATAGTATTTTGATTTCATTTAACAAATGTTCACTGCATGTCACCCAGGTGTCAGGCACTGGGCTGGGGATACAATAGTGGTCAAGACTGGTAGAGTTCCTGCTCTCATGAAGCTTATACTTTAGTTGAGAGGGAAGGGGAGGGTACATATAATGAGCAAATAAATATATAGATAAGTAAGATAATTTCAGATAAGAAGAATAAGTGTTAGGAAAAAATGGAGCAGGTTGCTGAATAAAGGGGCTGCAGGGAGCAGGAAGAATGCTTTCCATAGAGCTGTCAGGGAAAGCTTCTTTGAGGAGGTAACGTGAGAAGGAGTCAGCTATACAAAACACTTGGAGAGCAGGATTCCAGTCGGACCAACCAATGAGGCCCAAGGCAGGAAGAATATTTGAGGAACAGAAAGAAGACATATGGCTGGAACATAGACTGTGATGAAGGAATGACCAGCAAAGCTCATTTTCACATTTGCTGTATCAGAATTCAAGTATTCATACATTTTATCTAATAGTCTTTTAAAAAGGGAGGAGCACTCTGTGATAAATGAATGTTACACCTGAAAATCCCAAAGTAAAACACTTGTTGCACAGCTAGAGATTGTTAAGCATGTGTATGGTCTTATTCAGACTCTTCATGAGCATTAGCCAATTGGAGGTGATTAATCATATCAAATGCAGCTCCATTTATCTTGATTACACTTGAATAATTTCTTTTTTTTTTTTTTTTTTTTTTGAGACGGAGTCTCGCTCTGTCGCCCAGGCCGGACTGCGGACTGCAGTGGCGCAATCTCGGCTCACTGCAAGCTCCGCTTCCCGGGTTCACGCCATTCTCCTGCCTCAGCCTCCCGAGTAGCTGGGACTACAGGCGCCCGCCACCGCGCCCGGCTAATTTTTTGTATTTTTAGTAGAGACGGGGTTTCACCTTGTTAGCCAGGATGGTCTCGATCTCCTGACCTCAAGATCCACCCGCCTCGGCCTCCCAAAGTGCTGGGATTACAGGCGTGAGCCACCGCGCCCGGCCACTTGAATAATTTCTTACTTAGTAGAAAATTTTACCTCTTGTATTTAATACTCTATTCTAAAAATTTGGTTTTATTCATTCAGAAAGGTCCAAGATGCCATTTGCCTATAACTTTGCCACAAAACCATTGTTAGAGGTGGTCTGATTGTTCCTAATGATCCCTCTTCTTTCTTCCTGTGAGCGGATTACATCTCCTGGCCAGCTGCCAGGTGATTTTCAGTGCCTCCCAATTGGTTTGACCAGTTACTTGCTTTGGACAATGGCAGTATCTGGGTAGAAGATCTGGGAGCCATTGTCTATTTCCACCAGTGCTCATATTATTTTCCCTCTGTCACAGGAGTGGCATGTCCCAGTTAGGGGTTACTGCTTCAGTCTTGATCCCAAAATGAAGAAGATATGTGGAACAGAGTCAAAGCCGAGAGCAGAATCACAGTTTAGCCACAGCTGACAGATAAACGAGCAAGAAAGAAAACTTAATTGTAAGCAAGCCACTGAAATCTCGAGGTTGTACTGCAGCATAACCTAATGAAAGCTGATGAAGAGAGTATTCAGTGTTCAATTAGATTACAAAATACACATGCACATTTTTCTCAGAACAAATTAGGGATTCATTTTTTCTAATTTTCAAGATTCATATAACAAGAATTTGCCATTTGTTTCTGGTTACACATAAGGCTTTAATTTTCATTCTAAACAGACTTTTTTTCTTAATATTTCACTTTAAATGATTCAGCTTGTTTATCTTAAAAACTTATCTAAAAATAAAACTATGATATAAAATCATTTTTCTAATAGAAATGAACCTAAAAATATGACAAATGAAAGAATCTCAAAATTGTGATAAAGCATATATGATATGATTCTATTTATTTGAAATTACCTAAAAAGACAAATTTATATAAACAGAAAATTTAGATGAGTGGTTTTTGTCTATGACAGAGAGAAAACAGAGATTAACTGTAAGCAGGCATAATGGATCATATTGGGGAGATGAAAATGTTCTAAAACTGGTTTATAGTGATAGTTGTACAATCTGGTTAATTATCTTAAAAAAATCATTCACCCAAAATGGGTGAATTTTATGGTATGTAAATTATACTCAATAAAATTGAATTTAAAAAGAAAAAAAGAGCATGTCATATAAAAGCATTTCTCAAAGTCAAAAATAATAAAATTTTTCCATTTCAATGTTAAAACTGTTGGTTTAACCCTATGTTTTAACACAAGCAGATTTTTATGTCAGTATTTGCTAATAATTTTAATTGTCTTTTTTTATTAATACTAGAGGTAACACACTATTATCCAGCTTGATTGATACATGCAATCCAAAGTTAATCAAATATTCTGTTTAAAATGAGCAAAATCTTTTAAGCATATAACTCTTTACCTGTTTATTGAGAAAACTGTATATACTTAAGGTGACTCCAATGAAAATGTTTAACTTTTAGTCTCATATCTTCTTTGGAAAGTGTGGGACACAAATAAATAAACATGAATAAAATAAATTTTTAACACTGTAACCACATAGCTATTGAATCTGTGTTTCTTTTTGATCACACTAGCTACTTGTAAAACTACAGCAGGCTATGAGGACCCTCAAGGATACAAACATAAAACTTTATCTTTAAAACTCACGGAAATAAAGTATTCTTTTTAGAGTACACTAAGTTTAAATCTGGAGCCTTTTAACATCATTTTCTCAAAATATTTGTAATAACTTTCCTCATTGCTCCTGACCAATAAATAAATAAATAAATAAATAAATAAATAAAACTCACTGTCTCTACATAAAAGAGCTGTAGCTCTCTTTCCTATAGGTCCTCATAATTTTTTTTTCTTTGTTTATACAACATCCAATCCCCTTTCCAAATACAGGCATGTGTCATTTAATGATGGGGACAGGTTCTGAGAAATGCATCCTTAGGAAATTTTGTCATTGTGTGAACATCATAGAGTTCACTTACACAAACCTAGATCATATACCCTACTTCATACATAGGCTAGATGGTATAGCCTATTGATCCCAGGCTACAAACCTGTACATGTTACTGTTATGAAAACTGTAGGCAGCTGTAACACATGATTAGAAAAGGTACAGTAAAACACAGTATTGCAATCTTAGGCAGTCCATCATTGACCAAAACGTTCCTTACACAGCACATGACTATATACGATTGGCTATAGTTTCTGCTAGCGCCTGTCCCTTTCTGCAGCTGCATTTCCAGCCTTTACATCTACTCTGTGAGCAATCTAATATTCAAGATTGCACTTCTTTCCTGCCAGAGTTGGCTTCCACTACTTGTAATCAAGCTCCCTGAGGCAGGTGCTATTATAGTATTAATAGCTTAATATGGTTTTTTTTCAAGTAAAAGAATGTTTCTAAATTGTTATCTTGGATTTTTTATGCTTTGTGTTTATTTCTTCTAATATAATCTAAATGGGAGATTTTGTTCAGGATTGAGGCTCAACATAGCTCTCTGTATCATCAAACAATAACATTACTCACCATTAATTAAGACTAATTTAATTCTATGTAGTTTAGTATCCTGACAGGAAAGACCAGTATGATACAAACTGAATTCACTAAAAACAGATCACCAGCAAATTGCTGTAATAACTGTCTCTATAAATATGAAAAAAGTCAGAGGCTACGTCATTCATTTATGTATTTATTCTGTAAATAGAGTTCCTACTCTCCTACCTTTGAGAGCTTAATCTATTGAAAACAGACAAGCAATCAAGATTTTGGAAAAGAGAAATAATATCTATTTATAAGGCAGAATGTATTAAGCATTAGATGATTCAAAACACTAGTATGGAGAGCACAGACTGGAAAAAATTAATTCCAGCTGAGGATTGAAGAAGGTTCTTAGGGATGATGAGTAACAGAAAAGGTTTTGTTTCACTGCCCTAACAATAACTACACAAAAGTAGAAAAATACACAGTAAGTTCACATAGTGGCAAGTGGACCAACCTAGATCAGTGCTTCTCAAATTGTACGGTGGAAACAAATTACCACAAATCCTGTTTAAATCAGATTCCAATTCACTGGGGTCTGAGACTGCATTTGTAACCAGCTCCCAGGTGATGTAACAGTCATGGAACTGAATAGTGAGGCTCTCCAGGAAAGAGAGTGGGGGTGAAGGAGAAGGCTGACAGCCTAAACATCAACAGCTGTGAATGGCAAATGGTGACAATATGATCAGAGCTGTGTGCTCTGGAAACACTGATTTGCTGGGAACACATAGAATGGGGGCAGAATATTAGGAGAATGAAGACCTTATGAGGCTATTTCAATAGTTCTCAGAGGTAACTACACAACCACCCCAAACATAGGAGAGGAAACTGAAAGGAGGCACTAATTCCAGAGATATCAAAAAGGTAAAAATGATGGGGACATTCAGATATATGAACAGACATGGAGAGTGCATGAGAGGGATGATTAGAAGGTAAACACTGAGGATTTTATCCTGGACACCTAAGGAATTATTACATCACTAGGAGAAAATTAAATGGAAAAGACAACGGGTTGGGGAAGAGAAATTAAGAATTGGAGAATGGCAGAACATAGTCCAGTTGGAAATAAACTGAAGGGATGAATAGGCCCATCTAATTAAGACTTTCCACTGCTCTTACAGTTAAATTTAGTAAGTTAAAATTCCACTGGAACAGCCTTAGTAAAAAAGGACAGTTCAACTGTCACACCCTCCTCTCCTCTGGGACAGTTAGTCATCCAGCTTGTACCAGAACATTTTTAGTGACAGAATTCACGATCCTGTTGGGCAATCCCTTTCATTTTGGAAACTTTAATTAGAAATCTATTTTCTGAATTAACCTGAAACTTCTATTTTTTGACCCAGTGGTCCTAGTTTTGCCCTTCAAAACTGTAAACATTTAATCCACCTAGATCATAGTAAGTGTTCATAAGGAGTTATTAAAAGAATTAACCCATCTCTTCCAAGCTAAATCACTTTTTGTTCTTCACCAGACTTTCTTCACAGGCCATGGTTAACAGAACATATCATCAGTGAAATCCCTTAGTGGACTCTCTTTCATGGATAGCAAATACGTGTGTCAAAACTGTTGCTACTTCCTGTGCCAAAGGAAGACAGTGTTAATGGATCTAAGCCCTCTTTCTAAGCTCAGACCAGATTTCAGCTCCATCTTAACACAGTATTCCAAAGAATCCATAACAAGGCACTGGCATCTGAAGATGAGGCCTTATTCCTCTGCCATTTTTTGACATCAACTGTTAATTCTCCTTTTAAAATGCTGAGAGTGGAATGGATCTTCTGAAGTGGCATGGAGAGTTCAAATTTACATTAAAATTAATACCCTATATGACCTTGAAAATATGGTGTTTAAATTCAATATCATGTCATTTGTGTATACTGGTTTTTCAGTCACTGAAAACCACTAGGAATGTTTGCACATAAAATGGTCCTATACAAGGTCTCCCCAAACTTATTCTGAAGTTTCCTTGTTTTGGTTTTATTGTTGATCATATATGCTACCTCAAAAAGAGAAACTTAGAGCTTTTCACCTTCTTTCTATTTCACCTACCTAGACTTCCTCCCCAAGGAGAAATATAAAAGAATACTTAACCTATAAGAGAGCTATAATGGCACAGAGTGAAATTTTTTGCAAGAGAAATATAAGTAGTCCTGGATCAGCCCTATTTTGTTTTATTGTTTTTTTTGTTTGTTTGTTTTGTTTTTTTTGTTTTTTTTTTCCTAATCATCAAAATGGTAAGGCCCACTAAGACAAGATCAGGATGTAGGCCTTAGGGAAAGGGGAACATACATATTAGGGCATGTAATCGTCATTAGTATTTATCCTCATTTTACAGATGAAAAATCTGACGCATTGACATTAAGTTACTTGCCTTAGGCAATAATACTAGTAAGCAGTGCAGCCAGGATTTCAAATGCAGGCAATGTAGTTAGAGTCCCTACTCCTGGACCAGGTGTGGTGGCTCACACCTGCAATCTCAGCACTTTGGGAGGCCGAGGTGGGCAGATCACCTGAGGTCAGGAATTCGAGACCAGCCTGGACAACATGGCAAAACCCCATCTCTACTAAAAATACAAAAAAAAAAAATGCTGGGTGTGGCAGTGTGCACCTGTAGTCCCAGCTACTGGGGAGGCTGAGGTAGGAGGATAGCTTGAGCCTTGGGAGGTGGAGGTTGCAGTGAGCCAAAATCACGCCACTGCACTCTAGCCTGGGTGACAGAGTGAGACCTTGTCTCAAATAAAAAGAAAAGAGAGTTTCTACTCCTAACCACTAAGCTTATATCTTAATGGTATTTTTACTTACAATGACTAATGGAGCTTTCTTCAGAACTTCATATTTATCCCAATTAAATTCCATAGTCTACTTCTGAATACAATGTTCTAACTTATCAAAAGATTTGGAAGGCTGATTATGATATACAGACTATTAGCTATTGTTATAGTTACTACTGCTGTGTAACAAACAATCTGAAAACATAGTCGTATAAAACGATTTTATTGTTTTAGATTTTATTATGCTCACTGGTTTATGCAGGAATTCAGGAAGCACACAGCAGAAATGTCTTGTCTCTCCTCCATTATACATGAGGGCTCAACTGAAAAGACTTGATGGCTGAGGGCACATGAATGCTGGAGGCTGAAATCATACAGACATCTTCACATGAAAGCCTGCCACTTAATGCTGGATAGTGCCAGGGACTTCGGCTAGGGCTGCTGACCAAGCATTTACATATGGTTTCAATGTAACATGGGTTTCCTAACATGGAGGTTTTAGGTTGCATTTCTTACATGGTGCTCCAAAAAGCACAGTGTCCCACTGGACAACACGAAACCTACATTCCCTTTCATGATCTAGCCTGGGAAGTTGCACAGCATCACTTCCACCATATCCTATAGATCAAGGCAGTCATAATCCCACCCAAGTTCAAGGAAAGCAGCACTTATACCATCTCTCCGTAGGAGAGTGGCAGGTCACATCATAGAAGAGCATATACAATGAGAGATACTGACACAGTCACCTTTATTGAAAGTAACTCTCCACATTGTTGTACTATGTCCTACGACCCCACCCATCTATTTTCTGTGCCCTAGGAGGCTGGCACCTATAGATGACATCACCTTAGCAAGACCACTCAAAGAGGAGTGCAAGCAGGAGATCCAAAGGCAGGAGGAGAGGAATTCAGGGAACATACCCCTTATTTCCTCCTGCTTTGGCACGTTTCCGGCAGTAGCTACCTCTCTCTGTAAATGCAGTTCCTGAAGAAGTGTCCCCATCTCCACAGCTCCAGGTCTGACTGGTTTCCAGCAATGCTATTTCCATTTCTTGTCCCTTTAAAGCTAGGGATGCTAATAGCTTTTTCCCACTACAACTCTCTAAATGCCTCAGTATTCCTTGTTTGTTCACTAACTCTGCCAATAATTCCATAAATAGTCCCCGCATTCAACTCTCATTTAAATCATTGGAGAGAATTCTGATTTTTATCAGAGTGATGACTGATATAGGCACACAACAGAAACCAAATAGACTGTGCAGAGAATATATGTGAGAAATTAGTAAGCAGGACTTCCTAATCTTTTTCTAATTATTTGATAGAATAGATGAATAGTATAATTATGCCGCTCCATCACTATACTGAATTTCCAAATTGACAAAGAAAAAAATATATATATACATATAAAGATATGTATACATGTGTATGTTAGATGTCTCAACTTTATTCTTTCAGAAATAAACTTTTCAGCTGGGCACGGTGGCTCACGCCTGTAATCCCTGCACTTTGGGAGGCCGAGACGGGTGGATCACTTGAGGTCAGGAGTTTGAGACCAGCCTGGCCAACATGATGAAACCCTGTCTCTACTAAAAATACAAAAAATTAGCCAGGCATGGTGGCGCATGCCTGTAATCCCAGCTACTCAGGAGGCTGAGGCAGGAGAATTGCTTGAACCCGGGAGGCAGAGGTTGCAGTGAGCCAAGATTGTGCCACTGCACTCCAACCTAGATAATAAGAGCAAAACTCCATCTCAAAAAATAAACAAATAAATAAATAACCTTTTCTGAAGAAATGAGTGATTTTTTTCAAAAGCCTTGCTCAATCATGTCATTATAACTCTGATTTACCATAAACACAATCTTAAGTCTTTCATTATTCTTATAAAACTTGTAGCTTCTATTGATCATGTTTTTTTCAAAGTGTGTATAAACAACATACTAAATAATTCATTTCATGGCTTTTTTGGAGATTGAAATGAAACCTACTGTTCGCTACCTTCCAGAACTCCCATTTTGCCCATTATTTTTAAAAACAATATTTACCTATCTCTAGTTTCAGGGAACCATTATTGCATTTCATGATTTCTCAAAGATGACTAGTGGTGATGAGGATGATTACACCTGTAAGTTCCCTGATTATCCTAGATGATATATATCTCACTTTTATGATCCCGAATATCTTTAAAGAGGCCAATTAGAGCTATCATTTACTGAGTACCAGATAAGCATCTCAGTGCTTCATTGTGGCCTAATCACATACACTGTATCCACAGCTGTTTCTTTTATACAGTATTCAATAAAAATAAAGGCAATTTATTTTAATTTATTGTTTTTCCCCAAAGAGGAGGATTTTTTCCTTTAAACGTGAAGAAACTGGCCCTTTTTCTCCAGTTAAATTTTTTGGAAGCCTCATCTCATTGTGACCTAGTTCTAAAATAATTCTTAGGCTCTTGTTACCATTTGTGTATCTTTTTTATTTTTTTATTTTTACTGTTTTTGTATGATTGGTTCTGTTCTCTTCCTTCTAACATCTATCCCCGTTCTTTTAAATCAATGTCCTCTGCATTCTCTTGAGGTCTGGCATCATTTTCTTCTCACTGGATTATAAGAAAATTCAGAACAACTTTGTTTTACTTTCCATCCCTCTTGATTTATATTGCCATTTAGAGTTTGTCACATCTTCCCACCTGGAGTATAAGATTGTGATAGCAAGAACTAAATCTTGTATTTCTTTTTTTTAAAGCATACTTAACACAAAATGTATATTTGCCATGTACTTGTAATACGTTGTGGAAAAAAAATAATAAGAAGTTGTTTTGTTTTTCTTTTGAGACAGAGTCTCACTCCGTCACTCAGGTGGGAATGCAGTGGCGTGATCTCTCAGCCCACTGCAACCTCTGCATCCCGGGTTCAAGAGATTCTCCTGCCTCAGCTTCCCGGTTAGCTAGGATTAAAGGCTCCCACCACCACACCCGGCTAATTTTTATATTTTTAGTAAAGATGGGGTTTCACTATGTTGGCCAGGCTGGTTGTGAACTCCTGACTTCAAGTGATCCGCTAGCCTCAGCCTCCCAAAGTGCTGGGGAAATTCATACTCTTTAAAAAGCTTCTGGAAGAGTATACCAGACACATATTCACAAATAATCTAAGAGAATAAGGGGACTATAAAGGTGAATGTAAATTAAATATGTAGTTTGCCAATCTCAAATTACTAAAAGGGAAGGACAGTTTGCTTCATAAGTAATTGTGAGATTCCATCCTAGGATAGGCTGAACAGCAGTGGTGTTTGTTTTATAGAGGAGCAGGCAAGGAAGGTAGTGGAAAGGGAAGGCCACGTGGAGCAGGCTTTCTTAAATTTGCTTAACTACAGATAACGGTTGAGAAATTCAACTTACTGAAATGGATGAAAGTGGCTAATTTTAAACTTTTCCAACTACTCTTGTTGGATTTTCACTAATATTATATCTTTGCCTTAATCTATGTGGGCAGTTTCTACAGAAGTTGTTCTTAACTTTTTCTAAGCATCCAACACGCGCAGTTAACACTAACAAGCAGGGTGGACCCAGGTGTACGGGCTTTTAGAGTTTGGAAGGTCCCCTTTTAAAAGAATACAAAATTAGGTGGAAAAACACATTATTCAGAATGAGAAAAGAAATCTCAATAAATGATTGGAGCCATGGAGATCTAGATTCCTTAGTCTGAGAGAGCTTTAGGCAATTCACCAGAAATGCTTATTTAGAAATGCTTCTGGTCGGGACCTGTCATTTCCTTCCCACCTAGAACATCTGCGACTCCAGCAACCCCCAACACGCCCAGAGGTCTAAGCAAACGAATAGCGCTGAAGCTTCAATTTCATTAGCTTCACCTTGGATCTGCCTCTGACAAGAGGACCTCATTTAAACATTGATTCTTAAGAGTCAGCTAGAACACCTAGAATCTGGGGAAAGAGAAACCACTTGACAAGTTTAAAACAATCCGAGTCACTGTGGCTCAAGCCTGTAATCCCAAACCCTTTGGGTGCTGGAGGTGGTAGAATCCCTTGAGGCCAGATGGGTCCAGCCCCGACAAAAAAAAAAAAAAAAAAAAAAAAAAAAAAAAAAAAAAACCAGAAAGAAACCCTGATGATTCTGATACACCATTGCTATTTCCAACATCCCATCCCAAAGTTTCACAATGCATAACCATAGACTAATATTCCTTATCCAAACAGCAATGTAAAGAAGGAAAGAAAGTAAATAACCAACTGGCCAACTGTCGTTGATCTGAACATGAAGTATGTGTGGAATATAAAAAGGCAGAGTTTACAACTAAACATAAAATAATTCCATTGTTTTACTACTTAACAGAAAAGTCAAGAGCACAAAACTGTGATAGTCTGTTTAAATATTCGGAATACAAACCTGGGCCTATCATTCCATTTAAACCGAAGTAGAAATAAGTTTTATATACTCCTCTTTGGAGTCAGAGTATGCATGGTCACTTCCTAACTTTGGTTTGCTCTCCCAGAGTAAATGCGGTGGTTAAGTAGGTCGTTTGCTTTACCTAATATCTCCAGGTAACGTTAAAATGAACAGGCTTCTTAGTAATGAATACAGCGTTGTGATCTGAACTCAGGTCTTCTCTCAGCAGCAACTTGAGAAACTGGAGTGACATTCAACCTCCCTGCAAGAAAGGTATTTTTCTTTTCTAAAACCCTTTAAGAAATTACAAACACCAGTCTACACGTACCAAAAGTCTACCACTAGCCCCCACAAGTCAATTTCCCTCCAACAGTAAAATAAGCAAATAAGAGCCTTTGGTCCTAAATTTCCCGGGGGCAAGGAAAAACGAAAGCACTGGCTGTGGGTTGGGTGGCAGTAGCTGACCATCTGAAAAATCCTTAGCTCCTCAGCGGAGGAGCTTCCTGTTAGAAACAACCGTTTTCTCCTGTTCAGGGAGATTTCCTAGAACCTATTCCCACAAGACCCGAGACTCACCCAAGTCTCAAATCCACAAGCAACAACACTAAATTAAGAATAATTTCTCTAAACTTGGCTGCTCTCCCAGAGTTCAGGGCTGGCCTCGCCCGAAAAGCAGCTGGCGGGAGCGGTTTTGAGCCACCAGCCTCCCAGGTTCGGGAGCTGCCGCGAGGAAGATGTCTGTGTCAGAGAAGCAGAAAGGGAAAACAAATCACAACTTTGCAGACTCCACTAAGCCACAGCCCCGCCGAACGGAAGGTCAAAGTGCGGAGGAGGGAGCGGCTGCGGTTTGAGGCCCCGAGGCGACGCGGCCCCGGGTGCGGCCAGAGCTGGCAGGCGGGGTCCAGCAGCCCGGGGGACCTCACTCGTCCCCAGCTCAGAGCCACCGCCCCGGGAGGGCAAGCGCGCCAGAGGCAGCCGTCGGCGCAATGCTGGCAACGCCCGGAGTTGCCTTGGAAGTTTCCCGGGACTCGCCGCCGCCGCCCTCACCTTGCTGAACACCTCCAGGTCGTCCTCGTCCTCGTCCAGATCCAGCACCTCCGCCTGCAGCAGGGCGGAAGAGCCACTGCTGCCCGGAAAGGGGGCGCCGCCCCCCGGGCTCTCCCCGTTGGCGCCCCCGGCCGGGAGGCCCGAGGAGGGCGCCTGCGATGCCCGGCGCTCGCCCTCCATCCCGAGAGTGCGCGCCCAGCCGGCCGCCACCGCCGCCGCCAGCCCGGCTCCCCCGAGCGTGCCCATTGGCTCCCACGTCTCCTGCACCTCCCCGGCCGGCCCCGCTCCAGCCCCTCGCCCGCTGCGCAGACGCGGAACTGCCGGGACCAGCGCTGGCCCGGGCCGGGCGCATCCCCACCTGGCCTGGGGCGGGCTGGAGGGGCGGAACTGGGACTCTCGGACTCCGGCTACGTTGGAGAAAGGGTTGGCTGTACCCTGGAGAAGAGGAGAGACTCAAAGGTAGGAGGTGGGCGTCCTCGCATTGACCCAGTCGGGGGCCACCGAGTGACGGTTTCCGCAGTGGCGGGGTCTGGGAAGAAGCCACGAAGCGAACCGTCCACTTCGCGGGATCCACAGCGAGGCTGGAAGGCACCCGACCCAGCCTTGCCAAGAGAAAAAAAAAAAACAGCAATAACAATACTGTATTTCCTGTATTCAGTGGTTGCCTTTCTTCTTGGTTGTGATTTTCGAGCTAATGTAAAAATAAAGACATGAAAACTTCCCGTTTTGTTAATTGATTTTTGACCCAGTGACTGGCCTGTGCGGTCATTTCACTGTCGAGCCAGGAAAGCTGAGCTTTACAAACTATTTTCAGCCACTTTCAAATGCATCTTTACTCCTGGACGTCTTCCTGAAGTTAATGAGCAGAATGTTACCAAGACCCAAGGACAACTAGCAAGTCTGGAAAATTGCCACCGAGAAATAATCTTCAGTCCTTGCATTGCCAAGGCAAAGCTTTAATTATTTAACTGCTTATTATTCAAAAACAAAACTAAGTTCCAAAACTAATGGAAAATTTTGCCCACGTTGATATATTCTTTAATTTATCTTCAGGTTTTATTTACTTCCGTCAGCCCCACCTCTTTTCTGTAGGCCCATTTAAAAATTTTTAAATACATTAAGCTCTATGTAAGAATTCCTTATTTGGGGAAATAGAGAATATCTTTATTTCTGATTAGAGGCAAGGCCTTAATAATATATTATCTCCTAATCATTCAAATGTATTCCCATTGATTTCAGACGTGCACCCACCCTTCAGTCAGGTTGGTCACTGCCCCATGAGTATCCACATTTGTTTCTGTGCTTGATGATTTCTGTACTTTAAATGCCATCTCCTGCCCATCCTTCAGAAATTAAATATAGTCCCATCTCTTTCAGAAAGACTTTCTAAATGACAGTCTGTTCTCAATTTAGCATTTAATTTTATTCCATCTTGCAGATTGTATTTGTTTCATGTACAAGTTTTCCATTCCTTAGTAAATGATAACATTTTCAGGTTGAGGATCCTGATATGTATTAACCACAGTATCAGATGTACTCTCAAAATGCTCTCTGCTAATTTCTGTAAATAATATAAGTTATTAAAAGACTTTATTTTTTCCTTGATAAGCTTATTCTGACTAGTAAGGAAGATTCAAGGTTTTCTAATTGCAATCTGAACCAGGAAATTCTTAATAATGCTGTAACTCACAGAATTGCTAGAAACCATAGAGAATGGGCTCAGAAAATGGGCAGAATAAAGCAAGGCTGCACAGCTTGGATTATAGCCAAAAGCAAGGCCACAGAACCAGTGGTACAGACATTGCTGCTACCATTGCCTGATACTGGTTGCCACACCATCTTCACCAGTGTCAATATTGTCATTAACACTGATGTTACTGGACTCCAGTTGCTTTCCCTGGCAGCAGTACCACAGCTACCTCTGAGAACTTCCCTGCTATTACTGCCACAAAAATGTCTCCATCACCCTGTTTCTCTGTGTTGATTTTTCTAGTATTAAAACCCTGGAGAGTATGTGTGCTTGGCCAATCTGGCCAAGTTTCATGGAAATTCCTAAGGCAGAGAATTTTCTAAACATAGAAAGGCCATATTGATGCTTGTCAACCAAAAACAAGAAAAATAGGAAGAGGGGTAGGATGAGGAAGAAGAGTAGGGAAAACGTGACTATAATTTGCCCCTTTGGCTGTCCAATTAATATTACCTTTCTTCACATACTCCCCCTACCTCCATGCTTTGAGCACCTGAGCATGCAGTTCACAGCCCCTCAAAGGGAGATAATCCCAAACCTACTCATTATTAGTACAACTCCAAAGCAGTATGTCTATTCCTCCTGTAGTCTCAGCTTCCTATTAAGTGGGACTATCACTGGGTTTTTTTGTTTGTTTGTTTGTTTGTTTTTGAGACAGAGTCTCACTCCCTCGCCGAGGCTAGAGTGCAGTGGCGTGATCTCTGCTCACTGCAACCTCCGCCTCCCGGGTTCAAGCGATTCTCCTGCC
The DNA here is from genome assembly GCF_000001405.40 of Homo sapiens. Lineage (NCBI taxonomy): Eukaryota > Metazoa > Chordata > Mammalia > Primates > Hominidae > Homo > Homo sapiens. Next base: position 98,659,416 of record NC_000001.11, on the reverse strand, counting down.
TCAGCCTCCTGAGTAGGTGGGACTACAGGCGTGCGCCACCACGCCCAGCTAATTTTTTGTATTTTTAGTAGAGACAGGGTTTCACCATGTTGGCCAGAATGGTCTCGATCTCTTGACTGCATGATCCACCCGCCTCGGCCTCCCAAAGTGCTGGGATTACAGGCTTAAGCCACCGTGCCCAGCCTATCACTAGGTTTTTTAATGGAAGAATTCTTACTTGGGTACTAAAGCCTTTAAACCAGCATAGTCCAAAACTTGGAGTGCAAGTATAATATTAAGAGCAGCCCTACCCACTCCTGTCCTGTTTAAGAGAAATAATATCATACATTAATTTATGGTTTCATGAATATACATCTTGTCAAAAAGCTTTCTCTCCCTTATACTTTCCAGATGGGATCTCTTCAGACCATAACTGGATCTTTAATATTCAATTCCACCATCTATGAAGTCTGCTGTTTCTAGTAATGGGTTTTGTGATGAGACAAGTTACCCCATGGGCATTGCCCAAAGGCTTTACTTCTTTTGCTAGAAAGTGATTTAACTAGTTAGAAAAAAATATAATGTGCAAAATCTACTGAGGAATAGACCAGTCAATAAGTTCATGGACGAGCGTGTTGAGGGAAATCTGATGAGCAGAAAAAGCAAAGCCAATTTGACTTTTCCACTAAAGACAAATCATGGCATCCTCCAGTGTGGCAGGGTAAGGGTCCTGCATAGTTGCTGTGGCAAGCTGAGTGCTGAGCAATGGAAGCAGCCAATTATCCTTTAGTGAGAGGAAATCCTTATTTTTGAGCCAATGCATAGCATAAATCCCTGCCACCATGGCCACATGGTATGTGAAGCCATAGAACAAGCACTGGAGTTTCTAGAAAAGCAGTAAGATTAACATCCACAGGAGAATAAGCATTATTTTCAAACTTATTTCTGATGACATAAATTCATCAAATGAAAAGGCTTTTTTGGAGAGCATTGTTGTGGGCTACATACAAATATGCTTTTATTCTGGGGCCATTCCAAGAAAGTCACCTACATACATTTTCTCAAACCTTCTTGACCCCGAGATCCTACCTTGTTTCTTCTAAGTCTCATCAAGTCAAACCTCTAGCCTTTGTCCTGGAAAGAGCATAGAAGCCTCATTCTAACTGCCCTTTGAAGCATAGTGGGCACTGTTGTATACCAAGAGGAGGATTTCCCTTGTCCACTGCCCTTTTGCACTGCAATAACTACTAACTGATTCCCGCAAATGATAAAGATCCATCTGTAAACCAACTTTGGAGTTTTTACCCCTTAGTTAACTGTTCAGATAAAACTCCCTATGAGATCATAGGGGTAGACCTGCTGAGAGTAAAAGCCAAATGCTCATGCAATGTATGCTTATAGGACCACTTTCAAATATTACATTTCCACATGAGCATGGCTTGCTGAAGTAAGGCTGGATCAATTTTAGGATTTTTTTCATTATAGCACCCATTTCATGAGGAGCTGCTTGGATCACATAGTCACCTGATGTCACATGCTTATGTATCTAGTTGATATTGTTTGGCTATTTGTCCCCTCCTAAAGTTATGTTGAAGTGTGATCCCAAATGTTGGAGGTGGGGCCTAATGGGAGATGTTTGGGTCATGGGGGAGGATCTCTCATGAATGGCTTGGTGCCCTCCCTGTGGTAGTGAGTGAGTTCTTGCTCTATTAGTTCACACAAGAAATGATTGTTTAAAAAAAAAGAGCATAGCACCTATCTCTCTCTCTCTCACTCTGACTCTTTTTCTGAATCTCTCTCTCTCGCTCACTCCCTCTCTTGTCCTATGACATGCCTGTCTGTGCCCCCTTTGCCTTCTGCCATGAGTGTAAGCTTCCTGAGGCCTCAGCAGAAGCCAAGAAAATGCTGATGCCATGCTTGTACAGGCTTCAGAACTGTGAGCTAAATTAATCTCTCTTCTTTATAAATTACCCAGCCTCAGGTATTCCTTCATAGCAATACAAAACAGACTAACGCACTCATCTTCGCCAAAACCTGGTAACAAGCCAATGGCTGGTTTCTTAAATCTATCAGAGAGAGCACATTTTGCTCTAAAACATTAGTCTTTTTGATTTTCTTTCAGAACTTGTCACAGGCCCCACAGAGTATCCTTATTCTCTACAGGCTCATCAGTAATATTAACAGTGAAAGGTAGGCCAAGCGTGGTGGCTCACGCCTGTAATCCCAGCACTTTGGGAGGCTGAGGCTGGCAGATCACGAGGTCAGGAGATCGAGACCATCCTGGCTAACACGGTGAAACCCTGTCTCAACTAAAAAAAAAAAGAAAAAGAAAGAAAAAATTAGCCAGGCGTGGTGGTGGGCGCCTGTAGTCCCAGTTACTCAGGAGGCTGAGGCAGGAGAATGGTGTGAACCCGGGAGGCGGAGCTTGCAGTGAGCCGATATCGCGCCACTGCACTCCAGCCTGGGCAACAGAGCGAGACTCTGTCTCAAAAAAACAAAAAACAAAACAAAACAAAAAAAAAACAGTGAAAGGTAGTGAATGTCTACTTGAGTCAGACACTCTTATAAGTGCTTTATGCATGGGCACTCATTTAATCTTCACAAACACCTTAGGATGTAGACGCTATTATTACCATCCCCATTTTACAGATGAGGAGACTGATGAACAGAGAAGTTTAGTAATTTACCCAAGGTAAGTAATAAGTGGGAAATAATTTACTCCTCACTGAAAAGAATGTTACATAATGTTGTCTTTAAAAATAGAAAAGAGGCCAAATATGGTGGCTCATGCCTGTAATCCTAGCACTTTGGGAGGTTGAAGCAGAAGGATAACTTGAGTAACTTGAGGCCAGGAATTCGAGACCAGCCTGGGCAACATAAGGAGACCCCATTGCTTCAAAAAAAAAAAAAAAAAAAAAAAACTTTTTTTAAATTAGCTGTTGGTGGTGGTGTGCATGCCCGTAGTCTCAGCTACTAGGGAGGCTGGGGTGTGAGAATCTTTTGAGCTCAGGAGTTTGAGGCTGCCCTGAACTATGATTGTGTTACTGCACTCCGGACCGGTGACAGAGTAAGACTCTAAAGAAAAATAAAATATAAAGGAGGATTTATAAGGATATTCAGGGATTCTCAGCTCTTGGAATTTAGCAGAACAGATAATTCTAAAATTCTTCCACTACCAATCCTGAAGAACTGTAACAAGAATCTTTAAATTCATGGTTGAATTTGCAAAAAAGTAATTAACTTTAAGGAGACAAGAAACAAAGTAACCTTATGTCAGAGAATGAAATTTGTAAATATTTGGGCTGCTAGTCTGCCTGTCCCCAGGGTGGAATGTGTAGGATTGGTCTCAATAATCTAAAGGTTTGTGTTTGAGCTATCATGGGAATAAGGGAAATATAAACTTATAAGAGATTCAGTCAATAACAATACTCTTTTGGATCAGCCTGGGCTCCACGTAGGAAAGATATCTGCCCGAAAATCTTACTCATGGTTTGGGAAGTCACAGTTCAAAATATTAAAAGTGTTCTTGAGTTAGTGATATAACTGGGAACTCTGGCATAATCAAATAAAAAGATCTCTTTCTCAACTCACTCTCGACAGTTTCAACAGATAAAACTATACTGCAGATGAGATCATAATACATAATTTAAAGCATTTGAGGAAACTATCATGGATCAGAAGCATCATATAAAACTTTTAGGAGTAGAGCCTCAAAGAACTTTAAATAAACAATATACAAAATATACATTATTAAATAAATAAAAGAATAACTACAACAGACTATAAAAAGAACCAAAAAGTCTAGAAATGAAAAGTATAGTCAGTGTGCTGATTGTTAATTCTTTGCCTCTCTGCTCCAAATGGACTCTCATTGCCTGCTCTGTGATAATGGAGATGAGCCTTATAGATATTTCTCCTTTGCCACCTGTCAAGATGTTAAACATTGTCAGTAGAGAATCTGGAGGGATACTGCAGAAGGAAAGGTTTTTCCTCTTCATGTTTCTGGTGTGCTCTCTTACCAGTGTCCTGCAGAGAGCTCTTTTTCTCCACTGTTCAATGTGAGGTTCCTGTAGGGCAAAACTTTTTATGATATTTGACTCACTATCAAACTCACACAGCTGTGTTGGCATAGTCCCAGATATTGTGGGCCTGCCCCCAGCCCAGGTTGCTGCACCCCCTTCCCTCTTCTTAGTTCCAGGCATGGACACACACCAGGACACTGTAGTCCAGCCATTCCCTGACGTCTGTCAAGCACAGCAGCCCAGAGCTGACCCAGTGCACTAGACTCCTGAAGAGGAGGACTTTGTGAGACTCCTGAGTCTGATAGTTTCCAACAGGCAGCAGCTTCTTCTGGCATCTAACAAGTTCTGAAGCTCAACACCTACCAGAGGGTAGATTTCCATTGAGTCCTACCACGAGGTACTTCATTGACTTCTCCAACATTCAGGAAGCTAAGGTGGAGCTAAGGTGGTGACATCTGGATCTCACTCCTAGCAAGAAAGGGCTTGTCCGTGGGTACTTATCTCAGCACTATGGGTAGTGGTCGCATTTTATATTATATTTGTGTACTTTTAGAATTATTTTGACTCTCATTAGCTAATTCTTCATCACTCCAATTCCCTGTTAATAATGCTTTATATAAAATTTTGCCTCCTCAAATGACTGTGTGATTTTTATTGCCTGACTGGACCTGGAACAATACAGAATTGCTACCAGGAATGGTCCCAGAAGATAGACCTACAAAAATGGCATTTTGGGAATCTCCTTACAACCAGGTGACTGAGGAAGAAAAACCTTGAGCCTGGCATAGAGCTAGGTCTTCACAATATGCTAGCACCATCTGAAAAGAGCAGCTGCAGCACTGCAGCCCCACTCAAGGGTAAACCTGAAGGGCAGTGGTGAAGGAACATTGTCCCATTGACCAGAACTTCAAGTGTGACATTTGGTCATCTATATGTCTGGAGAGAGAGATGACTAGAAATACAGGTTCATATAATGCATGGGTAGTTGCAGATAGTTTAGTCGGATTGTCAAGGACTTGGAAGGAACAGTTTTAGATGATTAGTCAAAAGGGAGCTTACAGAAGAAGTATGTGAGTTGACTTTTCAGAATGGCCACAGATTAAAATATTTGTGAATGTGAAATGCCCACCAGAGGGCCACTACTGCCCCACCAGAGGGCCACTACTGCAGAGGTAGCTTTAAGAGGGTAGAATTATGCACTCCAGGATGTCAGTCAACCTTTCTCCCTAGCCATTATATTCTTTGTTTGATGTGTCCACGAACTAAGTGGCTATAGTGGCATGGATGGAGTCTACGCATGGACTCAATAACATGAACATCCCTTTACCAAGGCTGATCTGGCTAATGTAACCATTGAATACCTAATCTGCCAACAGCACAAACCAACACTGAGCCCTCAATATGGCACCATTCCTGGGATATAGGGGCCAAGCCAGCCAACTGGCAGCGGGTTGATTATGTTGGATCTCTGCCCTCATGAAGTAGGTAGAGATTCATCCTCACTGAAATGAACACAATCTGGATATAAATATACCTTCCCTGCCATTAGTGTTTCTTCCAGCACCACTATTTATGGATTCACAGAATGTCTTATTCACCACCATGGCATTCCATAGAGCATCACATCTGATCAAGGAACTCACTTCATGGTGAAAGAAGTCACTGTGGGCTAATGCACATAAAATCAACTGTTCTTACTATATATTTCATAGGTTGGAAGTAGCTGGCTTGACTGAAAGGTGGATTGGCATACTGTAGACTCAGTTATGCTGCCATTTTGGAGACAACATCCTGAAATAATGGGGTTCTATCTTAGAGGATGCAATGTACACTTTGCATCAGAGTCCATTATATGGTGTGGTCTCTCCCATAGGTAGAACACATGGGACCAGGAATCAAGGAGTGGAAGTAGGAGTGACTCTTCTTGCTGTTACGCCTAATAATCCACTTGCAGAATTTTTGCTTTCCATCCTACCCCTTCTGGCCCAGAAGTAACTCATGTTTCTTTTGCTTGTGACTCATTGGCCAGAAATGATTGCGCAGCTCCACTCAACCTAAAGGGGGTCATGAAGTACAATCATACCCTGTGCTCAGTAGTCAGAGGTCAAAAATACTTGAATAGCACAAATGACAGTTACAACCTAAAAGCACTTAATTCTGGGTGATTAAAATGAGGTATAGCTAATATGATGGAGAGGCTATAACCCTAAGCCTGTGATTAACACCCAATTATTCTGCAAATGGACAGATCTTTACATGAAACTCCTTACTAGCTTAGAGAACTCAGGCATGTATTTTAAATTATTAGCTTCAATTTTCCCATCAACAAAGTAGAGATAATTGAAATATATATTCAAAGGTTATGAGAATCAAAGAAACTAATATATGTGAAATCATTTGTGAACTAAAGACCTATATCAATTTTAATTGTGTTATTACTATTACTGTTAATATTATTAATTTCAGTTGTAGCATATGGTTGCCAAATTTGACCCATAATTTCATTTGGACTCTCTCGCAATAATATTTGGGTTAGTTCTTGTAATGTAACATAATGCTTCGTAGCTTTGACTAGAATATGCGTTTTGTAAAAAGGTTTTCCTTACTATTATGGGAAACTGGCAATTTCAAGTCTTCTGTCATTTACTGTAACAAACAAATAAATGTGTTAGAATAATAAGGTAACATGATTTTAAACATCTTTAGACTAGCAAAACCCAAAGGATATGGAATACGCATGTAATTCCGTGACCTATTATGGCCTGCTTTTCTCTTAAACTGGATACAATAATCCTACTACCAAAGAAAGGAATCTAGGAATGATTTTCTTTAAAAACAAAAAGCAAATTTATTATTTAACAAAACTGAAAATACAGAGTAGGTCAAACTCTAAGCACAGTGAGATAATTGTTCAGTAAATATTACCTAATTAATTCTATAAATGAACTAATTTAAACATGGCTTAATATTGCCAAGCTTTTTTCTAAAGTGTTGATGTTTTTAACTTAAAATGAATATTTAGCTGTTTTTGAAAGCTTCTCAGATTCACTGTACTCAGCTTCCATGGACAGACTCACAGGACAGATCATTGCTATCACAGAATTTCATTTAAGTGGTACCAGTATAATGAAAATTTATCTGCTGTTCATTTCATTACTATAACAAGAGTTCCTTTGAATGTATTTCCTTTAACAAAACTTTAGAAAAAAATTGTTTTAATAAATCATATACATTTGTTGATGGCCTTAAGTGAAGGTGTTTTAGAATATAGAGGAACCATATCTTAAAAGCAAGACTCTGACATTTATTTTCTTTTTCTTTTTTAAAAATAAGACTTATTTATATATAATTCACATAGCATAGAATTCACTTAAAGCATACAAGTCAATGGTTTTGAGTATATCCACAGAGTTGTACAATCATCACCAAAATCAATTATAAAACATTTTCATCAACCCCAAAAGGAAGCTCTACACTCACTAGCAGTCACTCCTATTTGTCCCCAGTCCCAGCCCCTGGAACTGCAAGCCTACTTTTTATCTCTATACATTTGTCTATTCTTCACATTTCATATCAATGGAATCATATAATTATTGTCTTTTGTGGCTGGTTTCTTTTATTTAGCATAATGTTTTCAAGGTTTATCCATGCTGTAGCACATATTAGTACTTCATCCTTTTTATCACGAAATAATATATCTTGTTGTGTGGATATACCACATTTTATTTATATATTCATCAGCTAATAGACATTTACGTTGTTTCCACTTTTTGGTTATTATTAATAATGTTGCTATGAATAATTCATGCAAGTTTTTGTATGGACAGCTATTTTCATTTCCCATGGGTACATTAGGAGTAGAATTACTAGGTCATATTGATGACAGCAACGACCCACCTGGAGCAGTTGCTGCAAAGACACTGGCTGCAGCTGGGAAGGCACTACTGGGGATGTGCACTCCACAGGCCAGCTGGAGCCAAGAACAGGCAGAAGCCCCGCCCCTTTCTGAGTTGGAGGGGTGGGAGCCCCGCCTCCCTGGGCAAGCTGGAAGTCCCTCTGCCCTGGCAGACTCAGAAATGCCTGCTCCCACTGCCCAGCCTCTCCCCGCTCCCACTGCCATTCCAATTTTGGTACAAAGTTGAGGCCAAGCCTGGGCCCTGTCCTGGCCCAGCTGAGTGTGCGTGCACTCAGGGAAGTGCTGGCATGCCAGGGCCCTGCTGCCTTGGCCCCCTCTCTGGACTTTGGGTGCCGATGAGCACTGGTGGGAGGCTGAAGGGGAGCTGAGGGTGGCTCAGTGTGGGCCTGAAGGCGCCCCTCAGCACGAACATCCTGGGTGCCAGGGACATTAGGTTGATGGCAGTGGGAGGCAGACAGGCTCCTGGGCAGAAAGGAGTGGGTCCCTGGTAATGCCCCACCTTCAGGCCTGGGACAGCCTGAAGCCCGAGGGCCAGGCTGCCAGTTCCATGGACCAACATGAGAACTCATGGTGCTTTTTCCCAGCCACACATGGCTGCCCACAGAGCAATCAGCATGTACTTCCTCCCACCCGAAGCCCACAAAAACCCCTGACTCAGCCAGACTCGGGAAGACATCAGGATGAACTGCCTGCAGAGAGGAGCTACCCACTGTTGAGTTTCCTGTAGCTGAGAGCTGAGCAGACATTGAGACGACCTGCCTGTGGATAGGAGCTACCCACTCCAGGTATCTTCTCCACTGAGAGCTACACACTGGACAAGACAATCTGCCTGCCGATAGGAGCTACCCACTCTCGTTCGCCTCTCCACTGAGAGCTGCACTCGTCAGGATGACCTACCTGCGGAAAGAAGCTACCCACTTCCCATCTCCTAAGAGCTGTACTGTTGCTCAGTAAAGCACCTCATCACCTTACTGACCCTCCAGTTGTCCGTGTACCTCATTCTTCCTGGATGTGGGACAAGAACATAGGACCCACCAAACGGCAGGACTGAAAGAGTTGTAACACAAACAGGGCTGAAACTTGCCCCTTGCTTACCACATTGCAGGTGACAAGAAAGAGAGAAGAGAGGAGGAGAGAAGAGAAGAGCTGCAGCCCTTTGGGGGCCCAGACCTAGGATCTCCCTGAGCCAGGTCTCTGACACTCTCTTTGAGGCTCTGCAGTTTCTGGCATCTCCAAGCTTCCATGCACCACCATGTTCCCTGGTGCCAGCAGTGGAACCCACTTGCAGTACACCTGGTCCAGCCTCAGGATCACAGGGAGCTGACACCTGTGCCTGTACCTGGAGCTGCTTGCCCCACCACAGCCAGTGTGTCTGGACCCCACATTTGCTCACTCATGCACCCCTCACCACTCCACACTTGGTTCATCCTTGACAGGCATGGGATTCGGGCCAGTAGTGCAAACTGAGTGCAGCCTGCCAGGCCAAATGGGAAGAAAGAGCCCAGTGATCCCCAGCAAAACTCTGGCAAAGGCCACCACTAGCCACCAAGGTTTCCAGCTGGCAAAGCAACACCCCAAGGATCCTGTCACAATGTCATAACTCTGTGTTTAACCTTTAGAGGAATTATCCGATTGATTTTTCAAGCAGCCATACCATTTTACGTTTCCACCAACAGTATATGAGGATTCCAATTTCCTCACAATTTTGATATTACTTGGTATTTTCCTTTTGGTTATAGCCATTCTAATGAATGTGAAGTGATATGTCATTGTGATTTTAATTTGCATTCTCTGATGTTTAATGATATTGAGCGTCTTTTCATATGACTATTGGCCATTTGTTAATCTTCTCAGTAATGTATCTATTCATATCCTTTCTCCAATTTTTAAATTTGGCCATTTGTCTTTATTATAGTGATATAAGAGTTCCTTAGAATTATAGATGAAGTCTCTTATGACTTATATTTTATATACTTTCTCACATTTCTTATATTTTCTCACATCCTATGAGTTGTCTTTTCACTTCCTTGTTGACATCCTTTAAATAAAAAAAGTTTTTAATTTTGATGGTGTTCAATTTATTTATTTTTACTCTTGTTCTTTTAGTGTCATGTGTAAGAAAGTTTTGCCTTAATTCTAGATCATTGCTATGGTCTGAGTGTTAGTGCCTCCCAAAGTTGATATGTTGAAATCCTGACTCCCAGGATGATGAGATAATTATAGCAGAGTACTCAAGAATGGAATTAGTGTGTTTATAAAAGAGAAAAGAGACCCCAGAAAGCTAGTCTCTTCTGACATGTGATGTTATAGTAAAAGGATAACCATCCATGAACCTGTAAGACCCTCACCAGACACTGAGTTTGCCAGCACCTTAATCTTGGATTTTCCAGGCTCCAAAAGGAAATCATTAAATTTTCTGGAAACTTTAAAATAACTTTCTGTTTATTTGTAACTACCCCATTGTGGTATTTTGGTATAGCAGTTCAAATGGACTAAAACAGAAAATCGGTACTGAGAAGTGGGGGTGCTCCTGTAACAAATACCTAAAAATATGGAAGCAGCTTTGGAACTGGGTAATGGGTATAGGCTTGAAGCATTTTGAGGTACATTCTAGAAAAAGACTGAATTGCGGTGAACAGAACATCAAAGAAAATTTTGATGAAGAAATAGAAGAAGAAGAGGGGTGTAGAGAGACCTCAGTCTTCTTAGAGAACATCTAAGTGGTCATGAACATAATGTTGATAGAAATATAGATAGCAGAGGCCATTCTGATGAGGTCTCAGACAGAGCGGAATATAATATTGGACAACTGGGAAAAGGCCATCCTTATTATAAAGTGACAAAGAACTTGGCTTAATTATGTTTATGTCCTAATCATGTGTGGAAGATAGAACTTTGAGCAATAAAATTGGATATTTGGCTGTGATAATTTCTAAGCAAAGCATTTAAGGAGCAGCATGGTTGGACTTTTTAATTGAGTGCTTATAGTAAAACGCAAGAAAGGAGATGACTTAATAATGAAATAGTTAATCAAAAAGGAGCAAAATGTAAAAATTTGGAAAATTATCAGCCTATCCATACTGGAGAAAATGAGAAAGCTTTTTGGGAAAGAATACAAATGGTGTGACAAAACTTAATGAGTTTATTATGGATCAACCATCCCATCAAAAGCTACGTGATATTCTTGTAGACAATGGGGAGATTTGTCAATCATCTAAACAGAAGCCAGGACATACTATCCAAGACAATGGAAGAATGACCCTAAAGCCATTTTGGAGGCAATCAAGGCTGTCCCTCTTATTACAGTCCCAGAGTGCAAGGGCATAGGAGGCAAAACTATTTCAAAGAAGGGGCCACCAATGCTGGTGCCACCTCACATGGCAGACTTGTTCCCCACATTCTGTCACAGCACTCTGCAGCCACCCCAGATGCAGCTCCAGTAAGCCAGATGCAGTGTGCATTGTGCTTAGCAAAGCTGTGAGGGTATAGCTACCTCTGTCTAGATCTCCAAGGCAGAGCACTGCTGTTGGGAAGAGCCACCATAGAGACTCCCCACTAGGACAATGCAGATCCATGGGAGTAGTGCCAACTCCACAATCCCATACAGACAGAGCCAAGAGCCTGTGATTACAGCTTGGGAGCACTGCAGGCATCTAACTTCAACCAGTGAGAGCTGCTGTATGGGTAGCATCCAGCAAAGCCATGCAGTCAAGGCTGCCCACATTTGCAGGGTGAGATTTCTACACCAGTGGACCTAGAGGGCAGAGCATCAAAGAAGATTATTCTTGAGACTTCAGTTTTAATATTGTTTGCTGTCTTGGAATTTGGACTTGTTTAAGACCAGTGGCTTCCTTTTGGACTTCCCAGCCTCCAGAACTGTGAGAAATAAATTTCTGTTGTTTATAAGCCATCCAGTCTATGTTATTTTAGCAGTTTGAACAGAACAAAACACTCACGAAGATACAAGATACACCCCTATGTTTTCTCCTAAGAGTTTCATGGCTTTACCTCTGCATTTGGGTTGGTGATCCATTTCGGTTGATGAGTTTATATTTTCTATATGGTGTGAGGAAGGGGCCCAGCTTCATTCTTTTGCATGTAGATACTCAGCGGTCCCAGAACCACTTATTGAGAAGATGATTCTTTTCTCACTGAATTTTCTTAACATCTCTGTTGAAAATCAATTAACTGTAATTGTGAAGGCTTATTTCTGGACTTTCAATTTTGATCCATATGTTTATCCATTGATCCATACGTTTATTCTCCTGACAATATTACACTAATGCAGCTTTATAATAAATTTTGAAATTCAGAAGTGTCAGTCCTCCAACCATGTTATTTTTAAAGATTGTTTTGGCTATTCTGGGTCCTTTCTGCTTACATATTAAGTGTAGGAACAGCTTGGCAAATTCCTTAAAAAGACACCTGAAAATTTTGCTGGGATTTCATTGAATCTTTTGATCAATTTGTGGAGCATTGCCATCTTAACAATTTTGAGTCTCCTATACATGAAGGGATTTTTCCATTTATTTGATCTTCTTTAATTTCTTTTGACAATGTTTAGCCATTGTCGGCATATACATTTAGAATTTGCTTTGTTAAATTTGTTCCTAGATATTTATTCTTTATAATGCTACTGAAATGGAATTGTATTATTAACTTGATTTTCAAGTTGTTCATTGTTATTGTATGGCATATAATTGAATTTTTAATATTGATCTTTTAAAAAACTTTTTATTTTTCATTTTTGTGGCTACATAGTCAATGTATGTATTTATGGGGTACAGGAGATATTTTGATGGCATGTAATGTGTAATAATCACATCAGGGTAATGAGGTATCTATCACCTCAAGTACTTATTCTTCATGTTACAAAAAATCCAACTATACTCTTAGTTATTTTAAGATGCACAATTAAATTATTATTGCCTTTAGTTACTCTGTTGTGCTATCAAATACTAGATCTTATTCATTCTTTCTAACTTATTTTATGCCCATTAATCATCCCCACTTCCATAACCCCCCTCCCCACTACACTTCCTAGCCTTAGCAACCATAATTCTACACTATCAGTATTAGTTCAATTGTTGTAACTTTTTTTTTTTTTTTTTTGAGATGGAGTCTCGCTCTGTTGCCCAGGCTGGAGTGCAGTGGTGTTATCTCAGCTCACTGCAAGCTCTGCCTCCCAGGTTCACACCATTCTCCTGCCTCAGCCACCTGAGTAGCTGGGACTACAGGCATCCACCACCACGCCTGGCTAATTTTTTGTATTTTTTCAGTACAGACGAGGTTTCAACTGTTAGCCAGAATGGTCTCGATTTCCTGACCTTGTGATCCACCCACTTTGGCCTCCCAAAGTGCTGGGATTACAGGCATGAGCCACTGGGCCTGGCCCAGTTGTTTTAACTTTTAACTCCCACAAATAAGTGAAGAACATGGGAAGTTTGTCTTTCTGTGCCTGGCTTATTTCACTTAAAATAATGTTCTGCAGTTCTATCCATGTTGTTGCAAATGACAGGATCTCATTCTCTATTATGTCAGAATAGTACTCCATTGGGTATCAATACATTTTACTTTTCCATCCGTTGATGGACACTTCGGTTGTTTCCAAATCTTGGCTATTGTGAATGATGCTGCAATGAACATGAGAGTGCAGATATCTCTTTGATATCTTAATTTCTTTTATTTTTGGTATATACCTAGAAATGGGATAGCTGGATTATATCGTAGCTTTTAGTTTTTCTTCAAGGACCTTCAAACTGTTCTCCATAGTGGTTGTACTAATTTACGTTCCCACCAATAGTGTACCAGAGTTCCCTTTTCTCCGCATCCTTTCCAGCATTTGTTATTGCTTTTTTTTTTTGGATAAAAGCCATTTTAACTGGGGTGAGATATCTCATTGTAGTTTTGATTTGTATTTCTCTGATGATCAATGATTTGAGCATTTTGCATATATCCATTTGCCATTTGAATATCTTCTTTGGAGAAATGTCTATTCAGATTTTTTACCCATTTTGAATTGGATTATTATTTTCTTATAGAGTTGTTTGAGCTCTGTATATATTCTGGTTATTAATCCCTTGTCAGATGGGTACTTTGCCAATATTTTCTCCTATTCTGTGGGCTGTCTCTTCATTTTGTTTATTGTTTCCCTTCCTGGGCAGAAGCTTTTTAACTTGATGTGATCTCATTTGTCACTTTTGCTTTGGTCGCCTGTGCTTGTGGGATAATATTAATCATTTATCCTACAACCTTGCTTAACTTGGTTATTACTTCTCATTGTTTTTAAATGGATTATTTAGGATTTCAATAAATAAAACCAAGTAATCTATAGATAGAGATAGCTTCACATCTTGTTTTCCAATATAGGTTACTTTAATTTTATTTTCTAGTTGTATTTGTCAGAGTTTTCTAGAGAAACAAAAATAATACAGGATATCTGTCTGTCTGTCTATCTATCTATCTATCTAATCTGCCAACCTATATTTATAAATAAAGAGGTATATTATAAGGCATTGGCTTATGTGATTATGGAGAGAGACAGGTCCTAAGATCTACAGTTGGCAAGATGGAGACACAGGGGAGTCACTTGCAAAATTGCAGTCTGAGTTTGAAGGCGTGAGAACCAGGACTGCTGATGGTATAGTCCATTCCAAAGGCCAGCAGCCTCCAAACCCAGAAAGAGGCTGATGTTTCAGTCTTGAGTCCAAAGGCAGTGTTCCATCTTGTAGGCAGTTATGCAAGAAGAGTTCCCTCTTACTCAGACTTTTTGTTTGATTTGGTCCTTCAACTGATTGGATGAGACCCACCCACATTAAGGAGGGAAATCTGCTTTATTTGGTCTACAAATTTAAATGTTAATCCATTTGGTCTACTCATCTCAGTCTACCTTATTCAGTTGACTAATTTAAATGTTAATCTTTTTAAACAATCTCACAGACACACCCAGAATGATATGTGATCAAATAACTCGGCACCCCATGGCCCCAGTCAAGTGGATACATAAAACTAACCATCATAAACTACCCTTTGTCAACTGCACCTGTGATATTGTGATATAGTAAGAAGTTAATAGTTGCTTTTTATCCCTGATTCCTGGGTAGTTCTCCTAAACCCCTTGTAATTTCTAAAGTGATTTTCCTGGTTGCCAGGAGAATCAAATATGTGATAAGGAGGTTGAAATTTTCAGCCCTACCCTCTAACCTCTAAGGAGGGGAGAGAAGCTGCAAGTTGACTTAATCACAAATGGCCAATGATTTAATAAATCATGCCTATGTAATGAATTTCTTATAAAATCCCAAAGGCTGGGGTTCAGAGAGCTTCCTGGTTGGTGAACATGTGGAGGTGCTTGGAGAGTGGTGTTCCTAGAAACAGTGTGGAAGCTCCACACTCTGCCCCCATACCTCACCCTAATTCTTTCTTCTATCTGTTTCTGAATTTTATCCTTTTATAATAAACTGGTAACCTAGTAAGTAGACTTTTCCCCCAAATTCTGTATTTCTAGCAAATTATTAAAACTGAAAATGGGGTATGGGAACCCTTGTTCTATAGCCAAGTTGTAGAGATGTTGTGGGTAACCTGAGGAGACACTACTCGCAATTGGCATCTGAGATGATAGGAAGTAGTATAGTGGAACTGAGCCCTTAATCTGGGGATATGATGCTAACTACAAGTAGATGGCTGCAGAATTGCATTTAATCAGATGACATCCAGTTGGTGTTTGTTGGATAATTAAATTGATTTGTTGTGGAAAATAAAACCACACACACACACAGAGACACACATACACACACACATCCCATGTCAGGAGTGAAGTATTGAGAGTGTTGGGAATGTACAGAAGAAAACCAGAGTTTTTCCTTTTCAGCACTCATACGCATCACCTCACTTTAAGCATACTTAATCTCCAAATAAAGACAATAACAAGGTCATAATTCCATCTAACATGATACCACTGTCCTGCATACGACTGTATATTCACTAACCCCTTTTCCAGAGGAGAAGGCAAAGTCTTTGAGTGATAATTACTCTTCTTTATATCTTGTAATTTTACTATGATGTAAAATTAACAATATCTGAATACTATGATATAAACTCAGTGTATCTTATATTACATGATAAAGGAATAAGAAAGGAAAGAAAGCAAAGACATTTGTTTTATACTCATGACAATTATGTCCTCATTTTTATAATTGGTCTTGTGGTTGTAGCTGAAATTTATAACTACCTTTTTCCATACCCATTCTGCATTCCCTTTGCCTTTCAGCAAGCACCTCAACTGGTCATGGCTCTTTCCCTGGTGGGATGACCCAAACCTTCATTCCTGAAGGGTCTGGACCATTAGTAATACTATGTCATTTGGATTGTTGTAGTTTTCCATTGACTTTAATCATAGGGCATGGTTATAAGATATGCCCTAATGAATCTCCTAAATTCTGGACACACTCTTTCTTACCTCCATTGTGGAGTAGTAGTCCAATTTCTTCTTGGTAGTTAGGATCAGTCACCCCAGCCAGCAAGGTAACTCCCTTCTTTGCCTGTTGGTTTAGAGGTATGAGGAGCCCCAAGTGGCTGGGCAGCAGTCTTCACATCCACTTTCATTGGTCTATGTCTGTTTTTAGGCCAGTACCATGCTGTTTTGGTGACTATAGCATTGTAGTATAATTTGAATTCAGGCAATGTGATTCCTCCAGTTTTGTTCTTTTTGCTTTGGATGGCTTTGGCTATTTGGGTCTTTTGTTGTTCTATATAAATTTTAGGGTTGTTTTTTCTATTTCTGTGAAGAAGGTCATTCACATTTTGATAGGGATTACATTGAATCTATAAAGTGCTTTGGATAATACGGGCTTTTTAACAATATTGAGTCTTCCAATCCATGAACATGGAATATTTTTTTTTGGTGCCCTCTTCAATTTCCTTCATCAGTGTTTCATTCTTTTCATTTTGGAGATCTTTCATTTCATTGGTTAAGTGAATTCATAGGTATTTAATTTTTTGTGTGGCTATTATAAATGGATTTACTTTTTTATTTCTTTTTAACATTGTTCAACATTGGCATATAGAACTGCTATTGACTTATGTTGATTTTGTATCCTGGAACTTTACTGAATTTGTTTATCAGTTATAATAGTTTTCTTACAGAGTCTAGGTTTTTCCAAATATAAGATCATATCATCAGCAAACAAGGATAATTTGATTTCTTTCTTTCTAATTTGGATGCTCTTCATATATTTTTCTTGTCTGATTGCTCTAGCTAGGACTTTTAGTACTATGTTAAATAACAGTGGTGACAGTGAGCATCTTGTTGTGTTCCAGGTCTTAGAGAAAAGGCTTTCAGTTTTTTCTCATTCAGTATGATACCAGCTGTGAGTCTGTCATAAACGGCTTTTATTATGTTACGTTCCTTTTATACCCAGTTTTTTGAGGCCTTTTTTCTTAATCGTGAAGGGATGTTTTGAATTTTACCAAATGCTTTTTCAACATCAATTGAAATGACATATGGTTTTTACCATGCATTCTGTTGATATAATGTGTCATGTTGATTGATTTGCATATGTTGAACCATTCTTACATCCAAGGGATAAATCCCACTTGGTCATGATGAATGATATTTCTAAAGTATTGTTGAATTTGGTTTGTTAGTATTTTGTTGAGGATTATTGCATCAGTATTCATCAGTGATATTGGCCTGTAGTTTTCTTTTTTTGTGTCTTTTTCCGGTTTTTGTATCAGGGTAACACTGGCTTGTAGAATGAGTTTGAAAGTGGTCTCTACTCCTCTATTTTCTGGAATAGTTTGAGTAGAATTGGAAATTAGTTCTTCTTTAAATGTCTGGTAGAATTCAGAAGTGCAGCCATTGGGTCTCAGGCTTTTCTTTACTGGAAGACTTTTTACTAAGTCTTCAATCTCATTATTTGTTATTGGTCTTTTCAGGTTTTGGAAATCCTGATTCAATCTTGGTAGGTTGTATTTATCTAGGAATTTGTTAATTTCTTCTTGATTTTCCAATTCATTGGCATTTAGTTGCTCATAGTTGCCACTAATAATCCTTTGAATTTTTGCAGTATCAGTTGTAATGTTTCCTTTTTCATTTCTGACTTTATTTGGATTTTCTCTCTTTTTTTCTCAGTCTGGCTAAAGATTTGTCAATTTTGTTTAACTTTTCAAAAAACAAACTTTTTATTTTATTGATCTTTTTTTTAAATTTCAATTTCATTTATTTCTGCTTTGATCTTCGTTATTTCTTTTCTTTTACTAATTTGGGGTTTGGTTTGCTCTTGCTTTTCTAGTTCTTTAAGATGTATTGTGAGATTGTTTATTTGAAGTTATTTTTCTTTTTTGATGTAGGCACTTATAACTATAAACTTCCTTCTGAGTATTGTTTTTGCTGTAGCACATAGGTTTTGGTATGTTGTGTTTTCATTATCATTTGTTTCATGAAATTTTCCAATTTTCCTTTTAATTTCTTCATTGACCCACTGGTCATTCAGGAGCATACTGTTTAACTTCCATGTATTTGTATAGTTACCGAATTTTCTCTTGTTATTAATTTCTAGTTTTATTTCATTGTGGTCAGAAAAGATGCTTGATATTATTTCATTTTTTCTCAATGTTTTAAGACTTATTTGTGAACTAACATATGGTCTACCATTGAGAATAATCCATGTGCTGAGAAAAAGAATGCATATTCTGCAGCTCTTGGATGAAATGTTCTGTAAATATCTACTAGATCCATTTGGTCTATAGTGCAGATTAAGTCTGTTGTTTCTTATTGATTTTCTGTCTGGAAGATCTGTCCAATGCTGAAAGTGGAGTGTTGAAGTCTCTAGCTATTATTGTATGAGGGCCTATCTGTCTCTTTAGCTGTAATAATATTTCCTTTATATATCAAGGTACTCCAGTGTTGGGTGCATATATATTTAAAATTGTTATTTCCTCTTGCTGAATTGACCCCTTATCCTTATATAATGACTTTCTTTGTCTCTTCTTATAGTTTTTGCCTGGAAACCTATTTTTTTTTTCTGATATAAGCATAGCAACTCCTGTTCTTTTTTTGGTTTCCAATGGCGTGGAATATCTTTTTCTATCCCTTTATTTTCAGTGTATATGTGTTTTTCTAGATGAAGTGTGTTTCTTGTAGGCAACAGATCAATGGGTTTTGTTTTTTCATCCATTCAGCTAGTCTATGTCTTTCTACTGGAGAGTATAGTCTATTTATATTCAACGTTATTATTGATGAGTTAAGACTTACTCCTGTCATTTTGTTATTTTTTCTCTGTTGTTTTATAATTTTTTCCTTTTTCTTTCTTTCCTGTCTTCCTCTAATAAAGGTAATTTTTATTTGGTGATATGATTTAGTTTCTTACTTTTTATTTTTTGTGTATCCATTGTATGTTTTTTTGGTTTGAGGTTACCATGAGGCTTACAAATACTATATAAAATACCATCCTTTTAACCTGATAACAACTTAACACTATTTGCATAAACAAGCAAAAAGAAAACTAAAAAAAACCTCTATGCCTTATCTTTATTTCCTTACTTTTTAAATTGTTGTTTCTATTTACATCCTATTGTACTGACTTTGTCTTGAAATGTTGTTGTAGTTATTATTTTTGAATGGTTCACTTTTTAGTCTTTCCACTTAGGATAAGAATAGTTTACACACCACAGTTACACTGTTAGAATATACTGTGTTCTTCTGCAAACTTACTGTTACCAGTGAGTTTTCTACCTTCAGGTGATTATTTATTACTCATTAATTTCCTTTCCTTTCTGATTGAAGTGCTCCCTTTAGCATTTCTTGTAGAACAGGTCTGGTATTGATGAAATCCCTCTGCTCTTGCTTGACTGGGAAAGTCTTTATTTCTCCTTTATGTTTGAAGCACAATTTCACTGGGCATACTTTTCTACAGTAAAAGTTTTCTTCCTTCAACACTTTGAATATGTCATGCCACTCTCCGGTTCTGTAAGGTTTCCACTGAAAAATCTGCTGCCAGGCATACTGGAGCTCCATTGTATGTTTTTTCTTTTCTCTTGCTGCTTCTAGAATCCTTTCTTTATCTTTGACCTTTGGGAGTTTGATTATTAAATTCCTTCAGGTCATTTTCTTTCAGTTAAATCTTCTTGGTGTTCTATAACCTTTTGTACTTAGATATTTATATCTTTCTCTAGATTTGGAAAGTTCTATTATTAACCCTTTCAATACACTTTCTAGCCCTATCTCTTTCCCTTTCTTCTCTTTAAGGGGAATAACTCTTAGATTTGCCCTTTTGAGACTATTTTCTAGATCCTATAGGCATGTTTCATTTTTTTTTTATTCTTTTTTTCTTTTGTTTCCTCTGACTGGGTCTTTTCAATTAGCCTGTCTTCAGGCTCACTAATTCTTTCTTCTGCTTGATCAGTTCTGCTATAAAAGGACTCTGATGCATTCTTCAGTATGTCAATTTCATTTTTTAGCTCTATAATTTTTGATTAATTCTTTTAAATTATTTTAATCTCTTATTAATTTCATCTGATAGAATTCTGAATTCCTTCTCTGTGTTATCTTGAATTTATCTGAGTTTCCTCAACACAGTTATTTTGAACTCTTTGACTGGAAGGTCATATATCTCTGTTTCTCCAGGATTGGTCCCTGATGGCTTATTTAGTTTATTTGGTGATATCATATTTTCCTGGATGGTGTTGATGCTAGTAGATGTTCTTCAGTGACTGGGCACTGAAGGGTTAGGTATTTATTGTACTCTTCACTGTCTGGGATTATTTGTAGCCATCATTATTGAGAAGGCTTTTCAGATATTTGAAGGAACTTTGGTGTTGTAATCTAAGCTGTTTCTTCTTTAGGGGCACCCCAGTAGCACTGTGGTTCTTACAGACTCATAGAAGTGCTGCCTTGAAGGTCTTGGACAAAATCCATGAGAATTCTCTAGTTTACCAAATAAAGACTGTTGTTCCCTTCCCTTACTTTCTCCCAAACAGAAAGAATATCTCTCTGAGCCACCTAAGGCTGGGGGTGGAATGACACAAACACCCCTGTGACCACCACCACTATGACTGCACTGGGACAGACTTGAAGCCAGCACAGTGCTGGGCCTCACCCAAGGCATGCTGTAATCACTCCCTGGCTACTGCCTATGTTGATTCAAGGCCCTGGGGCTATAAAATCAGAAGGTGACAAATCTAGCCAGACCTGTGTCTTTCAATTCAGGGTGGCAAGTCCCCCAAGAACCAGGTGGGTCCAGAAGTGTTGTCCAGGAGTCAAACTAGAGTCAAAACCTGGTATTCTGGTATGGTATTATACCATGTGTATTGTATTGTGGCTTAGGTGGCACTCAAACCACACAACACAGACCTTTTCAGTCTTCTTTACCCTTTCCAAAGGCAGAAGAGCCTCACCCCGTAGCCGCCCCCTCCACCCCAGGCCATAAAGAGTATTGCCGGACTACTACTGATTTTCCCTTAAGGCCCAAGATATCTTAAGTCAGCCTGTCATGAATGCTGCCTGGCCTGAGACTCACCCTTCAGGACAGTGGGCTCCCCTATGGCCCAGGGCAGGTCCAGAAATGCCATCCAAGAGTCAAGTTCTGGAATCAGAGAGCCCAAGAGCCCACTTGGTGCTCTACCCCACTGTGATCAAGCTAGTATCTGAAGCCAGCAAGTCTCAGAGGTTTACCCAAGACCCTTGATGTGTTACCTGGGTATTGCTGCTGGCTTTTCAGGGCCTAAGAGCTCTTCAGTTAGCAGATGATGAATACTGCCAGCACTTGTTCCTTTCCTTCAAGACAGCAGGCTCTCTTCTGGTCCAGGGTGTGTCTGGGAGCTAGGGCTTGGAACAGGGGCCTCTTGACTCTGTTCAGCGGCCTACCCTGCCATGGCTGGGCTAGTATCCAAGAAGTAGGACAAAGTTCTCCCCACTCTCCCTTCTCCTCTCCTCAAGTGGAAGGAAGTGGTCTCTTTTGAAGCTTCAAGCTGTACAGTTTGGGGCTAGGGGAAGGGTGATGCCAGCACTCCCTTGGCTTCCCCAGCTGGTATCTCAGTATGTTGTGTGCTGCACCCCAAATACCCCTACAGTACACTGTTTCTGGGCCTAACTCAGCTTGAGGACTCGCCTGTGAGTGCAGTCCTTATGGCCTAGACTGCCTTTCAAGTTTACTTGCAGACACAGAGTGCTATAGCTCATCATGGTGAGGTTTGAGGGAACTCAATTTCAGACCACTATGATCATCAATTCTCCTCTGACTAGGGCGGTTTAAATGCTCCCTCTGTGGGTTAGCATCAGCTGAATTTGATCCAGTTTTCCTTCCTGCTCTAACATGACAGCACTGAGTTCAATGTCTCACAATTGCTGTGCTCTCCCTCCCCCAGCACCCAGAGATGCTCACCGCACCACACCACTGCTGCCAGGGGTGGGAGAGGGTAGGCATCAGCAATTCAAGGCTGGTTTTTTTTTTTTTTTTTTTTTTTTTTTTATCTCTTCAGTGCTTCTTTCAGCAACGTGAAGTTAAAACCAGGTACTGTGAGTGATTTTTGGTTTGTACGAAGAATTTTTTTTCTGAGTATGTAGTTGTTAACTTGGTGTCCTTGTGGCAGAGGTTGATCAGTGGAGCTTTCTATTCTGCCATCTTGCTCTGCCTTCCAAGTTCTTTTTTAAAATCATGGTTTGCCTTTGCAGAGAGGGAGGGGGATATGAGAGGCCAAAGGCAACTTTAGCTTTTATTCGTAAGATGCATCAAAAAACTATCTCTAAAATTATTATAAAAGGAGAATACATTCATGTTTTCCTGGTTTATAAAGAATTTAAAATTTTTAAAGTTTCTTCTGTCAAATACACCAATTCAAGCATTGTGTTTCTTAAGTACAATACTAAATTGTTCTAGCTTACTCTTTCAACCATTGTCTCTATAAACATTCTAGTATCTCTTGAGGCCCTTTACTTCTCCCTAATACTTCTCTGTGCAGCTTAGATTTCCCAGTTCTTCAGTCCAAGTATTCTAATACTCAAACACCTTCTTCCTCTTTTCTTCTTTTGCTTGTGCCTCTAATGCCTCCAATCTTACAACTATTCCTTTCCCAGTATTCACACCGGAGTAGCTGAGTGCTCGTGGAAGAGAGAATCACTGAACATGACAAGTCATTACCAGCATAACTTTATAGTCACCCACTTCGACTGGATCCTCACTGATGCTCAGTTATTCTACTGTATTTCTTTGTTCAACTCTTGTTATTACTCCCTGCAATGACTATTTCAAATGTCTTCTGAAACTTGCTTGCCCAGCCTCCCTTCTTACTCTCAGCAGGTGACTTTATCTTCTACTTTATAAAGAAAATAGAAGCTCCAGTTTTCAAACATAAAGACCCAGTAACGTCTGCCTACATGCAATCCTGCTTTCTTCTTTTTTTAATGGAATCCTTGTCCCACTTTTGAAAACCTGGACTTTGTCAATTCTGCATATGACATCTGGAAATTTCGAGCCTATTTTGGGACTGCAAGAAGATTTATCCTGAAAACAAAACCAGCACGATGAATGTAGCAGACCAGAAATGGGAAAATATCTGCATTTTTGATAACAGTATTAAGTATTTTATCAAGTATATTTGGAAGTGACTTTATCAGACATGTCACAGTTTTGTATGAAGAATGAAATGATAAATATCTTTGTTATTTAAGTTATTTGAATTATCCCTTTTTCTTGGTATTTACATAGCAAAGAACTCCACATTCTGAAAAATAAATACTAAATTCAAAGAGATTTGAAAGTGGCTACATGAGAGATTCACTCCCAATATACTCCTACTCAGATGTGTAGCCCTTTGGGAAGCTAGCTTATTGTGACAGGTGACATGAGGTGCTCCTATTAGACTCTCACATTATACAGGACATGGACTCTTTTGTCTACTTCGATGAGGCTGAAAACTCTAAAATTCTATATTTCTGGGTTGCCAAAAACCTTCAAAACAAAAGCACATTTCATATATTTTGAATACTTAATTCAACTTTTTTCTGATACAGAGGTTGATCTGAAATACCTAATCTATTACTGGAAATAGATGCTATTATAGCTTTTAAAATTATAATAAGCTTTACTGGGCTGTAGATTACATTCAGTATATTTCACCAACTTTATTATCACCATTATTATTTGAAATAGAGTCTTGCTCTGTCATCCAGGCTGGAGTGCAGTGTCATGATCTCGGCTCACTGCAACCTCCACCTCCCATGCAAAAGCATTCCTCCCACCTCAGCCTCCAGAGTAGCTAAGATTACAGGTGTGCACCACCGTGCCTGGCTAATTTTTTTTGAATTTTAATAGAGATGGAGTTTCACCATGTTGGTCAGGCTGGTCTTGAACTCCTGACCTCAGGTAATCGCCTGCCTTGTCCTCCCAAAGTGCTGGGATTACAGGCATGAGCCACCACACCTGGCCATATTTCACTAACTTTAAATGTATAATTTGATGAGTTTTAACAATTTTATACAATTATGTAACCAGGACCAAAATTATGAAATAGAATATTTCCATCAGTCAAAAAGTTTATTGGTAGTGTTTGTCATATAAAAAATCTGAATTCACTAAGTTTAAATTAAAAACATAATATATTTTTCATATGTACATATTCTTTTTGTTTACTATATTTATATATAAAATCTATAAATAAATATTTCCTTTTACCCTCTTCTATATTATGTAAAAATTGTAGTATATTTTTGATTATATAAGCGAGGAAAGGAAAAGGACTTGTGTAAAGCAGAGCATTTTGAGACAACTGATAAAGTTAAGTCGCTTAAATGAAGGCATGAGCAGATGGTTGTGTTAACTTAAAAAGAAGGTGCATTTTGAGAGAGGAAGAGGACCAACATTATTGCAAGCTGACTATGGTAGGCACTTACGTATATCATCCCATTTTGTACTCACAAATAACTCATAACATTGATTATTTATAAAGTCACTATACCAATTAGTGTATAGGAGCTCAAAAGAAATATGTAAATTATCCCAGCTCACAGGGTTAGTAAGCAGTAAAACTGAGGTATGAATACAGATTTACTTACAAAGTGCTTTCTTTCTATTTCACATGATCATCCTGTGCATTGGAAGTAAAATAGACAATAAGTTCTTCAAAGATAGAAACTCTGCCCAAGGCACCATTGGGTTTGTATGTGTGTTTGTATGTACGTGTGTGTGGGTGTGTGTGTGTGTGTATGTGTTAAGTGGGGGGCATCCATGTGAGGTCTGATAGGATTTCTTGCAGGAGGTAACATCTAAGCTGAAACTTACGGGGAAAATACGGACAATCTCTGTGAGGTAAGTGAGGGGTAAATGTGTGAAGTGAGTTCTAGGAAGAAGGAATTAGATGTGTAAAGGCACAGAAATAAAGAGAAGCATTCTTCAGGAATTTAGCAGGAAGGGAATGGTGGGAGAAGAATTTAGAAAGGCAGATAACACGTTGGTCATTTAACAACAGATAGCTCGCCCAGAAGTATGTCTTGGATAGGATGGATCTGTTAGAATTGCATGTGGGTGCATATTGACTATAGTGGTTGCATAATATCTGGAGTAACTTTAACAAGTAAGGAGTTATTATTACTGTTGCTGTTATTTTAGACAACGAGAAGTCAGGCATTCCAAATATTAGGTAGCTGGTCAAGGTTTGATGATTCTTCTAGCTACACGCTTGGCCATCCTTACTGAACATGTGACTTCTGTTCTTCAGGTTTTATGATGACTGCTTTACCTTTATATACTGAATCTGCATTTTAGTTAGGAAGAAGTAGGAAAGGCAAATAGCAAAATGTAAATATCATCAATCTGTCCTTTCTTTTCAAAATCAGGGAAAGACATAGCGTTTTTGGAAGCATGAATGAGTAGTCACCCACTTATGTCTTATTAACTGCATCTATGTCATAAGGTCATCCCTAGCTGTAGAAGAGATTGGAAAATTCAGTTGTTTATTTGGTTTTCTTTTCTTTTTTTTTTTTTATTTAGGCAGTCTGGATTTGTTAGTAAGATCTTGAATAAACATCCAATAATGTTCACAGTACCCAACATATGAACTCTTTAATAAATAATTGTTAAAAAGTTCTTCAGAGAATACCACCTAAATGTTACTTTCAGGAAAATATGGAAAAGGTGAAATCCATAATAGGAAAGTAGACCTTCTTCAAGGTCACTTTTGGGTGTTTAGGGTGCCCTCAGCATAAACCATGAGGTATCATAGCAAACTCACCCCAAGATAATTTGTGTCACCAGATAGTAAGAAATAATACTCCATGACAAGCAATTCAACCAGAAATTATTTTGCCAAAACTTATTTTGCCAAAAAAAGTAGAAAGATGGATTGTCTACTTTAATTAAGTTTCGAATTCCTGATAGGAAGTGTCTGATATGTTATGTGTCACAACTTGCAGGTAGTATAGGGGATCTATACTGGCAACTAGAGTGATAGGCAATAGGGATAGGCACAACTCATTCATTAATTAATTAAGCATTTTCCAAGTGGATGCCTTTTGGTACGCTGGATCATGGCTGGGGCAATAGTGTGCTATTTTCTACAGTTACTCTCCCCTCTCCCCTGTGGTCATATTTTTTGACTACCACTTTTAATTTTTCTTAAAAAAAAGTTTGGTCCATTTCATTAGTACGCATGACCTGTATTGCAGTGTTATTCAACCTTCTTATTCCACAAGTTCCTATCTCTGTTTCCTTCATGACAGATACTATTCGATTGGATTTTGTGGACTCTGTGCTCCTGATTATTCTCTTACCTCTCTGGGTGCTCCTCTTTACTCTTTGTAAGGCTTTTCTTCCTCAACCTGTCCTTAAATGCCAATGCTATTCAGAATTTTGTCTTTTACCTCCTTCTCTCTGCACAAACACTCCCTCAGTTATATCATCCACTCAAAGGGTTTCAATGGTTTCTGTAAGTCAACAACTGTTAAATGTATACTTTTATTTTTTGCTCTTTTAAGCTTCAGATTAGCACACCTAACTCTCTGCAGGTCACCTCCCCTTTCAGAATCATTGATCTTAACATTTTCTAAGTTAAATTCAGAGATACTTGCAGATCTGTGGTCATATGGATCCAACAGTTCCTATGCAACAGTCTCTTCACCTTATTGCTGTAGTCCCTTCCCCCGCTTTCTGCAATGATCCTTTTGAATAAAGTTTCTCTCTACTAAATCAGAATTTATCTTTTATTTGATAATTAATGGTTCCTTGCCTTCAAGGAAGTGCTGACCACCCCTTGGATCCCACTGTCTTCATCCAAGTATCCATGCTGGCTCTGGAAGCCCTTGTGTCCTTTCCTGGTGGGAGAAATCAGGATCCATGGTGATGCATCACAACTCCTCATTTAATCCAGTGCTCAGGATACTTGTCTGTTGTAGCATGATAGTAAGAAGTTACTTTTCTTCTTTGTAGCAAAGAGAGTTTCCTTCGCCCACTTCTATGAAGCCTCTTCCATGTCTTGAGGGATTCTTAATCTGGGGATTACAGATGAGAATTTCCTCAGCTTCCAGAACCTCAGAGATTGTGTGTGTGGTTCCCTTTTCCCTTGGTTCTCTGACTGTCTTAACTATATGATAATCCAATGAGTAACTCTCATTATGACTCCTTCTTTCCTCTTCTTCTCTGTTGACTACATGTGACAACATACTTCACCCTATGGCACTGACTCAGTTTAATATCCTCAGAAATAGTCATATTTCACCAAAAGCAATTTAGAACATAATGGCCTCTTTGCGAAACTTAAGAACTCTCTAAATTGGCTCATCTGACATCTTGAGATCTCTCCCTTTCCATTATTCCTGTTACCTTTTCTTCCTTTTCACCACATCGGACCTAGATTATTTCTAATATTCCCAGAAATTAATGAAAGTAAACTTATTTTGCCAAAACTTTGTTTCAACAGTAGTTATGTTTGTATGTAATACATCACACCAAAGTTTCTAAGGTCTTTCATGAATTTAAAACCTTAGGCTTTTGTAAATTAATTATGCAAGGTAGCAGGTTGTGTTTTGGTTAAGAAACAAGAAGAGTAATTTTGATCTAAAGTAAAATGACTAGTCATTCCAGGATGAGAAAGAGGGAAGTATAGGACAAAATGTGAATGGATATGAAAAGTTGTAGGAGGTTTGCAAAAAAAATTAGGAATTTTATTTCTTGTTCAAAGCTAAAATTTGATGGGTTTATTTATAGGATTTCTTAAAGAAGATTTAGTGTTAAATTTTATACTGTTAGAAAACTACAATTTGATTTTCTCTTCACTTAAAAATGACAATTTTTCTTCAATTAGTGTTCTGCTCTTTATAAGAGATTGTAAATAGTTTTTATTTACTTGCTGAGTAAGAAAAGATTCTGCATCCTATCAGAATAATTTCCTGAGCTTATGTTGACTTTAATTCGTTATTTCCCTCCCCAATCATGATTTTCCTCGTTTCCCTATTACAGCAAGTGGCATGACTATCAAACTAATCAGCCAAGTCAGATACCTAGATGTAAACGCTCCCTCTCCCTTCTCATCCCCATCATCTAATACACCAAAAGATTCAATTGATTCTTCCTTAAAAGTATTTTGAGACTGTCCAAAAATACACATTTCAGTATAATCAGCACATTCTTTCCCTCCAGTGAAGCAACGGAGGAAAGAAAGAACCCAAGTCATAAGATGCAACTGCACTGGTTTGTCTTAAGACATCACTCTCACAGGGATGGAAGACGGCAGTTTATACTTGTTTATGTTGGCAGACCAACGTGGGTATCAGAAAGTGATTTTTTACATTGAATAAAGGAAGTTAGAGGAATAATTTGTTCAATAGTATTAGGCTAAGTAAGAAACTGGGACATAATATAGCTATGATAAAGTAAGAGTGGTCTTTTGATGCAAATGGAAAGATTTGAAGTAATTGACTATAATTTCACACATTTATCTCAACAATAGGGATGGCATGCCAATGAAATGTAAAATACTTGGGGTTCAGGGGCTGAGACTCTCCATTCCCTAGAAGTTACTTAGATGGTCATAGATAATGCTTGCTTCTCTGACTCTGATTTTTATTTTTATTTTTTTTATTATACTTTAAGTTTTAGGGTACATGTGCACAACGTGCAGGTTAGTTACATATGTATACATGTGCCACGTTGGTGTGCTGCACCCATTAACTCATCATTTAACATTAGGTATATCTCCTAATGCTATCCCTCCCCCCTCCCCCCACCCCACAACAGGCCCCGGTGTGTGCTGTTCCCCTTCCTGTGTCCATGTGTTCTCATTGTTCAATTCCCACCTATGAGTGAGAACATGCGGTGTTTGGTTTTTTGTCCTTGCGATAGTTTGCTGAGAATGATGGTTTCCAGCTCCATCCATGTCCCTACAAAGGACATTAACTCATCATTTTTTATGGCTGCATAGTATTCTACGGTGTATATGTGCCACATTTTCTTACTCCAGTCTATCATGGTTGGACATTTGGCTTGGTTCCAAGTCTTTGCTATTGTGAATAGTGCCACAATAAACATATGTGTGCATGTGTCTTTAGAGCAGCATGATTTATAATCCTTTGGGTATATACCCAGTAATGAGATGGCTGGGTCCAATGGTATTTCTAGTTATAGATCCCTGAGGAATCGCCACACTGACTTCCACAATGGTTGAACTAGTTTACAGTCCCACCAACAGTGTAAAAGTGTTCCTATTTCTCCACATCCTCTCCAGCACCTGTTGTTCCTGACTTTTTAATGATTGCCATTCTAATTGGTGTGAGATGGTATCTCATTGTGGTTTTGATTTGCATTTCTCTGATGGCCAGTGACGATGAGCATTTTTTCATGAGTCTTTTGGCTGCATAAATGTCTTCTTTTGAGAAATGTCTGTTCATATCCTTCGCCCACTTTTTGATGGGGTTGTTTGTTTTTTTCTTGTAAATTTGTTTGAGTTTATTGTAGATTCTGGATATTAGCCCTTTGTCAGATGAGTAGATTGCAAAAATTTTCTCCCATTCTGTAGGTTGCCTGTTCACTCTGATGGTAGTTTCTTTTGCTGTGCAGAAGCTCTTTAGTTTAATTAGATCTCATTTGTCAATTTTGGCTTTTGTTGCCATTGCTTTTGGTGTTTTAGACATGAAGTCCTTGCCCATGCCTATGTCCTGAATGGTATTGCTTAGGTTTTCTTCTAGGGTTTTTATGGCTTTAGGTCTCACATGTAAGTCTTTAATCCATCTTGAATTAATTTTTGTATAAGGTGTAAGGAAGGCATCCAGTTTCAGCTTTCCACATATGGCTAGCCAGTTTTCCCAGCACCATTTATTAAATAGGGAATCGTTTCCCCATTCTATCTGACCCATCTTCTCTGACCAATATATAACACTCCTGACATGGAGGACATTTCTGATGCTTTCAGTTGACAGTAAATTGTGAAACTTACAGTTCAATTCTGTTTATCTCATTTCTGAATAATTAACATTTTTAGGTAAAATAATTTAAGTTCAAAAAGTAATATTCATTTCAATTCTCACTATATTTATCTAGGTACCAACACATAATAAATTTGAATTACTCATGAGAAATTAATTTTTTCCTTTTTCCATATTTTTTAAATTAAAACTCAAAAAGTGCTATATTATATAAGAACTAAAGTGAGACATTTTTATTTTCCAAAGATAAGTATTAAGGCAAAATTATGTGTCAAGTGATGATCCTTCTTCCTTTCCCACTCACTAAAGCTATTATTTCATGCCTTTGATTTTCTTCTTAAATTTCTAATGCTGACAGCCTATCCTCCTTGCCTAAAAAAATCTGTAATTGCTATCACATTTCAAGAAAAAATTTCGAAACTATCTGATGGGAACTTAATCATCTTCCACCAGCAGATGTGTTGATGCCAACCTTCTTCCCTTGTTAAAAGGAAATAAATTTCCTTCCTCTTACGAAAGACTAGTCTCTTGTACCATGCTCCTGCTCCTAAGCCCCCTCATTGTCTTGCTGGCTTTATCATGTCATAAATTTGCAAGGTTTGACATAAATATCACAGGCTAGGTTACTGAAACAATGAAAATTTATTTCCTCACAGTTTTGGAGGGTAGAAATCAGAAATCAATGTGTTGGCAGGGTTGATTTTATTCTGAGGCTTCTCCCCTTTGCTTGTAGATGGCCATCTTTATCTTCTCCCTTTGTCTTCACATAGTCTTTCCTCTGAGCCTGTGTTTGAATTTCCTCATTTTATGA
Source organism: Homo sapiens (assembly GCF_000001405.40). Classification (NCBI taxonomy): domain Eukaryota; kingdom Metazoa; phylum Chordata; class Mammalia; order Primates; family Hominidae; genus Homo; species Homo sapiens. Next base: position 98,628,283 of record NC_000001.11, on the reverse strand, counting down.
GGACATCAATCATCTCGATTAGGCACCACCCTAAAGATCTGATTTTAATTTAATTACCTGTTTAAAAACTTCATCTTCAAATATGATATATTCTGAGGGTTAAGACTGGGGGTTAAAACTTCAACTTATAGGCTGGGCATGGTGGCTCATGCCTGTAATCCCAGCACTTTGAGAGACAGAGATGAGCATATCACCTGAGGTCAGGAGTTCGAGACCAGCTTGGCCAACATGGTAAAACCCTGCCTCTACTAACAATACAAAAATTAGCTGGGCATGGTTGAGGAGAGGCTGTAATCCCAGCTACTTGGGAGTCTGAGGCTGGAGAATCACTTGAACCCAAGAGGCAGAGGTTGCAGTGAGCCGAGATCACACTATTGCACTTCAGCTTGGGCAACAAAAGCTAAACTCCATCTTGAAAAAATAAGAAACAAAAAAACTTCGACTTATGCATTTGGAGAGAACACAATCCAGCCCGGAACAATCAGTTAGGGCCTTTTCTCTCTACCTTATCAAGTTTATTTTTTCTTTATGTCTCACAACTGCATCATTACCCAAAGCATAAAGCACGCTGTAGAATTTCCTATTCTAAAAAATCACCCTTTGACTCCACACTCCACTCCAGCTATTGCTTTATTCCTTTGCTCTCATTTAAGCCATGTTAGTGGCATCTCTTATACATGCTGTGCACATCTTCTCACCACACATTCACATCTCCCCCTTCTCCAATGTGGCTTCTGTCAACTTGATTTTATAAAATTAAACATAGTTGATGGCTCCTTCAGTCTTGATACAGTTACCTACCTTGACATCCGTGACATCTATAAAGACATTTTTGTTATTCAGCATCCATGCCTTCTTTCCCCCATCAAGTAGCAGATTTGAGTTGGGGTAGGATTCAGTCCACCCCAGTTTTAGCATTGGGTCTTTACTGGACACCTTGCCCTTGCCCATAGTGATTGGTTCAATACCAAGTATGGATCTGAGATTTATGTCAGTCAGCTCATAGCATTCACCTGATGACATTGGTGGGACTTTTTTTTTCATTGATTTTTTTTTTTGTTGTTGTTGTTGAAAGGGCTCTTCTTTCTCCTTTGGAAGAAATGAGGAAGCAAGTAGTTCTGTGTTTTGCTGACATCCATCTTGTGATAAAAATAACACTATCCTGGGGAAAAGCTACCACCTGGAAGAAAACAATTATGAAAGAATTTCAGAAAGACAGAAACAGAATCCTGAGGGACTCATGCCTGAAACTTTTTAAATCTCTGGACTTCTCACTGAAGACAGTCAGTAATCCCTTTTATTGTTGGTTAGATTGAGTTAGATTTTCCATTTCTTGGAACTGAAAGCATGTTAAATGAGTCAACACCTACTTGGCTGGTCTTCCTCCCATCTATGTCTCTCTTCATGTCTCTTTGTCTGTCACAGCATTCATCTTCTCACCTGAATATTTTAGTTTCAGTTTTCCAGGACATGGTTTTGGGCCTTATATCTTTCTTTCCAAACACTGAGGTGATATGTAATAGGGCACAGAGTGCACATTGAGAGAGAGATTATGTATGGAGCAGGCCCCAGGAAACTGTCAGGGAAGACCACAAGATGAGAGGAAAAGCTTCAGGAGAACTCCTTCTCTCAGGGACACACTATCTCACAGCAATCAATACATTTTTGGCTCGTCTGTGTGAGAGGAATACAAATGAAAAGACAGCTAAAAAAATTAAATTCTTGCCATATTTTATATGTCATGGTACAACTTCATTTTGTTTTGAATTTTTAACAAAGAAACAACATGATAAAATATATGTATTTTTAAAATTTTAAAAGTAAAAAATAAAAACAAATTAAAAAAAATAGAACTTGCCCTGTGAAGACAAAACAAAACAAGCAAGCAAACAAACAAAGAAACAAAATGTTCTTATAGCTGTGGTGAGAATAGCTCATTGAAGAGGCAAGACAGTGAAAGAGGGTCTCAAGTAGGGAGGATAGCCCAGGAAGAGATAATGGTGACATTGTTGAGGGGATAGACATGTCCAGCAAAATTCAAACCATTGGCCATGGCCTACAACTTCCTAAATGATAAGAACACTGACAACCCTTCCAATTTAACCCTGTTCCTCTTCCCCTTGCTCGTTGTGCCCTAGCCACATTGCTCTTCTTTCAGTTTCTAACAATTACAGAGCTCTACCATCAGCTTAAAATGTTGTTTTCTAAGTGAAATCAATCCTGAACATCTTGTCTGAGTTAACCATTCCTCTACCCATTATCCTGTATCACTTCATCCTATTTGTTTTCTACATAGTTGTTATCACAACTGTGTAATTATTTAATTCAGCATTTGTTTACTTATTTATTGTCTATTTCCTACTACTGAATTTGGAGAGGAGGAGTCCATGAGGAAACAGACACATCTCCTTTTCTTACCACTATATATCCAATATCTAGTAAAATGCCTGGCAAATAGGAAATGCTCATTAGATATTTATTGCACGAATGATTGATTGAGTATGGTTATCCAAAGGAGTTTCTTTAATATCATTATACTGTCTTTTCAGTAGTGAATCAAAAGCAATTTCCAATCAAGGTTTGAATACCAAATCTGTGGTTGAACAACCAAAAGTTTCAAATTTTGGCTTACAACTTAAAATTTTAAAAAAATTATCTTTATCTATCTATCTATCTATCTATCTATCAATCTATCTATCTATACCTATCTATCTATCTATCTGTATCTATCTATCTATCTATCTATCTATCTATCTATCTATCTATCTATCTATCTACAGAGAGAGAGAGAAAGAGAAACAGGGTTTTGCTACGTTGCCCAGGTTGGTCTTGAACTCCTAGCCTCAAGCAATCTTCCTACTTCAGCCTCCTGAATAAGATTTTGCTTATGCTTAACTCGGTTTCTGGTGCATTCATGAGATACCTTAGAAGTACATAATTTAATTAAAAATACTTAATTTACTTCTTAAGAGAATCTTGATGGTCCAATGTCAAAAAATTCTCAAATTAAAATTCAGAAAGTTATATAGGCTTTGATTTTTCGTTGTTAAGACTGCAAATTTAAGAGCTAGAGATACTATTTTAGGTTTTATTCAAGTTGGTATGAAGGAGAGAAAACATTTCAAAATATCTACATGGTAGCACTTAGTATGTTTTCAGTTGAAAGTAAAAGAAAACCTAATGAACACATAAACAATAAAGGGGAGTTAGCTCTGTTAACTGAAAAATGTGGTAGTTCTCTTTATAAAAAAAAAATCACTTGGGTGTTGAACTGAAAATTGATTGAAGGTGGGGCAAAGCTAGAGGCAGAGAAGCCAGTTAGGGGGTAGCTGGTATATTTTGGCGAGAAATTATAATGACTTTAGCTGAGAAAAGGTAAAATATTAGGGATCTAATCTACTTTTTAATTTTTTTTGAGACAGAAGTTCGCTCTTGTTGTCCAGGCTGGAGTGCAATAGCTCTGTCTCAGCTCACTGCGACCTCTGCCTCTCAAGTTTACGCAATTCTCCTTCAGTGGATCTCCCTGCACAGCATTCGAGCTCTGATGAGGAACAGACTGCCTCCTGAAGTGGGTCCCAGACACCCGTGTATCCTGACTGGGAGACAACTCCCAGTCGGGGCCAACAGACACCTTATTCAGGAGAGCTCTGGCTGGCATCTGGCGGGTGCCCCTCTGGGATGAAGCTTCCAGAGGAAGGAACAGGCAGCAACCTTTGCTGGTCTGCAGCCTCCACTGTTGATACCCAGGCAAACAGGGTCTGGAGTGGACCTCCAACAAACTCCAATAGACCTGCAGCAGAGGCCCCGAATGTTAGAAGGAAAACTGACAAACAGAAAGGAATAGCATTAACATCAACAAAAAGGACATCCACTCAGAGACCCCATCCCAAGGTCACCGGCTTCAAAGACCAAAGGTAGATAAATCCATGAAGATGGGGAGAAACCAGCACAAAAAGGCTGAAAATTCTAAAAACCGGAACACCTCTTCTCTTCCAGAGGAACACAACTCCTCACCAGAAAGGGAAAAAAACTGGATGGGAATGAGTTTGATGAATTGACAGAAGTAGGCTTCAGAAGGCAGGTAATAACAAACTCCTCCGAGCTAAAGGAGCATGTTCTAACCCAGTGCAAGAAAGCTAAGAATCTTGAAAAAAGGTTAGACAAATTGCTAACTAGAAAATCAGTTTAGAGAAGAAAATAAATGACCTGATGGAGCTGGAAAACACGGCATGAGAACATCGCGAAGCACACAAGTATCAATAGCCGAATTGATCAAGCAGAAGAAAGGATATCAGAGATTGAAGATTAACTCAATGAAATAAAGTGAGAAGACAAGATTAGAGAAAAAAGAATGAAAAGAAACTAACAAAGCCTCCAAGAAATATGGGACTATGTGAAAAGACTAAATCTATGTTTGCTTGGTGTACCTGAAGGTGACGGGGAGAATGGAACCAAATTGGAAAACACTATTCAGGATATTATCCAGGAGAACTTTCCTAATCTGGAAAGGCAGGCCAACATTCAAATTCAGTGAATACAGAGCACACCACAAAGATACTCCTCAAGAAGAGCAACCCCAAGACACATGATCATCAGATTCACCAAGGCTGAAATGAAGGAAAAAATGTTAAGGGAAGCCAGAAAGGGAGGTCAGATTACCTACAAAGGGAAGCCCATCAGATTAACAGGAGATCTCTTGGCAGAAACCCTACAAGTCAGAACAGAGTGGGGGCCTATATTCAACATTCTTAAAGAAAGGAATTTTCAACCCAGAATTTCATATCCAGTCAAACTGAGCTTCATAAGCAAAGAGGAAATAAAATTCTTTGCAGTCAAAGAAATGCCAAGAAATTTTGTAACCACTAGGCCTGCCCTACAAGAGCTCTTGAAGGAAGCACTAAACATGGAAAGGAACAACCAGTAACAGCCACTGCAAAAACATACCAAATTGTAAAGACCATCGACACTATGAAGAAACTGCATCAACTATTGGGCAAAATAACCAGCAAGTATCATAATGGCAGGATCAAATTAACACATAACAATATTGACCTTAAATGTAAATGGGCTAAATGCCCCAATTAAAAGACACAGACTGGCAAATTGGATAAAGAGCCAAGACCCATTGGTGTGCTGTATTCAGGAGACTCATCTCAAGTGCAAAGACACACATAGGCTCAAAATAAAGGGATGAAGGACTATTTACCAAGAAAATGGAAAGCAAAAAAAAAGCAGGGGTTGCAATCCTAGTCTCTGATAAAACAGACTTTAAGTCAACAAAGATCAAGAGACAAAGAAAGGCATTACATAATGGTAAAGGGATCAATGCAACAAGAAGAGCTAACTATCATAAATATATTTGCAGCCAATACAGGAGCAACCAGATTCATACAGCAAGTTCTTAGAAGTCTACAAAGAGACTTAGACTCCCACACAATAATAATGGGAAAATTTTACACCCCACTGTCAATATTAGATGGATCAATGAGACAGAAATTTAACAAGGATATCCAGGACTTGAACTCAGCTTTGGACCAAGTGGACCTAATAGACAACTGCAGAACTCTCTACCCCAGATCAACAGAATATACATTCTTGTCAGCATCACATCACACTTATTCTAAAACTGACCACATAATTGGAAGTAAAACACTCCTCAGCAAGTTCAAAAGAGTGGAAATCATAGCAAACAGTCTCTCAGACCACAGTGCAATCAAATTAGAACTCAGGATTAAGAAACTCACGCAAAACCACACAGCTACATGGCAACTGAACAACCTGCTCCTGAATAACTACTGGGTAAATCATGAAATGAAGGCAGAAATAAAGATGTTCTTTGAAAACAATGAGAACAGACACAATGTACCAGAATCTCTGGGACACATTTAAAGCAGTGTGTAGTGGGAAATTTATAGCACTAAATGCCCACAAGAGAAAGCAGGAAAGCTCTAAAATCAACACCCTAACATCACAATTAAAAGAACTAGAGAAGCAAGAGCAAACAAATTCAAAAGCTACCAGAAGGCAAGAAATAACTAAGATCAGAGCAGAACTGAAGGAGATAGAGACACAAAAAACCCCTCAAAAAATCAGCGAATCCAGGAGGTGGTTTTCTAAAAATATCAACAAAATAGATAGACCACTAGCCAGACTAATGAAGAAGAAAAGAGAGAAGAATCAAATAGATGCAATAAAAAAAGGAAAAAGGGGATATCACCACCGATCCTACAGAAATACAAACTACCATCACAGAATACTATAAACACCTCTATGCAAATAAATTAGAAAATCTAGAAGAAATGGATAAACTCCTGGACACATACACCCTCCCAAGACTAAACCAAGAGGAAATTGAATCCCTGAATAGACCAATAATAAGTTCTGAAATTGAGGCAGCAATTAATAGCCTACCAATCAAAAAAAGTCCAGGACCAGACATATTCGTAGCTGAATTCTGCCAGAGGTACAAAGAGGAGCTGTTACCATTCCTTCTGAAAGTATTCCAAACAGTAGAAAAAGAGAGATTTCCCCACTAATTCATTTTATGAGGCCAGCATCATCCTGATACCAAAACCTGACAGAGAAACAACAAAAAGAGAAAATTTTTGGCCAGTATCCCTGAAGAACATCAATGCAAAAATTCTCAATAAACTACTGGCAAACTGAATCCAGCAGCACATCAAAAATCTTATCCAATACGATCAAGTTGACTTCATCCCTGTGATGCACGGCTGGTTCAACGGGCGCTAATCAATAAATGTAATCCATCACATAAACAGAACCAATGACAAAAACCACATGATTATCTCAACAGATGCAGAAAAGGCCTTCGAAAAAATTCAACAGCTCTTCATGCTAAAAACTCTCAATAAACTAGGGATTGATGGAAAGTATCTCAAAATAATAAGAGCTATTTATGACAAACCCACAGCCAATATCATACTGAATGGACAAAAGCTGGAAGCACTCCCTTTGAAAACCAGCACAAGACAAGGATGCCCGCTCTCACCACTCCTATACCACATAGTATTGGAATTTCTCGCCAGGAGAATCAGGCAAGAGAAGGAAATAAAGGGTATTCAGTTAGGAAAAGACGAAGACAAATTGTCTCTGTTTGCAAATGACATGATTGTATGTTTAGAAAACCCCATCATCTCAGCCCAAAAACTCCTTAAGCTGATAAACGACTTCAGCAAAGTCTCAGGATAAAAAATCAATGTGCAAAAATCACAAGCATTCCTATACACCAATAACAGACAGACAGCCAAATCATGAGTGAACTCCCATTCACAATTGCTACAAAGGGAATAAAATACCTAGGAATATGGCTAACAAGGGAGGTGAAGGACCTTTTCAAGGAAAACTACAAACCACTGCTCAAGAAAATAAGCGAGGATACAAACAAATGGAAAAACAGTCCATGCTTATGGATAGAAAGAATCAATATCACGAAAATGGCCGTACTGCCCAAAGTAATTTATAGATTAAATGCTATCCCCATCAAACTACCACTGACTTTCTTCACATAATTGGAAAAAAGACTACTTTAAATTTCATAAGGAATCAAAAAAGAGCCTGCATAGCCAAGACAATCCTAAGTAAAAAGAACAAAGCTGGAGGCATCACACTACCTTACTTCAAACTATACTACAAGGCCACAGTAACCAAAACAGCATGGTACTGGTACCAAAACAGATATCTAGACCAATGGAACAGAACAGAAGCCTCAGAAATAATGCCACATATCTACAACCATTTTATGTTTGACAAACCTGATAAAAACAAGCAATAGGGAAAGGATTCCCTATTTAATAATGGTGTTGGGAAAACGGGTTAGCCATATGCAGAAAGCTGAAACTGGATTCCTTCCTTACCCCATATACAAAAATTAACTCAAGATGGCTTAAAGACCTAAAATCATAAAAACCCTAGAAGAAAACCTAGGCAATACCATTTAGGACATGGGCATGGGCAAAGACTTCATGACTAAAACACCAAAAGCAATGGCAACAAGAGCCAAAATTGACGAATGGGATCTGATCAAACTAAAGAGCTTCTACACAGCAAAAGAAACTACCATCAGAGTGAACAGGCAACCTACAGAATGGGAGAAAATTTTTGAATCTATCCACCTAAGGGCTAATATCCAGAATCTACAGAGAAACAAATTTACAAGAAAAAAACAAACAACCCCGTTAAAAGTGGGTAAAGGATATGAACAGACACTTCTCAAAAGAAGACATTTATGTAGCCAACAAACATGAAAAAAGATCATCATCACTGGTCATTAGAGAGATGCAAATCAAAACCACAATGAGATATCATCTCACATCGTTTGAATGGTGGTCATTAAAAAGTCAGGAAAAAACAGATGCTGGAGAGGATGTGGAGAAATAGAAACATTTTTACACTGTTGGTGGGAGTGTAAATTAGTTCAACCATTGTGGAAGATAGTGTGGCAATTCCTCAAGTATCTAGAACTAGAAATACCATTTGACCCAGCAATCCCGTTACTGGGTATATACCCAAAGCATTATAAATTATTCTAGTATAAAGATACATGCACACTTATGTTTATTGTGGCACTGTTCACAATAGCAAAGACTTGGAACTAACCCAGATGCCTGTCAATGATAGACTGGATAAAGAAAATGTGGCACATATACACCATGGAATACTATGCAGCCATAAAAAAGGATGAGTTTGTTTCCTTTGAAGGGACATGGATGACACTAGAAACCTTCATTCTCAGCATAAAAACACAAGAACAGAAAACCAAACACCACATGTTCTCATTTATAAGTGGGAGTTGATCAATGAGAACACATGGACACATGGAGGAGAATATCACAAACCAGGACCTGTCGGGGTGTGAGGGGCTAAAGGACGGAAAGCATTAGAAGAAATAGCTAATGTAGATGACGGGTTGGTGGGTGCAGCAAAGCACCATGGCACGTGTATACCTATGTAACAAACCTACACATTCTGTACATGTACCGCAGAACTTAAAGTATAATAATAATTTTAAGGCATTATTTCTTAACATAGAGAAAAGAACAAAGAGATGGAAAGTGTGAGATAAATAATCATATATAGATAATGAATCCAAGTGGTTTAAAATCCTATAAGTAAGATTTCTAGAATAAGAGAGAGAAAAAAGAGGGAAGAAATTATCAAAGAGCTAATAGAAGAAAAGTTGCTTGTGTTGAAAAGAGACACTGGCCTTCATATTGAAATGTTCACTGTGAATAGAATAAATGTAGATGTATCCTAAAATAGATATATCATCATGACATTTCAAAATACCAAGGATGAAGAAAATGTCCTAGAAGTTTAAATTGTGAGGGAAAAAAAAGTCATTTATAAACTAATGTTATTTATACTGTTATCTGATACCTCATCACTAAAATTAAATTCTAGAAGACAAAAAAGAAAATCCTCCTAACTTCTAATTAAAATTATTTTCAACCTGGAATTTTATACCCAAACCATGAATCAAATATATGGGCAAATTATGCCTTTTCTGAAATGCAAGTGTTCCAATCATTTACTCACTAGAGGATTACACTGAGCAACAGGAAGAAGAAAAATAAGAAAGAAAGATATATACCAAAATAAATGATGAAAATAACCCCAAAATCTAGTAAAAGCCATCCCTCAGATGGCAGTTTTGCAAGAGTACCTGGTTCCAATTAGATCAGAAAATCAATGAACTTCAGCAAGATGAATGAAGTATATGTTAAGAAACATATAGCATATTTAAAACATTGGATACAGGTGAGATAAGGAGAAAAGTATGTTTCTTCTTAGAATAAAGAGAAAGGAAAGGAAGCACAAGAAACATAAGAAAAATGGTAAAACTGTGTAAGTTACCCCTGGTACAGATAGGAGGGAAACTAAAATGTGGTGAAACATTTTAATATTAATGTATGAAAAAAAAAACAACTCATTTGGTCTGGAGTATTGTTCTTTTACAGGAACAGTGATTGCAGTTTTAGCATACTACCTTGCCTTGAGGTGAATCACATTTATATAGCCATAGTACTGTAAGTGTTTTTTATTGTTCATCAACTTTCAGAATCAACCTAGAAATAAAGCACGGAATATTTCAAGATGATTACAGGATAAATAATAAATGAGACTGCATTGTGAATTTGTTCACAGTGAATCTCTGTTATCATGAATCATTCTGATCATATAGTAGGCTATATAAATAAATGTAAGTATTTATTGACAGCGTGAGTACAACCAGATTTAAATACAAAAGAGATCTCCAAAAGTATAACTGCTCAGAAGTTAAAAATATATACATGTCATAACATTTTTACTAAAAAAATTTTTTTAAAATAGCAAACTATCTAGAAAATAATGAGAGAAGAATACATCACACCAAAATCTACGAACCCAGTGAAGTCTGAGCCAGAAGAAAATGTGTGGCTCTCTTTACCCTCATCACTAAAGAGGAGGTGAACAGCAAAACAAAACAACTAAACACATATCAAGAAATTGGAAAAATAACAAAAACAATAAAAAATAAAATAGGAGGTAGAAATTACACAATAGAATCTGAAATAATTAAGAGAAAAAATAGGATAAAGCCAAAACAAATACAAAGGCAAAGCTGCGTTTGTAAATTACCAAGGGAGATAAATTCCTCATGAAAACCATAAAGGAGAAAAGACAGAACCAAAACATAAAAGATTAAGAATGAGAGAGGTGTTGTAACTGAAACACAAAGACTAAAATAATTACAAAGGAATGTTATATAAACTCTATGGCCACAGAGTTAAAAACAGTAGGATGTGGATAATTCCTGGCAAAATAAAATGACTTAAGGTGACAAGAGAATAACAACAAAAACCAAAGAGAAATAAAAACTGGCTGGGCGCAGTGGCTCACGTCTGTAATCCCACCTCTTTGGGAGACTGAGGATGGTGGATCACCTGAGGTCAGGAGTTCGAGACCAGCCTGGCCAACCTGGTGAAACCCCGTCTCTACTAAAAATACAAAAATTAGCTTGGCATGGTGGCAGGCACTTGTAATCCCAGCTACTCGGGAGGCTGAGGCAGGAGAATCATCTGAACCTGAGAGGCGAGGTTGCAGTGAGCCGAGATGGTGCCATTGCACTCCAGCTTGAGCAACAGAGCAAGATCCTGCCTCAAAAAAGAAAAAGGAAAAAAAAAAAAAAAAGAAAAAGAAAGAAATAAAAACTACAATAGAGAAATTACATGCTATCTATCTGAAAGTTGAATAAACAACTGCCATTGAAAAAGTCCATAGGAGAAACATATTCTTTTTCTTTACTCCCTCCTGAAACCCCAAGAAAATAAGAGCAAAAGACTAAAAAGGGCATAAGCACATAAAGGCAAACAGAATAAACGAGAAGTTAACAAAAGACCAGAGATGAAGCTCAGCAAATGAAACTGAGGTGAGTGAGGAGTACCTGATAACATTCCAAAGCAAGCCTGGTGGAGTTGGAAGAAAAGTGGGGAAAGTGAAAAAAAATTGGCCTTTCAGAAACAGCGGTCCCCAAACTTTTTGTCACCAAGGATGGTTTCGTAGAAGACAATTTTTTTTCTTTCACCCATGGACAAGGGTGGCAGGAGTCAGGGGAGTGGGGGATGGATTTGGGATGAAACTGTTCCACCTCAGATCATCAGGCATTAGATTCTCATAAGAAGGGGGCAACCTAGATCCCTGGCATGCACAGTGCACAATCGGGTTTGCACTCCTATGAGAATCCAATGAGGCTGCTGATCTGACAGGAGGCGGAGCTCAGGCGGTCATGCTTGCTACCCCACTGCTCACCTCGTGCTGTGTGGCCTGATTTCTGACAGGCCATAGACCTGCAGAAGTTCGCATCCTGGGGACTGGGGATTCCTGAATGCAAAGACTGAAGAACAATTAGATACTCTGCATCAGATGCCTTTCCTTGTCCCCTGCAGCCAGTGACATTCCTTCTTCCCCTCATCAAGAGGAACACAGGAAATTAATCATATCTACCTCCGCTATGGATGCAAGCAGAAACTACCCTCCTAAACAACAGGGGATAGGTAAACTATTGCAGCATTTTTTAAAACCAATTTCAGGATACATGTTAAAGTATAAAACTTAACCTAGTATAATTGTAAAATTAACTTTTACTCCTTTAAAGCGAAACAGCCTATATATCACAATTTTTAATTACAGCAGCATATACAGTGGCTAAAACTGGAAAATATTTAAACATATTTATACATGAAGACATTGGGAACTATATCCTGCAGTATTATACAGCCAGTGCTGTTAATGAATTCCAGACATTACTGTTGACTTAGAGAGATTTACAAAGTATTGTCATGCCTACAAGTAGAAATACACCCATGTACAAAAATATATTTTCTAAAACAATGAATTTGAAAACCTATATGCATATGTATTTATATTTAATCTTATATAAATGTTTGGCTATGATCATGAAGTGTCTGAAGCCGAATTTGAGGAAATAAAAGGCCAAAGTGAGCTGCAGAGAAGTGGTTGGGAGGTGGAGGAAACACAGCTTTGTAAGTACTGAACAGAGATTGTAAGTGTGTCAGGTGCAGGGCTAGGGGTATCCTTCCTAACATTCTGTCCAGATAGAAGACTAAGGAGAAAAGAAGCAAGGCTTAGTGTGCAGGAGATGGCCGGAGGCTGGGGCAAGGCTTCTCCTATAGGCATCAATGTCCTGGGAGAGATAGCAAAATGAAGCATTTAAAAGCCTTCAGCAAAAGATTCCAGCAAGACAGCTTAGTTGCCCTATGGGAGTTTTGTGGGGACATGAATGATTCAGTTGCATAAACCTTAGACTCTAGATGAGGAACAGTGATGGCAATTTCCGAACTTTGCTGGTTTGTGGGGCAAACGCTATTAATAGGCTGAGCAGCTGTTTTGCCACTGGTTCTGGAAGAAAAAAAGCTAGCTGAAAAGCACTTGGTATAGTTTGATCTAAAAGTGAACACACTGGACAAATAAAATGAACAAATTTTATTCTCACACTAGCATTTGATTACTCTTTTCAGACCAATTTTTTTGTTCCTTCCACAGCTTCTTTTTTTTAATTTTATTATTATTATACTTTAAGTTTTAGGGTACATGTGCACAATGTGCAGGTTAGTTACATATGTATACATGTGACATGCTAGTGTGCTGGACCCACTAACTCGTCATCTAGCATTAGGTATATCTCCTAATGCTATCCCTCCCCCCTCCCCCCACCCCACAACAGGCCCCAGAGTGTGATGTTCCTCCTCCTGTGTCCATGTGTTCCCATTGTTCAATTCCCACCTATGAGTGATAATATGCGGTGTTTGGTTTTTTGTTCTTGTGATAGTTTACTGAGAATGATGATTTCCAATTTCATCCATGTCCCTACAAAGGACATTAACTCATCATTTTTTATGGCTGCATAGTATTCCATGGTGTATATGTTCCACATTTTCTTAATCCAGTCTATCGTTGTTGGACATTTGGGTTGGTTCCAAGTCTTTGCTATTGTGAATAGTGCCACAATAAACATATGTGTGCATGTGTCTTTAGAGCAGCATGATTTATAGTCCTTTAGGTATATACCCAGTAATGGGATGGCTGGGTCAAATGGTATTTCTAGTTCTAGATCCCTGAGGAATCACCACACTGACTTCCACAATGGTTGAACTAGTTTACAGTCCCACCAACAGTGTAAAAGTGTTCCTATTTCTCCATATCCTCTCCAGCACCTGTTGTTTCCTGACTTTTTAATGATTGCCATTCTAACTGGTGTGAGATGATATCTCATTGTGGTTTTGATTTGCATTTCTCTGATGGCCAGTGATGGTGAGCATTTTTTCATGTGTTTTTTGGCTGCATAAATGTCTTCTTTTGAGAAGTGTCTGTTCATGTCCTTCACCCACTTTTTGATGGGGTTGTTTGTTTTTTTCTTGTAAATTTGTTTGAGTTCATTGTAGATTCTGGATATTAGCCCTTTGTCAGATGAGTAGGTTGCGAAAATTTTCTCCCATTTTGTAGGTTGCCTGTTCACTCTGATGGTAGTTTCTTTTGCTGTGTAGAAGCTCTTGAGTTTTATTAGATCCCATTTGTCAATTTTGTCTTCTGTTGCCATTGCTTTTGGTGTTTTAGACATGAAGTCCTTGCCCATGCCTATGTCCTGAATGGTAATGCCTAGGTTTTCTTCTAGGGTTTTTATGGTTTTAGGTCTAACGTTTAAGTCTTTAATCCATCTTGAATTGATTTTTGTATAATGTGTAAAGAAGGGATCCAGTTTCAGCTTTCAGCATATGGCTAGCCTGTTTTCCCAGCACCATGTATTAAATAGGGAATCCTTTCCCCATTGCTTATTTTTCTCAGGTTTGTCAAAGATCAGATAGTTGTAGATATGTGGCATTATTTCTCAGGGCTCTGTTCTGTTCCATTGATCTATAACTCTGTTTTGGTACCAGTACCATGCTGTTTTGGTTACTGTAGCCTTGTAGTATAGTTTGAAGTAAGGTAGTGTGATGCCTCCAGCTTTGTTCTTTTGGCTTAGGATTGACTTGGTGATGCGGGCTGTTTTTTGGTTCCATGTGAACTTTAAAGTAGTTTTTTCCAATTCTGTGAAGAAAGTCATTGGTAGTTTGATGGGGATGGCATTGAATCTATAAATTACCTTGGGCAGTATGGCCATTTTCATGATATTGATTCTTCCTATCCATGAGCATGGAATGTTCTTCTATTTGTTTGTATCCTCTTTAATTTCATTGAGCAGTGGTTTGTAGTTCTCCTTGAAGAGGTCCTTCACATCCCTTGTAAGGTGGATTCCTAGGTATTTTATTCTCTTTGAAGCAATTGTGAATGGGAGTTCACTCATGATTTGGCTCTCTGTTTGTCTGTTATTGGTGTATAAGAATGCTTGTGATTTTTGCAAATTGATTTTGTATCCTGAGACTTTGCTGAATTTGCTTATCAGCTTAAGGAGATTTTGGGCTGAGATAATGGGGTTTTGTAGATATACAATCATGTCGTCTGCAAACAGGGACAATTTGACTTCCTCTTTTCCTAATTGAATACCCTTTATTTCCTTCTCCTGCCTAATTGCCCTGGCCAGAACAGACCAATTTTTAAAGTTTTTTTACATCATCTTCCAAATATGACAATTTCCATTGTGATTATTTTAAAAAACCTTTATGAAAAATGTTTTTGTGACATATTGTTACTTGATGCAATTAATAGGCATTCATTTATATTTTAAAAAGAAATTTTCTATAAATGTTTTCTTTATTAGTGTTCTAAAGAATCAATTTAGTCTACAAAAGCAGTGACTCATAATTTATGCCTGATTTTATTTGTCAGTACAGTTGACAAGTGAATAGCTTTTAAAAAGTAATTGATGTTAGTACTTTACGAATTGAAATACTGCAGACAGATCAAGTGAGAGAAACTGATGTGGCTTTTGCCTTTCATTAGAATCCATAAATGGAAGAAAGCAGAGTATAAGGATAGTACATACTCTGGCATACAATATATTTAATAATATCAAGGTCTTTTGAAAAATAATAGCAGTCTTTTAAACAGAATTAACTTTTGAATGTGGTATCACATTTTAAATTCACAAAACAAAAGTATCCATTCGGAATAATTGTGAAACTTTAGGTATCCACATTAGTAGTTACTATATAGGTAATTTCAATTTTCCAGTGTTAGTAAGTTTTGGTATAAAATAATACGTAAGTATTGTTTTAAGCTTTGTTACTTCATGAAAACTAAGGCAATTTCAGGTTAGTGTTTGAATTGAGTTGTTTCTAACAGTTTTATTTTTCTAAGCTTTATCAAGTTATAATTAATATAAAAATCTGTGCATATTTAATGTATACAATTTGATGAGTTTGAACATACATATATACTCATGAAAGCATTACTGAAATGACGGTGATAAACATATCCATCACCTCCAAAATTTTCTCAATGTCCATCTCACATTTTTGAGGGGTTGGTTTGGTTTCTTTTCTTTTTTTATTTTGTGATAACAACACAGTATTTCTACTAACTTTAAAACATTTTAATATAATAAATCTATTTTTATTTCAAACACAGAGGTATGAAAATAAACTGTTAATTCAAGTTTAATTTTTAATATAAAATTATATTTATTTACTCAGATATTTGGAATAAAAATACTTTTTCCCACAATACTGTTTTAAAAATATCTGCATATAGGACACATAAGAGTGCAGTGATTAAGATGTGGATACTGGACTCAGAATGCCTAGTATAAATTCTGACTTTATCCCTTACTTAGCAGCTATGTGATAGTGACTTAACATCTCCAAGCCTTTTAATTTTCTCATCGCCAAAGTGGAGATAACAGCTGTAAGAATTTAATTCCTCAGACAAACTTAGTAAAATGCCCTGCAAATAGGAAATACCAAATGAATATTAGTT
This sequence comes from Homo sapiens, assembly GCF_000001405.40. Lineage (NCBI taxonomy): Eukaryota > Metazoa > Chordata > Mammalia > Primates > Hominidae > Homo > Homo sapiens. Next base: position 98,611,852 of record NC_000001.11, on the reverse strand, counting down.
GTTACTGGAAAAAGAGTGCCATGCCCATGTGTAGAGGGCCCCTTATGAGCATGCTATGATCTGGCATAGCTTTAAACCCTTTCTGCTTCCAAACATCTCACATATGCAATAAAAGACAACATGGTGTAGTGAACAATGCATTGGATTTCATATTATAAAATTCAGATTATGATAGAATCTTTTACAGTCTGGGCACGTGGCTAAAGCCTATAATTCTAGCACATTGGGGTGCTGAGGCGGGAGGATTACTTGAGGCCAGGAGTTCGAGACCAACCCGGCCAACAAACCAAGACCTCTGTCTCAAACCAAAACCAAAACCAAAACAAACAAACAAAAGAAACTAACTCTACAAATTATATGAATTTGAAAAATCTATTTAAAACCTTAGTTTTTTAACAATAAAATTATAAAAATGTCTACATAGACTATTTTATATGTTCTTCTTTTTCCTTCCTCTTCTCCATTTTTACAATGTTATTGAAAAGATCAAAGAAGATTATACATATTAACCACAAAGAATTAATTTTTTTTAATTTTTATTTTTTAGACAGAGTCTCACTCTGTCGCCAGGCTGGAGTGCAGTGGCGCGATCTTGGCTCACTGCAGTCTCCACCTCCCAGGTTAAAGCGATTCTCCTGCCTCAGCCTCCTGAGTGGCTGGGACTACAGGCATGCACCACCATGCCCAGCTAATTTTTGTATTTTTAGTAGAGATGGGGTTTCACTATATTGGCCAGGATGGTCTCGATCTCCTGACCTTGTGATCCGCCTGCCTTGGCCTCCCAAAATGCTGGGATCACAGACGTGAGCCATCCACAAGGAATTTTACCATTAATAAGATTCAATATAGTGGTCACTGACATGGCTCCCAATTGGATTCATATCTTTGTATTGGGGCATTACTTCTCAAATTGAGACATAATAGCTATAAAACTTGCAGACAGATTTTGCTCCTTTTCCTTCCTTGCATTGTCGTTCTGTAACACTTTGGTCCTAGCTCATAGATACTTTATTTTACCATTTTACATCTCTATTTGGATTTGTTACTCACTTATTAGACTTAGCTCAGTAAAGTTTATACGAACTCAATGAACAGTTATAGAGTGACTACTATTAATGTATCCAACCAGTCAAAAGATGGTGATATAATGATGAATGTGATGCAGCTTTGCCCTTATAGTCTTGGCTTGATATTTTTAATACAATGAGGCAAATACAATAGTTACCTACCCACTAAGAGACCCAGAAGAGGAGAAATTAGTAAAGCTTCCAGCAAGAAGGGATGTTAAAAAGACAGAAAAAAAGTGATCTCTGAATAAGGCTTGAACTTAATCTTGAAGGATGAGTGAAAATACAGAGGTGAAGAGCCTGAGCAATGTAATTTTCCTTGAGCATAACCTGCAACCTAAGGAGAGAGAAGTGATAAGGCTGAAGGTATAGGTGGGAACATGTACCTTATGTCTATATGTAACCCTCATAACTTATGTAGTGTTAGGCCCATCATAAGAATTCAATAAATATTGATGGGCAAATGGAATAAATAAAGGATCATTCAGAACACAGTATAGGTCAATGTTTCCCAAAGAAAAGAATAATGGTAATAAATTGTGAGAGGCCACAAGACTATAGCTTGCCATTAAATTTCGAAGGAATCAGATAGCTAAAGAAGTAGCAGTAGAACCCCAAATGTAGACTCAAATAATGTGTTTGTCTCACAGTAAAATTGCTTAACAAATAGCTATGACCAGACAGTAAACTAACATTTCTGGATGCTGATTTGACAGTAGATTCAAGTGTCCAGGATAGGAAGAATAAACATGAGAGAACTGTAAGAGAATATGAAAGAATATTATTTTGCCGTTGACTCCATGTTTGTTTGAAGCTGATGGTGGAGCCCAGGGAACATTACCATTGGACAGACAACCCACCACAAGGTATTTATTTCTAAGGGGAAGAGTGAATAAGATAAAGTGAATTGACCTATTGCCACTTGAAGCCTCCATAGACTTGCCTGTATTTGTCTATTTCACACATAGTTCCCATGAAAATGAGAATAAAAACCATTTCAGGAATGTCTCCTTGAAAATATAAGTACATTTAATTCTCTGACTACCCATTTGTAGCATCTAAATAAACAATGTGGACAAAGGCAAAAAAAGAGAGACAAGGACAAAATGTAGTAAACACCGCACACCCCATATATGCCGAGCCAATACTTTATATGAACGAATAAAATTTGATGACATTTCAACTTGTTTTAGCAACTTTTTTCTTTTAATCCCAAAGCGCTTCCTTCTTAATTAAAATTTTATCTCCTAATGAAGTTGTTTAACCTGGTTAGCTGATCAAAGGGAATTAAAATTTCTTCAATGGCTAACGACAGCAATCTCCTGAAATATGCAGTTAGGACACATTCAGTCTGAGAATGAACTAAATATATGAAAGTGAGAAAATTTAATTTTGTGTTTTGAAGAGTCAAAAAAAATACAACTGTGATAGTATCTTACTATAAAACCCGTGAATATTTTAAAAGTAGTTTTAAATCAAAGTGGATTGAATCATCAAAGATAATGCATTTTAATAAAAGTTAAATACAGAATAACTTTTATCTAGAATTTCCCTAATGCTTATTTTTTCTCCCTCTCCAGAAAAGGCAAAAAGCCTGGGGAAGAGGAAATCTCAAATTGTTATCAGGAAGAAAATGTTTACAACATCCAAAGTAAGATTTGAGTTGATGGCTTTTTCTTAAAAAAATAAAAATACCACATCCTGATTTTATATTAATGATAATAAACCATTCTCTATCAGATAGGTTGCATGAGTTTTTCCCAGGTGCAGCTGACCTTTCATTTTTCCTTTCGTTGTTCTCTGGTGTGAGATTTTTATTGTTTATGAAGCAAATCTCTTTTATGTCCCCAGTGAATGAGAATATCTCCACCGTTTCACTACAATGGTTAAGTCTTCCTATACTAGGTCCTCCATTTACAATCTGTGTAAAGATTTATTTAAAATAGGGACAATAAGTTATTTTATAGTGTTGTTGAAATGATTGAGTTAAATGCCCAATAGATAGTAGACACTATTAAAATTACTCCTAAATATGATTTGATCATTGGTGTAAGCTTTTCTTTATATTAAGAATATATTCTTTAATACATACTTCTTCAAAAGCATTTCAAAAATAAGAAGTAGCTGTTGAATGGTATTGAATACCTGTTTAAACAAAACCAATCGATTTTGAAAAATTAAAAATAAGTTGCTGAGTTTCATTTAATGTACTTAAGATGTATGAATCTTTATGCAAATCAAATTGTCTTTATTATTTTTTTCGGCTTCCTTTATTGATTTTACTTTAGAGTTATCCTAGATATATCAAATTAATTGGGTAGCTCCTTATCATTTTTCTTGCCAGGAATAAATTATGCTAACATCAGAAATATCTATTCTTAAAAGTACTGAAAGCCTGTTTTCACAAAACTGTATGGCTCAGAACCTTTTGGGCAATGATAATTACGTAATACTTTCCCCCCAAATTATCTTACATAAATAGTCTGCATAATTACTAGATATATTTCTGCATCAATTATGGTAATATTTAAAATTTCTACAAAAACACCTATTTCATCGAGGTGTATTAGCTTAGGTTTGTACATAGTGTTCTTTTAAATTACAACAACCAATTATTATTAATTATTGCATTTTCTTTTTTTATTTTTCATTTTTTTTTAAATATAAGATAAGGTCTGGCTCTATTGCCTAGGCTGGAGTGTCGTGGCGTGATCTTGGCTCACTGCAACCTTCACCTCCTGGGCTCAAGAGATCCTCTCACCTCAGCCTCCCGGGTAGCTGGAACTACAGGCACATGCCATCACACCTGGCTAATATTTGTGTTTGTTTGTTTGTTTGTTTGTTTGTTTGTGGAGATGGAGTTTCACCACATTGGCCAGGCTGGTCTGGAACTCCTGAGTTCAAGCCATCTGCTTGTCTCAGCCTCCCAAAATGCTGGGATTACAGGTATGAGCCACTGTGCCTGGCTTTTTTCTCACTTTTTATAATTAGAATTATCTATTTTAGTTTTTCCAGTATACTTGTTTCATAGAGTTAGTAGTTCCAATATTTTCCTGATTTCTAGTTTTATTTTGTTATAATCTTAATTTGTTTTCAAATTATTTTCTGAATCTTTTAAAAGTTTTAACAATAATGTCTTCATGAATATTTATGAAACTAATTTATTGCTTTGTTAAATAGGAAAATCTTTGAGACCTATTTTTCTCTATCTCCATATGGTATTTTATTTGGTTTCTGTCTTTGATCTATTTGGAATTTGTTTTTATATCAAGTGTGAATTAAGTATCTAACTTTTTTGCTTTTCAGTAAGTGTACTTAGGGGTTCCAATGCTCTCTATTTAATCAATCATTCTTTCTTCACTGACTTGAAATACCACCTTTATGGTAAACTAATGACAGTGACAGTTGTATAGATTTTTGTGTTTGTTTATGGGTTTTTGAGTTTATTCAATTGATATATCTGACACCTGTACCACACTTGTAGTATTTGTGACTTGTTAATTCCAATATCTGGAGTTAACCTTGACATTCTTACACATTTCCTTTTTTCTTTATACTGCTTATCCTAGTATCAGTCAACAAATTGTCTCCTCTACACTCTTGAATAACTTTCTTCTCTTGACTTTCATTATTCCACATTCTCTTGGTTTTACTTCTATTCCTCTATTCAATCCTTTTTAGTCATCTGCAAACGTATTCCTCCCATATCTAATCTCTAAATGCAATTTATATAATAGACATATATAAAATAAATGAATTTATTACTTTTTCTGATTACAATAGTAATAAAAAGTTATTCACAATTTCAACACCACAGAAATACCTAATTCAGACTTCCAATTTTGGGTGTAAAGATCTAACTTGTATAAAACCAGTATTTCCACAAAGAACAACAGAAAAAAATATAAATTAAAAAATAAAAACTGTTTATAATTAGGTAACTATGAGGCAGTCAGACCCTGAGAGACCAAGATTTCTGAGAAAACAAAAATGCACTGAGGTTAGCCTAACATTCAGTGTCACCATATTCCTTGAAGTATTTGTTGTTTGTAAGTTGCAACTGAGAGTCTGAGAAGTCAAGCAGAAAGCAGTGGCCAAAAATCTTAGAAACCTAGCAGAATTTTCAGCACTATCATGATATGATGGAGACAAAATTCAGTTCAGGACTTTCCGAAGATAAGAGCCCTAGACATTCAGTTGGGATCCCTGAAGGGTTATATACTAGGAATAAGGACAAATAGAAAATAGGTTATTCCTCACAAAAGTTGAAACCCAGTTTTTCAACAACTCAGTCTATACTGGTGTAAGGTAATCTACTCCCAAGTCAGGCTGACAGCCAGACACAAATATAAGTCTTCTCTGGAGGAAAACAACATCACCAAGGACCTCATATTAGCCTAAATATGTGTGTACACATTATCTGGCACTAAAAACAAAAGGAAATCCCCATAGAACAAGATACACTTACATAAATGAAGGCAAGAGAAAAACATAGACAGTATAAATAGAACTACAGATGATTCATATAATGGACTTACTAAACTTAGACTTTCAAATAATGCCGATTCATATATGTTTTAAAATAGATGACAAAATGGATCATTTTAGTAGAAAACTGAAATCCATAAAATGAGCATGATGAAAATTCTAGAATGGACAAATAAAAGAATTAAAATTAAGAAATCAATAGATTGGTTTAATGGCAAACTAAAGACAGCTGAAGATAACATTAGTGAACTGGAAGAAAGGTCGGTTGAAATTATCTGGACTGAAGCAGGGAAATGACATAAGATACTCAGAAAAAAACTCGAAAGATGTATATAAATGATGAAAAGTTCTCAGATATTTGTATTATGAGTCTCAAGGAGAGAAAAGAATAAGAAGGAGTTAATATTAGAAGAGATATTGGCTGAATATTTTAAAAATTAAAGATTAATCAGTAAAAGATCCAAGAATTGCTGTGAACCCTAAGCAAGATAAATACAAAGGAAAGCAGATTAAGTCACCTCAAAGAGAATATCATAAATTGTCAAAAGGAAGCAGACACACTGCTTTAAAATAGAAAAATAAGAGGTTCAACTTATTTGAGAGAAGAACATTGTAAGGAAAACTAAAATCAGTGTTAAAGTGTTGAAAGAGACTTACTGCTAACCAATAACACTATTCTTCAAAAGTGAAGATGAAGTGAAGACATTTTTGAACGAGCAAAAACTGAGAAAATTCTTTCTCAGTAGAGTCACACAAAACTGTAACTAAAGTGAGTTCTGTAAGCCTGGGAATATGCTGCCAGATAAAATCATAGAAGTATAGAATGAAACCAAATAAGTACAAAAACAGTAAGAATGTGGATAAATTTAAGTGAGTATTAACTAATACTCTAATAATATTTATGGGCTTAAAAATAAATGTAGAATTAAAATACATGACAACAACAGCACAAGAGATGGAAGAGAGTTCAATGGACTTAAAGTGATGGCAGACCTTTAATTTGTTTGAAAAATGGTAAAAGTAACATTAGCTTTTAATAAGCCAATAATGCATGTTGTAATCAATATGATAACTATCAATGTATAATTACCAACCCAATGGGAGATGGAAAAAAATACTTGATTAATTCAGGAAAGGCCAAGATAGTGAAGAAAAAGGAACATAGAATAGGTAGAATAAGTAGAAGACAAATAAGTTGATTTTTTTATTTTCAAATATATCAAAATTTACCTAAAATAAAAAATTAAAATCAAATACTTTAACTATAAAATTAAAATCAAATACTTTCACATAGATTTCAGGCTAGGTGAAAACAAAGAATCCAAGTCTACATTTTTTACGAGAGACACACTATAAACAGGATGCAGAAATGTTTTCAAGGAATGAAAAACAATACTATGCAATTATTAACCAAATAAAGTATATTTAATTATCATTATATCCAGATAATTACACTTTAAGAAGTTTTACTAGAAACAATGGAAGACATTTTATAATGATAAAAATAGATAACACACTAGGAAGATATGAGTTCTAATTTGTAGCACCAAATAACATGGTCTCAAATTACATGAAACAAGTGTCAATTGAACTAAAAGAGACAAAACTACAAGCACGATGTTTTTAAAACCATTTTCTTTAGTATAATTATCATACTTATTTTCTACTTTCAGCAATTACCAACCCATAGCCAATAAAATTTCATATATATTTCTCTCTCACTTGTGATTTTCTTCTGAAGCAAATCCTAGATAGGATGTCATTTAATCTCAAAACATTTCCTTATATAGCCCTGAAAGGAAAAAGCCTCTTAATAACATGGCCATACTATCTTCCACACAGTTTGTATATTTTTGACTGATTTGTTCTTTAAAGAATTGTTAAACTCCAAGTTATTTTTAAAATATAAGCTTTTATTATTCACTTCAAGTGTTAATATTTAATTAAATATGAGTTTGTGATATTAATATTTTTCCAGATATAATATCAAGTGTGCCATGTAATGGTAGGTCAATAATGCATCATTTCAAAACTAGAGACGTTTGGGATATGAAGAATCACAATGAAGAAACTGAAGAACCATAGGATAAATAGTTTATAAATAAATTGGAGGACATATATGGTGACAACAAGCTTAGGTAACAGTGAAATGGTCCACTAGATTTCTGCTTTCTGGTGTCCTTTCAGGATAGGGGGATAGTTAAAAATGTTAAAAGGACTACATTATTCCAACACATATCAAAGCATGCATTAGTGTTACGGATATGATAAAGACAAGAGAAGAACTCAGTGCAGTCTTAAGGAAAGGGGTTTGCAGAACTGAACAAGAACGTGTGCACACCTTGAGAAATTCCACACCCTTGCCTTGTAAAGCCAAGTGGTAAATAAAACTGATTTGATACTGTTAAGGTCTTTTCATCTCTACGTTATTCCACGGGCCTCAAGGAAGCCTACATTTGGTTAGGGTATCCTTTATTGCAGGTAGTCAGAGAAAATATTTTACTTCTTGGAAATTCTTTCAGTCTATAGTAGACCATTTTTTTTTTTGGAAATAATTCCATGGAATCTCAACAAAAAGGGCATATCCTTTGTTTCTATTATCCAAACTTATTTCTGTTTATTGGGTTTTTTTTCATATGCATAGGTTCTATGCCATGTTTATTAGGTTTTATTCAGCAATTTTATTTAAAAGTCCTCTCTCTCCGTATTCTTTTCTACTCAAATAGTCAGGCACTAGTATTAGTGTGTTCAGTATCCCAATATCATTGTGTTTCTCTAAATTCCTGCTTGTGTTTTCAAACTTTTATAATCTAGACAGCTTGATGATAAACTATTTGCCAATAACAAATAACAGTGATATATTTTTATCAGCAGATTGTGAATTTTGTTAGCATAAAATTACTCACATTGTTTCATTGTGAACAAAGATTTTGATAATATTTTCACTTCTCTCTTTTTCCTTATGATTGCTTGATGCACACACACACACACACGTACACACAAATGCTACTATCTGTAAAATATTTTAATTTTAATTATTTAATTATTTGTTTGGTTTGTTTTTTTGTTTTGAGACAAGGTCCCTATGTTGCCCAAACTGGTGTCTAACTCCAGGGCTCAAATGATCCTCCTGCCTCAACCTCACAAGCAGCTGAGACTACAGGCACATGCCACTGAGCTGGGCTAAACATTTTATTTAAAATAAATAGGATTGGCAAGTATTAGAACAGTCCTTCAGATCACTGATTCAGTGACAATAATCATTGGCAGCTTCTTGTAGTATCCATTTTCCCAGAAATATTCCACACAAATAGATACATATATAAATTCATTTAGTCACACTTCATTACCTCCAAATATGAAATATCCACTTTGTCTTGCATCTTGTTTTTGACTTTATAAATTTATCTTTAATGTATTCCATATCAACACATAGAGATAGAGATATGCCCCATTCTTTTTCATTACTACAAACTATGTCATTGTGTGGGTGAACCATTATTTATTTAATCATTTATGGACATCTATAAAACCAAATCTTTTGTTACTAGACAAGGCTTCAATAAATAGCTTGCATATATGCCATTTGGAAATTTTGATAGTATAATCTATAGGCATTTCTTGATGTTGAACTACTACATAAGAGTGTGTACAGTTCTTTTTTTATTATTATTATACTTTAAGTTTTAGGGTACATGTGCACAACATGCAGGTTTGTTACATATGTATACATGTGCCATGTTGGTGTGCTGCACCCATTAACTCGTCATTTAGCATTAGGTATATCTCCTAATGCTATCCCTCCCCCCTCCCCCACCCCACAAGAGTACCCGGACTGTACAGTTCTAATTTTCATAGACACTGCCAAATTGTTCTTCAAAAAGTTTATGTTAATTTACACTCCTACTAGCAATGTCTGAAGATGACTTTTATCACATACCCTCTCCAATGGTGTGAATTTTCTAATTTTCTTCATTTCCTAAAATAATAAAATATCCCCATTTTTATTTTGCATACCCTTACTTTAAAAATATCTAAACACCTTATATTTTTATTATCTGAGAACTGTCCTTTGCTTTTTTATTGCTGGTGTTTTCCTTTTCTTATTGATTTGACATGCCTCTGTAGATGAAAGAAATTAGCCATTTGTAACATGTGTTACATTTTTTCCTACTTTTTGTCCTTGGGCTTTCTGTTTTTATGCAAATATTTTAATTTTCATGCAGTTAAATTCATCAATCTTTCCCCTTTTTTTCTGGATTTTATTTCTTTTAAAGGCATTCCCAGTTCAAATATTACTGAAGAAAAAACCTTCCCGTATTTCATTTTAGAACTTTTATGATTTTACTAAATCATTGATATTTCAAACTTAACTGGATAAAAGGAATTTGAAAAAAAGGTATGTGGTAGTGGTTACTTTAATATCTTATATTGAAGAATCCATCCTTTCTCCACATTTATCACATATAAATTTTATAAGTACAGTTTTAATTGCTGTGCGTTTATAATGCCTGATGGGATTAGTCTTTTTTTGTTTCCTTTTTTAAAATTGGCTAGCTATTCTCACTGACCTGTTTTTCTCCATATAAACTTTAGAATTCTCTTGTCTAGCTTCAAAATATAGAGAACTGCAATATTTATAGTATTGGTTCCTCTTATCCAAGAATATGATAAATATTGGCGTTTATTCCAAAATTTTTGACATCTCTCAATAGCAGTTAAAGTTTCTATTATACATAGTGAACATTTTTCTTACTAAGTTTTTTCTTTGATGTCTCATAGAGGTTTCTTTTGTAAGTTTAACTTTTATTTCCATTATATTTTCTAATTGGTTAGAAAGGCAATAATCTCTTTTATATCTAGAAAACTAAGTAAATTATCTTATGTCTAATAGCTAAACAACTCAATCTCTTGAATATTCTAAGTATATAATAATAGGATCTGCAATTAATGATAATATTGCATTATCCTTTTAAAGTTTATGCCACTTCTTTTCCTTGCTATTTACCTTGGTTAGAGCTGCCTTATTAATAAGAGCACCAATCATGAGCATTTTTCGTATTTCTAGTTTTGATATTAATGTTTATATTAGAGCAAGAATCAGTCTGATGTTAACTTTTAGGCTGATATGTAAATACACACACACGCACACACACACACACACACACTCACACACACACACACAGATACTTTTCATGTATGCTTGAAAATAAAGATTAGAAATAGACCTTACTTGGAATTTTACTTGGAGTTTTACTAGTTGAATTTTCATAGGCAATTTTAATTTATTTTTAATTTTTAAAACTTTTTCCTGGTCGGTAGACTACCAGGGATATAGGCAATTTTTTAAAAAGAAGAAACTCATAGTATATATGCTGTACATCCCGAATAAGAAAAGGATTATTGGCCAAAAGAAGGCATTAAAGGCTTTAATGGCCTTTAGAAATGGTATCTAGTTTTCAGAGGTCATTCTCATCAGAACATGAGGTGGAACTTTATGCAGCAATGCTCAGTGTCCTTCCCTAACCTTGACTTTTTTTTTATCACATCATCATTTCATCTCTTCCCTTTTTCTCTTACTGCACCAGGTACTACACAATTTGTACATCCATTAGGAGATTTCAATTTCCAGGAAGCAAATGCTGGAAACAGTAGATGATGGGTTATACATTATATTCTGCATTATGTTCTGGAATGTGCAGTCATATTAGGAAAAGTGCTACAATAGGGCAATAAGAAGAAGAATTCTTGGTGGATGCTATGATTTGAATATGATTTTTCCCCTCTGAATCTCCTGTTGAAATCTGATTGCCATTGTGGTAGTGTTAGAAGGTAGGGTGTCTAAGAGGTGATTAGGTTGTTAAGAGAGATTAATACATTTCTTATGGGAATGATTAGGTATTTTGAGAGTTTGGCTCCCTTTTCTTTCACACAGGTATGATCTGTTTCCCCTTCTGCTTTTCTGAGTTGCTCTGAAGCAGCATTAGGCCCTCACCAGATGCAGCTGCCCAATCTGGTACTTCCCAGCCTCCAAAACCATGAGCCAAATAAACTACTTTTCTTTATAAATTAGTCTGTGGTATTGTGTTATAGCGACAGAAAATAGACTAAAACAGGAGGTGAGTGGTTAATGGACACACACACAAGTCCATGCATACATCCAAACATATTAGAAGCATAACTTAGTCTTTATTTAACACACCCTCATTAAAATAAGCTTTCTTTCTGTTTGAAAACATTCTGTGCTAACGTTGGAATCACCCAGAATTGACTAAAGAGTACATTAAACTTCAGTCAACTATAATTCAGTGAAGTAAGTTCAGAGCTTAGTCTAAAAAATATAAAAAGAATAGCCTTATCACGTATCCTAATTTTGTGTGAGAAGCTAAAGTACTTCATTTCACATTTCCTTCCAGTTAAATGGAGATGAAAATTGAGCTAGATCATTGGCAAGTGATAAGCTAAAATGTAGAAACAATTGCATAGCACCTTAAATATATAACTTTATATAAATGCTGTGAGAAGCAGAATATAATGAATAATCCATAAACAGCATTGAGCTTATACTTCCATTAAAAGCTGTCTTCCTTCAAGTCTTGAATATTCCATGAACAATTCCATTAATCTTTTATCTATAGCACATACAATATAAATCACTGATATGTTATATATAAACACCTAATAAAATGAGGTTTTTAAAAAATAACCTAAATTCTATTTTAATTCATCTTTTTACTTTTAAAAAGTTAGTAATGATAAAATGCAAAAATCCATTATTTTTGTCATATTATAATATAGTTTTAGTTTAATGTACTTTTAAGGCTTAGTGACAGATGAATTCACACCAGTCTTTATATATCATACCTTTCTGTCTTTTGTATTGTCATCTAAAAATAAATAATGTAAGTATAAACTTTTAATAAGGAGGTTCTATAAAGTACACTAATCATGTTAGCGTTTTTTTACTCTCTTTCTTCTTCTTCATTCCAAGCTCTTAATGATCTTCAATAATAACTTATGAATAAACTTGCTTATTGGTCTCTTTGTTGGAATTAGTCATATGGAAATAAAATTTCTGTTGTCTAGTTTATATATGAATTTGAGGATGAAGATTACTTGGTAGCTTTCAGATGGTAAACCAAAAAATGTTCCTGCATCAGATGTAAATGTTTTTCTTTTTTATATTAAACTTTTAACACCCATTTACTCGCCCATGTGAATACCTACCAGGGCAATGGTGCCATGAAGAATCAGGAGTGGACAGTTCCTAATGTGCTCTGATTTAAATTATAAATGATTGTCCTGAAATAAAGAAAATTCAAACACCAAAAGCAAAATTATTTTAATTCTACAGAAATGTGTTTGATTGCCTTCCATATAAAACGTATGTACCAGGTACTGAGGAAGTTTTTAATTGGTATTCTATGTTAAAAGAGAATTTTACTTCACTTCAAAAACAAATTTATGAAAACAAAAAGCTTTTTACAAAAAAATTTACAAAAACAAATTTTTCTTGGATGAAAGGTATGAAATTGAAAGATAAAACTTTAGAACTTTTTAGAATAAAATACAGAATGATATTTTTGTGACATTTTGTAAAACTAAGGTGTCTTATTCAGTTAGGACTGCTATAATAAAATATCATAGCTTGGATGACTTATACACATCAAAACCTTTTATTTCTCATAGTTCTAGAGGCTGGAATCCAAGATTAAGAGGCTGGCAGAATTAGTGTCTGGTGAGGGCCTGCTGCATGGTTCATAGACAGCAATCTTCTCACTATGTCTTCATATGGTAGAAAGGGAAAGGAAGTCTCTTTTATAAGGGTACTAATCCCATTCTCTAGGGTGCTGCTCTCCTAATTACTTCCCAAAGGCTCTATCTCCTCGTACTATCATATTAGAGATTAGGTTTCAACATATAGGTTTTAGAGGGGCACAAATATTCAGTCTATAGCAGAAGGCATTATTTTTAATATGTAGTCAAAGAACAGTATCTGAAGCTAAAGTATTTTAAAATCTCCTCTGTTGCTATAAACTTAGGTAATTTACTTAAGTTCTTTTTTCTTCAATTTCCTCACTTGTAAAATAGAGGGAATAATTTTATCTAACCCAAAGACTTGTTTTGAAGATAGAATTTGCTTAACTCACGTAAAGCCATTAGGAAAAGGCCTGCCACATAGTAGGTCTGTGGGTCGGCTGGGGCACAGACTGAAGGGCAGCAGTTATTGCAGGCACGCTCTTATTAAGGTCAAGCATAGAAGTACTCAGAGGGACAAGTAAAAACATGGTGATGCCTCTGTAAGCCTAGACACATGACACATTCCATTGGCCAAAACAAGACACATGGAAACACAACTTCAACGTGTTAGGGAAATGTATACCTCCCATGACATCGTTGGGGTAAGGAAGAAATATTTTGGAAATAGTATTAAATATACTACACTGTTCTTTAGGATCTGATTGGTTCTTCAGGGTTTGATTATGGAGAATTTTGGTGTAGGAGAGAGGTTTAAGAAAAAAGAGCAAGATTTTTGAATATAGGTTAGATTTCAAAGATAGAAACACAGAAACATTTGCATGTGAGGAAGTGGAGCAAAATAAATTTTAAAGAGCATGACTTTGATCTATGTTTTCCCTCCAAAGTTTTTAAGAAAGGCAAATAAGGAAAAAAGATATTTTCAAAGTATATTTTGCTAGCTGTTTCTTTGATTATGCCATCAGTCTGGGCAACCAAGTTACTGTAATCCCAAGAAGCTTTTTAAAATAATTGTGCAAAGTAATAATATAAATATCTCACTCACTTTTCCCATATAGATTTATTATCCATATGCAACTTCTAGTGATAATTCGTTCTATACCCTTTCCAAGGTTTTGAGTACATACAGATGTACCCAAATATACATGTATTTTATATGAGAAATATAGTGAATATATATTCATATATATACATATGTATGTAAGTATAAATTGATTGTTTAAATATCTCATAATGTATAGATCTACTTAATTCTTTTTAAATAAGACAATTCCTTGAAAATTCAAATGCATTTACTCTTTCCTGTGAACTTTAGAATAATTTTGTACAGTTCAAAAAATTCTGCTGATGATTGCATCAAATGCAGTTTCATTCTATTAAATATACAAATATATATATACACACATGAATTTGTAAAGGATTGATGTTTTAAGGGTATTAGGTCAAATGATAGTGAAACATGCAATGTTTCAGCATTTATTCAGGTTATATTATACATTTTTCAATAAGATTTTATAGTTTTGTATAATAAGTTGTAATTTCCTTGTTAAAATGCTCAACATGATACAGCAGCTACCATTCAGTTAGATCTTAATAGTTACCAAAATATTGAAATGATTTATTTACTTATTCATATATTTCATTGTCTTCTCATATGATAATTAATGGGTCCAATGATTCATTACTTGAGAAGTTGCCATATACTTGTCAGTAACTATATTCATTTTTCAGAAGCCATCAGCCAATTTATCAAGAGTCTATACCAAGAGACTAATGTGCCTGCAATTTTAACAAATATTGAATGCATTATACAAAGATACAAAATAGTGGACATGGTAAATGTTACACAAAGTAGAAATTCAATATCGAATTATAAAGATTTTATGTGCTTATAAATAATGATCATTCATTAGTTATCAATGTTAACATATACAATGACAAGTGTGGTTTGTTTGTTTTTTCCCTGTAGGAGCAATAGATCCTAGTGCAATTATTGCGTGAAACCATCAAAATAAAACAATCTCAACTGAATTTGGCAAAACAGACCTAAAGTTAAAAATAGTTATTTTACAATAGAAAACAATTTAGTAAAGGCATTGAGAGATTGTAGTTTGTCCTCTTCTACCTGGGTGTCTCTAAGTATATGCAAGGGGAGGTTATCTTTTTCTTTCTAAAGAGCAGGGGAAGGTTTCCGCATCAGTACAGTATCCTACTATGTAAATCAGCTACAAGTAGACAAGCAGCAGCACATGAAGAATAAGAGTTATTTGGGTGCTGAAGTTTATAATGTGTAGAAGTAAATGTTTGAAAACAGCACACAGGCTAGAGGGGGAAAACTCACAGAATGGGAGAAAATATTTGCAAACTCCCCATCTGACAAGGGATTAATAACCAGATATGTAAGGAGCTCAAACAACTTTATAGGAAAAAAATGTAATAATCTAATTAAAAATGGGCAAAAGATTTGAATAGGCATTTCTCAAAAGAAGACATAGAAATGAGAAACAAGCATATAAAAATGTGCTCATCATCATTGATCATTAGAGAAATGCAAATCAAATATACAATGAGATATCATCTCACCACAGCTAAAATGGCTTTTATCCAAAAAAAAAAAAATAGTCAATAGCAAATGCTGTCAAGAATGTGGAGAAAAGGCAACCCTTGTACACAGTTGGTGGGAATATAAATTAGTACAACCACTATGGAGAACAATTTGGAGGTTCCTCAAAAAACTAAAAATAGGCCAGATGTGGTGGCTTACACCTGTAATCCTAGAACTTTGGGTGGCCAAGGAGGGAGGACTGCCTGAGCTCAGGAGTTCGAGACCAGCCTGGCCAACATGGCAAAACACCGTCTCTATTAAAAATACAAAAAATTAGCCGGGCATGGTGGCACAGACCTGTAGTGCCAGCTACTTGGGAGGCCGAAGCACGAGAATCACTTGAACCCAGGAGGTGGAGGTTGCAGGAAGCCGGGATTGTGCTGCTGAACTACAGCCTGGATGACAAAGCAAGACTCTGTCTCCAAAAAACAAACAGCAAAAACAAACCAACAAATAACAACAACAACAAAAAACACCTAAAAATGGCACAACCATATGATCCAGCAATCACACTGCTAGGTATCTACCCAAAATAAAGGAAGTCAGTATATCAAAGAGGTATCTGAACTTACATGATTATCACAGCACTATTCACAATAGCCAAGATTTGGAAGCAACCTGTGTCCATCAATAGATGAAGGGATGAATAAAATGTGGTACATATATACAATGAAGTACTATTCAGACATAAAAAAAATGAGATCCTGTCATTCGCAAACATAAATGAAACTGGAGGTTATTATGTTAAGTGAAATGAGCCAGGAACAGAAAGACAAACTTCCTGTGTTCTCACTTATTTGTGGGAGGTAAAAATTAAGACAATTGAACTCACAGAGATACAGTAGAAGGATGGTTATCGGAGTCTGGGAAGGGTAGTTGGGGCGTGGAGGGGAGATGAGGATGGCTTAATGGGTACCAAAAAAAATACAAAGAATGAATAAGACCTAGTATTTGTTAGTACAACAGGGTAACTATAGTCAAAAATAATTTAATTGTACATTTTTAAATAACTAAAAGATTATTATTGGATTGTTTGTAACACAAAGGGTAAATGCTTGAGGTATGGCTTCCCCATTTACCCTGATGTGATTGTTAAGCATTGCATGCCTGTATCAAAATTTCTTATGTGACCCATAAATATATATACACCTACTATGTACCCACAAAAATGAAAAATTAAAGTTAAAATTAAAAGAGAAAAAATATATAGGACATAACATTCTTAAACATTATGAACCTATTAACAGAATTTAAAAATAATGGAGCAAAAACTAAGTACAGGAAAAATAGACAAATCCACTAGAATAGTGGCACATTTCAGTGTTCCTTTTGCAAAAGCGGATAAAGCAAATATTCTGTATAATAAAATACTAAATAAGTAAGGGTATAGAAACTTAAACAACAATACCAATCAAGGTTACCTAAAAGGCATTTTTGGAACATTCTACCCAGCAATAACAGAATACACATTATTTTTAAGTACACACAACATTTACCAAGATAGGCCATATTCTGGGTAATAAAATAATTCTCCCTAAACTTAAAAGTATTCAAATTATACAAAGTATGTTGTCTGACTACAATGGAAAAATTAGAAATTAAAAAATAAAAAGGCCTCTGGAATATTTCCAAATATTTGGAAACTGTTTTATTCAAGATTCTTCAGAGACACAGAACCAATAAGATATATACAGCTGACCCTTGAACAACATAGGGGTTAAGGGTGCAGACACTCTATGCAGGTAAAAATCTGCATATAACTTTTAACTCCACAAAAACTTAACCAGTAATAACTTGCTGTTTACCAGAAGCCTCACCGATAACAATCGATTAACACATGTTTTGTGTGTTATATGCTTCATATACCATGTTTTTACAATAAAGTAAGCTACAGAAAATAAAATGTTAAGAAGATCATGAGAAAGAGAAAATATATGTAATATTCAATAAGCAGAACAGGATCTTCGTAAAGATCTTCATCCACATGGTCTTCCCATTGAGTAGATTGTAGAGGAGGAAGAGGAGCGATTGGTCTTGTGGTCTCAGGGGTGGCAGCAGTGAAAGAGGTGGAGGAGGTGGAATGGGAGGCGTGGAAAGCAAACGAACTTGGTGTAACTTTACAAAAGGCACTGATTTCTGTCGACTTTTTGCTTTTTCATTTCTGTAAAAATGTTTCTATATGGTACCAATCTTTCTTCCAGTTTGTTTTAGTTTAAGTGCCTGTATCATAGAAGGGTTCATTTTGTAAAATAAGTCAAAAGCAGTCTTGGATAATCAGAGCCCTCCTGCCAGATTGCCTGATGTCAATTTTTCTGGCACTGCTCCGTTTCTATCTTCTTCCTCATTGTCTGGCACTGGTTTGGAAATGCTCATTTCCATGAAATTATCTTGTTAATTCTTCTAATTCCTTTGCTGTGGTGTGTGTTAGCTCTTGAATTTCTCCAAGATCCATATCTTGAAACTTTTCACCCCTCACCCTTTTTGCCGTATCCACAAACTTTTTCATGATTTCCTTGATTGGCTGTGTCATAAATCTTGTGAAGTCATGGACAATATCTAAACACAGTTTTCCCCAGTGGGAATTTATTGTTTTGGGTTTGATGGCTTTCCTGGCTTTTTCTATAACAACGACAAAATCTTCAGTGGTGTAATTTTTCCAGACTTTCATGATGTTCTCTCCATTGGGATTCTCTCATGATGTTGACAATTTTTTTCCATAAAGTACCATATGTAATGAGTCTTAAAAGTTTTTATGACCCCTTGAGCTAGAGGCCAAATTAGATATGTTGTGTTTAGGGACAAATAGACCACTTTTATCCCTTCAGTGCTGAACTCATGAGGTTCTGAATGAGCAGAGACATTGTTCAATAGCAAAATAATTTTCTTTTTTTTTTTAATTTTTTTTATTATACTTTAAGTTTTAGGGTACATGTGCACATTGTGCAGGTTAGTTATATATGTATACATGTGCCATGCTGGTGCGCTGCACCCACTAACTTGTCATCTAGCATTAGGTATATCTCCCAATGCTATCCCTCCCCCCTCCCCCCACCCCACAACAGTCCCAGAGTGTGATATTCCCCTTCCTGTGTCCATGTGATCTCATTGTTCAATTCCCACCTATGAGTGATAATATGTGGTGTTTGGTTTTTTGTTCTTGCAATAGTTTACTGAGAATGATGATTTCCAATTTCATCCATGTCCCTACAAAGGATGTGAACTCATCATTTTTTATGGCTGCATAGTATTCCATGGTGTATATGTGCCACATTTTCTTAATCCAGTCTATCATTGTTGGACATTTGGGTTGGTTCCAAGTCTTTGCTATTGTGAATAATGCCACAATAAACATACGTGTGTATGTGTCTTTATAGCAGCATGATTTATAGTCCTTTGGGTATATACCAAGTAATGGGATGGCTGGGTCAAATGGTATTTCTAGTTCTAGATCCCTGAGGAATCACCACACTGACTTCCACAATGGTTGAACTAGTTTACAGTCCCACCAACAGCGTAAAAGTGTTCCTATTTCTCCACATCCTCTCCAGCAACTGTTGTTTCCTGACTTTTTAATGATTGCTATTCTAACTCGTGTGAGATGGTATCTCATTGTGGTTTTGATTTGCATTTCTCTGATGGCCAGTGATGATGAGCATTTTTTCATGTGTTTTTTGGCTGCATAGATGTCTTCTTTTGAGAAGTGCCTGTTCATGTCCTTCACCCACTTTTTGATGGGGTTGTTTGTTTTTTTTCTTGTAAATGTGTTGGAGTTCATTGTAGATTCTGGATATTAGCCCTTTGTCAGATGAGTAGGTTGCGAAAATTTTCTCCCATTTTGTAGGTTGCCTGTTCACTCTGATGGTAGTTTCTTTTGCTGTGCAGAAGCTCTTTAGTTTAATTGGTTGGTAAGCTATTGATTATTGCCTCAATTTCAGATCCTGTTATTGGTCTATTCAGAGATTCAACTTCTTCCTGGTTTAGTCTTGGGAGAGTGTATGTGTCGAGGAATTTATCCATTTCTTCTAGATTTTCTAGTTTTTTTGCGTAGAGGTGTTTGTAGTATTCTCTGATGGTAGTTTGTATTTCTGTGGGATCGGTGGTGATATCCCCTTTATCATTTTTTATTGCGTCTATTTGATTCTTCTCTCTTTTTTTCTTTATTAGTCTTGCTAGCGGTCTATCTATTTTGTTGATCCTTTCAAAAAACCAGCTCCTGGATTCATTAATTTTTTGAAGGGTTTTTTGTGTCTCTATTTCCTTCAGTTCTGCTCTGATTTTAGTTATTTCTTGCCTTCTGCTTGTGTTTGAATGTGTTTGCTCTTGCTTTTCTAGTTCTTTTAATTGTGATGTTAGGGTGTCAATTTTGGATCTTTCCTGCTTTCTCTTGTGGGCATTTAGTGCTATAAATTTCCCTCTACACACTGCTTTGAATGCGTCCCAGAGATTCTGGTATGTTGTGTCTTTGTTCTCGTTGGTTTCAAAGAACATCTTTATTTCTGCCTTCATTTTGTTATGTACCCAGTAGTCATTCAGGAGCAGGTTGTTCAGTTTCCATGTAGTTGAGCGGTTTTGAGTGAGATTCTTAATCCTGAGTTCTAGTTTGATTGCACTGTGGTCTGAGAGATAGTTTGTTATAATCTCTGTTCTTTTACATTTGCTGAGGAGAGCTTTACTTCCAACTATGTGGTCAATTTTGGAATAGGTGTGGTGTGGTGCTGAAAAAAATGTATATTCTGTTGATCTGGGGTGGAGAGTTCTGTAGATGTCTATTAGGTCCGCTTGATGCAGAGCTGAGTTCAATTCCTGGGTATCCTTGTTGACTTTCTGTCTCGTTGATCTGTCTAATGTTGACAGTGGGGTGTTAAAGTCTCCCATTATTAATGTATGGGAGTCTAAGTCTCTTTGTAGGTCACTCAGGACTTGCTTTATGAATCTGGTTGCTCCTGTGTTGGGTGCATATATATTTAGGTTAGTTAGCTCTTCTTGTTGAATTGATCCCTTTACCATTATGTAATGGCCTTCTTTGTCTCTTTTGATCTTTGTTGGTTTAAAGTCTGTTTTATCAGAGACTAGGATTGCAACCCCTGCCTTTTTTTGTTTTCCATTTGCTTGGTAGATCTTCCTCCATCCTTTTATTTTGAGCCTATGTGTGTCTCTGCACGTGAGATGGGTTTCCTGAATACAGCACACTGATGGGTCTTGACTCTTATCCAATTTGCCAGTCTGTGTCTTTTAATTGGAGCATTTAGTCCATTTACATTTAAAGTTAATATTGTTATGTGTGAATTTGATCCTGTCATTATGATGTTAGCTGGTTATTTTGCTCGTTAGTTCATGCAGTTTCTTCCTAGTCTCAATGGTCTTTACATTTTGGCATGATTTTGCAGCGGCTGGTACCGGTTGTTCCTTTCCATGTTTAGTGCTTCCTTCAGGAGCTCTTTTAGGGCAGGCCTGGTGGTGACAAAATCTCTCAGCATTTGCTTGTCTATAAAGTATTTTATTTCTCCTTCGCTTATGAAGCTTAGTTTGGCTGGATATGAAATTCTGGGTTGAAAATTCTTTTCTTTAAGAATGTTGAATATTGGCCCCCACTCTCTTCTGGCTTGTAGGGTTTCTGACGAGAGATCTGCTGTTAGTCTGATGGGCTTCCCTTTGAGGGTAACCCGACCTTTCTCTCTGGCTGCCCTTAACATTTTTTCCTTCATTTCAACTTTGGTGAATCTGACAATTATGTGTCTTGGAGTTGCTCTTCTCAAGGAGTATCTTTGTGGCATTCTGTGTATTTCCTGAATCTGAACGTTGGCCTGCCTTGCTAGATTGGGGAAGTTCTCCTGGATAATATCCTGCAGAGTGTTTTCCAACTTGGTTCCATTCTCCCCATCACTTTCAGGTACACCAATGAGACGTAGATTTGGTCTTTTCACATAGTCCCATATTTCTTGGAGGCTTTGCTCATTTCTTTTTATTCTTTTTTCTCTAAACTTCCCTTCTTGCTTCATTTCATTCATTTCATCTTCCATTGCTGATACCCTTTCTTCCAGTTGATCGCATTGGCTCCTGAGGCTTCTGCATTCTTCACGTAGTTCTCGAGTCTTGGTTTTCAGCTCCATCAGCTCCTTTAAGCACTTCTCTGTATTGGTTATTCTAGTTTTACATTCTTCTAAATTTTTTTCAAAGTTTTCAACTTCTTGGCCTTTGGTTTGAATGTCTTCCCATAGCTCAGAGTAATTTGATCGTCTGAAGCCTTCTTCACTCAGCTCGTCAAAGTCATTCTCCATCCAGCTTTGTTCTGTTGCTGGTGAGGAACTGCGTTCCTTTGGAGGAGGAGAGGTGCTCTGCTTTTTAGAGTTTCTAGTTTTTCTGCTCTGTTTTTTCCCTATCTTTGTGGTTTTATCTACTTTTGGTCTTTGATGATGGTGATGTACAGATGGGTTTTTGGTGTGGATGTCCTTTCTGTTTGTTAGTTTTCCTTCTAACAGACAGGACCCTCAGCTGCAGGTCTGTTGGAATACCCTGCCGTGTGAGGTGTCAGTGTGCCCCTGCTGGGGGTGCCTCCCAGTTAGGCTGCTCGGGGGTCAGGGGTCAGGGACCCACTTGAGGAGGCAGTCTGCTGGTTCCCAGATCTCCAGCTGCATGCTGGGAGAACCACTGCTCTCTTCAAACTGTCAGACAGGGACATTTAAGTCTGCAGAGGTTACTGCTGTCTTTTTGTTTGTCTGTGCCCTGCCCCCGGAGGTGGAGCCTACAGTGGCAGGCAGGCCTCCTTGAGCTGTGGTGGACTCCACCCAGTTGGAGCTTCCCAGCTGCTTTGTTTACCTAAGCAAGCCTGGGCAATGGCGGGCGCCCCTCCCCCAGCCTGGCTGCCACCTTGCAGTTTGATATCAGACTGCTGTGCCAGCAATCAGCAAGACTCCATGGGGGTAGGACCCTCCGAGCCAGGTGCGGGATATAATCTCGTGGTGCGCCGTTTTTTAAGCCCGTCGGAAAAGCGCAGTATTTGGGTGGGAGTGACCCGATTTTCCAGGTGCGTCCATCACCCCTTTCTTTGACTCGGAAAGGGAACTCCCTGACCCCTTGCGCTTCCCAAGTGAGGCAATGCCTCGCCCTGCTTCGGCTCACACACGGTGCGTGCACCCACTGACCTGCGCCCACTGTCTGGCACTCCCTAGTGAGATGAACCCGGTACCTCAGATGGAAATGCAGAAATCACCCGTCTTCTGCGTCACTCACACTGGGAGCTGTAGACTGGAGCTGTTCCTATTCGGCCATCTTGCAAATAATCGCAAAAGAATTTTCAAAAACAGGCCTTTGTTGCTAAGGGGCTTCCCAATGTCAGGGACAAACCATCATGAAACCAATGCAGAAAACGTGTTCATAGCTGGGCGTAGTGGATCAAGCTTGTAATCTTAGTGCTTTGAGAGGTCAAGGTGGGAGGATTGCTTGAGGCTGGGAGTTTGAGGTCAGTCTGAGCAACATATCAAGATCCCATCTCTACAAAAAAAAATGTTAACTAGGCATAGTAGTGTGTGCTTGTGGTCCTAGCTCATTAGGAGGCTGAGGCAAGAGGATCACTTGAACCAAGGAGTATAAGGTTACCGTGAGCTATGATGCTATGATCGTGTCAATGCACTCCAGTCTGGGTGACAGAGGGACAACTTATCTTCAAACACTTTTAATTTATTTATTTATTTTTTTTAAGAAAAAGTGTTCAGGCCTTCTTGTTGTTGAAACAGCACTGGTGTCTATCTTTTCTTTTCAAGGCCTGCGGGCTAGTAGATTTATAGGTGAGGGTAGACTTGGTCATAAACCCAACTAAATTTGCACAAAATAGGAGAGTTAGCTTATCCTCTCCTGCCTTAAGTCCTGGTACTCGCTCCTCTCCCTTATTAATAAATATCCTCTGTGGCCTCTCATAGGGCACCTTCGTCTACACTAAAAACCTGTTTAGTCAGATATCCTTTCCTCTCAGTATTTTTCTTAATAGTATCTAGGAACTCATCTACTGCTTCTTGGTTGGCAGAAGCTGGTTCTCTTGTTACCTTTACTTTTTTTTTTTTTTTTTTTTTAGAGGCGGGGGGGTCTCATCCTGTTGCCCAGGCTGAAGTGCAGTGGTGCAATTATAGCTCACTGCAGCCTCAATCTCCCAGGCTCAAGGAATGCCTCCCATCTCAGCCTCCTGAGTAGCTGGGACTACAGGTATGCACTATCACACCCAGCTACTTTTTTTTAATTTATATTTTTAGTAGATATGCAATCTCATTATGTTGTATAGGCTGTTCTTAAACTCCTGAAATCAAGCAGTCCTCCAGTTTCAACCTCCCAAAGTGCTGGGATTACAGGCGTGAGCCACCACAGCCAGCTTCTTGAGATTTTTTAGGTCAAATGTCCTTCTAAAATCATCAAACTGTCCTTTGCTGACACTGAATTTTCCAGCTTTATATCTTTCATCTTCCTTTTGCTTTAAGTTGCCATATAGTAACTTCACTTTTCCTCAGATCATATTAAGAGTCTATAGATATGACTTTCTTAGGAAAATCCTGTACTCACATGAGCGCTGCATTTTCTACATGATATAAAAAGTTATTTTACAAAACTAAAAAAAAAATGCAAGGATTCATACCTGGTGATGTAGCTGCAGCAACAGCTTTATTAATTTTTTTTTCTTTTTTAAATATTGTCTTATGCTGGTTTTATTTATATTGAAATAGTAGGCAACTGTAGCAGTAGACCTTAATCTGTAGTACTTATCAAACAGTTCAACTTTTTCTTGTAATGTCATAACTTTTGTCTGCTTCTTGGGAGCAGTTCCAGCTCTACCAGTGGCATTTCATTTGAGTTCTCTAGTATTATTCAAGGTTTATGGTATTGAACTAACACAGTGAAAAATAAATAAGAACTGTGAGCGATCACTTTTTACTGTGATACGTAATTTACTAGAGAGACAAACTGCTTATATGGAGAAGATTAGAGTCATATGGCATTTTAAAGTGGATACGTTCAACATTTGAACTCACTGCCATAGCAACAGGAGGTGGCTACAAAATTATTATGGTATTACAGTATGTACTACAGTTAATTTTATGCAGTTATAATTTAATACTGAATCATAATATATTTTTTTCATCAACTTATTTTAAGTTTCAGGGTACATACACAGGATGTGCGGGTTTGTTACATAGGCAAATGTGTGCCATGGTGGTTTGCTGCACCGATCAACCCATCACCCAGGAATTAAGCCCAGCATCCATTAGCTGTTATTCCTGTTGCTCTCCTTCACCGCACCTCAGCAACATGCCCCTGTGTGTGTAATTCCCTCCAATGTGACCGTGTATTTTCATTGTTGAGCTCCTACTCATAAGTGAGAACATGCAGTGTTTGGTTTTCTGTTCCTGCATTAGGTTGGAGGATAACAGCTTCCAGCTACATCCATGTCCTAACAAAAAACATGATCTCATTCATTTTAATGGCTGAACAGTATTCCATGATGTGTATGTACCATGTTTTCTTTCTTTTTTTTTTTTTTTTTAAGATGGAGTCTCACTCTGTCACCCAGGCTGGAGTGCAGTGGTGCAATCTCAGCTCACTGCAACCTCCGCCTACTGGATTCAAGCAATTCTCCTGCCTCACCCTCCTGAGTAGCTGGGATTACAGGTGCCCGCCACCATGCTCGGCTAATTTTTTTTTTTTTTTTTGGCAGAGATGGGGTTTCACCATAATGGCTAGGCTGGTCTCGAACTCCTGACCTTGTGATCCGCCCACCTTGGCCTCCCAAAGTGCTGGGATTACAGGCGTGAGCCACTGCGCCCAGCCATATGTGCCATATTTTCTTTATTCAGTCTATCGTTGATGGACATTTAGGTTGATTCCATGTCTTTGCTTTTGTGAATAGTGCTGCAGTGAACATACGTGTGTATGTATCTTTATAATAGAATGATTTACATTCCTTTGGGTATATACCCAGCAATGGAATTCCTGCGTCAAATGGTATTTCTGCTTCTAGATATTTGAAGAATCACCACACGGTTTTTCACAATAGTTAAACTAATTTAGATTCTCACCAACAGTGTAAAAATACTTTTTTCTTCACAACCTCGCCAGCATCTGTTGTTTCTTGATTTTTTAATAATCACCATTCCGACTGGCATGAGATGGTATCTCATTATGGTTTTGATTTGCATTTCTCTAATAATCAGTGATATTGAGTTTTTTTCATGTTTGCTGGCTGCATGAATGTCTTCTTTTAAGAAGTGTCTGTTCATCTCCTTTGCCCACTTTTTAATGTTTTTTTTTTTTCTTGTAAGTTTGTTTAAGTTCTTTGTGCATTCTGGATATTAGACTTTTGTGAGATGGATAGATTGAAAAAATTTTCTCCCATTCTGTAGATTGCCTGTTCACTCTGATAATATTTTATTTTGCTGTGCAGAAGCTCTTTAGTTTAATTAGATCCAATTTGTTGATTTGTTCTTTTGTTGCAATTGCATTTGGTGTTTTCATCATGAAATCTTTGCCCAGGCCTATGGCCTGAATGGTATTGCCTAGATTTTCTTCTGGGGTTCTTATTGTTTGGAGTTTTACATTTAAATCTTTAATTCATTTTGAGTTAATTTTTGTGTAATATATAAGGAAGGAGTCCACTTTCAGTTTTCTGCATATGACTAGTCAGTTCTCCCAGCATCATTTATTAAATAGAGAATCCTTTCCCCATCTCTTGATGGTTGTAGGTGTGCGATCTTATTTCTGAGTTCTCTATTCTGTTCCATTGGTCTATGTGTCTGCATTTGTACCAGTACCATGGTGTTTTGGTTACTGTAGCCTTGTAGTATAGTTTGAAGTTGGGTAGTGTGATGCCTCCAGCTTTGTTCATTTTGCTTAGGATTGTCTTGGCTATATGGGCTCTTTTTTGTTTCCATATGAATTTCAAAGTAATTTTTTCAATTCTGTGAAGAATGTCAATGGTAATTTAGTGGGAATAGCATTTAATCTATAAATTACTTTGGGCAGTATGGCCATTTTCATGATATTGATTCTTGCTGTCAATGAGCATGGAATGTTTTTCTATTTGTTTGTGTCCTCTCTGATTTCCTTGAGCAGTGGTTTGTAGTTCTCCTTGAAGAGGTCCTTCACTTACCTTGTTAGCTGTATTCCTAGGTATTTTATTTTCTTTGTAGTAATTGTGAATGGGAGTTCACTCATTATTTGGCTCTCTGCATGCCTGCTGTTGGTGTATAGGAATCTTAGCGATTTTTGCACATTGATTTTGTGTTGTAAGACTTTACTGAACTTGTTTATCACTTTAAGAAGCTTTTGGACTTAGATGATGGCATTTTCTAGATATAGAATCATGTCATCTGCAAACAAAGATAATTTGACTTCCTCTCTCCTATTTGAATAGGCTTTATTTCTTTCTCTTGCCTGATTGCCCTGGTCAAAACATCCAATAATATTTTGAATAGGAGTGGTGAGAGAAGGCATTCCTGTCTTGCGTTGGTTTTCAAGAGGAATGCTTCCAGCTTTTGCCCATTCAGTATGATATTGGCTCTGGGTTTGTCTTATATGGCTCATAGTATTTTGATGTATGTTCCTTCAATACCTAGTTTATTAAGAGTTTTTAACATGAAGCGATATTGAGTTTTATTGAAGGCATTTTCTGCCTCTATTGAGGTAATCTTGGGGTTTTTGTCTTTAGTTGTGTTTATGTGATGAATTGCTTTTTTTGATTGCCGTATGTTGAGCCAACCTTGCATCCCAGGGATGAAGCCAACTTGACCATGATGGATAAGCATTTTGATGTGCTGCTGGATTTGGTTAGCCAGTATTTTATTGAGGACTTTTGCGTTGATGTTTATCAAGGATTTTGGCCTGAGTTTTTCTTTTTTTGTTGTGTCTCTGCCAGGTTTTGGTATCAGGATGATGATGGCCTCATAAAATGAGTTATGGAGGAGTTCCTCCTTTTCAATTGTTTGGAATAGTTTCAGAAGAAATGGTACCACCTTCTCTTTATACTCTGGTAGAATTCAGCTGTAAGTCTGTTTGCTCCATGCTTTTTTTGGTTGGTAGGCTATTTATTACTGCCTCAATTTCAGAACTCATTATGGGTCTCTTCAGGGATTCATTTCCTTCCTGGTTCACTCTTGTGAGTATGTATATGCCCAAGAATTTGACTATTTCTTCTAGGTTTTCTAGTTTAGCATCATTATGTTTGTTTTACATTTCTCTCAACTGGGAATGGCACTTCTGTATATGTTTGAGTGCATTGGTTTTAATACATTTAAACTTTTTATGATAGATTTATGTATATTTTATGGTAGTAAATTATAAAATAGACTAGGATCTGCATATATTTTTGCATTCATGATGTATCTGACTTTATGTTAATTTTTTATATTTCTATGCTATGCAGTTCATCTGCAAGTTCTTTTAAACTGTTGCAAATCTCTACCTAAAAAAAACCTAGGAATATATCTAACCAAGGAGGTGAAAGATTTGCATAAGGAAAACTACAAAACACTGATGAAAGAAATCATCAATAACACAGACAAATGGGGAAAAAATTCCATGTTAATGGATTGGAAGAATCAATATAATTAAAATGAACATACTTCCTAAAGAAACCTAGAGATTCAACCCAATCCCTATTGAAATGTCAACATCACTTTTCACAAAATTAGAAAAAACAATCCTAAACTTCACATGGAAACTAAAAAGAGTCTGAATAGCCAAAGCAATCCTAAGCAAAAAGAACAAAGGTGGAGGCATCACATTACTTGGCTTCAAGTTATACTACAAAGCTATATTAACCAAAACGACATGGTACTGGAATAAATATAGACACACAGAGAGATGGAATAGAACAGAGAACCCAGATTGAAAGCTACATACCTACAATCAACTGATCTTTGACAGTCAACAAAAATATACACTGGTGAAAGGGCATGCTATTAAATAAATGATGCTGGGGAAAATTGAATAGTTTTATGCAGAGGAATGAAACTGGACCCACACCTGTCACCATATACAAAAATTAACTCAAGATGGATTAAAGACATAAATGTAAGACCAGAAAATATAAAATCCCAGAAGAAAACCTAGGAAAAACTCTTCTGGACATTGACATAGGCAAAGAATTTATGACCAAGTCCTCAAAAGAAAACTCTCACACACACACACACACACACACACACACACACACACACACACAAATAGACAAAGGGGACTTAATTAAACTAAAAAGCTTCTGCACAGCAAAAGAAACAATCAACAGAGTAAACATATAACCTCCAGAATGAGAAAAAATGTTGGAAACTATGCATTCAACAAAGAGCTAGTATCTAGAATCTACAAGGAACTCAAACAACTCAACAACAACAGACCATTCAGAAGTGGGCAAAAGGCCAGGCTCGGTGGCTCACATCTGTAATCCCATCACTTTGGGAGGCCGAGGCAGATGGATCACTTGAAGTCGGGAGTTCAAGACCAGCCTGGTCAACATGGTGAAACCCCATCTCTACAAAAATGCAAAAATTAGTTGGGTATCATGGTGGGTGCCTGTAATCCCAGCTACTCAGGAGGCTGAAGCAGGAGAATTGCTTGAACCTGGGAGGCAGAGGTTGCAGTGAGCCGAGATCGCGCCATTGCACTCCAGCCAGGGCAACAAGAGTGAGACTTTGGCTCAAAAAAGAAAAAAAAAAAAAAAAAAAAAAGAAAAGAAAAAAGGAAGTGGGCAAAAAATATAAACAGACATTTTTCAAAAGAAGACATACAAATGGCCAACCAACATATGAAAAAAAGCTAACATCACTAGTAATCAGAGAAATACAATTAAACCACAATGACATGCCATCTTACACCAGTCAGAATGGTAATTATTAATAGAAGTCAAAAAACAAAAGATGTTAGATAGGATATGATAAAAAGAAAATTCTATACACCTTTAGTGGTAATGTAAATTAATACAACCTCTATAGAAAACAGTATGGAGATCTCCCAAAGAAATAAAAAACAGAAGGCCATTCTAGCCAGCAATCCCACTACTGGGTATATACTCAAGTAGAAAGAAATTATTATATCAAATAGATACTTGCACTCATATGTTTATCACAAGACTACTCACAATAGCAAAAATATGGAATCAGCCTAAAGTGTCCATTAATGGATGACTGGATAAAGAAAATATATAATATTTTATAATAAAATATATAACTATATGTAATACCATGGAATACTACTCAGCCATAAAAAAGAGAATGAAACTATGTCTTTTGCAGCAACATGAATGGCACTGGAGGCCATTATTCTAAGTGAAATAACTCAGAAACAGAAAGTCAAATACAACATTTTCTTACTTAAAAGTGTGAGCTAAACAAGAGTGTATGGACTTCCAGGGTGGAATAATAGACAATGCAGACTCCAAAAGGTGGGAGAGGTAGATGAGGATTGATAAATTACCTATTGAGTACAATATTCATTGTTTGGGTGATGACTACACTAAAACTTCAGACTTCATTACTGATCAATATGTACATGTAAGAAATCTGCACTTGTACCCCCTAAATATATAAAAATTCAAAAATTTAAGAAATTGTTGCAAATCTCCAAACACTTTCCAATACATTTATTGAAAAAAAATCTGCATATAAGTAGACCTATACAGTTTAAACCCTTCTTATGCAAGGTCAGCTCAAGGTATTTTGAGTCTGAAGACTGCAAACTTGTGCAGAATTTCTGTATTGAATTCTGGAGACAGAATTCCTTCTTTTGCAAATCTGTTTTTCTTCTTAAGGGCCTCAACTGATTGGATAAGGCCGGTTCACATTATGGAAGGTAATCTGCTTTACTTCAAGTCAACTGACTTTAAACATTAATCGCACCTTAGAAATACCTTAACAGCAACATGTAGACTAATGTTTAACTGAGCAACTGTTCATCATAGTCTAGTCAAGCTGAAACATAAAATTAAAATTAACTATCACAGAAAATATATAACACACTTCTTAATTATGCATTAGTCAAAGAAGAAATTGAAAAGAAGATTAGAAATAATTTTTATCTCAAAGAAAATTAAAACACAATATGCCAAAATTGGTGGGATAAAGCAAAAGCAATGCTTAGGGGAAAATGTATGCCAGTAAACATTTATAATAGAAAAGAAAATATGTCCTACCTAAATCAATGACTTCAGCTTTCACCTTAAGAAACTAGAGAAAGAGGAACAAATGAAACTCAGATTGAGCAGAAGAAAGGAAATAATAAAGGTTGTAGGGAAAATCGGTGAAGTAGGAATCAGAAACAAATGCTTTCTTTTTGAGAAGATCAATAAGATTGATAAACCAAATTGAACAGATGTAGACCAATCAAGAAAAAAATTTGAGAAGACATGAATTGCCAATATCAAAAATAAAAGAGTTAACATAACTACAGATCCTTAAGGCTTTAAAAGAATTATAAAACATTTTATGAAAACTTTTATGTTAAATCAGTAAGTTAGACAAGGTAGACAAATTATACTCAGGAAGAAGTATATAAATGGAATCACTCTACATTTATTAAAGAAAATAAATTTATAATTAAAAATCTTCCCATGAAGAAAAATTTAGTTCCAATTGGCTTCTCTGGAAAATTCTACCATTATTTAAGGAAGAAATAATAGTTTTTCTAAGAAATTGAAGAAAGGGAAATGCTTCCTAATTTACTCTATGAGCCAAATATTATTCTGATATTCAAATCAGGAAAGACATTACAAGAAAAAACCGTTGCAAAAGTGTTAAAAATTTTTTTTAGCAAATTAAAACATATGTCATAACCAAGTGAATTGTATTCCAGCAATACAAGGTTGATTTAATATGCATAAATAAATTAATGTAATTGATCATGCCACATCTGACAATGATAATAATAAATAAGATTATCTGAATAGATGCTGAATGGTATTTGACAAAATCCAACATTCTTTTCTGAAAGAAAAAAAACTCAACAAACTAGGAATAGAAAGGAATTTTCTCAACCAAATAAAAGAGATCTTCAAAACTACTACAGACATTTATGTGGCCAACAAGCATATGAAAAAATGCTCAACATCACTAATAATTAGAGAAATGCAAATCAAAACCACAATTAGATACCATCTCACACCACTCAGAATGGCTGTAATAATAAAAGTCAAAATATAAGTCAAAAAAAGAAAAAAATAACAGATGCTGGCTGGCTAGGCTGTGAAGAAACGGGAATGCTTATGCACTACTGGTGGGAATATGGATTAGTTCAGCCATTGTGGAAAGCAGTTTGGTAATTTCTCAAAGAGCTTAAAACAGAATTACCATTTGACCCAGCAATCCCATTATTGGGTCTATACCTAAAGGAATAGAAATCATTCTATCATAAGGACACATGCATGTGTATGTTCATCACAGCACTATTTACAATAGCAAAGACATGGAATCAACATAGATGCCCATCCATAGTAGACTGGATAAACAAACTGTGGTACACCATGGACTATTATTCAGCCATAAAAAAGAATGAGATCATGTCCTTTGCAGCAATATGGATGGAGTGGGAGGCCATTATCTTAAGCAAACTAACACAGGAACAGAAAACCAAATATTGCATGTTCTCACTTATAAGTGGAAGCTAAACATTGAGGACATATGAACACAAAGAAGGGAATAACAGACACCAGCACCTACTTGAGGGTGGAGGGTGGAAGGAGAGTGAGAATAAAAAAACTGCCTATCACATACTATGCTTATTACCTGGGTGACAAAATAATTTGTACACCAAACCCCCATGACATGCAATTTACCTATACAACAAACCCATACATATAACCCTGAATCTAAAATAAAATAATAAAAAAACACTTAATACCTTTAACATTTCAGTGAAAAAATGGCCAGATTCTCTTTCAATCTATCTAGCCCAGAAAAGAAGAATGAAAGCCCATCTGATTGTCAAAAAAACTAGGATGACTTTAAAAACAAAAAACCCTACAGATAATATCATGCATATTGGCTAAAGAGTGAATAATTTTCTCCAAGGATCTTAAAGAAGGTAAGGATTTCTGCTCTTATAATTCCTATTAAGCATTGTTCTGGAGGATCTATCCTGTGAGGTAGGGCAATAAAAGAAATAAAATACATCCAAATGATAATGAAGGAAGTAAATCTGTCTTGATGCACAGACAACATGATCATGTATACAAAAGAAATAAAAAAATTAGTTTATAAAGGTTGCAGGATGCCAGGTGAATATATAAAAAGTACTTGTGCTTGGCCAGGCACGGTGGCTCACACCTGTAATCCCAGCACTTTGGGAGGCTGAGGTGGGCGGATCATGGGGTCAGGAGTTCGAGACCAGCTGGGCCAATATGGTGAAACTCCGTCTCTACCAAAAACACAAAAAATACATGGGTGTGGTGGTGTGCGCCTGCAGTCCCAGCTGCTCAGGAGGCTGAGGCAGAAGAATCACTTGAACCCAGGAGGTGGAGGTTGCAGTGAGCCGAGATCGTGCCACTGCACTCCAGCCTGGGTGACAGAGCAAGACTCTGTCTCAAAAAAAAAATAAATAAATAAAATAAAAATTACTTGTGATTCATATACTAGCAAAGAACAGTCAAAAATTAAAAATTTTTCTGCAGGTCTAGAACTGAAAGGAAGTGAAAAATAATAAACAAAAATTTAAAATTAAAAAATTTAAATGCCATGTACAATATAAAATATAAGTGCAGTGTATTGCATCTAACACATCTTAATAAAGCTATGAAGAAATAACTAAAAGGAAAAAATTGAGTAAAAATAATGCAGAGTGAACATTTGGAATCTCAAAAATAAACTACCATTTTGTACAGCAAAGGAAAAACAAATTTTATTTCCTTTGGAAAAAATAGAAGAAACAAAAGAACATAGGTATATCTGAAGAAAGGAAAGACAATTTAAATGAGTTATGCATTTTTTTTTTTTTTTTGAGACAAGAGTTTCGTTCTTATCGCCCAGGCTGGAGTCCAATGGCGCAATCTCGGCTCACCACAACCTCCGCCTCCCGGGTTCAAGTGATTCTCCTGCCTCAGCCTCCCGAGTAGCTGGGATTACAGGCATGCGCCACCACGCCTGGCTAATTTTTTGCATTTTTTAGTAGAGACGGGGTTTCTCCATGTTGGTCAGGCTGGTCTCGAACTCCCGACCTCAGGTGATCCGCCCGCCTCGGCCTCCCAAAGTGCTGGGATTGCAGGCGTGAGCCACCGCGCCCGGCCGAGTTATGCATTTTTTTGTGTATTTGCTGTGCATTGATTTAACATTTTAAAACTATCAAACCAAGGGACACATGTAGCTACACTTGGAATTTTTTGACTGCTTATTTTGAAATAATTTTAATTGTGTCTTCTCACTAATTCATTCAATCATTTATTTATTTCAATGTGAACTCATGAATATTTATTTTATACTTTCAGTTGTAATTCAATCCTACATTATTAATTTTCTTGCTCAAATTGTTCCAGGTTTGGCCATTAGAGGTTATTTTTGGTTGGCTTACCTCCATCGTTTTCATTCTTTTTATTTATTATTTATTTCTTTTCCTTTTTTGAGTATTTCTTTCCTTTCTGACATCACAATATGTTCCAGGCTCACCTTGTTTTCCCCAGCTCAAGGCCTATATTCAATAACTTCTTTGTGTGGATATAACAGTTTAGCCACTCACAATTGGAGGACAATTTGATTGTTTCCAGTTATTGGTGATTATGAATAAAGATTTTTGCATAAACAGATTATCTCAATTCACTTGAATAAATACCTCGATATGGGAATGCTAGATTTGTATGGCAAGCGTATGTTTAACTTTAGAAGAAATTGTCTTAAGTTTTTAATTTGTATGAAGTCTAATTTATTATTTTTTTAAATTTTTTATTATACTTTAATTTCTAGGGTACATGTGCACAACAAAGACACATGTACACTTATGTTTATTGTGGCACTATTATTTTTAAATATTATGTTTTAGTATCATATCTTAGAACTCTTTGGAAAACCCAAGATGCAGTTTTTTCTAGGAATTTTATAGTTTTATATTTTACAATTATGTCTATAATTCTATTTTGAGTTAGTTTTTGTATTGGCTTGATATTTAGGTCAGGTTCACTGTTTTTTATATGTACATCCAATTGTTCCAACACCTTTTGTTGAAAAGACCATAGTATTTTTCTCTATTGACTTAGTTTTTGCATCTATCCCCAAAATCAGTTGACTAGGTTTTGTGAATCTATTTCTAAGCTCTTCATTTTGTTCCACTAATCCGTGTATCTAGCCTTTCATCAGATACTCCATGTTCTTTCATTTCTTCATAACTTTAGCTTTTTTAAGGAGTCTAGATATCAGATCATCTAGATACCAGTTTGAGTCTTCTAACTTTGATCTTTTTTAGAATTGTTTTAATTATTCTATTATTTTGCCTTGACTTAGCCATTCCACGATATATCAAAACATCATGTTGTATACCATAAGTATATATATTTTTTACTTGCCAATTTTAAAAAAGATGTCCACATTGAAAAAAATTAAGGAGAACAAGTTCTCAAATTTCTAATCAGATACAACTGTAGCCAAACTGATGTCTTCAAATGTATCTAAAGAAAATGTTAATGGGTATGGAATTTAGAAAGAATAAGCCAAAAGGGCAAAGTACTGGCATTTATAGATTAGTGATTTAACAACCAGCACAGTTCAGGGAAGGTGAACAGTAAATCTCAAGGAAAATGAATAAGATTTCTGTTGCAGACAGGAATGATTCATCACATCTGAACATGGCCTGAATGAAATTACCTCCATTTGTCTGATTTCATTTCCTCCAAGCATCCTATTGATTATCATTTGGCTCCAGGTTTTGAGGTCAGAGTGCTTCAGTTCTGCTCTGCCCCAGCATTCAGTAGTTAAATTCAGCTTTCTTTAATTTCTTAGAACACCACTTTCCTCATTTGTAAAATGACATTAAAAGTAAGTACTTACAGGACTGTTGTAATAATTAGCTATGATGATTAAAGCCAATAAACTAAAGGGAAATCTCCTAAGTAAAATGGAGATGGCAGATATCTGAGTTTCCAGATATCAGTGCTCCAAGTTGGCACCCTTCTTAAGAACACTGCCAGCAGAAGGGACACCAGCAGCCAGATGTGAGGAGTACCAAAGGTAGTGGGAGCATGAGAGGCTAGAGAGACAATGCATCTTGCACATCAGGGAATTGAGCAGTGGTGATTAGACTCCTCTGATGAGGCTTCCCAAATGATTCAGAGAGTAGTAGAAGGTACCCACTTAGGCAGAGGACAACATAAGCCAAGAGTAGATTATAGTAGCCCAAGTTAGTAAGACTTTCACCCCTTCCCTCTATTGCCTTTCTCCTTTTCCAACTCTGGAGATGCTATAAGGAAAAGGAGAGGGACTGTGGGGATAAGAGGAATGGGAATGTCCACCCCACAGCATGTCCTTCTCACTTGATATCTAGCAGGCACTGTCCATGGGGAAAAGGTGAGTACCGAATTATCTACGAGACAGAATCAGCTAGGTTTTTAATATATTATATTTAATATTAATGAATGCATAGCTATACATTCTGCCCAAGATATCTTAAGAGACAGAAAAGGAAAAGTAAACAAGGCAATTATTGAAGAAAAATCAAACATTTTCTTATTTGTACTCTATAGAAAACAGAGCTGCAATTAACAGCTTTTTGTTTTGTAACTGGGAATAATTCTTTCCTAATTGGACCTTCTTTCTTTTTTTTTGCTTGCTTTTTCTTTGCAAGAAAAATGTTTTATTTTTCTTTTTATGATTCTAATGAAGTATTGAAAGAATATATATGTTATGAAACATATTATTAATAAAATTGATGACACAAACTTACCCTTGCCAGCTGAAATTCACTAACTAGAAAGTCACAAATATTTCCTTTACTAAATGCTCTCACCTCTTGTATACACCTGCGGCAACCCCACAAGTAATCACTAGCTTGAATTTTATGTTTATGTTTCTTTGTGTAGCAGGCATTGTCAGTGTCCCCTCTGTATCTTCTGGGCATTCATCATTCCTATAAATGCAGAAGGATTTTGCTGTAAGCACCTCTAACTCTGCCTAGGAGATTTCACTGGAGTGTACAAGGTAAGGCAGAAGAACTGTTTTTTCTTTTAAAGTATTGTTTAAAATAATTCAATTTTCTATGCACACACGTATGCACACATACAAACACACATATACATGCCTCTTAGCAACATGCAGTTGTTTCACATGCCTTTAGCTTTGTGGTATAATAAATATGATATCACACCTTATGTGATTTTCTGGAACTTGCTGTTTTCATTAAACATTGTTGCTAAAACTCTTTGTATTTTTGAGTATACCTGCAGTTCTTTCATTTTTTTTTTTGCTGTGTATACAGTTTTATGCTATACATCAATCATTTGATTTTCCCATCTATTCTCTAGATTGCTGGCAATTTGAATTGTTTCCTTGTTCTTTCTATTATAAACAGTGTTGCTATGAACATACTTATACAAGACTCTCAGGGCACCTGTGCAAAACTTGATCTGTTACAGTGTATGAGAATGCTCATTTCAAATTACATCCCAAAGTGGTTGTAGTAATTTACCCTCGTCCTGGTATAAAAATTCCTATTGAACTAAATTCTTGACAACTTTTGGTCTTGAAAAGTTTCCTCATTGATTTGTAGTGCTGCCTTTATTATATATAAAGTTATCATACACACATGGATCTGTCTCTGGACTCCTTGGAATAGTCGTTGGTTCATTCACCTGTTATTGCACCAATAGCACATTATATTTATTACTGAGTTTTGTAGAATATCTTACATCTGGTAGAACAAGTTTCCTTCTTTTGTTGTAGTTTCCTTGAATATTTACATTAATTTAAGGAATAATGACTTTTTATAATAAAGAAAACAAGAACATGAAATGCTTCTCCATTAATCAGATCATCTTCCATGTTATTTTGAGTTTTAAAGTTTTGTCCATAGAGGTCTTTTGTATTTTATAAAATTTATTTCTAAACAATGCATTATTTTCATTGCTATTGACAATGTTATTCTTTTAAAATTATTGTCTCTTTGGTTATTGTTGTTGTAGAGAGTCAAATCTCTCATAAGAAGATATTCACTTTACCTGCAAATTATGACAGTTTTACATCTTACCTTCTAATGCTTTTCTTATTTCTTGTTTTTTCTTTATAGCCTTTGCCAAAACTTCTAATAGTGTGTTTTAACAGTAGCAGTATTGGTGTACCTTTTTGTCTTATTCTGGGTCTCAAAGGGAATGCATTAATAGTTTTTCCATTAGGTACAAAGTTTGTTATAGGTTTTGCTATACAGTATATCTTTTACCAAGTTAAAGATAGCCCCTTTGTATTCTTAATTTGCTAACACATTTTATGAAAAAAGACTTGCCTTTTATCAAATGCCTTTCTAGCCCCTATTGTGAAAATTACATATTTTATCTCTTTATTCTATTAATGCAGTGAATTACAATTGACATATGAAATTAATTTATTTTATAAATATAGAAGTACTCACAGTATGTGAGGAGACAAAAAATGTGCAATCTAGAGCTGCAAAGCCTCAGGGAAAGACTTTGAGAATGAGGACAATGCACAGAAAAAAACAGAGCATAACTAAGAGATACAGATCTTTGAAATATTGTATGCACTGTCATCAAGCCACATATGAACCTAGTACTCCCCTAAACATTCGTTGAGTAAGCCAAGAAATTCCTTCTTTGCTAAAACCAGTTTGAATTTGCTTTTCTGATACTTGATATGAAAATGTTGCTTATTAATTCAGGTCTAATTGTTTTCAGCTGTCTAATGCCATTTAGGAAGTGGCTAATTCTATCTTTCTGATTTGAAGTGCCTCCTTTACTCTGACCTCAATTTGAAAAAAAATGAGTCTGTTTCTCAATATCAATCCATTTCTTTGTCTATTTTATCTATTATTATACCAATGATATTCTTATTTTTAAAAATTTATATTGTGTTTAATTCTTTTTTGAATGGTTTGAAGGAAGAAAATTTAAAACCATGTATATTAAAAATTATCTCAACTTGTAGTATCCATTAATAGAATTTCCCATTCAGAACACCCAGTGTGATAGGTTTCCTGTATATCCTCCCTCAGAACTTCAAGCACATAACAGTAAACAAATTTTAAGTCACAAAAGTAGTATATTATAAAATTTTTCTGCACCTTACTTTTTGTTTAATAGTGTATCTTACATATTATTACACTTCAGCATATAAAGCACATTCTCATTCTTTTTTGTAGCAGGATGGTACTCCATTGAATGAATATTGCCTCATTTGTTTAACCAAATAATCTTTTATCCATAGGCATTTAAGCTATTTCATTCTTGTTTTACTATTACAAAGAGTTATGGAATGAATAGCATTGTACATAAATCATATTGAATGTGGAAATGTGTAACTCTAGTATATATTATTTACCGTGGAAGCTGCATATATGCATTGCAGCTTTTGAAAATGTTGTGAAATTACCTTTGTTTAAAGTTGTGAATTTCAGATACCAGTGTATTTTAACACAGCCTATTACCAAAATTTTAATTTGTTCTATACTGTTGAAGGAAAATCTATGTCTTCTATAATATTTTAACATCATCTTTATTGAGTTATAAATTACGTCTGAGAAAAAACACCCATTTTTAGTGTATACTCTAATATGCTTTGACAAACTTATACACATGCATAACTATCTCCACAACAAAGATGAAAACATTTTTAATCATCCCAATGTTCCCTTGAGCCTCTGCCAATTGATTCCCCCAATTATCCTTGCCAGCTGGTGATCATTGATTTGCTTTCTATTACTATATACACGGTCCCTAATGTAACAATTTTTTGACTTTATGAATGTGTGAAAGTAATATGCATTTAGTAGAAACTATACTTCAGTATCATACTGTATTCAATAAATTGTATGAGATATTCAACACTTTATTATAAAATAGGCTTTGTATGAGATGATTTTACCCAACTGTGGGCTGATGTAAGTATTCTGAGCATGTTTTAGGCAGGCTAGGCTAAGCTGTGATGTTTGGCAGATTAGGTGTATTACATGCGTTTTCAACTTATGATATTTTAAACTTGAGATTAGTTATTTTATGACATAAATGTAATCCTATCATAAGTCCAGGAGCATCTGTCTTGGATTCGTTTGTAGAGTTTCACCTAAATGGAATTGAATAGTAGGTGTCTCTTTATGCCAGACTCTCTTGCTTCACTTAGGGATTTTGATATTCAACCTTGTTTTTGTGTGTATAAGCAGTTCTTTTTTAATGCCAAGTAGTATTCCATCATGAAAATATAATTGTTTATTAATACATCTATTGATGGATATTTGATTTATTTTTAGTTTTTGACTCTTCGAATAAAGGTACTACAAACATGTGTGTCCAAATTTTTATGTGCAAAATTTTTTTTTAATTTGGGGAAAATATTTAAAATACTTAAATATTTTTAATTTGGGGAATCTCTAGGTCAAACTTCAGTAGAAATTGTCAAATGGAACCAGCTAGTTGTATAATTTTTCATTCTTGTCATTAATGTATGAGGGTTCCAGTTGTCCCACATCCTTGCTAACATTTAGTATTATCAGTCTTTTACATTTTTGCCATTCTGGTGAGTCTGTAATGCTATCTTACTACAGTTTTAATTTACATTTCTCTCTTGACAAAGGATATTGTGTATCCTTACATGTATACATTGGACATTCTTCTTTTATGAATGTTCATTCAATCTTTGCTCATTTAAACAAATGTAGTTGTTTATTATAAAATTGTAGGAGTTCATATGCCTATCTATCATCATCTACCCATTATCTATCTATATAGTTTGGATATAAATATTTAGTCAGATTCAAGATGTAATTGTTGATTTGTCTATTTATCCCTTAAGTTCTTTCAGTTTTGCTTCAGTTTTGTTAAGCTCTGTAATTAGATATTTAAACATTTTGGATTGAATGTGTTTTTGTTAAATTGATCCTTTTATCATAATGAAATGACCCTCTATTTCTCTGATCATATTTCTTGTTCTGAAATTTACTTTGGTATTAGAACAGCAACTCCAGATTTTTAATGCTTCATACTTAAATTGTATATTTATTCCTACCCTTTTACTTTTTTTATATATGTCTTCATATTTAAAAGTCTGTTTCAAGCCAGCATGGAGTTTGGGCTTATAATTTCTTTTCTTTTTTAATTTAGTCTGTTAATTTCTGTCTTTTATCTTAAGTGCTTAGGTCATTTTTATTACATATAATTACTGCTATGTTGGATTTGTATCTATCATTTTTGTATGAGATTTTAGATTTTCTCATCTATATAAGAAAATTTCCCCTCTTTTCTAGAGATTTTAAAATATGCATATTTAACTTTTCATAATCGACCTTCAAGTAATATAATGTCATTTCACCTATAAGACTTTTATAAGTGTTTACTTCCAATCCTTTGTGCTAAGTTTGTCATACTAAATCCCAAATATGTTATTACTACTATTGATTTAAACTATCAGTTATCTTTTAAATTAAACAAAACCCTATTTCTAATACATATTTAATAATGAAAGATGTAATGTTTTTCCCCTAATATTGAAAACAAGTCAGAGTGGCTTCTCTCACCCCTGCTATTTAATATTTAACTGAGTTCTTATACAGTGTAATATGCAAGAAAACAAAGCAGAGGCGTATAGTCCAGAAAGAAAGATGTAGAAATGCCTTTATTCACAGATGACATAAGAATATATACAAACCTGCCCATTATTTTCTGATGGAAAATTAAACCTACTCTTCCTTTATCATAATTTTTTATTTGAAGAGAAAGAGGTTCAATCTCTAAGCTCTGATCTTTAAAAAATTAAAAATATAGAAAAAATTAAATAAATTTAAAGTTTGCCTTTCTGTGTTTTTGAAAAAAATAAATCTTCAGTTTCTTTTACTTTACATTCTTGCTTTCCATTCTTCTAGGAGAGAATAAGAAATCCTCTTTTACATTCTGGCGACTTCTTTCAGAGATAGTATTTTATTCAGCACATAATCAAGGGTGGCCATTAGATAGGTCCAAAAAACTAAACATGATATTTTCTCATCCAACTTGTATGAAAAAGATTGTTTAAATATTTGCTGAAGCATTTAGATTAATCATATTTGTGCACATCTAAAGATTTATTATCTTTGCTCATTATTTTCTAATGGAAAATTAAACTTATTGTTTCCATTTTATTATGAGAATGGTTTAACTCTCCTGGGAAACAATTTATTGCTGTAAGTTCTTGATAAATAATTACAGCTTTTTATATCTTAATTGTTCATTCTAAAGAGTTGATAAATAGTATAATCATTCTTTATGTGTAGATAGACTTACCTATAGTCTAAAAAGTAGTAATAATAACAACAAAGGCTATGAAAAATAGAGAGAATTTTAACTAAAACACTAACAGTGAATTTACTTAATAAACTTAAAGAGACTTGAGATAGAGTCCCAGTTACTGAGATTACAACAGTATATAATCTCAATTTGTCTATATTTGAAGACCTTATTTATGTCATATTTCATCAATGTCCAAGCAAATGCTTTCAATGTACTTGAATTTTTCTCTGCTATAATATTTCAATGATTATTTATTAATTTTTATATGACCTTTGAAGTTTTTTGCTCAATAAAATTTCTTTACATTTCATGTGAGATATGAGGAATGTTCTGGGGGTTGACAGAATCGTATTTCTAAATGGTTGCATTTGTCATATATTCTTGTTACTCACTTTTAATTTTAACCATAATAGATAGTCTAGCTATTAAGGTACATTTTATGATAGAGAAGTAATATGCATTTTGAATGTTTGCCAGCATTTGCCTGGCAAAAGTGACAGCAACAACAGATAATTAAGATTTGAGCATACACTGTGATTCAGCAAATACTCTTGTATATTTTTCCAGGAAAGATTGTCCAGAATAAGCTAGCCTATATTTTAAATTTTTATTTTCAATGTATTTTAAAGTACATTAGTTTAAGACAATGCTTATTAAAACAAAAACCTTACCTTATTTCGTCTCTCTCTTCAT
Organism: Homo sapiens; assembly: GCF_000001405.40. Taxonomy (NCBI): domain Eukaryota; kingdom Metazoa; phylum Chordata; class Mammalia; order Primates; family Hominidae; genus Homo; species Homo sapiens. The sequence continues at coordinate 98,568,819 of NC_000001.11, read as the reverse complement.
TTTCTCTGTAAGATAGCATTCTAACACAGTAATTAAGAGAGGACTCTGAGCCAAACTGTCTGACTTTATCACTTCCTAATTCTGAGACCTTACTCAAGTTACTTGGGTTCTTTGTACCTCTGGTTCCTTATATATAAAAAGGGAATGATAAGTGATTTTGCTTCCTAGGGTGTTCTTTATAAGATAACATATAGTAGGGGTTAGAAAATGAACTGGCACATAGGTAGCACCTAATTAAAATGAGAAGCTCTTATTACTATTCTGAATTATCACAAAATGTTGAGTTATAAATTATTTCCATGTTTGATAAAGAATAATAAAACACCTTTGGGAAGATAATTCTCACATTCATTCAGTAAAAATATATTGAGAGTTTACTATCTGTTAGTCAATGTGCTAAGTGTTGGGGCAACCATAAAACATGGTCTCTGACTTAAAGGAGGTCACTTGTTGTGGGGAGACAAGTAAGGAGACAGGAAAACAGATAATAACTGGTAAAATAACATAGAGAAAGAGTCAAAAAATTTATTTATTTATTTATTTATTTATTTTCTTATTTATTTATTTTTAGAGACAAGGTCTCGCTCTGTCTCCCAGGCTGGAGTACATGGTCATGATCACATAGCTCCCCATAACCTCAAACTCCTTGCCTCTAGTGATCTTCCCACTTCAGCCTGTTGAGTAGCTAGGACAACAGGTGTGTACCACTGTGCCCTGCTAATTTATTGTTGTAAATTTTTTTGGATATGTTGTCTCACTATGTTGCTCAGGCTGGTGTCAAACTCCTGGCCTCAAGTATTCCTTCCACCTATGCCTCCTTGTGTGCTGGGTTTACAGGTCACCACACCAGACCAATTTTTTTTTTTTTTTTTTTCCTGAAAAAGGCCAGATAGTAACTATTTTAGCCTTTGTTGGCCATACATTTTCTGTTGCAACTCCTCAATCCTACTGTTGTGTTAAAGCAGTCTTAGACAATATATAAACAAATGGAAGTCATGACTATGTTCCACAACAAATTTATTTATGGAGACTGAGATTTAAATTTTATATAATTTCCACATACCGCCTTTTGTTTTCTTTTCAAACTTATTTAAAAATGTAAAACTTCTTCTTATCTCACAGGCCATAGGAAGACAGGTGGTAGTCAGATTTGGTCCATGGGCCAGAGTCAGGTGATCCCTAAATCAGAGGAAAGATGAGCATTCCTGTAAGGAGTGGTTGCAAGGGAAGTCTTCCTGAGAAGAGTGTGACTAGCTGAGCTTTAAATAGTACAGATAATTCAGGTGAATATGTAAAGGAATAGCATCCTAGGAAGAAAATAACATGTGCAAATAAGAATGGCCATCAATAACAGTCACCAACGCTGAGTCCTTGCTTTGTGTTACTCACTTTACATAGATTAATTTACTCATCCCAATATCCTTATGAAGTAGTCATTATTGAATCTATTTTGCAGAGAAGAAAATTGGAGCTTAAAAAATTAAGCAACTTGCTATGGACACCAAGGACTAGAGCGGTGCTTTGAAAGCAAATCTAAAGGATTCCATAAGCAAGCTCTTAAGTTATATAATATATGACCCCATCAGATTTGTAAATATTTAGGAAACAGAAAATATCATGACTAAGGATTTTAGTTGGTGGAAGAGATGGGGCAAGAGCAATGCTCCCTTAATGACTTCAGAGTTTATCCTGAGGGTGAAAAAAGAACTATTACAGGATTTCAAGCACCAGAATGTCAAGATAAGATGCTAGAAAAGTGGTTCTAGAAACGTACTGGAGAAAAACTCAATGCCAGGCATATGAGAACATATTATTAAAGATGCTGAGATAGGATACTGGAAATACAGTTGGAAACTACAGCAAGGATCTCGACAAGAGATGGTAGTGGTCTAAATGTAAACAGTGATTGGAGGAATGGGAGAAGAGATGACAAATATAATGGTTATCAAACTTAATTCCCTAGCGCAGTTACTACAGCACTATTAACATTTTCACATGCTAAACCTCATTCCTGGATATTCTAATACAATGGACCTGAGTGTGAACTAAACACCTGCATTTTTAAAAGTTTTTATGATTAATTCTGTCAGCCAGGGTAGAGAGGTACTAGGAAAAACTCAGGAAGTAGAGTGAGGGTAAGGTATATTGTAATACACTTACTACGATTCAGAATAAAGGAGGGAGAATATGATGAGTTTCATACTGAACAAGCTGTAGTTGAGTCATCTTGGATGCATTCAGGTGGAGATGTCTAACAGATGCTGCATAGAGTGGCCCAGAGCTCAGGAGGGAGGAATGGACAGAAGATAGAAACAGCATGGTCGGCATTCATTCATAGAAAGAGGAGTAAAACAGTTTTCATAAGCTTTGTTACAGGTTGAATTCAAGATCAGAATGCTTCAGAGGGTAATCAGGCATTTGGACAGGGGTCTATTGACTTCTTTGTACCTTAAAGGCACACCACTTTTCAATGTTGGGTTTTGTCCTTAATTAGGATCAGTGAGGTTCTACATACCAGCATCGTGCCATAAAATTTCCAGAAATGAGCCTTTTCTAATACTCCAGCCAAAAGCAGTGTATAAAGTTGTTCTGATGCAAGCAGAGTTGGCCAGAAGGAGACAATAAACAACAGCAGTAACACTCTGTGTTTACCAGCTAATCAGCAGCACCCCAGGGGAGGCAGTTGCCATAATTAGCTTAACTTCTTGCAAAGCTAAAGCAGAAGATAGATACAAGAGAGAATGAGCCACACACTCAGTCAACGAGTACAGCAATTTCTGGAAATCTTTCATTTCATAGAAATAGTCCATGTCATCAGTGTGAAGGCGGATGCTTATCTTTTGTTTGTTCAAAAGATAATATATATCCAACTCTCATAAGAATAATGAAAACAGTTTTGATTAAGAAATGGGAAGCTACAGCAAAGCCATGTTTGTAAACTTTCACAGTTTGGGCTACATCTGTCATGAAATTCTGGATGCCGAGCCAGATTAACAATAAACTTGATAACTGCTCTGAAGAAGCATTATAGAAGCTTATTTTCACATATTTTGGCTCAAGGGCCATTATCTACTAAATCAATGACCAATGGTGGATAAATGAATGCCCAAAGAGTCTTATTTATTTTTTATAATCTCATTTAATTCTCAAAAGAATTTGAGGTGGCTTACAATAAAAATGTTTGTATCAATATTTTAAAATAATTTTTTATTTTTATCAAAAAAATAACAAGTCAGATAGTATTAACAGGCCCATAATGAAACACAGTGGCCTTCTCTCCTTCAAGTCCTTCTCCCTAGAAATATTCTTTTAACTCTTTCACTGTCTTTCTTGATACTGTAAGTAATATGCTTACATTGCTATTATTCAACTTAATCTTTTACATATATTATTAACTTCATTTTATATAAATTCTGCTATATAAAATTGATTCTTCCTCCCCTTATCCTTCTAAAAATTGTCATATCACAACATTTAGTCAAGTCAATAGTCAGCTCCCGCTGCACTTTGTCAATAAGGATATTATTCATTGTGGAGCCAAGTAGCATATCATGATTGTTTCCTTTATAGCACAACCTTCTCTATCCTTTGCATGCCCAGAATTTGTTATTCCTTTGCTATTTCATGTACTTATCCTTGTGTATGTTTTGCTAATTGTTTTCAAGAGCACTGATAAGTTCATATAGTTTTCCAAAAACTTAGACAACTAATCTATAATTCTTTTTATTTCTTGCTCTTTCTGGAAAATGTACAGAGACTTCTGTTTATTTTCTATTCTGGGCAGATTTCTCTCTAGGTCTACTGCACGGCTGTCTCCTCAGGGACTTCCCTCTCCACTCGTCTGTGTTATATCCCTATTTCCAGGATCTTATGTCTTCCTCCTTCTTAGTTTATTGCTTTGCTTTTCTGGATGACATCCTTTAATAGCTTTCAAGGAAATGGAGCATGAAAAGCATATTTTTCGGTCTTGTTTATTTGGAAGTGTCTTTTACCATTCCACTGAATTTCTAAAATTTTGGTTGTAGTATTCTAAATGCTTTTTATTGTCCTTTTATCATCGCATTTTTTTAATCTTAGAAATGCAATAAAGTTTATCTTTTTGGGTGTTATTAATTATAGTGGTGTCTTCAAGTTTTCTTTTGTTTCGCTGTGAAATTATTACAGTCACCATACTGATAGTGTAAGCCTGAAAGATAGAAGATGGTGGTTCAAGAGTGGAAATTTTAAACTGTGACTAGAGAGGGAGTGCAGTTATTGGTAATGACAAGAATTGGCTGAGATTGGGTGAGGGCAAGGTAGCTGGAGAGAGATGTCAAAGAACTGAGAGTCCATAGTATAGAAAGGATTACTTATGCAACTTTGAAATTTATGAGAACTAAGGCAGAAGTAGTGTTAGAGAAAATGACAGTGAACCGGAAGCTAAAATATTCAAAGAATGAGAGCGAATCACTTATTTTGGCATTATTTATAGATGATTGCAGTAAGGAGTGGATGTTGGATGGAATAGTTTAATATTATGAAGTTAAAAATTGTGCAGTATTAGTCTGTTCTCATGCTGCTGATAAAGACATACCTGAGACTGGGCAATTTACCAAAGAAAGAGGTTTAATTGGACTTACAGTTCCACATGGCTGGGGAGGCCTCACAGTCATGGTGTAAGGCAAGGAGGAGCAACTCACAACTTACATGAATGACAGCAGTCAAAGAAAGAGAGCTTGTTCAGGGAAACTCCTATTTCTAAAACCATCAGATCTCTTGAGACTCAATCACTATCATGAGAACAGTGCAGGAAAGACCCTCCCCTATAATTCAATTGCCTCCCACTGGGTTCTCCCCATGACATATGGAAATTGTGGGACTTACAATTAATGATGATATTTGGGTGAGGACACAGCCAAACCATATCATTCCACCCCTGGCCCTTCCCAAATCTCATGTTCTCACATTTCAAAAACAATCATTCCTTCCGAACAGCCCCTCAAAATCTTAACTTATTTCCACATTAACTCAAAAGTCCACAGTCCAACATCTTATATGAGACAATGCAAGACTCTTCCGCCTGTGAGCCTGTAAAATCAAAAGCAAGTTAGTTACTTCCTGATACAGTGGAGGTATAGGCATTGGGTAAATACAGCCATTCCAAATGGGAGATATTGGCCAAAACAAAGGGGCTACAGGCCACAGGCAAGTATGAAATCCAGCAGGGCAATCAAATCTTAAAGTTCCAAAATTATCTTTTTTGCTCCATCTCTGTGGCTTTTCAGGGTGGATCTGCTCAAGGCTGCTTTCACAGACTAACATTGAGTGTCTGTAGCTTTTTCCAGGTTCACAGTGCAAGCTGTCAGTGGATGCACCATTCTGGAGTCTGGAGGACAGCACCCCTCTTCTCACAGCTCCACTAGTTGGTGCTCCAGTAGGGACTCTGTGTGGGGGCTCCAACCCCACATTTCTTTTCTGCACTGCCCTAGCAGAGGTTCATCATGAGGGCTCCACTCCTGTAGCAAACTTCTGCCCGGACATACAGGCATTTCCATACATCTTCTGAAATCTAGATCGAGGTTCCCAAACCCCAATTCTTGACTTTTGTGTACTGGCAGGCTCAATGCCAAGTGGAAGCTACCAAGGCTTGAGGCTTGCACCCTCTGAAGTCACAGCCTGAGCTCTATGCTGGCCCCTTTCAGTGATTGCTGGAGCAGCTGAGATGCCAGACACCAAGTCCCTAGGCTGCACACAGCATGGTGACCCTGGGCCTGGCCCATGAAACCACTTTTTCTAGTTAGGCCTCCAGACCTGTGATGGGGGAGGCTGCCGTGAAGACCTCTGACATGCTCTGGAGACATTTTCCCCATTGTCTTAGGGATTAACAATTGGCTCCTTGTTATTTATGCAAATTTCTGCAGCCTGCTTGAGTTTCTCCTCATAAAATGGGATTTTCTTTTCTATCACATTGTCAGGCTGCAAATTTTCCAAATCGTTATGTTCTGCTTCCCTTATGAAACTGAATGCCTTTAACAGCACGCAAGTCACTTCTTGAATGCTTTGCTGCTCAGAAATTTCTTCCACTAGATACCCTAAATCATCTCTCTCAAGTTCAAAGTTTCACAGATCTCTGGGGCAGAGGCAAAATGCCCCAGTCTCTTAGCTAAAACATAGCTAGGATTACCTTTGCTTTAATTCCCAACAAGTTCCTCATCTCCATCTGAGACCACCTTAGCCGGACCTTTTTGTTCATATCACTATCAGCACTTTTTGTCAAAGCCATTCAACAAAGTCTCTAGGAAGTTACAAACTTTCCCACATTTTCCTGTCTTATTCTGAGCCCTTCAAACTGTTCCAACCTCTGCTTGTTTGCCAGTTTCAAAGTCACTTCCATATTTCGGGTATCTTTTCAGCAGTGTCTACTGGTACCAGTTTACTGTATTAGTCTGTTTTCATGTTGCTTATAAAGACATACCCGAGACTGGGCAATTTACAAAATAAAGAAGTTTAACTGGATTTAGAGTTCCACATGCCTGGGAAGGCCTCACAATCATGGTGGAAGGCAAGGAGGAGCAAGTCACATCTTCCATGGATGGCAGCAATGAAAGAAAGAGAGCTTGTGCAGGGAAACTCCGATTTGTAAAACCATCAGATCTCTTGAGACTCACTCACTATCATGAGAACAGTGCATGAAAGATCCACCTGCATAATTCAATTACCTCCCATGACAGGTGGGAACTGTGGGAGTTACAATTAAAGATGAGATTTGGGTGGGGACACAGCCAAACCATATTACGTGCATTTCTCAGAAGGAAGAAAGAGTAATCTGGAAATGGCAGTGAAGAACAGGGAAGATGCAAAATTTACCTCCTGTACAAGTGGTAATGAAATTGTGAGAGAAAACAGCTACAACTTGCAGGCAGTATAGGTGAATTCACATCTTAAGGAGTCAGACTTTCATTAGAAAAAGAAATATAAGGAATGTTTAAAGAAGAGCTTAAGGACAAAGAACATGAATATGTTATCTTCTCTATTACTTATATTTGATTCTAAAATTAGAATTCTAGATTCTAATTGATTCTAAAATTAGTTCAGAATCATACACTCTTAAATGTTGAGATTCTAGATTTATCTAATAATCCTATTCTTAGGTATTCATTTTTAAAAAATTCTCCTTTAAATTGCCAGCTTTTTATTTTATTTAAATGTTTTATGTCAATTAATTTCTTTTTTCTAATCATTTTTAATATTTTATATTTGGTTTCTTTTTCTCTTACTCTTAACTTTGTAATATCTTTATTCTTGTGCTTCCATAGTCTCTTATGACCAGATCTATCATCTGACTGAGTCTACACTAATATATTCTACATTTCATTCTGCTACATTGGGTGAAATATCCATTTTTAAGGTCATTTCTTTGATGACTGCACTGGATCCCGAATGCTTTTGCCCAACAAATAACTTGGTTTCTGCAGTTGCAACTTCTCAATTTAGCATTAGCAATTTTTTTTTGCCTAGGGGATCATTTCCATAATTATATAAACATGCTGTAATATCTCCCATTTTAAAAGAAAGTAATCCTTCCCATGACTTCATAACCCCCTCGGCTATTACAGCATTTTTCTATTCCTCTTTAGAGTAAACTACCTCAAGAATCTTCCAAAAAAGGCTGCCTCCTATCTTCTCTTATGACTTTCCGTACTCTCTCTCACCTGTTTTTAAAAAGTAATTTATTGTGACATATAGTATGTATATTAGAGCACATAAAACACACATGCATAGGTCATTGAGAATGATGGTATATGGAAAAAACACACATGTGCCAAAGGAAAATAATAAAGTCAACATGCACACACTCACCACTAAGGTTAACAATGAAACATTACCAGGACCTTAAAGTCCCTTCCTCATCCTATACTCCTCTTTATATCTAGATGTAGCCATTATCTCTGCTTTTTCATTGAGGATATTCCAACCATTTTCGTAGAAAACTATTTTTGATATATTTACATTTAAATCTATCATCCTGCTATTTGTTTTCTATTGATATGTTCTTTGTTCCATTTTCTCTCTCTTCTGCTGTCTTTTGGATTGTTTTTGGTGACATTTTATCTTCTCTTTGGCTTATTAGCTATAACACTTTGTTTTGTTACTTTAGTACATGATTCGAGATTTATAATATATGTCTTTAACTTATCATGGTCATTTTTCAAGTGATTGTATGTCCTTCACATATAGTATAACAACCTTACAATAGTATGCATGCATTTACCCCTTTCTGGCTATATTTTCATATGCTTTACTTGCACATATGCTGTAAACCCAACAAGACATTACAATTATGTTTGTTTCAAGAGTGAGTCATCCTAAAGAGATTTAAATAATATAAAAAATATCTTGTATATTTACCTCTGTACTTAGCAGTTTTGGTGTTCATTCTCTTTATCATGTAGATCCATGATTCCATCTGATGTCATTTTCCCTTTTCCTGAAAGGATTTTTAGAAGTACTTCTTGTCATGTTTGTCTTCTGCTGCTGAATTATTTCAACTTTTGTATGTCTGAGAACATGTATATTTTGCCTTTGCTTTTGAAAGGCATTTTAAATGTGGGTATAAAATTTTAGGTCAACAGCTTTTTTTTTTTCTTTCTTTCAGTAGTTTAAAGGTGTTGATGCTAATGGTTGCATTGTTTCCACTGAAAAAATTGCTGTTGTCCTCATCTTTGGTCCTCTGAATGAAAGGTGTCTTATTTCTTTGGCTACTTTTAAGATTTTCTGTTATTGCTAGTTTTGAGCAAGTTTATTATGAGATGAATTTATTATATGAATGAATTCATATTTCTTCTACTTGGTGTTTATTGAACTTCCTGGATAAGAGGCTTATAGTTTTTATCAAATATGGCAAATTTTGAGCCATTATTTCTTCACAAGTTTTTGCCCTGCTCTCTCACTCCTCTCCTTTGAGTATTGGAATTTCACATATATTAAACAGCTTGAAGTTTTCCTTCCATTCACTGCTGCTCTTTTCTTTTTTCTCTTCCCTTTGCTCCATTTTGGATGTTTTCTCCTGTTATGTCTTCAAGTTTGTTAGTATTTTCTTGTGTAATGTTGTATCTGCTGTTTGTCCTATCCAGTGTACAGTAGTTTCTCCTTATCTGCAGTTTTGCTTTCAAGCTGTTTAAGTTATGTGTGGTTAACCATCATCTGAAAATATTAAATGAAAATTTCTAGAAATAAACAATTCATAAGTTTTAAATTATGCACTGTTTTGATTCGCATGATAGAATCTTACTCTAGCCCGCCCAGGACATAAATCATCATTTTGTCCAATCTATCCACACTGCATATGCTACCCACCCATTAGTCACTTTGTAGCCAGCTCTGTTATCAGATCAGCTGCTGTGGTATGGCAGTGCTTGTGCTCAACTAACCCTTATTCTACTTAATAATGTCCCCAAAGTGCTGGTAACTCAGATATGGCAAAGAAAAGCTATGAAGCACTTCCTTTAAGTGATTAAATGAAAATTCTCAATAAGTAAAGAAAAAATCATATACTGAGTGAGGTTGCTAAGATCTACAGTAAGAACAAACCTTTTATTCATCAAATTGTGAAGAAATTCATGTAGTTCTGTTGTCACACCTCAAACTGCAAAAGTTATGGCCACAGGGTATGAGATTTTTTTTCTTTTTTTTGTTATTATACTTTAAGTTCTAGGGTACATGTACACAACATGCAGGTTTGTTACATATGTATACATGTGCCATGTTGGTGTGCTGCACCCATTAACTCATCATTTACATTAGGTATATCTCCTAATGCTATCCCTCCCAACTCCCCGCACCCCACAACAGGCCCGGGGGTGTGATGTCCCCCTTCCTGTGTCCAAGTGTTTTCATTGTTCAGTTCCCATGATAACTTATTTTATAGTATATTGTTAGAATTGTTCTATTGTATTACTTATTGCTGTTAATCTCTTACTGTACCTAATTTATAAGTTAAACTTTACCATAGGTATGTATGTATAGGAAAATATATAGTATATGTAGGGTTCAGTACTATCTGTGATTTCAGGCACCCATTGGGGGTCTAGAATGTATCCCCACAGATAAGGGGGACTACTATTATTTTCATCTCAAACATTGGAGTTTCCATATCTAGAACTTCAATCTGGGATTTGTTAAATCTTTCATGTATCAACTTAACTTTTGATTATATGAAAAGTAATAATAAGAATTGTTTTAATGAATCTACTAATTCTATCATCTTTGCAGGTGCTATGTTGGTTTCAGTTGATTGATTTTTCTTATTATGGGTAATATTTTTCTGTTTCTTTTCTGTTGGGCAATCTTTGATTGGATGTAGAGATTATGATTTTTTTCTTGGGTAGTGTTGGATATTTTATATTTGTATTATTAGTCTTGAGCTGTGTTCTAAGACTCAGTTAAATTACTCGAAAACAGTTTGATCCTTTAGAGTCTTTAAGATTGTTGGATGGAATCAGAGGAACATTCAGTGTAGTACTAATTATTCACCACTCCTGAGGCAAGACCTTCCTGAATACTCTTGCCAGTGCCCTATGATTATGTTTTTCAGTCGGGCTGGTGGTAATGGGCATCATTCCCAGTCCTGTGTGAAAACCAGACATTGTTCCCTCTATTCCTTACAGATAATTCTTTCTTCAGCCTTGGGTAGTTTCTTCACACACACACATTGATCTGTATTCTGCAGAACTCTCTCTGTGGGAACTTGCTACAGATCGCCAGTATTCTTTCCTATTTTCTGTCACTCTGACCCACAGGCTCCAGCTGTGTTAATCTCTCCAAGCTCTCAGCTCTATCTCCTCAGCTCTGGTAATCAAATGAGCTCTTCTTCAGTTTCCCCTTCATGCACTGCATTCCAGAAACATTCTCAGGGCTGTCAGCTGTAATAACTGTGGGGCTCACCTCTTTTCTTTTCCATTTCTCAGGAATCACTAGCCTTTGTTGTACGGGGAAAAAAAAACTTGTTTTTTTGTTCGTAAATATTGTCTACTTTCTTGTGTCTTTTTTTCAAGTGAGGGAAAATCACATCCTTGCTACTATATCTTGGTTAAAAGTGGAAGTTCCTTGAGAATACTGAACGACTTAATTGTTTAAAAATATAAAACAAATCAATATATATGTAGGTGACTTCTCAAGAACCAGAGAAATTTTTATTATCTGAGAATGCCCCCCAAAAATCTTGAGAAATAATCTGAATTTCACTTATAATGCATAGAAAAGCAAGCCCTATTTGTTCAATGTGAAAGTTAACATAAGCAATATAGTAGTGAACATTTGAATTATGTTTCTTGGGCTAGAGTCCACAATTTGAGAAGTGTTTTTTTCTTTTTTTTTCTTTTTGGATGGTACAATATGTGTATTTAAGTCTACTTAACGTAGAAAAGATATGGAGAAGGTGGTTAACTAAATTCTAATGGGTATTCTTAAAAGAAATTATCTCCATCTATCTAATCTATTTATGTAATAACATCCATCTGGCTTACTTTTTTATTGTTAAATGAGTTGGGATATCTTCCCCTACTCTTTTCCTTATAAAATATTGTGGTACATTCTGTTTAATAAAATATTAATAATTTTATGTCGAATAATTTTTCTTTAAAATTTAGTTTTTGCTACCTTGGTTAAGGAAGACAGTCTATCTCAAGTTTGTAAAATTAATCTTACGTTTTCCCCAAGTTTTAGAAAGATTTTTCTTTTGTTTAGATTTTTAATCCAATTGGAAATTATTTTGTGTACAGAGTGTGGTATGCTATGATTTCATCACTGTTTCCATAGAAAAGGTCAATTGAGTCAATGCTTTTAATGGAATATAATATTTTCTTAATTAATTTGCAACATTACATGTTACACCAGGTTTCCAAACTGGTTGTATCCCTTTCTGGGTTCTCTATTCTTTTCTACTAATCTATCTACATACTCTTGTGTCAAAAAGACACTGTTTTAATTTCTCTAATTTTGCAACATACCAATGAGACTGATAGGAGTTGGTAGATAAATACCTAGATTTCTTGTGCCTTCAATGGACTGACTTTGAGATGTGTGCTCTACAATGCCCCCTAGAGTTTCTTGGTGAAATTAAATTCAAATTACCTATGGTAATAAATTTTTTGCCAACATATGCTTCATTGCCTTTTTTTCCTCTGCCTCACTTCCTCACTTCCCTATTAGCGTTTTCTGAAATCATCTGTAATGCAACAGAATTGTACCTGAATCCTTGTGTCAGGATCCTTTGGCAGGAACCCAAACTGAGATACTAATATATTTCTATATTCATGTTATCTATTTTTTTATGAACTAAAATAGGTTTGAATTTTATTAAATGCTCTTTATGAATTTAATTAGATGATAATGCCAAATTAATGAGCTATATTCATACAATTTTGTCTTAAATCTTATTTTAGAGGCTATAATTTCTTTCTTAGAGTAAGATTTTTTGAGGTTCAATTTATACACAATAAAGTTCATCCTTGTTAGGTGTACGATTTTATTAATATTAACACATACTTACAATAATGTTACTTCTATCATCATAATAAGAAAATGGAACATTTACATTTCCCCAGAAAGTTCACTGGTGGACCCTTGTTGTTAATTCCCCTCTTCCTTTTCCATTCCCTGACAATGACTGATTGGTTTTCTACCCCTATAGTGTCCCCATTTCAAGGATGTCATATAAATGAAATGATAATAAAATATACAGACTTTTATTTTTTAGATCCTATGTTTCAGATCATATGTTTTATTTGTTCTTAGGTTTACACATGTTTTGGGAATTGCTGAGTCATATAGTTAGTGAAAATTGAACTTCATAAATACAAAAACTCTCTTTAACTGTATATTCAAATAGATACAGATATAGATATGTAACTATTCAACTTACCAATTTCATCTTGAGTGAGTTTTTGAAGTTTATGCGTTTAAAAAAATTTGTTCATTTTTGTGGAATTTAGTGGGAAAAGTCACTCATCATATTCTCTTAGTTTTTAGTATCTGTAGCATCTATAATAAATGCCCTTCTTTTATTCCTGATACGGGTAATTTGTGTGTTCTCTTTTTATTATGATACATTTAGCTACAGGTTTACTGATTTTATTGATTTCTCATAGAAATTGATATTTTGTTACATTGACTTTCTCTATTGTATTTCAATTTCATTGATTTCCTCTTTTGTCTTTATTATTTTCCTACTTCTGCTCTCTTTTCATTTAATTTTTTCTTCTCTTTCTAGTTTCCTAAGGTAGAACATAAAATCACTGATTTGGATACTGATATAGTTTGCAGGTCCCCTCCAAATCTCATGTTGAGATGTAATCCCAGTGTTGGAGATGAAGCCTGGTGGGAAGTGTTTGAGTTATTGGAGCAGGTTCCTCATGGCTTAGTGTGGTCCTCAAGGTAGTGAGTGAGTTTACCTGGGATCCAGTTGTTTAAAGTGTGTGGCACGTCTCCCATTCTCCCTCTTGCTCCTGCTCTGGCCATGTAACATGCCTGCTCCTGCTTTGCTTTCCACCATGTGTAAAGACTTTCTGAGGCCTCCCTAGGAGCCAAGCTAATGCCAGTGCCATGCCTCCTGTACAACCTGCAGAACTGTGAGCCAATTAAACCTCTTTTCTTTATAAATTACCCAATCTTAGGTATTTCTTTTTTTTTTTTTAGTCGAGATGGGGTTTCACCGTATTAGCCAGAATGGTCTCGATCTCCTGACCTGGTGATCCACCCACCTTGGCCTCCCAAAGTGCTGGGATTTCCCTTAATATTTTAATGCCTTTAAAGGTAACAGTCTTAACCAAAAATTAAGTTTGGAAAGTTGGAAAGAAGTTGGAAAGAAGTTCTTTATAGCAGTGCAAGAACAGCCTAACAAAGATACCTGTTCTTTTTCTAATCATTTGATGTTATAAATTTTTTTCTACAGACTTCTTTGATGTATTCAAAATATTTTGATATAATGTGTTTTCATTTTCACTTAACTAATAATTTCTAACTTCCATTGTAGTTTCCTCATTGATCCATGAATTGCTTAGAAATATCTTGCTTAATTTTCAATATTTGAGTATTATCAAGATACCCTACTGGTTTCTAGTTAAATTTCACTGTGGTCAGGTAATACACCTTGTATATTTTCCATTTTTTAAACTTTGTTAAAGTTTGTTCTAAGGCTCAATATGTTCTATCTTGGTAAATGCCCATATGTACTTCAAAAAATTATGTACCTTGCTTACTTCTGGGTATAATGTTCCATACATGTCAATTAGGTCATTTTTCAGTTCTTCTATATCCTTGATTTTCTGTGTACATGTTCTATCAATTACCTAGGTGTGTAAAGTAATTCAAATAATTGTGAATTTGTTTATTTCTACTTTCAGTTCTATCAGTTTTATTTCATGTATTTTGAAGCTCTGCTGTTAAATATGTATACATTTAACATTGCTCAATCTCCTTAGTGATTAGGTTTTTTTATTATTAGCAATTACAGTGAAAACATGTGATGTCTTTATTTTTTAAAATAATCCTTGTTTTGAAATTTCTTTAATGTCAATATAGCTGACCCATTTTCTTCTGATTAAATTTTATGTAGTATGTATTCTTTTCTCATTGACCAAATCAGCCTTTTAATCAGAGTTTAGATAATTTATATTTAATGTAATCACTGTGAGTATTAAATTTAAATATAATGTTATTTATATTTTATTAGATTTTTTTCTGATTATACTTTACTTTCACAATTGTCTTACTAGTTACACTACTTTCTTTAATTTTTTTTTAGTAGTTTCCACAGTTTACTGTAAACATCATTAATTCATCACAATCTAGATTCAAATATTAGAATACCACTTTATATATCCTGTGAGAAATATAACAATATATTTTCAATTTCCTCTCTCCCATCCATTGCTATTTTTATCATACCTTTTATTTTACCTATGTTATAAATTCAAAACATTGCTTTGTTTAGATAATTTTTAAATTATTTCTTTTATATTTACCTTAATTTTTACTATTTCCAACGCTCTTCATTTCTTTGTATACGTCCAAGTTTCTGTCTGAAGGATTTCCTTTAATATGTATAAATGCTAAACTTCTCTTCTCGCTTCATTTCATTCATTTGATCTTCAATCAGTGATACCCTTTCTTCCACTTGATTGAATCGGCTATTGAAGTTTGTGCATGCGTCATGTAGTTCTCGGGCCATGGTTTTCAGCTCCATCAGGTCATTTAAGGTCTTCTCTATGCTGTTTATTCTAGTTAGCCATTCGTCTAATCTTTTTTCAAGATTTTTAGCTTCTTTGCAATGGGTTTGAACATCCTCCTTTAGCTTGGAGAAGTTTGTTATTACTGATAGTCTGAAGCCTACTTCTGTCATTTCCCGGCCAGCTTTGTTCCGTTGCTGGTGACAAGCTGCATTCCTTTGGAGGAGAAGAGGCACTCTGATTTTTAGAATTTGCAGCTTCTCTGCTCTGGTTTCTCACCATCTTTGTGGTTTTTATCTACCTTTGGTCTTTGATGATGGTGATGTACAGATGGGGTTTTGGTGTGGATGTCCTTTCTGCTTGTTAGTTTTCCTTCTAACAGTCAGGACCCTTAGCTGCAGGTCGGTTGGAGTTTGCTGGAGGTCCACTCCAGGCCCTGTTTGCCTGGGTATCAGCAATGGAGGCTGCAGAACAGCGAATATTGCAGAACGGCAAATATTGCTGCCTGATCCTTCTTGTGGAAGCTTCGTCTCAGAGGGGCACCCAGCTGTATGAGGTGTCAGTATCCGCCCCTACTTGGAGGTGCCTCCCAGTTAGGCTACTCAGGGGTTAGGGACCCACTTGAGGAGGCAGTCTGTCCGTTCTCAGATCTCCAACTCCGTGCAGGCAGACACACTATGCTCTTCAAAGCTGTCAGACAGGGACATTTAAGTCTGCAGAAATTTTTGCTGCCTTTTGTTCAGCTATGCCCTGCCCTCAGAGGTGGAGTCTACAAAGGCAGGCAGGCAGGCCTCCTTGAGCTGCTGTGGGCTCCACCCAGTTCGAGCTTCCCAGCCACTTTGTTTATCTACTCAAGCCTCAGCAAAGGCAGACACCCCTCCCCCAGCCTCGCTGCCACCTTGCAGTTCATATGTATAAATGCTAGTAATGAACTGTACTATGTCATGTTTATATAAAAAGATCTTTATGTTGTCCATTTTACTGGGGGTATAATTCTGTTTAACAAGTTTCTTTTTTCTCTTTCTTTTTTTTTATTCTTTCCTTCTTTCTTGTAGTGAATGCATTTAATACTCTTCCAAGTGATGCTTAGCTGCATCTCTATAATCATTGTTATATTATGATTTCATTATCGTTCAATTTTAAATATTTTTCCACCTCCATTGTACTTTCTTTTTAAACTTATTTTCATTTTTTTAACCTAATCTGGAATTCTATAATTGTAACTTTCAAATTTTCAACTGTGACACTGTAGTTAAAAGAAGCCATAGACAGCATGTAAATTAATGGACATGGCCGTGCTATAAAAAAACTTAATAAAAACAGTCAGTGAGCAATTGCCCAACAGGCCATTGTTTCTTGAATTTTGTTCAAAGGTTTCTTCAGATTTTATTGCAACTTATTTTGCAGCCTAATACATGCTAATTTTTATAAAAATGTTCTCTGTGACTGTTGGAGAAGGATGTGGGTTTTTTGATAGACATATTTATACATACATTTTTCAAGCTGTTTAATTATATTATGTTATTCAGATAATTTATGTCTTTTTTGTCTTATATTTTCTTTAATATCACAAATAATTAGCGTTTGAATTTTTAATTTCTGTGAGTACATAGTAGGTGTATATATTTATGGGGTACATGAGATGTTTTGATGAATACAGGCAACATGAAATAAGTACATCATGAAGAATGGGGTATCCATCCCCTCAGGTTTTTATCCGTTGAACTGCAAATAATCCAACTACACTCTTTAAGTTATTTTAAAATGTACAGTTATTATTGACTATAGTCACCCTCTTGTCCTAGAAAATACTAGGTCTTATTTATTCTTTCTATTTTTTTTTTACTTATTAACCATCCTCACCACCACCTCATTCCCAAGCCCCAATACCGTTCTCAGCTCTTGTAACCATCTTTTACTTTCTATGTCCATGACTTCAATTGTTTTGATTTTTAGATCCCACAAATAAGTGACAATATGCTAAATTTATCTTTCTATGCCTGGCTTATTTCACTTAACATAATGTTGTTGCACATGACTGGCTCTCGTTCTTTTTTATGGCTGAATAGTACTCCATTGTGTATATGTACCACATTTTCTTTATCCATTATTCTGTTAATGGACATTGAGGTTGCTTCCAAATCTTAGGAATTGTAAACAGTGCTCCAACAAACATGGGAGTGCAGATATCTCTTTGATATACTAACTTCCTTTCTGTTGGGTATATCCCCAGCAGTGGGATTGCAGGATTATATGGTAGCTCAAGTTTTAGTTTTTTGAGGAACCTCCAAACTGTTCTCCATAGTGTTTGTACTAACTTACATTCTCACCAAAATAATTAGCTTCAAAATTTAAATACTTCCAGAGCCTTTTGGAGTTCATAGGTAATAAAATGATGGAACTATGAGCCATTCCTCTAAGCATAGTTAAATGGATTTAAATAACGTTCCTTGCTATTTTTATTAATAAATAAAACCAAGTATTTCAAACGGGGAAAACGTGTTGGAAATTTCACTTATGTTGCTATTCTAAGTCCAAATATAATATATTATTTTACATTTAGCCATTATTCTGTGCATATTTCAACTTTCCTGGGCTGATAAATATGGTCTGTGAGAAAACTATTCACTATCGTTTTACTTAATCTTTTATATAGCCCTCTTGGACGTTATCTGAATTGTATCCAAAGTAGGACAGGCAAGATTATAAGGCTGGGAAGAATAAAAGGGAACGATGTTTCTAATTTTATTCACAATTTCTCTATTACTTAAGGTTCTCTTGAAGCTCTCTTAGGACACTGAAAGACATTTTTCTCTCTAAGTCTCAAACTAAATGTTTTAATTTACACAATACAATTATTAAAAACTATAGCCAGCTTTATATATTCCATTTGCAGAAAAATCTTGACTTACTGCTTCCAGACTTCTACTATAGGTATACCAAATATTCATGTTCAGGTCAGTGGGATGGCATATAAAATAAAACATAAAAAAGCCTGGGAAATATAGAGTTTAAAAATAAGATTAAGAAAAAGTTTAGTCTACTGATGTTCAAGTTGTGGTGCTGCCAAATATCTTAAATTGAACTTCATGGCAGTCAAAACACAAATGGTGAACATTACTCTAAATTTTTCATGAAGAAAATGTGAACTTATTCCTTAGAAAAAAAAGTTTTTCCTAGTAGTCAGGAAACCATTTTTCTCAAAACATTTTTTAAAAAGAAGATATTTCATCATGTGAGAATGAGCTACTCAATAACTTCCCTGTAATAAATGTACTAATGGTATCACACAGCAGTTTCTATTTCCATGCCTCCATGCAGAGTTTCTGCATTTCACAACTCTGGGAGGCATCATTTTCAATGTCTTCTATACAAATGGCTCTCGTTGACATTATGCAAGACTTATACTGCCCAGCTATACACAGAGCCCTCAAGATAGATAAGTCAAGGCCACAACACTGAATGCAGCTTAGTGAAAGGCATTCTTCAAGAATAAAGTAACTGTGATTTTGTTGAATAATGCTTCCTTAATGGTGGTTCCAAAATTAAGGGCCATAGAAAGACCCTGGCTGTTAATGCAGAACTACCTAACTTCTGCCTTCTCTAAGTGGCTATACAGTGTTAATGGTTATATGATCTTGCATAAGTTAGTAGACTTTCCTAAGTCCCAGTTATATCATATATAATATAGAAGCAATATGTATACTTGCTTCATAAGGTAGTTATGAGTTTATATTAAGAAATAATACAAAAATTGGACAAAATAGAAAACTAATTTTTGGGATTTGAGATAGTTCTTAGACTTTAATATGAGTCACTGGGTTTCTGGAGGCTAATGGAAATACAAATTATACTCTTACATATTGGTTGTTATTTTAATAAGAGAACTACTTAATTAAAAGCAAATGAGTAACTAACCCTTATAAAGGAAGTATAATTGATTATAAACACAAGCTTAAGTTAGGGAGAGTCATCTGTAGTATTCCTTCCTAGAGAGGGATTTGTAAGACCCAGTTTCAATTGCTGTCATTTCTGCATAGTAAATGTACATTCTTAGGTAGGTAATTCAATGTTTTTTGGTTTATTTCATCATCTACAAAACTGAGGGATTAGAGTACATGACTTCTGAAGTCCCATCTGTGCATTCCTGCTATATAATTGTTTGCCTCTTGTGGATGCTACTTTTTGAATAGTTTAAAACAACAGCATTAGCAAATTTGGAATCCATCATGGCCCAGAAATCTGAGACTAATGGGATATGGAGATAGTAAAGTTACAGTGTATCAACAAATCAATATCTAGTTAGATATTGATTTTGCTACCTTCAAAATGAAGCCCTTTATACCAACAGAATAATACAGACTCCTTACTGAAAAGCAATCCAAGATAGAGTGATTTAGAGAGACCTCAAAGAAAGATAAATAAAGTCAAGGAAAACTACAAAAGTGACTTAAAAATTTTACCCAAACCAGGAATCAAATTGATATTAGTATTTGAGCTAATATTTACGAGTTTCTAAGAAAACTACCCCTGCAAGAAGGAAGGAATGTTTGAAAGGACATAAATTTGTTGAATGTCATAAGCATTTAGTAAAGGATATGGAAGAAAAAAAGAAAGAAAAAAACAGTATTGAAAGCTCTGAATCTCTTAGATTAATTTAGCAGTAGAAATTAAGTGCACAGATTGAATGAAGCTTTTTGCATGCAACTGGAGCAACCACATCTACCAATGCTTTTCTTTGTTCCCTTACCCAGTCTAATTGCTTCTTATAATAAAAACATTAGAGTTGCCTACAGTTTTGTTGTGTTTTAAACCTACCAGTGAAAGATATCATTAGGGTTGTGAGTAATCTCTTCTGTATCTCATGAACAAATAATGTGGGCAGTTGTCCAATCAGAATAAAATAATCCCTGCACTCTAGGGAGAACTCCATGTAATTCCCTCATACCACCTTGCAATGGCGAGTCAACTTTCCATGCAATTGCATTCTGATTGTTTTTTATCCGTTATAACCCAAAATAGTGGGATGAAAGAATGTGAAAAACTCCTTCCTATTTTATTGTTGATATATGGTAGGCTGAGGGAAAAAATGAACACATTTAACAAATTCCAAATATGTTATTTACATTGATGATTCTCCATTTCTAAGGTCAGGATAGTTTGATTGAACCTTGGGAGAATTAGACTTTTCATTCTTTAGCTTACCATGGAATTATCCCAGCTGGAAATCCAAAATAAAATTTGCTGTTTGTAGTTGGCTCCATTTTCTGTAGATTACAAATACAAACATTGAAACCCTGTGTGGAATGATGAACTGTCATTGATTTTGAGCGGAATTATCAAATATGCCAGTGGGATGTTAGATAAACCTGTAGGCATTTATATGATTCTCTAACATGGCAAGATTTAAAACATTTTTTAAACCCCTTCAAAAAATCCAAAAAAAGGAAATCAGTGCTGACCAGTGTTAAAAACTCATTCAATTTGTATTATTAGGAAACTAGATTTATTCATTTTCTTAGTGTCTGATATATATGTATATATAAATATATATATTAGTAAACAGTATGTATCCTCCTCACTGACTGCTTACTTAGTCAAATCTACCATAAATATGATTGTGCAGCTTGTTTATACAGTTGACATTTTAATGACATGTTGATTCTGTAAATCATTTGTCAATCGATATTTAGAGGTTATTTTGTTTGTTTGTTTGTCATCTTCCTAAGTCTGTAAGTATGACAAACGTTAAGCCTAAAATGTTTGCCAGGTGAAATGCTCACAGTCATTATTATTATTTTTTATTGGCAGAATTTAAAAACATTTGCTTGACCCCCTAGAGCTAGAAGTATTGATTTTTTTAATGGGTACACTTTTCTCAAATGGAGTCCATTGCTTAAATCCAACATCCGCTCATTTGTTGAAGGAGCAGTTTTTTATTTCCAACCAAGTAATTACTGTTATTTTTTTTGCCACTGATAATGTGTTTAAGAATCTATATAGTCTCTCAAGGAAGTTTAAAGTTTGTCTTCTATGCCAGAAAGCAAAGAGGCAATAGGATTTAAATAATTAATAAGTTGTTATAACTTTTTTCTTTTTCTTTTTTTAGTTTTTCGAGACAGGGTCTTGCTTGTTACCCCGGCTGGAGTACAAGAGTGGGATCACAGTTCATGCAACCTTGAACTCCTGGGCTTCAGCGATCCTCCTGCCTCAGCCTCCTGAATAGCTGGGACTACAGGCACACACCACCACCCACAGCTAATTCTGAATTATTTTGTAGAGATGAGGTCATAGTATGTTGCTCAGGCTGGTCTCAAACTCCTGGTCTCAAGCGACTGTTCTGCCTTGGCCTCCCCAAAGTGCTAGGATTACAGGCATGAGCCACCATGCTGTGCCTATAACTTTTATCTAAACATTTTTTAGCTTTATTCTACGTAATACATTTACTTCATCTTTTGAGATCAGGTAGGTAGAACTTCCCAGATTGGTGCAGACAAGACCGTCTTTTTTTTTTTTTTTTTTTTTTTTTCCGGTACAGATTCTCTCAAGAAGTTAGGGATTGCACAGGCTGTCAGAAGCTGAGATTCCTTAATCTACTTTTACAAAAAAATGAAGAAAAATATCACAGAGTGAAAAAGTTATGATATCAATTTGACCAGAAGTTCCAATCACTTACATTATTTATCACGTAGCCACTAGACCCTCTTCCAATAATCTATGATATATGGTGGTAGATGATGGTAGGAGAGAATATTCTTTTATAGATTTGCAGTAACTTTCTTGCCTTAGGCAGGGTGGAGTTGAGACTTGTCTATTTTCTCTCATTTTGGATAAGGTGTAGCTCAATCACCCACTTAACATCTACCTCCTAAAATGCCTTGCTCGTAGACCTGAGCTACTGATCAATACTTATTAATTTTAAAATTCTTCTATATTTTGAGAGTTCAAGGACAGTTTTCTCTGGCTCTGTACAGCCTAGAAAGAGTAGTCTAGCAAGAGAGAGTTGAGAGTGCACAGTATGGTAGAAAATAACAAATAGTTCAGTGGGTGTATAATGTATCATTTAAAAGGCTCATTGTGAGAGAAGAGGCCAAGGATGTTTAAAGGAAGAGTCAGCAAAAGGGGGAAGGCATATTGTTAGATGCCTTACATGCTGTTGCAGGGTTTGGACTTGATTCTGAAAGCTGGGAGGCATTAAGTGAGATTGAGCAGGGGAATATATTAATGAGTTGTTGTTTTTGTTTGTTTTATTTTAAGAAAATTCACTCTGGAGGCTCTATAAAGAACAGCTCACAGAAATAAGTAGATACCATCTGACCAGCTAGAAAGCTCCTTTAGCAACTTGTTTCAGAAAGCTGAATGCATAACAAATGTAGCAATTGTGGATTGATATAAATGGGGAGGATTGGAAAGGAGTTGAAAGAACTGAATAGGTAACATTTATTGTTTAATTAGATATGGTAATAAAAACATCATATCAAACGTGACTACAGATTCTGGTTTGTGCAATTGAGTGGAACTTGGAAGTCTATTTATTTATTTTATATGCTGATCAAGTTTTCAAAGATGATTTAAGGTGGCTAGAAAGAGTAAATTAAAAAGATTAAATATCAACAGCAGAAATATTAGAAAAAAATTAAAGACAAAACAAAAGAAATGAAATGCAACCAAAAGAAAAGCATGAGACAAATGGAAAACTATGGTATTATAACAAAATAAGATAGAACTAAAAGAAGTGGCATGAGTATGCAAATATATTTAATGAAAGCTTATAAACTTGCTAAAGTTGGGTCACAAATCAATTCAGCACAAAGATGTTTAGTAGGTTATTCAATAAGGGAAACATAATCGTAACAAGATCCATGTAGCTGCGTGGAAGGTAACAACAAATCCACTGTTGCAGCAACTAGTAATCATTTCTGTTTCTGCAACAAGAAAAATTCACATCCAGGAAGTAGTGTCATTTCCTTAAAGAGTAAAGAGAAGGAATAGATTATAGACAGAAATAAGGCTGAATTCAGTCTAGCCAATGTTAAGTCACTGCATCTCTAACTAAACAGATTTCTTGCTCTTTTCAAATACTCACTGTCCAACACTTTGTGTTCTTCTTGATTCCTATCTGTGAGCCAGGAAACAAACATTTTTTGAGAATCCATAATGTACTTTTGACAGAGAAATTTGCCTTGCATCAATGGCTTTCCTCTTTTTCTCTGCCTTAATAACTCTATCTCTTGTGATTCCACCTCATTCATTTCCTAATTCATCAGTGCAGTTATATTGTATTTTTATACTATGTATTAACAACTGTGTGGCCTGGACTTCAAAGGCCTTAAATACTTTAAATCTTCTTTATTCTCCACTTGCTGTCTCCAACATCAAAATTCTGTAATCCAGGTTTTATAAAATATGCAATGTGTCTCACTGATAGTGCTTGAAAAGATTTTGGGAGATACATGAATATGGTCTTAAATAACACAGAATCACATACTGAGAAAACATTCCTCTTTCAATTCTGTTTCATATTTAATGATGAATTCAAGAAGCAGTTCTCCATTTTGTATATTTGTAAGAGTTTTTAATACTAATCTTCTTTAATCCAAAATCTCTGCTTTAGAGTCTTTTAGCAGTCAGTGGTGGATAAATAGAATTTAAAAATTTGTTTTGTTTTTATTGTATTATCTTTGATTTTCACAAAGTGATAGTGTTTTCTTTTTCCAGGGCAGTGAAATAGAACTTCCTTTTAAAATAAATTTATTTCAGTTAAGAATTGAATTGAGTGCATTAATAATATTCAGATATTAATATTAAATGACGTGCAACTATGGGGGAAAAAACTTTGGAAAATATTACACTTATTTCATGGATATAACACAAATCAGAAACCTAAGATGCAGATGACTAACTTTGGGAAACAACTATGATGTCCACCAACCCAACCTACTTGCCTTTCTGCAAATAAGACTGTATTAGCAACTGTTATGCCTTTGCTGTGCTGGCACCTTAGCTTCAAAATCTCTCCTAGCCTTTTCCACTTGACGAACTCCTACTCACCTGTCAAAAATTAGCTTCTGCATCTCCTCCAATATGAAGCTTTTGCTTATTTTACCTATAAACTGTTACTTACTAAACTGTAGTGCAAGTATTTGTTCAAGTATCAAACTCCCCATTTTACTGCAAACTTTTTGTAGCAATGTGTTATTTGTCTTTGTATCTCTAATTTCTACCACAATGACAGACACAAAACAGGCAAATGTTTGATTAATGAATTAATAAAAATTTTGCATATCTCTTGTAGATGAGGAACATTGTTTTTAGTTTGTTTAATATTCAATTAATGCTAGTCTGTGTATGTGTTTAAATTTTAGCAGAATTAACAATATGAATATACTTAATGCCACTGAACTGTACACTTTAATATGGTTAAAATGGTCAATTTTGTGTTATGTTTATTTTGTCACGATAAGTTTTAAAACTTTACAGAAGGTAAACAAAAATTAATATTTTAATGTTATATATTGAGACATAATTTTTCCTGTGCATACATTAGACCCATTAAAGATGGACTAACCAAAGATCAGTTTAAAAATTTACTGGAACTTATCACACCAGAATTAGCATGTAGCCTGATTGATGCGTCAAGCTTAAAAATTGATTGTGCTTGTTTATGGGGATGCAAATAAAATCCAAGAATACAGAGTTAATCTCAGGCAGTAGAGCCATTTTGTAAGTAGTATAAATATTTCTTCAGGTTTAATGAGTGGGGTAGGTGTCGCTGGTTAACAACTTGTATGCTCATGTGAAAATTAGTTGTTTCCTCAATATTGGACACTCAGGCGAATTATGTATTGTCATTCATCTATTATTTCAAAAAATCACTTTTGATAACAGAAACAAGTAGGAGCTAAATTTAATTTTTTTTATTTTATTATTATTATACTTTAAGTTTTAGGGTACATGTGCACAATGTGCAGGTTAGTTACATATGTATACATGTGCCATGCTGGTGTGCTGCACCCATTAACTCGTCATTTAGCATTAGGTATATCTCCTAATGCTATCCCTTCCCCCTCCCCTCACCCCACAACAGTCCCCAGAGTGTGATGTTCCCCTTCCTACAAAATGGGAGAAAATTTTTGCAACCTACTCATCTGACAAAGGGCTAATGTCCAGAATCTACAATGAACTCAAACAAATTTACAAGAAAAAAACAAACAACCCCATCAAAAAGTGGGCAAAGGACATGAACAGACACTTCTCAAAAGAAGACATTTATGCAGCCAAAAAACACATGAAAAAATGCTCACCATCACTGGCCATCAGAGAAATGCAAATCAAAACCACAATGAGATACCATCTCACACCAGTTAGAATGGCAATCATTAAAAAGTCAGGAAACAACAGGTGCTGGAGAGGATGTGGAGAAATAGGAACACTTTTACACTGTTGGTGGGACTGTAAACTAGTAAATTTAATTTTTTTAATTTTTATTTTCTGATAAGGATTCAAAGTTGGGATGTGGAAGCAGGGCCTGAGAAGACCTAAATTTGAGCACATGAAGGCAATTGATAACCTAGTAACACAGTCAAAATTCTCTTCCCTATAAATGCCTCTCTCAGCACATCTACTTTGGTTTTTTTTCTTATTGAATGGGCTTTCACAAGGTGGGTCCACAATGTGTGTCCAAGTTGGCTGCCCATGTTCATATTCCATTTCCAAGCACACTGAGAAGATAACTTTGTATTGGTTATGACGTAGTCTAATCAACTGCACTCAAGGCAGAAGCATCTTGGTTTATGTATATGCCTATGGGGCCAAATCCTGGGGTAGAAGAGGGGGCAAGACAGGAGGTCTTTGTGCACTGAGCAGACAACCCAAAAGGTTTGCTACCTGTGCGCAGGCTTCACAGGTGATGGCCAATGTGCTAGCACCGTCTAACCACCATGTCATCTCTACAGTATTTCAGCAATTGGAAAGAAAGGATAAAACTTCAGCCAGCTTAATAGCCTCTCAAGAAACCCTAAAATTTGGATAAATATCACTTACCCCAAAAACGATGTTTTGCATTCCATTAGCCAGATAACATCTATCATATTTCTTTATTTCCTTCATATGTTTTCATCACCCTTATTCTGTTTATGTG
This sequence comes from Homo sapiens, assembly GCF_000001405.40. NCBI lineage: Eukaryota > Metazoa > Chordata > Mammalia > Primates > Hominidae > Homo > Homo sapiens. Next base: position 98,542,473 of record NC_000001.11, on the reverse strand, counting down.
TTTGTTTATTTGCTGCTATCGCTACACCTCACTCTGAAAACTTAATCTTCATGAACGACCTTATCTGTTTGTTTACTGTTATATCCCACTGCCTAGAAGAGTTCCTGGGAGATACTGTTCAGTAAATACTTGCTAAATGGAAGAAGTTTAAAATATCTCACATTCAAAATGCACTGAAAGAAATATGTAAATGTTAAAATATAATTTTAAAATAATAGAACTATTGGGGTTTCATCCCATCCTATTAGGGTTTAGCTCACATTAGAAAGGGCTGCAGGGCATCTCACTCAGCACTTTCTAAAATTTATTGAGTCACAAATCCTTTCACAGTAAAATTTATTAAGTGACATTTTAAAAATCCTTAAGTCTTTTAAAATTTTTTCATAGTATATGCTGAGTTTATTTGAAGTAAAATATGTCAGACCAATTTATTACTAAATATTTTTATAAAATTAGTTTTAATGCAAACAATAGTATTTATATTTTAAAAACTGACATATTGAAAAAATTCTCATACTGCTTATTTTAAAACAATTTAAACAGAAAATATATAATATAAATATTCATTTCAAAATAACATTAAACTTATTTTATTTTTACCCTTTAGTATTTATAATATAAAAACTGGCCTATTGAAAAAATTTCTCATGCTACTTATTTTAACATAATTTAAAGAGAAAAGTGCATAATATAAATATTCATTTCTTTTTTTTTTTTTTTTTTGAGATGGAGTCTCGTTCTGTTGCCAGGCTGGAGTGCAGTGGCGCAATCCTAGCTCACTGCAACCTCTGCCTCTCGGGTTCAAGCAATTCTCCTGCCTCAGCCTCCCAAGTAGCTGGGACTACAGGTGCGCACCACCACCTCCAGCTAATATTTGTATTTTTAGTGGAGACAGGGTTCCACCATGTTGGCCAGGATGGTCTTGATCTCCTGACCTTGTGATCCACCTGCCTCAGCCTCACAAAGTGCTGGGATTACAGGCGTAAGCCACCACGCCCGGCATAAATATTCATTTCAAAATAACATTAAACCTGTTTGATTTTCATCAATGTAAATGTATTTATTTATTTATTTTTATATTTTTATTTTTTGAAACACAGTCCCTCTCTGTCACCCAGGCTGGAGTGCAATGGGATTATCTCAGCTCACTACAACCTCTGCCCCCCGGGTTCAAGCAATTCTTGTGCCTTGGCCTCCCAAGTAGCTGGGATTATAGGCATGCGCCACCACACCCGGCCAATTTTTTTATTTTTAGTAGAGACGAGGTTTCGCCATGTTGCCCTGGCTGGTCTCGAACCCCTAGGCTGAAGCCATCTGCCTGCCTTGGCCTCCCAAAGTGCTGGTATTACAAGCGTGTACCACTGCACCTGGCCTCATCATTGTAAATGTATTTGTATTTTGACTATTTGCTATACACACAGTTTTTATGACCTGATGAATTTCTCTTTGGAATTCTTGTGTTTTTTAGTCTTGCAAAAGTGAGATCTTTTAGTATTTGTGTTTTGTTTCTAAAAATTAGAAAAGGGTTTTTTGTTTTTTGTTTTTTTTTCAGGCAGCTTACATGCAAGTACTCCTCAAAAGATTAGAAATTGGTGGAGATTTCTGGCTAAATAATGTGAGCTAATTATGTGCATTTTCCTCCTGATCCTCTTCCTTTTCCACTAAAAGGAAACAAAAAACTGCATAAACTCATAAAGACAAGGAATAAGAAAGGATGCTTTAATGGATGACTGATTTCAAGAAAAGTTTACAGGCTAAGAAACAGGTGGATGGTAACTGAATGAACTGAGCAGAAGAGGCTGCAATGTTGTGTTCCTACAGAGCAGGTTGCCAAAGAGGAGCAAGATGCCTTGCCACAAAGAACCTAAGAGGATCGAGACTTGGAGTTACCTGGTTTAGCAGACAAATAAATTGAGACAAATACATTAATTAAAATGGAAACAAAATCGAGAAATATAAAAATAATAATTTTGGAACTTTACTTCAAAATGTTCCCTAGGAAGGGAAAGTTGGGTAGATGAAAAGGTAGGCCTTTGCTGTGCACAAACAAATGAGCCATTTTCTAGAATTTTTACCTATTTGCATGCTCTTCCTTCCTTTATCCACTTTAGCTTCCCAGAACTATTTTTTTCCCCTAGAGAGTCAGAGGGGAAGTAAAAAGTAGAAGCAAAGTCTGATCCAGTCATCCTTCTGGACCATTCCTATTACCTTGGATAGGCCTAGGGACAGGTGGGCTACCAGGACTGAGAATCATTGGGTATATTACCAGACATTGCAGAGCACTCAGGTACCAAAGTCACTAAAGGACTCTAGAATCAATTGAGACCGTAGAGAATAGACTTAAGTATAAATGAACTAAAGGACAGTGCAAGAGCTTCTCAGTGGACAGCATGTGGACATTGGAGAGTTGGAATCATGGTTCAGAAATCTAGGCAGACAAGACCATGCTTGAAAGCATGAGTGCTAAGACAGCATCCTATTAAATATTGCAGCATAACATTTGGTTTGATATTTGTCATTGGCCATCTGAATTTCCTTACCCCTAATTTTTTTTAACACATGAAAAACCATCCCTACTAATTTCTGACAAATCTCTTACAATAATGATCAGAAAAAGTACCATAATTTATATTTCTCAAAAAGTTACATCTATGAGCTTTATGCAAGTGTAGTGGAGTGGTAAAGTTACATGTGTGGTTAATTCAGCCTCTCGGGAATGTAGCCTTTTATCCTTTCATGCAAACATGTCTGTTTTGAGTATATAGAAATGCACCCTACAGTGTTCATAAAACCAACAGATGTGTAATTGCAGTCCTGGAGCATTGGTCAGTTCACCTTATCCTTCTTTAGAAGACTGATTTTTGTCAATGCAACATTTTGTTTCTACTGCTGTGGATCCTTTCTTCCTTCTTCTTCTTCTTTTTTTTTAATTAGCAGTACCAGCAATCCTGCTGTAAGACATATCCAAAAGAATGAAAATCAGTACATTAAAGGGACATCTGCACCCCCATGTTTATTGCAGCACTATTCACAATAGCCAAGGCATAGAATCAACCATTCATTGAGTGTCCATCAATGGATGAATGAAGTAAACGTGGTACATATACACAATTATTATTCAGTCATGAAACAGAATGAAATCCTGTTATTTACAACAATGTGAATGGAACTGGAGAACATTATGTTAAGTGAAATAAGCCAAGCAGAGAAAGACAGATATCATATATGTAGGAGCTTTAAAAATTGATCTCATGAAGATAGAATAGAATGGACGTTACCAGTAGAGTAGAATGATGGTTATCAGAATGTTGAGAAGGGTAATAGGGAGGGGGGAAAAATTACAGGTTGGTTAGTGGGTACAAAAATGCAGTTAAATAAAAGAATAAGATCTGGTGTTCAGTATCATGATAAGGTGATTATAGTCAAGAATAATTTTTTATATTTTAGAAAATAACCCTAGGAGTCGAATTGGAGTGTTCCTAACACAAAGAAATGATAAAGATTTGAGGTGATGGATATTCCAATTACCCTGATTTGATCATTACACATCGTATGTTTGTATCAAAATAGCACATGTACCCCATGAATGTGTATAACTATTTTGTATTCATAAACATTTTTAAAAATACATAAAATAAAATTAGCAGTAAATATATAATTTCTAATTAATGCATTATGACATTCATAAAACAATAGATGAATTGAAATCAAATCTTTAGGCCAAAGAATAGATTTGTGTAATCTCTGTAAAGGGTTTGATTTTAACTTGTACTATTTTGAATTATAAAATGTTAGGGTGTTTTTTTCTGAAAAAATAAAAGTGAAACTTTTCTAAATTTTATTTTTCTTCTTAATTTTACACCCTTGTAGAACAAGGAACACCTTTTAATTTCCTTTCTGCAAGGACATTACTGTGTAAAGAGTACTGTTTGATAATGAAACAAATTTTTGAAATTTTCTAGCCAGAGAAGAGTTACAGTATTATCTGGATAACTATGTAGTGATACTACATATTTTATTAGGAGAGTTTCCCTAATATAGCATGCAACTTAACACAATGCAAGTGATCCTTCCCATGTGGAGACTGCAGAACTGGGAGGTGATCCAATATTACAGAAGTTAATACTCATCCTTAGCAAACAGTTAAATATACTCGCGAGAATTCAAAAAAAATTGTCTGAAATCAGAGAAAGGAAGTTTTTAGCAAGGTCACTAAGCAGAATAATTTATAGGAAGTCTTTATTTTAGGCCTTCATAGCATTTTGCTTGGCAAGATTTTTACCTCTGCTACTCTTCAGAACACTGATAAACGGCATGGCCTTAGAATAAAAAATGTGACTTTAGTAAGAGACCAAGAAAGGACAGGAGAGCAGAGTATGGAAAGATAACAACTCTTACAACTGTGCACTAAGGCTCATGGGGACACTCAATAAATACTTACATGTGAGTGAGTAAATATGTGAATGAAACAATAAGTGTTGGGGAAAAAAGAAAAGGAAATGGGTTCTGCGTGGGGATAGCCAAGGGGACTGCTGCAAGAAGGAAAAAAACTGTGACCTTCAAACTGGCTGCAGTGACTCCACTGGCACTAGGATATCTTTAAAGATAGCAATGAAGTCTTCCATTTGCAAGACTGGGGAAGCCCAAACAATGAAGGGGTGTTAGAGACTCACACATGTCACCACTATGAACAGCTTCTCCTAATTCTCAGGATATTTTTGCAATGTTAAAAGGCTCTGAATTCTTCAGTAGAAAAAAATTGAACATAATTATGGGGTGCTTAGGCTTTTGAAGTCAAACAGATGTGGGTTCACAATCCCACTCTGTTACTTCACAGCTGTATGATTTATCTCAGCAGATGACTTAACCATTTGGAGTTTAATGGGGGAACTATATATCAAATATAATGCTCCATGATACTTATGAAAACATGGTGGGCACTCAATAAATGTGTACTTAAAATAAACAGTGTTGCATGTAAATAACCATTGAAAATAGTGTTTCTCTTTTCAAAAGAAGACATTTCTGCAGCCAACAAACATATGAAAAAAAGCTCATCATCACTGGTCATTAGAGAAATGCAAATCAAAACCAAAATGAGATACCATCTCACACCAGTTAGAACGGCAATCATTAAAAAGTCAGGAAACAACAGATGCTGGAGAGGATGTGGAGAAATAGGAACGCTTTTACATTGTTGGTAGGAGTGTAAATTAGTTCAACCTTTGTGGAAGACAGTGTAGTGATTCCTCAAGGATCTAGAACCAGAAATACCATTTGACCCAGCAATTGCATTACTGAGTATATACCCAAAGGATTATAAATCATTCTACTATAAAGACACATGCACACATATGTTTATTGCGGCACTATTCCCAATAGCAAATATTTGGAACCAACCCAAATGCTCACCAATGATAGACTGGATAAAGAAAATGTGGCACATATACACCATGGAGTACTATGCATCCATAAAAGAGGATGAGTCATGTCCTTTGCAGGGACATGGATGAAGCTGGAAGCCATCATTCTCAGCAAATTAACACAAGAACAGGAAACCAAACACCACATGTTCTCACTCATAAGTGGGAGTTGAACAATCAGAACACACGGACACAGGGAGGGGAACATCACACACCGGGGTCTGTCAGGGGATGGGGGGCTAGGGGAGGGATACCAGTAGGAGAAATACCCAATGTAGGTGACGGGTTGATGGGTGCGATAAACCACCACGGCACGTGTATACCTATGTAACAAACCTGCACGTTCTCCACATGTACCCTAGAACTTAAAGTGTAATGAAGAAAGAAAGAAGGAGAGGAAGGAAGGAAGGAAGGAAGGAAGGAAGGAAGGAAGGAAAAGAAAGAAAGGAAGGAAGGAAGGAAATAGTGTTTCTGTGGTATAGGTAACTCTCCCTTAGATGTTCTAATTTAGCTTTAGTTTAGTTTAAGTGGTTCCGTGCTATTTTCTACATTGATCAAAATTTTCCAATGTCTGCTGACTATGCATGTATTTAACGTAAAGCGCTCTTTGCTGATCATGTAATCAGGTAAGGGGATTTATATGTAATGGTAGTAATAATTATCTGCTGAAAAAAAATGAGTGTAAAAGAAAATCTGTTCCTATTGCTGATAAAAATGTATCATAGAAATGTATCTACTGGTGGGCTTTATTTTGGAAAGGAAAAGTTATCTATCCAAATTAAAATGCTACTGATTGATTGTAAAACTAAGCATCCAGTCTGAGTAAACTTATTGAATATTTTTATTTTGATGTTTAAAAAACCATTTTATTACAGGTTTTATTCAAATTATTAAACAACCTAAAGTTTATTTTTCAGTTGTAGAAATAGAAAACTTTTCATGATAAAAGACTCTCATATAATTACCAGGCAACTTTAGCACTTAAGTTATTTAAGGGTTACTGAGATTTTAAAGTATCTACTCAAATAAATGGAAAGAAATACCCTATTTCAGATTTCAAAAGCATATAATGATTCCAAACCAATTTTAATTTTTGGGTAATGCCAATCATCCTTGATATTGTTAGAACTTGGGAAAATGATCTGAAATAGTAAACATGCTGTATCAGCCAACATATTTTGAAAATTTGAAAATGAAGATTAATAAAAGAGGCTATCCCCTACCAATATTAAAAATATATCTTAATGTTATAGTGATTCAAACAGTGTGGGAATAGTACAGAAATAGGCAGATCCATGGAAAAGGATGCAAAATCCAGAATCATCATATACAGCTTGCACATATTAAAAATTAACTCTGAGCCAGCCGTGTTTTCGAGCATATTAATTATATCATTCCTTTTCTTTTCACAACTCCATAAGGTGAGCTCCTCTTCATGGATGAAGCTTAAAAGAGTGTAAAGAACTTACCTGAAGTCACCCAAATCAGTTATGGAGACTGGATTTGTGTCCAGACATTCTGACTTCCAGAGTTCACATTCTTAAACACTGCATTAAAACACTTCCATGTTAGGCTAAAGCAGAGGTCCTCAAAGTGCGCTTTGGAGAACCCTAGGATTCATGAGATTCTTCTGCAGTCCAGGAGGACAAAGATATATTTATAATAATACTAAAATATTATTTGCTGTTTTCACTGCCATTCTCTTAGAGGCATACAGTGGGGCATTTTCCAGAGGCTACATGGTGCATCATATTGCAATAAATTCAATGCAGAAACAGATAAGAGAATCCAGCTACCTTCTATTAAGCTAGATATAAAAGACATTTGTAAAAGTACAAGACAAAGCCACTCATGTCACTAAATATTTTTCTTTTGTAAAATATTATTTTGTACAAAATCTCATTTATAATAACATATAATAGGTCTATCATTGTTTTTCAATTAATAAATATTACACAAATTTATGAGTTTTTAATGTCGAACACAGTATTAATACACACAACATGTTTTTGTTTATATTTCATACACAGAAGATCTATGGGGTCCTCACTAATATTAAGAGTATAAAGAAGTTCTGAGACCAAAATGTTTGAGAATTGCTATGCTGAAGTAAGCATTTCAAATCACATGGCAGGTAAAGTTTTAATGAACAGTTTATTGAACACACGATTTTAGGATTGTTGGTCAAACAGATTGAAAACTACAAGCTACATTCATCAAAACACTCGACAAATTTCTGGTAGGAATAAAAGTTAGTAATAATACTAATTATTGCTTTCTTAAAATACTGAAAATAAATATAGAAAAATAGGAGATTAGTTAAATAATTATGATATTAAGTAAAGAAGTTCTAAGCAGCAATTATGACGCTATAATCAAGAACTATCTATTGATACATAAATACTTCCCTACATATTGTTAACCCCAGAACTATATATACATACATAACTATGTATGTATAATATATATATACAATACATAAGTTTATTATAATCATGTGTTGTAAATACTTTTTATATGTGTGTACTTACATGGGTATACTATATATACAAACACTCTCTGGTCCCTGAGACTCCTCTGCACTCCATAAGGACAAAGGTATATTTATAATAATGCTGAAATATTATTTGCCTTTTTTACTGTCATTCTCTTAGAAGAAATACAGTAGGGCGTTTTCCACTACATATACAGACATGGAAGTACATAGGTTTAATATGCAACTTCCTTCCCAATCATTCAGAATATACGGAAAAAACAAAGAAAAGAACAAATTTGGCAGAAGATGACAATGAGTGACCATAGGTGAAAGGTACATAGGTGTTGACTATACTATTACTACTTGAAATGACAGGATTGAATCTTTTTGAAATAAATTGTTGGTTGAGAGAAGAAGCTAAATAACAATGCTAAGGAATTGCAGTTAAAGAGTAAGATATACAGCAGATAATTAGCTGTTGAGGAAGATCTGGGTAGTAACATCTCTGTAGCATTTGTTTTTGTTTTTATTTATTACTATTACTATTTATTTATTTTGAGACGGAGTCTCACCCTGTCACCCAGGCCAGAGTGCAATGGCGTGATCTTAGCTCACTGAAACCTCCACCTCCTGGGTTCAAGCGATTCTCCTGCCTCAGCCTCCCAAGTAGCTGGGATTACAGGTGCCTGCCACCATGCCCAGCTAAGTTTTGTATTTTTAGTAGACACTGTGTTTCTGTTTCACCGTGTTGGCCAGGCTGGTCTCGAACTCCTGACCTCGTGATCCGCCCGCCTCAGCCTCCCAAAATGCGGGATTACAGATGTGAGCCACCACGCCCAACCTTTTTTTTTTTATTTTTATTTTTTTGAGGCAGGATCTTACTCTGTTGCCCAGGCTGGAGTGCAGTGGTGTGATCACAGCCCACTGAAGCCTCGACTTCCCCAGAATCAGGTGGTCCTCCCACCTCAACCTCCCAAGTAGTTAGGATAGATGCACACAGCCTGCTAATTATTGTATCTTTTTATAGTGACAGGGTATCATCATGTTGCCGGGCTGGCCTCAAATCCCTGGGCTCAAGCGATGCACCTGCCTCAACCTCCTAAAGCGCTGGAATTACTGGTGTGAGCCATGGCACCCAACCTCTTTAGCATTTGTTGAGTTCTTTCTACATGCTCAATACATTTTTAAGTGCTGAGGAAAAATGATTTCAAAGAAATTTTAGTAACAATAGGAAATGTTTAGGCAGCACATAAGACAACTTAGTATCATCATAGCTATACAAAAATAACATATATGCATAGAAATAACTATTAAGAAATATAACAAGCTATCAGAGTGATTATCTTTGGGCCTTACATGGATGGGTAATTTTTATTTATTTCCCTGTATAATTCCTTATATTCCAAAATTTTAACAATGGTTAAATACTACTTTCCTTATGATAAATATAAAGCTCTGAAATTAAATGCACCATGACATTTGGAAATTTTACACTCCTTATGTATACCTAGGACATTTTATTGAGACAGGATGTTGATAACTGTTTTCCACTCTCTAGCTTGTGAGATCTAATGACCATAATGAGAAGACACATTTACATGACCTTATCCAACAGTTTATGAACATTTCTGTATGGTAAAAAGTTAGCAAGTGTTGTGAGTAGACTGTATGGGAATATGTCCAAGCACTTGTAAATTAAATAAAGTTTTGTTTTGAAAATTAAATCAATTAAATAATTATCTGTTGGGAATAAGCAGACTCTCAACACTTTACCATAGTTACCTGAGAAAGAATTTCAATGCATGACAGTGACCAGATTACAGAGGCAGTTGTGAAAGGCAGATTAGGATATTTTCCTTTATTATCCAATAAAAGATATGTGGTCTTCAGGGAAGTCATCTGTCCTTTGGAGAAGAAAGCTTCGGTAGGTCTCATCTTGTCCCAAATAAGATAACTATTTGAATTATTCTCTTGTAATTTATCTGATTTCACCCTCATCAAGCAACCTTAAAGTTATTAATTCCACTTCATAGGTACCTTGACACTGGGAAAAAAAAATTGTTCAACATAGGGATGAATAATAAAACCATTTTTTTAGGACATTAACTTAAGGAATTGACTATATCATTTATCTACTCATCTATGTACATATATCTTTTGGGAATCTGGTTGGTATGAGCTTATCATAGAAAGCCTAATAATCTCAAAGAAACTGATAAAGCACAATATTTGGTGATTCAAGTCTAAGGGCCAAATTCTGAACCATGACATATTCATTAAGATATGAACTTCCCTATAGGGTTTCTGCTAGCTGGACTTTCCTTGGAAAGTTGCACATTTTATTTTTAACTTACAACATTATGGTAACATTAATTTCAAGTTTTCCATCATAACTGAAGCAATGAGTCTACAATGTATCAAAAGTATCATTTTTATCTAGATATGCTTGCTGATAAAATAACTTTAACTTTGCATGTGCTGTCACAGATAAAGGATGGGTTGTAGGCCGTGAAAAACAGATTGTCATTACTGAAATTAGAGCATAGTGTTCAAGCACTTAGTAGAAAAATTCTACCTATTATGGGCTAGAGATTCAAATTCAAGGAGAGAATTCTTGTTTAAATAAAAAAAGTGAAATGTTATTCCTTAAGATCAGAATTTAAAGTTGATGTTAATATGAAAAAGGAAATCAAACTGTATTCCTTTTTGTAAACAACTTCTGCTGATATCCACAAATAGCAATCACATCAAATAGCAAATTTAAAATGCAACTCAATGTTGGATAATAATAAAGTTTGAGTGACCTCATGGTATCTTTCCAAATCACAAGGTAGCCATTTTGAAAAGGTATTGTCCATATATAAGTTTCAATATGGCAGATCAACTGAAAAAAAAAGAATCATTTTTATTTTCATTACTAAAAAACTAAGTTTATCAATATTATCCAAATTGATTTTCCAAGACCCAAACTACCAAAAATACCAACATAATTTCAAAAAAGGGAAATATCAAAATTGAAATATTAAGTTCACATTTTATGTTTTGGTTTTTGGTATGGTTTGGCTGTGTCCCCACCCAAATCTCACCCTGAATTCTAGTGCCTATAATCCCCATAGGTTGAGGGAGGGACCTGGTAGTAGGTAATTCCTTCATAGGAGTGATTACTCTCATGCTTTTCTCATGATAGTGAGTGAGTTCTCACGAGATCTGATGATTTTATAAGGGACTTTTCCTCCTTTTGCTTGGCACTTCTCTCTCCTGCCACCCTGTGAAGAGGTGACTTCTGCCATGTATGTAAGTTTCCTGGAGCCTCCCCAGCCATGCAGAGCTGTGAGTCAATTAAACCTCTTTTCTTTATAAATTACCCAGTCGCGGGTATTTTTTCATACCAGCATAAGGACAGACTAATACAGTTGGTTAGTAATTACTGCTCAGAAAAACTCTCATTTAGTGTTTTTTATTTCCCTCTGCAACATTTCAATGAAATTAGTGTATGTTGACCGATTACATTTAGACATTGTTGTTTCATTTTGGTGATTGATCATCATGTTTATCTGTCTAAATGAGTCGATATTCTGAATAAATGTGGAGTACAACTGAGGACATTATGATATATTTTATATATATTTTATTTCTTGGTAAAAATAAGGATGATATTCTAGTATCTAAAAAGTGAACATATTGACTATAGCATTTATATTATTTTTGAACAGCTTTGTTTAAATACCAAGTTTAAATTTGATCCAGAAATTCCAACTCCTAATTTATTCTGGAGGGAATTAGGAAAGTGGAGAAAATATATACACAGATTATTTATTCTACCATTGTTAGTAATATTTTCAAAAACGAAGACAATTTTGACATAAATTGGCTTAATCAATTTTTATACTCCATGTACCTAAGGATATGTGTTATATTTATATTATTGATATGAAGAGAGATCTTCTAGAAATTTTATGATGCTATTATTATATATTACAATAATATAGTATAATAATATATAATAATATCCTATATTATTATAGGGCCGAATGCAGTGGCTCATGCCTGTAATTCCAGCACTTTAGGAGGCCAAAGTGGGTGGGTCACTTAAGGTCAGGAGTTTGAGACTAGCCTGGCCAACATGGTGAAATCGTGTCTCTACTAAAAATACAAAAAAAAAAAGAAAAATTAGTCGGGCAGCTACTTGGGAGGCTGAGGCACGAGAATCGCTTGAACCTGGGAGGTAGAGGTTGCAGTGATCCAAGATGGTGCCACTGCACTCCAGCCTGGGTGACAGAGCAAGACTCTGTCTTAACAAAAACAATTTTAAAAAGCCCTTATAGTACAAACCTTTCTTGGATATGTATACTTTTGCATAATATTTGATAGATAGAAAAAATTCTATAAATCATACTCCAAACTGTTAGCAGGAGGGTCATAGTAATTATAGGGAGTATGTTTTATATTTTGTATCTCTTTTTGGTACTACTTGCATTTTATACAAAAATAAACTTGTTTTATAATCATAAAAAAAGTGAAACGCCAACAACACTGACAAAGCCTGGCCTCTATCCTACATTGATTGACATATTATAATGGTGTAAGCAGTCTCCTACTCTTCCACTAATGCCATCTTCATTTAGTCCACCTTCTTTGGACTCAAACATTTTTTTTTTTCTGGGGAAACCCTCCCTATCACTCCTAAGCAGATTAGACTTTGATGTCATTAATGTATTGCACTTATATTTTGTAATACAATTTATGTTTGCAGTTACTTGCACCTATCAGTTTTTCTTACTAAATTAGAATGTTCAGGTTGTGGTGATTGTGTCTGTCTTTATGTCTGCTGTATCCCTGGCAACTAGCCCAGTGCCAGGCTCATGGGAGGGCCCAGGTACCTATTTCTTATATATAAACAAAACAATTTTTTAATTATTTATCTTACTATTAAGATAAGATGCATTATCTGAGAAAGGATTTTTTTTATTTCTTAGCTTGTTTACATGAAGCATTATAAATATATATTAAATTCATATTTAATAACTTGACTTAAAAGAATAAAGTTATGCAGAATTGTCCTGAGATATTGAGAACACATAAGGTCTTTAAATATAGCACTGAATTTTTTTGACTGAATGAGATTGTTAGACCACTGATCAACAGTTATTGTTGTTGTTGTTATTGTTGTTATTATTATGAGACATGTTCTCCTTCTGTCATCCAGGCTGGAGTTCAGTGACATAATCATGGCTCACTGCAGCCTTGAACTTCTGGTCTCAAGTGATCCTCCCACCTGTCTGCCAACTAGCTGGGACTACAGCACATACTACCACACCCTGTTAGTTTTTGTATTTTTTGTAGAGACAGGTTCTCACTATGTTGACCAGACTGGTCTCGAACTCCTGGCCTCAAGCAATTCTCTTGTCTTGGTCTCCCAAAGTGCTGAGATTACAAATATCAGCCACTGTGCCCAGCCCAACAGTTACTATTTAATTCTATTTATATGTTGGAAAACTGAGGAGTTGAGTTCCTCACCCTAAAAAATCTTATTAACATAAGTCTGTATGTGTGAAATGCAGAGACTTGGCTTATTTGCTTATTAGGTGGTAAGGAACTTGGGGTTGAATAGACCTATGTTTTAAGTTCAGCATTGTCACTGACTAGCTCTATGTCCTTAATAAGGCAGCTAATCTTTTTTAGGTTAATTTCAGTTACAACAAAGTCACAATTCAATATTTAGAAAGTACATACGATGTAATGATAACTCTTTGCTTGAGTTTCTGTTAGTCTATTTATTCTCTCACTACTATAAAAAATATCTGAGATTGGGTAATTTATAAAGAAAAGGGGTTTAATTGGCTCATGGTTCCATAGGCTATATAGGAAGCATGATGCTGGCATCTGCTCAGCTTCTGAGGAAGCCTCAGGAAACTTACAAACATGGTGGAAAGTGAAAGGGGAGCATACACATCACATGGCCAGAAAAGGAGCAGGGAAGAGATGGGAGAGGTGCTAAATGTGTTTAAATGAGCGGATCTCACAAGAACTCATTCACTATCATGAGAACAGCACCATGGGTGTGGTGCTAAACCACTGATGAGAAACCTGCCTGCATGACCCAATCACCTCTCACCAGGTCCCACCTTCAACATTGAGAATTACAATTGAACATGAGATCTGGGTGGGGATACAGATCCAAACCATATAAAGGGAGAGTTAAATTTTATCTTCCCTTTGGAGTTGGTTGGAAGCTGGTGTGGAGACGGCAGACATGCTGCTTCTGCTACCTGCTCTCTCTTTGCTCTCCTCTTTTCTTTTAGCTGCAAATATTTTGATTGAAGCTAGGAGGCAAGGGAAAGAGGTAAAGAGGATAGGACAATTTTTACCAAGCTGTTTGGCTTCATGTTCTCTGGGATTGGAATGTTGTTAAAGTCAGTGAGCCTAAGTGGATCCCTAGAAGATTAAAGCTGAGTACCTTTTGGAGCGTTTTCATAGGCTATTTAGAAAGTTTTCTCATGCCTTCGATTCTGGAATCTAGTTTACCCGAGAGGATGCATATATCTTCTTTGTGATTACTGGTCTTCCTTGCCCATCTACTGAGCATCCTGCAGTCCACTTCTCACCTCATTCTGCTGAAACCTTTTAACCAACAAGAGGACCTATTAGACAGGAAGAGAGCTTGTGATGCTCTGCCATGTACTCCATATTTGGGTCATAGCAACTCCTGCTTCAACAAACTCTGTGAACACAGGATGATTTTGATGCTTCAGCAGCACTCTCCCACCACAAAAGCAGGTATTCATCACTTCTCTAATCCTTTGATACCCCGGTAGGAGGAAAAGTTGGTGTTAGCTTTCTGAGGCATAGAACTGGTCTTCTATATTTCGAAAATATTTGTGTGGTTTTATGCTTTGAACTAAAAGGGGATAACAGGCACAGGATATTCCATTATATCTTAAACAACTAAAAATAGATCAACATATAAGAAATAGTGATTTTCAATCTGAGAGAGAGTAACCAAAGGAAGTAAAATCAATAATTTCCCCAGCTAACTGCCTCAAAGAGTTTCCCAGAAGCATCACATGAAAGCGGAAGCCAAGCAGAGGCCATCAAATTCCCTGAGTTAAACAAATAAGCCCAGAGCCTGGGAGCGGCCTAAGGAAACTAGAGTTCTCAAGACAGAGTACAGGATGGAGAGAGCTCTACGCAGACCTCTCACAGATCTACAGGGGGTCTGCATTTGAGTTTTCACCTGGAAGACTGGAAGACTTCACCAGTGTAAAGAAACTACCCAAAAATGAGAAAATCGCCCAGAAAGAGCAGCAGGAACAATCTCCATGGCTAACACAAGGCTGAGAATCTTTCTAATTTCTACCAACTAAAGAGGTAAGCTTTATAATTCAAGGTACATTGGGTGAAGTACCAAAGGGTATTGTTTTAGGAGTGGGGCAAAATTAGCCCTAGCCTAAATACTTTTCTGGGCCTGTATAACAAAACTTAAAAGCAATCTGGAAAGAATTAAATAGTGTCTAGGTAATGCACACCAGAAAAAAGCTCAAGAGCACTTATAGAAATACAAAAATATTTAGTACCCAACAAAGGAAAATTTACGATGCTGGCATTGAACTAAAAATTACCTGGTATGCAAAGGTGCAAAAATAAAGGCCATAGTGGGGAGAAAAATATCAGCAAGCAGACACTAAGCTTGAAATGGAACAGATGATGAAATTACTAAACAAGGACTTTAAAATACTTATTAAAGCTGTAGTACATATGTTAAAAAAAGAGGAAAAATTGAACACATTAAGTAAATACATAAAAGATTGTTGTGGGAAGTCAGGGACCCGGAACAG
Organism: Homo sapiens; assembly: GCF_000001405.40. Classification (NCBI taxonomy): domain Eukaryota; kingdom Metazoa; phylum Chordata; class Mammalia; order Primates; family Hominidae; genus Homo; species Homo sapiens. Next base: position 98,526,739 of record NC_000001.11, on the reverse strand, counting down.
AGGGACCAGCTGGAGCCGTGGCAGAGAAACATTAATTGTGAAGATTTCATGGGCATTTATCAGTTCCCAAATACTTTTATAATTTCTTATGCCTGTCTTTAATCTCTTAATCCTGTTATCTTTGTAGGCTGAGGATGTATGTCACCTCAGAACCACTGTGATAATTGTGTTAACTGTACAAATTGATTGTAAAATGTGTGTTTTGAACAATATGAAATCAGTGCACCTTGAAAAAGAACAGAATAACAGTGATTTTTAGGGAACAAGGGAAGATAACCATAAGATCTGACTGCCTGTGGGGTTGGGCAAAAAAAGCCATATTTTTCTTCTTCCAGAGAGCCTATAAATGGACATGTAAGTAGGAGAGACATTGTGAAATTCTTTTCCTAGCAAGGAATATTAATATTAATACCCTGGGAAAGGAATACATTCCTGGGGGGAGGTCTATAAACAGCCACTCTGGGAATGTCTGTCTTATGCGGTTGAGATAAGGACTGAGATACACCCTGGTCTCCTGCAGTACCCTCAGGCTTACTAGGGTGGGGAAAAACTCTGCCCTGGTAAATTTGTGGTCAGACCAGTTCTCTGCTGTCGAACCCTGTTTTCTGTTATTTAAGATGTTTATCAAGACAATACATGCACCCCTGAACATAGACGTCTCCTTATCAGTGGTTCTGCTTTTGCCCTTTGCCTTGTGATCTTTGTTGGACCCTTATCAGTAGTTCTGCTTTTGCCTTTTGTCCTGTTCTCTCAGAAGCATGTGATCTTTGTTAGACCCTTATTAGTAGTTCTGCTTTTTGCCCTTTGAAGCATGTGATCTTTGTACCTACTCCCTGTTCTTACACCCCCTCCCCTTTTGAAACCCTTAATAAAAACTTGCTGGTCTGAGACTCAGGCAGGCATCATGGTCCTACCAATATGTGATGTCACCCCCAGCTGTCCAGCTGTAAAATTCCTCTCTTTATACTGTCTCTTTATTTCTCAGCTGGCTGACACTTATGGAAAAGAGAAAGAACCTACGTTGAAATATTGGGGGTGGGTTCCCCCAATAAAAGGTATTTTTAAAAGACCCACAGTAACCATCTAGAGATGAAAAATACAATCACTAAAATGACAAGGAATAAACAGCATATTAATAAAGATGGAGGATAAAAGTTGATAAACTTGATGACATAGCAATAGAAACCATCCAACAGAAACTATGGAAAGAAAAAAAAAATTAAAAAAAAACCCCAGCATTAGTGAAGAGTGGGACAACTTCAAGCAGGCTAATGTGTATGTACTTGGAATGCCTGATTGAGAGCAGAGAAAGGAGAATACATAAAAATATTTGAAAAAATAATGGCTGAAAAAGTTCCAAATCGGTGAGAACTATAAACCCAAAGTTCCAAGAAATTCAAAGATACTGAGCAAGAGAAATGTGAAGAAAACAAGTCACTTCAGAATCAAATTGCTTACAATTTGTTATAAAAGGAATCTCTTAAAAGCAGCTAAAGGGAAAAAAACTGCTATGGTTTGGTTGTTGGTCCCACTAAAGCTCATGCTGAAATTTGATCCTCAAAGCCAGGCATCCCTGTAGTCCCAGCTACTCAAGAGGCTAAGGCAGGAGGGTCACCTGAGCCCAGCAGTTGGAAGCTGCAGTTCTCTATGATGTACCTGTGAATAGCCAATGCACTCCAGCCTGGGCAACAGAGTGAGATACTGTCTCTAAAAATAATAATAATAATAATAACAATATTAAGGAATAGAAAAAGAAGTTTGATCCTCATTGTTTAAGGTGGGGTTTAACGGAAGGTGTTTGGGTCATGGGGGCAGATTCCTCATGAATTGATTAATGCCATCCTTGAAGGTGAGTGAGCTTTTGCTCTATTAGTTCCTGCAAGAGTTGGTTGTTCAAAAGGACCTGGCACCTCTCCTCCCCCTTGCTTCCACTTTCACTATGTGATCTCCAAAATTGCCAACAGCCAAATATGCATTATTTTTAGGTCCACATACAAACATTTACCATGATAGCCATATTTGTGGGTAAAGATTTGGAAAGACACTTTACCAAAAAAGTTATATAGTGACAAATAGCTGCATGAAAAAAAAATGCTCAACATTATTAGTCATTAAGAAAGTGAAATTTAAATCACAATGGGATACTACCATATACCCAACAGAAAAGCTAGATTTGAAAGATTGACCATATCAAGTGTCGATAAAGAGATGGAACAAATGTATGTAATGGAAAGCTTTTGGAATGTTTTAAGTAGGAAATAAATATGATATGGTTATGTCTAAAGCCATTAATAAATTATAGCCATTGTAACATTATCATAACTATAACAGATACATGTTATTCAATAATCCTTTTGAGTCCAACAACTGATCTGAGTAGAGTGAAATGGACAAATGTTCATAATTTGACATATTCAGATGTTTCACATGGATGAGACATTAAAATCTAGAAATAATCATTTGATATTTTAAATCTCAGTGCTGATCTTTCTATCCAAGGAATTAATAGTCCCTGAAAATGTAAATTGGTCTCACAGTTGTGCAAAGTTCAGTATCATTTCTGGATATTTACAGCATACTTTAAGGAATTTTTTAAATATGTCTTTTAGAGGAGACTTTAATTCAAAGTCTCACAAGCAGTAATAATAGCTCACTGCCTTCCATCTGGCATAAGAACACAATAGTGATTATTTGGTGAAATTATTTTAGTATATTTAATTTTCTTATATTTCACCTCCCAGGTTACTAAGGAAAATTTGGTGATGTTCTTGTCCACCTCAATAAAGAGCTTAAAATAAGTTAGAGAGGATTTAAAGTAAACCAGACAATGGGTGTTAAAAGGAAATTGAATATATTTGACACCTTAGTTTTTCATTTCCTTTTGTTGTCCTTTGAAGAATTATGGGTGAAGTTGGGCTATATTTTCTGCAGACAGATGCTAAAGTTCTATTGTACTAATGAGATAATGAGAAAAAAGAAAAAAAAAGTGATTAACAGTGCAACAAATGTCATCTACGCCATTTTTTCAATGTATATTCATTAAGCACCTTCTTTGTGACAAATGTTGATTTAGATATTGGAAATTCAGCAGTAAGCATATCAGGAAAATTATCCGGTTTGAAGAAACCTTCATTCTAGTGAGAAACACAGAAAAGAACGAGACAGGAAGTACTTCAGTGTAGGGTAGCGTGGTTATTGGGGAGTGCTATTATATAGGGTGGTCAGAGAAGGCTTCTCTGAGGTAATGACATTTGAGCCAAGATCTGAAGAATGTGAGGGAAGGAGCTATGTGGGTTATCTTAAAGAATAACATTCCAGTCTGATGATACTACAGGTACAAAACCCCTGGGAACTATGTTTAGTCTTTATTTTTTTAAAAATTTTTGTGGGTATATATATTTGTGGGTTTCATGAGATATTTTGATATGGGCATGCAATGTGTGATAATCACGTCAGGGTAAATGGGGTCTCTATCACCTTAAGCATTTATCCTTTGTGTTACAATCCAATAATACTCTTTTAGTTATTTTTAAATGTACAATTAAATTATTTTTGACTATAGTTATCCTGTTTTGCTAGAAAATATTAGGTCTTATTTATTCTTTCTATTTTTCTATGGCCATTAACCATCCCCACTTTCCCTTATTCCCGCATATCTCCCCCTCCACTACCCTTTTCAGCCACTGGCAACCATCTTCTACTCTCTATATGCATGAGTTCAATCATATTAATGTTTAGCTCCCACAAATAAGTAAGAACATAGGAAGTTTGTCTTTCTGTACCTGGCTTATCTCACTTAACATAATGACCTACAGTCCCATTCATGTTGTTGCAAATGACAAGATCTCATTCTTCTTTATGGTTGAATAGTACTCCATTATGTATATGTACCACATTTTGTTTTTTATCCATTCATCTGTTGATGGACACTTAGGTTGCTTCTAAATCTTGGCTATTGTGAATAGTGCTTCAATAAACATGAAAGTGCAGATATCGCTGTAATATACTGATTTTCTTTTTTTTGGGTATATACCCAAGTGTGGGATTGCTAGATTGTATGGTAGTGTCATTTTTAGATTTTTGAGGAATCTTCAAATTGTTCTCCATAATGGTTATACTAATTTACATTCTTATCAAAAGTGTATGAGGGTTTCCTTTTCCCCATGTTCTTGCCAGCATTTGTTATTGCCCTTCTTTTGTATAAAAACCATATTAACTAGGGTGAGATGATATCTCATTGTAGTTTTGATTTGCATTTCTCTGATAAGCAATGATATTTAGCACTTTTTCAAATACCTGTTTGCTATTAGTATGTCTTCTTTTGATAAATATCTAGTCAGATCTTTTGTCCTTTTTAAAAATTGGATTATTGTATTTTTTTTTCCTGTAGAGCTGTTCACATTCCTTATATATCCTGATTATTAATTCCTTGTCAGAGGGGTAGTTTACAAACATTTTCTCCCATGCTGTGAGTTGTCCTTTCACTTTATGGATCCTTTCCTTTTCTATGTAGAAGTTGTTTAACTTGATGTGATCCCATTTGTCCATTTTTGCTTTGGTTGCCTGCGCTTTTGGGGCATTCCTCAAGAAATCTTTGTCCAGTCCAATTTTCTGGAGAGTTTCCCCAATGTTTTCTTGTAGTTGTTTCACAGTGTGAGGTCTGAGATTTAAGGCTCCAATCTATTTTGATTTGACTTTCTTATATGGTGAGAGATAGAGGTCTATTTCATTCTTTTGCATGCAGATATCCAGTTTACTTAACATCATTTATTGAAGAAACTATCTTTCCCCTAGTATATGTTCTTGGCATCCTTGTCAAAAATGAGCTCACCGTAGATGTATGAATTTATCTCTGGGTTTTCTATTTTTGTTCCACTGATTGTTGTGTCTGTTCTGATGCCAGTACCATGCCTTTTTGGTTACCATAACTCTGCAGTGCAATTTAAAGTCAGGTAATGTTATTCTCCCAGTTTTGTTCTTTTTTTTTGCTTGGGATAGCTTTGGCTATCCTGGGTCTTTAGTGCTTCCATATAAATTTTAGGATTTTTAAAATTTTTGTCTAGTCATTGGTATTTTGATAGGGTTTGCATTAAATCTGTAAATTACTTTGGATAGTATGGACTTTCTAACAATTTTGATTCTTTAAATCCATGAATATGAAATATCTCTTATATTTTTGTGTCCTCTTCCATTTCTTGCATCAATGTTCTATAGTTTTCATTGTAGAGGTCTTTCACTTCTTTTGTTAATCCTTATATATTTTATCTTAGTTGTAACTATTGTAAATAAGATTACTTTCTTGATTTCTTCTTCAGGTTTTTTGTTTTGGCATATAGAAATGCTACTGATTTTTGCATGTTGATTTTATAGCCTTCAACTGTACTGAATTTGTTTATCAGTTCCAATAGTTTATTGGTGGAGGCTTTAGGTTTCTCCAAATATATAATCATATCAGCTGCAAATAAGAATAATTTGATTTCTTCCTTTTCAATTTGAATGTGGTTTATTTCTTTCTTTTGTCTGATAGCTCTAGCTAGGACCTCCAGCACTACGTTGAATAATAGTGGTGAAGGGGGCATCCTTGTCTTGTTCCACATCTCAGAGAAAAGGCTTTCAGTTTTTCCCCATTTCGTATAATACTAGCTGTGGGTGTGATGTATGTGGCTTTTATTATGTTCAGGTGTGTTCTGTGTACACCCAGTTTTTTTAGGGTTTTTATCATGAGGTGATGTTGACTTTTATTAAATGTATTTCCAGCATCAATGGAAATGATCACATAGTTTTTGTCTTTCATTCTGTTGTTATAATGTATTGCATTAATTGATTTGCATATGTTGAAGCAGACTTGCATCCCTGGCATAAATCCCAGTTGGTCATGATGCATGCTATTTTTAATGGGTAGTTGAATTCAGCTTGCTAGTATTTTGTTAGAATTTTTGCATCAATATTCATCAGAGATATTGGCCTATAATATTTGTTTGATGCCTATGATATTTGTTTGATGTGTCTTTGTCTGGTTTTGTTATCAGGGTAATACTAGCCTGTCGGAATGAGTTTGGAATTATTCCCCCCTCATCTATTTTTGGGAATAGTTTAAGTAAGATTGGTATTAGTTCTTTTTTAAATGTTAGGTAGAATTCAGCAGTAAAGCCATTGGGTCATGGACTTTCTTTGCTTGGAGAATTTTTATTATGGCTTATATCTCATTATTTGTTATTGGTCTGTACAAGTTTTGGATTTCTTCATGGTTCAATTCAAACTTCATATGTATGTGTCTAGGCATTTATCCATTTCCTCCATTTCTTTTAGATTTTCCAATTTATTAGCATACAGTTGCTCTTAGTAGCCACTAATGATCCTTTAAATTTCTATGGTAACAGTTAAAATGTCTCCTTCTTCATCTCAGATTTTATTTATTTGGATTTCTTTCTTTTTTTCTTAGTCTGGATAAAGGTTTGTCAATTTTGTTTATCTTTTCAAAAAAATAACTTTTTGTTTGATCCTTTGTATTGTTTTGTTCATTTCAATTTCATTTATTTCTGCTCTATTCATTATTATTTTTTCTACTAATTTTGGGTTTAATTTGCACTTGCTTTTTTAGTTCAAGATGAATCATTAGGTCATTTATTTGAAGCATTTGTTCTTTTTTGATATAGGCATTTATGGTGAAAAACTTCCCTGTTTGTACTACTGTAACCCATAGATTTTGGTATGTTATGTTGTCCTCATCATTTGTTTCATGAAACTTTTTAATTTACTTCTTAATTTCTTCATTGACCTACTGGTCATTCAGGAGCATATTGTTTAATTTCCGTGTTGATATGGTTTGGTTCTGTGTCCCCACCAGAATCGCATCTTGAATTGTAATACCCATAATCCCCATGTGTCGAAGGCAGGGCCTGCTGGGGGTGACTGAATCATGGGTATGGTTTCCCCCATGTTGTTCTTGTTACAGTGAGTGAGTTCTCACAAGATCGATGGTTTTATACATGTTTGACAGTTCTTTCCACACATGCTGTCTCTCACTTGCCACCATGTAAGATGTTCCTACTTCCCCTTCCTCCATGATTGTAAGCTTACTGAGGCCTCCCAAGCCATGCAGAACTGTGAGTTAATTAAATCTCTTTGCTTTATAAATTACCCAGTCACAGGCAGTTCTTTATAGCAGTGTGAAAATGGATGAATACACATGTATTTGTATAGTTTCCAAAATTCCTCTTGTTATTGATTTCTATTTCATTATGGTGGGAAAGATGCTTGATATTATTTCAATTTTTTGAATGTTTTAAGACTTGTTTGGTGACCTAACCTATGGCCTATCCTTAAGAATAATCCATGTGCTGAGGAAAAGAATGCATATTCTGCAGCTATTCGTTGAAATAATCTGTAAACATCTATTAGATACAATTGGTCTTATAGTGCAGATTAAATCTGATGTTTCTTTGTTGATTTTCTGTCTACGTGATCTGTCCAAGGCTGAAATTGGGGCATTGAAGTCTCCAGTTATTCTTTTATTCTGGCCTATCTCTCTCTTTAGCGCTAATAATTGCTTTTTATATGTGGGTGCTCCACTGTTGGGTGTATATATACTTAGAATTGTTACATCTTCTTGCTGATTTGACTCCTTTATCATTACATACTGACCTTCTTTGTCTTTTCTTAGTTTTTGTCTTGAAATCTATTTTGTCTGATATAAGTGGAGTGCCTCCTACTCTCTTTTGGCTTCCATTGGCATGGAATGTCTTTTTTCATTCCTTTTCAGTGCACTTGTGTCTTTATATGTTACATGTGTTTCCTGTAGACAACAGATCATTGCATCTTGTTTGTTTGTTTTTTTTTTAATTCATTCAGCCACTCTATGTCTTTTGATTAGAGAGTTTAGTCCATTTACATTCAATGTTATTATTGATAAGTACAGACTTACTCCTGCCATTTTGTGATTTGTTTTCTGGTTGCTTTGTGGTCTTCTCTTCCTTCCTTCTTTCCTTCCTTTGTGTCTTCCTCTTAGAGAAGGTGATTTTCTCTAGTGATATGGTTTAATTGATTTCTTTTTATTTTTTGTGTATCTGTTGTATGTTTTTTGATTTCAGATTACCATGAGGCTTGCAAATATTGTCTTATAACCCATCATTTTAAGCTTATAACAAATTAACACCATTTGAACAAGCAAACAAACAAGCAAAAAAAAAACCAATAAAAACTCTACACTTTAACTTTGTCCTCCCACTTTATAACTTTCTTGTTTTTATTTTTATCTTATTGTACCGTGTATGTCCTGCAAAGTTGTAATTATTATTTTTGATTGGTTTTGTCTTTAAGTTTTTCTACTTATGAGTAGTTTACATATCACAATTACAGTGCTGTGATATTCTGTGTTTTTCCGAGTACTTAGTATTACCAGTGAGTTTTGCATGTTCAGATGATTCCTTATTGCCTGTTAGTGTCCTTTTCTTTCTGACTGAAGTACTCCCTTTAGCATTTAGTGTAGGACTGGTCTGATGTTAATGAAATCCCACAGCTCTTGTTTGTTGGGGAAAGTCTTTATTTCTCCTTCATGTTTGAAGGGTATTTTCACTGAATATATTATTCTAGGGTAAGAAAAAATTTTCCTTCAGTGCTTTAAATATGTCATACCATTCTCTCCTGGCCTATAAGTATTCCACTGAAAATTCTGTTGCCAGATGTATTGGAGCACCATCGTATGTTATTTGTTTCTTTTTCTCTTGCTCCTTTTAGAATGCTTTCTTTATCCTTGACCTTTGGATTTTGATTATTGAATACTTTGAGGTAGTCTTCCTTGGGTTAAATCTGCTCAGTGCTGTATAACCTTCTTGTTCTTGAGTACTGGTATCTTTCACTAGGTTTGGAGAGTTCTCTGTTATTACCCTTTGAATACATTTTCTACCTTTGTCTCTTTCTCTACCATCTCTTTAAGGTCAATAACTCTGAGATTTGCCAGTTTGAGGGGTTTTTTTATATCTTGCAGACATGCTTCATTCTTTTTTATTTTTATTATGTCTCATCTGTGTATTTTCAAATAACCTGTCTTCAAGCTCACTGATTCTTTCTTCTGCTGGATCAATTATGCTATTAAAAGATTCTATTACATTATTCAATGTGTAGCTGCATTTTCAATTCCATAATTGCTACTTGATTCTTTCTAATTATTTTGATATCTTTGTTAAATTTATCTGATAGAATTCTAAATTTCTTCTCTGTGTTATCTTGAATTCCTTAGAGTTTCCTTAAAACAGCTATCTTGACTTCTCTGTCTGAAAAGTCACATATGTCTGTCGCTCCATGATTGGTCTCTGGTTCCTTATTTAGTTCATTCGGTGTCGTCATATTTTCCTGGATGGTCTTGATGTTTTTGGATGTTTGTCTGTGTCTGGGCATTGAAGAGTTAGTGGGGCATTTATTGTAGTCTTTACAGTATGTACTTGTTACACCTGTCTTTCTTGGGAAGGTGTTCTGGGTATTTGAAAGGACTTGGGTGTTGTGATATAAACCATATCTGCATTACTGGGCACCCCAAACCTAATAATGCTGTGATTCTTGCAGACTCATGGAGGTACCTCCTAGATGGTGTTGCATAAGATGTGGAAGAATTCTCTGTATTACCAGGCTGAGACTTTTGTTCTCTTCCCTTACTTTCTCACAAATAAATGGAGTGTCTTGGTTCTGAGCTGCCTAGAACTGGGGGTGGTGTGACACAAGCACCCCTGTGGCTACCACCACAGGGAGGACTGTGCTGGGTCAGACCTGAAGCAAGCATAGCACTGAGGTTCATCCAAGGCCAATAGTAACCATTACCTGACTACTGCCTGTATTCGCTCAAGGCCCTGGGGCTCTACAATCAGCAGGTAATGAAGCCAGCCAGGCTTGTATCCTTCCTTTCAGTGCAGCAAGTTCCCCCCAGGCCCCAGCTGTACCCAGAAGTGTCACCTGGGAGGCAGAGATTACAGTAAAAAACCTTAGAAGTCTCCTTGGTATTCTGTTGTAGTGTGGCTGAGCTGGCACTCAAACCATGAGATGCAGTCCTTCCCACTCTTCCCTCCCTTTTCATATGCAAAGGAGCCTCACTCTGTGGGTACCACCACACACCCATGAGGAGTCTTTCCAGGCAACTGTTGATGTTTCTTTAAAGCCCACGGACTCTCTTTAGTCAACTTTTGGTGAATGCTACCTGGCTCAGGACTCACCCTTCAGGGCAATGAGCTGCCTTCTGGCCTAGGGCAAGTCCAGACATGCCATCCTAGAGCCAAGGTTTGGAATCAGGGACTCCAAGAGCCTGCTTGGTGCTCTACCCCACTATGGACAGTCTGGTACCTAAAGTGCAAGACAAAATCTGCTTAACTTTCCCTTTTCTTTTCTCGAGCAGGAGTTTCTTCCTATAGTCACCACAGCTGGGAAAGTGCTGAGTCTCACCTGAAGCCAGCAAGTTTCAGAGTCTCACCCAAGGCCCAAGGCATAATACTGGGATATCTCTGCTGGTTATTTAGGGCCCAAGAGCTCTTTATTCAGCATGTTATGGGTCCTTCCAGGATTGGATACTTCTCTTCAAGGTAGCAGGTTCCCTTCTGGCCTTGATGTGTCTAGAAATGTCAGCTGAGAGCTGGGGCCTGGAATGGGTACCTCACAAATCTGACTGGTACCCTATCCTACTGTGGCTGAACTGGTGTCCACAATTCCAGACAAAGCCCCCTTTACTCTTCTGTCTCCTCTCCTCAAGCAGAAGGAAGGGGTCTGTTTTGGAGCTGTGAGCTGTGCAGCCTATGATTGAGGAAGGGATAGCTCAAGCACTCCCTTGGTAGCCCCAGATGGTGTCTCATAGATCACATTTTCCCCATCCACTGGCTCTAAGCCCAGTTCAGTAGTAGGACCTGCCTAGAAATTGTAGTCCTTGTAGCCTAGACTGACTTTCAAGTTTATTTAGAACCCCAGAGCCCTTTATCCTCCAGTAGCGAGGCTTGCTGTAACTTGAGTTCTGACTGCTGGGATGGGTGATTCCACTCTGGCTATGGCTGCTTTAAAAACTCCTTCTGTAGGTGGGCATCAGCTGAGTTCAGCCCAGATTGGCTTTCTTCTGTGACAGGGCACCACTGAGTTCAATGCATTCTCACAATCATTGCACTCTTCCCCTCCCAAGTGTATAGATTCTCTCTCCACACCACGTAACTTCTGCTGGGGGATAGAGGAGGGGTGGCATTGGCAATTCAAGACTGTTTCCTAACCTCCTTAGTACCTCTTTCAGCTACATGAGTTTATAAACAGGTACTGTTAGTGCTCACCTGATTTTTGGTTCTTATGAATGTGCTTTTCTTGTGTGTTTAGATAGTCGTTAATTTGGTGATCTTATAGGAGGGACGATTGGTGGAGCCTTCTATTTGGCCATCTTGCTTGCCCCCTGTTTAGCATTTTTGAGGAACAGAAAGTAAATATGTATGATTGGTGCTGAGAGAATGTGGAGGAGAGTAGTCAGAGAAATTATAAGAGTGGGAGCAGATAGGAGAGCACCATAAATGTTCCTGGGACTTAACCCTGAGTGAATTTGGATGTCATTATAAAGCTCTGAGCTGAAGAGAGACATGATTTGACTTATACTTTAAAAGAATTTCCCTGACACATGAGTTACTGTAAGGAGACAAAGATAAAAGCAGGAAGCCTTGTTGGTGGACTATGCAGTCACCTAAAAGAGACATTATGTAGGGCAAAGAGTGAGTTGGCTATAACTAATGTCCTAACAGATTAGATATGGAGTGTGAAAGAAAAAGGGTTAAGGATGACTCCAACTTTGAAACTGAACATCTATTGGGAGGGATTAGAAATTAACTATGAAAGAAACAGTTTCTTTGGAAACTGTTTCTTATGGAAACAGTCTATGGAAGTAGACAATCAGAAATTCATTTTGAATGTGTAAAATGCAAGATTTTACAGACATTTATAATAGGTTGAATTATGCACCCTTCAGATCAACACAGCATGGCACACTTACCTTTTGATGGTAGTACACCAAGAACTACTTGAACTATTTCTACAGTCTTGGTGCCAGGTCACCATACCACTGATATTATTACAGACCCAACCTTACAGCAGCAGACTGTTCAGGGTCTTCCAAATTATCAACTAGCATGTCTCCACAGAGTGTCACTTACCACCCTTGCCTCAAGTATTTTGTCTCCTTCCCTGGTACTTCTCTGTAGACAACATTATAAAGGATGCCAGAGGCCCCACACATTGCTCACACATATGATATATGTAAGAGGGGAGGAATGATAGCCCATTTGTTGAATCCTTGACCAACGAGAGACAGGAACTGATTATTTTCTTCCCCCATTCTCCATGGACACATGATTCTGAAATGCAGCAGTGTTCCAAAGTGTTGAAGAACTAGTCACACTTAGTGGTTAGCTCCATGATACATCCTTATTTTGGCTCTCCCTAATTTCCTTCTTCACTTTCTTTATCCCTTATTTTTTTATCCCTGATATAATATTCCTTAATAAAATAATAGAGTGCAAGCATCTGCCCTCAAACAAAGACAACATCCAGGTGGAAATATCTAATAAGCAACTGTACAAGTCTGGCATTTAAGAAAAAAAGGTGTAGAATATAAATTTGGGAGTTGTTAGCATATTAATAAAATTTAAAGTCATTGGATTGGGGGACAGCACATGGAGAATGATTTAAGTAAAGATGTCTGAGGACTGAGAGTTGAACATGTCATTATTTAAAGTTTAGAAGATGAAGAAAAACAACAAGGGAGGCTTAGGAGAAATGGTCTGTAAGGTAAGAGGAAAACAAGGAGGACATGTGGTATCCTAGAATCCCAGTGAAGAAAGTGTTTTCAAGAAGGAGAGCATAATCAACTGCGTCAAATGTACTCAGAGGTTGAGTATGATGAAGATTGATTTTTGACCATTGGATTTGTCAACATGCTGGTTACTACTTTCTTGGCAAGAGTTTATTTGCTGGGGTGCTGGGACAAAATCCAGACTGCAGTGGGTTCAGGAGGGAATAAGAAGATGAGAAGTAAATTCAGTGAGTATAGAAAATTCTTCCATCCCTCTCCCTCTCCCTCTCCCTCTCCCTCTGCCTCTCCCTCTCCCTCCCCACAGTCTCCCTCTCCCTCTCTTTCCACGGTCTCCCTCTGATGCCGAGCCGAAGCTGGACTGTACTGCTGCCATCTCAGCTCACTGCAACCTCCCTGCCTGATTCTCCTGCCTCAGCCTGCTGAGTGCCTGCGATTGCAGGCGCGCGCCTCCGCTCCTGACTGGTTTTCGTATTTTTTTGTTGGAGACGGGGTTTGGCTGTGTTGGCCGGGCAGGTCTCCAGCTCCTAACCGCTAGTGATCCGCCAGCCTCGGCCTCCCGAGGTGCTGGGATTGTAGACGGAGTCTCGTTCACTCAGTGCTCAATGGTGCCCAGGCTGGAGTGCAGTGGCATGATCTCGGCTAGCTACAACCTCCACCTCCCAACCGCCTGCCTTGGCCTCCCAAAGTGCCGAGATTGCAGCCTCTGCCCGGCCGCCACCCCGTCTGGGAAGTGAGGAGCGTCTCTGCCTGGCTGCCCATCGTCTGGGATGTGAGGAGCCCCTCTGCCTGGCTGCCCAGTCTGGAAAGTGAGGAGCATCTCTGCCCGGCCGCCATCCCATCTAGGAAGTGAGGAGCGCCTCTTCCCGGCCGCCATCCCATCTGGGAGGTGAGGAGCGTCTCTGCCCGGCCGCCCCGTCTGAGAAGTGAGGAGACCCTCTGCCTGGCGACCGCCCCGTCTGAGAAGTGAGGAGCCCCTCCGCCCAGCAGCCACCCCGTCTGGGAAGTGAGGAGCATCTCCGCCCGGCAGCCACCCCATCCGGGAGGGAGGTGGGGGGGTCAGCCCCCCCACCCGGCCAGCCGCCCCCTCAGGGAGGGAGGTGGTGGGGGTCAGCCCCCCTGCCCGGCCAGCCGCCCCGTCTGGGAGGGAGGTGGGGGGGTCAGCCCCCTGCCCAGCAAGCCACCCCATCCGGGAGGTGAGGGGCGCCTCTGCCCGGCCGCCCCTACTGGGAAGTGAGGAGCCCCTCTGCCCGGCCAGCCGCCCTGTCCGGGAGGGAGGTGGGGGGGTCAGTCCCCCGCCCGGCCAGCCGCCCCGTCCGGGAGGGAGGTGTGGGGGTCAGCCCCCGCCCGGCCAGCCGCCCCGTCCGGGAGGTGAGGGGCGCCTCTGCCCGGCCGCCCCTACTGGGAAGTGAGGAGCCCCCCCGCCCGGCCAGCCACCCCGTCCGGGAGGGAGGTGGGGGGGTCAGCCCACCCACCCGGCCAGCCGCCCCTTCCGGGAGGGAGGTGGGGGGTCAGCCCCGCCGCCCGGCCAGCCGCCCCGTCCGGGAGGTGAGGGGCACCTCTGCCCGGCTGCCCCTACTGGGAAGTGAGGAGCCCCTCTGCCCAGCCACCACCCCGGCTGGGAGGTGTACCCAACAGCTCATTGAGAACGGGCCATGAGGACAGTGGCGGTTTTGTGGAATAGAAAGGGGGGAAAGGTGGGGAAAAGATTGAGAAATCGGATGGTTGCCGTGTCTGTGTAGAAGGAAGTAGACATGGGAGACTTTTCATTTTGTTCTGTAGTTAAGAAAAATTCTTCTGCCTTGGGATCCTGTTGATCTGTGACCTTACCCCCAACCCTGTGCTCTCTGAAACATGTGCTGTGTCCACTCAGGGTTAAATGGATTAAGGGTGGTGCAAGATGTGCTTTGTTAAACAGATGCTTGAAGGCAGCATGCTCGTTAAGAGTCATCACCACTCCCTAATCTCAAGTACCCAGGGACACAAACACTGCAGAAGGCCGCAGGGTCCTCTGCCTAGGAAAACCAGAGACCTTTGTTCACTTGTTTATCTGCTGACCTTCCCTCCACTATTGTCCTATGACCCTGCCAAATCCCCCTCTGCGAGAAACACCCAAGAATGATCAATTAAAAAAAAAAAAAGAAAGAAAATTCTTCCAAAGCACTTTTGCCTCTAGTCTCTTTGCATTCATTCCTTTGGTGACATTAACCAGGTTAAATGCATTAAATACATCCGTATATTGAAAATGCACAACTTCAGCCCAGATATCTCACCTTATCCCCAAAATTATATATCCAAATACTTTCCTGATGTCTCAATTTGAATTTCTAACAGATATTGTAAATATAATGTATCCAAAACAGAATCCTGAACTCCTCATATTCCCCCCAAGAAACTTATTCTCCTTTGGTCTTCCACATCTCAGTTATTGGGCATTTCCCTTAATTCTTTCAGGTTTTGTGTCCAAAAATGTAGTAATTCGTGACTCCTTTCTCTCTACACAACTGACATTCAATTTGTCAGTAAATTATACTTCATAATGCAACCCGAACCCTGGTTCTTAGACTTATCCTCTTTTTTAATAGTACTTAATATTTTGAATGTATTTATAATCAATTTATCATCTTGATTGGCCACCTTACTCAAGTAGAATGTAAGTTATTTTGATGACATCTTTATCTGATTTGTTCACTACTGTGGCCTTAATGCTTACAATACTGCCTGGCATATAGCAGAAATTCAAAGAATATTTATGATATGAGTAAAAAGTGTTATTGATGTGTGTTTGTATTTATCAGGCAGGAATGCTGACACATTTATTTTTATTTTTATATGATGAATAATAGAGGTATATAATTTGGGGTACATGTGATAATCGAACACATTCATATAATTTGTAAAGATAAAATCGGTGCACTTGGGATATTCATCACCTTAAATATTTCCTCTCTTTTGAATATATACCCAGTAGTGAAATTGCTGGATCATACAATAGTTCTATTTTTAGTTTTCAAAGAACCTCTATACTGTTCTCTATAGTGGCTATACTAATTTACATTCCCACCAACAGTGTACAAGAATTCTCTTTTCTCTGTCTCCTTGCCAGCATCTGTTATTGCCTTTTTGATAAAAGCCATTTTCAGTAGGGCAAGATGATATCTCACTGTAGTTTCGATTTGCACTTCTCTGATGATTAGCGATGTTGAGCATTTCTTTATATACCTGTTGGCCTTTGTATGTCTTCTTTTGAAAAAAAAAATGTCCATTCATATCTTGTAGCCATTTCTAAATTAGATTATTTGATTTTTGCTATTAAATTGTTTTGTGGGTTGTCTCCACTTTGTTCGTTGTTTCCTTTGCTGTGCAGAAGCTTTTTAGCTTAATGAAATCTCATTGGTCTAGTTTTGCTTTGATTGCCTGTACTTTTGGGATCTTACACAAACATTTTTCCCCACACCAGTGTCCTGGAGCATTTCCCCAATGTTTTCCTTTAGTACTTTCATAATTTCAAGTTTTAGATTTAAGTCTTAAACTTCATTTTGATTTGATTTTTTAGTGTGGTGAGAGATAAAGTTCTCGTTTTATTCTTCTGCATATAGTTGTCCAGTTTTCACAGCACCGCTTATTGAAAAGACTGTCCTTTACCCATTGTATGTTCTTGGCACCTTGTTGAAGATGAGTTGGCTGTAAATATGTAAATTTATATTTGAGTCCTCCATTCTATTCTGTTGGCCTATGTGTCTGTTTTTATGCCAGTACCATACTGATTTGGTTACTACAGCTTTGTAATACATTTTGAAGTCAGGTAATGTGATGCCTCCAGCTTTGTTCTTTTTGCTCAGGATACTTGGGCTGCTTAGTCTGTTGGAATTCCACATAAATTTTAGGATTTTTTTTTTCCTATTTCTGTGTATAATGTCATCAGTATTTGGATAGGGATTGCATTGAATCTTCAAGTTGCTTTGAGTTGTATTGTCATTTTAACAATAATAATTCTTCCAATCCATGGGCACAGAATATCTTTCCATCTTTTTGTGTCCTTTTCAATTCCTTTTATTAGTGTTTGTAGTATTGTTGTATAGACCTTTCACTTCTTTGGTTAGATTAATTTCTAGATATTTTATATTTTTGTAGCTATTGTAAATGAGACTACTTTCTTGATTTCTTTTTTCAATTGTTCACTGTTGATGTATATAAATGCTATGCTACTAATTTTTATATGTCAATCTTATATTCTGTAAATTTACCGAATTTATTAGTTCTATCAGATTTTTGGTGGAGTCTTCAGATTACTCTAAGTAGAGGATCATGTCATGAATTAACAAGGCTAATTTGACTTCTTCCTTTCCAATTTGGATGCCCTTTATTTCTTTCTCTTGCCTAATTGCTATGGCCAGGACTTCTAATACTATATTGAATAAAAATGGTGAAAGCACGCATCATTGACTGGTTCCAGATCTTAGAGGAAATTCCTTCAGTTTTTTCCGCATTCAGTATGATTTTAGTTGTGGGTTTGTCATATACAGCCTTTATTATTTTGAGGAATATTCCTTCTATATCCAGTTTGATAAGGGTTTTTATCACCAATTGATGTTAAATTTTATTAAATACTTTTTTTGGCAGCAATTGAAATCATCATATGGTTTTTATTCTTGATTCTATTAATATGATATATCACATTTATTGACTTGTGAATGTTGAACCATCTTTTTACCCCTGGGTTGAATCCCACTTGATTATGGTGAATGTCTTTTTAATATGTTGTTGAATGTCATTAGCTAGTATTCTGTTGAGAATATTTGCATCTATGTTCATCAGTGATATTGGCCTATAGTTCTTCTTTTTTCATTGTGTCCTTTTCTGGTTTCAGTATCAAGGTAATGCCTGCCTGATAGAAGGAATTTAAAAGTATTCCTTTCTCTTGATGTTTTGAACAGAGTTTGAGTAGAATTGATATTAGTTCTTCTTTAAATGTTTGGTAGAATTCAGCAGTAAAACTGTCAGATTCTGGGCTTTTATTTGATAAAAGACATCTTATTATGACTCTTATCTCATTACTTGCCAATGGTTTGTTGAGGTTTTCTGTTTCTTTATGGTTCAATTTTGGTAGTGTGTATGTATGCATAAATGAATCTATTTTTTCTAGGTTTCTCAATTTGTTGGGATATTTTTGTTAATGATAGTCTCTAGTAATTCTTTGTATTTCTGTGGTCTCGGTCATTACATCTCCTTTTTCATTTCTGATGTTATCTATTTAGTTTTTATTCGTAGTTTAGCCAATTGTTTGTCAGTTTTATCTTTTCAAAAATCCAACTTTTTGTTTTGTTGATCTCCTATAATTTTTTTTAGTCTCAATTTTATTTCTGTTCTGATCTTTATTATTTTTATTTCATTCTGCTAATTTTGAGCTTAGTTTGTTCTTGCTTTCCTAGTTCCTTGAAATGAATAGTCAGGTTGTTTATTTGAAATATTTCTACTTTTTTGATATAACTCTTTATTGCTATAAACTTTCTTCTTAACACAGCTTTTGATGTATCTTATAAATTTTGGTTCGTGGAATTTCCATTTTCATTTGTGTCAAGATATTTTTAAATTCTCCACTGATCCATTGGTCATCCAGGAGCATATTGTTCAATTTTCATGTGTTTGTGAAATTTCTGAAATTTCTCTTATTATCGATTTCTAGTTTTAGTCCATTGTGGAATAAAGGAAAGATGCTTGATGTAATTTCTACTTTTTAAAATGTACTCAGACATATTTTGTAGCCAAAGTTACAGTGTATTCTGGAGAATGCTCTGTGCACTGGTGAAAATAATATGTATTCTATAGCAGTTGGGTGAAATGTTTTGCAAATGTCAGTGAGACCTGTTTGATCTAGTGTGTAGTTTATGATGTTTCTTTGTTGATTTTCTGACTAGGTTATCTGTCCGTTATTTAGAATGAAGTATTACAGTCTTCTACTATGGCAATATTGGAATTTATCTCTCCTTTAAATCTATTCATATTTGCTTTATATACTTGCGCACTCTGCTGTTGGGTGTATAGATATTTATAATTGCTATCTCCTCTTGCTGAACTGATCCCTTTCTCAGTTTATACTGACCTTCTTTATCTCTTTTTACAGTCCTAGATATGCAGTCTATTTTATCTAAAATATTGCTACTCTTGCCCTTTTTTTGGTTTCCAGTTGCATGGAATATCTTTTTCTACCCCTACACTTTCAATCTATGTGTTGCTTTATAGGTGAAGTGGGTTTCTCGTAGGCAGTATATAATCAGGTCTTGTTTCTTTATACATTCAGCCACTTTATGCCTTTTAATTGGAGAATTGAGTCCATTTATATTTAGTGTTATAATTGATAAGTAAGGACTTACTACTGCCGTTTTGTTGCTTGTTTGCTGGTGGTTTTGTAACTCCTCTCTTTTATTCTTAGTTTCTTGCTATCTTCCTCTGTGGTTAAGTGACTTTCTCAGGTAGTAAGTTTTAATGCCTTAGTTTTTATTTTAAGTGAATCTATTATAGGCTTTTGCATCATGGCTACCATGAGGCTTACAAGAAAACATAGATATAAAAAATTATTTCAAAGAGTTAACAACTTATCTTAGATCACAAAGAAAAATAGAAATAAAAAAATTTCTACACTTAACTATTTCTCCATATTTTGACTTTTAGTCTTCTCAATTTACATATTTTATTATTACCTGTCTCTCAGCAGGTTTCTCTAGCTACTGATAGATTTATTTTGAGGGCTGCATATTCAAGTTATGAATTGATTGCACGCAACTACAGTAAGAGTGTATCTGAATTTGTCTGTATACTTAATTTTACCAGTGGGTTGTATACCTTCAAATCTGTGGTGTTTGTGTGTGTGTGTGTTTTGCGTATTAGTGTTTTGGTTTTTGTTTCTTTCAGATTGAAGAACTCCTTTTAGCATTTCTTGTAAGATAGGTCTGGTGGTGATAAATTCTCTCAGCTTTGGTCTGGGAAAGATAACTTTGAAGGATAACTTTGATAGACACAGTATTCTTGGATGGCAGTTGTTTATTTTATTTTTATTTTTAGCACTTTGAAAATATCATTCTTTTCCCTCCTGGCCCAAAGCAAGTTTCTGTTGAGAATTTTGCAGCCAAATAAATTGGAACAGCTTTATATGCCATTGCCTTCTTTTCTCTTGATGCTTTTAGGATTCTCTCTTTGTCTTTAACCTTTTTTTTTTCTTTTTTTTTTTTTTTTTTTTTTTTTGCCCAGGCTAGAATGCAGTAGCACAATCTTGGCTCACTGCAACCTCTACCTCCTAAATTCAAGCAACTGTCCTGCTTCAGCCACCTGAGTAGCTGGGATTACAGGTAGCTGGGATTACACACCTGGCTAATTTTTGTATTTTTAGTAGACACAGTGTTTCACTATGTTGGCCAGGCTGGTCTCAAACTCCTGGCTTCAAGTGATTGCCCATATCAGCCTCCCAAAGTGCTGGGATTACAGGTGTCAGCCACTGCATCTTTGTTTTTAACCTTTTCTAGTTTGATTATTATATGCCTTGGGGTTGTCTTATTTGTGTCAGATCTGTTTGGTGTTCTCTGACGTTCCTGTTACTGCATATTTGTATTTTTCTTAAGTTTGGGAAAGTTTTCTGATATTGTTTATTTGAATAACCTTTCTACCTTTTGTTCTTGTTCAAATCCTTCTTGAAAACCAATGATTCTTTGATTTGGCTTTTTGAAGTAATTTTCTATATTTTGTAGGAAATCTTCATTGCTTTTCATTCTGTCTTCTTTTTTCTCCTATGATTGTGTAATTTCAAATAGCCTGACTTCTAATTCACTGTATCTTTCTTCTGTTTGACCCATTCTGATGTTGAGAGCCTCTAATGAATTTTTTAGTTTAGCAAATATATTTCTTAGTCCCAAGGTTTTTGCTGTTTTTTAAATTAACATTTCAATATCTTTGTTGAACTTCACTGACAAGTTTCTGAATTGCTTTTCTGTATTATCCTTGAGATCCCAAATTTCCTTCAAACTACCATTCTGAATTCTTGGCAGAGAACTCACATATTGCCATCCTGTTAGGGTCAGTTACTTGTTTCTTATTTTGTCCACTTGGGGAGATCATTGTTCTCTGTTGTTGTTTCTTGCAGATGTCCATTGATGTCTTTCCATTGAAGGATTAGTAATTTATTCTAGTCTTCTCTATCTGGCTTGTTTGGGTTTTTATTGGATATATTTGTTTATAGCTTCTCTACCATTTGGTCACTGTGTCTTTTTCAGCTCTAGGTGATGCCTCAAGCCCAAGTTTGCCTCAGCTCTAGTAGATGATGGAAAAGCTGCCCTTCTTAAATGGGGGCAGTCCCAGAGGTGACATCTCAGCAGCTTGGGAAGTCTGGCTTAGGGTTTGTTCCTAGGGACCCTATGAGACAAAACTACAGTGTGGTGCTGTTGAACAGCTACTCTGATGTGGTGTCTCTTTTGGCTGAGTTACAAAGCAGAGTTTCCAGGGCTGGGGATGGTAGTTCCACCTCCCTGCTTTGCTTCTGCCTGTCCTCAGGGACATTTCTCCCTTGAGGCACTCACGATGCTTCTGTGAGTTAAAGCAGTAATGGGTCTTCTGCCAGGGAAAACAAGGTAATGAAAAAGCTCATTATACATTTAAATCTGTTTTTAGTGTAGAAACAGTGAGTTGTGGGAAATTTTTCCACAAGTTTCCTGCCAGACAGAATTGGGGCAAAGGCATCATGGACTTGGAAATTCAATTCTCTTACCAACCACATGGAATTGTTTTCACTTCTCTGTGGCTTGGGGATTTGTCTCATTGTCATGTATGAGTTCTGGGAGATTTCTGGTAATAAACTTGACACCACATATTTTCTTTTCGTTTGCTTTTGTGGGGAGAATGAAGACAGCTTGCTTCTATATTGCCATTTTGGAACGACAAATCCTAGTAAAAATTTTTAAACAAGCTTGATATCATCTATATCAGATCAAATTCCCTTGATTCTTTAGCTTATTTTATTTATATTTTTAAATTTCTCTCTCTTTCTCTCTTTTTCCTGAAAGGCGGGTCTCACTATGTTTCCCAGACTGGTCTGAAATTCCTGGGCTCAAGCAGTCCTTCCACCTATCCCTCCTGAGTAACTGGGATTACAGGCATACACTACTATGGCCAGCTCATTTGCTTACTTTAAAATTAAGGTAATCTTTTCATAGATGATGTAGGAAAGTTTAATTATTTTTCCTGAAGTTTCAACAATTTGAGTGTATAAAACAAAATGATAACAGGTTAACAGGAAAAAAGGCATATCAATTTATTAATGTGTAAATGGGCATGGAAGTCATAAAATGTGAAAACTCAAAGGAGAGCCAGATGGTCGATGCTGAAATATCCCCTTCATTTATTGGGAAGACAGAAGATGAGGGTTCAAGGTGTAGAAGTAAATTATTTCCAGGGGAAATGAATAAGCTCAAAAACAGTGGTCTAGGGCCAAATTTATCTGGGTTATGGGGAGATAGCTCACAGGTTATAGGAGAGTGAAGGGGGGAAAGCACGTCAAACAAAGGCTGTCATGTTATACAGATGAAAATATGTCAGGTAATTTCAGAGCTACCCTCAGAAAAAAATGATGGTAGCCTGTGGTTGAGTTCATCTTTCCTTGATCTGGACAATGGGGATAAGGGGATGCTCAAAGAAAGCCTATTTATTTCAATAATGTAGATTTTTCTCTGCAGATAAAAAATCTCCACAAAAGGCAGCTTTTCAAGGCTATTCCTGTCTTCAAGCCTTCTGAGCAACCATCTCAAAATATGTCAAAGAAGTATCTTTTGGGGTGAAATATTTTTGGTTTCCTCTAATAGCATAAAATTTTTGATGTAAATGTTCAAAGCTGCTTACTTGTTCTATCCAGCATGTTAGAATGCTCTTACTGATGTAGAGAGACAAAGATAAGGCAACACCAAGAACAAGATGAAAAGAAGGGCTTAAGATGGGGATATTTTGGAACATTTGCTGATAGAGCACAGACGATGTGCATGTGGATATAATTTTTTTTCTTCAGAGCCAGGTTGAGCAACATGACCCTTTTCTAAAGCTTCTTATACTTTCCTTATATTGCTGATGTAAAGCTTCTGTTTTATTAAAGCTTATGGTGATAAGAAGGTTAGATCCAGATTAATCTAACATCTATTTTCCTTGAAATCCAATGAAATTATTTTATCACTTAGGAGATGTATCATATTTTTGCATTCAGATAAAAAATAAAAAGCAAGGAAAATAAGCATTTTACTACGGGCATTGTGAACCAGGTTTTAACCTATCAATGTAAACAACATTTTCTTCCATTTAAAATATATATATATACACACATATATACATATATATGTATATATTTCCAAAAACATGCTTTACTTCTCCATAAAGATGTTATGAAGCTTAGCAGAGAAAAACAGGTTGTTAGCATGTGACTTAAAAATAAAACAATAAAAATATTCCTAACAATGTCAAAAGAAAACCTAAGAAAATGTGCTGTCTTGGATTTTTAGCTTTGGTTATAGAGTGACAAATGATTGCTTGAAAACCTAAGAAATCTTTCTTTTAAAAAAATTGTTATTTGCAGACTTGAAGAAACTTAAAAACATTATGTAAAAATAAGACAATATAAAATTGTGGGTGGATGATTGGCAATAACAACCTAGAATTTGAGATCAATGACCTTAATTGTTATTCTAGAATAAACATCAGAAGGAAAATAACCATTCATTAGACTCAACAATAGGCAGAAACCACAGCTGGCAAGAAGAGTGTATTTCCCTTATGCAAAGTCTTTAAGCAGTGCTTTAGATTTGCTTAACAAGAAAGACTGATTTGCATTTCCTTATATTTCTTTTTCTTGGTTGGCTTTCACCAGTGTCCTGGTGGGGCCCTTTTTCTCTTAAATTTTAATTTGTTTTCTGATACATGAACTCATTTTTCTATTTGAAGGAATGGAACAATGCCCACAGCACAGTGAAAAATGAAGCTTTCAATCAGGAATCCAGGTATTGAGAAAAATAAATGGCAATATGTTTAACAGATTACTGTATCCAAATATATTGAATGGCTAAATTTTTGCACATTTTAATCCCTATTACCATTTCACTATTTTCCCCTGTGATTATTTTTCTTATTATTTTTTTCTTTCTGTTTTTTAATTTTTTTCTCTGTGGTTAATATTTTTATTTGGCTTTAGGGAAAATAATTTGACATTTAACAAATCTAAATACCTATAACATTTAACAAATTGAAATCTATCACAGGAAAATGATTGTCTTAATTTAAAATGTGATTACTTAAAGATAAATACAAAGATCATATTAAAATGATTAAATCATGAGAGTGCTTTTATGAAGGTCATATATTATAAAAATACATTGAGAATATTGTATATGTTCATTTAATGATGGGAATTATTTTAGACCTTGGCTATAGCATATAAAAAGCTATTTCTATTTTCTCTAAATATTTGTTCAAATAATTTCTGTAGAGATTTCACTTCTGGGCAAGACGAAGTAAGCCCACTACCCTGGCTCTCCAACTGAACATAAATATAACCTCTGAACAGAAGGAATAGAGAAGACATCTGAAGACTAAAAAGTAAATGGTAATGGGGAGATTTGTGAAGGAGTCCAGAATTTGATGTAATCCCAAAAGTGTTAGCGGTGGTGAATCCATAAAGGTCTGCAGTAACCTCAATTCTTGCCTCCTCAGAAGAAAGAATTTGGGCAAGGGAGCTTAAGGCAGAAGGAGAGACCTGACATAGACTCAAAGTTTTGGAGCAGGAGTGAACGTTTATTAAAAAGCTTTGGAGCAGGAATGAAAGGAGGCAAAGTACACTTAGAAGAGGGCCAAGCGGGTGATTTGAGAGATTAAGTGTACAGTTTGACCTTTTGACCTGGGGTTTTAGATGTTGGCATGCTTCCAGAGTCTTGTGTCCCTTCTCCCTGATTCTTCCCTTAAGGTGGGCTGTCCACACGCACAGTGGCCTGCTAGCACTTGGGAGGTGAGCATGTGCAGTGTGTTTACTGGAGTTGTATGCATGCTCACTTGAGGCATTCTTCCCTTACCATTCCAATGTCATATACCAGTTAAACTCCACCATTTTGCCACTTAGTGCACCTCCTTGATCCCATTCACCCATCTCCTGAGATCTTATTGGGAAGCTGCTGATCACCAGTTTCAGGTATTTTCTATCTACTGGGAGACTGCCTTTTCCTGGTGCTGGCTGTGATCAATTATTATTTCAGAGAGACAGTTTAACAACAGCCTGACCATCAACTGATGGTCACCTGACATTCTTGATTAGGGTGAGCCCTCTCCTGCCCTGCTTATGCCAGACTAGATACCTACTGTAACAAAACCAGAGATTAATGTCTCTTTTTTTCCCCCTACCAGTGAGAAGTGAAGCCACCCTTCCTGGGTCAAGTGGGGACTTGGAGAACTTTTCTGTCTAGCTAGAGGATTGTAAACACACCAATCAGCCCTCTGTGTCTAGCTAAACGATTGTAAATGCACCAATCAACACTCTGTAAAAATGCACCAATCAGTACTCTGTGTCTAGCAAAAGGATTGTAAATGCACCAATCAGCACTCTGTAAAATGAACCAATCAGCGCTCTGTAAAATGGACCAATCAGCGCTCTGTAAAATGGACCAATCAGCAGGATGTGGGCAGGGCCAAATAAAGGAATAAAAGCTGGCCACCCCAGCCAACAGCAGCAACCTGCTCAGGTCCCCTTCTACACTGTGGAAGCTTTGTTCTTTCACTCTTCACAGTAGATCTTGCTGCTGCTCATTCTTTGGGTCCACATTACTTTTAAGAGCTGTAACACTCACTGCGAAGGTCTGTGGCTTCCCTCCTGAAGTCAGTGAGACCACGAACCCACTGGAAGGAAGAAATTCTGGACACATCTGAACATCTGAAGGAACAAACTCCAGACACACCATCTTTAAGAACTGTAACACTCACTGCAAGGGTCTGTGGCTTCATTCTTGAAGTCAGCAAGACCAAGAACCCATTGGAAGGAACCAATTCTGGACACACCAGTATCTCCTGCCATATGCCGTAGACTCAAAGCCAACCTGACACCTAGAAGTACCAACTGGTGGGGACAGAGGGGGTCTCATTTTTTGTAACATAAAGTTGTAAACAAGACTCCTAAAGTCTAAAAAGAATGGGGTAAATCCCTGTTTTCTTTTCTTTTCTTTCTCACTATCCTTTTTCCCAGGCACAGAGTCTGGGCAACATCTAAAATACTACAAGGTGGAGACCTTTTTTTTTTTTGACAAAAGGAATAGTGATTCTAAAGGCAAGGTATGAATTTACTTTGAGTCATATTCTCTCTCTGTCCTCCTATTGCTTCGTGCTAGATGCAGTCTCAATTTTCAGAAGTGGCAAAACAGGAAAACCCAAAGCCTGGCTTTCTGACTACAGGATCATGAAATGAAAGCACAGGCAAGCAGAAAGTTCTGAGACCGCAGGGAGAAGGGAATTCTAAGGCAGCTATTGCTTAAACTAGTGTATGAACTACTGGACTCACATTCCCATGCTGCACTTGCATGGATCTGACCCCAAACAGCATACCAAAGGCATTAAAAACTATAGTCTACACAACTTCCCAGGTTCCAGACCAGCCACTGAGTTGTCAAAAATATTTTCAGTGGGACAATAGCCCACAGTAGGTGGTGCTGGAAAAAGGTACCCTGAAGTTAAGTTTGTTTCTTGCCTACTAAAACAAAACTAGACAATAAAAACCCACCATAATCCTAAGATTTAAATGAGACCTAGAGTCTGTAACATAATATTCAAAAGGTCCAGAATATCATCTAAATGAAGAACTAGCATATGAAGAACAAAGCAAATCTCAGCTCACAAAAGAAAAGACAACAGATGCCAATGCTGAAAGGACACACATGTTGAAATTACAAGACAAAGACATTAAAGTCATTATAAGTCTTCAGAAATAACTCTCAAGAAATAAGACTGAACACTTTTAAGCAAATAGGAAAATAAAGTCTCAACAAAGATAAGATAGAAACAAAACCAACAGAAAATTTTAGAGCTATAAGTGGAAAATTTTAGAACAATAACCAAATTTTAAAAATTTACTCGTTGGACTCAATAACAGAATTGAAATGGCAAAGGAGTCAGTGAACTTGAAGATAAATAATGAAAAATTATCCAATCTGAACTCTAGAGAGTAAAATGATTGGAAAAAAAGAAGGAACAGAACCCCAGGGACTGGGATAAAACTAAAACATCTGACATTTGTGTCACTGGAGTCAAAAAAGGAGAGGAGAAAGAGTGTGGTGTATAAAAAATATTTGAATGGCTGAAAATTTCCCAAATTTGTTGAAAGGTCTAAACTTATACATTTGAGCAACTCAGAAAATCCTAAAGAGGATAAGCT
Organism: Homo sapiens; assembly: GCF_000001405.40. NCBI lineage: Eukaryota > Metazoa > Chordata > Mammalia > Primates > Hominidae > Homo > Homo sapiens. The sequence goes on along the minus strand of NC_000001.11, from coordinate 98,499,497 downwards.
GAAAGAAATCCATGCTAAAACACATCATAATAAAACTGCTCAAACTACTGACCAAGGAAAATACTTTTAAAAACAGACAGAAAAATAAAAATTGATGCATAGTATGTAGGTGCATGAGTTTCTAATGAATGTGGATTTTTCCTCAGCAACCATGTGGGCCAGAGGAAAGTGGAATTTTTTTTAGATGCTGAAAATAAAGAATTTTCATCCTAGAATTCTATGTCCAGTGAAAATATCCTTCAGGAATGAAGGTTAAAATAAAGACATTCTCAGATGAAGGAAACAAAGAATTTCTACTAAGCAGATCTGCTAAAAGGGGATTTACTTGATTTGCTTTGTTAAAAACCAAGTACAGTTTCTGTGGGATAATTAACAGTATAAGAAATAATCTGTTTATTCACTCAATAAATATTGAGTAATATACATAACAAAATGTATAAAACTTGCTACACACTACTGTGGATACAAAGATATCTATAATATAGATCATGTTCTGAAGAAGCTTATGAGCTGCAGTGGAAATTAGAATATGTACATAGAAAATATTGTATCTGTTCTTATGAAATCCCCATGTGTAACAAACTACCTGAAACTTAGAGACTTCGAATGACTCAAAACAAAAATTTATTATTCTCTTTCACAGTGATGTTTATTGATTGGGGCCAGCTAGTGGTTTTGAGTTGAGATTTCTGATATGGTTATAACCTGTTATCAGCTGGGCTGGGGACATCTGAAAGTTCCAGTGAACTGGGTTTCCAACAAGCCTCACTCAATGGCAAGCAATTGATTCTGGCTATTAGCTGGAAGCTCACCTAGGGGTATTAATAGGAATACATATCCATGTTCTCTCCATGTGTCTTGAGTCTCTCACTGTACAGAAGTTGAGTTAAGTTCCCACTGGGTGTATCCAAGAGTGTGTTCCAAGAGACCCAGGTATAGCTGAAGATTTCTTAATACCAAGCCTTGGAAATCACATAGGAACATTTGACCATTTTATTGGTCAAAATTCTGAGCCAGCCCAGATTCTAGGGGAGGGGACAGAATGTATTATGAATATTGAGAAGTATGGCTCATTTTCAGACCATCTTTGTAAATAACTAGTGTCTGCTTTCTTTTTGACAATGATCCACATCCTTTATGAACGCAAAATCTACTCATCCCTCACCCAAAACTTAATCGCCCAATGGGCTCTTCCTGCCTACCACACAGACAGGATGAATTTACTCATACTATGGCATTGCAGTAGAAAAAGATTTTAATTGACACAAGGCCAAGCCCACATGGAAGAACTGGAGTTTTATTACTCAAATCAGTCTCACTGAAGGCTCAGAAGTTAGGGGTTTTATGGGCAAATTGGTGGGTAGGGCGGCTACGGAATGGGTGCTGCTGATTGCTTGGAAATAAAATCATAGGGGTGTGGAAAATGGTCCTTCTGCCCTGAGTCCACCTCCGTATGGGGCCACAAGACCAGCTGAATCATGAGTTATAGGGGTCCAGGTTGGGTCTGTGTGAAAATTATCTTAAAAAAAATCAATCTTAGGTTCTACAATAGTGATGTTATGTATAGGGACAACTGGGAAGTGGCAATCTTGTGATGTTTGACCACAAGACCCCTGAGCAATAAAGGATTATAGAAATTATCCTATTTTGTGAACTCTGGCCTGGACATATGACTGCTGAGCAAGTGACAGATTACAAAAAGCATGCCTACACTTTAGCAGAGTTCAGACCCCTCCCATAGTCCTTGTTTTAGTCCTTTTTCAGGCTGCTGATAAAGACATACCGGAGACTCGGCAATTTACAAAACAAAAGAGGTCCAATGGACTCACAGTTCCACATTGCTGGGGAGGCCTCACAATCATGACAGAAGGTGAAAAGCATGTCTCACATGGTAGCAGACAAGAGAAGAGAATGAGAGCCAAGCCAAAGGGGTTTCCCACTATAAAATCATCAGATCTCATGAGACTTATTCACTAACACACAAACAGCATGGAGGAAACTGCTCCCATGATTCAATTATCTCCCACTGGGTCCCTCCCACAACACAAGGGAATTATGGGAGCTACAATTCAAGACGAGAGTTTGGTGGGGACACAGCCAAACCATATAAATCCTATTAGTGTGGCTTTTCATTAGTCTTGCAAAGGTTGTTCTCGGTCCCTTAGCAAGGAGGGGGTTAGTTTTAGAAAGGGACTATTATAATCTTTGCTTTTAAGATAAACCATAAACTAAATTACACCCAAAGTTAACTTGGTCTACAAGCAAGAATGACCAAGGAGAGCTTGGAGGTCAGAAGCAAGATGGAGTCAACTATGTTAGATTTCTCTTACTGCCATAATTTTGCAAAGGTGGTGTCAGACCTGTAGCATCTCATCTCATTACCACATTGGCTCAAGCTTGATGTTGAAGAGATTACTATTTAATTGGGTCCAGGTGCAGTATTTTCTGTTTGATTTATAAGGCCTGTTAACTAAAGACCAAAGTTATCTGTGTCTCCCCCACACACTTTATACACATTCAACATAAAATGGTTTTTTAAAAAAGCATGATAAACCGCAATAAACATTTAATTTTAAAGGTGGGATGGAAGACAGAAATATATCTCTATTTGACAGCAGTTCTGAAATCCAGGTAGACACATACCACCAACTTCCTGATTAGGGTCTAGTCATGAGCCCTGGGAGTGATTCTCTAGTCTTTGCTCTGAGTCACCATTCATTTTTTATTAGAAATTGCCTATGTTTGCCACTGACTAACTTTGTTAGCCTGTTTCTGCCTGTAAAAGTTTAGAGCTTTAAAGTCTCTTATTTTTGAACTGTATCTGTCCTTTTTAGTTCAAGCTGGTGGTACTTCTGCCAATACAATATTTTTTAAAACTTCATGAGTTACTTATGACTCTCATTGGGATTCAGTCCATCAAAAACTGCAGACAAAAACAAAAAGCCTCACCCACAAATTCCTTTGAAATTGTTTATTTTCTAACTGTAGCTGAGATTCATTGTAATGAAGGACAATGCCCTTAAGATTCTTTTAAGGCATGTCTTAAATCTTTTGGCTGCATCCTAAGGGTTCTCTCAGCCACACCCTTGATCTCAACTTTACCCTGGGGCTACAATTTACTGGCAATGCCCTGAATTTGATACGTGCCCTAAGGCATTTTTTACTTTTTGTCCCCATCAGTTGTAAAATGTGAGGATGAAAATAATCCTATCTTTTAACTCAGCAAGTCTTAAATTCTTTATATTTTCTATGAAACTTCTTAGAAAATTGAATAGGGCTTTTTTTGGTTCATGTCTCTATATCCATACCTTTCCATATATGGCTAAAAAAAGCCAGTTAGCACTTAGAACATTACGCCTGGAAGTCTCCTTCTTGAAATCCACCTGTTCCTAAACATATTTTCCATTTGCAACTATACTGAAATCTTTGCCCCTGAATAAAAAGATCACAATGTCTCTAATCTCTAATAACAATTTATCACTGTCTTTCAAGCCTTCACTCTTTCTTTGAGGCCTTTCCAGTTTCTACCTGGGTTGACATTAGCATCTAATTCAGTTTCTCTGTCCAACGCATCTACTAACATAATCCTTTTTTTCTTCTTCTTCTTTTTTTTTTTTTTTTTTTTTTTGAGACAGGGTCTTGCTCTGCTGCGCAGTGCAGTGGCATAATCGCAGCTCACTGCAGCCTAGAACTTCTGGGCTCAAGTGATTTTTCTGCCTGAACCTCCTGAGTAGCTGGGACTACAAGGCATGCATCACAATGCCCAACTAATTTTTAAAGTTTTTGTAGAGACAAAGAGTCTCACTATATTGCCCAGGCTTGTCTCAAACTCCTGGACTCAAGCAATTTTCTGGCCTTGGCCTCCCAAAGTGTAGGATTACAAGTATAAGCCACCATGCCCAACCTATAGTATCCTTTTTTACATCAGTGTTCTTGTCATTTCTTCTAAAACCTTCACTCCACAGTTACTTGCAAACTTCCACTTCTTCCATTGAACTTATTTGCTTTCATCTTTGTTCAATTCCAAAGACTGTATCATCAATCTTCTTGTCAAATAATAAGCAGAACCACTTAAAATTACAACTATGCTATATAAGATAAATGTATTCTGCTATGATTGTACATAATGAGGGAATTGGCCTAGTTAGAAAGGTCAAAAGAGGTTTTCCTGAGAAAGCCATGATTAAGCTAAAACCTGAAGGAAAAAAAAAGTTGGTAAAAGATTGTGGCTTGCTATCATTTAGCATTGCTCCGATTATCTCAATTCTGAGTTTTCATTTGACCATAGTCATACTGCCTTCTAACAGTACTGTTTCTCATGTTGCCGCATCTTCTTTGTTCTTATTTCATACTTCACACTCTCAATTTTTCTCCATCTCCTGCATGACTGCCACTAGGCTCCCTACCCCAAATCAGCCTCTGTGTCAACGGTGCTCACTTTACATACTGGAATATCCCAACAAGTTTATTTTTTTAGTTAATCTCCATGTTCTTCAACTCATCTAATATATTCAACCTGCCCCCCAATTACTCTTTAATATGCCAGCCTGCTGATTTCCTTATTGTAAATTGAAGTATAAAATTATCCTTTATTATTATTGTTATTTTTTGTATCTGCTAATCCCATTTGACATAGAATCACCAATATCTATAATACTGACCACAGTGTGTGGCCAATAAATATTTGTTTAATAAATGAATAAACAAATGAATGTTTTATTTCTTTTACAAAGGAAATGGAGAAAATCTTGATATTGGGAGTATGATAAATTTAAGCCATCTAATTTCAACTAGCATATTTAGTTTCTTTAATTCCCTAAGTCTCCCTCACATTTTCTAATGCATTTTTTTCTAGAAACCATTTTTGCCACTCTTATTTTCAGCAGATTACTTCTAATTAGTTAAGATCCAAATGAGCTCCTCAAATACCTTTTTTTGTTTGTTTCCTCACTTTTACATTGTCCAGTTTTTTCAAGTGAGTTGAAAAGTATAAACCAATTTGGTATAACGATGACCTCAACTTTGGCTCATTTATTTACTAGCTCATTTATCAAAAAGTGTTCTATGTTTAGAACAACAGAGGCAACATCGCATTATTTCTGCCATTAAGAAGCTCACAGAAAAGCCATGTTCCATAATAACTGCATGCTCCAGACACTGCAGGGTCCAGTGTCTTTCTCTGCATCCACAGCTCACTACTCACTACATTCTAGTCCATGTACTACCCATAAACTTACCAATAGAATTTCTATGATTACAATAATGTTCTCTTTTTGCACTATCCAGTATAGCAGCCACTAACCTCACATGGATATGAAGCACTTGAAGCATGGCTTGTAGGACTGAGAATTGCATTTCAAATCTTATTTAATATTAACTTAATTTAAATTTAAACTTAGATTTAAATTTAAATGTGCATGTGAATTGCTAGTGTATTGACAGCACAGGTCTAACTGAAACCATCTCTATAAACTTTACAAAATTAACTGGGGAAGAAGGAAGGGGGAGAAATGAAAATAAACCAAGCTTGCAGCACATTCGGCATTAATTGTTAGGCCAGCTTGCTCTCTGACCTGCTTCCTCATAATGGTTTGGTGCCTGTTGCCCAGAATCATGCAGACCCTGTCACAAGATTATAATTTCTCTTAACTGTTCTATAGATAACAACTTGAACATTGTGGAACATTAAGTTTTCCCTTTGAAATATTCTTTCAGATATTCCCTTTGAAAATTTCTTTCAGAAATGTCAATATACCATTGACATTGCTGATGCCAGCTCATCTGAAGGGGCCTATGAAGAGCTGACTCACCAAATAATGCAGTTTCTACATCCTGATGATGTCATCCCCCCTTACCCTGGCCAATCAATGTCCCCAGTATTCCAGCCCCTCACTCTCCACAATACCCTTAAAAACCCTCATCCCAGAACTCCTTGAGGAGATGGATTTGAGGGTCCCTTCTGTCTCCTTGCTTGGCCACCCCTCAATCATTAAACTCTTTTTCTGCTGCAAACCCTGCTCTCTTGGTGTATTGGTCTGTTACTGCACAGGGGGAATATGAACCTGGTGGTCCTGTAACATAGCAACTCTGGTCTTTTATCAGTTCCATTAGTTCCTTTCACATAGAAAGTCATGTTCGTTCTCAGGGCCTGTGCACATGCTGTTTTCTCTGCCTGGAGTGCCTCTGTTCATCCCAGCATTCTTTCACAAAACTGTTCAAATGGCTACTTATTTCTCTACCTTTAGAGTTTGGCTTAAAGAAACACTCATTCTCTTCCTGACATTCCTATACAAAGCCAGAATAGCCTCACCCTCTAAGTCCTTATATTTGTATTATTTTCCATCTCTTCCCTTTGCTTGTTTCTTTCAAAGCATTTATTAAAACTGAAAATATTTTATTTGTCTACTTTCTTGTTTATAGTGTGTTCTCCTCCATCAAAGTGTAAACTTGATGAAGGTAGTAATTATGCACATCTTATAAATCCTTGTGATTTCACAGGCTAAAAAAAGTGCCTATTATATAGTAGGCATTTAAAAATATTTTTGGCTGGGTGCAGTGGCTCACACATATAATCTTGGCACTTTGGGAGGCCAAGTCGGGCAGATCACTTGAGGTCAGGAGTTCAAGACCAGCCTGGCCAACATGATGAAAACCTGCCTCTACTAAAAATGCAAAAATTATCCAGGCGTGGTCTCACACAACTGTAGTCCCAGCTACCCAGGAGGCTGATACAAGAGAATCGCTTGAACCCAAGAGGCAGAGGTTGCAGTGAGCTGAGATTATGCTACTGCACTCCACCCTGGGTGACAGAGTGGGACTTCATCTCAAAAAAAAAAAAAAAAAAAAAAATTTTAAATAACTGAGTGAACAAATGATGGCTATAATTTTAGCATGCAAAATGTATTGTGGGAGCATAGAATAGTGAAAACAAATCTGCCTAGGACTGAAGCAGGGATTGGGTTCATGAAGATTTTTATGGAAGTCACATTTAAGTGGAAAAGATAGTGAAGAAAATCCTAAGCAGAGGAAACATTCTGTGTAAATGTAAAGAGGCATGAAAAGCATGACCCATGTAGGAAGAGTGAGAAATTATATGTGACTGAAGTGCTTTGCTGTTTTATCACTTGAGACCATCTTTTCCTTCTCAGAAAAGAAGAATTATTTTTTTCTAAGACAAATTCTGCCACTGGTATCCCACATCTGATACTTCTTCCATTGCCTATGGAACGTGTCCCATCGGTTATCCTTTTATATTTGCTCAATATCTACTAACTTTCTGGTTTGCCTAACATAAGGGCTTGGATGACATTCATGGTGGAAAATAAAAACGAAAACAAAAAAAACAAACCTACCCGTCAAGTCCATAGCCCCTTAACATCTCCTTATCCTTTTCCACATTGAATCTACAAACTGTCCCCGACACACTGCCTCTACTTGCTCACCTCTTTGTTGCATCTTTTGTTCACCAGTTGACTCATCTGCTTTCCTTAAGGCAGTACATCTTTAATCATTTTGTTTCCTTGTCTCGAAATTTTAAATAGCCTTTTACAGCCAGCTGGATAAAGAGTAAACTCTTACTCTTTGATTGTAAATCTCATCCTACCCTTGAACTGGCCCTGAATTATCTTTCAAAACGTTTTTAATACTACATCAGAATTTAGCTAAAATGGACTGTTTAATAATATACTTTCTATTATTGGTGGCCTTGACTGTTGCTGTCTTTGACAAGCCATTCCTGACCTTCCCAAACTAAGCCTTTGTTAGCAGGGCTAACAAAGCCCTGTCTCCTTACTTACCATTATATGTTCATTGCCCATTAAGGTCTGACCTATGATGGTCACTCAGTGTGATGAACGAGTAAAGATACCCTCTGCTTAGAGCCTGATCTTTGCTTCTGAGGGAAATTATCCCTGTGCATGCTGCAAATCTCAGAATTCACGTGTCCTTCTTGTGAATTCAGAATATTACAGGTGAAAATATACCATTCACTGTATTCTCTAAATGAGAATAGGCACATTGTTTTGAATGAATGAGCAAGTAGATGAGCAAAAACATAACTACCCTCAATATATTTTATTCATATTAATAGTTTGCATTTGATTGAATTATCAGTAGAACAAAAAAAAAAAAGAAAAAGAAAAAAAGCCAAAACCAAAATGAAAATCTAAAGCCACTTCCATATTTGTAATTTAAATTTTATTTCAGATTCTCCTACTTTAATGAAATAAATATGTATGGCATAAGGGCCCAATTTAGACTTACTCCTCTGTCTTATTCAGGCACCATGGAGAATATTTTAAAAATAAGGCATTAATTTAATGCCTAATTTAATTCTCCATGGTGCCATGGAGAATATTTTAAAAATAAGACATTAATTTAATGAAGGCTGTAGATTTTGATCTGAACTCAACAGAAGCAGAATACATGTAAAGGATCATTCTATAGATTTCTGAATTTTAACGTGTTCTACAGCTGACCCTATTATTGTTTCATATCTTTAACTAATAATTTATTTATCACAATTGCTTTTTTCCATTCAAGATAATACCTCACTGGCATAAGATTGTTGTTATTCCTTGCTCCCTCTTGTATTTTAAAAAACCTCAATGGCCCTATTTTTTAGTTTGCCTGTATAAAAATTCCCATGCTGGATTGCAGGTTTGCTTTCTAGATCATTTTTTATTTGTTCAGAAGTCCCTCCTTTCCCTACTTCTTATTTCAAATATTTCCTAAATGTGTGTCCTCTAAAATACACTACCATTTACTTATAATTATTGTTCATCATCTGCTGCAGAAGGATCTCATCCATCTTCCACTGAGTACTGAGAGGATGTTCCAGAGAATTTTAGCAGAGCAGACATTCTCTTTTTTGGCTCTTTCATGTGGGAAATTCATAAATGGAATCAGAAGATTTATGAGAATTTGTTCTAATCAACTGAAGAATGTTTTTTGAATGTAGTTTTATACCTAAAAGGTATATTTCTATAAAGTTGCTGTAAAACTCTATGAGCAAATTTTTATAATAGTAATAAAATAATAATTCAATCGTTAAAAAAAAGTAGTACCACATGTACCATCATGAAACTTTTATGTTATGAACAACTGCTGATTTGGCCACACACACACCAAAAAATCCCCAAACCCACATTAACTTTTAATTCTTTCTCTGGGCAATTAGACACCATCACTTCTATGATTTTAGGAACTGATACTGTCCTTAGTGGTAGAAAATTCTGTGGTTGACAGCTGAATCTAGAAAGTAGCCATGTTTTATAAGCAGTCTGCTCAAAAGTGCTTCTAAAATTTTGGAAGCAACACACAAGAAGTTCTGATGACCATTCAGGCCAGGATTTCTTGTGCCTTTTATTTTCTCAAATCTAGGAGGAAAAAATGCACAGACATTTAAGACTAGGATTACCTGATTAACATCTGAGCTTCAGTATATAGTAATTGTTGTTCTTAAGGCTCATCTGTCTATACAGGAGATGGAGGTGGGGGAGATGATGTGGTAGAGGTGGGGAAAACTAGAAATGCAATTTAAAGAATGCAAAGAAAAAAAGGAATTCACTTCTGATATTTAAAATAGATTATGCAACAAGTCAATTTTCTTGTAAGCCAGGCTACTACTCTAAAAGAAATATTTTCTAAATCTCTTTAATTGTCATAAAAAAAATCACAGGGCAGGCACAATAGTTCACACCTGTAGTCCCAGTACTTTGGGAGGAGGAGATGGGTAGATCACCTGAGGCCAGGAGTTCGAGACCAGCCAGGCCAACATGATGAGACCATGTCTCTACAAAAAATATAAAAATTAGCTAGGTGTGGTGGCACACACCTGTAATTCCAGCTACTCAGGAGGCTGAGGCATGAGAATTGCTTGAACCAAGGAGGTAGAGGTTGTGGCGAGCTGAGATCACACCATTGTACTTCAGCCTGGGCAACAGAGCGAGACCCTGTCTCCAAAATATATATATATATATATATATATATATATATATATATATATAATAAAAATAAATAAAAACAATCACAGTTTACACCTGGAGAGCTTCTCCCAATGTGTAGAGAAGATGCCAATACCACCTAAGGCAGCAAGAACAAGGAACTTTCAATCTTAAGTAGCAATAGGAGAAGGGTGTGGTCAGGTGTGTGATTCCTAATCCTCTCCAAGGACTTCAGTTCAAAGTGAATGTATTGGTGGGGGAGGGGTTGGGAGAAAAAGATCAAAGAGGGACAAAAAGATGCTGGTAACTCAATGTGGGGAGAAGAGTGGGGAGTTCTTGTCCTGACTCCCCAGTTGGGGATCCAGGAAGCAGCCAGCTTGAAGTCAACATCACACAAATATGCTTTTTAACTTCAAGAGGCATTCTTGTTTTCTGTGTTCATAGAAGGCACACAGAAGTATGGGAGAATCTGTCTGTAGTGCTTGCCAGAGGGGACATATAAAAGGGATGTAGTGGTTCTTCAGTGAGGCTACAGGGCAATCAATCTAGGCAGGGGCTGAACCGTGTGCACAGCAAAAAACCACCGATGGCCTGAAATAACCCCAAATCAGGTGAAGACAGCCATGGAGGACCACTGGGCTTCAACCAAGCTGAGAGAGATGACTACTTTAGATCAGTCCAGCCAACAATTACAGACACAATTTCTGGCTAGTAAGCAGTGCATGGGTGGAGAGGGGCCACCTGTGAAAAACTAAAAAGACTTGCAAACATCTTATCCAAGAACATTTTCACCTGTATCATGAGGTTACAAACACCCAAACATCATCTTCAAAATGAACTCTTGTTTGGAGGTAGGGTGTTTCAGAGGTGAGAAAGACCAAGTAATCAAAGTAACCAATGCAATCAAAGGAGTGTTTTACATTATTAGAATTGGTTAAGTTTAAGGTGTACACATCATCTGCATTGTAAAATCAGTTAAACATATTACTCCATTACACACATGTGAGTGAATATATATGAATATATACATTGTTATATGTCTTCAAAGACTTTTCCCTTAAAAGATTATAAGAAAATATTTGCCATGTGGGTGGTAAAACACTATCATCCCAACTGGAGAACTTTTGAGAGAGAAAAGGTGCTATGAATAATTACTCATGGACAACAGACACAAGCCACGACTGTCCCATGCCATCTGGGACACACTTTACAGAAGAAAAGTTGAATTCTTCTCAGATAAAAATGTTTCTTTGATTGGGATGGGAAGAGGACAGGGCAAAACCTTTTACCTACTGTATATACTTACTTATAAAAGATACATTTCCTTGGTCCTAGCTTAGATCAGAGAGTTTAAACAAACAAGACTTAAATTGTTATATTCAAGAAATAAATAGAAATTCAGTGGATGTAAGTTGGCTGAAAAGTAGGAAAAAGAAGAGCCCAGAGTTGGAAAGAGATACCTTGAAAAATGGCAGTAATCTAATGCCTAGAACCTGGGCCAGGTGAGGACGGACATGGTCTGTTAGAAATTTCCAGTGGAGGTACAGTTACAGCGGATCAAGATTTTAAACTTCACCTGAACAGTGCTTTTTTACTGTCCCTATCCACAAGCAGCATGGCCCAAACTTCGCGAAATCTGGAGTGTTCTTTGGTTATAATTTTGGAGGACTGGAGGGAGGGAATAAAGGCATGGTGTAACAGCAAAAGAATGAACATAACTAACCCCATTTTATAAAGCAGTCTTTACCCATTCCTGCACATAGGCTAGGATAATTTTAGAGCACTTAGATAATATGCAAAAACAGCACTCATGTAGTTTTTGAAACCAACTCTGGGATTAAAGGGGAAGTACGTAACAACTAATTATGTTTCATTGAAGATGTATAAGGGAATTGTGACCTGACCGAGCACAAAGCAGTCCCCAATCTCCATAGACCACCCAGATGTCTGTGGTCATCAGTCACATCTTGATATCAAACCCCTCTTCTTCTCCATGCCCTTAACATAAAAAGAGTCTGAAATCTGTACTAACTTAAGATAATTCTTTAAGATACTAGTCCACTATCTTCTTGGTTTGCTGGCTGTCAGAAATAAAGTCACCTCCCTTTCTCTAGCTCCATGCCTCTGGACTTATGGGCTGTCCTGTGGCAAGCAGAACAAGTTTAGATTCAGTAACAGTAAGAGTTGTCTCTAGTGAGGGGTAGAGTCAATGCACCTGGAAAATGATTCAGTAAGCTCAGAAACTAAGACCTATCCGAAATTGTAAATTCACCAGAAGCAAGAAATTAGAGCAAGATGTAACGCACAAGAATAAGCCCCTTAGGAATCTAAGAATTATTTATGGGTGCAGTGGGTGGCTATGGGTTTCTACTAGTAAAATGAGGATCCAAGCAAATCTGCCAAAATATTCAAGAAAAGGTTGTACTCCTAAGCTTGGAAATCTATAAATAACTAGGCTATAGCAATTGAGGTTAATTTCAACACATTTTATATAATTTTCTGCAATTAAAATATAATTTCAGTGGTCATTCAATAATATTTATTGAGTATACTTTATAAGCAGACTGTCGTACTCTAGGCAATGAAAGTCTTGAACTCATAAACTTAGTCAATTCCATAGTAAAAAACAAAATCAGGGGAAAAATTTACATTAGCATTTTTCTATGATTATTGAAACGTCCTTTCCTTCTCATGTGCTAATTATAAATAAATAATACCAATTCTTCACCCTCAAGTTGTTTTATTACTATTAAATAACTATAACTTACAGTGGCATAGATTTATACCTACTGGTTATTTAAAGTTTATGAAATGCCTTCAGCTCTCTGGAGAAAATGCACTGAATACATATAAAACAATAATAAAATAATAATATGCCCAAGGATAAACCATGTTCCTATGTTTTCATACTGTGTATATCATGGGCATTTTATAGCACAGGTTGTTTATAAATGAGGCCCCCAGCTGTTACTGAGAGACTCAGGCAGAGAAAGGGAGTAAACAGAGGATAATAATCCTGATTATAACAGGAGGCTGTTTCTGCAGGGAACCAGGGTGAGTTACATTCTCCCTAGGAGTAAACTGCTCAGTCAGTAGCTCCTACAAAGTACCATGAGGTAAATTACCTCTTTCCAGGCACTAAATGATACCTTGATGCCTTGGAAAAATTAATGGGTGAGTGGTTTACTCTGAGAGCATTTTATTCCCTCTGAGTCAACATAGGATTCTGCCCAATTAAGTTTTGGAGGGCAGAATTTGCCCTAGAAATAGCAGTTTAAAGGTTTAGAGTTATCCAAGCAATATAAAAGCTAGTCCCCAATGTACAGTAAAGATAGGACTTTTCACCATGGATAAGACTTTCATTATCAGCAGTTATTATGTTTCCCTCAGTGGCCAAATGAAGGAGGGAAAGGGTAGAGGGTACCATTATAACCTGAAATATATCAACGTATATTTAGTATTTATCTACATACAGTTGATCATCTACCTCTTGTTCTCTTCTAAAACATATCAAGTCATTTGGTCTATCTCTGTGTCAAAGACAATTCAGACTGTGCCCACATTAGGTATATAAAGTTGCTGTTTCTCTAAAAATACATTTTCTATGTTTAATTGCTTATATATTCATTGAAACAACATAGAATTCAAATGTGTAGGCTAGAGGCATTATTGGAGTTTGAAATAAGTTTTCCTTTTTTTTTTAAATACAGAAGGCCAAAATGCCATTTTGCACAGTTAATCTGATTATTACTCAAGCCTTGTTCTACAGTCAGTTAAATTAAAAAAAATTTGAGAAGGATTTTCTTAAAAGAATCTGGTATTACTGTAGTTATTTAAACAAAATGGATATACTTTTTATATAGTAAAAATGCTTAAAGGGTTTTGAATCTAGTGTAAGTAGAAATTATCAAGTACATATTTTAGCAGTAATTATTTTAGGTTGCCTTATTAGGTGAATTTAACATTATCACACTCATAAGGCACTTTTATTTTCTGAGACACTTTGGATGTTGTAGTCCAATAATTTAATTGTTTCTCAAAAGGCACCTAGGAAAGAGGGAGAAGTGATAGTCTATTTTTAAAAGAGCTGAGGTTTTAGGGATGGAAACCCTAAAAAGCTTTCTCTGACTTGTCTTCCCACTCCTCCAATACAGCCTTTCTTTAAAAGTAAAATTCTGAGCATGAAACTCATCGATATGGAAATAAATACAAATGCATATGTTTGCTTTTACTATAATGATAATTGAGAAATAACTTACACAAAGTACAATTTTATTATCCAGTTAAACTGCTGAGATCTGTCTTCTGTCACAGCCACTTAATTGCTGCGTAGTTGCCCTTCTGAAGGTTAGATTTCTCATCTGTAAAATGGAACAATAATCACACCTATCTCATGCAGATGTTCCTATGATTTTGGTGATTTAATCCATTTAAAGCACGTGACACATTGCCCAGCAATGACAAGCCCTCAGTTAATGTTAGTAGTATTATTGTATTATTATTGTCATTATAATGATTATTTTAATTTTGTGACCAGCCCTGGATAATGTTGTGGAGGGTGTAAATGAAATAAAGCGCATCATTCTTGCTATTTGAGGAAATTACTTGTAATTAGGAAGAAAATATTAACAAAATAAGAAGGAAATGATGAGGCAGGCAGACCACCTGAGGTCAGGAATTCGAGACCAGCCTGGCCAGCATGGTGAAACCCCATCTCTACTAAAAATACAAAGTTAGCCGGTCGTGGTGGTACATGCCTGTAGTCCCAGCTACTTGGGAGACTGAGGCAGGAGAATAGCTTGAATCCGGGAGGCGGAGGTTGCAGTGAGCCCAGATCATGCCACTGGAATCCAGCCTGGGCGATAGAACAAGACTCCATCTCAAAAAAAAAAAAAAAAAAAAAAAAGAAAAGAGATACTGTTGCTGTTATTCAAAGTAGTCTTAGGAATTTTAATAATTAAAAATAAAAAGGAGAATTCCTCATGCAGAGGAGTACAGGAACCAGGAGTCTTTTTGGGGTGATGAGAGTGTTCTATATTGTGATTCGGGTGGGGTTAAACAACTGTATACATTTGTTAAAATGCATGAATTGCACACCTATAATCGGAGAATTCTATTGTTTGTAAGGTGTATCTCAATAACATTGATTTCATAAAAGGCCATTAAACTTGGCTAATACCAGGGTAGTATTACCATTTAAAAGAAAAGCATCATTGGTATATAACAGTCAAAAAATGGCAAAGGGATGGATGGGTACTGTAGTAGAGAAAGCAATGAGTCCTTATTTGGGAAGTATGGTGATAATGAAAGGAAGAGAGATGGCTATGGGAGGAAAGTAGCTTGATAGAGTAGGATGACAGAAGAAAAATTCTCCAGACCATGTTCGTAGCTAGCAGAAGTAAAACCCATAGAAATTTGAGATATAAAGAAAAGAGGAAGTAATTGCTAGGGCACTTGTTGTAAAAGAATTCAGAGAAAAATTGGCATACTTATTTTAATTGCTAAGATGGTACACTTTTCCTTCATGATTGAACCAAAGAAAGCAATAATAAGATATACTTTTACATTTTGCCAAAGCAGTCCTTTTGTCAGTAATGTAGGCAACTGAATTTACGCTTCCTCTCCACCTACCTAGACACCTCTGTCTGTCTCTGGTACTCTGCCGTGATTTTGTTCCTTCACTTGTTTCCACAAAGTATCTGCTCGCAACAAGCATTTCATGAGATTTATAAAGTTTTACTGAATGCCTTGTCTTTTGATATAATGATCATGTGCAATGTTTAAATCTAATAATAACGAATTTCCCCTGACAACATTGTGCTGCTTTCCAAATCTGAGGTAGACTTTTCAGACTCTGCTAAACTGGTATGATTTTTCTATATTCTTTGACCATTTGTTTGGGTAACCTTAAGACATTCACAACAATGGGAAATGACAGATGTGCTCGATTCCGTGTCTATGGCCAAAATTGAGTACACTTTTCAGGACTATTTGAGATATGGGATGCTTTTAGCTTTCTGTTCTTTCACTTCTAGCTCAACTTGGAATGAATCTTGTACTAATTGAGCTTTTTTCCCTTTACACTTCTATTTCAGATACGCTCTTAGAAAAAGAGCTTCAATTCAGACTAGAAGCTGGAACCAAATTTCAAGATATTTTGTTCATCTTCCCCACCATTCAGTCTTTCTCCAGACCCTCTAGAATCCCATCTCTTACATTCTAAGACACTTGTGGAATCATTTGGGAAGATTGCTTCTCTAATCCTTCAATGCACTTCTGTATCAAAACCAAGGTGTAGGCCAAGTGCGGTGGCTCGCGCCTGTAATCCCGGCACTTTAGGAGGCTGAGGCAGGCAGATCTCTTGAGGTCAGGAGTTTGAGACTAGCCTGGTCAACATGATGAAATCTCATCTCTACTAAAAATACAAAAATTAACCAGGGGTGGTGGCGAGTGCCTGTAATCCCAGCTACTTGGGAGGCTGAGGCAGAAGACTCCTTTGAACCCAAGAGGCAGAGGCTGCAGTGAGTCGAGATTGTGGCACTGCACTCCATCCAGCCTGGGTGACAGAGCGAGACCCTGTCTTAAAAACAAACAAACAACAACAACAAAACAAAACAAAACAAAAAACAACAACCAAGGGGTAAAAATAGCAAATGATCAACTTCTTTCTTATTCTCTACCTGACCATGTGGTGCATTCCTAAGTCTTCAGTCACTAGCCATTTTCAATGCACAGTTAACCTCTCACAAGCACTGCTTCTTCAATCCTTCCATTCTCTTGCTTTCTTCAACTACCCTTAACAGAAAAACTGTGTACGTGGTAAGCCTTTAATCAGATTACGTGGGAAGAATTTCTTAGCCACCATGGCTTAAAAATACATGGGTTTTGAGAAAAGAATACATGGGTTCTCTGCCTACTCTCAGTAACTACAATGCCATTACTTTTTGAATAATTTCAAGTTAATTTAACAGGAGAGATAAAGAAAATTATATTTACCACAATTTCCTCCAGGGAGAACAATAAATTTTCTCTAAAAAATTCTTTCATAAACCCACTTGGGACTTCGGTACAGTCTCCAAAGTTCAGTCCCCAAAGAAATTCCCTGATGTGTAGAGTATTCCTCATTCAACGATAAGGGGTGGGAACTTTCAGTGTCACAGGAAAGAGGTAAGAATGAGGAAGAGGGAGGGGAATGGGGCTGGAGCTGATGCGGTAGTGTGATGTGAACTCTTCTTCTGTCTCTAATCAATTAGGAAAAGCTTTGAAAACTTGAAAATTGTTATATGTGAAGATGCTCTTAAGAGGTAACTTGTATATCCAGAGAGTCGGTTCAAACAGATACAGCCATCAGATAATAGGTACAGAATATATTAGATTGTGTGTTCAGTTTTGAAAACGGACTATTTGGGAAGACTGTGAAATGTATTGAATTTTAAAACCTATTATGCACTATTTCAGAGCTGCTAAATTATAATAGATAGGTCTGGATTTGAATTTAGGGTCCACTTCTCACTAGTTATGAGCCTTTTTGAACTTCTGTTTGTGGGATTTTAAATGGATGGCACATATAGAGTACATTTCCAGATAACCAGTTAATAAACATTGCCTGGGACTGATGATGATGATGATAATGATGATGATGATGATGATGAAGAACCTGCCGAGCACAGCAGCTGACAGGTTATAATCTCTCAATAAGTTACAACCACACACTACCACAATGACTATTAACACTAGCATAACATAGTATTATTTAAATATTAAGCAATGGTTTTTCTGTTGATCTGTGTTTGTATTTTTTAAAAAAGACAAAAAAGCAGTCTGAGGATGAGTTGAGCAAATATGTGTATTTTTATAACTTTAAATTAGCAAGCTTAGTTGTACCAGAAATAAAATTCACGTTGGAAACAGAGGCCATAATGACAACACTCTATGTTCATTTCCAGAAAGATAGATTAGAGTCACTAGGAAACTGAGATTAAAAGACAATGTGAACCACAAACTACTTCTCTTAAAATAGCTTTATTTGCTTATAATAAACATTGACATGAATTTTCTGGTACATATAAGGTTGGACTTTTATCAAAATTCAGGCCATGCTAATTCTATGATTCCAATGCACTACTGGTACATCTTCCATATAAGACTCTTCCACAGAGACTCTTGACCCTCTAGAAAAGTATAAACATGCATTATTCTCTGGACTGGCACAGATACAAAACACCAGGATTCTTCAGGGATATGTTTTCATAAAATATTAAAAAGAAGAAAAATTTTGGTATTTAAGGAATACCTTATAACAGTCTCCGTACTTCAAGGAATCTATAGTTAACAGCATGAACAACAAAGGCAAATAAAACAGATTAATGCAGTAGTTTTTCTAAAATCCTGCTTATGGCAGAAACCACCTCAAGGAATATTTTTGTCAAAATCTCAAGACACTGAGATTGTTCAAAGAAGCAACAGCCTCTTAAATGTCTCACTATCGTGGTGAATGTGCAGTGCTATTATTTCTAACAACACTAAGCACCGGCCATATTGTGACAGATTAGCGGTGTCTAACATTACCTGGTAGAGAGCAGCATAAATATGATATTCTTCACCCTTCTTTTTCTCCTAGTTAAAGCCATTTTTAGCTCTTTGTTAAGGCACTGGTTAATTCAAAGATACTTTACAAAACTTCCTTCATAAGTACTGGTATATATTATTACATTATTATAATATATTGTACTATGTATTTTCTTTATTTTTCCTTCATTCTTAGATGCATTATTCAGAAATGCATACATTCCTCACATTCTTCATAAATTCCTCACATTTTAGGGGTATATAATTAGGTGTAACTGTAACAATATAGTCACAAATTCTTATTTTATTAACAAATGCAGTTTCTAGTATATTCAAATTTCCACTGTATAATTTTTTTTGCTATATTCCAGCTTTCTTCTCTATTTTTGTTTGAAAATTCTAACACAGAATTTCGTGCCAGAATTTTTTTTTTCTTCCTGAAAGCTGGAAGAAATCATTTCAAGTTTCAAGACTGTGAAAATTGACTATGCCTGACTTTTCCCAAAATGACTCGCAATGCTCTTTGCCAGGGAGATTCTAGGACCAGTTAGTTTATGATCAAAACTTACAGATGGTACTTACAGAAGACTAGTCAGTAGGGCATTTTTCAAGAATGTCAAGATCAAAAACTATAATTAAAGGTTATTTTGGGAAAAGCCAGAGTCCCCTCACTATCTCCACAACTCCACAGGGGAAAAAAATAAAGAAAAAAAAAAGAAGAAGAAATGATTTTGTGACAAAATAATTGCTGACAAAAATATCATAATCTAATATGTCATTTGAAAACAATTGAATTTCTAGTCTTTCTGTTGCAGAACCTTAGCTTTCAAGTGATGGTTAGGTTATAATGTGTAATGCTGACTTTTCCTTAAGATAGTAGGTTATTTCACAGCTGTCAGTGTTACACAGCCATCTTCCCTGTCACCAGTTCCTGCAGGTCATCCCCGCTGGTTGATATCTTTATGCCAAACTCTCCTGATATTTAATCACCATAAGATAGAGGTCACTTGATGATAAACCTGTGATGAAGTGATGCAATTTTTACCTCTTAACAATGTACAAGTGAACATTTTATGCACTGAGGCCAAAGCAGGAAAATGATGAATATCTGTAGTTTAATTTCCATGCATCACTGCTTATGGCAGTAAAATAAACACCAATGTGAAGTAACAGAGAAGGTGGGAGGGGTGGATAGTGGTTTAAAAAAAGAGAATTAATATCCATGAATAAAATTGCATGTATCATTGCCAAAGGCTGTGAAAATAGGCCAATTGCATGACCATGTCTGTTTCAGGGGCGGAGAAGAAACATTTAAAATTTAATAATAATTGCTCTCTTTTATTGTATAAAGCAAATCAAAGTGACTAGAGCATTGCTAACAATAAATGAATTCCATGGATATCTGCTTTTGAAAATGATCAACTTTAATTATACATATGTTTTTAGGTACTAACTGATAAGTAGTTTTTCGATCCTTTTTTATTTAAAATACTGCATCAACCAACTTAATCTTGTATGTCTACAGGTTCATCTTTTTTATTCTTCACTAATTCTGTAAATTCTAGGTACCGTCTATGACCATAAAGGATTTGATTAGTTTTTGATGTAATATTTGTAATTCAAGTTTATATTCTTTGATAATAATGATCAATTTATAATATCCTGTTGCTAGGAAAAATGGTGAAGCGTATTTTAAGTATTTTTATTTATAATTTTATTATCATTCATTACCTAAAATAGCAACATGCAAAATGTTCATGTGACAGACGACTTATTGGGGTAAATTAAGACTATGTGATAGTAAATTTAAACATTCATTTGGACTAAGAATACATCTGAATTTTATGCTAGCTACTATAGAGTACACTTCGAAAAAACATTCCTAATATTCATATTTCCTTCCTTTCAGAAGTCCTGCTTTTCATCAGACATTTGAAGAGAAAAAGCAGCCTTCCAAACAAAGACTAATTTGCAATCCTAGAAGAACATTTTTTAAAAACCACTTTACTATATATTGTTATTTTTGCGAGACTTCTTGTTTTTAAAAAAACTTTTAATTCACCACAAAGAAACATTCTCAAATGCAAAGTTTTTAAAATATAGTGCTTTATTGGCCAGGGAAAACCTAAGGTGGACTAATTTTCAACTTATCAAAAACAAGTAAAATCACACACACATACACACACTTTCACACAAAACCTTTGTCCACTGTCTTTTCAATGTTATGATTCTGTACCTTGTCCCTTAGAAGGAGACAAGTACTGTACCCATTGTTTTGCTTAGAATTGAGTACTTGGTCAGCTCTCAACAAATATTAAGTCATAATGACAAGTGCTGAATCCAATTTGAAACCATAAGTGGGAAATTAAAGTGGTCTCAAATGTCAGCATTCTACAAGTTAATTCAATTTGTGGAGGAGCTGCAATGCCATATTTTTATGTTCGTAAAATAATTCAAATTATTCTCTTCTATTTTTAACTTCTGGATAGGACAAAGAGATTTTCTCACTGAAGATTACAGCCATGGCTTTTGCCAAGCTGAAAAACAAGCTTTAATGTGATGATCCACACAAGACCAAACTTGATGAGAAATGTAGAGTGTTGCTATGGCAATTCCATTTGTTGGAACTTTTCTCTGTTGGCTTCACTCTCACATTGCATTCTAAAAAAAAATCGTATGAAAAGGTGTGGTGCTGTGAAGACAAACGCAAAGCCAAGAAGATGGAACTTTCTCATCTTTCCTTCTCCAGAGGAGGGGAACATGTAGTCATTTGTAATGCCACCCAATGGTGTCAAGAGGGCTGGATGACGAGGTGTCATTCTGAGATTTCATTGAAACCCTAGGGTCTATTTCTGTTCAGCTTAAGTGAACAGAACATTAGGCAATGCCAGTGTTATGAGCAAAATTACTACGTGAAGAAGGATGTGTAGGCTAAACTGAAAGATGTTAAGGCCCTGGCTCCTGAGAGGACCAAGATCTGTTTTGTTGTGGTTGTGGTTGTATTTTTTTGTTTTATTTTTTAGCACAGGTCTGACATAGTTAACTTCTTTGAAATATAAGCATAGACTGTAAATAAATCTCAAGTTTGAACATCTCTGATGAAGAAAGGAGGCATTAGTTCACTTAATGTAATTTTTTGCAGATAGACCTTCCTTTGGAGGGTATAATCAATCCAACTGTTCACAACAACCATCTCAGTCAGGATTGCATGGCAGGCATTGTGCCAAGTATTTTTTTCTCAGATTAATCTCACTTAAACTCTTTACAAACCTCCCTATGAGGTTGACACTATTATCATCTCCATTTTGCACATGAAGAAAGGGAGATTCAGAGAACAAAAGTAAACAAAGCTAAGGTCAGTTGTCTAGAAAGAAGGAAATCTGGGCGTTAAATCCAGAAACAAGATCTCAATCAATGAGTTGTTAAACAGAACTAACTGTGCCAAAATTTAATGGCTGGAGAGGAATTCCTAAACAATTTATTAATAAATAGCAAAAATTATATTTTTGTCATTACTGTGCAAACTTCTTTTTCTAAGATTCAAAATACAACTGAAAAAGTAAGATAAGGAAGGTGATTTATCAGAGACTCTTGTGACTTAAAAATACTGTCTAATTTTAATTCAACTATAGTAATTTATTGAGTTCTTACCATATGTTCTAAGCGTAAAAAGACTTTTAAGATACCATTTCCTGCTCAAGGAGAATTTGTCAGTAACTGGAGGACTATAGTAAACAAGTAAAGTAGGGATCCCCCTATTTAGAAGACAACGTAAGTATATTTAGCTATAAGACAGAGGTTATAAATTACAGCCAGATGGTTTATGTGGCCCTTAGCCATGTTTAATTTGACCCACCCAACATGGTTTTGAAAATTTTAATTTGATGATCACATTTGAAAATTGAGAGATTTCACATAGGATCTGAATCTTTAGCTTCTCTTTAAAAAAATCCAAATATGTATAAACATAACCTATATTCTCAGTTGGCAAAAATTGCATAAGCAAATAGAAAGTTTCCACTGTGGTAGTGGTGTGTATTCTCAAGTCTTCCAGATTCCCTGCTCTACTTTTTCTCCCACTCTGAAGTTCAGTGTCAACTTCCATTGTTTTTCTTATGCCAATTAATACTATATACCTTACCATCCTGGCCCTAATAGACTTTTGAGATTGTGACTTTTGCTGCAAAGACACCAAAATTATTTGAGATACAGATTATTAATAGATAAGAATAAAAAGACCATCATTTAGATAGTCTGTGAATATACTGAAACAGCTAAAGAAGAGATTCGGAATGGGAATTAAAATTGCCACTACTACTGAGTTTTTTAGGGGTATGATTTATTGCACAGCAATTTTGATTAACCTGGAAGTGGAGAGGATGTTAGGTCAGTGAGATGCTCAGGTGTGATATGTAAACATTTCTAAGCAGGCATAATTTATGTGCAAAGAATATTCCATTTGGGGAGTAAGAGATAAGTGGAGAGAAATAACCTGGAGCTGAGGGCTAGAATGACGGACTGAGGGAAGGAGATAGGGAAGAAGGGAGAGACTTTAAGAGTTGTGAGTTTATAGCTCCTCAAATTCTTGAACACTGCTGAGGGCTTTGGCTTTTCTAGCCATTCATCCAGTAGCTACTGATGAAATCGACTACAGAACTTCAGGTCTTGCACTTGCTTTTATCTCTGCCTAAAATGACACCTTCTTTTTTTCTCCCCAAACCTTTAATTCATCTGATTTTCTCCTACTCAAATTTCAACACCTGGTGTAGGAGGTTCATTTTCTACTCAACTTTCCTATTGCTTTTAGATAAATTTCTTTCTTTACACTACAATTTTACCTTGGATCGGCTTCCTTTACTGGACTTATTATTTTCCACTGAAATTATATATTTATGTATCTGTCTTCCCTAGTTGACTATGAATTATTGGGAAGGGATCCATATTGTATTTATCTTTGTATCACCATCTCCCAGCATGGTGTAATAAATATTTGTTGAATAAGGCTGGGCACAGTGGCTCATTTCTGTAATCCTGGCACTTTGGGAAGCTGAGGCGGGTGGATCACTTGAGGTCAGGAATTCAAAACCAGCCTGACCAACGTGGTGAAACCCCATCTCTACTAAAAATACAACAACAACATCAACAACAAATTAGCCGGACGTGGTGGTGCTCACCTGTAATCCCAGCTACTCAGGAGGCTGAGGCAGGAGAATCGCTTGAACCTGGGAGGTGGAGGTTGCAGTGAGCCAAGATCGCACCACTGCACTCCAGACTGGGTGACAGAGCAAGACTCCATCTCAAAAAAAATTTATTGAATAAATGAATAAATACATCCTCAAAAGGGAGTCAGTTTAAAGTATTTTTTAAAAGTTCCCTTGACCTATTTGACTTAATTACATAATCTTATGATGCCAATATTTCACTCAAAATAGGTAGGTTACATATGTAATTACTAATTCAATTGATACAACTTGTAATAACATTCTAAAGTTATATATGTTATATATATGTTTTATATATATACACACACACGCATAAGTGTGTGGCTTTTATATGGATATATGTATATATTTGCATCTAAATCATCTATAATTGGTTGAACATGTTCTCCACCTGGGGTACTATATTAGACACTCTGGGGAGCATCTGAATAAAATCTAATTGTGTAATTAAGTAAACCTATAATTTTGTAATAAAATTCACCAAATCTACTCCCTCTCTACCTACTACCAAAATTTCCATGTTTTTTTGAAAAAATGTCATCATTTTTATAACCTAATGCAAGGAAACAAGTCTACTGTGAAGGTCTTCTGTGTAGTACCTGGACTATATATGTTTTTACTTTATTGAAATATAGTGAGGACAACTACACATAGTGTACAATTCAACTGAACACACCCATATAAGTAGCTCCCATGAAGAAACATAACATTACCACCATCTCTCCAAAGCCCCTTATTTTCTCTCATGTCATTAGCTTTCTTCTAAAGTTAACCACATCCAAGATTCCTGAAAGTATAGACTAGTTTTGCTTGATTATAGTAATTGAAATGTTTATTCATTTAAAGTATTTATTGATTACCTAATTCATACATTATGACTGTATTAAAAGCATATATTCTCTTAGAATATAAATAATTAAATTAATTTTTTAAAAACATATTCTTAATTTTGTGGAGCTATAAAAATGAATAAGACATAACCTTGGCATTACAGAAGTTTACAATCTGGTAGATCTGATAGAAGCTGACAGTCTGGTAATACCCATAGATACATAGGAGTACATTGTAAATGGGCTCAGAGTGCTAGTAGGTCTCACAAAGGGGAGCTCTCATCTGGTTTCATACAAAGTGTGGAAGTGCCATTGAGACTCTACAAAAGGTATTATTTTAATAAGAGTTTTCTTTCAGGTTGTGAGGAACAAAGTTATTTATATTTTCATTACTGTGATAAATTTGTCTAATGGGTAGATACCTTCATAATCTTTTTTCCTGATAGAAGTCTCTGAAGTCACATTAGAAATGGGTAGAAGAAGAAATGTCAGGCGGTGACTGTGATGACAAAGCTGCTATTTCACCATTCTTGAATTTCGCTTTGGAGGAACAGCTGTTAATTAACTGCAATAGTAATTGGCAGCCAGAAAAGTGCATCAGAGGACTGAGTTTTAAAGCTACTCTTACAAAGTCATGCAAACCAGATTGAGAACTTTGCCAGGAAGTAATGTTTTGTGGGTTATGGACTGCCTGGGGTTGGGCTTCCAAGTAAAAAGCCTTCTAAGTTGCAGAGGCAGAGTGGGTCAGCAGTGGTCTCTGAGTGGCCAAACAACCACAGGGGAATGAGAGTGTTAGTTAGTGTATATGATACACAATGTTTCAGATTTATGCTCTAGTAAAAAAGTAATGCTATTTGTCAAATCATCTTCCTCAGAAGCAGAGTAGTCCTTATTCTATTAGATAACTGTCTGCCTAGAATCAGCTTTATCTCCTGAACTACTGGATCTCATCACCCAAAGCCTTGTGTTGCAAGCTGATCTCATTAGGCAATACTTCCTATTGCAGAAAATTTGCATTTATATAATTGGTAATTCTTGATCCTACTTCGTATCAGCCCAAGTGTATTAGTTCATTCTCACACTGCTATAAAGAACTACCTGATAATGGGTACTTTATGAAGAAAAGAAGTTTAATTGACTCATAGTTCTGCAGGCTATACAGAAGCATGGCTGGGAGGCCTCAGGAAGCTTACAGTCGTGGTGTAAGGTGAAGGGGAAGAAAGCATGCCTTACTATAGTGGAGCAGGAGAAAGAGAGAGAGAAAGAGAGAGAGAGAGAGCAAAGGGGGAAGTGTCACGCATGTTAAACCATTAGATCTTATGAGAACTCACTCACTATCATGAGAACAGCAAGGGGAAAATTTGCCCCCATAATCCAGTCAGCTCCCACCAGGCCCCTCCCCTGACAAGTGAGGATTATAATTCTACATGAGATTTGGATGGGGACACAGAGCCAAACCCATATCACCAGGAAACCATTTGTTTGTCTTTCCTCTCATCATCACTAAGATAACTCCCTAACTAACTTTCTCTTCAAGAAACTCCATTTAGCTTCATAAAAACCTGTTTCTTCAAATAAAATTGAATGCTCAGAGGTTGTGACAGTATTGCATGATATTCCTAGAACAGTGAAATTTGGCTATAACTATGCACTGGCTATAACTGTTGCATCAAAAACTCAACGGTCTGCATCACATCTAAACTCAAAAGAATTCATGTTCCCAGAGTCAGAGTGGAGAAAAAGTCTGATCAAAATGGAGCTGGTGTACATTAGGATGAACTTCCTTCCCTAGAGCATGATAAAGAAAGGACTATGCAGTTGAGCTCAAGCACTCAAGTAACATAATATGATGACCTTAGCATAATGGCACAAAATGAACAAGTAAATCTTTTCTCCCTCGGGTCCTGGAAATGGATATTCCCTGGTTACATAATAGAAAGTGCTTCTTCTATGCCCTTTTGGATAGTATCTCCCAGGATTTGCTTCAAGGTAGAATTGCTTTCTCCAAGCCTCAAATCATGTAAACACTAGTTCATAGATTCATTTAAAGGATGTGTTGAAAAGAAACTTACTTCACACCATAGTCTCAATTATGAAAAAATAGCCCAAAACCATATATTTATAGTTAAATATTTATATCTAAAAATATTACATATATCTAGATATTTACCTATAATATTTATATATATTAACATATATATACAAATAGAAAGAGAGCGATGCCTCATGTAATGATGGGGATACATTCTGCGAAATGCGTTGTTAGGTGCTTTTGTCATTGTGCAAACATCATAGAGTATACTTACACACACCTAGATGGTAGAGTTTGCTTCACACCTCGGCTGTATGGTACAGCATATTGCTCCCAGTCTACAGACCTGTGTAGCACGTTACTATAGTGAATGGTGTTGGCAGTTTTAACACAGTGGTAATTATTTGTCTATCTAAACATAACTAAACACAGAAAAAGTGCAGTAAAAATACAGTATTTATAATCTTATGGAACCACCATTGTATGTGTTGAAATGTCTTATGTCTTATGTAGCAGATGACTGTGTGTGAGTGTAAGTGTGTGTGTGTACACACTAGAGAAAAGAAAAAAATGTAATGTAACAAGTGCTTTTCCCTTCTAGGTATTAGGTGAATTGTCTTCTTAAACTCATTTATAATTTTCTAATTTTATATACCAAGCAATATTACTACTATAACCAGAAGTGAAACCGGGACTATTCTTTTTAAAATGTGACCTAATATAATGCATGATCAGAGACTCTGATTTCAACTCTGAGGAATGATCAGTGGTTTGGGTCCCTCTGGGTTCACTATGACATTATTAAAAGAGTTCTGTCAAGATTAGGGTGTTCCCAGAGGGCGAGAGTGAGATGAGACACTCCTTGCTCTGCACCCCTGCAGCCACTGGATGAAGTCTCACACACTGAGTTGACGTAGGTCTACATATTGTTTTACACATATTTCCTATTGCTCTTTGACCTTCTTGAGGTAAACATGTAGACCGTGCAAAGTGCCTGGTACTAATCAATACATATTCATTGAATAAATGATTGAAGGAATGAATGAATTGAAAGCATGTAAGAATGACTGGATTTCTCAACAACTTGCGAGGTTTTTAAATATGTTCTACAATCTGTCCTGTAACAATTTTAGTTACCACCATTTTAAATTCAAAGTTTGCTTTAAAAAAATAAGTGAGAATGCTTTCGGATTTCTTTATTCCTTCCTAGAAATATATATCACCTATTTTTAAATTCTATTGTATCTACCTAAAACAGAAGTGTCTGGAGTAACTTTTGCTGTAGGAAAACTCTTGCTGTTGGAAAATGGGGACTATTTGATTGAAAGTATACATTAGATGACAGAAATTACACTCGGGAAAAATGTTTATAAAATCAAGTTATATCAGGCACAGTGCTTCACGCCTATAATTCCAATGCTCTGGGAGGCCAAGCCAGGAGGATCCTTTGAGGCCAGGAGTTTGAGGCTGCAGTGAGCGTTGATCGCACCACTGCATTTCAGCCTGGGCAACAGAGAGAGAGAGTCTGTCTCTTTTAAAAAATCAAGTTAGTCTGTCTTATGGAATCAGAATGGCCGTGGTCAGTGGAAATGGAAAAAAAAAACCCAAAGAAATATAATTTGATTATAAAACCTTACTTGAATCAAGAACCAATGAGGTAAAGATATGAAAGTTAACAAATTCTTAATGTTATATCAAAGTTTTATATAAGTAATTCAATTAAGAAAACATCAGGGAATATAACAGGTGAATTACTAAAAATAATGTAAAAATCTCCATGATATTAGGCAACTGGTATAAACTAATGTATAAAGTTTTTCACTTTTTAAAAATGTATTTACCTGTTTCCTAGTAGTAGAAGGTAGCATTATTAATTATATATTAATATTTCAGAAATAGAACAAAACAGGGAGAAATAATTTGAGCAGCAAAACAATATTTTATGAGAATAACACTTTTAAATATTTTTAGAAAGTGTTCATATTACTGATCTGGCTTTCCAAAGAGTCTATGATTCAAAAATGAACTAGATGAGTGCCTTAAAATTTATGAGACTTCTGGCTCCCCAGTAGTTAGTGTCTTGTTAAGACATCAAGAATCTAGTTTGCCTCTTCTGAGTGTAGATCACTAGGTTGTGCTACTTATCTGTTGAGTGATATTTACTGAAGGGACAGATATTGGAAATGATTTTTCTGAGAAACTTAATATTTTCATAGAAATCAAACAAATTCCATTTACCTACAGTGAAAGGTTGGCATCAACAGTGTTGGCTTCTAGTTATTACTAAAATATCCATGGAAAACAAAAGGAGAAATGGGCAAGGATGTCACAGGTGTCATTTACTTCCTCTTAATTGTACATCTACTCTACAAAGACCTTCATTAGGAATCTGTTCTCCAGGATTTATTACAAAATATTCTGCTACAGGTAGGGGAATCTCTCAATTCCTGGACTATTCATATGATAAATGAGCATGAACCTCTCTGTGACATGTCTATTATCAAAGTGAACTGTTATGTAAATCTTGCATTGCCATTTAATTTCTCATTCATGTAGTTTTATCTCTTCAACTGGATTGTAAGATTTGGGAAGGTCACAGAACATTATCCAATTTTCTATCCCACTCACGATGCTTTTCAGTCTCTAATAAGAACTCAATAGTTATTGACTTCCTATTGGGAAAAGATTCAGCCAAAAATACCAAACCTGAGCACTGCCTATCAGCTGCCAGTTCAATTCTGTGACTTGCCAATTTAATTTTGAGTGAGTATAAAGTAACTTATTATGCAAAATGAAAAACTGGGTAAATTTGAAAAGAATATTTCTTCCTCTGATGCCATCAAAATTCAAGATTTTCTTTCTCCCCAAAAGGCCCAAATAACTTGCACACTTCTACTACATTAAGATCCAAGTGTTGCAATTAAAAAACAGCATTTCAAATAAGCCCACCCTATACATATACTTTAAAATATGTTATTTCCACTTATGGTAGGTTTATATTACAAAGAATTAGCGAATTTTACAAGCAAATTATGTACTAATCAGTGTAAATATTCTGTCTTGAAATACCAACGTCCTAATTTTGAATTAACAGTCAATAAAAATTACATCCAGAAAGCAGATGGAATTTCTACTTAATTTGCTTGTATCACACTGTTAAAAAAAATAAAGGTAAAAGCACAGTATTTGGAAAAAGCTGAGTATTTTCTGTTTACTGAGGAAATAGTAGTTATTTCAAATAATTGCTAAGATTTGCTACATCTTTACTTCAAATTGGTGAATTACTTTAACAACTAAATGTTTTCTTAATAATATGGAGGAATACACAGGCAAGAAGATCCTTTAGTATACCACTATAGTATTGTGTCATTTTTTTCTAAATTATCTATTATACTATATCATGTTAGGTATTCCATCCTAACAATATTTTAAACATCTTAAACAAAGAGGAAAAAAAATATATTGTCAAATCAAAGGGAGAAATATTTAGTAGCATCTGTTTTACAGCATCAAGCATCACTTGAATATTTTCAAACCAAATAATATAATA
This sequence comes from Homo sapiens, assembly GCF_000001405.40. Taxonomy (NCBI): domain Eukaryota; kingdom Metazoa; phylum Chordata; class Mammalia; order Primates; family Hominidae; genus Homo; species Homo sapiens. The sequence goes on along the minus strand of NC_000001.11, from coordinate 98,469,351 downwards.
CTATCAAAGATATCAAATTGGCATAAAACATTCTGTTTAGAAAAACTGAAACATACAACTAGAACTCGATACTTAAAAAACAGAAACTTTGTACCTATTAATAGCTTTAATATTCCTTTTCCTCCCACTTTCTCTGTAACAAAAAGAACCCTAAAACAACACTTTACCTTTGAGTAGTTTCAAAATGCAAAGCAAGGGCATGGGCCTGTAGGTGTTAATCGCTGCTTAGTTGATGTGAGAAAATTCACACGATATTATACCGGGGTTTTAAAAATGAGTGTCCATATTTATTTTGATGAAATGCTAAAAAGCTTTATTTTTCATCTTTCCAGTGAATGCAATATTTCCTTATTTTTTCAATAAAAAATGCAGGGAATCAGCAACATTATTAAATAGATTGCAGTGCCCATTATATATCTCCAGCATTTGATTTGTTGGGGAAAAATTAAAGCTAACTGGCTTTGATGACACAGAAATTTAATACTCAAAATGAATGACATTTAATGTTTTTATAAGAAAAGATGCCTTTTTAAAAAATGTGTTTCAAAGGAGATATCTCTTCTACACAAATATACAAAAAAGGTACTAGAAAAATGGCAAAGCTGTGGAGGTGAGACCACAGAACTCCCATATACTTCCTTTGTTTTGTCATTGTTGATGTAGCCACTAGTCATTTAGATTTAAAGACTGGAACTCTGCTCAATAATCTTCCAGCTCCAACTTTCTCTTCCTAATGCCATACATATACTGACATCTACCTTTTATAGTAATTTTGTTATTTTCTTTTGTTCTTCTTTGCCTTCTTAAGAAATGTGATCTTAAAATTATTTTTTTCTGCAGACACAAGTTCTCAGTTCCTTTACTATTCTGGTAAAATATGAATTGAAATGATGGCCTGGACTAGAAATAATTATTTAAATTGCTTTAGTTTCAGAGAATTGAAAAAGATAAAGCATATTTTCATTTAAGGATAGTTCATTTTAAATAAGCTTCTTCAGGAATCTTAGTTACAACTTGCCTGACCAGTGTCCACTAGATGACACTGTTGTATAAGCACAATAATGAGTGGTGATCGCTTTGACAATAACTAATTTATCATATATATATATATTTAGATATTGTCAGCGTCTCTCTTTCTAGATGAAACTGGCTTAGCATTTTTAATTGGATATGGCTGATAGCTACAACTTCACATCATTTATGGTAAAGTTATCCTAAGAGGTTAAAATGCAATGTAAAAAAAGAAGCATGTATTTCACAGCATTCATACTTTTGCAAAAGAAAAATCTTTTCGAAATCTATATATTTCACAGTTAAAATAGATTTCATTATGAATTTTAAATTGTGCCATCTTAAATCGAGTGACAATGATTGTACTGACAACGTTGGTTATCAAGTAGTATTTTGTCAGTAATATATATATTTTTTTCTTTCTCTCTCCCCTTCCTGGCGTCCTCCCTCCCTTCTTGTCTTTTCAGTTCTCTCTTTCTTCTCTCCTTGATTTTGGATTGAGAGCCGTTCTAGTGCAGTGCCAAAATCAGGGGAAGAATCAATTGCCTTAAGCTAACAGACCCTGTGCCGCATTGTTGCCAAGCTGGGAAACTTTAGCCTGGAAAACTCACAGAAAAACAGACACAATCATGATGTGCCTGTACACATGGAGCCATATAAGGAAACTTTGACTACTTGGAACTGTATACTACAGATTTCTAGACATAGACATTTTGAGATAAAATCTACCACTTGGAAATATCATGTAGATTATTGAGATTTTCCTCAATAATAGTATTCCTTTGTAGGATTTCTTCCTTTCTCATTCTTCTATTAATGCTCAAAAATCACTGTTAAATTAAGCTTGTTTGCTGTTATTTCAATTTAAAAAGAACAGTGAAGTAAAAACATCCATGCTCCCTTCTATAGATTACATACACTAATCTCATGCTGTTTACCTGAAAAATCTTGAGGAGGAGCCAAGCCTAAAAGAGAATTACTCTAAGCACAAGGGGTGATTGAAATGTTTTATGGCATGTGGCATATCTCAGAGGGAAGTGACAGACATGTCACCTTATTTTTTATTTTTTAAGCCAGACATGCTAATGCTAGAGAAGTGGAGATGCCTTATACTTCAGTGAGAAGCCCACTGCACACAGGAATATCTACACCCCAGCAGAATATGCCACACACTTTTATTGCTGAGTTTTTGCTAGACAATGTTTTGTCAATACAACTCACAAACAGAACTCTCAGATCATGCCATTGTATTTATGGCAAGGTACAGAAAAGAGTAGAAAAGGGATTCGCATCCTCAAATTTGTTTTCAAAAACATGGACATCACGTTTAAACACCTGAACAGTCTCTTCATGGGCGGAAGGTGGGAATTCAGATCAGATGAACTTTGCATATACTTAGTTTCTCTTTTTTCATATCTCACAGTCTCTGCTTTCTTCTGCCTTCTTCTTCTTCTTTCCTCCTCCTCCTCCTCCTCCTTCTTCTTCTTCCTTCTCCTCCTCCTTATCTCTCTCTGTGTGTGTGTGTGTGTGTGTGTGTGCATGTGCGTGTGCTTATTTACCAAAAGGAAACTTTAACTGAAAGCTAAAATGTTGCAGATAGAAGAAATTTTATATGCCAGTTCTCTCGTTCTGGGCATACCATATAATCCAATTGAGTCTTAAATTTCCCAGTACCTAATTTTGCATAGGTTGTTATGAAGATTAAGTGAGATCATAATATCTGTGATATTTACATCAAGTTTTTGATATATAGTAGGTATGCAGGAAATACTACCTATGGAAGCTTCCTAAATTGATTGAGAGAGAGAGAGAGAGAACTTTCAAGGGAGGTGGGTGTTAGAAAAAAATTCTATCTATTCAATAGTGGCCCATGAGATGACATTGCTTCAGGCCCAGAGAGAAAGCAAAGGCATAAAGAGAGGAGTAAAAGAAAACAGAAAGTGCCATCAAGATGGGGAGAAGAGAATGTGGAAATGGTGTTACAGGAAAAACTGAGAATGAAAAAGAAATAATATTTTATTGAGTCAAAGAAATGGTAAAAGAATTACCATAATTTGAGTAAACTTTGGGTGCTAAGCACTTTCTATATATTCTCTCATTTAATTCTCACAAAACTCTTGGAAAGAAGTTTTATGAACATGTATTTTTCCTAGTGGAGGAAACTGGGGCTCAAAGAGTTCAGGTAACATGTTCAAGGTACCCTTTGCTCCTAAGTGGAAAAGGCTGTTTAAATTCCAAAGCACTTTCCAAGGCTATTAGACCATCTCCTCTCCCTGTGCTTTACAGACAGAGCAAACAGGACTCCAATTTCCATATCCCTGCAATTAAGGCCTGATAAATACCATGTTTGGAAATTTTACTTGAACACTTAGAGTGCATTTTCCTCTAGGAATAAAATATTTAATGCTAGCTAGTGTTTCAACCTAACTATCAAAGCTTATTGAATTCAAAATGTAGCTGATCTATAAATTACAAAAACTCTATTCTACAGTCCTACAAGAGAGTCTACAGAAAACAATGCCTTCTTAATCCTAAATTTGAAAGTTAAGCCTGGGCACAGTGGTTCACGCCTGTAATCTCAGCACTTTGGGAGGTTGAGACAGGCAGATCATGAGGTCAGGAGATCCAGACCATCCTGGCCAACATGGTGAAACCCTGTCTCTACTAAAAATACAAACATTAGCTGGGCATGGTGGCACGTGCCTGTAAACCCAGCTACTCCAGAGGCTGAGGCAGGAGAATCACTTGAACCCGGCAGGCAGAGCTTGCAGTGAGCTGAGACAGAGTCACAGCACTCCAGCCTGGCGACAGAGGGAGACTCCGTCTCAAAAAAAAAAAAAAAAAAAAATTAAGAAAGAAAGTTAAGGCCATGCTACTCTTTATCATAGCAGTTAGAAGCCACTTCTGTATCTTTGTCTTATGGGTAGATTTAATATATGTGAAGGTGAAAATGAAGGATAGGTTCCCCAAACTAGAGGATGTTGTAGTAGCCATTATTATGCATTGCTATCTGAGAGCTGTTTGTAAGGTGAGTGACCATGTATGTGATGGACAATCAATGCATGTTTTAGCAGATATGTAAGTGTATGTCTCTAAGTCTGAGAAGCTCACTCAAATGCACAGATACACATATATGTATATAGACCCGATAATAGCTCAGTGTCCCTCCTGAGATCTGAGATATACAAGGCTTGGCATTTGCCCCTTTTCCAGCATGCCTGAACATGCCTGAAATATGAAATATGGATCTCTTACCACTGAATTACTTTAACAAGTTTAGCAAAAGGCAATATGATTTCAGTAGTTGTTTATAGAACTGGAAGTACTCCCCACCCCCCATCTTTGGTGTCAAATTTTAGATTTTAAATGTGTGCACTAGCCCAGTTTAGAAGGCCTGGAGATGTGATGAGTATTTTCAATAAAACTCTCTCAATTTCTGAAGCTCTTATAGTGATGCTCTATTTGTTCTTTCCTCTATGAGAAATCTGCATGAACACCACCAGGTGATGAGTGCACCAGCAGCATAAATAACTCATCACTATTCTCAATCCACAGTTCATCACCAACCTTGCACGAGGGAGAAAAACTAATTGTTATCTGCTGTCCTTTTTATTTTTTCTCCTGTCTCCAGCAATCCATCTCCCTGCCTCCAGCCTCCACCTTCTACTAACATTTTTCCATCCATCCTTCAGTATTTTATCCTTATGACACTACCTGCAATCTATGATTATTTACTTTTCTGATTATAAATGACACTATCTCCCTATAGAGAAAACATAAGTTATGGCAAATGTAGGGTAGTTAAAATTACGAGAATAGTTAGGAAACCCTAGTGGATCTGTTTCCAGGTACCTATGATTTTCTGATTAGTTTCCCTTAAGACTTAAAAATTATAACTTAGTACAGACAAGAGAATTTCTGGGCTGCTGAACTCAGAGATCAGGACATATGAGGAGTTTGGACATAGTTGCTGTATTATAAATTCTTGTTTTTAGGTATCTTTTCTATGAAATGAGGCATTTCATTGTACTGGCTTCCATGGCCTTGCCTTTGGTTAAGAAAGAATGCTGTATGTTTAGAGAAAATGACTTTTCTAGGGCATAATTATACCTTAGGAACATTAAATGAGTTCTCCTATCTTTTTCTTCAAATTGACATTATTCCATGACCTTTGCAGTTAGAGAAATCAGATTTTCCACGAAGGAGGAATATTTTATGCTGAGGATTTTGAAGCAGGAGAAGTGCCTGAATGAGTAAGCAATCCTACTTAAATACTGGAAAATGAGCATCTAGAGATTTATATGTCCCCAAAACCTATGGATGACAAACATTTTTAAAAACGAAAACACTTTAGAATCTAAAGCTATTTCTTTTTCTTTCATACGCAAATTTATAATTTCTTGGCAATAGGAATGTTAGTTTGAACAGGATGAAAAAGATTAGGAAGTTTATTCTCAATGATCAGCCAAAACTGTATAGCACTATAAATTGCTCTTATTAAACTAGCATTCTAGAAAGACAAGGTCAAAAGTTGATTATAAGGATCAAATCAATAGAAAAATAGATTATAGCTACCTGTTCCTTACTAGACCTGTAACAGGCTGACTTTTCAGAGCAAACACATTGGTATGTATACAGATTTTTTTACATCTCTTCAGTATATAATTCAAAGTGCCAAAAGCACTAACTTAACATCTCAGGTTTGGTCTCTTCATTTATAAAGATGTTATTATTTTGGAAGTTACTCTGAAGATTAAGAGGCATTAGAAAATATGTGAAAATGTTTTTTAAAGGGCAAAGCAGTAACAAATACAGAATATTATTGCTATTTCCATAGTATTTTACATATTCAGGATGAAACTATGTTTAAGAAACAAAGTCAGAAATAAATTTTTGAGATACCCTTAAAACCATGAGTAGTGAAACTCAAGTAGTTTCTTTTCAAATCCAAAGGACTGCTGTTAAGTTGACATTTTCTTACCTGCACGTGGACAACTAAGATTGTTGAAATGTAAGAAAAAGTCTTCTAGAAACCAGAAATATTTATCCAAGCAAGTAGCTACCTTCTGAGGTAGAGTGTCCCCATCACTGGAAATGTTTTAATATCATCATTAGGATGATAGAACCAGCTGTCATTCTGTTATGAGTATGACGGTGGAATTCCTCATCCAAAAGAAGCAATCTCTTGCCATTTCCTAGTTCTTGCCTTAATACTTATCTCCAACTAACCCACGGCACATTTTACTTATTTATCTTCTTTATTTTCTTCCTTTTTTATTAACAGTAAACTTCACAAAGGCATGTTGTTCAGCAGCATATTTCCCATGTCTTAAAATGTGCCTGGCACACAGTAGATGTATGATAAATATTTTTTTAACATATGAGAGATTGGATGAGATGCTTTCTAAGATTCCCTCCAGTTTCCAAGAAACTATGAAAAAATGTAGGGGTGAGTCTCATTACTAATCAAAAGTTTACTGACTTTATAAAACTATGCAAATCTTACATAGAAAATTCATCTCTACTTTGACTATCTTTGCTGTATTTATTTTATCCTTATGAGTATTTGGGAAGCAACAGTGCCCATTTACTCCCATTCACAGAATTAAGGTATAAAGAAAAATATGAATTGCTAAAACTAAGAAAATAAAACAACATACCATGTTTATTTTGTTTCTTTCTTAATTATTTGGGTTTTACATAAAAAAAGAGATCCATTCATTTATTCAACAAACATTTATGTATGCCTTACTTAATGTCAGGCACTTGATAAACACTGGGGGGAAATGTATCCTAGAAGAACTCACAGTCAGGAATAGGGGATACAGACATCACATCTTCATGTTATTTCCTCTAAGCTTGAGAATGGAAATGATGTATGCATGTGGATGTAGTAACATTAGGAAGTTCTGCCCTTTCAAAGCCTTGCTAGCATGTCTGTAGACCAATAAAGTAAGCAGTGGCTGAAAATGTCTATGCAGACTTTAACTTCAAGTCTACAATGTGCCAGACATTGCAAGGATTCAAGAATATCCTCGAACTCTGGGAAGGGAGATAGACTTATAAACAGATCATTGTAACGTGATATGTGTCACTCATACGCAAGTTGTGGAAGTACAGTGGAACCAGAGATTCACTCTGATTCAGAAATGGAGGTACGGGAAAGTGTCCCAGTTAGAGTCCTGACAAAAAACACATGGCACACTCAAATTAGGCAACAGAGGAAAGGCTTTTACAGTGACCATTTACAAAGGTGTGGGCAAGTGTAGGGAAACAAGATTGTGCAATACGTTGGAAATTATACTCCAGGCTTCAAGGAGTGAAGGGGAAGAGCAGGGGAGACAGTAATTCCTGGATCCTGGAACAGAAAGAGCTGGATGGAGAAAACTGTTTAACAGGAGCTATGATCTTCAGTACACAGACGATGGATGGCAACCCCAGGGATGCCGCTAAAGAGATAAAACCCTGCCTCACTCTCCCCTTGTCTTCTGATTTTCTGCCAGTGTTCTCACTGGCCAAAGCCAGGCAGAAGGCAAAGGAAAAGGGATCCCATCGATGAAGTCAATATGGGTCAGCTTCCTAGGCCACAGAGCAGAGTAGGGAAGAATGCAGAGTCAAATATGGTGCAGCAAACAAAAGATAGACAATGCAGAAGGCTTTGGTGCCAGGAGACACTTGAGCTGGGGCTTGAAGGCTGTGTGGGAATGCATTAGCTAGTTTAACTGGGTCACACCAGAAAGAGAAGGCACATTTTGAAGAATGCTTGACAGGGTGATTTCTACGCAGAACAGAAAATGTAGACTTTGTCTATATGTCTAGGAGATTTTCTGAGCATGCTTGCTACTGCCATGAGCTGATAGCAAAGCTACTTATTTGAAAGGGGTCTCAGAATCTGAGAACTGACCAAAACCTCTAGTAAATACCCACCAAAGCATTCCTGCAATCTTTAGATGTTAAGAGAGGATTTGAAGGCCTTCAGTCCAATCCAAGCTGAGACTGTTAGTTGAATATAGTGTTATTTTTTGTGATAGAATATAATATGAAATCAAAAGTATCTACCTCCTAGACAAAATATTAATACATACTATGAATTAAAACTCCTTTTTCAGTCAATGCAAGATGAGGCTAGATAGTTAAAAAAAAGCTTCAATCTCAAATTATTTCAAGAGTATAATGGGCTCCACTTCTCTTGATGAGAAATTATTCTTTGTTATACAATTAGCTTCAGATCTTTTAGTTCTTCTGATTCTTGTGTATGTGACATTACTGAAGAGCTGATTTATAACTATTGTACCCTAGCCCATTTTGGACAATAGCATGACCTGATGCAGTGGTTTTCAAATTGTAAAAAAAAAAAAAAAAAAAATCTTATTCAGAATTTCAATATATAAAGGAGGTAAAAGTAAAGAATGGGTACCTTGATAGTTTAAATATTCACTGTTCAGTGAAAAATATTTTGTTACTTGCTCCAAACCCTGAAGCACCATTGTGAACACTTGAACTTCCTCAGGCAACAGTTTGAAAATCATTGACCTCAAGAATAGGAAATTAAGTACATGAGAGGACACCAGAGTTTAAGTCTCAGTTTTAAATTAAATCCCTCCTCTGTGGTCCCATGAAAAGCAAGGAAACTTCTTGAGGGCCACAGAAATGCTGGTATTGATTTCCCTGGGGAATGATTGACAGACTGGCTCTGGGCAAGTCACTAAACCTCTTCCTGCTTTAGGGTCCTTCTCTGTAAAATGGGGTTGCTAATAGTTACCATGCCTCTCCTTTACCACGGAGATGTGAGAAAATTAATGAATGGTTGTTCCCAAGGATTTAAAAGACCTTTTGAAGAAAGCCTGTAGATAAGACAAAAAAGAATATATTTTATTTGATCCTAACCAGTAAATGCTCTGAGAGAGTACAGAAACAAATATCTAAAACTCTAAGTGGATGGTGTCAGTTCTAATTTACTTCTTTGCTTGGGCTGAGGTTGTACTATTAGAGCCAACCAAGGACACATACCACTGCTCTCCCGTGTCTGGGTGTGCTGAAAGAAGCTGCAGGGAGAACAGTGAGTTAGGAGATAAGTCTAGGAATCTGGGGACTAGTGAGATGAGGGCAAGTGAGGTTGGGGATGCAGAAGAAAAAAAGCACCAGAGGAGCTCTCTGAGCACTGCTGGGGAACAGAGTTATTGATGTGTGTGTCAAGAAGGAGCTGGCTACAATACACAGAGGCACTGCGAAAAACAACAGCAGTTCCTCAAAGTGTGCTGTGTGGGGAGGAAGGCATCCTTGGTTCCATTTTACAGGTGTTGAAACCGGCCAGGGAGTTGTTCTAACCCATTTGCTACATATCCCTACAGTTTGGCTATCTTTCCTAGCTAGACCGGCCTTGATCATTATGACAGACAAGATTATTTTCAGATGAGAAGGACAGCACTCCTGTGGCAAATCTCCTTTGTGCACCTCCTTTTCTTCCCACCCCTCACTCAAGGTCCGGATTTCTTTACTTGCAGCCTGAAATCTTTATACAGCATTCTAAGCTCAGGAATCTCTACCCCCAATATCTTCCTTTCTCCAGCTTTAAACTGGTGCTAGGAAATCATCTTAAGCACCATCTAACCTCAACTGCCTATGCTCAGAAGCATTACATAATGCTCTGTGCTGACATTGTATACGCCAAGCTCTTTGTGTGGTTTTCAGGCTCCTTCATTATCTGAACCCACCTCACACATGCAGCCCTTCATCTTGCTACATTGTCCTGACTCTGAACACATCATATTTTTCATTGTTCTCAGAACTCAATCTATTCTACATTCTTCTATTTCTATGCCCCCCCTACTGACCAATGTAAATTGCCTTCCCATTTTGGATAAATAGGAAACCATTGATATAACTCTATCCATCCTTCAAATCTTATTTCACATGACACTCTATAAATTCTTCTCTGACCTCCCTGCATTTTCCCCCTTCCTCTTTAACCTACCCCACTATTCTGCTTCCATAGCAACCTGTCACTGTATTTATTTTCACTTGGAGCATTTGTACTGGGCTTGGTGGTTCAAAGTCCTTGGTTCACAATTTGTTCTCATTTATTAGTTGTGACTTAGAAAAAGTAAATTAAGTTCTTTGAGCCTCAATTTCTTGACAGTAAATGGGAATAAAATATGTTTAAATGAGATTAAATGTATGAAAGTCTTTAGCATTGTGCATGGCATAAATGAGTTACTTGACAAGCATGAGTATGTGAATGAATGAATGAAGAAAAAATAAATTGATGGATTTTGTGATGATACAGCATATTAACTGTTGTCTGGGAAGAGTAAAATCACTCATTCTTGCTTTTCAGCTATAGAATGAGAAAACATTCCATTAAGGTATCTCTTAGAAGATCAGCGTCAGTTAGCAAGTTGAATGACAGGCCTGTGAAACTTGCTAATTGCACGTAGGAGGAACCACATAGCCTGAGTGTGTGTGCTGGCTTTCTCCTGAGCTGTTGCAACTTTCTATATCTGCATGAAGTCTTTCAGATTTGTTTACCTGGTTTGTATCCAGTTTCCAGCATTATACCTGCTTCATTGTTGTCATTCTTTAAATTCTCTTTCACCAGACAAAGAGAAAAGTTTGGCTTTGAAGTTGCAGGGAGCCGCGTTGTCAGTTACCGCGGGAACCCATGGAAGTACACGTGAAAGCAGGCATTAGAGACGGTGGAGATCAGAGGGCATTTCAAAAGCTGCAGGAGCTATTCAGATTCTCTTATTTAAAGGGGCTCTGATGCCAGAAGATGGTGTGTTGGACTCTTCTATGCCAGCAGTTTGAAATGTATTTGTGGTTTAAGCATAGAGAGTCCTGATTTAAAATTCCCATTTTCAGGGGGAAAATGTTTTCTGTTCTAGGACTCTTATATAGCAATTCTTTCTGAGGAGCCATATGCCATGCTGTTCTACCATGTCTGCCATTCCTGGGGAGAATTCAGGAGCAGGAGATGAAAGGAAACTGAGAAGATGGTTGCTCCCCTTATTTTTCTTGCCCCTAGGATAAAGTGATTGGCTCAGTTTTGAACTCTGACACCAAAGTATGTTAAAGGTCTAACAGACATTAAGCAAATGTTTGCAGATTGATCTGTTAATTTAAAGAATTGCTTGTCTACCCTGTGAGGCAAGAATACTCTTTTTTCAATTAGCACATTTTAAGAAAGAAACGAGGTTAGGTGTGGTCAACTCTGCACTTGGAGTTTCTCTGACAATTGAGTTTGAAAACTGAGAAGGAAAGAAGAGGATAGGAAATTCTCACCATTTATGTTCCCCTCTGTGCAAAGCGATAAAGTTGAAGATGAGCAGACTTATTGAACTAAAACGTTAAGTTGCATGCGCAGGAAAATTGAAGAAAGCAAAATGCACAGTATCCTCTCCCTAAAAGCCTTTTATGGGTAGGGGAAAAATATGTCCCTGTTGGTCAATTTCCCTTCTCTGATAGAAGCAGAATTTTTTCTTGCTGCTGCCCATGTGACTCTTTGGTATTGTTATTTCAACTTCTGTAGTACATTGCTAGATGACGGTGATTACTTGGTTTTTAAAAAATGTGAACATTGAATAAATTTCATTACTTTTGCATAGAATACATTGAGAAAATAATTCCATAGATCTCCTAAACTTGAATCAAGTTTCTCAGTTGGAGAAACAACAGCAACAGCAAACAACAACATTTTTTTCCCTTTATTTGCATCACTGCGCTGTATTCCATTTTAGGAATCAGAAGGGACATGTTTTGCAGAACAGAAATCAAAACACACTGGGTTGAAGGGAAACAATGGTAGTGGTTCAGCTCCAACTTCTTATGTAAAAGTTTACCATATGATAATGTAGTTGTACTGCATATTCAATTTTGATATGTAACCTTTGAAATAAATTGGAATACTCTTTCCTGCTACTCTTGGCACACGCCGGGTGATCATAAACAATAATCTCATAAAGGTCACCTGCTCGATAAGTTCTGCTCTCAGCAAGAAGTAAAAAGGACTACTCAGAGATATTTTCTTTTTTCTCTGAGACTCTTAATTTATTCTTCTTTCCCTCTTTGAAGATCCAAACAACAAAAATTTTCTTATACCAAGTAGACTCACAGAATTTCTGGAGTGTTTATTGTTTTTCTCTTTTTCTGACACTTTACACTTTTTTAAAAAACTTAAATTGGCTGATGGAAAGTAGGCAAAGCAGTTTGGCGTCGTGGTGGGGAAGAGAGTTAAGTTATTCAGCCAAAAACTAATTGGCTATTTTAAAGCAAATGATGATTTTATTTCAACTTCTCTCTACCCAAATTAATTTATGTGAATAGACATGGCTAAAATAAGTAGGCATGTATACGTGTGATGTTTTCTTTTTCAGAATTTGTTCATTTAACAAAATGTATTTCAGGAACTTTATAACAAATCCCAAATGAGCTTAATATTGCTTTACCAAAGTAACTTCAGCTCCATCTACAAAAGCTAAAAAACATATTGTGTTAAAATTGAGCACCAGTTATGTCAGTTGTGTCTTTACCTTTATTCACAAGCAAAATAAGCCCATTCGATATTTTTCTACTTGTAGATAACTTGCTTTAATATATGCCAATCACATCTGCTGCCAAATAATACAGGTTACTATTCTCCTATGAGGTAATGACATAAGAAAGGGCTCCCTTGCCACAAACATATGTAAAGATGTTTATATAAGTCATATCCATGATATTTGGTTAGCTTTAATTCAATCTGGAAGTTGTATAGAAAGGACAGTTAAGAAAAAAATGTCACACAAAACCCTCTGTGGGAAGAATTCATCTGCACCTCCAATTTATTTCAAACCTCTTTAAAAATTTTAATCAAATAACCAAAATAGGACATTTTCAGGATGAAATGAGTAAAATAAACGTTTTCGTTATTTTTTATTCTCCTCCACCTTGTTATAAGAGGAAGATTTTAAGCAGTTCAAAAACCTTAATAGTAATTTCAACTTATTGTATGCCAGGTTCTATTTTATTTTTTAAATCTTTACATAAAAACTGTCTATTTTATTTTTTAAATCTTTACATATAAAGTGTCTGTCTTAGATGTCATAGAGTAATTAAGCAATCTTAAGAGATTCTTAAGATTCTTAAGAGAATCTTGTTCTCTCTCTTTCTCTCATAATGTGGATTAAATATACGTTTTCAGAGGATGAATTGAGTCAGTCTCTAGTTAGAGTTATGATGAGAAGAATTACAGAATTGGTGTCATGTGGATGGGGCCTTGAGTAGGAGTAGATGTGAAGGGACACGGGTGCAGGAATGCCATCCAGGCATGGATGTCTTGGGAGAGGTAGTGAGGAGCAGCATCTTTGTACCTTATATCAAATCTTGCATCATTATATCTTCCAAAACTTATTATAACTGTTACTGTCAAAGTGGACTTTTAAAAAGCTATAGAATCTTCAGAGATGTTCTTCAAGATCTCACATTCTCTTACAATTTAAAAGTGGGACTTTATTATTGAGAAAACACCAACATTATCTGGAGCACGCAGTCCTTGGAATTTAACAAAAAAAAAGTAATAGATTTGGATAAATCTTACAAATGTTGTTAAAATGTAGATTTTGCTGTCTACTGAATCTTTTTGTCAGTCACTGAAATTATAGAATACAAATCTAACAGAAGCCCAATTGGAGCTGACTTTGGGAAGAAGGTGAACAGTTGTGGGCTCTGGAAAAGGACAGGCTGCTGTGATTGTGGCTGTTTCCCACAGAGCTTCCTTGTTCGTTGATGAATAAAAGTTGGAGAATTAATACATAATCAAAATTTGTAGTGTATTTTTATGAACTAAAGGGTGCATTTATCTCTTTCTCTGGATAATTTTTAGGTTGACACTGAAGTAGGCACAAAATACCCACCCCAAACATACAAATCTAAGGTAATTCACTTCAATTTTAAATATTTTAAAATAGAGATGTATATCTTTGAGACAAATTATGGTGTTAATATATGGTAGGACAGATGGACCAAATAAAAATTCACAACTGAACACATTTCAGGAGCTGTGAATACATTTTACAGCATATCTTCCATTTGTTCCTTTTTTTCAGTTGTTTCTCTCTTTATTATGCTACTTCAGTTGTCTAGCACCTATAGGAATGTACCTAGAAAATGTGACTTGAGTTTATTAGTCCTGTAAGAATTTGCATTTATCTTTGTCAAGAGGATAACCGAAGGCAGGAAACTTTCTGTGAAGTATTCTAATTAATCTAACTCAACATATTTTGTATTCTAAAAATCCCAACAACTAAAATTCAGTTCTTAAGAAGAAGGAAAAGAGCAGAGGTGCCCCTGAGGAAGAAAAGGGAAGAATTAAGACAAAAAGAATTGAACAGAATGAAATGAAGAAGGAACCAAATAGGAAGCTTCTGAATAAACATCACCCATCTCTCTGCTTTCCTTCCAATAACCGCTGACCTCTACCTTCCTGGAGATTCAATCCTGTTGTCAGGGAACACTTTACTCTTCCAGAACACCTAGAAACTTTTCCTGAGTTTTTTAAACTCAGCCAGCTTGTTAGTCGGTGTCTGCATTCTGGCTGCCTCATCTGCCACACATAAGTAGCAGTCCCTAATGGCAGGCGAATGTGGGCTTTTCCACATGCAAAATATGCCTCTCGGTACTAAGTAAAGCAAAAGAGGCCCGTTTTCTAAGACTTTGCACTTGAGAATGTGTTTGGACAATCTCTGTCCAGATGTCAGTGTGCAGATGCATATTTCAGACATTCTTTTTCCTGATTAGCATGCAGCCAGAACACCTGTTTTGCTGCCTGGAGGAATCATATTAGAAATAAAGATACACCTGCACAGTCGAATATTTGCACTGTATTTATAAACAGATCTTTCAGTGTTTGGGTCAATACCTTCCCATCAGTCCGAAGGTATATAAATGTAGCCCCTGAAATGACTTCAGTCCCATTTGGTAGACTCTCGCGGGCATTTTTAAAAAACCGCATTTTAAGTGGGCTTGAAGTATTATGTCTTCCATGGGGGTTACTCAGAACTTGTATGTGCACTTTGGAGGGGTAATTGTTCAAACCTATAAGCAATTATCCCACACTGGCAATAGGATTAGACACGTACCATACATAAGATTTACAAATGCTGAAAAGGACAAGCAGTCATGGTACAAATGTCTGCTTTCTTTGAACATTTAAAAATATTTAAAACTTTTATCATTTAAAAAATAAGTTTAAGCTGATACCTAGAAACATAAAATAACACATTTCTAATAGCAATGTAAAAATGCTTACACGTGTAATTATTTTAAACTAAAATAAATGAGAAATTATTTAAAATACAACAAAGGGCAATGATAAGAAGACTTAAAATCCTATTAAAATCATCTTTGAGAATGTATCAAACTTATCTAACTAGACAGTCTGGGGAAAAATGAAAGAATGGCTATCTTGTGGCTTGATTTAAATGATAGAATTTGAGTAGCATCATTCATTATTTGTGATTGATATGCTTCTAGGAACTGAGCTTTTGAACTTTATAAAGTTCATCAAGTACTGCTTTCACTAGGCACTTCCATGGATAAATTATATGCTTCTAAAGTCCTTAGAATTGAGAACATTAGAATTAACCTCTATCAATTTAATAATAATTCTACATGAGCCAGATTCCAGTCCTTCATAACTAAAGTTGTGAATCCCTTAGCCAAAAATAAGAAAGGAAAGTCTGAAATAAGACGTTTATGCTGTTTGAGAAAACAAAAACACAGATTGACCCTATATTTTTCTTTAATCTGTCTAAAATCAATTAGATATTTGAATTGTGGTATTGTATTTCCAGGAAGCTTCATTGCTTTCTATTATCGTCATGACAAAAATAAACAATTCCTTTTGAAATCATAAAGAAAAATGCCTCCCACTGAGTTGATGTTGTGTGCTATTATATGAAGAACATATGTGTAATAAAAAATGAGAAATTATGGATCAAATAATGATGTTGAAGCCACTCACGTAAACAATAGAGAGCATTTTGGATGAACTCCAAATATCATCATTATTGTTTAATTTCAGCCCCAGTTATGTATCTGCCTAGGCTAGTGTCAAAGATAATAATCTCACCAGATAGATATAAAATGCACAATTAAAATTACATAGCTTCATTATTCTGTTTACACACAGTACTAAACCACTTTTTTCCAGCTGACTGACCCAGCAGAGCATTTTGTTCATTCAGCTCCCTTGCAAATTCAGTGGGCTGATACCCATTTCTTTGTATATATTAAGTCATTTTCTATCAATGTAGGAATAAAGTAACTAAGAAGAGGCATGAACATATTTGCTTTCTAGTGAATCTGTTCTTTACATCTTGCCCTCTGTCTTTCACATACAATTATGGGTTTTTAAAGTAGGGGAGAGCCTTACTGGAAGTCACAAAATGCCAATTAAAAGAAATGGACAGAAGCTCATTGCCAAATAACTCATTCTGAGAAAAAGAAGACAAAGACGGCTACGCATTTCAGCCCTCCTCACTGAAATGTCCACTGCCAGTCAACACATGAGAGAACCCTCAACAGGAAAGGGATTTAGAAAGTTACTCAATCCAAGACTGACTTTAACTCAAAACTACTTGTCAAAGGAAGTTTTCATGTTTGCTACCAGCAAAAAAGAAAAGAAATCCAAAAGCAAAGAAAATAATAGCCAGAAATTTTTAAAACAGGGGTTAAAAAAATAAAGCATTGCCCAATTTATGTCTAAAATAAAGGTAATTCAGAAAACTATGATTTCTTGGTAGAAAGAAATATCATTTCCTATTGTTAAGTTATAGATTGAAAGACAAAACTTTTGTCATTTATTTTCTTTGAATGCAAAGCATTGCACTCTAAGTAGAGCTGAACAGGATCTGCCTCTCCATCACTGACAGTTAATAATTAAATCAAACATTATATTCAGCAATAGAACATATGCATCAGCTTCTTTCAAATTGCATTTCCTTCCTGTTAGGTCCATTAGCGTAAGCCAGACTGCCTTTAGAAACCCCCTTATTGCTGCTGTCTTTCAGCACAGTTCCTGAAATGGATAATGTGGTACATATTATAGGCAATTACACAGAACTCCCCAGCGATAGGGTTTTAGAGTTACAGAATGAAACAGCTGGAATTACAGAGCTATAAGCTAATCAGAAAAAAAAAAAGGAAAGAGTTAAAAAAAAATAACCTGGACAAAGAAAAAAAGTGGAAAGTGTGAGAGGTTCTATAAAAACATTGTTCCTAGGGAAGCTATTTGTACCAGAAGAATCTCCAGGGTTCACAGTGTAAAACTATCTAAATCTAAACAGGTTATTTTTAAAAATGGTTTTTGCCAAGTCTTTTATACTGGTGGTGTAAAAGCACATAACAGACAGCTAGCAAATTTGAGATATTGAAAACAATAACATTTTTCTCTCCAGCTTTACCAACGTGATATTTCCATATTAGTAACATTGTGAAAAATCTAGTCTTCTTTTTCAATTTTATTTCCATAAAAACACAAATGGTTCCAGAAGATGAAGTTTCTATTTACTAAATGCGCCACATATATAATATTTTCAACTTGTTATTTTACGCTTCGGCTCGGGTATGTAGTGCTCGTGCAATAGAGATAAGAAATTACATAATCTATCTCTCTTCTTGGTTTGGGTACTGCAATTGGAATGTTCTGCTGGAAAAGTCAGACACAAACATTATATGTATACCTAAAGGAAAAAAAGTTTTATATTCAGAGAGAAAATATATATTCTGATTTCTTTCAAGGTTTTAGGAAATAAAGAAATAATGGGTTTTGATGATAAAAATGTTGCTTCAGTTGGTTGTAAGCAAAGTGCAGTTTTTAGCTTGTGTCAATGAAGTGTTTAGAAATTTTTCCAGTAAAATTACCTTATAACTTGAGAAATAATGGAACTATCTGCACAGCAACTACTGGGAAATGAAACAAAAGTGGGTGCAATTTCAAACTTTAAATATAGTTACAGAACCGTTTTCAAATTTGTTACTAACATATTCTACAAAAATCTGAAGATATTAAAGGCAGAATATTTGTGCTGCTCCTGGAGGACTATTTCTTTCTCTATAAAGAGATGGATTACTGGGAGGCTGAGATGAGCAGATCACTGGAGGTCAGGAGTTCAAGACCAGCCTGGGCAACATGGTGAAACCCCACCGCTACCAAAAATACAAAAATTAGCTGGATGTGGTGGCAGAAACCTGGAATGCTAGCTATTCAGGAGGCTGAGGTACAAGAATAGCTTGAATCCGGGAGGCTGAGGTTGCAGTGAGCTGAGATTGAGCCATTGCACTTCAGCTGGGGTGAGAGAGTGAGACTCTATCTCAACAACAAAAAAAGAAAGAGATGGATTACATAGTCATAGCCAGATTTATGTGGCTACTTATGTACTTTCATAAGGCTTCAGTAGCCAATATTTATTTCAACAACAATACAATGGCAGCAGGAGGAATCTGGACATAAAATTTGCTACCAGTTTGATATCCTTAACAGTCATTGTCTTCCACTTCCCTTAAGAGTAGGGATTCTTTGTTGTTGTTGTTTTATTTTTTTCTTCTTTCCAGTAAAACTTTGCTATGACAGAGGAGAAGGAAAGGAAACAGAGATGTTAACAAGGCCCAACATTAAAGTCAAAGGAAGACTATGTCTCCTCATTATAAAAAGTAATGTTCACTTTAAGAGTAAAATCCGAATTTGTTTTTATTATTGAAGCTATGTTGGTGACTGTATAATATAATAAGTGAATATGCTCTGAATACCCAAACCTATTTGTCATATAACAGACAAAGTTCAGGAGATTTAATTGGAGGTTATGTTCTTGTATGTCCCTGTTTATCATAAGAAAGGACATTGAAACAGAGGAAGAAAAGACCTAAAAGAAACAGTGAGTGTATTGGCTACAGGGATAGAGAATCTCACAACTGGTATCTAAATAAATAACTCATTTTAAATTTATACCTGCATTTATGCCAAGGAGGTAGAAAAACCTGTTCTCTATTAATTTCTAATACAGAAAATATCTATATACCCTTCTTCACACTAAATAACTATATTTTGTCTCAACATGTTTTAAGTAATAATATCTAGCAGTATAAAATAATAGCTCTTAGAGCACACTTAATTCATGTCAAATACTGAACTAAGCACTTTAAAAATATGAAATGATTTATTCCTCCTAAACTTATTGTTGTAGGTACTTTTATTATCCTCATTTGCAGATGAAGAAACTCAATCTGAGGGTTTACCTAACGGCTCAGTTACACAGCTTTGCTAAATGGTGGAGCTGAGATGTGAACTCAGGCAGTCAAAGTCGAGGATCTGAGCACTTAAGTATTACAATATATTGTCTTTGAAGATAGGTATGTTGCAGACGTTTATGGTACATCAATTAATCAGGTCGCAGGATCCAAATCTCTCAGACAACATGACACTCTTCTCAAATGGGTCCAAGAGTGACTAAACGGCAATGAATCACACATCCACATCTGGGACCACAAATCATGGTTCTGCAATATTATTTTAATTAATATTAGAAAGGCTGTAAAAGTGTTACATTTACCTTAGACCTAATTCAAAAAAAAAAAAAAAAAAAGACAGAGACCAGCATGCTATTATCAGGCTACATTTAGCCTATCAATCTGCTAATTTTAACTATTTTTCTTCATTCTAATAGTTATTTTTCAGAAAGCTTTACACTCTTGGCTGGAATGGCCCTGAAAGCATCTGGGAAAATATACTCCAATAATCCAGTGAACATGAGATATAAAAAAGCTGCCTAGTTATAAAGCAGCCTATCATGAATAATAAATTAACTCCACATTCAGATCTCTTAAAATTTATTATGTTTTGCTTCTTATAAAAAGTGTTGATTACATTTAGAAGTTGTGTGATTTTGTAAAATGAAAATATTAAAAAAATAGAAAAATATTTGTATGCTTTTGAGTTGGGTGAGTTTCTTCTAAGGAAGCCAAGACTCTCAGAATTCATAAGGAACAGGATAAACATTCTTGAGTACATAACAGTTTTTAAATGTATGGCAAAGATACCATGAATTAAAAAAAACACTCAGATTATAGAGTAGGAAAACATTTGCCACCCATATGACATAGAAATGGCTAATACATATTATCAGAGATAGGTACTTCCTACATTGAGATTCTATCTTAATGCATTATCTATACTAGTATTTCTCAACCTAAATATAAATAAGCTGTGGATCTTGTTAAAATAAAGACTACATTTCAGCAGGGGTTTGGCCTGAGATTACACATTTCTGACAAGCTCCATGTGATGTTGATGCTGCTAGTTTACACCATGTTCTGAGGAATATTGATCTAGAACACTCCAGTTCATGCAACACTGTAAATAACCTAACTGACTTCAAAAAAATTTAGAGAGAAGTTGTCAAATTTTTACTCATGGAAATTTTTTGAAATGGTGGTATTTAAAGTTGTTTGAAAAGGTACTCTTGCTGGGCAAGGTGGCTTATAGCTGTAATCCCAGCAATCTGGGAGGCCAAGGAGGGAGGATTGTTTGAGCCCAGGAGTTCCAGACCAGCCTGAATGACATAGCAAGACCCCATCTTTACAAAAACTAAATTTTTTTTTTCAGTTTGGAAAAATTAACAGGTGTGGTGGAATTCCCCTGTAGCCTCAGCTACTCAGGAGGCTGAGGCAGGAAGATTGCTTAAGCCCAGGAGGTTAAGACTGCGGTGACCTGTGATCATACCACTGCACTACAGCCTAGGCAACAGAGTAAGACCTGGTGGAAAGAAAGAAGAAAGAGAAAGAAGGAAAGAAAGAAAGAAAGAAAGAAGGAAAGAAAGAAAGAAAGAAAGAAAGAAAGAAAGAAAGAAAGAAAGAAAGACAGACAAAGAAAGAAAGAAAGAAAGAGAGAGAGAAAGGAAGGAAGGAAGGAAAGAAGGAAGGAAGGAAGGAAGGAAAGAAAAGAGAGAGAGAAGGGAAGGAAAGGTAATTTAACTTTGGATTTAAGAAAGGATTTCCACATTCTTATGACCTAAGAGTGAGACAAGACCTTGTTTTTTCCTCTTATCCTCTCTAAATCTGAATTTAAGAAGAAGAAAAAGAAGATATTTTACCTCTTTAGTTAAATATATTCCTTGGTAATTTTTTTTTTTGCAGCTATTGTAAATAGGATTGCCTTCTTCATTTGGTTCTCAGCTTGAATGTCACTGGTGTATAGAAATGCCACTTATTTTCATACATTGACTCTTTATTCTGAATCTTTACTGAATTTCTTCATCAAATCTAAGAGATTTTTTTGGAGGAGTCTTCAGGGTTTTCCAGCTATAAGATCATATCATCAATGAACAGAGATAATTTGACTTCCTCTTTTCCAATTTGGAATCCATTTATTTTTTTCTCTTGCCTGATTGCTCTGGCTAGGACTTCCAGTACTCTGCTGAATAATATATTTAGTCAAGAAAATGAAAGATCTCTATAAGGAAAACTACAAAACACTGAAGGAAGAATTTGTAGGTAATAAAAGCAAATGAGTAAACATCCTCTGCTCATTGATTGAAAGAATTAATATTGTTAAAATGACCATACTACCCAAAGCAAGCTGCACATTCAATTCAACTCCTATCAAAAATGCCAAGGTCATTTTTCAAAAATTAGAAAAAAAAATCCTAAAATTCATACAAAACTAAAAAAGAGCCTGAATAGCCAAATAAATCTTAACTAAAAAAAGCAAAGCTGGAGACAACACATTACTGGACCTCAAATTATACTATGAAAATACAGTAAACAAAACAGCATGGTATTGGTATAAAAATAGTTGCACTGAGTAAAGGACACCCTTTTCAATAAATGGTGCTGGGAAAATTGAATTTCTATATGCAGAAGAAGGAAGCTGAACCCCTATCTCTCACGATATACAAAAATCAAAGTTTGAGCAAAAACTTCAGATGAAAGACCTGAAATTGTAAAAATACTGGAAGAAAACCCAGGGAAAATTTTCCTGGACATTAGTCTAGCAAAGAATTCTTGACCAAGACCTCAAACATATAAGCAATAGAAACAAAATAGACAAATAGGGCTTAATTAAACTAAAAAGGCTTTGCACAGCAAAAGAAATAATCAAGAGTGAAAAAACTCCCTGTAGAATGGAAGAAAATATTTGCAAAATATGAATCCAACAGGGGACTGATATCCAGAATTTACAAAGAATGCAAACAACTCAACCACAATAAAAAAACAAATTACCCTATTAAAAAGTGGGCAAAGGACATGAATGGACATTTTTCAAAAGAAGACGTGCAAATGGCCAATAAGCATATGAAAAAAACAAAAACGCTCAACATCACTAATCATCAGAGACATGCACATTAAAACCACAATGAGATTATTTTACACAAGTCAGAATGGCTATTATTAAAAAGAAAAAAATAACAGATGTTGATGAGGATGAGGAGAAAAGGTAATGCTTATACACTGTTGGTGGGAATGTAAATTAGTACAACCTCTGTGGAAAACAGTATGGAGATTTCTCTAAAAATAAAATTACCATTCAATCTGGCAATCCACTACTGGGTATCTACTCAAAGGAAAATAAATAATTATATTAAAAATAGAACTACACTCATATGTTTAGCACAGCAGTATTCACAATAGCAAAAATATGGAATCAGCCTGAGTCCACTAACATATGACTGGATAAAGAAAACATGGTGTGTATGTGTGTGTTTACACATATATACAATGTAACACTATTAAACCATAAATATTCAGCCATAAATAATGAAATCATGTTTTGTATTAATATGGAGGAAATTTGAGGCTATATCTTAATTCAAACCACTCAGAAACAGAAAGTCAAATGCCACATGTTCTCACTTACAAGTGGGAGCTAAACAATGTATACACATGGACATAGAGGGTGGAAATAGTCACTGGAGACTCAGGAGGGTAGGAGGGGAGTGAGAAATGACAAATTTCTTAATGGGTAAAATGCACAATATTCAGATGATGGTTACACTAAAAGTCCAGATTTCACCACTAGGGAAATGTTTTGTTACATGTTATCCATGTAACAAAAATACACTTGTACCACTTAAACTTATACAAAAAAGAAGCATTCCAATATAAAACTGGGCAAACATAGTAAAAGGTAGTTAACATGAAAGGGTGTTAAACTGACATTAAATTTAAGAAAGTATTATTTATCTCATTACTAGTCATGAAATACCAATTAAATGAGTAAAAAAATACCTTTTATATCTATTATATTGGTAAAAATAAAGGAGTGAAAATAAAACTTTTGCTTCTTTGGAGGATATACTAGGTCATAGCAGGTCAATGCTGCTGGTGATTAGAAAATAAAAAGCTATATAAATTATATATAACAGATGAGAAAATAGAGGCCCAGGGAAGGTAAGTAATTTAACCAAGATCACACAGCTGATAAGTGATCATGGTGGACTTTGAACCCATATATTCAGGACCTAGATCTTATTATCATTACTACTATTTAACTCTGCTGACTCTAAAAATGTACAAATTATTTGCAGAGTCCAATGGATTTATTACTATAGTGAGCTCTGCTTTATCCAATTTTTACAAATAAGAATTAAGTTGAGTGTTTAAGGTCTTTCGTTACAGTGCAGATAATAAAATAAATTCAAAGAGCATTGACTTCCATGAACCTGCTGTAATGTATATACTATTTGATGGCAAAGCACACTAATAATAATAAGGTCATCATACATAAGAAGAAAAAGCTCTGAAAATATACTTTTTAAAATACCACACCCTAATTATGTGCTACAGAAAAATTAATTCCAGACTAATTAAAGTGTAAAATAAATGAAAGCATGTAATATTGAGATCAAATGCAGATTTACTATCTGATTTTAGGATAGCAAAACCTAAAAGTAAAGGAATTAAAAAAAACAAAATAATTAGTCATATGCTTTAAAGAGAGAGATCTGTTCTGTTCCGTTGGTCTATATCTCTGTTTTGGTACCAGTATCATGCTGTTTTGGTTACTGTAGCCTTGTAGTATAGTTTGAAGTCAGGTAGCGTGATGCCTCCAGCTTTGTTCTTTTGGCTTAGGATTGTCTTGGCAATGCAGGCTCTTTTTTGGTTCCATATGAACTTTAAAGCAGTTTTTTTCCAATTCTGTGAAGAAAGTCATTGGTAGTTTGAAAACAAAGCACTGCATGTTCTCACTCATAGGTGGAAATTGAACATTGAGAACACTTGGACACAGGGTGGGGAACATCACACACTAGGGGAGGGGGGGAGGGATAGCATTAGGAGAGATACCTAATGTAAATGACAAGTTAATGGGTGCAGCACACCAACATGACCCATGTATACATATGTAACAAACCTGCACGTTGTGCACATGTACCCTAGAACTTAAAGTATAATTTAAAAAAAAGAGAGAAAATTTCTGTCTCGATAGTATTTTCCTGTTAATTTTAAATATATTCACTTATAAATTGCATTTATTTTTCTAAAAACAGGCTTTTATATTTCTGGCCAATTTTTCCCCATTAATTTGTGCATCATTATCTTATTGGTTGATAAGAACACTGTATATTAATGGCATTTACCCTCTGTCAAATATATTGTAAATATTGTTTCTCTATTCATCTTTTGCTTTTTTATTTTCTTCTTAATGTTTTGACATGATTTTAGCATATCTCTTTATAAAATATATAAATAAGCTTTTCAAAGAATAAATGTGCAAAGAATGTAAGAAAAATAGTTCAACATGACTGTTAATGAAATAAATATTTTAAAAATGAAATATTATTTCCTCCTATCAGATTAGGAACAATTTCCAAATAATGATAAGACCTGGTGCTGGATCAAACGCAATTACAAGTAACTCTACAACTTCTAGTTAAAATGTAAATTCGGACAATATTTTGGGAAGGCAATTAAAGAATTTACAACAATAGCATCAAAAAGAAGTTCAAACTTATAATCCCCTCTATTCAATGTATTCAGGACATTTTGTTAACCCCCTGGTTTATAGACAAACATAACATAGTGTCTGCCTTTATTGAATTAAGGAATCCACAATAGAGTCAAGTGCATGCTCAAGCAGATACAACATCTGTTAATGGCAGAACAAGTTATTGAAATAATCTTCTATAAAGACCAACTAAAAATTCTGGATGACATAGAATAAAAGCATCTTCACACACACACACACACACACACACACACACACAATATTGAGAGATAATTTGGCAAAAATCTAGGTCTAAGAAAATGTAGAACGTAGATAGGTAAACAAGTGTTCTAAGCCATACTTGTTTCGAATGTATTTGCCATCTGGACTAAATTTCTGTGAAATTGAGCTGGTAGTTTGTGGCTTTCAATGAATTGGTCTATTTCATCTAAATTGTTCAGTTAATACATACTGAGTTGTTCATAATATTTCCCTATAATTTGTTAATGTCTGTAGGGCCTATAATGATACCCCCTTTTTATTTCTGATATTGGTAATACCTTTGTAGCTTCTCTCATTTTTTTCTATTTTAGTTGCTCTAGAAGTTTATTACTTTATTAATCATTTCAAAGAACAAACTTTTGTTTTCTTTGATTTTTCTCTATTGTTTTCTGTTTTCAATTTAATTGGTTTCTTGTTTTAAATTTGTTTTGCTTATTTTGGTTTTATTTTGTTCTTTTTCATTTCTTGAGGTAGAAGCTTAGATGATTGATTTAAGAACTTTATGTTTTTTAAAATACAAGCATTTTTAGAGCAAAAATTTCTTTCTAAGCACTGCTTTAGCTGCATCCCACAGACTTTGATATTTTGTATTTTCATTTTCATTTACTTCAATTGTTTTTGCTTTTTAAAAATGACACGTATCCACCAATATAGTATTATACAGAATAGTTTCACTGCCCTAAATATCCCTGTGCCCTGCCATTTAATCCCTCCTTCCTTCTAACCCCTAGCAACCACTAGTCTTTATACATATATGTGTGTGTGTGTGTATGTCTATGTGTGTGTGTGTATATATATATATATATAATTCAGATGGTATTAACTTTAGGGAGACTCATAAAATTAAATGAAAAAATTTTCTTCTCTTTATGCAGGTTAGTTTAAATAATATTAAAATTATCTGTTTTTTATGAGTGATGTAGAATTCAGCTGTGAACCCATCTGATTCTAATATCTTATATAATAATAGATTTTTAATTATATTTTCAATCATTTCTATGGTAAACAATTGATTCAAGGTTTTAGATTTTTCCTTAGTTAAATTTTGGTAATTTATATTTTACTAAGGAACTATCCATTTCATCTAGATTTTATAATTACTGTTATAGTTGCATGTAGTTTTTTTGGGGTAACTACTCTTTAAATCTATTATTGTATTTCTTTACTCATTCCTGATTGTGCATAGTTTTCACTCTTTTTTCTCCTTAATCAAATGCATGAGGGGGTTACCTAAAATAACTTATTGCTCTTTTAAGAAAACTATACTTTATAGTTATCTATTTTTTCTAATTAAGTTTTTCTTGTATTAATTTCAGCCTCTGTTTTTATTACTTACATGTTTCTGCTTTAGGTTGATTAAATTGGATTTTTTCTGATTAATTAGAAAACTACCTTTATTGTTTTTATTTTTATTTTTTAAAATAGACTTTATGCTTTAAAACACTTCTGGATTCACAGTAAAATTAAGCAGAAGGTACATTAATTTTCCATATACTCCTCTGGCTCCACATACACACAGTGTTCCCCTAGCCCCATCAACATCCTACACTAGAATGTAGTACGTTTGTTATATTCAATGAAACTATATTGACACATCATCACCCAAAGTCTATAGTTTACATTAGAGTTCACTCTTGGTGTGGTAAACTCTGTGGATTTTGACAAATGCATAATGACATATATCTACCATATAACATCATAAAGACAATTTTCACTGCCCTGAAAATCATCTGTGCTCTTACTCTTTTATCATTTTCTCCCACTAATTCTGGCAATCACTGATATTTTTATTGTTTCCATAGTTTTGCCTTTTCCAGAGTGTCATAAAGTCAGAATCCTGAGTATATAGCACTTTCAGATTGGCTTCTTTTACTTAGTAATATGAATTCAAGTTTCCTCCATGCTTGTGTGTGTGTGTGTGTGTGTGTGTGTGTGTGTGTGTGTGTGTGTGGCTTGATAGCTCATTTCTTTTTTAGCACTGAATAATATCCATTGACTGGATATACCACAGTTTATTTATCCATCCATATACTGAAGGACATCTTGGTTGCTTCCAAGTTTTGGCAATTATCAATAAAGCTACCATAAATATCCATGTGCAGGCTTTTGTGTGAACGTAAGTTTTCAATTCATTTGGGTAAATACTAGAGAATGCTATTGCTGGATCATATGGTACCAGTATGTTTAGTTTTATAGGAAACTACTAAATTGTTTTCCAAAGTGGTGGTATCATTTGCATTTACTCCAGCAATGAATAAAAGTTCTTGTTGCCCCACATACTTACCAGCATTTGGTGCTGTCAGTGTTTTGAATTTTTGCAATTCTAATATGTGTGTAGTGGTATCTCATTGTTGTTTTAATTTGCAATTTCCTAATGACATATGATGTTGAACATCTTTTCATATACTTACTCTGTTATATTTTTAAGTTTCACATGAGACAGCTTCTTTGACCCATGGATATCTAGTAGCATGTTGTCTAATTTCCAAGTGCATAAAAAACACACCTGGCATTTTCTGTTTTTCATATCCAGTTTGACTTCATTATGGCCAGAGAACATATTTTATAGAATTTCAATTTTGTAAAATTTGTTAGCGTTTGTTATAATGATGTCATCTACCTTGATGATGTCATCTACCTTGGTGAATGTTTCAAGTTTGCTTGAAAAGAAGGTGCATTTTGTTCTTGTAGGTTAATGTATTCTATAAATATTTATTGGGTCCCAGTAGTTGTTGGTGTTGTTCAGTCCTTCTACATACATGCTGATTTTATGTCTGGTGATTCTTTTCTTTTCTTTTTTTTTTTGAGACAGAGTTTTGCTCTTATCGCCCAAGCTGGAGTACAGTAGTGCGACCTCGGCTCACCGCAGCCTCCGCCTCCAAAGCGATTCTCCTGCCTCAGCCTCCTGAGTAGCTAGGATTACAAGTGCCTGCCACCACCCCCGGCTAATTTTTGTATTTTTAGTAGAGACTGGTATTGAACTCCCGACCTCAGGTGATCCACCCGCCTCAGCCTCCAAAAGTGCTGGGATTACAGGCATGAGCCACTGCGCCCAGCTATATGACTAGTGATTTTATCAATTACTGAGAAAGGGGTATTCACATCCCCAACTGTAGTAATTAGTTTTCCTTTCAATATTGTCAGTTTCACTTCATATATTTTAAAACTCTATTGCTGGTGCATACATATGGAGGATTATTATATCTTCTTGGTAAATTGACCATTTTATAATCATGTAATGATCTTTGTGCCTGCTAATTTCCTTTGCTCTGAAGTCTACTTTGTCTAAGATTTATATAGCCATGCAAGCTTCCTTTTGATTAGTGTTGGCAAGCATATCTTTTTATCTTTTTCCATTCTTTCACTTTTTTTTTTTTTTTTGAGACAGGGTCTCACTCTGTTGCCCAGGCTGGAGTGAAGTGGTACAATCATAGCTAACTCACTACAGCTTTGAATTCCTAGTCTTATGTAATCCTTCCACCTGCATTCTTACTTTTACTTTTTTTTTTTTTTTTTGAGACAGAGTCTTGCTCTGTCATCCAGGCTAAAGTGCAGTGGCGTGATCTTGGCTCACTGCAACCTCCACCTCCCGAGTTCAAGTGGTTCTCCTGCCTCAGCCTCATGAGTAGCTGGGACTGCAGGTACATGTTACCACACTGGCTAATTTTTGTATTTTTTAGTAGAAATTGTGTTTTGCCGTGTTGGCCAAGCTGGTCTCAAACTCCTGACGTCAGATGATCTGCCTGTCTCAGCCTCCCAAAGTGCTGGCATTACAGGAGTGAGCCACCATGCCTGGCCCATCCCTTTACTTTTAATTTACCTGTAATTATATATGAAATGAATTTCTTGTAAGCAATGTATAGTGGAGATATGTTTTTATACCCATTCTGCCAATCTCTGTCTTATTTATATGATTAGACCATTTATATTTAATTTAATTTTAAATGTTCAATCAATAGGGCATCATCCCATACTCTCTGTGACCATAGAACCCAAGAATAAAGGACAGGAATACTGCCCTATTAGTGCAAAGTGGGAATTATCAATAGGCTTCGCCCAGCAGTCTCTGTGACTGCAATGTCTGATGGGTAGGGTAAATGGCACAGGTAAACCTTTCATGGTATTCACCTGGAGTATGGCAGGTTCAGTCAAAATAATTCTGTTCTACAGGAATGCCTTTTTCCTGGTCCTTTGGCTAGAGAGAGCACGCTTTTCTTGGAAACTTTTTTGCCTTTGACCTTTGGCCTTTTCTGATTTGGGGCTTCTCTAGAACTCAAGTCAGACTATATAAGTAGTATTATCATCTGAATATTTGTGTTCTCCTCCACCCTCCCATCCCCTCCGCAAATTCATGTGTTGAAATCCTAACCTCCAAGATGATGACAACAGGAGGTGAGATCTTTTATGAGGTTATTAGATCATGATCACAAAGCCCTCATAAATGGGCTTAATGTCGTATAAAATAGATCCAAGGGAGCTCATTTCCTGGTTCTATCAAGTGAGGACACAGGGAGAAGGTGCATCTATGAGGAAGTGGTCTCTTGCCAGACACTGAACCTGCCAGCACCTTGCTCTTTGATTTTCCAGCCTCTAGAACTGTGAGAAATAAACTTCTGTACTTTATAAGCTATCCATTTTACAGTATTTTGTTATAGCAGCCTGAATGGATTAAGCAAAGGCCAAACAAAACAAAACAAGCCAGAGAACTCACCACCAATCCCTACCCAACCTGCCTTCTTCTCTTCACTTTTCAGTCTTCTGATAGTTGCCATTTGGATTTTGTCTAGAATTTTAGTTCTAATTAGCAGAAGAAATTGAGTGGGGTGTACTTATTTCACCTTTTCTGGAACCAGAAGTCTTCCTAGATTCTTTTTAAAAAACATCATTATGTTCAGTAGAATTGCTTATTACTGTAATTTATACCTTAAATATTCCTTATAGTAGTAAATTGTTGAACACACTGAGCTTTATCACTTTAAAAAATATTTCACTTGAATGATACTCAAGTAAAGTTTAAATAACATGAATCTTTTTGAAAGAAATGTAAAATCATTATTTCTTTTGTCAGAATATGAAATGAAGGGGAGATCTGTCAAATGAAGTAAGCATTAATATCAAGAAAATTAGGTTCTGGGAAAAGTTTTGGTTATTATTTTATTGAAATGAATAATCCTTTATTTTCAAGAAGCAAATTTTAGATATAAAACTCACTAAAACATCTTTTCTATGTATTTATGTATTTTATTTTTGACGTTGCATTTGTCCCTAAAATTGTTTGAGTAGTTATTCTGGTTGCAGAGATGCAGTGAATCACTCCCCAGCCTAGCTCCTATGTACAGTATTCATGGCACATACTGAGTGTTCAACAAACATTAGCAACTAGACTGAGTGCTTATTTGATTATTAATTATACTTTTGTACCTTATTCCAAATTCTACTTTTTAATCTTCAACAAAATCATTGTTTCTCACATTCACTTAATTAACATGTATTAAATGTCTTGTGTTCTGTGGTAGGCATAGAGAAAATATAAAATGTGACTTTTTACTCAAAGATTATAATCCCAACAAGAGAAACAAATATGTAAACAAAATCTACAGAGATAGGGGTTTGTAAATTGTTTAGGGAAACACAAAGCAGAAGGCAGTAAATTCTACCATAGGAATTGTAGGAAGCTGGTAATCAGAAAAGATTTCACAATGGAGGGAAGAAGGTGGCAGGGTGCTGGGGATTGTGGGGGAAGAAAAGACTTGCTACTGCTTGACTTTACGTTCTCATTATTTTTCACCTCCTGGTCATGTTAGAGGAGATAGAGGAGAGGATTTTGGTATGGGATATGTCAAGGACACAAAAGCAACCCAAGTTTAGATTAATTATGAACAAGAGGGTATCAAAGAGGTTTCTAAAGGGGATATAGTCTATCCTTTACTGGATTTAGGCTGCTTGGCGATTAGTAATACTGCTTCCTGACAAAAAAGATTATTTATGGCAAAGCAGAGTGTAAAGCGAAAGAAGACAGAGTCCAATTTTGTTCTGAGATGCCCATTGTACATCCAGGTGAACATATCTAGTGTCCACTCTACAAATGTGTATGGAGTTCAGGAAGAAATTGAGTGTTCAGATACAGATTTGGAAGCCACTAGGACAAAGTAACGTAGGGGAGTGTATAGTGAAAAGAGAAAAAGTAAAGGACATCCTCTTGGGGAATAGTGTGGCTTAGTGGAAATTGGAGTAAAAGGAGCAAGAAGGAAACAGAGAAGAGAGGTCAAACAGGTGGCAGGAGAAACAGGTGTAACCAGTGTCACTGAAACCAAGGGAGGTGAAATGTCAGAAGGGTCAAATGCAAGAGAGCAGTCAAGTAGAATAAGGATTGCAAAGTCCATTGACTTTGTCAATAGACAGTGTAAATAAACTGAGACTGGCTGCTTGCAGTGTGAAAGGAGGTAAGAACATGGATACAATGTCTATAGACCCTTTCATCAAGGATGTTGGCTAAGATGGGAAAAAGGCAGATAAAGAGGGAATCTGTAGGTGAGTAGTCAGAAAGAAGGAACAGCTTTAGGAGGAAGAATTGCTGATAGAGCAGGATTCTAGCAGAGATAAAAGCACATGAAGAATGATTAGCCTTGAATAGGATCACATGGGTCCCAGAAACCCAAAGAAATAAAGAATCAGAACTTGTATTTAAAATGAGTATTGTCCTTTTAAAAAATAATCTCTTTGAAATGTTATAAAATTAAAATTTTGACTTAGTTGCTTAAAAGGTTTTAGGAATACTCATCTCTTAACTTTACACTTAGAGATGGGTGGATTTTACACCCCCCGCCCCACCACACACACAAGTTTTCTTGTTTAAATGTAGGAATAACTTTTGGAAATTGCCCAAAGTTATTTTAAATCATGTGTGATGAACCAGGCAAGCTGGTGGATAATCCTTTGGTGTAAAATGTTTTCTGGAATGGATTTATTAACTGGCACAAAAATAAACTTTAAAAAGAGGGTCCCCAAATGTTTGTTGTTGACAAAATATTCGATAAGTTCATGGCCTTTTTAGTTCCATACTTTTATGCATTCATTCAACAAAAATGTATAGAAATTCCACTGTGTGTCAGACTTTAAGTGAGAGAGTACTTTTACGAACAAGACTCAATTGCACGTGTTCTAATAAATTTGTTATTACCTAGACTTATGTAACAATATATGCTAACTTGATATGACCACACATACTTCTCTCATTAAAACCAGTAAAAGGTAAAATCTGGCTTATGTTTTTAACTCTTCCAATGATTGTATTTCTATTGGTTCTAAAGCATTTGAGTATAATTCTCACTGACTTAATTTACAATTATATATACTAACAAAATAATTCACCTAAATAGAGGGAGTTGTAAAATAGCATAATGTACTGCTGAATCAAGAATCCTGGGTTCACTGAACTTAACATCGCTTATATATCCCATTAGAAGTTTGGAAATATTAGCTGCATATAGAAAATGGGCTGGCATTAAGATGCATGGTAAATTTTCCCACAGTTTCATTATGTCTATGATGATGCTTCACTCCATTATAATAATGCCTCAACTTTTATATCACAGTTTCTCTAAGTGTGATCAGGTGGTGAATCTGCATTTTTCACAAGCTTTCTAGGTGATATTTATGCAGCATAAGATTTGAGAATCACTGCTAAAAGAGTTTGAAATTGCTGGGCAAATGTATTGAAAAAAAAAACTTTGTATCCACCAGAGAAACATACTTTGATATTGAAGAACTATGCTCAGGTGGTCAGGTATGGCAGTGGTGCAGGCAGGCAGCACAGTGTATTGCCAAGAAAATTGATTTTGGATTAAACAGATTTGAGGTGGACCCCTGTTCACATATTTCTAGCCTGTGTGCTTAAGAAAAACGATTTAACTTTTTTGGTCCTTAGTTCCCTCCTCTGTAGAATGATGGGAGTCATTTCCTCATAAATTTACTGAGGGGATTAAATGGAAGTAGAAGTACAGTGTACATCTTTTTTTTCTGTCTCTTTGTTGAACCTATATTCATTTCCCCACCTAGTCTCCATTCTAGAGGTACAATCTCAAACGCCTTTATGATTAGGCCCATGGGGAATACAAATGACCTAAGTAGTCAGGAAAAGACCATAGAAAATTATGGAAACTGTGGTGAACTGGAGAACGTATACTCCACCTAAGGGCATTCTAATAAAAAATAAAATTGAATAAATCACTACAGGTCAAACAAAACCTATCTGCTAATCAAATCAGACACATGACAGTCTCCATTCTCTGCCTTAAACTGGTAAACTCAGGTCACTTTTTATAAACCATATGCCTCTTCTTAATCATCCTGTTACACATTCTCGACTTCCTGAACTAAATAGGTGAACTTTAGCTCAGAAACCATGGATTTACTTCCATTTTCCTGGCTTTCTCTTCAGGTGTACAGGAGAACGAGCCTTAGTTAGCTCAAGAACACTTTTTCCTTTATATAGAGTTTCATTAAGTGTTGCGACCTCTCAGTTCTTCATTCTGCTCAACTTCCCATCTTCTTGAGGATGGAGAATAGCACGGTCACAATAAAGATCAAGAGCATATCAGATCATTCCTCTATTCTAGCTAGGTTAACTTATTTCATTGTTTTCCAGATTCTAAAACAAAGAGACTAATGGAGGAAACCTGATATCCAAAGGGAAGTAGAAGAAGATGGTTATTTAATTACATCAAATAAACCTGAGTTTTATACCCAGCTTCATAACTTAGCTTCACCAACTTCTGTCAATTATCTCTCTTTTAGTTTCAATTCCCTTGCTGCAAAATCAACACAATAATTCTTTGTGGTATGGTTTTGATGATAAAATGAGATAATGTTTGTAAAGCTTTTTGTACCACAAAAGTTCTCATCCCTGCTTTTTGAAGTCTTGCTAGGTAGTTAGCTAATGTATTTACACATTAGGATCAATCTTAACTGAGCCAATTCTAACCACTTAGCAAGTCCATCACCAATTTTTTTTTTCTTAAATAAGCAACTGGGTGGGCTGGTGGTATTTAGTGCTGGGTTTGAGCACAGACGTGTAATACTTCAGGGTTGAAGTTTATTGGCTTGGGGTCTTGGGAAGAGAGAAAGCACCATCTAGGAATTCTGAGTCAGTCATGGAATAGGCTGTAGCTGACTAACCAAATCTAAATTAAGGCAAGGCAAAGGAGCAAATCAAGAACAAAGTCAAGTTTTCGTAGCTTGAAGGGCAGCTGTGTCTAAAGTTAGGATGGAGATAAAATGGCAAAACTAGAGAAATATTCTTGGCCAAACAAGAGCAGCTTTCTATAGGAATTTTGGAGTGAAGGTAGAGTTTACATGTTTAGGAAAACATCCTATGAATATGTTCAAATATAGCTGACTTGTATCCTAATTGGTATAGAGTTGAGACCCAAATTCTTGTTCATCATGATGTTGGCTCAGAGGCCAGCCAGTCAGCCTACTTGGCTGTCCAGTCTGCCTTCAGTCACAATCTCTACTCTTGTGTCAATGTAGCTGTCTATCTGAAGCAACGCAAGCTTCACAATATCCATTGTATTTTATGTGTATTTGCTTCTGCGGTTTCCTCCTGACCGTGAGCAGCTACCTCACTCTAGTGGATTTTCTTTTAAGAAACCCTGGATTCTCTTTCTCCTGACCGCAGGCTATTGTCACAGACCTTTTGCATTGCTTCTAACCCTGTCATTTTCAGTCTACATGCATGCCTGTTTAAGATGCAAGTGTTATTACTCCTTTTACACACTTCTGCTTCTTACTTGGGTCAGAATATGTCTTCGAGTGAATAGATCAACCCAGCCTAAGCCATCTCCTGATATTTGGACTTCTTCATTCTAATGCTATTCACATCTCCCTAGTCTATCCCATAAATTACCTCCTTTATACCCTTCTCCTGGAGTAGCTGTGAATACTCCTATTAAAAGGCATTCAGTGAAATTTATGGAGGGTTCCTTCTATCTTCTAATCCTCATTCTCTAATTCTAGCTTACATCTGGAAGTTGAGGGTTCGATGTGACTAAGTTTTCAAATTATCTTTCCTACTGATTTTGAAATATGTCAACAAGATAAAACATATTTAAATAAATGTAATTTTCCCCAAACCTATGCTAATTATGTTTCTTTGTCCCTTCCTCCCAGAAATAGAAGAAGAAAATTCAATTTTTAAGGAATAGAAACAAGTATGTATAGTAGGTAATGAATACTATGTATTACTTGGATGATATAGAAAAGCACAGTGCTGCACAATACACTAATATAAATAACAGCTTACTGGGCAACATGGAGGAAGGAAAAAAAGTTAGCACCTGGTTTATAAGAACTCAAGTTTCTAAATCCTGAAATAAACCAGGAAGAAATAATTTGAATTACAAGAGATTAACTTGATTTAGGACAGGTTTCATCATAGTTCTTTAAAACAGTAAACCACTGAAATTAATATAAAATATAGTTTTGATTTCCAAATGTCAATATTATATCTTTTCTAAAATACACTTGTATAAAGAACATAATTCACCTAAAACAATAAATAAACCACAAATAGAACTACTTGAATATCAGATACACAACTAAACTTCAAACCTACCAGTAAATTATACAAACTTCCTAGTCATACTGCATTATCTACTTTCAGAACAGAGATGATGACTAGATTTTGTTTTTCCTTTCTAGATTGTCTCTTGCTTCTTCCTAGGTGAGAAAAATGCACAAACAAAATTCTGTTTTGTTTTGTTTTGTTTGTATTCAGGCTCATGGCTAAGGTTTTGCTAGAAGGTATATTTGGAGTAGAAAAAACATGAAAGTAAGTAGGAACTGCTGGAGACATGCATTTACAGAAACAAAATTTATCATAGAGTAAAATTTAACTTTATTGATAATGTGAATATATATGCATTTAAATTCTGATATGCCTAGAATATCATTAAATCGCTTTTGCTATAATTTTTCTTATTGTATATTATAAACGAAAAAAGTTGACAAACAAATCTCACCCATCTACACACACCAAAAATCAGTATATGTTTCAGAGCTGCATTCTAATGCACTTATTGAAGGAAAAATGTTCATAATCTGATGAAGAACATTTGTGATAAAATGGTCAGTATGTTAAATCAAGGTTATGCTTGATGTAGATCTGTCTTTAATAAATGAACCATAAAAATATTTAATACTCTCATTGTTGTATTCTTATTTTGTAATGTAATTATAGGAGAAATCTTTGGACAAGAATTATCAGAAGGAGATTTATTTTAACATGGACACTGAAATGCAGATTTATGCTTTGCAACAATAACATGGTAGAAATTAATTAGAATCAACCTCTTTTGTTTTTTTAGCCTGTGAAGCAAGTTTGTGTCTTTTTATGAAAATATTACTTTTTGGCATTTCAATGTTGATTCAAGAGGGTGTAACAATGCATGCAAGAACAAGATCCGAATCAGTGACTATAATTATTCTAGGTGTATTTATATTATTTCTGTCTGTTTGAATGTGGCTTATCACATGTAGGTTTTGTGCACTAATTACTTCATGTTTTCTATAGATTTTGTTAGTTTTTGAAATATTTGTTTTTAATTAAATAGCCTGTTTCACTCACCCAAGAAAATCTATATCTGAAGACTTGATATAATCTTATTGTTGATAGCAAATGAGCTTCACTATTTGTTATAAAAAGTATGACACAGTATTGGGAACTCTTGGTAATTTAGGAGTCTTTTCGCTTTCCAAAAACATGTACTCCGATGGGCAAGTGAGTTTTTGTGTTTTTTTTTTTTTTTGTCAATCCTTCAAGATACCTGAAGAGCATTCTTTACCTACTTTGTGTCTCAGGACAAGCTTTCTCCTAAGCAAGCTCAAGATTATGTCCTTTTATACTTCTGCAATCAATTTATCATCAGTAAATTTCTGAGATAGGTGATGTTTAATGGCCATTATATAAATGATTAGCTGGGACTCAGAATCTTTAAGTGAGTCATAGAGCTAGAAAATTACAGAGATTGGTCTTGAATTCAGATCTTTCACAGAAAAGTTCATAGTTTTTCTCCTCTACTCTATGTTTAATATCTATAGTTGACTCCTCCATTGTCCCACTCAGAGGGTCTGCTATGAGTCATACATGTAGATTTATTTTTCCATATATTACTTGGACCAATGATGATATTGAGTGAATCCATTTTGATGGGGCATGAACATGCCTACTGCCAAACTCATGAATAATTAAATGTGTCTCTTTATATATTAATATTTATATGAACAAATTTTGACAATAATATCACATTTTGAAAATATTATAAGAACTTTCTATTTAATTCAGTGAACATTTATTGAGCACCTACTGTGGGATAGAGATATATATATGTGTGTGTGTATAATATTGGTATTTCCTATAGAAATTTATTATTTTAATTTGCAATAAACATATATCAACCACCAACCTGCACATAAAATGGTGTTTAGAATTTTAATGGTCTGGAAAATGCAAATTAAAACCAAATAATTAAATATTTTTCATACTTGCTAGAATTGCCTAACCACTGGAAATATTGGTGCAATTATGGATCAACACAAACTCTCATATATTCAACCACTTTGAAAAACCACTTAGTAAGTTTCAAAAAGTTGATCTTCCCTCTGATGCAAGAATTCCTCTCCTAGGTTTTTGCCAAAGAGAAACAAAAACATATGTTTACAAAAAGATTGGCACAAAATATCTTAACAATTTTATTTATAATAAGCCAAACTAGGAAATAACTCAGATGTCCATAAATAGAAGTATATTCATGAAATACTGATAAAACTCAGTAACATTAATGACTCTCACAGGCATTGTGTTGAACTAAAGCCAGATATGAAAGACTACATACTGTATGACTCCAATATATGAAGGCCAGAACAGACAAAACTAATATACGGGGACAGAAAACTGACAGTGGTTGACTGTGCTAGGGAAGGGGTTAAGTGGCTGGTAAGGGGCATGGAGAAACTTTCTGGATAATGGAAATGGCCTATATCTTGATTTGCATCTTGGTTACTTGGGTATATCCATTTGCCAAAGCTCATCAAATTGGTCATGTAAGATCTGTGCATTTCACTGTATGTAAGTTGTACCTCAATTTTTGAAAAGTAATTTTGTGGTAAATCCCTTTGCAAAGAAAACAACCTGTTTGTAAGAAACTTCCACCTTTTTATTGAATGTTAATAATTCACTTTAAAATTTAATATTTGCTTATAGTCAGGGGTACCAATCAGACAAATCTAGCTGAGCCATAAAAGCATGGATTTTCAACCTATTCCTTAATACTTTTGAATTTGGCTTCAGAATAGAGTTCATTCATTTGTATAGTTATTCTTATATTTATGTTTACAAATGAGAAATAACATGCCTCCACCTGGAAACTGCCATTTTTGCAGTAAATTGATAGTAGCATGTATTAAAAACTCATGTAGGTATCAAGCTATGATTTGTAACAACTGCTTCAAAATATTAAACTGTTATTTGTTAATTATTTCTAGGTGTGATGAATTTGAAAAGGACTCTAGACCTTTGTGTTTAACTGCTGCTATGTAAATGAATTGTTTTGGACAAGCACACAGCTCTCAAGCACTATATGCAACACACAGGCTCAATCACCCTGAGAGGCAAAATGAGCTTCCCTGCCTGAGCCCACAGTGCACCTTGCAAGTAAGTTGAGAGGGCTCCACCCACTCTCTGTGTGAAGAGGGTTGTCCTAGTTTCCCGGAATGTTCAATCCATGGACTCTGTGCAGAGCCTGCCAAAAGCACTGCAATTGGTTGTGCCAGTTGTGTTGGTGTTTTATGGCTCTGTTCATCTTTAATGATCTGTAGCCTCTCTCACCATGCAAGCTTCTGAATCTTGGCTCCTGCCCAGCTGCTCTATTGATCTGAAATTTGGCCAGCAAGCAAAATCTTTTGTTTGTTTTTGGGATTATATTTATTATCTGGCTCCAGACAGGGAGCACAGAATGGAGTGGAGACTTCACAGAAATGAGGACATCCACTCCTCTGGTAGGACTCCGGAGGGACTAAGACCAGTCATCTGGTGCTATAAAAGAACACTGCTCAAAGTTGTAAAGAGAATTCATATTTGCATTGTATTGACGGTAACAACAGCCCCCAGAGCAGAAGGTATTCTGCAGTTCAGAGAGTCAGGGCTCTGGGGTGCCCCTTTCCAGAGTAATCTGCTGCGAAACAGCAGACACAAGTTTATAGAGGCCTGGCTTTATGTGTAAGGGGAGAAGACTCTCCCTATCATGTTAGGGCTGGGAACCCAAACTCAAGTCTTGATTTATTCAAGCTCAATAGAGTTTTTAATTTCTCTAAACCAAAAACTGGGTTTTCAAATCTGAGTGTCCTAGTCACCCTAGTAATTTGAAATGAAAAAAAAAAAGTGATTTCTCAAAAATAGATTCTGTGGTCAAATATTTTGGGGAAAATTTACATACAATATTTATTTCTTAAATATTTATAATTCATATTGACACATTTAGAAGCTATGAAAAATCCTCTGGGGGAAAAAATCTATTTTCCTTTCTTTAAACTAACATTTTCCAAATTTCTTGACCATGGGATGCCATTTAACAGTGGTTTTGTGAAATATGTTTAGGATTGGAATATAAGATTTTCCCATGCAAAGTCTTTCAGAAAAGGTATTTAATGAACATACATTAAGGTATAAATGATTAATATAACGCCTTTACTGGGAGCAGGTTTTGATGGGACAGAATGTGTGGGTGTGTGTATGTGTGTGTGTGAGAGAGTGTGTGTGTGTGTGTGTTTATGTGTATGTGTAGGTATTAGAGAGGGTTAGTTATTCAAAAAATCCATTATTCTCTTCCATAATTATAAAGTTGTATCTAGGATGGAGCTGCCCAACCAAAGACTGCACTTTCCAGCTTCTCTCATAGCTGGGTATGGTCATGTGATTCATATTTGCCAATCGAATGTGAGAAGAATTGATGTATACAACTTCTGTCTGTGGCTTCTTCCACAGAACACAGACACAAGTCCCTAGAGTATAGCATAGCCAAAATACGGAAGAAGTTTGTCCCTAAATTAACATCTAAAGGACAGCCATTTGATAAACAGGAACAAAAACCTGTACTATCACATGAATGACAAATAAACGTCTGTTGCATTGAGGCATATTTTAGGATCTATTTTTTACAGCACTTTAGCCTTATTAATACTACATTGGGAGGAATGATAAGCAATAATTTTTTGGAAGACATTCGAAAAATAATTAGGAAAATCACTTAAGAGCATCAAATGCCCAAAGGAGTTAAGCATTAATCACCTCCAGAGAGGATAGCCAGGACTGATGGTCCTACATTTAATTTTGCTTTTCTCATTATATTTAAGAGCCTAAGAGCACCAGCATCAGACACACCCAGTTTCAATGTTTGGCTTTGCCAGTTACTAGTTTTATGTCTTTGCCAACTTTGCCAAATCTTACTTTTCACATAATAAAAATTGATAATGACTTTCAATGTGTACAGTTATTCTGAGAATTAAACAAGAAGATATGCACAGTTTTTATCACAGTATCTAGCAAGAAACATACATAGAAAGTGATAGTCATTAAGGCTAGTCACAAATATATTATCTGCACTCCTTCTGGGCACATAGTATGATTTCATTTCTTTATCTTCTTTAAAAGTAGTCACTGTCATGTGACCTTCTGGACAAAAGTTTTAAGAGCCACTATGCAATTTTCATGCATCCCCTTTCCTACCTCAATAACTATGAAAGCATGGAGATGGATCTCCCTTTGGCCTGGGCCTTGAGAGAGGACAACTCTCAAGAACAGTTTCCAACTGGCCTGCATTGGACACGTAGCAGGAATGAAAAATAAATCACTGTGGTTTTAAGCCGCTGTAGCCTAATGTAGCTTCACTGAATGACTCGGGAATTTGATACCATAATAACCGGAGTTCTCCAACAATATGAACCCAAAATGCACCAAAATATATAGCATGAACTTATAGTTCAACTGGCAGTCGAAAAACCTGTTATTGCAGGCTGGAAAGATGGTGACCTACATTATGAAGTCACAAACTATTTGGTAAACCTGTTGGCTGCAAAAATTTAGACGGCAAACAAGTCAGTACCCAGTGAATTTGGAGTTCTATGAGAAGAGATTGGTAAACAGAATGTCAGCCTGTGTTAGAGTTAGTCTTGGTTGCATTTGACAGGGCATTACAAAAATGAGATAAGCATTACAAAGCATTGGCTTGTTTGCAAGTAGAAATGAAAGGGGTTAGAGAGAGTTCAGACTTCAGCCTTTTTATAGGGTTAGAGAAGGCAACTGCTTCTCAACCCCAAGGGTAAAAGAAAAGAACCGAAAAGGCTTTTGAGCAACAAAGGACTATTAAAACTAAGCCTCATGAGAAGGATCAATTCAAGGATATGGTTCTTATATCCATTGTTAAAATCCATGAATTAAATTCATTTCAGAGCAAAAAACCTAATTACAACAGTGGCAACCAGTAAATCCTTTTAATTGAACATTGATTGGGAAAAGAGATTAAAAATCAGTATGTGTTTTGAAAAGAGTGAGACATATGGTAAGGGAATATCAACAAAGCCAAGAAAGAGAAATAATTTAAATTATTTTAAAGAAAAAAATGGGTGTGACTGCATATATATATATATATATATATATATATATATATATATATATATGACTATATATATATATGACTATAATACATGGATAAGGAACCCATTTCTTTTGAGAAATTTATACTATCAAAAAGACTACCAGCCTAGATTAAATAATTTGTTTCATATATGATGACCATCAGTTTCCCAACTTCCAAGGCATAATCTTCAACACCTACTTCAAATGTAAGCAAGAAGAGTAATGAAGAATGCAGAACATCCCAGAAGGCAGCAGCAGAGGCCACAGAGAAAACGGAGCATCACCTAAGCATCCCGGCC
This sequence comes from Homo sapiens, assembly GCF_000001405.40. Lineage (NCBI taxonomy): Eukaryota > Metazoa > Chordata > Mammalia > Primates > Hominidae > Homo > Homo sapiens. The sequence goes on along the minus strand of NC_000001.11, from coordinate 98,427,116 downwards.
TTTAATCTTGATGAGATATTTATGTTGAACTTGGTATTTTGTGATCACGAGGTTGTGTTGTAGTGGTCATCAAGACTGTTTCTAAATATATTTTTCCACCATTTGGATACGTGGTAGGATGAAATATCTCTGATTTCTTTGATCTGAGAGTGTCCATGTTACTTGCTTTGACAAATAAGATGTGAGTGGACATGATTCACAGGGTCAATTCCAAGTAGAAATTTAGAGAGTTGGCTCATAATTTGCCACATTTCATTTTCCTAATTGGCAACAATGGTAACACAGAGAGGGAACCTTTCTCAGCTTGGGGGTAATGTGAGGATGAGCTTGCCATGCACATGAAGACTGCCATGCATGTGAAGACTGAAAAATCAACCACTGAAGTTTTAAGCCAGTGGGATTTTGGAGTTTGTTACTGTATCATAGTCTAGCCAATCGACTAATAGAGAAATTCAAGCTGATACAGAATTGTATTAGGATCAGTAAGAAGAAAGACACAAAAACAGATGTGTTGGAGCCGTGTTTTTCTAATCATGGACTGTGGCTTGCTTATTAGTGGGCCATAAAATCAGTTTGGTGGGTTTGGGCCCAGCTTCTTTTTCTAGAGCAGGTTAGAAAAAATCATATAGTAATATTAAACACGGTTTCTATCTCTCTCTGTCTCTCTTTCTCTCTCATTTTGTGTGTGTGTGTGTGTGTGTGTGTGTGTGTGTGTCTGTGGGTGTATAAAAAATAGGAGAAAGATCAATAGAAAGTATATGTGTCTCTTAGTATGACTCACTGTGAAAAACTTTGAGAGTTACTGGCCTGAAACCTAGTTAATGGAAACACTTGATTGATTGAATTTAGATATGAATGGCTATCCCCAAAGGATTTTGTGGTCTCGTGATGTCAAAGGGCACCGTTCTCAAACTTTTTCTATTCAAATGTTTGTTCATAGAGCTTAGTGAATAGCTTATCAATTTTTTATTGAGTTCAGATTAAACTGATAAACCAACATTGGTGACGTATGAAATGCTATGTCAAATAGAAGCTATGGAGAATGAAGAAGATTAGTATATATTGTCCCAATTTTCAAAAATTGGATACAGTTAGTGACACCTATGAGCCAGTGAGCTTGATGTTGTGACAGAAAATATTATAAAATGATAAAATGGTATATCTATGAAGACTTAAAGAAGTGACAGCATGAGACTTTGTGATTAAGCTATGCTAGATGAATACATTATTTTTAATATAATTCCTCAATATTGGTTTAGAGCTATGTTAAAGACTATGTCAAGATTTCAGGAAATCATTTGACAGAATTTCTTATAATATACTTTTAAAACATGAAGAAATTTGGTCTGGGTGATTTACTACTGGGTAGACTCAGGATTTCTATAATGAGCATCACCAAATGGGTATTGTTAATGAATCCATTTATTGGAAGGGAGATAGCTAAGGGTGTGTTAAAGGGCTCTGCCTCATATCTTTCCTATTCAAATATATGTAGTTAGTGTCTTCAGTGAAGAACTTGTCTCATTTTGGGGTGACATAAAACTGAGATGGATATTGAATAAAGTATTTAGAGGCTAAAAGTTTAAGAATACCTTCCAAAGGGTGGAATTCTGAGTCAAACTTAAACTCTACAATTAATAAAGTTAAATGTAAATGTAAACAATGTTTAAAGAATGAACAAACCCAGAACAGACAAAATTATAGGTACACAGATATGCCTGTGTTTCAAAGACAATAGCCAATAGTGACAGAAAACCCTTATATAGCATTTACTTTGTGAAAAATACTTTTGTGGCTATTTATGTTTCCTTTCCTAATCACAACAACTCTATGATGTAGGTATGACATTTCTCACCGATCATTGATGAACAAAGCCAAGATGTGGAATGTTAAAATGACTGCATGGATGAGAAGATAAGCAGTCTGACTCCAGAATCTATTCTATCCATCTATTGTATCCAACAACATGGCTAAATGGCTAAACCATTCAATGTGCTTTTGAGTTGAAGAAATAAACGAATAGGACAAATCCAAACCAAGACAGAAGCCATGCAGTAATAAGGCTTTGTCTGAATTACCATTATCAAATACAGGCTAACTCTTTAAGAGACATTGTAACAAACAAGAATATGTTCAGAGAGGGATTGAGACTGTATAGAGTGTAAATTATGGAAAGGATCAATAATCAAAAGAACTGAAAATATACTGATAATATTGAAACTGAAATGAGAAAACGTGAAGACTACAGTAGACGTCTTTAGAGATTTGAATCTACATCACGTAGAAACGAGGTCCGTGTCATTTTGTGTGGGTCAAGAGAGAAGAGCCTTGGTACAGTTAATGAATGGTAGATTTGGGGTTCAACATAAGTAATAATTTCTTAATAATTAGATAGACTTATGTAATAATTAATGGGATCCCTTATTGGATAAATATGTTTTTAATACTACAGGCATTTATTGAAGGATGCTTAATAATATGTCAAAAACATTGTGGAGTTTTTACACACATAGCTGAATTCAGATTACATGATCTTAAGCATTCACAGGTCTAAGAGTCTAAGATTTCATGAATCTCAAAAGAAGAAGCAAAGTGATGTCACTTCCCTTAGTCAGATACCACCAGAAACACATCTATATTTGATCCAATTTGGATTTATTGACTTGTTTCATTATTAACTTGTGGGGCATCTCAATAAAAGGGTACTAGAAAGTACTTATTTTAGGATTTGTCTAGGGTTAGGTGATTTGGAGGAGACCTTAAGGAAGTGAGGCTTTATTCTGGATTTGATGCTGGGAAGAAACAGGTAATTCTATGATTGGGCATCTTAATAATTCTTCTCTTGAAGGTGAGTGAGGCAAATGTTTCAATGAGTAGTGATGCAACTACTCATATTGGCCAAGACAGAGGATATTTGGTCTATCTGTTTGGTTGGGATGATGTTTTTGTTTTGTCTATGATCATACATGATTATATAGCTGTTTTGTTTTTGTCTTGATTTATCACAGTCACGTATGGTCGGAAGATGGTACCTGTGAAAGTGTTTATGTTCAACAGAACAGAAGCTTAGCCATGAGTGCTAGGGCATTTCTTCCTTAACTCCTCACAGTGCCTGTGGCAGGATCTCCTTTGTGGCTCCAAGTCCTGCTTGACAGGCCTACCTTTGTTCTAACCTCCATTGGGTAACCTATTCTCCAAGAAAAATCACAAGAGAAGGTCCTGTGTTTTATTTATCTGTGTATCTCAGCAATGGAGGCCTGTATCTTAAAGAGTAGGCAGTAATATTATCATATTATTACCATATATTATAAATATTATATAGTATATATTATAACCCTTATTATATATATATAGTTATATTAATATGTGGAAGTGACCTGCAGTCAATGTTTGTGTTTTGCTAGCTTCCTTGTCTGAATTAAGTAGAATGGCAGCAATTTAGGTGGAACAGCAGTCAGCAAATATAACAGGCTGAAATATGCTTTATTGGTCAAATGATTCCTAAAAATTTCAGACGTTAGATAATCTTGTAACTATAAGAGTCTCCATGCCAAATTTCAGTTTCTTCACAGACACACTTGCAAAGCATGATGAAGAAAGCATAGAGGGTATTGAACAATGTAACATGCAAACCACAATTTCGGATTTGTAGTGGCCCGGCTTGTATGTGCAAATCCACACTTTTAAGTATGTCCACTTCCTTTAATGAAGACCCCTCTTAGACAGAGTTGTTGTTGTTCTTTTTCTTTTCATGTGCAACACTGTCTCCATATAGGGTCATAGCTATGAGTGAGGTTGCTAACTCTAAGTGAAAAATGTATAGCACATGTTTGGAAGCCCCTTTTTTGTTTGTTTGTTTGTTTGTTTAAAAAATATTGTTCATTTACACAGCAATCTAGCAAAAATGCATGAAAATGACAGACATTTCTTAAAACCCCTACATAGATGAGTCATCATAAACGTCAATAATGAAGTCCTCATTATTGACATTTAAAAGTCCTCTGGAATGGTTTGGGGCTTGTCTGCGGTCCCTACAGTTATAGTTAGCTCAGTTGGTTAGCATCTGGTGCTAAGGAGACCAAGCTTGTGGCTTTGAACTAGAAAGCATTGTCAAGAGATTTAAAATTCCATTATAGTGCCAAAGGCTATGAAAGGCCAAATTCTAAACATGTGGTGGCCACCAGAGTGAGGGGTGAGAAAGCTGATTCTCAGTGCAAACCAATCACTGCCTCTTAGAAAATTCCATTTAAAAGGGTTTGGTTAAAAGGTATTGGGGGTGTTAATAACCTCAGTAAGGGCAATAATAAGAATGAAATGGGGCCACATATTTACTCACACTACAGCCTAGAAGTGCACAGAAAAAAAATGTACCTTTGTTGCATCTTTAATTCAAACTACTTCCTAAGCCATGACACACTGGGTGTTGAGGAAGAAAAACAACCTTTGGTCCTATCTATTCTAAAACTTAGTCTGATGTAGAAAGTCAAGCTCTTCCTTTAGATAATGCTTTGTTCAACTTAGAAAAATGTCTCTGCTTCTCGTAGTTCTATGTCTTCTACCCTTCGAGCTCCTTTCAAGAAAGTAACCAGAAACCAAATGGGGAATCTTAAAGTCATATCAACATTGAGAGCAGGAGACCTTCAGAGTGGTATTGCTGGCTTTTCAGATCTCCAGCATGTTATCTCTTGTCTACCTGGTTTCTGATTATCCTTCCATGCTAATGACAGAAGTTTGTCATGTCTGATGTTATGGTATCTTTTATCTCAGCCAGAGGTGCTAACTCAGCCCTTTGGCAGCCTTTGGGCCACTTGAATCTTTTGTGTCTCATCCTCCATTCAGTCCCTTGCCAGGCACAGTAACCCCAGCCTCTGCTTCAGGGTCACCTGGCCTTTTCCCAGGGTAGGTCAACTGTCTTTCAGCTCAGAGGAGGCAGTGAGGCCAGGGGGACCCCTGAGTTCTATCCATAACATGGATTCTAGATTACTCTGAAAAAGCTGAGCTGGAAGTTCATCCCCAGGCTAACCACTCGGCACCAAGTTTGTTTAGAGGTGTCCATACATCTGGTTGGTTGGTCTTCTCACACAGTCCCAATAGGGAGTGAAAGAAAGCCTCCTCCCACCCTTACTCCCATCACTTTCTCTCCCTATTATCTCCCAGGTCCCCAATGAGTAGACTATCTCTCCTACTTTTTCTTCATATCTGGATTTCATTTATGTTAAATTCAACATTATGGACAGCTAAGTATGTTGTATTTAATGGGGGGTGAAAAAATTCAATAAGAAACTACTTTTAAATAATTCCTGACTTCCACATCCATATTTTCTTGAGAAAAACAAGATTGATGTCAGAGGTGATTAGTTTGTAAAAAATATGGTTTGCAGAGAAATTAAAACATATTTGTCTAACATTTGCAAAGTTACTATGCTGGTTTCCTAACAAAACTAATCATTTATTAATCACTTACTATGTGCTCAGCACTGGGCTCTTTACACAATTCTTATATCATTTAATTCTTACAGCAACCTGGAGAGGTATTATTCTTCCCATTTTTCAGATGAGGAAACTGAGGCTCAGAGAAGTTATGTGATTTGTTCAAAGTCACACCACTAAGTAGAAAAGCTAGGACTGTAGGCAGATCTGTCTAATTTTTATTCTGAGACTCTTAACCACAAAGATACTTTGTTGATCATTATACCCTTATGTTATCATATTTTTCAAAGGGCATCATGTTATTCATAATATATGAGTATACTTTTTATTTGAAATAGACACAACATAACATCTTTGCAGATGGTGACCTAAAATTTGTAAATATGTTCTGCTTTGCTAAGGCAGTAATGAGTGTACAGAGGGAACCATCAAGGGTGCGGGAACATTTTCAGGACATCTGGGGCCCATCAGCATCAAATCATTTAACAGAGTGCAAACAATTTAACACTGAGAGCCTCTCAATTATCTACTTGCAAATAAATAAATGATAAAGTATACATCTTTACCCCGTAAGCAAAAGAGTACACTTCTGGGTTGCCTTCCCAAATTTGGCATCATTAGTATGGTGAATGTTCAAAAAATGCACGCAAAATTTAACACTCATTTGTGCAAAATATGAGTTAGATAAATATGTCACATATGTATAAACACCTCTAAAAACATTGCAGTAAGTCAAGCAGAAGTTCACTATAGGTGACTCATCAGATTGGGTTGCTCATACTATTGTTTTACCAACACTTTTCTTATGTACCTGACTTATATCTGGTACCCTAATACTTTATGTGTTTTGAACTTTCTAGTGTCATGAAAAGTGCTAAGATTTGGAAGCCAGACAGATCTCGTTTGGCTTTGAATTTGCTAACTATGTGTCTTTTGTATTTTCTAAACATCATTTTTCCTATCAAAAATTGTGACTAATAATACCTACCATCTCACAAGACAAATTGTGAGAATGAAAGTAAGAAATGTGTTTAAAATGCCAGCATATAATATGTATTCATGTTATGGAAGCTGTTACTGCTGATGTTATAATTATTACTATTTACTTCAGTGATTCACTAGCAGTGTTTTATTTGACTCACATATTTTTTCTTTTACATAAACATTATGATGACAAGAAATATGAAGCCTACAAAATGACTTTTTTTGTGTATGCAAAGTCACAGCCAGATCACAAATTCCAAATTTCAGTCAATGAAGTTTTCACTCTAGTTATTTCTGATTTTCTTAAACTTTATCTTGATATCCTCTTACTTTCTTTTCCTGAGCTTCATCTTATCCTGCAGTTACTCTTCTCTCTTTCCCAGATGTCACACGGTGAATACTGAGAAAACTTATGCTTCCCAGTATAGACCTCTTCTAACATATGAAACACAAATTCTAACAGTTTTCCCTTTGACATCTCCAAAATTAAAAAAAAAAACCCTAAACTGTTAAAAACTTTCATTTTTGGTATTTTGATCATCTAGGTTTAATGATAACAAATGATTCAATCTTGCTAGGTTGTATGTATCTAGGAATTTATTCATTTCTTCTAGGAATTGAGGTAAATGAGTCTCTGGTGTATTTACATTAATTTGGGTAGACATTGAGGCTTTGTTTAATGACTGCTACTGCTAGAGATGCCAGGGGCTTTAAAGTCCCCTACTGTCTTTGTTTTTGTCTTCTTTCCTGACTTTTGGTTTCCCTAAAGACTCCTCCTCAACAGTCTTTGTCTTGCATCACTTTCAGCAGTAATCCTCTGTTACTATACCAGAGCCCTTTTGGTGTGATTGTAAGATGTGGGAGAGAGGACACCCTAGAATCTTAGGATTGATTACATCTCAATCTTTGGTTAGGCTTATATTTCTGGCCTGTGACCCTCATGTGTTTTTCCTTGTATAGCTCTCCCCACCACTTGAGGGGAGACAGGAAGACTCCAGGAAGTTGGTATGAGAAAAATGCCCTTCTCCCTTGGTTTTAGGGTGAGGAGGCTCCACTAAAGTCTTTCCTCTTAGAAGTGGGCCTTTGTTTTGGAGGACCTGGGCCTATTTCACAAGGATTACTTTTCCCTGTGCTAGACAGAGCTATGAAGGGATCGCTCTCATATCTTCATAATGGAAACCTGGGGTGGTTTCTGGAGGTAAATCCAGGAAAGTGTCACATTTCCTGTCTTCCAACATGATCACCTCCGTAGTTTCTCACTCTCATGCTTTCCCATACTCAGCCTCCAACAATTTGTCAAAACTACCAGTTAAGTGACATCAGTGTTTGATTCCAGTGACTTCTACTCCAGATAAGTAGATTTCATCCATGATGACCCTGTGGATTCCCCTGTCTCCCTAGATTTGGGGGTGATCCTGCAAATTCAGTTCTCTGATAGGTTCCAAAAGAGTAGTTGATTTTCAGTTTGTCTTTTTGTTGTTGTTGTTGTTGCTGTTTTTATAAGGATGAGAGTTATGGCTTCCAGGCTCTTTACATGTAGAAGCTGAGACTAGAAGTTTTGATTGATTATCTTTTAAAAGGGATATTGATCTCAAAGGAATATATGTTTTTATGATTATAAGTTTATTATGCTCATACCAAAAAATATTAGAAAAAAGATTAAAGATAAAAAACAGTTTAAAATTTAAATGCTTAAGTAATTTCTACTGCTAAGGTTCTTATGAATTTCAGTATTTACGCATATACATATTTTATTTGCATTTTCCCTCTATGCCTATTTAATTTCCTGATATTTTTATGCTTACCATTATATAAATGATGAGAAATTATTTATAAACATCATTCTAATGGATAATATTCATCATGAGCATGTTCTTTAATTTAGTGTGCCATCCAGTTAGTGGCTACCTAAATTATTTTGTGTTTGTGTTTGCCTGTGTGTGTATGTGTGTGTGTGTTTCCTTGGATCTCAGATGGTAAGGGTCTGTTTGGCCAGACTTCTCTGGTTTTTTGTTTTGCATATTTTTGCACGAGTGCATGCAAATTTCCTTTCTAATTCTTATTTTTTCTCATTTTCCATGATCTACACTACCATTCTCATTTACTATTGGCCCTAAATATAATGTATCTGATATATATTCTCAAACATGCAAGTGTCCTTTTAAAGTATGAGATATTTTATGTGTATATATCTTTCTAACTTTCAAATGAACAGTATAATGTTTTAAAATTTCCGACATTTTTAACTAAGGGACTTTTCTTTCCTGAGGATTATGCATTCTACCATATATACATATAATTTGTTACTTCTTATTGCTGTCCAGTACACACTACATTGAAATCTACTTTACTTCCCAGTCTCCGGCACCTCAAGTAACGTTGGGTTGAACATTCTCATATATGTCCATATTTGTACATATTTGGTGAGAATTTCTCTAAAGTATATAACCCAGAATGGGATCCATGGGATAAAGAGCACATGTGTTCTTACAGTAACGCTGTCAATTCTAACATTTGCTTTCTATAACGGCTGTAATAGGGTCAATCACATTTGCTATTCATGAGACTTCCTTGTCAGCACTTGGTATTATCTGAGTTACTAATTTTGCCATTCTGCTGGATGTAAAGTGATACTTCTTTCTTGTTTTAATTTGCTTTCCTCAGATGACTAATGAGTTTGACTGTCTCTTGATAGACCTCTTGGTCATGGGGACTTCTCTTTTGTGCCCTGCCTGGTCATTTCCTATGCCTATTTTCTTTGTGTTTCCTTTTTGTAGTTTTAAAACTATCTCCACAAATTATTGTCTACTTTTCCCTTTAAAAAGTGGAGCTTAATTCTCTTCTTGATGGTGAACTAGACTTCTAAAGAATAGAATATGGCAGAAATAATGGTGCATCACCTGATATGGTCTAATTGTCACTACCTGTACCAGAATGATTCTGTTAATATCACTATGTCTTTCTGTCATGCCATAAAATCTAATAGGATGAGTGCCCAGGTTGTCTTCAAAGTTAACCTGAATATTTCTAGATTTTTACCCTTCCATAGTTATTTTAGAATGAGTTTGTTGATTCTTCCACTGATAACAGGTTAAAACTGGATTTTCAAAAATAAAAATACCATCATCATCATTCTGTTACTCATAAAGAAATAGAAATTTGTTTAAAAGGTTCAAATCATTTTTATTTCCTAATAAATACATTATTTGAATAATATGTAGCTATTACTTGTGGTACTTGTGACTCCACTCATAGATAGGACCCGTCCATTTCCAAGGGGTTTGCTGTCCTGAACGGACATGAATACAGATATCAAAATTAATGACTGACATCTATAACTATGACAGCCATAAATTTCCAGATAAAGGCTTTAGCAAGCAAGGGAAAATTTCTGATTTCTTCCTATAAATTTTCCTGTAGCAACTGTAAGGCAAAATCTGTCCACAGAAATTCTTAGTCTTAATATACTTACTCCTCAATCCATTACTATATTCTATCAGAATTGAATTTAAAAAATAGTAGTAAACATTTTAAGTAAGAGTAACTTTACACCTGAACAGAATTCTAATAAGAACCTATATTCATTCTACTCAGAGAACACTTGTCATATCTCTTATAGGGATAGATCCAGCCATGAAGAGGGATTATATTAGTATCTGTCCTTCTAATCAGAAGAAAAATAATATCATTACCATAGTAGGATTAGAGGGATTATTGGTTCCATTTATTGATTTTTCTTAGAAACAACAGCCCATAGAGTTGTTTATTATGGATAATTTTGAAAATTAAAATTACATAGAGCTCTATTTTTCAGCTTGTTTTCCATGCATTATAGTGCCTAGACATAAAGTAATTAAGACGAAGACTTACCTGAAATTAGTTATTTACTTGCCAGTTAGTTACTTGCCAGTTATATGAACTAACAAACTCCCTGTTTTGTTTGAGCCAGTTTAGGATGAGTTTTATGTTACTTGCAACCTTGGGAGTCTTAATTAACGCTGCATGATATGAAACTCATGTTAGGTTAAGGGTTTAATGGAGGCCTTTCAAAACTGTCTGGATTGGTTGCTATAACTAACAGAGGGTAAATTTCATTTGAAGTACTTTGTGCTTATAAACACATCTGAAGTATCTTGAATAGTCCCAAGTAGTAAGAAAATAACCTCTAGCCTGTGTCTACTAAGTAGGAGGAGTAACCCATGAAGGGTAGCTAATAGATCATTGGAAAATCAGCACATATAGATGTACAGGAAACCCAAGTGAGGAAATTATTGCTCCAGAATTTTCAGAAGTAATAGAGATACTTTGCCTCACTATATGCAGGAGTATAGAACACCATATAAACATTTTATTGCAATTCTTTTTATGATTACTATTTAAAATGCAGTGCAAGAAATCTCCCAGTAGCTGATAATGGTTTAAGATAAAATGTTCTTTGTAAAGCAATTTTCACTATTTCCCATCTACACCAATTTAATGTATTCAGTTGTTTAAAACAGCTATTTTTATATTCAGTTAAATGCAATATTACAGTTCATATCATTTTCTTTTCACAGGAAAGTAACTCTATGAATCTGAATCTAAAAATTTAAATCAAAGAAAAACAAAAGTAGTATTTTTACTTGAAAAAATTGTGGAATAAAAATCAGTTATGTGATTTAACTGGGCCAACTATTTGTTCTACAAATCAACCAATTGTGTGATAAAATTGATTGGTCAATTTAGCTAAAATATTTATACAGATTTTTAATGGACATATTTATTTTGTCTTCCTATCTTTTACTTAACCATCAAGACTCAACAAACTAAAGATGGCATCATTCAAGAGACCTTAGACCTAACTCTTTCATCATTTCACTCCCAGTTTCCCAAAGGTTCAAATAGCATCTTGTGTTTATTTTTATCATAACCCTTGTAGCAACAAGAATCTTTTATATATTGCATTTTTACAATACAATTTAAATTCTTCCACCAACACCATACTAAAACTATACAATGTTAATTATTGCTCTGTTTTAGCTATCATTTCTTTGTGTTGGTTTTCTTGACCAACTTTCCCTTGGAATTCTCTTTTTTCTGAGACCAAACACTATTCATGGGTTTAAACAAAAGTTCAAATAGCATCTTGTGTTTATGTCTACCATAACCCTTATAGCAACAAGAGTTAACACTTACTGAGTCCCAGCTATGTGACAGGCATAACTCTTGACATACATTATTTCACTTAATCTTCAACTAGTCTGTAAGATAATTTTGTTGGTGATGATGTCATTTTGTTTGCTCATTCAACAAATGAGGATGTGGAAACTCAGCAAGTTAATTTGTTTACCTACAATAAGTTAGTTAATAAACAGCAAAGACAGAGAAGGTGTGATCCAAGAGACAAGAGGAAACCCATGAATAGTGTTTAGTCTCAGAAAAAAGAGAATTCCAAGGGAAGGTTGGTCAAGAAAACCAACACAAGAAAATGATAGCTAAAACAGAGCAATAATTAACATTGTATAGTTTTAGTATAGTGTTGGTGGAAGAATTTAAATTGTATTATAAAAATGCAATATATAAGGAAATAGTCAAGATTCAACTCTGGACCTGTTTGATTTAAAGTTTATTGTTTTTTCTTCAAACTCATAATTCTCAAACATTAGTATGCATAAGAAACATCTAAAGAAGTTCTTGTGAATACCACTTCATCAGTCTCTCACAGCAAATCTCTAGAGTAAGGTCTGAGGTTTTTAAGAAGTACCACCCTTGGTGACTTTGAAGTTGCTAATGGACCACACTTTAAGAACCCTGCACTCTCATGCTAATACTAACAGAGAGATTCTTGAAGGCAAGGATCTCACTGTATTTTCAGTATCCAGCACACTACTTGATTTACAATGAAAATTCAATGTAATTTTATAGAGCTAAGCAACACTGTGGTTTGAAATAAATGCTTGATTATAATTTGGAAATACTCACATGGACATCATCATAAGTCCCATAAGTTTAGGCACCCTGTGGTTTGTGTTTTGAATTTGCACACTGATGCTAAAGAATGTCCTTTTTAATTCTCCAGTGAAATCCTGAAAAAGGACGTAGTGCTTTGGATCTTTGTCCTATGAATAATTTATTTCAACCTGTAACTATTTTCATCGACTGTGGTTATAATTTTTTCATAAAGCTTTATCTTTCCTTAAAATAAATTGGCTTATCTCTACTCATTTAATCTTCTTTTTATCATGTCTTGTAAATATTTTCTGATTACAAAATCATATATGGTTATTACTGAAAATATCAAAATTTTAAATAAGAAACAGGTGAATAAATTTCTGTAATTATTCCCAAAGAGACATCATGTTACTATACCTCCTTTCAGTATTATATTTATAATTATCTATACATATTTACAAAAAAAGTAGTATTACAACATATATGCCATTTCATAACCTCTTTCTGAACTTAATTTTAAATCGTTAATAATTTTTATATTGTTAATTTTCTTTAAAACTACATTTTAATTGGCCACATAGCATTAAAATGAATGCATTTAATTAAATTTTGTATGTTTGCATATTTTGGGCCCATTAGGTTATTTTCAATTGTTTGGTATTATAAGCAATGTAGGGGAAATTTTAATATTTAGATTTTTTCTGACATTTAGAAAATTATTTTCTTAGCATACATTTCTAAAAGTAGAAATATTAGTTCAAAATATAATCAAGCCTTTGCAAGATTGCCATTGAAAAAGTTTTACTGTTTACATGTCCCGATGTACACTGTATATGCAGTGTATAAAAGTAAGTTTCCACTAAGTATTGAAGGAACATATTCTTTCACACTGCATACTTCAAAATAATAAGAGCCAACTATGCCAAGCCCACAGCCAACATCATACTGAATGGGCAAAAACGGGACGCATTCCACTTAAAAACCAGCACAAGACAAGGATGCCCTCTTTTACCACTCTTATTTAACATAGTATTGGAAGTCATGGCCAAAGCAATCAGGCAAGAGAAAGAAATAAAAGGCATCCAAATAGGAAGAGAGGAATCCAAACAGTCCCTGTTTGCAGATGACATGATTCTGTATCTGGAAAACCCCATAGTCTCTGCCCAAAAAATCCTTGAGCTGATAAACAACTTTAAAAAAGTTTCAAGATATAAAATCAGTGTACAAAAATCACTAGCATTCCTCTGCACCAACAACAGCCAAGCCAAGAGCCAAATCAGGAATGAAATCCCATTCACAATTGCCACAAAAAGAATGAAATGCATGGGAATACAGCTAACTAAAACTCTACAATGAGAATTGAAAAACACTGCTCAAAGAAATCAGAGGTGACACTAACAAATGAAAAACATTCTGTACTTGTGAATAGGAAGAATCAATATTGTTAAAATGGCCATGCTGCCCAAAGAAACGTACAGATTCAGTGCATTACTATCAAACTACCAGTGACAGTCTTCACAGAACTAGGAAAAAAAACTACTTAAAAATCCATATGGAACTAAAAAAAAGAGCCTTAATAGCTAAAGTGATCCTAAGCAAAATGAATGACGCTGGAGGCATCATGTTATCTAACTTCAAACTACACTACAGGGCTATAGTAACCAAAATGGCATGGTACTAGTACAAAAACAAATACATAGACCAGTTGAATAGAATAGAGAGCACAGACACACACCTACAACCATCTGATCTTCAACAAGGCTGACAAAAACAAGCAATGGGGAAAGGACTCCCTATTCAATAAATGGCGCTGGGATAACTGGCTAGCCATATGCAGAATATTGAAACTGGACCTCTTCCTTACACCATATACAAAAATCAACAGAAGATGGATTAAAGACTTAAATGCAAAACCTGAAACTATAAAATCCTTGGAATACAACCTAGAAAATACCATTCTGGACATAAGAACTGGCAAGAATTTTATTATAAAGACACCAAAAGTAATTGCAACAAAAGCAAAAAGTGATAAATGGGATCTAATTAAGCCAAAGAATTTCTCCACAACAAAAGAAACTATCACAAGAGTAAACAGACAACCTATAGAATGGGAAAAATATTTGTAAACGATGTCTCTGACAAAGATCTAAAATCCAGCATCTATACAGTACTTAAAAAAAATTTACAAGAAAAAAAACAACCCCATTACAAAGTGGGCAAAGAACATGAACAGACACCAGAGGAAGACACACACGCAGCCAAAAAACATATGAGAAAAGCTCAATATCACTAATCATTAGAGAAATGCAAATCAAAACCACAGTGAGATATTATATTACACCAGTCAGAATGACTGTTATTAAAAAGTCAAAAAATAATAGATGTTGGTGAGGTTTCAGAGAAAAGGGAACACTTATATGCTGCTGGTGGGAGTATAAATTAGTTCAACCATTGTGGAAAGCAGCATGGCGATTCCTCAATGAACTGAAAACAGAACTACCATTCAACCCAGCAACCCCATTACTGGGTGTACACCCAAAGGAATATAAATAGTTACAAAGACACATGCATGCATATATTCATTGCAGCACTACGCACAATATCAAAGACATGGATTCAACCTAAAAGCCCATCAACAGTAGACTGGATAAAGAAAATGTGGTACATGTAAACCATGGAATACTATGCAGCTATAAAAAAGAATGAGATCATGTCCTTTAAAGGAACATGGATGGACCTGGAGGCCATTATCTCTAGCAAACTAACACAGGAACAGGAAACCAAATACTGCATGTTCTCACTTATAAGTGGGAGCAAAATTATGAGTACACATGGAAACAAAGACGACAGACACTGGGGCCTACTTGAGGGTACAGGGTGGAGGAAGGAGAGGATTAGAGAAAATAACTATTGGGTACTATGCTTAGTACCTGAGTAACTAAATGATCTGTACATCAAACGCCTGTGACATGAGTTTACTTAGATAACAAACCTGCACATGTACATCTGAAGCAAAAATAAAAATATTTTACAAAAGAAATAAAATATGTTCTAGGAATGTCATCAGCATTAGATTTTATTACTTTTAAAAATTTGGTCACTTTGATGGTGACAAAAACTTTTAATTAATATTTTAATTTGTTTATATGGAAGATGAATTATTTATTGTATTGCAAATGCTTCCTAGGTCCTCTTTGCTGGATAGAATTACTAATTTGTCAGGACTTTATGACAGACCAAAAGGATGGCTTTTCCATCTCTGGTTGCAGATTCAATATTATTTCCCGATTTCATAATTTTTGAAAGTTTTCTACCAAGCGCTTCTGCTCCCCTGTTGTCATGATTGGCCCTGAGTTATCATGAGGATTAAGTGAGATATATAAGTAAATAAAGGCCAGGTGCAGTGGCTCACACCTGTAAACTGAGTGCTTCGGGAGGCTAAAGTGGGAGAATTGCTTGAAGCCAGGACTTCAGGAGACCAACCTGGGTAACACAGTGAGACTTTGTCTCTACAGAAAATTTCAAAAATTAGCCAAGCATGGTGGCATATGCCTATAGTCCCAGCCACTCAGGAGGCTGAGGTGGGAGGATTACTTGAGCCCAGCAAGTCGAGGCTGCAGTGAGCCATGATTGCACCACTACACTCCAGCCTGGATAAGAGTGAGGCCCTATCCCAAAGAGAAAGGAAAAACAAACAAAAAAAAAGAAACTAAATGAGAAAAGAAAAGTAAAGAGCTTATGTACCTGATACATAGTAAATGTTCAATAAAAGGTAAAAATGATCTCATTATATTAGGCAAACAATTCTTGAAGTAACAGATAAGCAAAATGATCAAGCAAACAAAAGTTTATAAACAGGAAAATATAAGTATATCCTGATGCTTCTTGTGCAGCTGGAATAAGATAATATATGTGGATAGCCTTTGAAACCCAGTAGAGAACAATGAATAATATATTCAATGTGCCAAGAGAAAATAACATCAACTTAGAATGGTATTTTCAGGGAGAAATAAAGGCATTTTCAGTTAGATTTGCTCATCTTAACTAACAGACTGTCATTCTAAAGAATATTCTTTAATAAGGAGAAACATGACCCCAGAAAGAAGGTCAGAGTTATGGAAAGTCAAGTCGAGAAAAGAAATGATAAGCATGTGGTTAAATATAAATAAAAAATGAGTATACAAATAATAAAAATCTAATTGGGTGGATTTAAACACACACACACACACACACACACACACACACACACACACACGCACATGACAGACCTAACATACTGAACAATCAGCAGAGGTTTTCCAGTATAACAATTGAGAGCATAATTTCTGGCCCTAAATTATCTAATCTCCAATCCCATCTTGAACATTTTCTAATGATGTATC
The DNA here is from genome assembly GCF_000001405.40 of Homo sapiens. Classification (NCBI taxonomy): domain Eukaryota; kingdom Metazoa; phylum Chordata; class Mammalia; order Primates; family Hominidae; genus Homo; species Homo sapiens. Next base: position 98,410,389 of record NC_000001.11, on the reverse strand, counting down.
TTTGGTAAACTTAAACATCATGGGCTTTATTTTTCTCTCATATAAAATGAAGGTAATAATAGTGCTTGTCTCACAGGGCTTTTGTGAGGGTTAAATGAGGTAATTAGAATGGAGCCTGACATTCAGTGATAGCACACTGTGTGCTGTAACTAGATCTGAGTTAACTCATGCTAAGGAGTAAATATAAACATTGGACTTGACTTTTATAGAGTAACCAACAAAGAACAAAAATAGAGTTTACAGCTTCTATAGTTTTCACGGGACTGGATAAAATAGAGGAAAAAACCCTCAAACAATGAAAAGAAGACAATAAGAGAGAAAAAAGAAAAAACAAATAAAAAACAAAGAAAACTAGTAGAAATGAACACACACACACACACACACACACACACATATGTTTTAAGTGTGAATCTTAATAATCTCCAATTGGCTAATATATATATTTGCCTTGGCCAGATACTTTAGTACACTAATAACCTCGGTTGACTTTAATAAAAATTCTGAAAATCTAAACTGTGACTCTTCAATTTGTAAAATTAATAAAGATTCAAGCTTTTGAACCATAAAAGGGCCTACTAAAGGCTATGATTTCTCAGGGAGGTAATTTTTCTTTTTCCACAGAGAACCAATGCTAAGAACTAAAAGCTTTCTTGATGTCTCACTCTGAAGAGAACTGCTCCTCCACCAGCCCAGTTCATCCTTTCCCTGAAGGTATGGCCTTTCCCAAGCCCTGGTTTTGGATGGAATAAGCCTACAATACAAGACCTAACCCTGTAAAGGCCAAAAGTTTTTTTTTTTTTTTTTTTTGTTCACCTTTCCACACACACTAACTGAAACTATAGTTTAGACTTCTCAAACCCCATATGTACACAAATCATATAAGCATGTAACTAAAAGACAGATTCTCGATAAGCAGGTCTAAGGTAGGGCTCACAATTCTGCACTTCCAACAAGTTCTCAGGTGGTACCAATTCTACTGTTTTGAGAACCAGCACTGAGTAGAGAGACTATGACTATCAGAGACTGCAGACCCAGGGGGCATTCGGCAGCTTCAATGCCAGCTCACCTCCAGTAATTTCTTCTCCCAGTTTGTTGCTTGGGTCCACAGAAGATTTCACTTAATTTCTTACAACTTCATATATTTATTTAATAGGATGTCAAATTTTATTTAGCGTGTTTCAGGTTTGTAGTATGCAGGTTTTAGTTTACTGTGTTGTGGGAAATAGAATTCTTCTCCAAATAAGAGGAAGGATTCTTACAATCCTTGGTATTCATACTTAAATTGATCCCATTGAATATTATTTGTACACCATAAAATATATTGTATGAATATAAATTTATTCAGACCTTTTCATGGAATAAAAATTTAAATATTGCTGTAGGTTGATTTTGGTCATTTTAAATGACCTTTGAATTTGTCTTAATGACGCTGGCAACAAAGAAAAATGAAGAAATAAAATAAAGACACAGTGAACTTTTGCATAATTTATATAAATGACAGATGAAAAACAGATCTCACACAAACATGCTAGAAACTCAGGGCTTGGCTGTTTTCTAAATCACAGTTATACTATAGGAGACTATTGTACTTTTGATCAATGCACTTAAAAATATATTTTAAAATTCCTCTGATATATTTTTAAAAAATCAGAATTGCAGGTTCGTCTTTGTAAAATCTGAATTGATACTTGTATGATAAGTGCTTAGATGACTTAAAAATATTAATCCATACTTAATGGTATTTCTTTGTAACTTTGATTAGATCTTTGATGATGCAAAATAATTGGTTTCTGGTAGTTTTATGTCAGAAAGGTGAGTTCTGTTAAACACCTGCTCTCCCTTTATTAAAGAACCATTGCAATGACTATTTTTAAGTAATAAAAGGTTAATAAAACTATTATTATTTTGTTTAACTGCCTTCTAAAACAACCAACCTCTTAAAAGTTATCCTAATCAAAATCTCAAAAAGCTGTTCTAACCATCAGTGAATCTTTGATATATCTAGCGGCATTTGGATCGTAGAAGAGCTCAAAATCAAACAAATGAATGCTAAAACTGTGAATATAGATAATACTTATGAAGCCACAGAGACCACCTTCAATTTTTAAAAATAAAAAAGGATATCCACATATCCAAGTTGTAAAGCATATTTTAAATAAGTACATGCCATCAAGAATAGATTTAAAAAATAAAAAAGCAAGAAAGAACCCATTCTTTTTCCACACACAAAAATGGTGATCCAGAAAAGAAGCATCTATACTGGAAATAAAGAAACGAAGAAACTTAACTAAGCATAGGTTACCTCAACTGCGATGTACACATAGAACAATCAAATATGTAAGGCAGAATGGATTTATTGTAGAGAAATGAAGTGAATGAGAGCATTTTCCCAAATATATCAAGGGAAATGATGAGATTAGCAAAAGGTAAAATACATACCACTAATGATAAACAAGGGCAAGAAATAACAAATTGCTCTTAATCGCTAATGTTCTGAATTAAGAGAGAAATAATTTGGTTCACTGAGAATCATGCAGACACTGCAGAAAGGGTTACTGACAAAAGACATGTTAAAGAAATCTTGGTTGGGAGGCCAAGGTGGGCAGATCACAAGGTCAGGAGTTTGAGACTAGTCTGATAAACTTGGTGAAACCCCGTCTCTACTAAAAATACAAAAATTACTCTGGCGTAGTGGTTTGTGCCTGTAATCCCAGCTACTCAGGAGGCTGAGGCAGCAGAATCACTTGGACCCGGGAAGCGGAGGTTGGAGTGAGCCAAGATGGCACAATTTGCAGTCCAGGCTGGGCAACAGAGCGAGACTCCATCTCAAAAAAAAAAAAAAAGAAAAAAAAAAAGAAAGAAATCTTGGAACAATTTCAAAATGCACAAATTCCGAAACTGGATAGCACAGAATCTGAAGGTGTCAGAAAAAAACTTATATTAATCTTCTTTGAATCCCTTAAAATTATTCGTAAGATATCCTTAAGAACAAAACAAGTTTGAGAAGAATTAAAAAGCAAAAACAAAACAGAAAATATGAAACCTTACTCTTAAGAACTGAGACAAGTGATCTTGGGTATGGCTTAGTGTAAGTCTATTAACAAGTAAATGTTATGAAGCTACGCCTCATAAATTGTTCAAGTTCCTTAAAGGTAATAAAAATTATATCTTTTCAATAAATTTATAACATTCCTGGTGATTGTTTCTTTCTGTGATAATAGTAAGGTTATAGATAATACAGATGCCAGATTTTCCAACTCAGTGGTTCTAATGAAAACAACAACAACAACAAAACAAGGACTACTAAGTGAAATATGAAGTTTATCTATTTGTGCATCTTCTGTTTATGCCCATAAGTAAAGTGAAGTTAGAGAAATAACACCTATGCTCCTTTTGAAAGAACATAAAATCAAATCACATTTCTCTCAGTCATTATCTGATTAAAATGGCTTACACTGCATTCTGTGTTTTTGGCTGTTTTTGCTAAGAAGTAAAGGAGGTGGCGCTTTATCACAGAAAATGAGGAGGCTAGAAATAATGTTTTAAAAGACTTTTATACAGCTTAAATTCTAAATATCTCACATAACAAAATGCAAAACAATAAGCTATTAATAACCCATGTTCACATAACCTTATAAATAAGGCAGTGTACTTTGAGAATCTTAAATTACTAATGTTTTTTATGTCTGTGTTTTTTTCTCCTATAAGAACAGGTCTGCACTAGTCTGCATTAATTAAATTTAAGTAGGATTTCTGAGCCTGGATCATCATTAAGTCTGTGGCCCTGATTTAAATCTGCAGTAAAACATTTCTCCATTAAGTCTTGTGCTTTTGTGTCATATTTCATACACTAGTTGTCTCTTAATTAAATCCATGATGGTCCACCAACACAGACTATTAAAATAACTATACTTTGTACTTGACATATTTATGAGACAGAATCATAAGACTATAGACTGATACTTGAACTACTCACTGAGAAATGCTAATAAGATTATGATGAAGGTAAGATTAGAACATTCCTCTCTTTTCTCTTCTCTTCTTTCTAGAGATTTATTTTTATAACTGCAGTTCACTTCTATTTCAGGTTCTGACTTTTTCTCCAGACCATCTGAAAGCTCTTTCATTGTAGAATGACTGCAAATTAATAGTCAATAGAAATCTAGGAAAGTGTTCATTTATATCACATGATGTTAATATAAACATAATATAAACATTGAACTATATTTTTTGAGTTTTGCTTTATTCACAGCTGCAAGTAAATATGTTAATCTAGATATATGTTTGCCAATCCTTTAGGCATTCAGAGTGAAGAAAATTTACAAGGACTGAAACGAGAAAATAGCCCTGAGTGAAAAAGCAGTTTACTTTTAGATGGGGTGAAAGGAAGTCCATATATGTCAACCTCAGACATACTGAATTTTCAATCTGCTTGCCACAAAGAATGATGCTGTCTTTCTGGGTGAGCTTTCAGAGAACTTATCACATCATACGGTAAAAGACAGTTTCCAGTTTATTTTGTTTGCTTTCAGTGGCCTAACGTACACTTTAGTTTTTGTTTCATTTCTCTTACAAACATTTTTGTTTGTTTGTTTGCCATGTAGAGGGTAGGGCCTTTAAGGGAGAGAAAGGTACTTGAAGGATTAGGACATTTCAAATTACTGAAAGTTGTGTCAAAGTAGAGACTGTAGAAAAAACAACAAGTAGAATAATCATCAAGTGATCTAACACAAACAGACATTATCTAATACAAATATAGGGAGGAGTTCACAACTGTTAAGTCCATTATTTGCTTCTTACTAGTTCAGTAGATGTTCTGTAGCTTTTAAAAATATTGCTGTGCAATTCATCATTCAGCTCTATTTTTTCAGCAGAAGTTTTTAAAAAGTATTGCAAAATAAAAGATTAACTTAAAATAAATTATAGTTTTATTATAACAGTGGTCTGCGATGAAAAATGCAAGTATAAAATAAATTCTAATGTCATGTCAAGAATAGCAGCCACAGTCAGGCAGCTCCTCTAAACACATTAAATCTAATAAAATCACCCTCACATACTCCTGACACTAGTAGTAATTAAAATAACTTGTTTCAAAAAAATTGGTCCTATACATGAATACTTATTGGCAATTATTTCTTAGTTCTTCAAACCAAAGATAACATAATTTGATTCTCACACAATTTTCTTGTAAATGCAGTTCATATTGGGTTTTATATGCAGCTTAAGACTGTTAATTGCCATTTTGAGCCTCACAGTAAAATAGGGTTCAATATGTCGCTTTTCTCAAGCATACAGAAATGTTTGAGAAATGCTTGTCTTAGTCTAATGAACTGTGAATAATTTACATCCTGAGTCCTATTTTTCAGTTTAAGTGGTTCTGACTTTTCTTGACGCTTGTAAAGCCTAATCAACTTGTTACATTCATCTGATTAAAGAAAGCTATGGCAAAGTAGATGAATCCAGTGCTTCTTAAAGGAAGGTATGGTGTTTTGATTTTCTAAAGGCCACTGTTTCATTTGGATCTATTCTTCCTTTGCCACACTAGATGACATACTGTAAACTAAGGATTTTATTTATATTTGTGAGAAAATATTATCTGACTTAAAAGATTTGCAAAATCCCCTACCTCCTGGCGGGCGCACTCGATAACTTCCTGAATTTACAGAGACCAAACTGTTCTGTCAGGTATAAAAAGGAGCTGTTTCAGGGCATGAACATTTTTTATTTCTGAAAGAATCACAAATATGAGATGTGATTCCAGCTAGTTCTGAACACGTGTGTAAACAGAACTATATCAAAGAGATCAAGGCAGTGAATGCATTCAACAGTGACCACTGAAAACAGCAGCTTTGTGTCACCAGCATGAGAGGGTGCTGCAGACATTTTATCTTGCACAGGGGGCTTGGTAAAGAAGTAAACTAATTTAATATTCACCATGTATTTGCTCAAGAATCATCTTTTGTTCAAGGCTTAATTTCAGAGAGACTTCAAAATATATTACAGAACCTGTGAGTTGAAAGGAATTTTAGAGACAATCTGATTTTACTCCTCATTTTGTGAAAGAGGAAACTAAAGTCCAGAAGAAATAAGTAACACACTCATTATTACATAACCGTGCAACAGAATGATTGCTAACAGAATAAAAGGACATCATGATGTTGACTACTTAACATTATGGATGTGGGGAGGAGATGTGGGAAATATCTGTGAATGGACTGCAAACAGATTCTAAGACTCTATTATGCTGTGGCTGCCAGTAAAAGAGATCTCTGTTTGAAGCGACATGCCTGCCAGCTATGTGATTTTTTCATCCTCAATGTGAATTTTGAAAGACCTACATGTAGTGGAAAATGAAGAAGAAAATGAATTTATTTGCATTTTGAATCTATCTAAATATTAACAGTCCATGAAGTTAAATGGCAGAATGGATTTCTGTTGTGCTTGAATATGTGATTCAACATACATATATCATTCCTGGAAAAACTGTTAATTAGAATATATCAAAAGAATCATCAGACAAAGCTAAACTGTGGATATCAACCACCCAAAAAAGTCCAGGTAAAGAAACTGAAACACAGCCACTGGCAAGAAAGTTGAAGGAAACACTAAAATTAGGTTTGGTAGTAAATGAGCAACAGGGAGAGGAAGGTAGGCCAGGGGTCTTAACCCCAAGACTAGGACAAGAGAAGGATGAATAATGTATTGTAAGAAAAGGGGCTGACAGGGTTTTTCGTTGTTGTTTCTTTTGGGTGTTTTTTTTTTTTTGTCTTTGTTTTTTGTTTTTGTTTGTTTGTTTTGTTTTTTGGTTTGCTTTTGTTTTTTTCTATTTAGATAGTAAAGATTTGGAGTCCTGAAGATTATATAGTCTCTGCAATAACCACTCCACCCTGCCAGCAATAGACAATACAAATAATAAACAAATTGGCATGACTGTGTTCCAATAAAACTATATTTACAAAAAATAGAGGTATTAGGCAGATTTAGCCTGTGGTACTGTAATTCATCTATACCTATTATAGATAAAGCAGGAGATATAAATACATAGATAATAGGTAGATAAGAGAGAGACAGAGAGAGAATTGCATAGAAAGAGATAGTTGTTGATATATATATCTTTTTCCCTTTATAAGCAACCTATCTTCCCATTCCTGGAGATGCATTTGAACATACTCTGAGAATGGTGGAGGCTTCCAATGAGAATGAATAGGCTTCTCATAAAATAAAGAACATGAAAACAACTGTTGGCAAGGATGTGGCTAAACGGCAGTACTTTGAGGACTGTTGGTGGGATTTTAAACTAGTACAGCCATTAAGGAAAAGAGTCATGAGGTTCTTAAAAAAAAAAAAACCCTAAAAATAGAAACACCATGTGATCCAGCAGCCTCACTTCTGGGTATATATATATAAAGGAAATGAAATCAGTATGTCAGAGAGATAACTGCACTACCATGCAGATTCACTATTCACAATAGCCAAGATAGAGAATCAACCTGTGTCTGTCGATGGATGAATGGATAAAATGTGGTGTATATACACAATCAAATACTATCCAGTCACAAAAAAGAATAAACTCCTGTCATTTGCAAAAACGTAGATGAAACTGGAAGACATTATGTTAAGTGAAATAAGCCAATAAACCACACACAGAAATATGAATGCATGATCTCACCCATATGTGGAATGTAAATATATATGATACAAAAGCAGAGAGTAGAACAATAGTTACCAGAGACTAGGAAGGGAGGGAAGAGGAGGGGAGGTTTGTCAATAGGTACATAGTTACTCTTAGGAGGAATATGTTCTGGTGCTCTATTGCACAGCAGGGTAACGAGTTAACAGTAAAGTATAATATTATATATTACAAAATAGCTAGAAGGGACAATGTTCTCACCACAAAGAAATAATAAATGCATGAGGTGATGGATGCACTAACTTCCCTGACTGGATTATTATACAAAATATATATGCATAGAAACATCAAAGTATACCTCAAAAATATGCACAGTGTCAATTAAAAAATTAAAATAAAGAACGTATCTTTGCTTCAAATATCTACCACACCACAACTATCATAACTTTAAAAAATATAAATTAGATCACATCCTCCGATGGTTGAAACTTTCTTTGGTTTTCATTATAAGTAGAATAAAATCCTAGGTTTTGGACCATGTCTGACTCTGATTTCATCTTATATCATCCTCTCCCTTATTCACTACACTTTAGCCAAACTGACCTTTTGATTTTTTTGAACATTGAAATTGATACCGAATTTGGCTTGCTGTCCTCTCTGTGTGAAACTCACTTTCTCATATCATAGTATGATTAGCTTCATTTCAATATTCAGGCTTGGCTCAAATATAAAGTCAACAGAGATGCATTTTTCCATTTTTTTTCATTACATACTCATCAATATCTGAAATTATTCATTTACCTGCTTATTTTCTGTGTTCTTAACTAGAATAAAACTGCCATCAGGAAAAGGAATATGTCTGTGATAGTTTTCACTATAATTCCAGGACTCATAAGAGTGACTGACACATGGTAGATGTTTATTAAGTATTTGTAAACAGACGGATGGATGGAAGGATGGATGGATGGAAGGATGGATGGACGGATGGATGGATGAATAAATCAGACTCTACTTTTTCATGTTTTTTTCTGTGATGCTCAAAATAGCCTTACAGTGTATTGCAAATATTATTGCCAGCTAATAAAACAAGGTTTCAAATAAGTTAAGTTGAATGGCCCACATTACTGGTCTATAAAATGGCATAACTACAATATTAACTTGAGTGTTTGCCTCTAAACCCAGTTTACTTATTTAACTCTTATCTATCAAAAACTCTACTACATTTTACAAACACTAGCTCTTTGTAAAATGCCTACGCATAAGTACTAGTATCATCATCATTGTATCTGTGAGACAACTGAGGCACAGAGATGTTAAATAACTGTACAAAGTCTCACAAATAGTAAGTGGCAGAGCTGGAAATCCAAGCCTGCTATTATGGCTCTAGAGTTCTTAATCAGTACATTTAGCTGTATTCGTAAGGCACAGCCTATGTGCAGAACTCTTGGATTTGAACGATCATAAATAGCATATTTGTTTCTTACTGTTGCTATAACAAGTTACCTCAAATTAGTGAATTAACTCAAATGTATTCTCTTACAGTTTTGGAAGTCGGAAGACTGAAATGAATCTTCCAGGGCTAAAATCAAAGTGTCAGCAGGGCTACTGCCTTCTGACTCCCAGAGAAAATTCATTTCTTTGCCTTTTCTAGCTTCCAGAGGTCAACTGTATTCCATGGCTTATGGCCCCTTCCTTCATCTTCAAAACCACTGGCATAGCTTCTTCTGTCTTTGGGCTTCCCTCTGCTTCTGTTATCACATGGCCTTCTCCTGATTCTGCTTCCTCCTGCATCCTTTTTATAAGAACTCATGTGATCGTATCAGGCCCACCTTTATAATCCAGGATGATACCCCCGTCTCAATATGTTTAATTTAATCACATCTGCAAAGTATCATTTAACATATGGGTTAATATTTGCAGGCTCTAGGTGTTAGGACGTTGAGATTTTTGGAGGCTACCACATAAAATATCTACTTAGCTGCTCAAAATTGAATATTTTAACCACTTAACCAAGTATAAGTGGAATGAAAGTGCATTACTAATATTGCTACTGCTCGATGTCAACCTAGTAAAGTCTTTCCTAATGCCTTATTCTAAATTGCCACCCCCACACCAATTTTCTGCATCCCTGTTCAGCCTGCTTTAATTTTCTCCATAACACTGCCATCATTCACAACCATAAAACTTACAGTTTCTCCTCCACCAAAATATAAACTCTGTGAAGGAAGAGATTTTGATGGATTGCTTACAGATCTACCCCATCCCTCATGCCTAAAACAATATCTAGCATATATCAGACACCCAATAATTATTTAATAAATAAAAAATACATTAATAAACATCAGTGCACAAGTCAGCTTCTGAGAGTAGGGTAAGGTTGATGGGCCAGCTCTGTACCTTCCCTCATACCTCACCGTATGTGTCTCTGCATCTGCATCCCTTGTGATATCCTTTATGATAAACTGGTAAGTGTGAAAATAAATAATCAATATTTTACATGGATTATTCTGCTACAATCATATTATTTTATTATTGAACTCTTTGTGATGACAAAAACACACAATCTAATATAATGTATGCAGAAGATACAGGTGGCTAGCACATATTAAGCTAACAATATAATTTTGGATAAATGAATGGGTCACAGATTCAGGTAAAAAGAATTAACTCCCTTATTATGCTCATGGCTTAAAATGAATCTTTATATGTTTAAAGAAAACTATGTTTATTGAGCATACCAGAAATCTATTAGTATATTCTAATACTGTGTAGATGCTCTCAATGATAAACTCATCATAAGTTGAAGATATCATAAATTGAAAGTGTTTTTGACTTTCTATATTTTTAATGTATGTTGGGTTTCTCCAAAGGTAACCCCATCTTACACTGGGGAGCATGCTGAATGCATAGAATTTTCGCACCATCATAAAATCAAAAAAATTGTAAGTTGAGCCATCATAAGTCAGGACCTTCTGTAATATTGAAATATAATGTATATGTCCTCCATAGTTTTCCATCTTAATCGTGTGTGTTAATGTGTGAGTGCTTGTGTGTGTGCATGTGGATATGACACACACACATACACAAAGAGTTAAAAATCTCACTGTAATGAAATGGAATTTTTTACTAAAAAAAAATTCAAATTAGAATTTAGTCTAATTTTTATTGGTACCAGAACTTCCCAGAATTATTTTGATAGAAACAAATGAAGATCTTGAGCCCATCTACTTAAGTATAGGACTCAGAGCTATCAGTCACTTTGTACCAACCAATGTTGTATAAAATGATACTGATTTCTCTAAACACACCATGATCAAGATAAATCTTTAAACTGATGGGTCACTGAGATGATGAGTAAGACTGGAATGCATGGCTATATGCAAATTATCTAAAAGACTGAAATTAGCCCTTATTTAATTGTGGTCATCTCAAGAATGTTTTTCTAGATATTTTATAGTTTCTAATTCTGTCAGCCATTCTGATGTGAGGTGATACGATTAATTTGACCTATGTCACTATATTGACTCTGTGTCCTGAAAACCTAATGTCTGCATTTAATTTTAGTGTTAAGAACATTCTTGACTAAAAAGGCAGATTTATTTTGTGGAGTTGACTTGTCCATTCTCTGCACCGATTTACTTTTTACCTCTCATGTGAACATCTACGAGTAACTCCTATGAAGCACTCCTTGCATTTCCAAGTTGTCCTTAGTCTTAGCTTAAATACCTATTTAAATAAATCTTACTTATTTTATTTTGCTTTTAAAATGTTAGCCTCTTCCATAGACAATAGTCCTTCTTCCACTAGAATTTGCAAGATTGCTTCATAGTTTACATATGTGTGCTACATATCCATTTTGAAATTGAAAGCAAAAATCCATAATTTCCAGAAAGCTTTTTAAGATTAATGTGAAACGGCTGCACTGCCCGTGTAGGAGCCTCAAAATATTTCCTGTCAGAGTGCCAAACCAGTAGTTAGAAGTGCTGAGAATACTCCTGTGAATGTAGAATTCAAGTTACCTTTTATAATATTATTGCATTGAGGTGTCTTACTTTCAAATCAGATAAACTGTAAAGCTCAGCCTCACAAAGACTGAAACTGTCTCTGACTCCCCCATCCCTTCTCTTTTTAAAATTGAAACCACCACAAAGCTGAAATTGTGAATTTTTTACTGGAATTTTTTAAAAGTAAAAGTTGAGTTGGCAGTGATGTTAAAATTTATTGGCCCACTTCAGTAAAAAAACAAAATCTACAGATGGACTTATAATATTTCACTTTTATTCTTATTCTACATAGCTGGACTCCTGCTTAAGTAGGAGGTGTGGAAATTAATTATTTTCCTCCCATGTGTACCATCCTCTTGTGGCTTCTGTCACAAATCAACACACTTGTGGTTTTATAACCAGAATTCTATCTCCAAGAAAGCCTCATTAAATGGAAGATATCACTACCTAACTAGGTGATTGGCTCAATTTGGTCATGTGACTTACTGTTTTCTCTATTCAGTATTGAGATAGGGCAAGGGCAGCCTCTCATTAGTTCTATTTATAAAGTGGTGGAGTTCAAAATGAAGAAAAAGAGCACAGAAATTTCAAGCCAAAAAAACCTTAAAGATCACTTGGTCCAACCTCCTCATTTGCAATGAAGAAAATTAGTCTGGAGAGTTTGAGACTGTTGTCTAGAGTCCCACGGGTAGCTTAGGCTGGTGGTAGAGTTCAGTGCCTTTCCCACTATACTGCTCTATCACTCTCATAGGCCAGTGAAACAAAATCCCCTCAGCAATAAAGTAGACCCAATACCAAGGGACTTATGTGTATGTGCTAGACTTCAATTCAGAACTTTCATGACTCAATTCAATGCTCCTTCATGGTCTATGTCTTAACTTATCAGTTTCCTCTGTTACAACGACCTGAGCTGGGCCTGGTGGTTCACGCCTGTAATTCCAGCACTTTGGGAGGCTGAGGCAAGAGGATCGCTTGATGCGGGAGTTTAAGACGAGCCTGGGAAATATAGTGAGAACCTGTTTCTACCAAAAAAAAAAAAAAAAAAAAAAATTAAATTAGCTGAGCACAGTGGTGTGTGCCTATAGTCGTAGCTACTCGGGAGTCTGAGATGGCAGGGTCGTTTGAGCCCTGGACTTCGAGGTTGCAGTGAGCTATGATCGCACCATTGCACTCCGGCCTGGGTGATAAGGTGAGACCCTATCTCTGAATTAAAAAAAGAAAAAAAGAAAGAAAGAGAGAGAGAAAAAAACCTACCTGACAGACAGCCTCATTAACACTCACTAAATATGCTAGGTTCAAGCACATAACTTTCTCCTTGTAAATATTATTTATACATCAGCCTCAAGTTCTCTTTTGTGAGAGGCAACCAGCTAATGACACCATCCTTCGTGATCAGAACAAACATTACTTTTTTTGGAAGCATTTCCTAAGCCTCTCCTGATCATTCAGAGACTCTTCTCTATGCTTTCCCCAGAATACCTATCCCGTCCACCTCTTTTACATCTCTCATAAATCTATAGCAATCATAGATCTCCTGTAATCTTCCATTAATATGAACACTTTGGTCATAGAGACTTTAACTTGTTCACTTCTCTATTCCTAGTGCCTAACATGGCATCTCACCCTGGTAAGCATGCAATATATGTTTGTTAAAAGGATGAATGTAAATAAGCATCTGTTTGATGGTCACACTCATACTTATCTTCTCCCCATTTCATCTTCATTTTCATCTCTATGCTTCTAGCTACCTTTCTTTAGACATTTGTCAGCCTTTTACTATCATTTCTCTTTATGCCAGATGAGTTTGCAATTCTTAATAATAAGATAATTCCCAGAAACTCCTTAATTGCTTTCATTTTTTACCATAATGCTCAGGGGCACAGAACAAAGGCTAGGTCTATGCATTACAAAGTGAAGGGAGACTTGGCACTCTGATCCATGTAGATAACCAACCCAAATAATTTCATTCCTGCAATAGAGAAGGTAAGTGACTTTAACATTGCACTTTATATTTATTAAGAAACACAACATTGCTGGAAATTGTGTGGCTATTTCAGACTGAGTTATCTCTAGGATATTTACTTAGATCGAATTAATGAAATGTGTGTTGAGTTTCCACTTCCCATTTTGCATACTCATTGTCTAAATGGTGAGAGATTTTTTCCTGAAATATCAGCACTGGGAAGAAGGTATAAAATCTGTTTCACATCTTTAAAGGAGTTCTGTTATGTTACTGGGAGGCAAGGGGGAAGCAAAAACAAGAAAAAACTTGGATTTGAACTAGGTTTATTACTAGGTAAGGCCCAAATTACCATGTTACACATCATGAAACCATAAATAATATTAAACTTTTCTGCTTAGCTTATCATATTAACTCTGATAAAGTTTTATATATGTAATATTATGTTTTTTTAAAAGGAAGTAAAATGTTAGGCTTTCTATTATTTTCTAGAATTAAAAACTTTGTTAATAGGATTACAGCAGGCATAGAGTACATCATGTAGTAACTTAAACGCATACTTCTTTTTTAAATGGTCACAAAAAAGTCGAAGTTAAACAATATTTTGAGATTACTGGCTAATGTTGCTAAACTATTCAAATGTAATGCTTTGCAATGATTTATTCCCATATTTAGAATGATACTTAGAAAAATTAAGTACAAAGAAAAATAAAAATGTACACTATTATATAAATATTTTTGTGACAAATAACATTGCAGAATATGTTTTAAAAACTGGATATTCCTTTCTGCTTGAAAATAGATTATTAATTAATTTATTTATTAATTTTAGACAGAGTCTTGCTCTGTCTCCCAGGCTGCAGTGCAGTGGCGCAATCCCAGCTCACCGCAAACTCCACCTCCTGGGTTCAAGGGATTCTCCTGCCTCAGTCTCGTAAGCAGCTGGGATTACAAGTGTGTGCCACCATGCCCAGCTAATTTTTGTATTTTTAGTAGAGACGGGGTTTCACCATGTTGGTCAGGCTGGTCTCGAACTCCTGACTTCAAGTGATCCACCTGCCTTGGCCTCCCAACGTACTGGGGTTACAGGTGTGAGCCACTGTGCCCAGCCTGGGAGGAACTTTTTAAAATAATGCTTCTGGTCCTTGAGAATGCGCGTAGGAGAATGTATGTTTTATTCGCTGAACCAAAAACAAAACAACGCATCAGGAAAAAGTAAACCATATATCATGTGAGTATTGTCTTGCCTATTCAAGACATCTGTTCTCTAGCAGTTTGTAGAATATCCATTTCATTTTTTTTTTTTTTGGTAACTGCTAGATACATCTTGCAAAGTGACAGGATTGCAGGGGTTTGAGGACACATGATGATAGTTTCCTTCCATGTAGGAGACAAAGAGGCCAACCTGCAAAGGGACTTCTGTGAACTGGGGCCTCTGGCCAATTTTCAGGAAAACTCTTCTTCCTCCTTGAAGTAGTCTTTAATGGAACTAGAATCAAGCAGCTAGATGTCTGTTACCCTTCTCCTGGTTCTTCACAAGGTCTGGTAGATTATTTTCCACCAAAGGTCAACAAATCCTGGAGAGCAAATCATATCTGATATTCAGGGTCAAAGGCATTTACATCCTGTAATCAAATTTCAGGTGTATTTTTCTACTGAACTTTTCTAAATTTTTTCTGTCGCTCACTGATAGAAAAGTGTGGAAAGAAGAGTACTCTGGTGGCGGGAAGATAGGATTATCACCCAGGATCTGATAGGAGTATGATATTGATGAGAGGCAAGTCATTTTATTATTGTGCTTATAAAATGAGATAACATATAACATTTTTATAAACTATTAAGATGGCAGCTTTATATATTAACATTATTAATAATTTGAGTCAGCCCTGTAATTTTTGTTTCTTAGTATTTTCTTACAATTTTCCTGTTACTATTCTTAAAATAAATTTAGTTTTTCCAAGAATGCCTAGTGAGTACAGAAATTTTACTTTTACTTCCTTTAACTTTATCCACATTACCAAGGGTATTTCTATCCATCCAGTATTTATTGATGAATTACAAGTAGTTCAATAGGTATTATGGACGTTCACTGATATTTGGAAGCCATCTGACCCGTTGCTGTTTATCATCTTACTTTCTTTTATCAGATGCTCATAGTAAACTTGGCATGATAGTTCAATTACAAGATTTCTTTTAATGAATCAATCAATTAAGCAGTCGAGTTTTCTTTTTCTATGAAAAAAATGATCATTTGCTATCATAACAAAGGTCACAGTTGGGTAGAATCATATCTATGAAGTATGTTAACATTATAAGAATTTCCACAAAATTAATTTTTTTAAGCAATGATCATTGTTATTTTAGGTGTCCTTGTTCCAAGACACCATACTGTAATGACCTACATGGTTTGTGCTGGGTAAAATCATTGCTTTATGTTTTCATGGTCACTATAGCCCAATTGTTCCCAATTCTGTGCCTGCACTCTTTTGGCTTTTAGTGTCTTTTTCAGCTAGCAATAGCATAAGGCTTTGCCTCTAAAATAACAACAGTATCACGTCAAAAAGGAAAATGGGCTTCATTGTACCTGTGGTTTGATGTAATGGTTGTTAGGCACGAATCCACAGAGAGAAATTTCATATAGCTCAGAGACATTCAACATCTGCCATAAGCCTTGACCCTATTCTACAACAATGTCTATAAGCTTTGGGGAAACATGTTATTGAAGGATGTCTGATTCCAAGAACCATCACAGCTGTCACTGGGGTTTAGTCTATCCACTGGCTGATATGCTTATCATAAACCGCAAACCTTATATCGACTCTTGTTCAGATCTTGACTGTTCCCATTATACCAGAAAGAGTTAGAAAATAAACACTTGTAGCAGTTTCCACTTAATGCTTTTTAGAATTGTGTTGGCTAGACAGCAAATCAAATATTCCCCTCCCTTCTTCCCTCCCTTTCTACACTTCCATTAAAACAAACACACAAAAATCAAATAAAGCATCAGATCATAGATATTTGTGGTCACACTGCCAATGCTTGGAACTTGAAAATTGGACCTAAGGAACAGATATGATTTTCGCCAGTGGAGATATGTAAATCAGCAAATCAGCACAAGCTCATAGGATGAGACCTAAAAAAAAAGAAAAAAAGTCAGGCCTGGCAGAAATTATGCTCTTTGAAAGTAAGAATTTAAACAACGCTGTGACTGTAAGTATCAGTGCTATACTACTGGTATTTGTGACAGTCAGACAGATCATCACACATATACAGGGCAAGAAAATCTAGAAAAATAATGGAACTATTTTTTCAACTTATCAAATAGGTCAATCACCTTATCTGAGAAAGTCTGTTAATTAAATAGCTTTTCGTATCCCCATGTTTCTATGGTCATTTTTAATTCTCATAAAACTGCTGTGATTGTATTACTACCAATAAGAGCTAAGATTGTATTCTTATGGGCATCACTCCACTCTATGTTTAACTAGGAAGAGCTACACCTAGAACCTGGCAGTGTTCATTTTACACACTCTAGGAAGTACGCTTGGCACAGTATACTTACCTAAGCCCACTCCCTCTATCATCTTAACCATGGATCTTGCACACAGTATGGACTTCACAAAGGAAAAGATGAACATCTAGATTCCTGCTGCTTGTTTGCTTCTCTGTGCCAACAGCTTAACTTCCATTATGGTTTTGCTTAGGCCAGTCGGGGAATCATTTTTGGCCTCTGAGGAGTCTCTTAAAAACAATTAACAATATCTTCATTTCTCTGATATTATGCAGCTTATTGTAGAACCTAATTACCAATCATTGTTGAGTCATCGGTTCTGTTATTCCTATTGATACATTTCTGTTAGCTATCCTTGGATGTACTATGTTGTCACATCTATGCTTCCCACACTTAAAATTCTCTAAAATGCTATTATAATCAGGGTAAAAGTTGTCCTTTTAAAACATTTTCTGACTCCCCTCACCATTGAGCAGATTTTCGTGAGACTCCATGAGCTTCTCTGTGAGATCACACTCTACTTGTCCTAGGCTGACAAGTGACTTCACAGCAACCATATGGTGGTAAAGCCATTCATATAAAAAAGCCTTTTTCATGAGCTGTAAGTTGGTCTGTAAAAATGTGTTTTGTTAATGTGGCTATAACAACAAATTTCTTCTGCTCAACTTCTATATGCAATTAAAAAAAAAGTTTCTCACGAGTTTTATCAGATCCATGGATTCTGGGGAGCATGGCTTTCCGTGCTCTTCCACCCCAGACTGCCACTGATCCACTGCCAACCGTGAATGATCTTGATGCCAGTCGTGTGTGCTGCAGGCCCCTGATTTCTAAGCCTGGCTTTATGACACAATTATCAGGGGAACCACATTAAAACGCTGATTCTTATGCCCTATATTCTACCCCATACCTACTGAATTTGAAACTCGATGGCAGTGGTAAGGTGAGCAGTTCTCAGATGAGAACGTTATTAGTCTTTATGTTTTTTGAAACAAATTACCCCTCTAGTCAACCCAATCCTAGTCCGCTTATTTGCATTTGAGAATTACTGTTTATTTGGTGTGAAAGCAAAGCAAATTTTGCAGGACAAGATATCAGTCCTCTGGTAAAGCTAAGGTAAAGGTAGCTATCCTTGTGCTTCCCTTTCATTTTGTGGGACTGCATTCTGTCATGAAAAGAGATTTGATATGTTTGACATGGGTACATCAGATGGTAATTACACTAAAAAATGAATTCATGATGACTTTCCTATTGTAGACACAGAGTATCCATATTGTTTGCTAAGTATCAGAAGACCTTTCATTCATTATAAATGATTATTTACTGGGAGCCCACCATATACCAGGCACCATACAGGTGTTCTGTTTCTCTGATTATACCCTGAATGATATACCCATTGTCATGTGTAATTAAGAATTAGTAGGCCACGCGAGGTGGCTCACGCCTGTAATCCCAGCACTTTGGGAGGCCAAGGCGGGTGGATCACGAGGTCAGGAGATCGAGACCATCTTGGCTAACATGGTGAAACCCCATCTGTACTAAAAATACAAAAAGTTAGCCTGTCGTGGTGGCAGGCGCCTGTAGTCCCTGTTACTCGGGAGGCTGAGGCAGGAGAGTGGCGTGAACCCAGGAGGCAGAGCTTGCAGTGAGCCGAGATCACGCCACTGCACTCAGCCTGGGCGACAGAGCAAGACTCCGTCTCAAAAAAAAAAAAAAAAAAGAATTAGTGATATAGATAAATCCCGAAGAAAATATCACCCAAATACTTGAATGAAATGTTCTACAGAAGTTCTTGACATTGTAATCAGATAAGCAAAGCACAAACCCACTTTATAAAGTATGAAAATGACTTTATACAATAAATGTTTCATTATGATAGTGTCTATGGGTGTGACATAATGTCTAGGGGCCAAGGTACAGCATGGAGTCTTCCCTGAGAGGTAGATAAGAAAGCCTTAAAAATGTAAAAGTGTACTTAGGACACAGAAATATTCACCAGTAGTGGGTGTATAAAGACATCCTTAAAGCCACAGTTTTACTAGAGAGGATCCCACCAACAGGAGATAGGGCAGTGGACCTCTTGGAATAGCAACACCATTTGGGTAGCAAGGATTATATCACAGGTACCTGTGGCTTCAAATATTACCCAAGTACTCTCTCTTTGAAACAGATTCAAAATGCAGTCTGGAAGGATTTTCAGCCATTGTGATATTTTTAATGTGTATAATCTTTGTAGCTATCTCTCTATTCCTTTACTTACACTTCAGTTTGCTAGATTATTTCTAATATGCTTAAGATTTGTAATGGAGGTCAGTCTCCAGGTTTGGCCAAAGGAGTAACAGCCAAAGTTTGTGAGTTGAGGAGTTATACTGTCAAAAGGTAACCCAGTCCTTAATTTCACTTCAAATATATGGAGATCCCAGTACAGTGATTAAAGACATTTTCATTCAACTCCAAATTCCTTGAAGACATAGGCTGTATCAAGTCATTCATGTAACTTGTAAGAATAATTTCACTTGTATTAGATTTATTTCTTTTAAATGTCCTAATGCAACCAGACTTATTCCGTAAAAACTACACTGAAGGCAATAATAATAAAATTGTCGCTGTAGAGAAATTTGAAAACCCAGAACACAGTAGCTCAGCCCTGTAATCCCAGTGCTTTGGGAGGCCAAGGTGGGAGGATGTCTTGACACCAAGAGTTCAAGATTAGCCTGGGCAACATAGCGAGGCCCTGTCTCTACAAAACAAAAGTAAAAATAAAACCCAGAACACACTAAGAGAGGAAGGAGGGGATTCAATATTCTGCCATAATCCTGACTGAACTCCAAGTCGTTACTGACACCCCACTGATGCCTTATTGAAAATAGTCAGTGTTTGGTTGTAAGAATTTTTCCAGAATTTTGACTTTGAAGTATTTCTTTTCTATTGATTTCCATCATCCTTTTGTTTGGGAATTTGTTCCCTTATTCCTAAATACTTTAATAGCCAGCTAACCGTCCTTCCTCCCTCTAGTTTGCCACATGGCCTCTGGGATTAAACTTCTTAAAACACCACTTGATTGGGCTTTAGATCTTCAATGGTTTCTTTCAATCACTGGATCCTGGATCCATAAGT
Organism: Homo sapiens; assembly: GCF_000001405.40. NCBI lineage: Eukaryota > Metazoa > Chordata > Mammalia > Primates > Hominidae > Homo > Homo sapiens. The sequence goes on along the minus strand of NC_000001.11, from coordinate 98,390,170 downwards.
CCTCAGTGAAGTCTGCCTAAATCCTCTCTCCATCTGAAAGCATTCTTTCTTTCCTTTAAACATTTTCTGTACCCTTTTAATGGCTTCTGATGCAATTCTACTTTTATTACAGTAATTTTCTTCCATAGCTTGTCTTCTGGACTCTACTGTTCTACTGTTGATGTCATGTCTGTGTCTGATTCATCTCTGGTTCCCATCAGGCTCCTGGTAAGAATGCTGAGCACATAGGAGCATAATGCTTTGCTAAGTGAATATTTGTAGGATGAACCAATGGAGACTCTCAGCACTCTAGAAATAGAACTGATAATTTCAGATTCTATAGCCAGTGCAAACTATATGTAATGGTCTTAGCCAAATATATTTATTAAAACCTTGGAACTCTGATCTTATACCTAAGATTCTGTTTAGCAATGAGGTGCAGTGAATTATAAAGCATGACTCCTAGGACATTGTGCTGACTGGGTGGCCAAATATTTACAAAACAATCCAGTTAACCATTGGCTTAGTTTTATCATCCATGAAATGGGGAGAATATCAGCCTCATGTTATTGTTGCTGTGGCTGGCCAAGACATCCTATGTGAAAATGTTATGAAAAGTTACAAGAACTATATAAAGATTCGGGTTATTGTCTTATTTTACAAACACCATTACTAAATTGATTATTTGCTTATCTGCTTCTCCCACATTTTTGCATATGTGAATATATGGACAGGGCTGGGTAAGGTGGCTCATACCCATAATCCCAGCACTTTGGGAAGCCGAGGCAGGAGGATCACTTGAGGATCAGGAGCTCTAGACCAATCTGGCCAACATAGTGAAACCCTGTCTCTACTAAAAATAAAAAAATTAGCCAAGCTTGGTGGCATGTGCCTTTAGTCCCAGCTACTTGAAAGGTTGAGGCATGAGAATCGCCTGAACCCGGGAGGTGGAGGTTGCAGTGAGCTGAGATTGCACCACCGCACTCCAGCCTGGGAGACAGAGTGAGACTCCATCTCAAAAGTGAAAAATAATAAATAAATAAATGAACAAACAAATAAAAATGAGGGAAAAATCTATTTAAACAGTGCTGAGACAAAATATTTTAGTATTCTTTACTATGCCTCTAAATATTTGATAGATTATTAGTAGACATAAACATAGAAGACACTATTTCACATTTGCATGTTAATGAAACATTATAAATTATACATTATTTTCTATGTGGAGTACTGGAACAGTATTCATTTTTTTATGGCCATAAAAACTTAGATTGTCTCCTGAAACAGACATCAAATCCCCTTCTGTAATAGTGCCAGAAAGATCTGCAAGCTTTTTAAACCATCTCTAGTGAAATCACATAGATTTGTTTGTGCCGCTTTGCAACACGCTAGTGTGAAAGTTCATTTTAAACAAAACAGTTTTAATAATGTCATTACTAATGTACATTTGGTCATCACTAAAAAATGGGGTTTTAATATGAATGTTTCATTTTAATAAACGGCAGAGGAAGCAAGTTGCCCTGAGTCAGCAGGAAGTGGTTATACACCAGAGAACAGCCTGATTGTGTTAGATTCATCCAGAACACTGAACAACCCAGAGACGGTCCAAGAAAAAACAACTGGCTTTATTCAAATGATTAGGCTTACTGCAGCTCAATACTGAGATTCACACATTCTCCTATTATTTCTTGACCTTGTGCCAGAAACTCCCACTTACAGTAATAATTAGAATTAGTGTTTCCAGTGCATGCCTCCATCTTCCTAACAAACAGTAAAAAAAAGTGGCGCTTACAAACTATGCAGTTAATGAACATTTTCTTTATTTTGTTTGATTAATACAGCACAATTTCCCTAAATCTTTACCATTACACCCAAGTATATCTTACTTTTATAGCTAAATCACTACAAGTACCACTACTAGTACTGTCAATACTAAAATTTTGAAAAGAACCAGTGTTTCTTTCTACCTCTCATTAAATTTTAAGAAACTCCTTTCATTTTCCGGGTCAGAGCACATATGTAAAGCTGTCTTTGACTGCTGTTATTCGGGGTTCTGTGCATTTTTGGTCCAGTAAAGTAGAAAACCGTAAATACCACAAATACTGAATCACAAATGTTGCACTTAGCATATAACACAAATTACTGTGCCTGTTGTTTTAATGAGCACAGTTTGTGGAAAGGTCTGGAAGGGCCCATGAAATCTTTGTAGATGTTGATCAAATGCTTCTGTCTACATTGCCGGTCTGAACCCCTCACCAGGCTTCTCCTTAAGCTCAGCACGCACTTCCACGAGGGGATTGGCAAGAAGAGTCATGTCATATTTATGCGTTCAGTGATTCTTGTAGCTCTGTGGTTATTACCACTCACAGAAGCCTAACACATACATCCTAGGAGTTTACCCTTAGTTGGCAGGACCTAATGGGAAATCAAATAGGAATCATAAGGTGTGAAAAACAAACAGGAGAAAAATAATCAAAACTTAAAGAAATACTTAGTAGAATAAATAGGAAGAGTGAACTGAATTCCTTGTAAGAGATAGAAGTCAGGATTGGAATCCCAAAACCTAGGTTGGACCCCATACCTCTGCCACTAACTGATTTTACTCTGACTGGATGAGGCATCAAGTTAGGAAATTTGGACACTCTGAGCCTTAGTTTTCTTATTTACAAAATTAGGCGAGCAAAATTCCTACTTCAGTCACCTCACTGGTTTGTTGTCAAGAATAAATAAATGGATGCAAGTCTTATAAAGTCTACATGGCTACTGGTTGGTGAGTTTTTGAGTTCATGGCAAGAGACTGTATGGTCAATCCATCACCTTGCTCCCTTGCTTCAAGCCCTTTTTGGCTTCATGCAGCACTTGCTATCCACGCCCCTTGCTTGGCCTACAAGTCCCTCCTAGCCCTGGGCTCTGCTACCCTTTTCAGCATGGTCTCCTACATGCAGCAGCCACATGGGCCTGGGAAGAGGCCAAGATCATTTTCACTTCAAGACCTTTGATATGCAGAGCCCTGTAAATGGAATGCCCTTTCTGGAGAACCTGATGAGGCTGGCCCTTTTTCCTTCTAGCCTAGCTAAATTTTACCTCTTCAGTGGGCCTTTCTTCGCCTCTAGCTACAGTACCTTCTCCCACAGCACTCCCTATCTAACCTATTGTCTTTTTGCAATCTGAAATTATCCTCCCTGCTTCTTCGCTCACCTGATTATCCAAGAGTCCTCACAGAATGTAAGCTAACTAAGAGTGGGACTATTGCCTGTCATGTTCACTGCTTTAAAATTGGCACCTGGAAAAGTGCCCAGCCTGTAGGAGGGACTCAATAAAACTTGTTGACTGACTGATGAATATGACAGTTGGCAGTTCACTGGGAGGGATAGATAGTGGGAAGGGCCCAGCTGGTGTATGAACACCCCGACCACTGCCCTTTTTGTAAACCATGTTAAATGTGTTCTGTGCCTTCATACTATGGCTCCTGGTCTCTTCCTGTCTGAACTACCCATGTATCTCCACTCTATCTTATCTCCCAAGGTAAAAGTAATAATAATAATTATTATTATTGAAAAAAGGAGCAATTATTATTATTGCTGAAAAAAAGGAGCAATATCCTTTTCCTGAGTGATAAATTGACTGATACAAGTCAATTATCTGTCAAGAGTAATAATAATAATTGGGCACTAACTTGTAGCTAAGTATTTTACATATGTAATCTCATTTAAATTCTTAGAATATTTTATTTTTGAGTGAACCAAGGATTAGAGAGATGAAGTAATTTGTAGAAGGTCTCACCACCGCAAGAGGCAGGGCTTGCCCTCAAATGCATGTTGGTGAGAGACTCATGCTATCTCCTGCATCATACTGCTTTGTATATAGCAAAGCCCTTGCGGAGAAGAACTCACACTCTTGCTTCCACACAGCTGGACTCATTTTTTCTTCCCCCCAGTATCCCCTATCCTGGGTGATAAATTGACAGAATTATCAGAGAAATGAATCAGGCAGCTCATGCTCTTGTTTTTTCATTAATGTATATATCTTTTCAGAGGCCTTCTGAATACAAAATAACTGGCAAAGGGACACTCCAGATTGATGATCATAATACTAGCTTACATTTATGGAGCACACACTATGTGTTAGGCATTTGAAGCTTCATGACAACTCTATGAGATATATCATATTTGGATCCCTTCTCACAAATGAGGAAACTGAGCCACAATAGAGTTTAATAATTTGCCTCATGTCACACAGCTAGCAAGTGGTGGAGCTGGGATTTGTACTCACTAGTATGACTAATAGGCAGTGTGCTCAATCACTATGTTAAGCTGATGGGCCCCCGAGATCAAGGCAAGGGCTAGCTTACTTGGCCTATATGTAAAAAAAATCTCATCTTTAACAGCAACTCATTTTTCCATGTAACATCTGGCCTAAGATGAGCCCTTAAATAAATCATTTTCCATTTTTTGGCAATGTTAGTTAATGCTTCAGTCTTGTGATTATTTTTAATATTAGAATGATAAAAAAGTAGCACAGTCTTGGATAAATAAACAACCTATTTTTCATTTGTACAGATGAGCCATCATCCAAATAATATCATTAATCACCTTAATATATCTATCACCATCACTTTCTCTAGACTTGTTTCTTCCTTTGTCAATGAGAAATGTATGAAATAAAACAATTGTGTGATAAGAAATCATGCAAACAATTCACTGGCATTTCCCGTTTCTATTTTAGAATTTTTGTTGCTGTTGTTAAAATCTCAAATATTACAGATTTTAGTTAGGCCCACAATATCATTAAATTTCTCAGTTAAATAAGGGAGGATTTTATTTAAAAAGGAGCAGAAATAGTTGCACAAAGACTCCTAAAGTAAAGGTAGTTTTAATGAGACCTTTTTTTTCACTAAAAATGAGATATATTTTAGAGAAAGTCAACCAAAAGGGGAAAAAATATGACAGAAATTTTGGATCAGGCATTTTCGTAATTAACCACCAATTTCCTGATGATAAGGCAGAAAGCAAGCTAAGTCTTGGAGAAATTGCCCTCTGGGGAGAAAGGAAAAAAGGGATTTTTAGTTTGACAGTTCAACCTTGTACCAGCACCGTTTTCTCCTTCTGCCAGTTCAAGGAGTTCTAAGCACCCTTCTGTAAATCATCATCTCACATCTATTTATTATCTTCCAGCTCAGTGCACAATACTATCTGTTACACATGGATACCAGCAATAATACACGGGGGGCTCTGGTGTAGGAGACAGTAAGCTCTGTGCTCATCCACGTTCCGAGTCTCATCCTGCAACAGGGAGTTCCTGCTCACGCTGTAGCCACCATCATCAGCAATTAACACAAAGGTATTATGTTTCTAGTATTCATTCCTCTTTACTTTACTTATGCAATATGATGTTAGCCACCCAATGCTATATGGATACAGAAAGTGTCTGACTGCCTTACAGCAGCATAAGGTGGAAGAGATTATGTTTATTTATTTAATTTTTTTACTGTTAGAGAGAGCAATTTAATAGGAATTTGGTAACCTGCGTTACAAGATACTTGTATACACAGTAGCACTGTTTCTGTTCAGTGGAGAGCTAAAATAAAATGAATTCCACATCCCTGCCAGAATGCTACAAAAATGTTAGCTATTATTGCAGAAGAGGAAATCAAACCCAGTGGAACAAAAATTAAGAACTTTAAATGTATGCTATGTTGCAGTGATTCTCAACACAGGCTCTGAAAAGCTTTAAAAAAAAAATCCAGACACCCAGCGCCCATCCATGAGAGATTCTGATCCAATTAGTCTGGGGTGGGACCCAGGCACTTGCATTTAAAAAAAAAAAAAAAAAAAAAAAAACCTCAGATAATTCCAATTTGCCCGCAGAATTGAGAAAAAACTGATCTGGGGACAAAACTTCAGAGCCCAATTTGTTTTAGTACTAGCACAATCGTTTACTTGTGAGACTTTCTACCAGTGCTTCATCTTTCATTTTGTTTCTAGGTTTCATCTATCATAAAGAGTTGTCATAACAATTAATTAAATCTTGTAAGTGAAACTACCTTGATAAGCATAAAATGCTATAAAAATATAAAATGAAAAATAAATGAAAGAAATCTCTGAAATCAAAGAATTGTGAGGTCTATCATCAATTCTAACATGATTTTTAGACTCAGAATATTTGTCTGACTTCAAGCACATCCTTTTACATATCTTAACTTTAGTTTCTGTACCTGTAAAATGGAAACAACGTATTCAACCTGCAGCTCACAGCAAAAGAAGATAAATACCCCTATTTTATAGAAGTGTGAGGATTAAAAGACAGTATCTTTAAGGTATGATTCCAATCCAGTTTAGTTTTGTTCCTCTTCCCTTAAGGTTTATCTCAGAATCAAATAAGTTAATATATGTGAGAGCATATTATAATTATGATTCATTATCATTATGCTGTTGTTATTGTTATGTTTTCATTATGCCTCATTTTATTTAGCTGTAAAATGAGAGTATTGAACTCAATCATTCTAAAAACATCCTGTAAGCACTAAAATCAGTGATTGTTAAAAAACATGGACAACCTTTGTACTCACTTGATTCTGATTCTGTGTGTGTATGTGAGAGAGAGAGAAACAGAGACTGAGAGAGAGAGAAAGTGCGTGTGTGTGTGTGTGTGTGTGTCTGTGTAAGTTTCAGGAAAAAAAAAATTAATGAAAGGAAGTTTCCTGAGTTGCGTTAGCCTAGAATTCATCACACTTCGTGACTGCATTATTTCTCTGGGACAATTCACAGGAGAATTCTGAAGAGTTCACAAACAAGAATCTTGTTCTATTCTGGAATTTAGGTGTACCTTGACTTGGGCTGATTTTATCTGGTTTGGATACTGAGATTTAACTTTGTTTCAAGCCAAAAGTCTGAAGGAGCAAGCCCAGTAACTATATGCTGCTCTCTAGAATAGCCTGAAGATGTCCAATTCAAGTTGCTGGAATGTCTGAATCACTTAGAAGCACCGAACCTCCTCAAACAGACCCGTGTAGCCAAATTTCTGATGCTAGATTTGGAGGAGTAAAACACATTTCTGGATTTCTGAAAGCATTCAAGGGAAGTAACAGGAAAATGCTGTGTTCTGTTAGTAGGTGTGTACATGTGCAGGTTCTCTATTGTGTGAATCTTCAAACTGGTGTTCTCTGTGGGATCATTTTCTTTTGGGTATAAATATTCTCAGGTTTCTCCACTCTTAAAACAACATCAAAATAAAAATAGAAATTAAAAATCCTCTCTTCCACCAAATATTTCTTTCTAGCTGCAGCACTACCTCTCTTCTTGCTTTCATAACCAACATGCTTACAGCACCATCTGTGTCTGCAACCTATGTTTCGTCTTTTCTGATTCATCCTTAAATGCCCTGTAACCTGGCCTTGTCTCTACCTTTGGCCAAGACTGGCAGTGTTCTCCTATGTGTTAATTTCAAAATGCCAGTTCTTCCCTTATGTGATCTTACTGAGTACTACTGCACTTCTAATTCCATCGGCCACTCCTGTTATCTCAGACCTTATCCTCCCTTGGGTTTATAACACTGATCACTCCTAGTTTTTCTTCTCCCTCTCTGCCCTGGCCTTGGCTTTCTTCAGGCCCTTCTCATGCCATTTGGTTATTATACACTGATTTCCCAGGAACCCACCCCTATACTCTTCTTCCAATCACTCTACACACACTTTCTGGACAGGCTCATTCACTTGCATGGTAGCAATCACTACCATTCCTGAGTTCCTCAAAAGCAGCCTAAGTGGGGCAAATCTTTACATGCTACTACTTTCTTAGGAAGTACAGTCTCAGAAAAGCATGAATGAGCAAAAAAGAAAATGAGTAAGGGAAGGAGTAAGAGCAAACACAGCTGCAGTTTTGTGAAAAGCACAACTGATTTTTCTCTCACAGTTTGCTTCAAAAAGGCTGTATGTATTCCCATGTGTCTGGACAGTGTCCTATGCATCTTCAAATCCAATATATGCAACTTTAAATTGAACATCTTCTTCATTGTTCCAGTCTCAATATCTGCTCCTCCAACAGCATGTTATTTTTCTGTGAGTGCTACTTTCATCAACCTACGAAACTTAAATCATCCTTGAGCTTTCCTTCTGCCTCACACCTCCCTGTCCTGATATCTCGAGGTCACCTGATTTCAGCCCCTCTTCCACTCTCACCATTCATGCCTTCATTTGGTTTTTATTTTTTCTTAACTTTTTTTCATTCTTCCACTCATTATTTTTCCAATCCATGCTTCAGCATCCGGGGTTACCTTCTTAAAGAAATATTTGGTAAAGTAATTCCTTGGCATACAAATACTTAAATGACTTACCAAAGCATTCAGGATAAGGGTGGAAGTGCCTAGCATAACATGATCTGAACTTGACTTCCACTTCAGCTATACCTTGCTCCATTCCTCTTTTTAAACTTTGAGATTTAGCCACATTGAATGACCTGTAAGTTTCTCCGGAGTGTTCTGTCTCGTTATGCATTCTTCCTCTGCACATGCTCTTTATACTAATTATAATGTCCCCCTCCCTCAACTTCTTCTTCTAACTTATACCTGCTCATCCTGCAAGACTTATACCGTCTTCCCCAAAACCCTTAACCTCAACCAGTCCCCTTCCTGCCATATGGGCTCAGTACCCTTACCGTTTGCTCTCTTTACATGCTAACATTGCACTTCTCACACACCCTGCTATGAAAATATTTTTTGACAAACGTAAGTGAATGGCTAATTTTACCTGTACTTAACTGGGTTAAGGGATGCCTGGATAGTTGGTAAAATATTATTTCTGGGTACACCTGTGAAGGCCTTTTGGAAGAGATTTGCATTAAAATTGATAGACCGTGTAAAGAAGATCTGCCCTCATCAATGTGGGCAAGCATCATCCAATCTATCGAGGACCTGAATAGAACAAAAGGGGAGAAAGGGGAGACTTGCTCTCTCTTTTTGACCTGAGACATCTCCTATCATGTATCTCCTCTATGTGTATCTCCTATCGGTTCTGTTTCTTTGGAGAACTCTGAAAATACAATAAGTCTTGGAGATTTCCTATTTGCAGGCACTGCTTAACCAAACTTGCCAAATCTTGGATGCTGGGTGGGTTGAGTAAGCCAGTGCCCATGAATAAATTAGACTATGCTAACAACAACAAAAGAGTTACTGGATGTTTTTCCATCACTCGAATTGTGTCAGGCAGAGTGCTAAGTATTTTACGTATACAATCGAATTGTCAAAAAATTAGTTTTGGGTTAGTCTATTTGTATTCCTTTTTCAGACCCAGGTTAAACCACAGGCAAATGTATCCCTGCGACCAGGATCAGATTTCCTTTCCAGCATTCCTTGCTGCTGTTCCAGGACTCTTCCTTCTATTAAAAGCTAACATTTATTGTGCTCTTACTATGTTTGAGCCAGGCACTGAGCTAAGCCTATTAATCTTCACAACAACCTGATGTGATAAAGACTATTTTATTCCTATGCTGCAGAGGAGAAAAATACAGCACAGGGAGATAAAGTAACTTTACCAGGATATATTTATAGTAAGTGCTAGAGCTGGGATTTCATTATAGACCCCAGATTCCAGAGCCCGCACACCTCTCAACATGCCATTCCTGTAGCCAGATGATATTGTGGTTGAAGGCATAAGAAAATACAGGCATTGAGAAACCTGGCTTCTGGTCTCTGCTCATTTTTATTAAGCTACAAAACTTTGTCGTGGTCACTGGTCACTGGAACTCAGTTTCCTCATCTATCAAGAGTGTGGAGTTTAATTCTGACATTCACTATGCTTTCTTCTGACTTCTATTTTGGTGACTCTATTCTAAATGTTAAACTGAGCTTCACAAGCTCCATGGGAAAGGGAATCATCCATGTAGTCTTGACAGCCAAAAAACCCATTTGCAAAAGATAAAGAAAAAAAAAAGAGCCATTCACCAGAAGAGTGACAGGACAGATACAGGCCTACACACCTCGTACTAGGAATCCAAATGTCCCTTTGGATCGGTCTATTCCAAATGACCTCACTGTTGCTTTTTAAACCAGTTTATTATGGAAACAGTTTATAAAATTATTCTTCCTTTGTTCAGTTATCTTGAATTTTTATCTTCACTTATTTTGCCAGTTAGATAAATAAAGTTACTTTCCAGAACTACTCAGGCACATCCTTCAGGGGACTGAACAACCACAAGGAAGCCACTTTGTAGCTCGTGTCTCTGAAGATGAGGACCCCCAAGCTAAGGAAAACACCAAACACCATATTTCCAGGGATACATTTAGGAAAGAAATATGATTCCAAAAGAAAGCAGCCTGCGTGACACAGTATGTATCTTCCCAATCACCCTAGTTGTGAGATCATGGTTTTAAATCTTACCTAAGCAGCCTCCAAAGGTAGGGATGTTGTGGGGGAGGTGAAAGGAAGAATTAAGTGTGTATGTAAAAGGGTCCCTTTCCAATGGAGGTCTCTACATTTTGCAATTAATGAAAGATTAAGAGCTCTGGCTCCAAGCCCTGACTTTCAGTCCAGGCTGAATTAGCTACACAGCCTCCGATGTCTCCTCATCTCTCTGAGTCTCTGATTATCTACCTACAAAATAGGTAGCTGGACAAAAACGAACTCTTAAGTTCCTCAGAGTTCTAAACATTCTATAATGCTGATTTTTGCTAAGGATCCAGAATTTGAATTTATTTTGTAATCCCAGATATTGCCACTGAAATGTTTTTTTGTTTGGCCAGTTTCATAAGCTCAGAATTTCACACTCAGTACAAAACATAATAAAGGCAAACAAAACAAAACAAACCCTAACAAACAAAAATCCCTCCTATTCCTGTCATTGAGTTTAAAGATGAGAAAGTGGGCTGCAGGTGATTGTCTTGGGTAAACTGCAGCGTGATCACCTTATCCTGACTTGGGACCCTCTTCTCTTGGATCAGAACCAGACCAGCTTTACGAGGAAGCCAGTTGCCTCTCAACATCTCATCTGAGTTAAATTTGAATAAAAAAATTGCAAATAAAACCCAAAAAAGGTGTTTGTTTTTTTTTTAGAAGTCAACAAATTGCTGTTAACTAAAAGGTTGTTTGGGCTCTGAATCAATTTTATTTCTTGTCTTTTTGCTCTTTTGAAAATAAAAAATCTCATTTCCAGCTCATAAAGTAGCATTAGTTCTTATTATTCCATACATTAGAAGTCAACTGGTAATTCATACAAATTAAATTAGTGATTTTGCATTTAATTTACTGACGACAAACTATAGGATTCAGCAGTTTGGCTCTGATAACTTTTAAAATGTATTAATTTCACCAGTGATTTACATAAGGGTTTATTTCCCACTGCTACAGCTTCATTCTCCAAAGCAGAAATGCCCCCATGGTTTTTCAATTTGTTACCTAATCAGCACAATATATTCCTCCTTTTCTTCCTTTTATATTGTCTCCTAAATTTGAAACTTCAATATTTGAAGAAATTGTACCAAGAAACCTCACATGGCTTTTCTATTTCTGGGAACCTTTAAAGGAATAAACTGAGAAAAATTATTGCATTGAACTAGTGGTACTGCTTGCAAACACAGCAGTGTTAAGATGATTGCATTCAAATGAATTTTTTTTCAAATCATGATACTTGGACATTTCAAAAATATTTCCACAAATCCACCTAAAGCTCCTAATATCAATATATCAAAATCCTTGGGAACTACACCGATGACAAATATTGAAGTTCTGAAAAGCAGTTTCCTAAGGTGATTCTGATGAGGCATACCGTGTGACAAAAGCCGTTCTCTACTCCCTAAATGCCCCCGTTCTGGCACCAGACTGAGGAAGTAAATTCTCTCCAACCTTGTGCTTCTTTATTGTTATCTCCAGGTTAGAGGACCCCAGAGACAACTGGGGTGAAGCCACAGTTAAAAAAAACTCAGGCTTTGCTAGTCAGACAGAAATCCAGTTTCTTTAACTTACTATAATTCTATGAGCATCATAACTATATACTTCACATCTAGTTAAACCTCTGGCAAAAAACAAAAGACCCTTCTTCAGATTTTAAGGTGATTTTGGAGGTGTTTGTCTTGGCTAAAGGCAGTGAAATCAAACCGTGTATTGAGAGTGAAAATATTCTATTTTTCCAAACTCAATTCAACAAAAGTGCTTGTCTCACAGGAAAAAAAAATACAGCGATGAGCACTAGGAAGTACCAAAGTCCCCACCACAAGTGTCTGGTGCTCCATGTTGGGGGTGCAGAACATTTGGATGAACCAAGGAAGTCGATGCTGGTGGGCAAGAGTTTGGGAAGAAATGAACGTGTATTTGGAATTTTATACTGGGCAGAGATAAGCGTTACAGAGAAAGTGGGAAGAGATTTGGCCATTTGAGTAGAAATATCTACTTTCTAATATGCCTTGGAAAGTTGACAAAGAAGAAACCTTCAAGGCAACTCTTTTTTGAAGGCTGCCCTAGAGAAACTTGTTTTGAATGTAAATTGAAAGAACAAATAAGGCAACAACAGTAACAGCCTTAAAGAGATTCAGTAGTCTATAGGGATGAAATACAGTCAGCCCTCCGTATCCATGGGTTCTGCATTCATGGATTCAACCATCCCTGGATAAAGGCATTCAAAAATTATTTTAAATAATTTAAATAATTTAAATAAATTAAATAAAAGGCATTTAAAAAAATTTAAAAATAACAATACAATAGTAAAAATAAGAAACACTACAGTGTAACAACTATTTACATGGCATTTACATTGTGTGAGGTATTATAAGTATGTAAAGGTGATTTACAGTATATGAGAAAATGTGTGTAAGTTATATGCAAATACTATGAGATTTCTTTATTAGGGACTTGAGCATTGGCAGATTTCAGTGTCTGTTGGGGGACCTGGAAACAATTCCCTGCAGATACTGAGGGACAATGGTAATACTCATAAAAAGTCATTCATCTTAAGTCATCGTATTCTTTTGATTGCGTTATGTTATATCTATTCTTCGCCACGTTTGAGTTCTTCTGACACTGAATCTGTGAGGTAAAAATATATGATGTACTACAAATTTTATTCATAACAAAGTAGACATACCATACCATGATATAAGCTATGAAACATTACTTTTACATGGCTAAATTTGTTTTTTTATTTATGTATGTTTCTTATAAAATACAGTTTCTTATGTAAATGTTTCCATTTTCTTTGTACACTGTTTTATAAACACTCCCTTTATCTTTTTCTTAATGTTTATTTCTATGAAAGAGGCTCTGGTTTTATTTATTTGTTGATTTGTGTGACATTTAAGCCAAGTCCATTTCTTAAGCCTTCTTTTTTTGTAATTCACATTTTCTGGCTTAGTAGCTATTCCAGATGAATGTTAGAAACCATGTTTTTTCATTTTCCATTTTCCAAATAAATTCTCTTGGTTGATTACTATTCTTTTCTTTTTTTTTTTACTTTGTATTTTACATTCTCACATTTTCACTAGGAATAAAAAGAGAAACAAAGATTACAACTTTGACTTAACTAGAATCTATACTTAATCAAAGCGATGAATTTGTCTTCAGTTCCCCCAACATCCTCAATGTATCTCCAGTTTCTAGAACAGTGTCTGGCACAGAGTAGGCAGCCAAACATGTTTTTTAAGGAATTAATTATTAAAAACACTCCCAAGATCAGTTGATCCATGAATCTTCCCAAGGCCAGCCCAGGAATGGTACCAGTCCAAATGGTCTGCACCAAAGTAAAACTGGTGGGGTTTTTGCCAAGCAGAGCTGAAAGCAGTCTAATGAATCCTATCCCCAAAGGGAAGCTAGAGGTCAAAGCCATTGTAAAATATCATTTTACCTAGAGTGTAGATAGAGTGCCAGTTCTTAGCCTCTTCTTAAATGTTCCATCCTGCTTTTATTAATTGGGCATGTCCCATTAATTTCTAAGGCATGACAACATCTATGATTTCACTGATCATAATGTGGGTAAAATCAGTCTAAAGAGCATATCATATTTTTGAACCAAACAAGTGACTTCTAAAGTGTAACTGGGAGAGCAAAAAAATACCAGTGAAAGGAATTAGAAGTAAGCCACTAACCCAGGTCATTACTTTAAGATAGCATAGTAAGTTCTCAGTCCAGGTGACTTGGATATTTATTTCACTGAAAAGAAAACAATGTATGTATTTATCAAACAGCATGACATCATTCTTAAAAATATATGTATAAGCCTCATGATGGGCATTTGAAATATTTGCTTTTTAAAGTAACATATTCTAAAATAATATCCAATTTACTCAATACAAGTAAGGATATATATCATCAAAGTATTTGTATTTTATTTAAACTCTTTCATGCAAAATATGCATGTTTATCAGAAACTATTTAGCCTCTAGAATGTCTGACCTAATAGATTTTGGTTATATCTCTATGAGGCTGCATTAGTTTGTTATGGTAATACAAGCCAAAGTTTAAATGTTATTACATGGTTAAGAAAGATACCTTTATTTATTCATTTAGTTATTTGTTTAGAGAATAAGACCATGTTCTAGTGCTTAAGGAAACTGATTTGCAAACAAGAATCCTACATCTTGTTTTAGTCTCTATTTTTGGCATTTTATGTAGTCTTAGGCAACCACCTTTGCAGTCTGTCCTTAGCACCTGCATTTGGAGAATCTTCCTGCCAAGGAGATTCCAGGAGTCAAATCAGGGAAGTTCTGAGACAAGATTCTGGTTCGAATAAGCACAACTTATTCTTGCCATAACACAAAAAAGGTTTCTAAAATGTGAAGATTACTTCTACCCTACCAGCTGTTCCAAATGTGTCAGATTATTTTCCATCTGCTTGTGAGTGGGAGCAATGAGGAAAAAGGCCTCTCCTTTGTGCACAATTTGCAACATTAAAACTTCTAGTCATAATGTTGACGTTTCTGTGATTGTAGTATAGTCGTCTTTCACATAATGACATTTTGGTCAACAAAATGGACTGCACGTATAATGGTGATCCCGTAAGATTATAACAGAGCTAAAAAAGTCCCTATCCACTGGGGACGTTGTAGCTGCCATAACATCATAGCTCAATGCATTACTCACCTGTTTGTGGTGATACTGGTGTAAACAAGCCTACTGTGCTGCCAGTTGCATAATAGTCTAGCATATATAATTATGCTTTTCTTTTTCTATGTTTAATGTATCCAACTGATTCTTTTAATTTTTATTTTCATATTTAATGTAATAGCACATACAATTATGTACAGTTCATAATAATAATAATGAATAATTATGTTACTGGTTTATGTATTTACTATACTATACTTTTTATCATTATTTAGAGTACATTCCTCCTACTTATAAAAAATTGTTAACTGTAAAACAGCCTCAAGCGGGTCCTTCAGGAGGTATTCAGAAGAAAGCATTGTTATCATAAGAGAGGGCACTCCCTGCCTGTTATTGTTCCTGAAGACCTTCCAGTGGGACAAGATGTAGAGGTAGAAGACAGTGATATTGATGATTCTGACCCTGTATAGGCCTAGTCTAATGTGTGTGTTTGTGTCTTAGTTTTTAACAAAAGATCTAAAAAAGTAAAATAAATAAATAAAAAATTTTAAAATAGAAAAATGCTTATAAAATAAGTATATAAAGAAAGAAATACTTTTGTACAGCTGTACAATGCATTTGTATTTTAAGCTAAGTATTATTACAAAAGAATCAAAACTTAAAAAAATTAAACAATTTATAAAGTAAAAAGTAATAGTATGCTACTGTTAATTTAGTATTGAAGAAAACAAAACCTCATACAAATTTATTGTGGAAAAAAACCTCATATAAATTTATTGTAGTTTAAGTGTACAGCATTTGTAAAGTCTACAGTAGTATAAGGTAATGTCCTAGGCCTCCACATTCACTGTGAAGACCACTAGGCCTTCACTCACTCACTGACTCACCAAGAACAAATTCCAGTCCTGCAGGCTTCATTAATGTAAAGTGCCCTATAGAGGTGGACCACATTTTATCTTTTATATTGTATTTTCACTCTATCTCTTCTACGTTTAGATGTGCTTAAATATTCTTGCGTTACAGTTGCTTGCAGTATACATTATTACATTGTGTTACCATTGCTTGCAGTATTCAGTATAGAAACATGCTGTACAGGCTTATAGCCTAGGAGCAATAAGCCCTGTCCTACAGCCTAGTACACACCTAGGCTCTACCATCTCAGCTTGTATAAGTGCACTCTATGATGTTCCCACAACAATGAAACCACCTAACAACGCATTTCTCAGCACCTATCATTATTATTAAGCTACACATGATTGTATACAACATTTTTTTTTCCTTCATCACCCAGGCTGGCATGTAGTGGTGCAAAAACAGCTCACTGCAGCCTTCATCTCCCGTGCTCAAGTGACCCTACCCACTCAGCCTTCCCAGTAGCTGGGACTATAGCCGCACACCACCACCCCCAGCTAGTTTTTGTAATTTTTTAGAGATGAGGTGTTGCTGTGTTGCTTGGGCTGGGCTGGTCTTGAACTCCTGAGCTCAAGCAATCTGCCCACCTTGGTCTCCCAAAGTGCTGAGATTATGTGTGAGCCACCAGACCCAGCCTGTATATAACTTTGAGCTAAACAGTATATGTTGGAGAAAGGCCACAGCCAGAAGAACAGTACAAGCTCACGTGTACCACAAGTTTCAGAGCATTCCAAATCATGCAAAATTTATTTGAAAAGAGGGAAGTAACTGCTAATGTAAACAAATATATATTAGGTTGGTGCAAGAGTAATTTTGACTTTTGCCATTACTTTTAATGGCAAAAACCGCAATTACTCTTGCACCAACCTCATATATATGTTTTAGAAATAGAATCAATGCCGTTTCACTTAGTTAATAACTCCTGCTTATTCTTTAAAGCCTATCTGCTGCCACAGATCTGTATTCTAAAGCAGAGGTCCAAAGCAGAGATAATTACTTCCTCTTTTGTGGTGTCCCTGTAGTTTTATATTCCTGGATTATGGCATTCATGCAACTACTTATATAATGGCTTTCCCCACTTCTTCTTTCTTTTGCCCTTAGCTGAAATTTGGGATTATGTTATTCAGTGATATTCATCTCAACATTTTGCCTATCACACAAGAGACACAAAGTAAGTTTGGTTTATTTATTGAACATGCCACAATTTTATTTTTATTCTCAGAATCAAATTTTGTTTACTTCTATGTAGACAGATGCTGTAGTCCAGGGGTTAGTAACCTTTTTCTGTAAAAGGCCAAATAGTAAATGTTAGCAATTGTCGGCCATATGGTCTCTGTTGCAGTTACTCAGCTCTGCTGTTGTATTGCAAAAGCAGCCATAAACAATATCTACATGGAGGAGGTTGGTTTTTTGACAATAAAACTTTATTTACAAAAACAGGCAGTGGGCTGGTTTTGGTCCACAAGCTATAATTTTTCAATTCTTGCTTTAGTCTACTAAAGAGATTCTCTCTCTACTCCTTGCCCTCATTTTTCTTTCTTCCCGCAATGTGTTTCCCTAATGCTACCATGAGCTCCTGTCCTCATTCTCTCTTCTTTTGTCATCTGGTAAATTCATTCTTAAATATTAAGACTCCATTCCAGCAGAACCTCCTTTATGAAATATGTCTTGATCTCCTTAAAAAGCATTGACCATTCTCTCCTTTGGGCTTCCACCACGGCTCTGTTATGTGATGGATCCCATCTAATGACATTCACTTGTGTAAATTTCTGTCTCTCGTTTTTGACTGGGAATGCCTAGTGGTTAGAATTGGGTAATTAATCTGAGTATCCCTATTACCTAGCATATGTCTGGCACACAGTAGTTACCTAATAAATGTTTGCCAAATTTTTAGAAATAATTGATTATTACCTGGGATGCAGAGTACTTAGAGATAGATGACAAAGTATGAATACATAATTTTAAATAGGTGTTACACTTTTTCATTTATATTTGCTAGATTTGCAAAGTCAACAACTAGCTCGTAATGTAACCAATTATGTCATGAAGCAGCCAGCATTTCAATCTCTTCCATTAGGATAGAAATCACATCCTTTCATTGAAAAAATATGCAACTGGGATAAAAGTGAATTCCAAGTCTGAGGGATAGCAATTAGCAAAATCAGTGTCTGGGGCACTGCCTGTATATAATTGGACTCATGGACTATTGCCTGTAACAATTGCAAAACAATATCTAGCACTTGCCTTGTTCAAGCTGCTTTGTGCAAAATAATCCATTAGAGCAGGCTTATAGATCCAACAGCAACATGCCACACCCCTAAGTAAACTCTGAGCTGTTGCCTGTGCTGAATTTTATTGCTCTTGATGGACTGCACTTTTCAATATGCTGTTTCCCACATCTGTGGCCCTATTTCCAAGAACAGAAAGGATATGTGGAGCTTACTTTCCTAGTCAGAAATTTTACTTTTTCAGCATAGTCAGGCCTACAAATCTGAGCTGAGCGTCTCCTTTCTATTGGTTTTTTCTTAAGTATTGATGAGAAATTATTGTGCAATTCTGGCTGGGTTTTCACTATGGAAATGGAATGGATTTTGAAAGCTCTGCCGAATACTAGCAGGTTAGCCCCGTCTGGAAGGATATTTTAGGTCTGATTTAAGTTAACACCTACCCTGAATTCCTCAGAATTGGCATTTATATCCAACTTTCATTGCCACTTGCATTCAGGTGATTCTTAATCTATGTCCCTAGTCTTAATTACTCTCTGAGCACCAGATCCTAAATTTGGACAATACCACACAGAAACCAATTCAGAGCTTATTTAACTTTCTCAACTCAAAACCAAGCTAAATCTTTAAGGTGCCTCTAGGAAGAAAGCCAACTCTATCACTCACTAGCCAGAAAACACTTCCTGTGTCCATCTCATTCCTCTGTGAGACTCCCCATTCCTATTCAAATATCTCCATTACCCTTCTAAGGCAGAGAAACTATAGAACTTATTAAGAGTCAACTCTGGAGTCTGTTGGATGCCTAGTTAATGCAAATACAGGATGTCCAGTTAAATTTGAATTTTAGATAAAGAATAAATAATTTTTAGTATAAGTATGCCCCCAAATTGCAGAGAAATTAAAAGTACTCTCTAATTATTGTATTGCTCCACTAAATTGCAGGGGACATACTTATATTAAGAAATTACTCATTGTTTATTGAAATCCAAATTTAACTGCGTGTCCTGTATTTTTATTTACTAATTTTCAAAATCCTGAATTATGCCATTAATCATCTAAGCTTGCCAAATTTCTGAGCCCTTTTGTTGAATGGCTACAATAATGGTACCTACCTTCCTAAGGTACTTAGCTATGTAACATGTTAAAACAGTGCCTGGCACATGGTGAGTGATTAGTAAGTGTTCCCTAATTTTATTATTCTGATCATCTAGAGCAGGGATGGGCAAACTTTTTGTAAAGGGCAAGATAGTAAATATTTTACACTTTGCAGGTCATATGGTCTCTTTTGCAACTATTTGACTCTGAGACTGTAGTGTGGAAGCAGCCATAGACAATTTCTAAACAAATGGCCATGATCATGTTGCAATAACAATTTATTTACAAAAATAGGCAGTGGGCTGAATTTAACTGGTAGGCTAGAGTTTGCCATGATCTAGATTAAAACTCTATCCTCTTTATATATCTTATGACATTCATCTACTTCTATTTAAATATTATTGCCCCACCCTCTTTCATTACATCTCCTATTTAAAAGAAACTTCTGATGGATCACTGTTGCCTAATTATCTAATAATTCTAATACTACCTTATATTTAGATAGAGTGTGTCTCCTTTTTTTTTTTTTTTTTTTCCTGAGATGGAGTCTTGCTCTGTTGCCAGGCTGGAGTGCAATGGTGTAATCTCGGCTCACTGCAACCTCCAACACCCTGGTTCAAGCGATTTTCCTGCCTCAGCCTCCTGAGTAGATGGGATTACAGGCACACACCACCACATCCAGCTAAGCTAAGTTTTGTATTTTTTCAGTAGAGACAGAGTTTCACCATGTAGGCCAGGATGGTCTCGATGTCTTGACCTCATGATCCACTCACCTCAGCCTCCCAAAGTGCTGGGATTACAAGCGTGAGCCACCGTGCCCAGCCAAGTGTGCCTCATTTATTAAAGTGCTTCATATGAATATATCTAGTGAGAGTCTAATGATATCTGTATATGTATGTGCACGTGTACATGTATATTGTGTATTTCATTCTTCAGCGCAGTATCATGGAGTAGGGTGGTAAAAACTTTTCCCTTATATTTCTTGATCTTTTATTCTTTTGTAGATTCTATTTTTTTCTTCTATGCATTATCTTTCACTTTCTCCCACAGTCCCCTTTAAGTCTTCTATGTTGCAATCAACCTGGAAAATTTGCTATTTCCTGAAGATCTTCCTGCCTTTCATCTGCATGGGTTTCTGCATGTTCTTTCTGTATTGTGATATGTTTTCTATCCCTTCTCTCCATGTAATAGTCTGTATATTCATAGAACTAGTAGAAACCTAGAAAGACCAAGTTTCTAAAACAGGAAGCTAGAGGTTGTCTGTACCCTCCTCATTTTATAACTGTGTGGTGAGCATATGTATATATATACATATATTCTAGCCAGTTTGCACCTTCCTGTTTATCCCCTTTGAAGTCATATCAGTTCTTTGTCCAAAGCTTGAGAAATAAGATACCAATGTGCCAAGATCCAATTTGGCATCATGTTTCTCGATACTACTCTGATTGCTGTTGTCACTGAGTGACTGTGGCTCAGCACACTAATAGCTTTGCAACAAAGAAGGCTTAAAACCAGAAGAGAAGTCGGTTCTTTAAAGAAAAATTTAAAACAGTTGAGAAATTAGAAGCCCTCTCCTATTATTGTATTGCTCTCCTTTCATCTTTAGCCTTCTGATGTTTTCTTTTCATTTCCTCCTTGATGCTCTGAACGTATTACCAGACATTTTAATGAGATGTGGCTAGGTCCAGCCCTGGCCAATAATTAACTCCTTCCTCTCTGTCAGACCGTAAGCATTTTCTGGCATTTCTAGCTTCTAGGAGTTTAAGTGTGGGACTTCAGTAAGAAAGTGTATATCACCTTCACAATTTCCAGGATAAGCTGTTTCTCAATCAGCAGTGAAGAATTCCACTTAAGAAGGCAACTTCAGATAGATTCCGGGAATGGGGAAGCAGAAAAAGCAGGAAGATAGAGGCTCAAATAGAAAGGCAATTTTTGACTGGCTTGGAAGAAGTATGATGTGACTTAAAGAGAAGATGAGGCTGAGGAGAAGATTGCCACAACAATCACCACAAAGAGCAAGAGACATATAGTTCCGAAGTCTCAAGTGAGACAGGGATTGAAAACATTAATCTATAATCCTCCTCATCAGAAAGTAAATTTCACAAAGGGGAATGTGGAAGAGATAAAGTTTAAAGTTCCAATACAGAAATCCTATTTTTCCTCCAGAAATATAGGTTAAGAATTTGACGAGTTTTGCCAAATGTGTATGCATGTTCTGTATCTCTGCACAACTCAGAAATCATTGATTACGTGACATTTTGAAATGGTTCAATTAGGCAGCTCAAAATGCCTGCAACATGAATTATACAAACATTGCTGAGAGAGTCTCTGTTTCAGTTTTAAAGCTTTGCGGGTTATATTCCTTTTCCTTCTTCAAATCACTGTGCTTTCACATGAAAAGCACATTATTCTTTCTCATAAACATACCTCAATGAAAGCTTCAGAGCATTTTGCCATTACCTACAATTTTTAATACTAGGGTTTCAGAATATTTAAGCCGTGAGGAGCCCAGTTGTCCTCATCGGTTCAAGAGAAAGTTTAGAAGGCAAAAATTATCATACGATCTGGTTTCACAGCCTCATCTGCACCCTAAGGATCTTTTCTGTAAGGTGATAGCTAATGAAGATTCCACAGAACCCAGCAGATTGCTGGGCAAAAGGACTTGGAGCAATGGAACAAGAAGCTTACTGGTTCCCAATGGTCACAAATCAGAGGTGTCCGTACAAATCACAAGCACCCCATTGAGAGTGCTAGCTCTGGCAACAGGAATGGCTGCATTGACCCTATGGTGATTTGGGCCCTGCTCTTCTGCGCTCTTCTTCCTTCTCAGTCTGGTGTGCTGAAACTTCATTGATGTTTGGTTTCCTAGCTTACTTTTTCCCTTCCAATTAGCACTTCCATTTCTTTGCTGGGGAATAACATTTCTTTCCTTTGGACAGATTCCAGTGTGGCTAAAATCAGATGTCCTGTCCAGCCATGTCTTAACCTAGAAGGAGGCACTTGACCGAGCCTAGGCCAATCACTAGTTCTGGCTTAGAATGTGAATCATGAGTACATGACACATAAATAGAAATGATAGTAGGGTCCATTCATCTCACACCCCATCAGCAGGCCTTGCAACCCATTCCCACAGTCTCAGATTCACAGACCATGGAAACACCTCCATGCCTGCAGTACACTCCTGATGGCAGCAGCCACCCGTCTGGAGTAGCTGCTGCAAAGACACTGGCTGCAGTGGGGGAGGAGTGGCCAGGGCTGCGTACTTTGTGGAGGCAGTGGGGTTGGGGAACACGTGGGAGCCCCACTCCCTACCAAGTTGACAGGGGCACCACCAGGAGCCCCATGCCCCTGGGCACAGCTGCAGCCTCCCAGCCACAGCTCTGGACCTGGGCATCCCTGTGCTCTCAGGGCTCTGGAAGCCTCCCTTCCCCCACAGGCTTGGAAGTACTGGCTCCTGCTCCCTGGCCTTGCCCCACTCCCAGGGCCTGCTCTGAGGCAGAGCAAAGTCGTGGCTGAGCCTGAATACTGTTGGAACCTGGTCAGGTGTGTATGCACTTGGGGCAGTGCTAACATGCCAGGCCCTGCCACCACAGCCCCCTCCAGACTTTGAACACAGACAAACACAGGAGGGAGGCTGGTGCGAGGCTGAGGTCGGCTCAGCATCGGCCTGTAGATGTCCCTTGGCAGGGCAGGTGCTGTGGATGGCATGTTGATGACAGCAGGTGACAGACAGGCTCCTGGGTGGAAAGGGGAGCATGATGCCCCACCTTCATGCCACAGTTACAGCCTGAAGCCTGGGGGCCAGGCTGCCAGTTCTGGATGGAGTCTGTGGCCTTGGGTAAGAACTTACTGTGCTTTTTCTTGTCCTGCCCACAGCCACCCAGACCAATCAGCATGCACTTCTTCCCTTGTGAGCACATAAAAAGCCTGGACTCAGCCAGACTTGAGTGGACGTTGGGACTATGTGCCTGCAGAGAGGAGCTACCCACTGCAGATCTCCTGAGGGCTGTTCTATTGCTCAATGAAGCTCCTCTCCATCTTACTTTCCCTCCAGTTGTTCACATATCTCATTCTTTCTAGACACGAGAAAAGAACTCTGGACCTGCCAAATGGCTGGACTGAAAGAGCTGTAACACAGACAGAGCTGAAATGTGCCTCCCTTCTCCTTGCTACATCATGGGCCACGAGAAGGAGAGAAGAGCTGTGACCCTTCAGGAATCCCAGGCCACATCTCCAAGCTTCCAGGTCCAACTGTGTTCCCCTCATCCACACACAGGTGCCCTCAGTGGAAGCTGTGTGTGGTACATCTGGTCCAGCTTCAGGCTTGCATAAAGCCGGCACCTGTACCTGCACCTGGAGCTGCCTGCCCTGCCACAGCAGCTGGTGTGCCTGGCTGTGCACAGTGGCGAGACCCTGTGCTCACTTACCCACACACCCCTTACTGCTCCATGCCTGGTTCTCTCTTGGCAGGTGTGGGATCCAGGCCAGTAGTGTGAGCTGAGTGCAGCCTGCCAGGCTGAGTGGGCAGAATGAGTCCAATGGTCATGAGCAATACTCAGGTGGAAGGCAACGCCAGCCACAGAGGTTTCCTCCTGGCGAGGAGACACCCCAAGGATCTCATAATAATCCCACACCTGGGATTTCTAGCCTTCCTATAGATTCTATGAGCTTCCAGTATCCCTAAAAAATACTCCCTTTCTCATAAGTTAGCCAAAATGAGTTGCTCCTGTTACAAGCAGAGAAATCAACTGACAGGTCCAAGTTTGTGGTAAGAAGTTGCCAAGAAGCATTTACTGTACTCTCAGGGAAATTGTGTGTGTGTGTGTGTGTGTGTGTGTGTGTGTGTGTATATGTGTGTCCATGTGTGTATTAGTTTATTTTCATGCTGCTGATAAAGACATACCCAAGACTGGGCAATTTGCAAAAGAAAGAGGCTTAATTGGACTTACAGCTCTATGTGGCTGTGGAAGCCTCACGATCGTGGTGGAAGCAAAGAGGAGCAATTCACATCTTACATGATGGGCAGCAGGCAAAGAGAGAGAACTTATGCAGGGGAATTCCTCTTTTTTTTTATTATACTTTAAGTTTTAATGTACATGCGCACAACCTGCAGGTTTGTTACATACGTATACATGTGCCATGTTGGTGTGCTGTACCCATTAACTCGTCATTTAACATTAGGTATATCTCCTAATGCTATCTCTCCTCCCTCCCCCCACCCCACAACAGGCCCCGGTGTGTGATGTTCCCCTTCCTGTGTCCATGTGTTCTCATTGTTCAATTCCCACCTATGAGTGAGAACATGTGGTGTTTGGTTTTTTAACAGACACTTCTCAAAAGAAGACATTTATGCAGCCAAAAGACACATGAAAAAATGCTCATCATCACTGGCCATCAGAGAAATGCAAATCAAAACCACAATGAGATACCATCTCACACCAGTTATAATGGTGATCATTAAAAAGTCAGGAAACAACAGGTGCTGGAGAGGATGTGGAGAAATAGGAACACTTTTACACTGCTGGTGGGACTGTAAACTAGTTCAACCATTGTGGAAATCAGTGTGGCAATTCCTCAGGGATCTAAAAGTAGAAATACCATTTGATCCAGCCATCCCATTACTGGGTATATACCCAAAGGATTATAAATCATGCTGCTATAAAGACACATGCACATGTATGTTTATTGTGGCACTATTCACAATAGCAAAGACTTGGAACCAAGCCAAATGTCCAACAATGATAGACTGGATTAAGAAAATGTGGCACATATACACCATGGAATACTATGCAGCCATAAAAAATGATGAGTTCATGTCCTTTGTAGGGACATGGATAAAGCTGGAAACCATCATTCTCAGCAAACTATTGCAAGGGAACTCCTCTTTTTAAAACCATCAGATCTCATGAGACTTATTCACTATCACAAGAACAGCACAGGAAAGACTTGCACCATGATTCAATTACTTCCCACTGGGTTTCTGCCACAACAGGTGGGAATTCAAGATGAGATTTGGGTGGGGAAATAGCCAAACCATATCACTGTGCATATGTATATGATGAAGAAAAAGATGGGTACAGTAACATTTTCATGTGGAAGTTATAGAAACCAGCATACAAAGGAGAAGTTTTTTAAGCCCTGTCCAACACAAGAAAATGCTACCGCTATGCATTTTCATGCTTCCCCAACAAATCAGAAGGAAGAAGTCATGGGAGATTGCTCAATCATGTAATGTCACTTCCTCCCTCTTTGAAACACCACCAGGAGCTGTTAGCAGAATATTCTTGGTTTTTAACATGGCTTACAGTAAGAATAGCTTGAAATAAAGTAGGAGCTTGTTGCCTTTAAGTCCTAGGAAGGTGAAATCTCATTAATGGTTTCTGCTCTACCCACATTCACCTGCATTTTAATACCCTCCGTTCTTATGCCTTTCTTCCAAAAATCTCCCTAGTGTTGGAGAACTGGGGTTCCACTGGGGCGTGTGCTTTCATTAAACCTCCACATATACAGGCCAAACCAACTCTTCAAAGCCCTCAGCATGAAATTCAAAAGAAAATGAATATCCAAATTTAAGCACTATCTTTCAATTGTTTTCTCCGCCTTTTCTTCTCTCAACAATTTGATTAGAGAAGTTTCCTACTTTACATGGCATTCTTTTTCTGGAAAAAGAAATTGCTTAAAGAAGGGAAATATTTAGGAACTCCAGATTTCTTTTTACTTTACCACTAATTGCTGTGTAACCCTGGGTGACACAACACTTCTAGAAAATGGAAGTGACATTATTAAAGATAAATGAAAGTTTTTAAAAGTTGCATTGTATCGCAATTTAAAGAAGATTTGGAAAACTCTTGCCTGTCTTTGATTTAGAGTGGAAAAAGGGAGGTGAGGAAGTGCTGACCATGAAAATTTTAATGTAAAAGTTGAACCACTCCCTGCTCAGTAAGAATTAAAAGAATGGCTTATGAAATCACCGTAATATAACTTGTAGAACTAGATAATAAATAACATTATTCACCAGGAAATTTCTTAGAAAATATTTATTCTTTGCACTGAGCCACATTTTCAAAGCTTCCTATAGTTATTTCAAGAAAAAAAGAGAGTCATAGGTTGCTCACTGCACTAAACACATCCCTAGGCACATCCCGATGTTAAAGTTGGACATGTGAGTTACTTTAGTGCCACGCCAAATTCCTTGACATGGAGCATGCAGTCATATTATGTTTATATGTAGAATATAATAATTCAGAAACAATAATCTTAAATGTACGAGAACAAAGTGGTTTATACAAATGATGCTTTCCTTAAAATGGAATTTTGAGAAGTTTCTTCACTATGTCCCTTAACCATTTTTTAAAATGTTTGTAGGCTTCATGAATACCCAAACTCCAGAGGAGGCCTAATCTTTAACCTACATGAGATGTGATAGCAGACATAAGGAATACAGAAGAAAAAGGTCAGTGAACATGGACAGAGAGGTGATCGCTGTCACCTTTCCTCTGGCCCCAGCTAGTGGAAAGAAATCAGTTACCAGAGCCTCAGTTGGCAAAAAGGACTACTGTTTCTATGGAAAACAAAAGAAAATTATACAAAATATTTTCCATAATGTTCTTATCATCATTACAGAAAATCAGAGATTGGGGAATGTATTTTGGACATTAATTACTCTTCACGATCTTCACTTGAAAGTTCTTAAAAATGCATCTCATCCCATGCTTATAGATGGTGGAAACTTGAAACAACACTTTATTCTTATTTTGGAGACTTTAATTTACACACACTGATATGGTTTGGCTGTGTCCCCACCCAAATCTCATATTTAATTATAGTTCCCATAATCCCCACATGTCGTGGGAGGGACCAGGTGGAGAGAATTGAATCATGGGGGTGGTTTCTCCCAACCTGTTCTCATGAGCTAGTTCTCATGAGATCTGATGGTTTTCTAAGGGGCTTCCACCTTCTCTCGGCTCTCAATCTTCTCCCTGCCGCCATGTGTATAAGGATGTGTTGACTTCCTCTCCCACCATGATTGTAAGTTTCTTGAGGCCTCCCCAGCCCTGTAGAAATGTGAGTGAATTAAACCTCTTTTCTTTATAAACTACGCAGTCTTGGGTATGTCTTTATTAGCAGCATGAGAATGAAATAGGACAGTAAATTGGTACTGGTAGAGTGGGGTGCTGATAAAGGATACTGAAAAATGTGCAAGCAACTTTGGAACTGGGTAACAGGTAGAGGTTGGAGCAGTTTGGAGGGCTCAGAAGAAGACAGGAAAATGTGGGAAAGTTTGGAACTTCTGAGAGTCTTGGAGGGATCAGAAGATAGGAATATGTGGAAAGGTTTGGAACTTCCTAGAGACTTCTTCAATGGCTTTGGCTAAAATGCTGATAATGATGTGGACAATGAAGTCCAGGCTGAGGTGGTCTCAGATGGAGATAAAGAACTTGTTGGGAACTGGAGTAAAGGTCACTCTTGCTATGCAGTGAGAGCATTTTGCCCCTGCCCTAGAGATCTGTGAAATTTTGAACTCGAGAGAGATGATTTAGGGCATATGGCAGAATACATTTCTAAGTGGCAAAGAGTTCAAGAGGAAAAAGCATAAAAGTCTGAAAAATTTGCAGACTGAGGAAGCAATAGAAAAGAAAAACCCATTTTCTGGGGAGAAATTCAAGCCTGCTGCAGAAATTTGCATAAGTAACAAACAGCTGAATGTTAATCACCAAGACAATGTGGAAAATGTCTCCAGGGCATGTCAAAGACCATCACAGCCATCCCATCCCATCAGAGACCTGAAGGCCTAGGAGGGAAAAATGGTTTCATGGGCTGCATCCCAGATGCTTCAGCTCCAGCCATGTCTAAAAGGGGCCAGCATACAGATCAGGTCATTACTTCAGAGCATGCAAGCCCCAAGCCTTGGTGGTTTGTATGTGGCCTTGGGCCTGCAGGTTCACAGAAGTCAAGAATTGAGGTTTGGGAACCTCCACCTAGATTACAGAGATGTATGGAAATGCCTGGATGTCCAGACAGAAGTTTGCTGCAGGGCAGAGCATTCATGGAGAACCTCTGATAGCACAGTGGGGAAGGGAAGTGTGGGGTTGGAGTCCCCACACAGTCTTCACTGGGGCACTGTCTCGTGGAGCTGTGAGAAAAGGGCCACCATCTTCCAGACCCTAGAATGGTAGATCCACCAACAGCTTACACCGTGCACCTAGAAAAGCCACAGACACTCAATGCCAGCCTGTAAGGCAGCTGGAAAGGGAGCTGTACCCTGAAAAGCCACAGAGAGCCTACCTCTTGCATCAGTGTG
Source organism: Homo sapiens (assembly GCF_000001405.40). Taxonomy (NCBI): domain Eukaryota; kingdom Metazoa; phylum Chordata; class Mammalia; order Primates; family Hominidae; genus Homo; species Homo sapiens. Next base: position 98,361,636 of record NC_000001.11, on the reverse strand, counting down.
ACCTGGATATGAGAAATTGAATCAAAGGAGACCATTTGGTAACTTTAAGGTTTGATGACTGCCTTATTGGATTTCAGACACAAACAGGTTCTGTAACCCCTTCATTTTGGCCAATTTCTCCCATTTGGAATGGGTGCATTTACCCAATGCCTGTACCCCCGTTGTATCTAGGAAGTAACTAACCTGCTTTTGATTGTACAGGCTCATAGGCAGAAGGGACTTGCCTTGTCTCAGGGGAGACTTTGGACTTGGACTTTTGGGTTAATGCTGGAATGAGTTAAGACTTTGGGGGACTGTTGGGAAGGCATGATTGTGTTTTGAATTGTGAAGATATGAGATTTGGAAGGGGCCAGGGGCAGAATTATATGGTTTGGCTGTGTCCCCACCCAAATCTCATCTTGAATTGTAGTTCTCATAATCCCCATGTGTCATGGGAGGGACCAGGTGGAGATAATTGAATCATGCGGTGATAGGGGGGATTCTATCCTTTTCTCATGATAGTGAGTTAGTTCTCACAAGATCTTATGGTTTTATAAGGGGCTCCCCCTTCACTGGGCACCCATTCTTCTCCTTCCTGCTATCATGTGAAGAAGGTATTTACTTCCCCTTCTGTCATGACTGTAAGTTTCCTGAGGCCTCTCGAGCCTTGCAGAGTGGAACCAATTAAACCTGTTTCCTTTATAAATTGCCCAGTCTTGGGCAGTTCTTTGTAGCAGCATGAGAATGGACACACACACATATTCTGCACTTAGGTTTTGACAGGCAATAAATAGTTTTCCCTAATGTACTCCTCCTTCCTCTTCCCTTATTTCTTGTAATCCTCCTTCTTCTTCCTTTTCTTTTTCTCCTTTGTCTTTCTCTTACTCTTTGATTCTGTCTTCATACCTGAATGCTGTATAATTAACAAATAACTATACACTTAGGAGTATGAGCAAGAGAGCAAGTCAACTGATAAAAGATAAAATTAGGGTTCTTGAAGAAAAATAGCAGCTCCCTTGTGTCTTTTGAGGATTATTGTGTATACAGTGAATTCCACACCTTTTGTACACAATGTTGTTCTTAATTTGTCTTTTCTGGTTAGTCTTTGTTGCCAAACTAAATTTTAAATTAATTATGCCAGTAATCCACTATATAAGCATCTTCTATGTTTTTTTTTTGACAGAGAGTCTTGCCCTGTCTCCAGGCTGGAGTGGAGTGGCGCAACTCTCGGCTCACTGCAACCTCTGCTTCCTAGGTTAAAGCAATTCTCCGGCCCCAGCCTCCTGAGTAGATGCGACTACAGGCACACACCACCAAGCCCAGCTAATTTTTGTATTTTGAGTAGAGACAGGGTTTCACCATGTTGGCCAGGATGGTCTTGAACTCTTGACCTTGTGATCTGCCCACCTCTGCCTCCCAAAGTGCTGAGATTACATGCTTGAGCCACTGTGCCCAGCCTGCATCTTCTATGTTTTTTTAAAACATCTAGAAAATGATACTAAATAGCCCATGCTGAACATATACTTGATAATTGGTTGATGTTTGATTGTCTTATTAATGGACCAGGAGAAAGATTACTAGATTTATGGATTAAAAAAGAAATTATATAATAGAAGGTCAGAGTTCAGGAAGATTATATTATAGCAGAACAAGCTTTTTATTCATTCACTTATCAACAAAAAACTACTGAACTTATTACATTTCTTTTGAAATAGTTCATCCTAGAGTAAGATGATGAGGAGAAACATTTATTGTCTGTACTAGGGTAAATCCTGAAAACTTACCCTCAATTGTATTAAAAGGGCGCCTACCTTAGAAAGTTGCTTTCCAGGACACAGTGACACCAGAAGTAATAAGCTGTGATGTGTATTATCAGAAATAGTTGCTAAAGGTGGACTGGGGACAGCTCACCATAGGAAAAGCACTGGCCATCTTAATAGAGCCACAATTGGGAAGGGCACCACGGTAGCCTCCAGTTGAATTACAAAAGTTTCCATGAGAGAGAGAACATTACATATCAGCCAAGTTTAGAGATTATGAAGTCATTTAGGAAGGTAATTCTGTCAAAGAAAAAATAGTAGTTAAAGTGATAAAAACAGATTTTATTCAGGATTACTGTAATATGGGAACAGAGATCTCAGTATAAAGCTGTGCTCAATTCTACTGGGCAAGTGGGAATTTACAGCCAGAGGACAGGATAGGGGTCAGTGGATGGAAAATTTCTAAGAGGAAACATTAGGGGTAGTGAGGATTCTGGCTAAACTAACGTAACAGGATTCTTGCAGAAGATAGGCCAGGGTGATCAGATATCACCTGGGGGATAGTGGAGGGGGATGAACCTGACTAGATCTCTAGGGTGATAAGATATGGAGGGTAGAAGGTTCTGGCTAAAATGACTTAGCAGGGTTCTTGCTAAAAGTGGATTTTACAAAAAAGTGCACAGATGGACCTACGAGAAGTTTTAATCATGAGCCTGACTAAAGTTTGGTCAAGCAAGGAATCTTTGTCATGTCTCACTAGTAAAGTATTTTCCTGCTCCAACTCCATACCCATGTTGGAGGAGAGAACAGCTAGTGAGAGAGGCTGAGGTGAGAGAATCAATGAGAAGGTCAGCAGCCTACCTTAGTCTGTCCCAGCTCGGGGAGAGGGGGATTAAAATTAAAATGTTGGTTAAAGTATCAGGCTAGACACTTTGTAATTATTAAATTGAGACTGTACTTAAAAAGACAATAGGGCTTTTAAAACAATTTTTTTTTTCATTTTAAGTTGTGGGATACATGTGCAGTATGTGCAGGCTTGTTACATAGGTAAATGTGTGCCATGGTGGTTTGCCGCACGTATCAATCCATCACCTAGGTATTAAGCTCCACATCCATTAGCTTGTCCTGATGCTTTTCCTTCCCCCCGGTCCCCAATCCAAGACATACCCCATTGTGTATTGTTCCCCTTCCTATGTCCATGTGTTCTCAGACAACAGGGCTTTTTATTACCTGGATATTACTGGAAAACTTATAAGATTGCTCAAGTTTCTATCTTGGGAGGACAACCCACACCGAGGACATTTAAAGGGTTACTGATAGAGAAAATGAAAAATGCTTTTCTGATTACTCCCTACAAATCCTGCATGTTCCGTATGTAGGTCATGAGCAAATTGCTTCATCCTAGTGGATGAGATTTTCCTTTTCCTCGATTTGTTCTTCTTACCCTTTCAGTTGTACCCATACTATGGAAACCATGACCATGTTTTTCTCCACAATGAAAACACCACTTCATCTTCACAGCTTACAGCCTTAATTATTACAATCAGAAGGATCTCATCAAGCCTGGTCCATGTCCTATTGCCAGTCAGCTCACTCAGCCTTTTCTCTGCAGCATATGAACTGGCTTAGAAATATTTCTTGAGTGAGAACTTTTTTTTATTGCTTTAAAGACAACAGAGGTTTACTGTTACATAACTGTGGAGGCTGGAAGTCTAAAATCAGCATTACTGGGTAGAAATCAAAGTGTCCACAGGGCCACGCTCCCTCTGAAGACATTGGGGGATAATTTTTTCCCTGTCTCTTCCAGTTTCTGGTGACTGCTAACATTCCTGTGAGCAAGAGCTTTGAGCAAGTTTCTTGGAAATGTTGTCTGTGAAAGAACTTTGCTTCACCATCTTCTGAATGCTTATATTCAGCTCCATGGGTTAGAATTATAAAGAAGGAGGAGGAGGAGGAAAAAGAGGAGGAGAAGAAAGAGGAAGAAGAAAAAAGAAAGAGGCCAGGTGCGTTGCCTCACACCTGTAATCCCAGCACTTTGGGAGGCCGAGGCGGGCAGATCACGAGGTCAGGAGATCAAGGCCATCCAGACTAACATGGTGAAACCCCATCTCTACTAAAAATACAAAAACAAAATTAGCTGGGTGTGGTGGCAGGCACCTGTAGTCCCACCTACTGGGGAGGCCCAGGCAGGAGAATGGCGTGAACCCGAGAGGAGGAGCTTGCAGTGAGCTGAGATCGCGCCACTGCACTCCAGCCTGGGGGACAGAGCGAGACTCCATCTCAAAAAAAAAAGAAGAAAGAAAAGAAGAAGAAGGAGAAGGGGAAGAGAAAGAGGAAGAAGAAATAAGAAAGAAATAAATAGAAGAAGAAAAAGGAGTAGGAGGAGGAAAAAGGAGGAGGAGGAGAAGGAGGGGGGAAGAGGAGGAGGAGGAAGAGGGTAAGCAGCAGCAGCATGGTTTGTCTCTAATAAACAATTTTAAAAGAATTATAATGTATACATCTGGGACTAGCTATGAGTTAGGCTGCTCTAATGTGGTCAAAATGATTGATTTAAACTAAGTAAAGTTTCTTTCTTTCACTTAGCAGTCTGTGTGTTAACAGTCTATGTCTCACTGACAGTTCACTCCATGGAGTTGGGACCCAGGTTCCTTCATTCTGGTTCTAAGATCCTTCATACTGGGCTCCTACCTTCTTATCTAAGAGGGCTTATCCAGCTCAGGCATCATATTAAAATTCTAGCTGATGGGGGGAGAGCAAGAGGAAAGGGGAGGTATACAAATCTACACTCATTTTAAAGTATAGGAATCTATAGTTCTAAATATCATTTTTTTTTGTTCACATTCCATTGGCCACAACTAATTTAAAAGGAGCCTGGGAAATGATCTCAGCTAATGTCCTATTAATACAGAGGAAGGGGAGAATAGATAATGGGGAAAACAACTGGCAATCTCTCACGTATATACAAAGACTTTAAAAAAGAACTCTAGTGATAGTCACCCTATTGTGCTACTAATACTAGATCTTATTCATTCTCTCTAACTGTATTTCTGTACCCATTGACCATCCCTACTTCATACCTCCCTCTAAGAGTTCCTTCCCAGCCTCTGGTAAAAATATATTTAAAAATAAGTAAAAGAGTGGAATCAGAATGTTCCTAACACAAATAAATAATATAGTCTTGGGGTGATGGATACCCCAATTATTCTGATTTGATTACTACATATTATATGCCTGTATCAAAACATCACATGTCCTCCATAAATATATATTACTATTATACACCCATAATGTTTTTGTAAAATAAAGAACTCCAGTATAAAATTTCATTTCAAGTAACATGTATGTTTTATGATAGTTCTTCCAGATAGTAAAGTCAGGGGCAAGTATTCCAAGTGCTGATATTGGGTTTGGAAAGTGCTGACTGAAAGTGTTGAGGATGAAGAAAAAAATGGGAAAATGAAGCAAGGAAAATGCCATAGCAACGTGATTTGATGCATCACTATGGCCATCGTTTGTCAAGGAGCTGTGAAGACCACAGCAGTCACTCAACATGTATTATTTCTTCATCATGCAAGACTTCTTCACAGAGCTGACAAGGAAAAACTACACCCAAGAGCAGTTCACACATGGGAGAAAGGAAGGAGATACCCACCTGTTTCCCGCCCAATTCTTGTTTTCCAATAGCCAAGGCTTAACCCTCAGGGCTCTAGGTCTTACAAATGTCTGAGTCACTGCTTTTATTCAAGTCTGAAGGGTGAAAGCCAACTCTGTTCCAGTGAAACAATTTTTTAAAAGATAAAGACAGCTGAGGGACTCTAAGAAAGTGCACAACACTGTATCTAATATAATACATTAAGGTAAGAAATGTAATACTTAGTCCCCATTCCTGATGTCTCTTTTTATGTGGAAGGATTTCCATTAAAGTCATAATTTTTTCCTTTCTCCCAACTTTCTCATTTACTCATCTCCATGGAAAGAGGAATGATTTATGTGACTGGTAAAGTTGGATGAGGAAACTTGATACATGTGGCTCAGTCACTTCCCCATGTTTTGTGATCTGTCTGTTTGCAGAAAGCATGTTCTCTGGTCGGCTTGGTGCCACACAGTAAGCTTGCTGATGAGGCCCTGCCCCTGCAGACGCAGGGAGGCCTGCAGTTGTCTAGTTGGGATGTCAGCCTCTTTCTGAGGCTGGCTTTAGGAGCTGTGTCATTGCCTTAAACTTTAGCTACATTCTCCTGTATCTGTTTTATCAGTAATAACGCTGATCATTTTATTTCCACCTGCCTTTTCTCTCTGTCTACCTCAGAATTCTGTCGGATAGTAGGGAGTTACTTATTAGCTCACTAAAACTTCAACAAAAAAAAGAGAAAACAATCATTGTCTCTATAGAGTGACTCTCTGCTGCTATTTAAAAAGGGAGGAAATTATAAGTGGTCATCTTATTTTTATTTGTATCATAACTAGAGTTTATTGAGAAGAACAGTGGTAAGTACTTTATGAACAATATTTCATTTATTCCTATAACAGACTTGAGAGGTTTGCAGATAAGCAAGCTGAGCCTTATTTCTAAAGATTAACTCATTAACTCATTCAACATGAATTTATTGAATACCTGCTATGTGCAATTATTAAATGAAAAAGTAAGGAGGATCTACCCTTATGTAATATAGAGTTTAGAGATACTCATTAATCAATTATTCATAACAAGAAGTGTAAAATTGCAACTGTAATTAGTGGCATACAAGAAACATAGTTTGCAGTATGTTCAATGAGAAAGAAATGACTAAACTGGGTTCTCAAGCATGAGTGAGAATTAATTAAATGAGGTATGTGAACATTGTGGTTGTTTAGGGGTGTAGGAGTGGCAAAAGAAGCTAGAACTCCAGACAGAGGTAACAGCATGTACAAAGGCTCTGTGATATAAAGAAGTATGGAGAGGACAAAAGATAATATAACATGGCCAATTTGGCTGGAGTGAAGAGTGAGAGCAAGACTTGAGTAGAGACAATGTTAGATATGTATAGGGGTTAGACTGTGTTTTAGGCTCATTAAAGGCATTTTTACTTTATTTTAAAAGGAATCAAAAGCCATTGTGAGGTTTTAAGTGTGTTGTGGTGCAATGATACTTGCTTGATTGCAATTTGGAGACTGGATCAGAGGCAAGTCAGAATGCTTTTTATCAGTCAAGGAGCTGTTGCCAGCATCCAGGTGAGATGAACTGATGAATATGGTGGAAAGATGTGTATAAATTTTATTTATTATTATTATTATTATTATTATTATTATTATTATTATGAGAAAGAGTCTCACTCTGTCATCCAGACTGTAGTACTGTGGTCCAGTCTCGACTCAATGCAACCTCCACCTCCCAGGCTCAAGCGATGCTCCTGCCTCAGCCTCCCAAGTAGCTGGGATTAGAGGTGCGTGCCACTGCTGCCCAGCTAATTTTTGTATTTTTAGTAGAGACAGGGTTTTACAATGTTGGCCAGGCTGGTCTCGAACTTCTGACCTCAGATGATCCACCCATCTCTGCCACTCAAAGTGCTGGGATTACAGGCCCATGCCACCATGCCCGGCTAATTTTCATATTTTTAGTAGAGACAGGATTTCACCATGTTGGCCAGGCTGGTCTTGAACTCCTGACCTCAAATGATCCACCTGCCTTGGCCTCCCAAAGTGCTGGGTTTATGCATATAAATTTTTTAAATGTGTAGGGGATAGACTGGATTACATATGAGGCATGAGGGAGAACAAGGTGTCAAGGATGGCACTTATATATCAGGATAGGATGACTTTCTAAGAGGCTAGAAGCTCTTTCCACTATAAAATAACCATAAACACATCTACTTGAGAACAGAGTTTACTTAGACAGAGATAATCCAGCACACTGCTTGACCAGGTTTACAATGGTCCCTCCTTCATGTTTGCAACAAATATCTACCTTTAAAAATCATAACCAGAGCATTTCCTTTAAGCATTTTCCAAAATATGTGCTACTGGGATAGAAAACAATACAAAATTGTCCTGATGTACTGTTAGACACTTGGTCAAAATTATACAATTGTTCTCAGTTTCAGATATATTCTTTCCTAAGTAAATAAATGTTTCCATGTTAACCAGGTATATTTTGTGAATCTGGCGGACAGAACTACTTAAAGTGATTGTAGTTTTGGATATCTGGTGGGGTTTTTCTCATTGACCAAATTTCTGGGAGGTAATTAGTGGGTGTGAAAGGTAAGAAACGAAGGAAAGGTGTAGTCAGCCAAAGGCTGGTTTTTATTTAGCGGGCCCTATTTTTGCCTCTTCTTTTCACACACTGCAGATCCCTAAGACAGATATAACTATACCAAAATACCTATTGTGTTTTGCAGCTGTGTGATGGATGCTTTGCTAGTTATGGATTCACAAATACCATGTCTTAGCTTAGCTAACAAGGCCTTTTTTTTTTCTTAAATGAAGCAGAATAGTTAAGTGAAAGCCCCTTAATTTGAGCATGAGTGCTCCATTCCAATTAAGCCTGAAGAATCAAAGAAAAGAGAGTTGATTTCATTTTTTTTTTTTCTAAAGTGAAAAGTAGGCAGCACACTAAAAGATGAAAATGGTACAGTGGCATCTGCAAATCACACATTTTTATTCAGAACTTAGGTTCAATGTGAAAAACCCCAAACTATGGTATGAAAAAATAAAACTTACACACAATTTATTATTGTATTAATAAATAGATGAGACAGACATTAGCCAATGCATTTTTATTTACCTTAAAATTGCAAATGCCAAAAGCCATCAATAGCACCATTTCATTATTGCCATGCTGTGCATGGCAACGTAATATCTGTGTATGATTATCATCACTTTTATTAACATTTTCTCTGACCCTGTTGATATAAAAAGCACCATTTCTAGAAACAATTTTACTATTTGAGGAATGCAAGTCTACAGTCAGCTGTTGCACACTGCGGCCTATATTGCTGACTTTGTCCTATTAATTACTGTTGGGCCTAATTAACCAAAGATATTAGTCAAGATAAGCTGGGATATGCTCGAGAAATATATTTACTCTGAGGTCTCAGACATTTTACACAGTGAGCTATATGTACAGCTCTGGTGGATGGTCAGGGGGCCACTAGGGGACCCAGACTGACCTTATTACAACTGTCTGATGCTGCCATTCCAAATTATGGCCTCTAGGACCTGCTTCTAAGCACCTCAGACCTAAGTCATGCCCACTTCCACTCCCAGCCAGAATTCATCATCCAACTTCAACCTAATTACAAGGGATGCTGGGAAAACTAGGGGAGCACATGGAATATTTAGTAAGCACTACTGTATTTGTTACACTACATTAGTCAGCTCTGTACAACGTAAGATTGACCAGATGGCAAACTTTGATTGAAATTCTTCTAAAAAAAGAATTTGAGCATGATTTCATGACAAGAGTGTTACAAAGACTCATCATTAAAAAGAGATTCCATCTAGTCTGGAGAGGCGGCGCAATGAGCATGGTTATTACAGAAGATTGATGTAAAGGGGTAGAAGAAAATGAAGTAGTTAAGGGAAGAAAGAAGAATAACAATCTAAGATTCCACACCCATGGAAGCAGGCTAAATAAACTAATTAACCAAGATGACCTTGGAAGAATAAAAATAAAACATGAAAACTAAATATAACACCTTGAGAGCTTTCGTGTTCTCATGAGGAGTTTTGACTTCACACGACGAACCTCTGAATAATTTTGAATACAGGAATAATACATGTGCAGAGGACCTAAGGCAATTCCCACTGTGGTGTTTCAAACTGAGCAAAATCAAGATTAGTATCAAAGAGATGCAATGGTCTGGAAATTTGTTGAGGATTTAAGAATAGAGAAGAAGGTGCATATTAAAACGATGAAATATAATTTCAGCAACTCAATCGATGTACATGTAATTCAAAGAGCAGAAATGAACTATGATGACCCTTAGAGTTGTTTATCATAATGTTTAAGAGTTTGACAGGAAATGGGGGAAGTGATAAATGTGCAGAACAAAGGAGAGAGAAGAGTACGAGGAAACGCATCTGCTTCTGGTCTCGAACTCCTGGGCTCAAGCGATCCTCCCACCTCAGTCATACATAGCTGGAAGTACAGGCATGTGCCATCATGCCCAGAAAATTTTTGTCATTTTTGTAGAGAAAGTCTCACTCTGTTGCCCACGCAGGTCTCAAACTCCTGGGCTCAAGCAATCCTCCTGCTTCAGACTTCCAAAGGCTGGGATTATAGGTGTGAGTCACCACACCCAGTCTGATTCTGGTCTTTTCAAACTTGAAAACAGGCATCTATATACAAAGAGGTGCAAAATATTTTTCTCTTTCTATTTTACTTTTGATCATATTAATCATGGAAATAGCAATAATTTAAATTGGTCACAAAGCTCTATAATAAATACTTAATATATATAATCTTATATTTATAACATATTATGATCCAGTTCATTATGACAAATTATGGCTTACAGATGGCAAGTAACTTACCAAGATCAATTAGCTGATAAACCGGACTTGAGTCCAGATTTATGCAAAATCAAATTGCCAATGAAACTTTGCCTCTCAAACCCTCTATTTTTCTATTTTTCATTTCTCCAATTTTTTTTACTAATTATTTTACATCTATGTATGCCATATTTCACAGTTACAAAAACCCCCTCCCCCCCAAAATTAGGATTATATTTTACAAATTAAACTTGAGAGAGATAACAAGACTATGTAAGGGGGTAAAATGTTCAGGTCCTCATTTTTCCTAATTCAGATCCTACTGGCATTTAGTAGGGAAATGAAACAAAGAATGAATGTAGCACACAATGACCTCCATATTTACCTTAGATATCAAATTATGTCTCCACAATTACTAAATAACTCATTTATAAACAAAAAGGACTACTTATCCGTTTTTTAAAAATGGCTAGTGCTGCATAATCTCTGCATGTTATCAATTCTGGAAAATGAAAAATAATAGATCATCTTGGTTTTCTAATTGTGGAGAAATTGCAGTACTTACTCTTTTTTTTCTAGTCTTGGTTACGCTTTTATATTTTCAGGCATTTGACTTGGATTTAAGTTTTCATCTCATAAATTAAGTTCTATGGAACAATATTTCATTTTATTTTCTTTTTTATTATTATACTACACAATATTACCCAGAGTATTTCAACTGCTTTACCAATTTCTCCTTGGATTCTCTTGGATATTACTTTAAAATTACTACAATTGACTTACAGACTTAGTTGAAACCCTTTCCCTGCACTCCCCAAACCCCAACTTACTTTTCCCTTCTTATTTCATGAAATTCAAAATCGATAATAACCTTGGCAAATATTATGGCATATACAATGAACAAAATATAATGAAGATAGCAGAAACACTGTTGTCAGTGCACTTTCTAATGCCTGTACTACAGCAAGATGTTTGGAAACCCCAAAGAGCAGCAGTGATTTTACAAGCAGGTTACAATTTTTATTGACCTCCATCTTCAGTCCAATATCTTTGTTCTAAAGAGTGGAACTAGCCCTTATAAAATAAAATTTCTTCATGTTAGGAATCCCAGCTGCCTTGTTTTCCCCAACTAAGTTATGTGTAAAACATAAAGAGAATTCTTAGATCTGCTGGGACAGAGGGTTGCTAGGGTGACTGTTAAAGAAACTGAGCCTGACACTATGAGAGATCAATAAGGAAAGGAAGGCACTAGGAGCTAAAGTTAGAATTATTAAATCTTTGGACAAGACCTTTTTTCTCTAAAGCTTAGAGACCTAATTGGTTTTCTTGGTTTTATCTTTCAGCAATGGTTACCTAACATACAGACACCCCTTTTCAGATCATACACTTGTTATCTCTCTTCTTTCTTCACACTTCTTCAAGACAGACATGAGACAAGTAAAAATTCATAACCAAGAAAGAGGTGCTGCTTTTGGCAGTCATATTCCATAGTTCACATTATCTCATTATTGGTCCCCAAATTTCTCTCTGCTTATTTTTCCCCATTACCCCTGCAAGAAGAAGAGAAATGGCCCATAACCTTCAAACTGAAACCTCCTCCCACTAAAGAGATATCCCTACCTACATAAATAATAATGAACTGCAACTGGAAAACATCATAAAAATGTAGTAAAAGTGTATTTCTCACTCTACATAGTGGTCTCACATAGGAAGAAAGAAGAAGAGGAAAGGAAATAAGGAGAAGGCATGCATGCCTTTTAAAACCTCTGACCTAGAAGTGACACATCCAAAATCCATTGATAACTTATTATTTGGCCATAACCAAATACAAGGGTGGGGAGAGGACTGGAGATTATAATTCCTGATTGGGTAGCAGCATTATAGCAACAAATGTACAGTAAAGAGTCTATAATGAAGATCCTATACCATGAACAGAAGAACAGAAATGTTGATGGATAGTTGGCTATTTACAACACTATTTAAATGTTGACATCAATATAATATAATAAATGTGCAATGATATATCTAATGTTATGCTATTGTTTGGCTGATTTATTTCCCTTGGTTGATTAAACCAATGGTTTATTGATTGTGTGCTTATGATGTGGCCAGACATTATTCTTGGTGTTGGAGATACAGTAGTGAATAAAATAGACAAAAATTGCATCCCTTATGAAACCTACATCTTAAGAATGGTAAGTCAGAAACTAAGAAAAATCTATACTAAATTCTATAATATAATTAAAGAGACTAGTGCCAAAAAGCAAAATAAAACTGAGGAAAGGGATAGGAAATGTGAGAAGTGAGATTTCAAGGATGGTCACGGAGGACTATTGAGAAGGTGATATTTGGATAGACCTGAATGTGCTTAGGGAGAGAGCCACTCAGGAGCATTTCAAGTAGATGTAGAAGTTCAGCTGGCATGTACATGGAGCAGAAATTTTTGTGGCTACAGTAAATAAGGAGAGCATTAGGAGGTGAATTCATGAAAGTAATGAAGGAAGGGAAGATCACACAATCTTGCACCCTATATAAAGGCTTTGTATTTCACTCTAGAGTAAGAAATTTATTTAAGGTTTTGATCTGAAAAGTGGCATATTCTGCTTTTACATTTTAACGCACTCACTCTAGCTACAGAGTTGAAAATAGACTAAAACAAATGCAAGAGTAGAAGCCCATAGAACAGTTAGGAGGCCATTAAATAATTCAGGTAGGCAATACTGGTAACTTAGAACAAGTTGCTAGCTAGAGGATGCTGAGACATCATTACATTCTGGATACATTTCAAAGTAGAGCCAGGACGATTTGCTGAGAAACTGGACGTGGGCATGAAGGAAATGTAAGGGTCAAAATGACTGTAAGATTTTTTGATCTAAACAACAGGGAGGTTGCTGTTGCCATTAAGAAATGGAGGAAGACTTTGAATCAGGTTTGAGGAGGGATATAAAGAGTACTATTTTGAACAAGTTGAGTGGAGATGCTTATTTATCCTTAAAGTGGAAATGTAGGCTAAGAAATTGGATATAGAAATCTGAAGTTGGCCAGTTGCAGTGGCTCACACCTGTAATCCCAGCACTTTGGGAGACCGAGGCTGGTGGATCATGAGGTCAAGAGATCAAGATCATCCTGGCCAACATGGTGAAACCCCATCTCTACTAAAAATACAAAAATTACCTGGGCTTGGTGGTTTGCACTTGTAGTCCCAGCTACTTGGGAGGCTGAGGCAGGAGAATCACTTGAACCCAAGAGGCAGAGGTTGCAGTGAGCCAAGATCGTGCCGCTGCACTCCAGCCTGGCGACAGAGCAAGACTCTGTCTCAAAAAAAAAAAAAAAAAAAAAAAAGAGAGAGAGAGAGAGAAATCTAAAGTTTAGGAGAGAAGAACTACAGATATAAATTTGGGAATTTACAGCTTATACAAGACATTTAAATCCATGAGACTGGATGGGATCACCAAAAGGGTGACTGTTAAAGGAGGATGTCCCAGGGATAAGCAGTGGAGCATACATACCAATGTTAACAGATTGGGGGATAGTTAAGGAGACGTTTGTCTTATTTCATTCTTCACATCTGGAAAAGTAGACTAAAGGTCAACTAAGGTTCCCAGCATCACAGTCAATAGGCCTATCCTGGAAGATAACTCAGAACAATCATAGTTAAGAAAAATAAATGGATTGTATGCATTGTTTTAGCAAACCTATAAGTGCTAGAATGCATACAATTAATTATAGATACATATTTTCTTAGACTTCATTTCACATGAAGAATTCAGAGTTCTGACAAATTATCATTTTCAATGAACTTAAATGTTAATTCATTCTTAAAACAGGAAATAGGGGGTTTCCCAACATTAGCTTCCGACCATAAAATAGGCAAATTTCCACAAGTTCAGGGCTAAATCACAGCTATTTGCTGGGATGCCATAATCTGAATTAAGAAGGTATTTAAATGGAGTAGGTTTTCCAAGTAGAGATACCAGCATAAAATAACTATAAATTTCCAGTCTAAAAACTTCAAGTTTAAGAGTTCTATTAACTCTTCAGCCTACCAAATTCTATCTTCTCTTCCTAAATAACAAATTATCTCTAGTTTCCATTCTACCTCTAATTAATGGAATTTTAAGCCAGCCATACTCATATGGAAAATACTGTGGAAATTAAATTAAAAACGAGGATACTAATAATCACTAAAATTTTCAAAAGAGACTGGGAAGAGTACACAACAATCATAGTATTATTATAGCTAATACTTAAATAATTGTTTCTATGTATTAGGGACTTTTCATAACACTTGATAGCTATTTAATATAATATCATAATAATCCTACACAGCAGGTATGATTATAATCTTTCTTTTACTGATGAAGAAACTCAGGCACAGAGAGGTGTAGTAACCTGCCTAAAGTCTCACAGCTAATTAAAAAAAATCAAGATCTGGACCCAGGCGCTCTTGCCCCCAAATCTTTGCTTTTATCCACCATGCTATGATTACATCATCATCAAATTTTTTCATTATTTTATTTACTGCTCAACGTTATGTTGTTCTTTGACCTATTTATTTCTATCTGTTGATTAAACCAAAGATTTTCTTAGAAGAATTTTGGCATTTTTGTCATTCACTGTCACAACAAATAGGCCCACTCACCATCATTGATTAACTTCACTCACTCGTTCAATTAAAAAATACTAAATATCCAATTTATGTCAGAAATTAACTTAGGTTCTAGGTTTTATTGGTCAAAAGAGTGAAAAGGAGTATTGGGCATGTAAATTTGATTAGAATTTAATTTGATAAGTGATATAGATCTGCACTGGATCCTATGGGAGCAAGAGGAAGAGGATCAGGAAAAAAATTATTCTAATTCCAAACTTACAACAGGGTTAGTAGCCAGTCATTTGATGAAGAAGGAAACAAGATGGACAGGCAGGTGTAATTGTGTGAGCAAAGATATGGAGACACAAATGAAGGAGAAATCTCAAGTAGTTCAACTTTTATTCATATTTCAAAATTATTGAGGACCCAATAGGTGCCACAGACTGCCCTAAATGCCAAGAATTCAAAGAATAAGACATAGACAT
The DNA here is from genome assembly GCF_000001405.40 of Homo sapiens. NCBI lineage: Eukaryota > Metazoa > Chordata > Mammalia > Primates > Hominidae > Homo > Homo sapiens. The sequence continues at coordinate 98,346,355 of NC_000001.11, read as the reverse complement.
CATCCTCAGGAAAGGGTAAGCCTGAAAAAAGCAAATTTTTTTTTGCATAAATTGCTTAAGACCTTTATGATCATTGCTGTTTAATTCTAGTTTCTCATGAGTAGCAAAAATCAGTATATCCTAATACTTGGGGACTGTAGTCTCTGTTTAGAGGATATTTCCATTTCCACATAATGGTCTTCCCTCACAAGAAGAAGGAACTTAACTTGCAGGGCCCTATGTCCCTGGCTATGAAGCTCTGATTTTATCCTAATGGCAAGGGAGTCTTTGAAGGCCTTAAATCTGAGACTGACATGAGATGGAAATGTCCCATGCTTCATGCGTTTTAATGTGCTGCTTCTCCAGCTATAATGTCTCTTTTAAAAGGAGTTTAAATCCTGAAAAATGGATAATAGAATCATAAAACAGTAAACCTCATATAGCAATTTACCATAAAGCAGAAGCTTCGATATAAAATGATGAAAGATAAAGTAGGCATATAAGTTACCCTTAAAATCTGTGCCGAATAAATTTAAAATACTAGAATTTCAGATGCAGAGAATAACAATTGTGTTTGCTAGCCAGAGTCTGCTTTGGTTCATTTGAGGAAAGCATGTCAGTCACTCTTAATGGTCTCTGCAAAACCCTAACCATGTCTTTGCCAAGACTCTCGTGTAATAGTTACATGATAAGCCCCAATGTGCTTCACAGTAAATCAGAGAGTTCCACAGCTAAGTTACATGATAAGCCTTGCTATATTGAACAGTAAATCATGGAATTCCTCAATAAAGTTACACACTAAAACTCTCTAGCTTATTTATTTATTTTTTCTTTATAGTATTATCTCCCAGTGGTGGATAAAGGTCAGCAACGTGCCTTCTGCTGAGCTACTTTCCTTTATCCCTTCTGCATACACATTTCCAGAGAATGCTTCAAGTCCCTCCCATCACAGCTAGAAAACGGTGAATATAAAACTTGACAGAAACCCCAAAAGATCTCAGAACTGGAATCTCTATCAATAGATGGATGAGGATAGGAATGTAGGATGCAGAAGCGGTATGTGATGTGAGAACTCCATGACAGAGAAGGAGCAAATCTATGAAACCTTCATATACCATTTGCTCATGAAGAATCAATGGATCATAGGTAGTAGTGACATCAATAAAATTTCTCTAATGGTAATTTAATGATTATAAACTATTACATTAACAAGATGCAGTTGTGTTTCCCTAAAGGCATTATGAATATTATTTAATGCACACCTGCAGATACCCAGTACTTTATCCAGCTATGACAGGGTACTAATGGAGCCTGGGAGTAAAGAGTAATCATAGTCTGTCCTCTCCCCGCTGCTCCTCCCCAGGAAACAGAGTCATGTGTAGAAATAACAAATTATGCTACTCGGTAACAGGAAACAGGAGGTGGTCTTCATGATTCACTAGTCAGGAATCTATAGACTAGGAAGACCTTTTATCACAAAAGTCTGTGTACCCCTCAAGACAGATTTCCTTCTATTCAAGTTTAGTTATACATAACTGGCATGCACAAATATGGCAGCCTAAAATAAATACAGCATACTGAGGTATGAAATGGCTAACTAGTGTATGCTCAAACCTAAGTCTCAAATACAAGCACCGATTTTAAAAATTAAACATGACATCTAGCTTATCAGAAAAGATTTGCAAGCAGAGTAGTACATTGGCTGCTCATATTACTAAAACTTTATTACTGTAGAAAGTAGCCTACAGTACACTTATAAGGATGCTATTATCATAAATAATTGAACTCAAACAATGGTGAAAATAAATAACCAGAGTACATTTTGTACTTTAACAATCTTCTTTTGACTGTGGTTGTTTGAGGACCATTGGGGATGTGTGTGTGTGTGGAGGCGGGGTGGTTAATTCTTATTTACTTAAGTGCTAATTCCCTTAAATTGGTAACCCACAATTTTTTCTCCCAGTTGTCAATTAAATTTAATAAGGACATATTGTATGGGCATTGATCTTATGCAAAATACTACACTATTAGTACAACAATACAAGAAAAAAATTAGTAAGAATTACAAGTTTCAAAATTTCAATTTTAAGCACATTTTACCTAGTACAAATGTATGTATGTTTTTTTCTATTATTTATCAACATGCCTCAAAAATTCAGTCAATTTAAGTGTGGGTCTTAAGGCTTATTTCCAAGCTTCAAAAAGCTTATACTGTGTTTTTCTTCCAAAAAAAAAAAGCTTTATTCCAATGATCCCTAAACAGAAAGCATTGTGATTAGGAGACATGCATTAGCATAAAAATTCAGCATTAATTATATGTTTCTCTGATTTTCTAGAGGGATGGATGCATGGATGGATGGTTAGATAAGTAGATGGATAGATAAATATTTACAATTTTTTTTAAAACACAAAAATACGTAAAAGGAAATATGTGCCATTTGTTGGGCATTTAATGAGTCAAGATCTGAGCTACTTGTATTTAATACACGTATTTTTTTTAATCCTCATGACCACACTTTGGTTACATTTTCGCACATGGTCAAACTGAGGTTCAGGAAATTAATTTTCCTAAGCTCATGTAGTTAATAAGAATCAGAGCAAGGATTTAAACTTAGATTTACCTGGTTACCAAGCCTGTGTCTTTCCTCTACACTGTACTTTCTTACACTTTCAAATGTGAGAGTAGATCAAATTGCACAGAGATTGGCCAGGGCCTCCCGTTGCCTGTCTGGTGAAGAGATGAGTAGGAAGAAAGGTTAATTCACTTTCCTTTATATAATGGGCTGGCTTCTTCAAATTACATCAAAAAAAAGGGTAGAGTCGGGGAGTGGTTACTTGGTGCTGCTATGTAATAGTCACTCCAAACAGAAAGCTTGTAGTGGGTAAGAAAAAACAAACAAAAACAAAACACAAAAAAGCAATACAACATATGAACTTTTTCTAATTTTATAATTTAGAAAAGTACTTTCCAATTAATATCTTTTCAGAGAGTGATATTTAGAGTTTTCAGATTATCCATATTCAGATTGAGATTTTCTTAACCATGTGACTGGGATGAGAATAGGAGCGAAAAGGTGAAATATGTGGAAATTGTTTCTTCAGAAATTTAAATTTGTGTGTGTTGTGTTGTTTACTCATCCACATTCAAAGCAGATTTTTCTTTTCATGCACCGCTAGTTCAAAAATAGCCTTCATCAGGACACTCCTGGGATTGGCCTAGAATGCATTTTTTTTTTTTTTTTTGTCAACGTTCTTAGCCATCTCTGGAACTTGGAAAGGAAGGCTAGTAGATTTTTTTTATCTTAAATCTAATTATTCTTCTCATTGAAACCTCATAAGCTTAGTGAATGTCTCACAGCCTCTGATGATGTCTGACTACCAGGGAGTCATTACACCACTCGCAAGTCTTGGCAATGCAATGAGAATCCTGTCTAGCAGGAGGGGTAACATGAGGTGAAGGGAGAGTATGACCCTGTCCCCCAACATTAGGAATTAGGTCCGGGGGTAGCACTGATTGGTTTGTGCTTCAAAATGAGCAATGTCTTAAAGGGTAGATTGTTTCATTGAGTAGAATGAAGAATTTTTTCTGACCAGTGCCAAATGGAATGCTCCCTGTATTGAAGAAAGTGAACTTGATGCTATCTAGGGAAAGAAGAGTATTCATGCAAGATCCTGAGCTGTGGTCACAGGAGGCAAAAAGGGAAACCAGTGAGTGTCTCTGTCAGGTGAAGGGAGTTACTATTTGACAACATCAATGCAGGCAAGCACCTTTTGGGCAGTGCTCAATGTGACAATGCTGAATGCCTAGGGACAATCAGGTTTCCTGGTAAGTATGCATTCTCCAGAATGCTTTTAGAAGCATATCAGCCAGAATTGTTTTTAAATTTAATTTAATTTTTTTTTTTTTTTGAGACAGAGTTTCACTCTTGTCTCCCAGGCTGGAGTTCAGTGGCGTGATCTCAGCTCACTGCAACCTCCATCCCCCGGGTTCAAGGGATTCTCCTGCCTCAGCCTCCCGAGTAGCTGGGAATACAGGTGCCCGCCACCACACCCAGCTAATTTTTTGTATTTCTAGTAGAGATGGGGTTTCGGCATGTTGGTCAGGCTGGTATTGAACTCCAGACCTCAGGTGATCTGCCCGCCTCGGCCTCCCAAAGTGCTGGGATAGCAGGCGTGAACCACCATACCCAGCCCAGAAAGTTTTAATGTTAAAATTTCCCTCCAAGCCAAACTAAGTCTTTGTATATATTACCATACTATTTTACCAGAAATATTAACTATTTTATGCCTCTTTCCTGCCTGAAGAATATCTAATATCACCTGTTTACTTCATGAGATAAAGTGCACATACTTCAGTCTGGCAGTCAAAGCATTGTACTTTCTGGACTTGATCAACATGTCTTGTTTTATACCCTACATTGTGCTGCTCAAAGTCTTTCACCATAATTATTTTAATCTATTTACTGTCACTTAAAAATACCCAATTTGCTCATCTCCATCCCTTTTTCTTATGCTATTTTTCTCTTCTAATTTGTTCTTCTTCCTCCGCTTTGCTTCATTCAAGGCTGCAAAGACTCCATAAAGCCTTGTTTGAACTCACTACCCCTGCAGTGACTTCTCCCACTCCTGAGCTCCTATAGTATTTAATGTCTAGGAACCTCATTTGGTTGACACTTGCTGCCTTCTGTTGTTTATCTTTATGTAAATGGTTATTTCCTTTTCTAAGATTTGTGTAAGCACTTTTCTACTCATGACCATACCTGATTCTTTTTTTTTTAATTAATTACACTCTCCTCTTCCAGCACCTTAGCATTCAGTAGATAAATCTTCAAGATTTGAAAATTTAGGCTGAAAAATAAATGCTAAGAAAGGATGTTAATGTAAACATATTTAATAATTACTAAGTTCATTTTTCACATTTTATCATGTAATTCTTCAAAACAGCTCTGGAAGGTAAATGATCTCAGTTTTACAAGGGAGGAAAGTAAAGCTCAGAGAGATTTTCAAACATGCTAAAGTCAGACCATCCAGTTCATTATTTCATGAGAAATATCTCTTATCTACTTCTAGATCCCCAAAATACATTTCCTTGCACATAAATAATTTATTTGCAATGAGTTTGCAATGATCTATTTTTTTAAAAACTAATGGATATATGTTGGAGTGATGTTTGCCTCTAAATTCCAAGTGTTGTATTTATGATATCAAAAATTTTAAGCATTTGGTAAGTTCTGACATATTTGTCATGTAGAAGTAACTTAAAACTGGTTTGCATGTCAAAAAACTTTTAAAAAGTGTTAACTCTAAACAGCTGGGAAATACTAGGATAATTTTCTGTCCTAAAAAGGGATATAAAACAAATATATGTAGAATAGAGATTTAGGTCACTGTTTTCCAACATTCAATCCAAAGAACTTCCACAGGTTATCATTAGATGTTCTACTTCTTCTCTTCCTGTCCTTCCTTCTTTCTTTGTTGTGTGTGTGTGGTTGGGGTGATCTCTAATCAAAAGTGTTTGGGAAATACTGACTTAAACAAAGATTCTTTACTATGACTTTAAATATGCGAAGATACATCATGACTCTCTGGAGTGAAGACAATATGGAACATTTCCCAACAGAATTTAACCACAGGACTCTTTCTCACAACACCTCATAATACTGGAAGTCCACGAAACAAGCTTTGAGAAACATTCTTGAGGTTATGACTATATATGAAATATTTCTTATCGGTTCCTAAAGGAGGTATGGATGTATGCTGTAATTCCTAAAATTAAGAATGCTGTCGAGAATGTATCTTCTTCATATGTCCTTTAATATGCTGGAGGGGTTGGATAATGTGACCATGGGTCTAAAGTACAATCATGTTTCTACTCATAGCTTAGAGCTTATAATTGTGTGCTTCATCATCAAGTTTTCGTCCATTGATTTGGGAATCCAACTGTGAGTGAGACAGCTCAGATGTATGTTTACCGTGTGCAGTGAATCTTTATTGTGCTTTTCCAATCATAGCCCCTTCTCCATTCTTCTGGTAACAGCACGCACTATCTATGGGTGACTGCCTTTCCTCATGCCTGTATGGTTCCGGTGGGCCTGCCAAACATGCGTCCAAGGGGCTGGGCAAGTGACACAGGTCTGGTAAAATACAGTTTACATTCCCCTTGCAAGCGATGGGTCTAGCAGAGGAGAGGGCATGCGGTCCAAGCCTGGCCAATCAGAGTCCTTCCCAAAGCTCTTAGGATTTGTATTTGGAGGAGAAGAGGTCCTCCAGCTTCTATATTCTGGAAGGATGCATCTCTGGAGCTACCAGTGGTCAGTCATATTCTCCACATATCAACAAATAAAGCAAGGCAGCTTGCTTACTATGAGAGTGAATAAAGCTGTTTTGAGACAAATAGAAATGAGAGAGAAGGGTAGATAGTAAGAAAAGCGGATGGGGGTGATGGGGCTAGATTTTCTGAATCCCAGCTTTTGGTCATGTCTGAAGAATGTGTCACCTTGGACTTCCCAGTCACATGAGCCAACAAATTTTTTTTTTCCGCTTAACTAGTTTGAGTTTCTGGAGCTAATAATAGTTATTCCAATATCAGGGTGGCTTTAGCTAGTGTGCTGGGGAAAGCATATTCTCTTACTGATTTGGTACATGTCTGGGTGCTGAGGGTCAGTGTGAGCAAAAAGAGACTGTAAGTTGTTTAATTTATCAAGTACTACTGTTGAGACAAGACCTTGAGAAAATACATAATCCAATGCCCTGATGGTGCAGGTGAAGAAACTGAGGTATATAAAACTGAAGTGACTTGTCTAAATATATGACATCGCTTTAGTAGTAATACAACCAGGACCAAACTCAAGTATATCTTTTTTTCCATTAAAACATATTTGCCATTTTTCCCCATTTAGCAGGATATAATTTTCTGTATTGGGAGACAGCTTATGTCAGTGGAAAGGACACTGAAATCAGAGTGGGAGATCTGCATTTAAATCCCAGGTCTGCCATGTCCTTAAGCAGGTTACTTACCTCACCGAAGCTGAGCTCCGAGCTCCCCTGCACAGAAAATGACGCTAGTAGTCTATATCCTGCATAATTAAGTGGATGATTTCTGTTAAAGCATTTTGCAAATTCTTCAACATTATTTAAGAGATGTTCTAAAAAGATTGTTCTCTATCATCACAAATTTGCTTTATTTTCCTATTTTGTAAAATGAGGGTTTTATAACTCATTTCAGGGACAGTTACCCTTTATCCATTTAGGGTAATGACCTTATGTTTTGCAGTAGCTGTTTCATCTTATTCTCAAACTGGTAAATGCTAGCTTCCCTAATATCCATAAAACATGTTTAATTCTAGATGCATATTTCAGGATGGCAGTATAGACATACGCTACAACTAATAAGGCCTATCCAATTTTTCTGATTCATATTCCTATGGCAGGGTCATTTGACAGATTTCTCTTTCCTCAGCAACTCCAGCACACTGATTGACACTTGATTTTTTAAAATTTAAAAAATCATTTTTATTGAATATTTTTCTACTATAAAATCAACGTGATAATTCTCCCTATAAGATTATCAGCGAGAGGATGGATGCTAGTTGCCAATCTAAATGCCCTCAGAAAACTTGTGTCCATATATCTCAAGTGATATATTATATAAAAACTTTAAGATATGTTTATGTAGAGAGGAAGTAAATTGTATTATCCTTTCCAAAATTGGTTCCTTTTTTATTCTTCCCCACCCCACTAACATCAGAATTGACCTTGTAACTTGCTTTGACCATTGAAATGTGAGCAAAAATGACATATGCTACTTCTAAGAAAAGCTTTAAGAATTATTGAGTGCTTCTGTCCTCTTTCTTTCTCCCTCTCCCATGATACTAACAATATCCCAGATTGGGGATGATACTCTAGTCCGAGTCCCAGAATGAAGAACCAAAGAAAACATTCAATACATATGTGACATAAGTCAGAAATGTACTTTCATTTATGCAAATCCCTGCACTTTTAGGTCTTTTGTTACTGCAGCATAACTTGGCCTAAACCGGGTGACTCTGTAATGATATGTTCCTGATACCAATCCATAGACGTTCTTTAAAGTGAAAGCAAATCATAATCACACAGTAGCACTATTGACTTTTATTGTATTTTACTAGAAAGAATTAACCAAAATTGCCCTTTGAATTCCCCCACCATAAATTTCTTCACTGTATCATTTTTTTCTCTTTTTATTTAAGTACATTTATACAATATCACTTGGTCATCAAAAATTTCCTCCAAAATTTTACTCAACAAAGAGCATGCACATTGTAATTGACAGTAGATTTTAAATACAATTTGAATATTTATCAATTTCACATATAAACCCAGGCAATGCATATTTGATCACATTATCATCTGCTGTTCATTTCTTATTAAAAGATAAATAATAAACATGCTTACCCTCGTCTTAGAAGAAAATTGATTTAAAATACAAAGTTTGCTTCAAATGCTATTTAAATTGTATATCTCCAAGAAAATCTTCAAATCAAAATAATGAGGAATATGTGAAACAATTTCCAATATAACCTGACTTACTTCTTAATCTCTCTGTCCAGTGGCATAATATCAGTTCACCAACAACTATGCTTATGATATGGTTAGGCTTTGTGTCCCCACCCAAATGTCATCTTGAATTGTAATTCCTATAATCCCCATAATCCCCACATGTCAAGGGAGAGACCAGGTGGAGGTAATTGAATCAAGAGGGTGGTTCCCCCATGTTGCTTTCATGATTGTAAGTGAGGTCTCATGAGATCTGATGGTTTTTTTAGCGGTTCTTCCCACTTCACTCTGCACTTCTTCCTGCTGCCTTGTGGAGAAGGTGCCTTCTTCCCTTCACCTTCTGCCATGATTGTAAGTTTCCTGAGGCCTCCCTACCCATGCTGAACTGTCAGTCCATTAAAGCTCTTTCCTTTATAAATTACCCAATCTCAGGCAGTTCTTTATAGCACTATGAGAATGGAATAATACAGCCTGATTTGTACAATTTAGGTACATTCCATTCTAATTTGCTTATAGATTTTATCAAGGTAAAAATCACAGAATAATAAAAGGGAATAAAAAGCACCAACTTTCTGAGCTTCTTTGTTGTATTTACATCTTAAGAAATTTTGTCTTCAGTTGCGAATTAAAAATGAGTTGTCAAGTTCCCTTAATAATTAATGTTGAAATGAACAACTGTCGCAAGTACAACACATTCCATTTAATGTTAAACAGCATTATATTTACTGTAATTCCACCTTTCATCCCAATGTCAACCTTTAAATCTTTAATGCTTTAATCACACTTCTTTTGCTGATATCCCTTGTGAGTTCCTCAAACCAATGCCCACTCTTTTGTGATAAGGTGGGCATTTTATGCCGCAAGGGTTAGTCAGCAGCAATTGTTAATTATTAAGGAAAACAAAATGCAGCTGCTGGAAAATTGTGTTTGTTCCCAGCAGGGCATGTAACCTTTAATCTCTACTGACATTGAAGCAAGTGAAGTCATAAAAGGGAAATAATGCATTTCAAGAACATGGCCCCATAGAAAATTAAAGAATTTCCTATAAAATTAATGAGCCTAATTACCAGATAATGTCTGTATTTGCCTTTCAGTAAGTTATCCGCCTTTCTGATAGAAAGCTGGAAAGAGAGGAAGCAGTGGGTGGGGCCCCAAGGAGCAGCCTTGCTGCTGATTGGGTGGAGCCAGGAGAAACAGAAAGAAAATCTAATCACGTACCTTAGGGTTCCTGGAAACGGAGGAGAAGATGAAAGGCTAACATTTTTGTTAAGAACATGCTATGTACATGTTCTCACTTTTAAATGAAAGCTAAACATTGAGCACCCACCGACACAAACATGGGAACAATAGACCACTGTAGACTACTGAAGCGAGGGGTGGGGTGGTCAAAAAACTACCTGTTGGGTACTATGCTCAGTACCTGAGTGCATTATATCCATGTAACAAACCTGCACATGTACCCCTGTATCTAAATAAATGTTGAAAAAAGATCTTAATAGACAGGTGGAGTACTTTTTAAAAAATAGAAAACAGAGATCATATTAAAATATTTTATGTCTTTTGTCTCTTAATTACATCGTTTGGTCATTTTTTCTTAATTGGCTAGAATCTGAAATCAGCCTTCGCTAATTTGGTTCTTTAGAAAATTAAATCTGTAGCTGGACATGGTGGCACACACACCTATAGTTTTAGCTACTCAGGAGTTTGAGGTGGGGGTGTGGCTTGAGCCTAGGAGGACAAGGCTGCATGCAGTGAGCTATGATCATGCCACTGCCCTCCAGCGTGGGCAAGAGAGCAAGATCCTGTCTCTAAAAATTAAATTAAATTAAAAAGCATGCGTTGTGTGCAAGGCAATAAATGAGTGCTCGTGTTATTATTTTAACTATCTGAGCCTTGATTCCCTCACTTTAAACTGGAGCTATTTAAATGATTAACTTGACATATTTTATTTTAAGCTCTTCATACAATGCTTGAAATTAAAAAAAATCACTCATTAAATATCACCAAATAGTCATTTAATTGCTACTGTTCTCCTGAGAATTATATACCATTATCTCCATTATCCTTATCTCCCAGTTCAAACAGCTAGTATGTAGGGGGCACAAAAATGAACCTGGATCTCTCTGGTTACAAAAATTGAACTGAGACTGTGGCTTAGGTATATCTTAGATGTGTTTCTCCCTGCTCCAAAACAGGCTGATAATAGTGATTGAAGATTTATCCCCTTTCTTCAATAGATAAATTTTGTTTCTAACTTAGTATTTATGTAAATTCAAGTGGAAAATATGTCTGTATGGAAATTTTAAGAAGGAAGAGCCTCAATGAAGAGCCCCTCAAAGAAACCTAAATTTTCACATTTTTAAATGCCTACTTTGCATTGCTTGAATGCTGCAGTATCATTCAGGAGTCAAAAGCCACAATTATCATCCTAACAATGAATCTAGAGTAGTAAGAATACGTACAGGCAATTACACAAAGCCTAAACATGTTTTAAAAGGTTTTAGGGGGTTTAACTGAGCTTCATATAGCTTCTGGGGCAAAGGGAATTTTATTTGGCCAGATGTTTTGGGACCCCAGAATTTATAGGGATCCCCAGAATAGTCTCAAGGTAAAAAATAAAAAGATTCCTAACCATCATTGGCCCATGAACCACTTTGAAAATCTTTTGAATCCTATGGATATTCTGCTGAGAAAAAGAAATGCACGTATGTACTTAGGTTAAGAATCCCATATAGATTTTGCTTTTGACATAGTGATTTTTAAGAGTTTAAAGTCTAAGTTAAACTCTTTGAAATCTAAATCCAAAACAGTTGTAAGCCAGAACAAGTCTTTTTGTACTATACTCAGCCCATGAGGCTTCCCTGAGGATTAAGTTTGGCCCTGATGTGCTCAGCTTGCTGCTGAGTGATCACTGGGTGGTCAGGGATGCCCAGAGCACAGTGTGCACTCAGAATTGGTGAATCGGTACTGACTGTTCTGGAACATCTGGCCCAGCCTAATGGTGAGGACCCCTCAGAAGCTGTGTCTTTTCAACCCTCCAGATATGCTGATCAAATGAATTACTACTACTACTACTAATATGTGTTAAATATAATGTATTTCATAATGAATATTTTATATAATTAAGTATACATGAAGACACTTTTAAAAATTATAAGGCATTACATGCAAGTTATAGTTCAGGAAAAAGATGAAAAAAGAGAGAGAGAAATGAACATTTCCCATTATTTCATATAGTTCTTATAACAGCCCTCAATAATAACGCTATTTTACACTTAAGGAAATACATATAAATGTTTAAGAAAAATTTTCTCACTAATATCCTAAAGTTGTTTAATACACTTCTCTATGATGCCAAGATTAAATAAATCACTAAGGTATGAAACTTGGGCAGAATATTCTTTAATGAAGATACTCCTTACTGACTTTAGATTGATGTTGTCCCAATCAAGGAAAAACTGCATTCAGCAGCTGCACTTCCTCAGTTGTAGGAGAATACTCATAATACTCAGAACCTATGCAACATGACAGGATAAATCTTAGTTGTTAAAACCATGATCAGATTCAGACACAATTGGGTTCAAATCCTCTTCCTGCCATTTACTGAGTGTGTGACCTAAGGCAATTTACTTAATGTCTCAGAGCCCCATTTGCTTCATCAATTGAAGGAATTTGTCAGAGGCTGTTGTGTAGATGAAGTGACAGATGCAAGTTAAGTGCTCAGCATAGGTCTGGCAGGTTGTAAGCCATCTCGGAATGTTATCATTTGTCCTGTCATTTGTCCTGTTTTTATTACATAACCCCTATGAGCCCCTTTACCATTTACGGGAAGTTGAAATTCCAGGAGAGTTAAAATACCCCTTTATACGGGTGTTTTATGCTTATGGAGTTTTATCCCTTTCTCTTAGGTGTTATCCCCTTTGCTCCACTTCCACTCATATACCATGCCTTTCTCTTTGCTCTCTCTAATCAGGCTTTCTGCTTAGCACTGGGGGAAATAGTGATGAAGAAGGCAAAGTGCCTGCCCCGATGACTGCAAAGTTTAGTGTGTCAGAGCAGAAGACATCAGTGACTAACTGACACAAAAGTGCTATGGGGGCCCAGAGAAGGAACAAAGAAAGATAATTACCTTAGCTGGGGTGGGTGAGGGACAGTTTGACATAGGAAGCAAAGCACAGTGTGTACCTGTGGTTGCAGGTGAGGATAATTACCTTAGCTGCGGTGGGTGAGGGACAGTTTGGCATAGGAAGCAAAGCACAGCCTGTACCTGTGGTTGCAGGTGAGGCTAGTGAGACACCTCGAGGGCAAAGGATGGAGGCATAATAAACATCGAGAATCTGGACTTCCCCCTGAAAGAAATGAGGCCTTAAAGATGTGGGGAGGGAGAGGATGTGAGGGAAAGGGAAGAGTAGAAGACAACTCTCAAGAGGGAGGCTAGAGTCGCAGAGGAGAGGGGTGCCAGGCTTGATCTAGAGGTACACATGGAGGAGCAGATTTAGGGAAAGAAAACGACTTCAGTTTGGAGCACACTTGTTTAGAGGTTTGTAAGGATGTTGAATGGTTCTTTTTTTCCACCTAAAAATGAAATTTGAGATGTGGACCTGTTTATTAGCTTCCCAGGGCTGCCATAATAAAGGACCTCAAACCAGGTGGCTTAAAACAAGTTTATTTTCTCACAGTTTTAGAGGCTAGAAGCCCAACAACAATGTGTTGGCAGGGCCATATTCCCTTTGGCTCTAGAGAAGAATCCTGCCTTACCTTTTCCTAATTTTTCGTAGTTGTCATAAATCCTAGGTGTTCCTGGGCTGGTAGATGGGTCACTCCATTCTCTGCCTCTAACTTCACCTGACTTTCTCCTCCCCTATATCTTTATGTCTGAATTTATCCTGCAAAGACTCTATTTTCAAATGAGATCACATTCACAGCTTCCAGTGAATATGAATTTTGAGTGAACACTATTCCACCCAGCACAACCCCTAACAAGGGTAAAAGAGAGGTGGCATCCCATTTACGAGGGTGTTATCAGTAGTTGATGGGCTTTAGGGAAGCCTGCCATTGATCCAAGGAAACCATGCACACCACCTGGGCAAGACCATCACTTGGTGAAGGCCACCAGAAGCACAGAGAACAGAATGAGCAAGAGTCTGCCCAGTAGCTTAAACAAAAAAATCTCATCCTCCTGTGTCCACCCTCCCTGCCCAGACCTGGTAGTGCTTAGGAAAAGAGGTGTCCCAGGGATCTACATAAACCCCTGGAAGTGAGAGGGCTGGCCAAAGCCACTCTCCCCACTTAAAAACAATGAAGAAGAGAGTTTGAATTAAATATGGAATTAAGGTTGTAAACTAGACTGGACTACATTTTAATAATTGACAGTGGCTGAAAAGCTCTGGAATCTTCCCGGATGTTATGAGATTCAACATAGTAAGGTTGGATATTACTAAGGCAGTTATCGGAAAACAAAATTCATATCTATACCTTAATATATGGATAGAGGGCCCTTTGATCATCTGATGACAGGCATTTGTGAGATGTCTAATTAGGCTGAGATGTCACAATGAAGGTGTAGCCAAAGGTGTTAACAGAACTCGTGAGAATAGAGGAAGATACCGCAATAAGGTGATCTAATCCAGCGTGTCTGCTAGGCAGGACAACACCTAAATGTACTCACAGAGAGAATTTCACACCAAATGAAAATAAGAAAAGTTCTCATGTTCTGGAAGCCAAAGCAAGCCCCAGAGGACTTGTACTACACTGACCTCCTTCTCTAGCTCTGCCTTTTCCTTGTCTTTTTACCATCTGCAAAGGAATTTAAGTTTTACACAATAATATTCTTTTTTTCCTCAAAGCATTTTCTTTCTCCAATCAGGTCACGATAGTTTCTGGCACAGATCGTTCATCCTTTTAAAAATACCCAGTGCCACTTTTCAAATAGCTAACCACACCCTGCTGCCAGTCAACCACATTCCCTGAAGATGCCCACTATATGCAGAGCAGGATATTAAAAGCCAAACAAGCAAACTGAAAAATGAAAAAGGAATATTAGAGTTGATCAACATGAGGAAACTTTATTAGCCACAATTTCAATCCCCTCTGATCTGAATAGGTATTCCAAACATATTGTGTGAACTGGGGTTCACCATAAGGTACATTTTTTAAAGTCTGCTTTTCCAGTATTATCATACCAGCTGGAGTTACTTATTTCATTCCAGCTCAGTGGGAATCTACAGGCTGCATAAAAATACATTAAGGAATATTTATAAGATGGCAAACAGGACCAAATGTATCGGAAAGAATAATATTGTGCATTGCTCATTACAAACATGATTATTTTGTGTATGTAACGGATGTGTTGTTAAAGCACAGTGGGTTGTTTGAAGTTTACAAGTTTGTTATGGATTGATTTATTCATGAAATGCTTTGTTTCTATGACAACTTTATTGGTTTGCCTGTGGTCTAAATACATATAGGCATGGCAGGAATTCCACGGTACAAAACAAATTACACAGTCACCCCTGAATCACTTGCTGCCTTTAGGGAGTGTAGCAAAAGGATTTCCAACCAGGGCAGACATCACCATTCCCAGAGCCAGCATTAGAGAGATCACATAATAAAGGAGAAAAAGGCTTTTTAAAAAGAACAACTTAAAAGTCTCCAACAGCCTCCAAGTCTGTTATAGAAGGAAAGATTGAAATGAGCAACGAAATGCCCAACATAAGATAAGAGAAATACAATCTACCCACAATGCATGAGGGTTTTATTTAAGAAAAACACTGATCAAAGGCCCATATTTCCTGCTATAAATAATACCCCTTGAAGAATACCATTAATATTCACAACAGTTGTGTAACTACAAAAGAAACTGAGAATTGTTGTTTAGAGAAAATAATAGTGGATTTTGGAAGATAAAAGGAAAAGGTGGAAAAGAAAAAAAGACAGAAAAAAAGATATTTACTGTGGACCAAAGATCATTATTCAGTGAAACTTAAGTCAGGGAAATCATGCCTAAGGGGACCTAGACCTTGTGAAAGCTAGAAAAAAGAAAGTGGAATCCAAATTATATTCCTCATATTACCCCTGAAATGCATCCCCATGTATGCATGGGAGGAAAAATTAAAATGAGAAGGATTATTTAGAATAAAATTATTGCTCTTCATAAATTTAAAGAATCTCATGCTACATCATGAAAGTAGCCTTAAATATGGGGGCACAGTGATGATTTCAGTGAAAAACACATATGAAGCAAGATATATTTTCCCCAAATCTCTGTTACATGTTTTTGTAAAATCTCCTTCAATTTTTCTGCTCTTCTTTTTGTTTTCATGAACTTTTGTTGTGTGTTGATAAATGTCAAAGATCGATTATGTGGTATATGATGACATACAAAACTTAGAATTTCAGTTCCTCTTTCAATTCCCACTAAAGGGCTGGATTAGACAGCCATGCGTCCATCATGGTACCCAGCCATCACACCATGGCAGATTAAGTCAGAGGTGAACATCTGACCTAGGAAAATCAATCCATTCCCTTGCCAACAACTAATTCATTTCTTTCAGTAAATTGCATATTTAGAAAATAGTAGAGGAGAGGAGTACAAAATGAAAGGTCACGTCAAGTGAGGTTTGGAGCAGCCATTGTCAGCCATGACGCACCAACGTCATTCTCTAGAGAAAGGTAGAAACAATGAAGCAGAGGGACCCAAAGAAGATCAATCGCATCGGCCACTAAAGAGGTGAGGTGAAATGGAGCAGGTAGACGTCTCAGTCCCTGGGGGCTCTAGCTCCCAAGAGACGTGGTTATAACTTATTTCTCTGAGGATATCATACCTTAACAACAAATTGTTCATTTGAGCTAACTTGAGGAAATTTCCACTGCAACTAAAGAGCCTTTATTAAACTGTATAATCAGAGCTTGTCATTTCTAACCATGGTTAATTCATCTTTTCAACTGAAATTTGCTACTTAAGGAAAGCTATATCAACTATTGATATGGCGTAGGTACAGAGTTCTGGTAACTAACTGAAAAAAAAAAAAAACTGAAGCATACCCTAGATATTATCAGTCCATTGCTTGGATAAAACTAGCCTAATTTCTTGGTGGTCCAGTTGGTCTAAGCACCAATCAGCAGTAAAATTTCAGGCCAATATTGGTGGCAAGCAACTCTGCAGCAACAAAGCAATGTTGTATATATCTTATATACTACACAGGACATAATTGTCTTTATTTGCTGCATTTGATAGTGTCCAGTTCGATAAATTTGGAATATGGAACACCCTAGAAAGCATCTCTTCCTTAAAAAAATTAAAATTAAAACAAGTGCACAGTTGTATAGTTTACAAAAACTGCCCTTGTGTTAGTGAATCAAGACTATATTCACATACAATAGTTGAATGTTTCATATTTTGACTTTAGGCTTCAGGGTGTTTACTGTGATACTGTGAAGAACTTGCATAGCACCGTCCTACGAGGCGGCCACTGCCATGCAGTATTAGGAAACTGGCCCTTACATACTGTCATGTTTCTGTTGAATTCAAGCCTCTCCCAAATTTGAAAAGAAATCAGTAAACATGTTAATAACTATATCCCACCAAAGTCAGTTTCACAATTTGACTCAGAAACACAGAAAAAGAATGAGTAGACTTTCAAGTGCACTGAAAACTAAGTTTTTCTTGGGAAAATTTAGGTGCTATGGTTACTTAGTTATTCATACATCCTTTTAATAAAGGTTGTTTGAGGTCCTTTGATGTACAATACTGGGTCCCTCCTTGGAGACTACCCACCATCAGATAAGCCAGATAATTCACAAGTAAATAAAGCAATAGGATACTGACAGATGATGACAAATGCTGTGTAGGAAACCAGTGTGGGGCTGAGAAAGGTATAAATAGAGAGGAGGAGGAGATAAATGACTTTAGATAGAATAATTAGGAAGTGATTTTTAAGCTTAGCCCCAAAGAGCAAGAAGAATTTAGCCATGGGGTAAGAAAGTGGAAAGGGGCAGAAACTTTCTAAAATGGAAGGGAACAGTAAAAGGAGGTCTTGAGACAAGAAGGAGCTTGGTATGTTTAAAAACTAATAATGATAATAAAATTCACAGCTAACACTGTTCTAAGTGCTTTACTTCTGTTTGGTAACTTAACTGAGAGAGGACCAGTGTGGCTCCACATGGAAAGTTCTTAGTATTTATTGAATGAATAGATTTTTAAAATAACTGCCTACGTCCTTTAAAATGCTAATTACTTATCCATGTGATGCAAAAAGTAAGATGGGAAAGGGCACTGACATGTGAATATTGAAAAAGATACTCAGATGACACTGATTTGCACACCTGCTATTTAAGTAAATACTGCAGTTCTAAGTCACAAGTATATTTTCAAGGTGCAGCTCCTGGAATATATATATTTTTACTCCATGGTTACGAAAAGGAAATCTGTCCTGATGAAAGGCCACTGCATTGCACAGCTCCCGCTTTGCATGCCTTCATGGGCACCATTCACATTATATTCTTTGTGAATGGTGTTGTCTAGAATTTTGTAATGTGGTAGCCCTGCTGACAAAGCCATATTTCCACTGAGGTCACCAGGAGTCTGACTTACCATGATCATACTTACCTCCAAAGGTAAAAAAGAAAAGCGAAGAAAACTTGAATCATCTTGGAAGAGGCACTCCGAGAATCTTTCTGGGGAACACATACCATATGAGCATTTTATCTAACACTTTAGTGCCTGAACCGTTTTGCTAATTTGACATGGGAAGCGCTAATAAGATAAAAAGCTCAGGTGCCCTTATCCCATTAGCACTTCCTCTAGAGTTTTTCTGACCCACATTCTGACCTGATCTCTCCCTTATTCCCCATGGTTTGTATTGTACTGATTAAAGCCTTCATCCTTTTGAAAAGATGCTGGGGAATTGTCTGGATTTAACTAAAATTTCCAGCTTAAATTACTGTGTGATTTTTAGCTGATCAGAACCCATTTAGCATAGGCGGCAGTGGCCCAGTCAGGGGATAGGCGACAGAGTGCACAGAGGATGCAACCAGAAGGAGCCAGTTAATAGGCAATTAAGGCTTCATTGCCTTCCCACCACCACAAAGCTCCTTATCTGGGCTCACAACCACGAGCAAGAAAACCAGCCAGTTGAAATTGCTGTTTATTTTGTTTGGCTATATCAGAGTTTTCTTTTTGTTTTGTTTTTGGTGGTGGTGGTGGTGGTTTTCTTTCCAGATTCATCTGCGTTTAGTCAGAACTCATATTTTTCAACCTCCTAGTCTTAATCCAGACCAAACTGTTTTAGAATGTCTTTTTATTAGAAACATGTAGATTTCTCATTATTAGAAACATGCCAGTTTATTTTAGAGAAAAATAATTAAGGGATACGGTTGTATTCATCCCTATCACTCTAAGTGAAACATAAAATCCCTCTTTGCTCCTCCGCCTGCCAGGGTACATATCCAGGCTTCAGTTATTTCCTGTTTTAATTACCACAACCGCCTATTTCTTGGCCTTTTTTCCTATATTTTCTCCTCCTAGTTCTGTTTAGATTATTACTGCCAAGTCAATTTCCCTTTCATGCTAAGGACCGTGTTGACGTAGTCCTTGGATTTGACACAAGCTTCTCTAATATTTATGCTTCAACCTCGGACTCTGTCACCTTCAAAGTTTCTTTCCTTTATTAGCACCTTGTTTCCTGCCTCTCCACCTAGCTCAGTTTCCCAGTCTTTTCTCTCTTCCTGCTCACAGTTTGATGAGTTTGATGACTGTATGTAGGTAGAACACCTATCCATCTTTATTCTGCTGGTCAAAGAGGGCACCGTACTAGCAAATAGGAGACCTGGTGACAGTCTAGCCATCATCTCGCATGAGTGTTCATTTCACAGAGGAGTAAACTGGGGCACAAGAGGTGCAGGTCGCTGGTCCACAGTCATGCCGCACGTCAGTGGCAGAGGCCAAGTGAAATCCTGATTCTTCCCAGGGCTCTTGCTCTTCACCAGTGGTTCCCAGTGTTTCCAAGCATGAGGGTTCTTTCTTGATGTTAAAACTTTTGAAAAGAGATTTCTGGTTAAAAATGATAGCTAAAGGACATTTGTTTATCCCATTTCCCTAACAAAATTCCTGTAAAAAATCTAAAGATATGAATCCATATTATCTCCAGAAAAGAAAGAAGCCATCAATGGATAAGAAAATTTTACCAAATTCTGGAAAACAGTGGTTTAAAAAATGACTGCTGATGCATCAAGGACAAAAAAAAATCATAGACTATAACTGAGTGCTTTATTTTTTTTATTAGTAGCCCTATCAATAAGAATATTTTAAATACACCCTTTCTTGTATATATATACACATATGAACATATATGTATATCTACAAAATGTGTATTTTTAAATTACTTGGCTTTCTAAGCAATAAAATACATTGTTTTCTTTATCAGTTAGACTGGAGTGCAGTGGCACAGTCATAGCTCACTGTAACTGCTAATTCCTGAGCTCAAGCAATATTCCCGCCTCAGGCTCCTAAGTAGCTGGAACTACAGGCATGTGCCACCATGCCTGGTTAATTTTTAAATTTTTTTCTAGAGACAGTGTCTCACTATGTTGCCCAAGCTAGTCTCAAACTCCTGGCCCCAAGCCATCCTCCTGCCTCAGCCTCACAAAGCTCTGGGAATACAAGCATGAGTCACCATGCCCAGCCCCTTGTTTTGACAAAAAATAAAAAGTACATCAAAAGAAAAAGGCAGCATTTTAAAACCGAGCAATCACGTATAATGGAAATTACATTTTTACTTTAGAGTGACTAAGTGCCCAAAAAAGTAGTTTAAATTCGGGAATGTTTTTAAACAAATTTCTAATTTATCAATCAATTAGTATCTGCATACATATGAAACATAGTACATATATATGAAGTGTCATTTTTTCAGTATATAAGTACTGTTTGATATCTATCTGGATGATCAGACCCCTTGAAGTCACGGTGTTTGGGGAACTACCACTACAGACTATTCTTTCCATCTGCTAGGGAGTTTAATGACTAACAGGTTGAATCCAGTTAAGATTAGAAAATAACGGAACAGCAAGATTCTTCTTGTCAAAACATGATACCTGAACAAACGAAGACATTATTTCTTTGTGGGACTCATTGCCAATAGAAGATTTACTTACTCTACAGCAGATTTGAGCATTTGAAAAAGAAGGAAGAAGGGAAGGAGTCATGAGGCAGAAAGTTTATTTACCTATGGAAAGAGAAGTAGAGTTGAATAACAAATCAATGCATTTGAACATTGCAAAAGCCTCCTTAAAATCATACTTAAGCGATTGGGCTCAACTGATACCAACTCAGGCCTGATTCCTTTTCCTAAATAATTCAAATAATTGATTTTTTAACTTTTATTTATGTATATTTTCATAATTTTAGTTATTTAGGTAATTTCAGAATAACATTGCCTTCAGTCTCCATTTTCTTCTCAGAAACAATGGCAGACCTGTTCCACTAATGAGTACATCATAGGCAGCATTCCCATTTTCTCCAGACACTTTCAGTCAGTCCCAACCTTTTCTACACCCTGTGTGTAAGGGACATTTATCCAGAACCTCCAGCAGCAGTACTGGCTTCACTGAAATTACACTTTGCAATTATTGTATTTTCACTATTTTGTAATGACATTAAGTTTATCTTGATAGCTTTCAGAACTTGAAAGTCTTAATTCAAATAAAATGACTAAAATGGCTTGATTCTATATTCAAGCCAAAATTAAGACTTCTTTTCCCAAAAACAGAAAATCCCTCTAATACAGAGAAATTTGTATTCCTTTCCTCTGGAGCAACTCAGAGTTACTATTATCTTAACTTCTTTAAAAGCACATTTCTGTCTCTCATTCACTTTCTCTTTCTCTTTATTTTCTCTTTTTGTTTGTATGTCTCTGTCACTCTCTCCTCTCTTACTGTCTTAATTTTGTATCCCTCAAAATTTCAAGATGAGGTATGAGGTTCTATGATCATGATGGAACTTTGAATAACATTTTTGTGACAGTCGTGATTATACCTATCTTAACCAATAGTCTTGTAATGAGCAGATAGATTTCTATGTAAGTATAATTCATAAATAAAGAAAATAGGTACACTCAATCTCTCTTTATTAGACTTAAAGAATAAGTTGCTTATAGTCAGACCAATAGATTAAGAAAAATCATTTTAAGGAACAACTCAGTGAGCTAAATTAAAGCAGCATAGACTTCTTAGAAAAAGGTATGATTTCAGCAAAAATTTTATCCTTGTACATGACACTTGTCAACAAAAATGAAGATGAGTAGTATTGAACACAAGCCATTGTGAACATAGCAATAAGTATTATACTACTAATAATCATGCGACTTTTCTGCAAAATGTTGGAAACACGTTACTTTCATTTATGATCAGTCAAGTCAGTAACAGACAAGTCTGTTACAGGGATTTTGCCTGATACCATTGTGGGGGCTAAACACTTTCCGTAAGGCTGCTGTCTTTGTGTCTGCTGCTTGGGCATGAAGTCCAGAGGGCAGACAGTGAAAAAGAGAACATGATGTAATACAAGGATATTAAGAAAGAGCTGGAACCCACAGGCATGAACTGAAACTCCTCAGAACAGAGCAAAACCACATTTATTGGCTTTGGTGGTATGGGTGACCTGCAGAAGCAAAGGCCCTTCATCATGGTGCTATAGAATTGGTCCAAAAGTTGGAGAAGCTGAAGGAAAGTTTAGAGGAAAGTTGAACAGTTGCAGGCTCAGCTGCTGCCTCATTCCAAGGTGGTGAATCAGCAGATAAGCGACAAGGCGTGTGAACCACAAAATAGCTGAGACTTCCTTCCTGCCTTCCAAATCTTGCAAGAATTTCTCCGTGGCCCACCCTCACCAGAAATGTAATTCAGCCTAGCCAAAGTGGCATGTTACAAAGCCACCACAGTTTGTATATGGGTCATTCTTGGAATTACCGTTTTCTTTACCCCTACTTCCAATCAAATACATTTCTATCAAGTCTACCTCCAAAGCATGTTTTGAATTCATCTTTTCTTTTCCATCTCTACTTCTACTTTCTAGCAAAAGCCTCCATTTTCCCCCATCTGGACTCTGCATTGTTTAATCTTTCTGTCTTCATTCACTCTTGCAGGTCTCCAACCATTCTCATAAAAGCAATTATGCCTCTGCCCTCTTCAAGGTCTATCAAATCTCATTTCCTATAAAATCAAATCCAAATTTCATGACAACACAATGCCCAACATGATCTCACCCCAGCCTCATCTCAGGACACTCCCTCTCCAGTCACACTGGTTTCCTCTTGCTTCATTCCTGAAACCCTGTAAGCACATTTCTGCTTCAGGCCTTGGCACATATAGTTTGCTCTATCTGGAATCATATTTCCTCAGATTTCTATTATGCTAGCTGCCTTTAATCATTTGGAAATGCCACATTCTCAGAAAAGTATTCTCTGAACACACAATTAAAATGGGTGTCCCCCTCCAATTCTCCAAGTGTTTTTTCTCAAAGCACCATGCTTTTTCATTCATAACATTATCATAGTTCAGAAATATATAATTATTTGTATCCATTTTTAAAATACCTGTTCCTGCCTTCCCCCACTAGATTATACATTTTTATAAGGCCGGGGCAATAACTTTTCTGTCTACCACTACATACCTAGAGACTAACTCAGTACTTGGCATCAAGTAGTCAATAATGTATGTGGAATGCATGATTGAATGTGGCATTTCTGGATTGCATGAATTTATACCAAATAATCAGCTTAATTTCAGAAGCAAGAAAAAACAGAGAAGAGATATATTTACAGTTGTAATAGGAACAGCAGGGATTATTTCAGAGACTTATGGCATATCCAGTAAATTATTATGTTATATTAAACTGATTTTTTTTTTTAAATCATGTGGAAACAGAGAAACTACTTAGGATATGACGTTAAATTAAAAACCAGGGTAAAATATATTTAACATGATTACAACCAGTTTGTAAAAAGATAGATGGGAAAGCAAGGGAAAGGAAATGCATTGATATGTTAGTATTGCTTTACTGAGATTGCAAGATTATGATTGTCTCTTGCCCCTGTTTTTTAAATTTTCTGTGACAAGGCAAAAATGGAAATCCCTGACTTTTTTCATATTGAAAGACTATTTTTTTAAAAGCTGTTGTCAGTTCACAGTAAAATTGAGAGGAAGGCTCAGAGAGTTTCCATGTACCCTTTGCCCCCACATATGCATAGCCTACTCTATTATCAACATCTCCTGTGCATTTGTTATAATTGATAAAATTATATTGACACATCAGAATGACCCAAGTCAAAAGTTTGTATTAGCAAACATTTGTTATAATTGATAAAATTATATTGACACATCAGAATCACCCAGGTCAAAAGTTTGTATTAGTGTTTGCTTTTGGTG
Organism: Homo sapiens; assembly: GCF_000001405.40. Taxonomy (NCBI): domain Eukaryota; kingdom Metazoa; phylum Chordata; class Mammalia; order Primates; family Hominidae; genus Homo; species Homo sapiens. The sequence continues at coordinate 98,322,427 of NC_000001.11, read as the reverse complement.
TCCATTCTATGGCTTTGAGCAAATGTATAATAACATGTATCCATCATTACAGTATCATACAGATGCTGTATTTTCACTGCCCTGAAAATCTTCTGTGCTCTGCTGATTCACACCGTCCCCCCACCCCCCACTGCCTCCCTCCTGGCAACCACTGATCTTTTTACTGTATTCATAGTTTTGCCTTTTCCAGAATGTCACATAGTTGGATTATATAGTATGAAGCTCTTTTTGGTTGGCTTCTTTCACTAATAATATGCATTTAAGGTCTTCCATGTCTTTTCATGGCCTAATAGATATTATTTCTTTTTAGCACTGAGTAATGCTCCATTGTCTGGATGTACCACAGTTAATTTATCCATTTATATACTGCAAGACATCTTGCTTCTTCCAAGTTTTGGCAATTATGAACATAGCTCTTAAAACAATAAAGTGCAGGTTTTGTGTGGACATTAGTTTTAAACTTTTTGGGTAAATACCAAACAGCTGATCATATGGTAAGAGTATCTTCAGTTTTATAAGAAACAACCAAATTGTCTTCCCAAGTGTCTGTACTACTTTGCATTCCCACCATTAATGAATGAGAGTTCCTGTTGCTCTACATCACCAGCATTTGGTGTTGTCAGTCTTCCAAATTTGGGGGATTCTAAGAGGTATTTAATAGTATCTTACTATTGCTTTAATTTGCATTTCCCTAATGACATATGATGTGGAACATATTTTCATATGGTTATTTGCCATCTGTATATCTTCTTTGGTGAGGTATCTGTTAAAGTCTTTGGCTTACTTTCACATTGGGTTGTTTGTTTTTTATTGTTGAGCTTTATGAAATCTTTGTGTTTTTGAATAACAGTCCTTTATTAGAAGCACCTTATGTAATTACAGTGACATACAACATAATGATGTTTCAGTCAATGACAGACTGCATATAAAACAGTCGTCCCATAAAGTTATAATGGAGTGGAAAAATATCTATTGTCCAGTGACATTATGGTCATCAATAGTGCAATGCATTATATCATAATGCAATGCATTACTCATATGCTGGTGTAAACAAACCTACTTCTAGTCATATAAAAGTATATATAGCACATACCACTTCTCTCATTGACTTACAATTTTACTGTACATTTTTATGTTTAGATTCATTTAGATACATAAATACTTACCATTGTGTTACAGTTGCCTACGGTGCAGTAACTTCTGTACAGGTTTGTAGCACAGAGGCAATAGTCTATAATATACAGGCTAAGTATGTGGTAAGCTGTATCATTAGGTTCATGTAAGTACACTCTATGATGTGGGCACAACAACGTAATCACCTAACGACACATTTCTCAGAATGTTTCCCCATTGTCAAGTGATACCTGACTGTATTATCTTCCAACCTGTGGCTTGACTTCTCATTCTCTTGACATCTTTCATAGAGCAGAAGCTTTTAATTTTAATGAAATCCATCTTATTAATTCTTCCTTTCATGGATTATACCTTTGGTATTGTTTCTAAAAAGTCATCACCATATCCATGTTCATCTAGGTTTTCTCCTCTGTTGTCTTCTAGGTGTGTTATAGTTTTACATTGTATATTTAGGTCTATGATCGATTTTGATTTAATTTTTGTGAAAGATGTAAGGTCTGTGGCCAGATTCTCTCTTTTTTCTTTTTCTATTTCTTTCTTTGTTTCTTTTTTCGTTTTTTGTTTGTTTGTTTGTTTGGTTTTGGTTTTTCATCCAGCAGCATTTGTGGAAAAGACTGTCTTTGCTCCATTGTATTGCCTTTGCTTCTTTGTCAAAGATAAGTTGACAATATTTATGATGGTCTAATTCTGATCTCCGTATTCTGTTTCATTGATGTATTTTCATTTGTTTATTTTTTCATCAGTACCACACTGACTTGATTAATGTAGCTTTATAGTAAGTTTTGAGATTGATCATGTTGTTCTACCAATGTTGTTCTTCTCCTTCAATATTCCGCTGGCTATTCTGGGTCTTTTACCTCTCCAAATAAACTTTAGAATCAGTTTACAAATATTTCCAAAATAAGTTTCTGAAATTTTTATTGAGATGGCATTGAAGCTATAGATCGAGTTGGGAAAAACTGACATTTTGATAATATTGAATCTTCCTTTCCATGAATATGGATTATCTCTCAATTCATGTAGTTCTTTGATTTCATTCATCAGAGCTTTATAGTTTTCCTCACATAGATCTTGTACATATTTTTGTTAGATGTATATGTAAGTATTTCAGTTTTGGGGATGCTAGTGTAAATAGTATTGTGTTTTTAATTTCAAATTCCACTTGTTCATTGCTGGTGTATAAAAAATCAATTGAAGTTTTATATTAACCTTGAATCCTGCAATCCTACTATTATTGCTTTTTAGTTCAAGGAGTTTTTTTGTCCAATCTTTTGCATTTCCTACATAGATTATAGTGTCAAAGACCAAAAGAGTTTTATTTCTTTCTTCCCAATTCATATATCTTTTATTTCCTTTTCTTGTTTTAGTGCATGCACCTTTTCTTGTTTTAGTGCATGCACCTTTTCTTGTTTTAGTGCATTTCTTGTTTTAGGACATCTAGTATGACGTTGAAAAGGAGTGATGGGAAGGGGATATCTTTGCCTTATTCCTAATCTTACTGGGAAAGCTTCTCGTTTCTTACCATTAAGTATGAGGTTATCTGTAGGTTGTTTTATTTTAATCTACCTAAGGAAGCTTCTCTCTGTATTCATTAGGGTAAGGGACAGAACTAATGGAATGGATACATATATATATATATATATATATATATGAGCTTATTAAATATTAACTCACAGGTTCCCACAATAGGCCGTCTGCAGGCTGAGGAGCAAGGAGAGCCAGTCCGGGTTTCAAAACTGAAGAACTTGGAGTCTGATGTTCAAGGGCAGGAAGCATCCAGCACAGGAGAAAGATGTAGGCTGGGAGGCTAGGCCAGTCTCCCTTTTCACATTTTTCTGCCTGCTTACATTCTAGCTGGGCTGGCAGCTGATTAGATTGTGCCCACTGATTAAGGGTGGGTCTGCCTTTCCCAGCCCCCTGACTCAAATGTTAATCTCCTTTGGCAACACCCTCACAGACACACCCAGGATCAATACTTTGTATGCTTCAATCCAATCAAGTTGACACTCAGTATTAACCATTGCGCCCTCTAACCCTAGTTTACTGAAAGTATTTATCATGAATAGGTGCCTACTTTTATCAAATGTTTTTTCTGCATCTACTGATATGATTGTGTGCTTTTTCATTTTTAGCCTGTTGATGTAATGCCTGACATTTTATGTCCTTGATTTACAGAATAGTTTCACAAATATTATTTTAAGTGATACTCAGTAATCTTATATGGTGGCCAGTGTTGTACACAAAATCTCCATTTTACAATCAAGAAGCTGAAAATTACAAAAAAAAAAAAAATTGTTAGTTACCCAAGTCTTGCAATGGTGGTGGTAGGGCTGGTTAGTATATTAGCCAGGCCAGACTTTAGGATTTTAGTTCCAAAGCCCTTTCTACGTTATCCTATTGCCTTTTAGACAATGCTACATATTAGGACAGTAAAACATTGAAGGCTAGAGCCTAGTACGGGAATGGCAATTATGGTGCCCCTTCCCACCTCCATGCCAGATGAGAAACTGCTAATCTATCATGGGAATTTTTCTGAGCCCAGAGGTAACTTCAGAATCCTCCCTAACACAAAACTCCAGCGGTCACTACTGATGCAATACATGTTGACTATCACAAATTCAAGCCCACCTAAAAGAGAGAAGAACAAAAGCAGTGCAACTGGATAGAGAGCTATGGCTGAGGCCAACTATGATCAAATTTATTGTCTACGAAAACAAGTAACCCTGGTGACTGAGAGATTTATTAAATAATCCTTTGGGCTTTACATAGATACTGGGTATAATAATCAAATAGCATAAAATACCAAAATATAATTGTCAAGATATACTAGGGAGTGGTAAAGATATGGAAACATGTTAAATATTATCTGTCATGTATATTAAAAGAGATATAGGGGTGGAAAACCAGTGCTATGAAAAATAAGTGCTAAAAACATGGCAAAGTTCAGGAAATGGAGGGTCCATTGTGGTAATCTAGAGAGCTTTCATATGGATATACTAAAACTTAAGACAGACCTTAAAAGAGAGGCATTATTCAGATAGGAAATAGACATTTCAAGTGAAGAAAGTGGCAGGTGCTATGGTATAAAGTGTGGACAAAACACTGTAAAGGTAGAATAAATAAGGGATTCTTAGAATAATGGGTAGAATTGTAACTCTTTCTATCATAGAATTTAAGACTGAGGAGGAATTACATGTACTATCATCATTATTCTTGGTCCATCCTTTCATATTATGAATAAGTCTGAATATCAGATAAGTTATATTATTTGACAATGATTACAAACCAGTTAGAGACTGAGTAAATAATATAATCCACTTCTTTTAATTCCTACTCTAATGCTTCTTCCACTATCCTGCATGACTTTCACATTCATTGGACATGATGGTGGAAGAAGAGGTAGCAAAAGTAGGAGTCAGATCTCTTAAGCAGGTAAAGCATTTGCATTTTGTTCTTTAAGTAATGGAGAACCTCTAAATATTTTAGAGCACTATAGTGATATCATGGAAATTGTATGTTAAAAAGATTAATCCGAAAGCAGTGTACCAGGCGTTAAGGATCAGGAAGAGTACATTGGAGGTTTTGCAGTTTTCCAGGTCTGAACCGGTAAGGGCCTTCACTAAAGTGGCAGTTGTTAAACATGGGAAAAAGAGGGGGTGGAGGGCCGGGCGCGGTGGCTCACGCCTGTAATCCCAGCACTTTGGGAGGCCGAGGCGGGTGGATCATGAGGTCAGGAGATCGAGACCATCCTGGCTAACAAGGTGAAACCCCGTCTCTACTAAAAATACAAAAAATTAGCCGGGCGCGGTGGCGGGCGCCTGTAGTCCCAGCTACTCGGGAGGCTGAGGCAGGAGAATGGCGTGAACCCGGGAAGCGGAGCTTGCAGTGAGCCGAGATTGCGCCACTGCAGTCCGCAGTCTGGCCTGGGCAACAGAGCGAGACTCCGTCTCAAAAAAAAAAAAAAAAAAAAAGAGGGGGTGGAATATAAGCAATACATCTACAGGACTTGGTAACTGGCTTGAAGAAAGGAGAATTTGAATTCAAATTAGAGTATATACATATACATACATGTATGTGTGTGTGTGTGTGTGTGTATGTGTGTGTGTATGTATATATATATATCTATATATATATATCTTATGATAAGCGGGCAAAAGCTATAAGGGACTATTAGAGTATGAATAGACAGGAAAATGATGATTTTGTTTTTGACAGGTTTTGTTTGGGTTAAATCTGTGACACTCAAATGCAAACATCCTCAGACAGTAAGAAGTGTTGGCTGTGTTAAAAGAATAACAAAAACGAAGATAGATTTGAAATGAAATGAGAGCTCTGAAGCAAAACCTAGAAAAACAATAGTAGTAGACCACAAACAGTGCCTTGGGACAAAAGTGCATTGAAAGAGCATGGGGGCTTCTAAGTAAAAAAAGGACAAGTGCTATAAACATTTGGGAGCTCAATAAAAATTGATTTATTTTTCAGCATGTTACTAGGGTAGAGAAAACTGTATTATCTTGAGGTAAAACTACAACACTAGAAGGATCTGCTCTTCATAAAGACATTTTACAATTCCAAATGTCTCTTCCATCTGTCACTAAAGTGGGTGGAACATACTGTACTGTCTTAGAAATTTGAGGGCATTTATATAAAAAGTACTTGGGCAAATGGCAATTTCTACCACAATAGAAGCATATGTAGAATTGTATAGTATTCTGTAAGGCTCAAAGAATTTTCCTTCACTGTAAGTTCACTAGATCAGTAGTCACAATCTGAAGGAGATAAAGGAGTTTCTGAGTCATATTTATGTTCAGGACATAAACCCTTTATTGCATTCAGATGAATGGGAAAGGAGTTGGCAGCAGTACACAGGGAAGACCAGGCATGGCTGTTTCTAGGGTGAAAGTTTTGGAACTGAGGAGGAAAAACTAATGTACAGATTTGCCTCTTTTAGAGAGGGTTGTGATATAGAGGAAGCTGCAACCTCAGCACGCTGGTGCGGGGCAGGCAGGACCTTGATCCTGGCAGACACTTCCAGTCTCTCTCTTGACTTTCCCAAGTGATAGTGTAGTTGGCCTTCTGTTTCTTTCCTTAAATTGAGGGTTTCTATTCCAAGCCATTGAATGCACCTTAAAATTCGAGTGCAGTGTAGATCAACATATATGAGGAGAATATAGAAAAAGGAAACACTGTATTTCCGGTCTTCTTATTGATTCAGTTTGGTCATTTATAAATTTTTGTTATAGCCGGGTACGGTGGCTCATGTCTGTAATCGCAGCACTTTGGGAGGCTGAGGCGGGCCGATCACTTGAAGCAAGGAGTTTGAGACTAGCCTGGCCAACATGGCAAAACCCCGCCTCTACTAAAAATACAAAAATTAGCCGGGTATTGTGGTGCTTGCCTGCAGTCTCAGCTACTAAGGGAGTTGAGGCAGAAGAATCACTTGAACAAGGGAGGTGGAGGTTGTATTGAGCCAGTACACTCCAGCCTGGGAAACAAAGTGAGACCCCTTCTCGAAAAAAATAAATAAATAAAATAAAAATACATTTGTGTTACTTCTGCTGCTTTCATTTTACTTCCTTTTGAATTTCGAAAGCATTTAGTATGAAGCATTTTTAAAAAAACTGAAAATTTGACCCACTTTTACATAAAGTTCTCATTTTATTTTTCCCTGGAAACTAAAATTAGATGTTTGGATTTTTTTTTTTTAATAAACACAAACATTCAGTAGTGAGGTTTGTACATGAGCAACAACTTCTGTTTGGTATTTGGCACTTGTCCCCCCTCTGATGAGTCACATTTGTATAGCTGAATTTAGAAACAATTTACTAGAAACATTGCCAATCTTAATATTATGCTTTTAACATTTTTTTAAAACCACTGATTTAAAATAGTAGAAAAAGATCATGACAAGTAAAAGTGACACAGGTGAAATAGCTGGAATCACCTCACTTTTCTCTTTGGCAGCAAAATGACAGTTGGATCATAGAGAGACCTCATCCACATTTGATAAGCTCTAGATCTTAAAGGATATTCTAAATGCCTTTCCACTTATTTCTGATGGAATGGTAACTATACAGTAGGAGTTCCATAAATATTTGTAGAATAAAAGGAGAAGGGAATCAATATCTCTTAAATTTTTTAAAATAGAGATATACAGATTGAGTTTTCCTTTTAAAGACATGAAACTCAAAAAATTTAAATGAAATTTTTGTCAGGTGTAAATCTTACAATGAAAATTTTTGCTTGATGCCAAGTCCAATGTGCTGCCAAATTCACTTATCTATGTTAGCAACTGTATTTTTTTAAAGGGAAAAAACACCTTATTTAATATATCCTTTTATTCATCCACTTGTTCTTAAAATAAGACCCTGCAGATTGATGAGTGACTGGCAGCTCTGCATTAAACTAGAATTCGGAGACTTCCACTCATGTCTCATTATGTACCCAAAACACCACAACCTGCCATGGAACCACACAGCCACAGTTGGCCATGGCACAGGCTCATTGCACACTCTGAAATGATAGCAGGTGGCTGTTAGCTGAAAGCAAGGGCTAAAATTATCTTTACAATTGTGCCTTGACCCTGTGCCTACAAATATAAGAAGCAATAATTATGTATATGAGTCACAAAAAGGCATCTCTGGGGCTTAAATTTTTATTTTCAGTGGCTGTGGTTTATGTATTTATAATCATGTGTATGTGTAAGCTTTGTTTTGAGAGATACATGATAGATAGATAGATAATAAATAAATAGATATTTAAAGTTAGCAAAAGGTTTTAGACATTATTTCCCTTTAGGATATACCTGTCAATTTGGCTTCTAAAGCTAGGTTAATGTCCACATTTGGTGTTTTTCCAATTTATAGCAACAACAATAGAATGAGCTTTCAGATTCTCACATAGAGAGAGTCACACAGATCAGGAACCTTAAGTCCAGAAACCTTTTGTGCTGCCTATGAAGTATAGACCTAGTGTTTCAGCAACTGTGGAGCTGTCATCAGCAAGAGAGGAAGGCCTAGAAGGAAAAAGAATGAATATTCATACAACAAATGCCGCCCAGAGAAGCTGGGAAAATAACTGATAAACCAATATATTTGGCTGAGGTATTACACATGATTGAAAGAAAAAGACATTAAAATATGGATGGGTGGAAGGCATTTCAGGAGGAACTAGTCACCAGATGGTAAGTAATTATAAAGCTCTTGTTCTTTGTATCTGTAACTTAGAAAAATGGTCATAGTGAAAGGATCTCTGAGAAGGATACTTTATTTTTAAGGGATTCTCAAATAAAGAGTAAGTTCATGTTGATTCCAAACAAAAGGTTAAGCAGCACATTTTGGATTCTTTATATCTAAAGTGCCAAATTCTTTAAAAATTAGGAAATAGAAAAACTATATATATTTAAAAAGTCACTCTCATTGTTTATAGAGTGAAATAGCACAAAACAAAAGAGAAGTAAACCACAAATTTACCTAGGGATACCAGAAGCTTGTTTTCCACAGAGAGTTTTGGCCCAAGACATTTTAAAATTAACTGACTGGGTCAAGGGAAAAGTACTTTATAGCCTGCACTAGCTAAAACTGATCATAAACATGTTGGTGATAGCATAATAAACTTACACTCAAAGCCACTAGGCCAAGTAACTAGATTCTGAAAGTTACTTTATGCTTTGGCCTAGAGTTCATAAGCAAGTAACACACAGTGGATTTTATTCCCCAGAGAGTTTGAATCAACTTGGGGGCCATATGAATTTGTGAAGGGCATGCATTATGGGGTTCAAGGTTCATATGATGCCAGTTTAGAGGAATTAAGTCATAGTCTAATATGGTAAATTTATTTCTGAAAATGATAGTGGTGAATCGTATTACAAAATGATTTATTTAATATGAAATTTATAGTTCAAGCTACTGTGTATGCAGCAACCTAAATTCAGAGGAAATAACATGCTCCTACCTCCCAACTCTGTCACTTTCTCTGGAAAAGCCACCTGCATTTCTAGAAGAGTGCCATATGTTTACACACAGAAAGAGACAAGGGCCTTTAGTGGTATGCACATTTTTCATGGGCAGTCTGAAAGGAAGGAAGGAGTTCAGGATCTTGTTACTGCCGCCTGCTCTTTCCATACACAGGTTGGCCAAGGGTCTGGCCTGGAGTCTAGCACCTGAAAGTTCAGCTCTGCTCAGTTCTTGTATTCTGGAGACTCTGCCCAACAGTATGTAGGGACCACCTTCCAGTAACAATGGTTATTATGGTTGGGAAATTCCCCCACTTTCCTCCATCCCTTTTGTGCCCAGGGTTGAACAGAGCCCTGATGGCCCTGGATTATGTGGCTGTGGTCATCAAAGTAATATCCATCACACTTTTATAGTCTATCTAATATCTTCTTATAGACCTCAATCTTCTGATAATCAAACCAATCTATACTAGAAGAGAAGCCCAGCCCTAGGTCCTTTTCTCAAATTTGGTATTTGTTTCTGGTGTCCTTGTAGCTATTCAAATCCCAATGTGATGCTGAAATCTGCCATTCACCAGAAATCCAACAATTGTGTCCTACCCTCCCTTCTCAGATTCGCCTCCTTTGGAGAACACCTCTAGCCTAGAATTTATAAAAATTGGCTATTGGCCTTGCCCTGATGACTTGGACTGTTGATCTCTAGAAAATATCTAGCTGTTCAGAGTCTTTTTAAAATGCCCACTGAGACAAGTATCCCCTTTCTCTATTCATCCACTTGAAACTCCCAAAACATTTTGGAGTCAAAGTCAGCCCAGTCATATCAAATTGAAAGTCAGGAAAACCAGGTTTTGATGCTGACTTGCTACCAACTGTGCAACCTATAGCAAGTTTCATAAAATTCTGGAGCTTCAATTCAATTTCCTCATTCACATAAGCACTAAATTCCCAATGAGGTTCCCCCCGATTTCCAAAGTCCTTTGATTTTGTGGCTACATATCAAAGGTTAAGAATAGCTGTAAGAACTAAACTCTTAGTAAAAGGCTTATTTAAGTAGATGTTCCTTAGAGGTGAAAAAAAAAACACCAAAGGAAGTTTCCTTTGAATGTATACAGCCAAATAAATCTAAGCATGACCTGAATTTTTTCAGAAACATGATTACAGGCATCACTGTCCTTTGTATTTGAAGAGAGTGCTACTGATAGTGATTGCTATGTCTGAGGATAGGAAACTAGAAACATCTAAATGTGCTAGAAAACCCTTTTCAAACACACTGAAAGGGTAATCTTATTTGCAGAGCTTATCACTGAAGGTAACTTTTGCTATATTATGAACCACCTTTCCCTTCTATTACTGACCATCAAGTAAATCTGTCTGAAGCTAACATTTGCAACTGCCCGAAGCACTACATGATTGGAAACAGTTTCTCAATGTGCCTCAAACGGAATTTTAAAAATATTTTAAATAGAAGTGTTACATTCATCTTATTATTAATGACATTATCACTATTAGTATTCAACTGTCTCACTTATAGTCATCAATAATTTTAAGTCTAACTAAGCCAGAGGTTTAAGCCTAAGTAAATAAGACAATTGCTTGAAATATACCAGTTTCACTGATATCACAGAACCCAGCACTCTATAAAGTTTTTGGAGTAATTTAGAAGATTATCAAAATTGAGGTGCTTAGTTCACAGCTGTCATAGAATTAGCAACAATTCTTCCATTTTTGTAGACCCCAAAACACTGAAATCATTTTAACTTTTTCTTTCATTCATTTCAAAAAGGAAGATATATGCATCAGTTAAGTCTCACTAACATATTTAATCTTCATTTCAACTTTCGTTTAGCGATGAGGTAACTGAGTCTCTGACAGATTAAGGCATTTGCTCCAAATCACACAGCTAAGAATACCAGAATTTTAAAAAAAGTAGATTTAATTTCTTAAAAATCTAAAACCTGTTTTCTATAAGTTATCATGAAATAAAATTCTAGATATTTGACAAACTGGGGAATTATTTGTAGACAAATGGTTAATCTTTTTAAATTTTTTAATTTTAATTTCTGGGGGTACAGAGAAGGTATATATATTTATGGGGTACATGAGGGGTTTTGTTATAGGCCTGCAATGCATAATAATCACACCATGGAGAGTGGGTATCCATCTCCTCAACTATTTATCCTTTGTTGTGCAAACAATCCAATTACACTCTTTTAGTTATTTAAAATGTACAATTAAGTTATTATTGACTATACTCACCCTGTTGTGCTTCAAATGTTAGGTCTTTCAATCTATTTTTTGTACCAATTAACCATCTCCACATCCCCCACCTGACCCTTCCACTACCCTTCCCAGCCTCTGGTAACCATCCTTTTACTCTCTATGTCCATAAGCTCAATTGTTTTGATTTTTAGATTCTCACAAATAAGTGAGAACATGCAATGTTTATCTTTCTGTGCCTGGCTTATTTCATTTAACATAATGCTTTCCAGTTTCATCCATGTTGTTGCAAATGACAGGATCTCATTCTATTTTATGACTAGATAGTACTCCATTGTGTATACGTACCACATTTTTCTTTACCCATTCATTTGTTGATGGACACTTAGGTTGCTTCCAAATCTTAACTATTGTGAATAGTGCTGCAACAAACATGGGAGGGTAGATATCTCTTCCATGTACTGATTTCCTTTCTTTGGGGCATAAACCCAGCAGTGGGACTGCTGGATCATATGATATCTCTACTTTTAGTTTTTTTGAGGAAGCTCCTCCAAACTGTCCTCCATAGTGGTTGTACTAATTTACATTCCCACTAACAGTCTATGAGGGTTCCCTTTTCTCCACATCCTCATCAGCATTTGTTATTGCTTGTTTTCTGAATACAAGTGCCAGAGTTTTTATTTTAATGGAAGTCTACCTAAGTGCAAAATCTCAATTTACAACCAGCCTGTGATTTTTTTCATTTTGCTTATTCACTTATAGATTACTCTTTAATTACAGAAATGGAACTATACCAGATTATGAGAAAATGAAGATCAGCAGTACAGAATCCTTGCCCTTCAAGAGAACACAGTCTACATGGGGAGACATTTGGCAAAACACTTTTCACCACTGTGTGGTAGGTTCTATGAAAGAGCGGCACAGCAAGCCAGGGAAGCACCATGGGAGGAGGGATAAAGATGCACCTAGCTATGTCTTCAAAGGTTGAGAAAATGTTAGCCAGAAGTAGCAATAGAAAAGTGTGTGGAAGCATGGAGACTTTACAGAGAGTGGTGGTTGTAACCAGTTCTGTATTAGAAGAGCAAAGAATACACACTGAGAAAATGACTTGGAGAACTAGGATGGGGTCTAGAGTACATATACAATGGTGATAAGTTTCAGTGTCATTTTGAAAGCAATAATGAGATGCTAATGGATTTTTGTTAGTCATAACAGTATGGAGAGTAGTTTTCAGGAAAGGAAATTAAAATAAGGTCTGCTATGAGCACGTATAAGTCAGTCAGTTAATTAAACAATTAGATCCTGAATTCACTAAGAGGCAATGAACGTATAAGCCCATAAAGTTAGGAGAGTGGACACATTTGATGGAGATTAAAATATTACAATGCGCCAGGTTCAGTGGCTCACGCCTGTAATCCCAACACTGTGTGAGGCTGAGGCAGGCGGATCACAAGGTCAGGAGATTGAGACCATCCTGGCCAACATGGTGAAACCCCATCTCTATTAAAAGTACAAAAATTATCTGGGTGTGGTGGTGCACGCCCATAGTCCCAGCTACTGGGGAGGCTGAGGCAGGAGAATTGTGAGCAGAGATTGCACTACTGCACTGCAGCCTGGTGACAGAGCAAGATTCCATCTAAAAAAAAATACAATGCACAGGATTTGGATAATGAGTAAATATGAATGAAAGAAGAGGGGAGATAAGAAAGACATTTTCATGTTTCTAGTTAGACAAGGTAGAGAACCTAGGTAGAAAATCAGATATGGAGGTGGGGGTAGCATGTTCTATTATAAGAAAGTTAATTTTGAGGTAATCATGGGATCCTAAATACAGGCATAGGCATAGAAAACAAATTTATTTAAAGTGTTTGAATGTTACAGTCTAGTGCAAATTTAGTTCTCAGAATCATTGATATGTAGGTGTAGATGGTGAAATGGTTTGGCTTCATGTCCCCACCCAAATCTCATTTTGAATTGTAATCCCCATGTGTGAGAGAGGGACAAGATGTGAGGTGATTGGATCATGAGGGCAGTTTCCCCCATGCTGTTCTTGTGTTAGTAAGTGAGTTCTCACAAGATCTGATGGTTTTATAAGGCAGTTTTCCCTGCTCTTGCTTGCTCTCTCTCTCCTGCTGCCATGTGAAAAATATCTTTGCTTTCCCTTCACCTTCCACCATGATTGTAAGTTTCCTGTGGCCTCCCCAGCCATGCAGAACTGAGCCAATTAAATCTTTTTCCTTTATAAATTTCCCAGTCTCAGATATTTCTTTAGAGCAGTGTGAAAATGGACTAATACAGAAGGATTAGGCAATAATTTATTAGTGAGAAAATAGTCAAATATATAATCCTAGGAATAGTAACGTATGGTTTTTTGTTTTTGTTTTTGTTTTTTTGTTTTTTTTTTTTATTTGGAGAAAAGGGAGCTGTTAAGAGATAAATAGAAGTAGCGGTAAGAATGACCCACCTCTAACATTTGCAGGGCCCAGGACAAAAGCACAAAATGGGTCTATACAAGATTCGACCCTTTTCTCTTCTCATCCCTGAATCCATCCTGCCATTTGTGCATGTTATGTGGATAGTGGACAACCCAGTCTGTAAACCCAAGTTCCATTACAATCCCTTCTCTTGCAAATGCCACTCTTTGCCACAGTTTAGGCCAAGGAAATATGCATTTTGGTAGCACAGTTGCCCAAGTAGAACAGATTCAAAGAAGAGGATAGTTTTGTCCTAGAAGCAGGCTCAGAGCCATTTGGTGGCACAAGTACTTGGAGCACATTCTGAGGGTAGGAGGAAAGCTCAAGATAGGTGTGTCTCTTTGGTCCTGAGACTCTTCACCTGTTGAGAAGGACACATCAAAAAAGGGGCCCAAAGAGTAGCCTCTAGTGCATGAAGACAAGGGAAAAGTGCCCCAAATGGCCTGACCTAACTGGTAGTATTGGGTGGGATATAGAAATTTTTTTACAAGCCATGGAAAGAGAAGGTTCCAAGATATTAAAAAGCAACAGAGATGGCAAGTAAAAGACAAGTTAAAAAGTGTTCATTATTAGCAAAATTAATATTTGATAATATTAAGGAATTATTATTTTTTGGTGTGATAATTGTATTGCTTATTTATTTATCTTTTTTGTTATGCCTATAGCACTGGGCTTGTTTCTCTGTAGATTACAGCTACCCCTAGAACTATGACAGCGATATTACTCTTCTGAATTAGACAATGTCTGCTGGTTGAATTTTTAATGCTCATGACGTGACCACAAAATCCAGCATCTGTGACAATCAAACGTAACAATTAGTAGGGTTTAATTTTTAAAAAGAGAAAAGTAGGAAATACACACACACACTTACAACATAACTTTCAAGGACAAAATCTGTCATAGTGAGACAGATGGCAGATTATTTTCTAGGATTTGTGTCTTTATCCTAAGTGATGTACCTTTACTGATGTCAAAAAAGAAAGACAAGTAAAGAAAAAAAGATCCTAACAGTTTATGGGGTTGATAACCTGACTTATGTTCCTTCTGAATTGCCTGGCTTAGTGCATTACGCATAGTAGATGCCCAATAAATATTTGTGAATGATACTTGAACCCACTGGAGATAACAGAAGTGCTTCCCACTCAGAAGGATGCACTACTTCTAAGTATGCCATAATAGGAAGCTATTCTAGAGTGACCAATAGTTTTTGTTTGCCTTGGTCTTTACCAGTCATCACAATGGAAGTCCCACATCCTAGGAAACCCCTTAGCCCTAAGCAAATGAGGACAACTGCTCATTCTGTGTTTGACCTACATATTAGGTGTACCTCAGAAATGCTTTTCACGGACAGTATTCTTTAGGAAAGATGCCAGATTCACCAGATTAATTCATCTTTTCTCTTTCCCAAGACCCAAAATGAAAGAACAATATATATATATTTTGATTTAACACATTATATCACAAAGAAAATCAGCAGTCCGTCAAGCTATTTCAAAAGAAGTTTTAGAAAGCAGAAAATAAGTAGAGAAGTAACTACTGCTTCAACAGGGCAAAGCAGACTACAGGGTAATGCAAGCTAAGGGGACATGAGCTTTGAACCCCTGAAAGCTTCAAGACTTTGAGGCACCAGGTAAAGCAAACTGGGATTAAGGTGTGGGTTTAGAAGGGGGAAAGTATTGAAAGCCTATATACTGGAGAATCAGATAGCAAGCTTCCTTCTTCACACCAGATAGTGATTTGCTGAGTGATAACCATCCTTCCCTGCCCAACACACCCACAAAAGGGAGGAGGTAAATTTTCCAGATAAATTGAAACAAGATGTTCAGAATTTAGGGACACTAGATGTGGTAAACAGTAAGGGTAAAATTTCAGGTTGGCAGAAGGGTCAAATGAAAATCTGCATATCAACAGGAAACACCATATTATCACTCCCTCTACCACTTCCTAAAAGACAGCAGTCTATCAGTCCAGAATCAGACTAGACAAGGACATCTCCTGACATCAAGGACTCTGTATCTACCTCTTACATGCCCTTTCTTAGAAAGCTGTTAGAGTAGTGTACTTTATCCACCTTTATTGGATAAAAGTGAAAAGAAGCTAGGATGACAACTGTGTGGCATGCCTAAAAATTAACCTGTAATTAACACAGACACAGATAAAAATAATTTTAGAAAGATTTTAAAATCTATAATTAATACAGATTTGAGTAAAATGAAAGATTTTTAAAGGGAAAAGTGAGATTAACATATTTTGGTATTTTTGAGCATTTGGAAAAATAGCGATAATGTATGACAGCATATATAAAGTAATTTTAAATGTTCAAATATATATAGTATAGTGCACATGTGAAAAATAAGACATTTCATAATTGCAGGAAAAAATGTAAAAGAAATGACATAGATTCTTAACACATTATTTTCTCTGCAGTAATATTTATATAATCAAAATAATATAAACTATTGTTTTACCTAAAAATTATTAGAGTACAAAACTCCAGAGGAGAGTGGGTGATGTGGGAATGTGTAAGAGAGCTAAATTATCATTCATCATAACAAGAAAAGCCTAGATGGATCTGAAAACAATAACTTAGTTATGGTGAGCACAAAGCCCTTTTTGGACTTAGAGATGTGAATTTTAAAAAGCCGAAGTAACTGAAGGAAGCTAAGCAGTCAACTTGATGGGGTTGGGTAATGTGTGAGCCCATACAGAATTTCAGGCAGAGTGAGGCTGGTAGTCATGCCCTGGAAGAAGAGAATTTGATATGGAGTCCAGGCAGCTGGGCAGGTTTGAGGTGAGGGTAGAGCTGCACAGAGAGGTGAAATCTTTGAGGGTTGTGTCAAGTATGTTAAAGATTTTTATTTTAATCCTAAGAGAATTTAGAGAACATCCATCAAATCAGCAGTACACAGAATGTGATCTGAAGACCCCTGAAGGTTCTTGTAGCTCTTTCAGGGGGTCCCAAAGGTCAAAACTGTTTTCAGAAGTAATACTAAAAAGCTATTTATCTTTTACCCACTTTCTCTCACAGCGTATGTTCACAGTGGAGCCTTCCAGAGGCTATGTAAACTATGATGTCATTTCTCAGATGACTATATGCATATTTGTATTTACTAACGTCATAATCTTAATGTATAGATATCTGCATTTTCAAAGATTAACTCATATCAGCACTTTTACTGCACTCTTACTAATTATTTTTTGTTATATCTGCTATAATTTTTGTAAACCCATTACCTTTCAACAAACTATTATTTTGAAACCCTGAAGTTTTCCTTGCACCTATGCAGAAACAAAGAACTAAAATTGCTTTCATGTCTTGTTTTGCATTAATATTTTTTAGTTTTGAAAACTTTTCAAAATTATTCTTTTTCAAAAATGTTACTGTCTTACAGTGAAATAATATTCTGTTCTAAAATTTAAAACACTTATTTATAATATATTTTTGTTATATTTTAGGATAGATCATTGACTTTTAAAGGGAGATTTAAAGACTTGCTTTCTTAACCCATAGCTGTGCTAGTGAGGTCTAAGGATGCTAAAAAGATGAAACTGACATATCAGAGAGTTCTCTGACTCACAGAAGAGAGGAATGTACTGCAAAGAAATGGAGCAAAACTGTAAATAAGAAATAAAACTATGACAAAAGCTATCTTTTCCTCAGCATTACTGATGTGTTTTATGCAACAGAACTTTTGGAATAATATTTGGTGCTAGTAAAGTTGTGGCACCATTTTGAGCAGAATCAATCAGAGTTTAAAGGAAAAGGAATTGAATATTTTATATGTAGGTAAGATAAACTCTTTAAAAGCCAAAAATTGCTCACTACTTTTCAGACCAGAAATGAAAAATCCACTAAAACACTTTACAGATTAAGTTATATTTTGTATTGGATGGAGACACACATACAATCGTTGAAAGACTAACAAAGCCCTGTAGAGTGGACATTGCTGAAGATCTCTGGATGAAAAGTCAGTAAAAGAGGGCTAGGTGATGTGGCCCACACCTGCAATCCCAGCATTTTGGGAGGCCGAGGCAGGCAGATCACTAGAGGTCAGGGGTTCAAGACCAGCCTAACCAATATGGTGAAACCCCATCTCTACTAAAAATACAAAAATTAGCCAGGCATGGTGTAAGGTGTCTGTAATCCCAGCTACTCAGGAGGCTGAGGCAGAAGAATTGCTTGAACCCAGGAGGCGGAGGTTGAAGTGAGCCAAGATAGAGCCACTGCACTCCAGCCTGGGCAACAGAGGGAGAATCTGTCTCAAAAAAAAAAAAAAAAGAAAGAAAGAAAGAAAAAAGAAAAGAAAAGAAAAAGAAAGTCAGTGAAAGAAATTGTGGCACTGTCACATTCCAACAGTACAGTAGTTTGTTGAAGTAAAGACTTAGGTGCAAACATGAGGACTGAGTTTATTTCTCCTCTGAGATTTGTACTTTTGCCTTATGAGCAGACCAACCCTCAGATTTGTTAGGTTATTGTTTTGCTTGTAGGCATCTAATATCAGCACCAACTAATCATTGAAGAAAATTTATTGCATTTTAATTTATACCATTTGTGAAGTGATATTTATACCATTTGTGAAATATTCAGAGTTGAATACATTTTTCTAATCTCATGGTTTGTTCTAGAAAAAGCCATGTCACTATTTACACTGTTGTGCAGAAGCAACGGAAGGAAGCACATTAGCATGAACAAATTGAGGCTGCTGCTCTGAACTGTACTAGTAGTGATTGCATTCTCCCAGGCACTTCCAAGGAGAGTGGGGAGCCAGTGTCACTTAAGAATGCCTTGGTAAAGAAGTAAAAATGGTCACTC